>NC_000001.11:94553835-95803835 GCF_000001405.40 Homo sapiens | reverse complement strand
AAGAAAAGGATTAAACAGTTTGCGGTCTCTACTGGAGAAATAGTGTTAGGTGGTAAGAAATATAATGGCTAGTGAACTATCGGCCATTATTTTTTGAGCTTTCATCCTAGCCAGCCCTTCTGCTAACTAGCTGGAAAGCAGTAGTCCCTTCACCTTGCTGAGTTACATGCTCAGATAGAGCTTAGATGGAGCACTCACTTAGGTGCAGCACTACCTCCATCTAACACGTAGAGTGTATGAAAAGATGACTTGTAGCTAAGATCTAATTAAGCTTTTGACTATAATTGTTCATTTTCATTATTTTCACTGGAAATCAGCAAACCAAAACTTGCCATTATGCTTATCACATATTTTATTCTTTCTCATTGCTAAAGCTCACGGTGAATTAAAATGTTAATTTCAAGGAAAATAATTTAATAATCTGAGATTTTGTTGCATTTTCTTGTTCTTTTTTATATATACTTTAAGTTATGGGATAAATATGCAGGACGTGCAGGTTTGTTACATAGTTATACAGGTGCCATGGTGGTTTGCTGCACCCATCAACCCGTCATCTACATTAGTTATTTCTGCTAATGCTATCCCTCGTCTACTCCCCCACCCCATCACAGGCCCCGGTGTGTGATGTTTCCCTCCCTGTGTCCACGTGTTCTCATTGTTCAACTCCCACTTATGAGGGAGAACATGCAGTGTTTGGTTTTCTGTTCCTGTGTTAGATTGCTGAGAGTGATGGTTTCCACCTTCATCCATGTCCCTGCAAAGGACATGAACTCATCCTTTTTTATGGCTGCATAGTATTCCATGGTGTATATTTGCCCCATTTTCTTTCCCCAGTCCTTCATTGATGGGCATTTGAGTTGGTTCCAAGTCTTTGCTGTTGTGAACAGTGCTGCAATAAACATGCTTGTGCATGTGTCTTTATAGTGGAATGATTTATAATCCTTTGGGTATACACCCAGTAATGGGATTGCCGGGTCAAATGGTATTTCTGATTCTAGATCCTTGAGGAATCACCACACTGTCTTCCACAATGGTTGAACTAATTTACAATCCCACCACAGTGTAAAAGTGTTCCTATTTCTCCACATCCTCACCAGGATCTGTTGTTTCCTGACTTTTTAATGTTGCCATTCTAACTGGCGTGAGATGGTATCTTACTGTGGTTTTGATTTGCATTTCTCTAATGACCAGTGATGATGAGATTTTTTTCATATGTTTGTTGGCCTCATAACAAACATATGTTGGTTTGTTGGTTTGTTGGTTTGTTATAGACCAACATAACAAACATGTGTTGGTCTTCTTTTGAGAGGTGTCTGTTCATGCCCTTTCCCTACTTTTTGATGGGGTTGTTAATTTTTTTCTTGTAAATTTGTTTAAGTTCTTCATAGATTCTGTGTATTAGCTCTTTGTCTGATGGGTAGATTGCAAAAATTTTCTCCAATTCTGTAGGTTGCCTGTTCACTCTGATGCTAGTTTCTTTTGCTGTGCAGAAGCTCTTTACTTTACTGAGATCCCATTTCTCAACTTGAGCTTGTGTTGCCATTGCTTTTGGTGTTTTAGTCATGAAGTCTTTGCCCATGCCTATGTCCTGAATGGTATTGCCTAGGTTTTCTTCTAGGGTTTTTATGGTTTCAGGTTTTACATTTAAGTCTTTAATCCATCTTGAGTTAATTTTTCTATAAGGTGTAAGGAAGGGATCCAATTTCAGTTTTCTGCATATGGCTAGCCAGTTTTCCCACCACCATTTATTAAATAGGGAATTCTTTCCCTGTTGCTTGTTTTTGTCAGTTTGTCAAAGATCAGATGGTTGTAGATGTGTGGTATTATTTCTGAGGCCACTCTTCTGTTCCACTGGTCTATATATCTGTTTTGGTACCAGTACCATGCTGTTTTGGTTACTGTAGCCTTGAAGCACAGTTTGAAGTCAGGTAGCGTGATGCCAGCTTTGTTCATTTGCTTAGGATTGTCTTGGTTATAAGGGCTCTTTTCTGGTTCCATATGAAATTTAAAGTAGTTTTTTCTAATTCTGTGAAGAAAGTCAATGGTAGCTTGATGGGGATAGCATTGAATGTATAAATTACTTTGGGCAGTATGGCCGTTTTCATTATATTGATTCTTTCTATCCATGAGCATGGAATGTTTTTCCATTTGTTTGTGCTATCTCTTATTTCCTTGAGCAGTGGTTTGTAGTTCTCCTTGAAGAGGTCCTTCTCATCCCTTGTAAGTTGTATTCCTAGGGATTTTATTCTCTTTATAGTAATTGTGAATGCGAGTTCACTCATGATTTGGCTCTCTGTCTATTATTGGTGTATAGGAATGCTTGTGATTTTTGCACATTGATTTTGTATCCTGAGACCTTGCTGAAGTTGCTTAACAGTTTAAGGAGATTTTGAGCTGAGATGATGGGGTTTTCTAAATATACAATCATGTCATCTGCAAACAGAGACAATTTGACTTCCTCTCTTCCTATTTGAATACCCTTTATTTCTTTATCTTGCCTGATTGCCCTGGCCAGAACTTCCAATACTATGTTAAATAGGAGTGGTGAGAGAGGGCATCCTTGTCTTGTGCTGGTTTTCAAAGGCAATGCTTCCACCTTCTGCCCATTCAATATGATATTGGCTGTGGGTTTCTCATAAATAGCTCTTATTATTTTGAGATATGTTCCATCAATACCTAGTTTATTGAGAGTTTTTAGCATGAAGTGGTGTTGAATTTTATCGAAGGTCTTTTCTGTATGTATTGAGATAATAATGTGTTTTTTGTCATAGGTTGTGTTTATGTGATGGTATACGTTTATTGATTTGCATATGTGGAACCAGCCTTGCATCCCAGGAATGAAGCCAACTTGATTGTGGTGGATAAGCTTTTTGATGTGCTGCTGGATTCTATTTGCCAGTATTTTATTGAGAATTTGCATATCAATGTTCATCAGGGATATTGGCCTGAAATTTTCTTTTTTTTGTTGTGTCTCTGTCAGGTTTTGGTATCAGGATAATGCTGGCCTCATAAAATGGGTTAGAGAGGATTCCCTCTTTTTCTATTGTTTGGAATAGTTTCAGAAGGAACAGTACCAGCTCCTCTGTACCTCTCATAGAATTTGGCTGTCTCAATTTCAGAATTTGTTATTGATCTATTCAGGGATTCGACTTCTTCCTGGTTTAATCTTGGGAGGGTATATGTTTCCGGGAATTTATCTATTTCTTCTAGATTTTCCAGTTTATTTGCATAAAGGTGTTTACACTATTCTTTGATGATAGTTTGTACTTCTGTGGGAACAGTGGTGATACCCCCTTTATCATCTTTTATTGTGTCTATTTGATTCTTCTCTCTTTTCTTCTTTATTAGTCTGGCTAGCGAGCTATCTATTTTGTCAATCTTTTCAAAAAACCAGCGCCTGAATTCATTGAGTTTTTGAAGGATTTTTCGTGTCTCTATCTCCTTCAGTTCTGTTCTGATCTTAGTTATTCGTTGTCTTCTGCTGGCTTTTGAATTTGTTTGCTCTTGCTTTTCTAGTTATTTTAATTGTGATGTTAGGGTGTCGATTTTAGATCTTTCCCACTTCCTCTTGTGGGCATTTAATGCTATAAATTTCCCTGTAAACACTGCTTCAGCTGTGTCCCAGAGATTCTGGTATGTTGTGTCTTTGTTCTCACTGGTTTCAAAGAACTTATTTATTTCTGCCTTAATTTCGTTTTTTACCCAGTAGTTATTCAGGAGCAGGTTGTTCAGTTTCCATGTAGTTATATGGTTTTGAGTGAGTTTCTTAATCTTGAGTTCTAATTTGATTGCACTCTGGTCTGAGAGACTGTTTGTTATGATTTCTGTTCTTTTGCATTTGCTAAGGAGTGTTTTACTTCCAATTATGTGGTCAATTTTAGAATAAGTGTGGTGTGTTGCTGAGAAGAATGTATATTCTGTTGATTTGGGGTGGAGAATTCTGTAGATGTCTGTTAGGTCCACTTGGTCCAGAGCTGAGTTCAAGTCCTGAATATCCTTGTTAATTTTCTGTCTCATTGATCTGTCTAAAATCGACAGTGGGGTGTTGAAGTCGCCCACTATTATTGTGTGTGAGTCTAAGTCTCTTTGTAGGTCTCTATGAGCTTTCTTTATGAATCTGGGTGCTCCTGTATTGGGTGCATATATATTTAGGATAGTTAGTTCTTCTTGTTCCATTGATCCCTTTACCATTATGTAATGCCCTTCTTTGTCTTTTTTTAATCTTTATTGGTTTAAAGTCTGTTTTATCAGAGACTAGGATTGAAACCCCTGCTTCTTTTTTTTTTTTTTTTTTTTTTTGCTTTGCATTTGCTTAGTAAATATTCCTCTATCCCTTTATTTTGAGCCTATGTGTGCCTTTGCCCATGAGATGGGTCTCTTGAATACATCACACTGATGAGTCTTCACCGTTTATCCAATTTGCCAGTCTGTGTCTTTTAATTGGGGCATTTAGCCCATCTACATTTAAGGTTAATATTGTTATGTGTGAATTTGACCCTGTAATTATGATGCTAGCTGATTATTTTGCCCATTAGTTGATGCAGTGTCTTCATAGTGTCAATGGTCTTTACAATTTGGTATGCTTTTGCAGTGGCTGGTACAAGTTTTTCCTTTCCATATTTAGTGCTTCCTTCAGGAGCTCTTGGAAGGCAGTCCTGGTGATGACAAAATCTCTCAGTGTTTGCTTGTCTGTAAAGGATTTTATTTCTGCTCTGCTTATGAAGCTTAGTTTGGCTGGATATGAAATTCTGGGTTGAAAATTTTTTTCTTCAAGAATGTCGAATATTGGCTTGTAGGGTTTCTGCTGAAAGATCCACTGTTAGTCTGATGGGCTTCCCTTTGTGGGTAACCCAATCTTTCTCTCTGGCTGCCCTTAACATTTTTTCCTTCATTTCAACCTCAGTGAATTTGTTAAGTATGTGTCTTGGGGTTGCTCTTCTGAAGGGGTATCTTTGTGGTGTTCTCTGTATTTCCTGAATTTGAATGTTGGCCTGTCTTGCTAGGTTAGGGAAGTTCTCCTGGATAATATCTTGAAGATTGTTTTTCAACGTGGTTCCATTCCCCCCGTCACATTCAGGAACACCAATCATATGTAGGTTTGGTCTTTTCTCATAGTCCCATATTTCTTGGAGACTTTGTTCACTTCTTTTCATTCTTTTTTTTCTAATCTTGTCTTCATGCTTTATTTCATTAAGTTGATCTCAATCTCTGATATCCTTTCTTCTGCTTGATCAATTTGGCTACTGATACTTCTGTATGCTTCACGAAATTCTCATGCTATGTTTTTCAGCTCCATCAGGTCATTTATGTTCTTCTCTAAACCGGTTATTCTAGTTAGCAATTCATCTAAACTTTTTTGAAGTTCTTAGCTTCCTTGCATTGGGTTAGAACATGCTCCTTTAGCTTGGAGGAGTTTGTTATTACCTACCTTCTGAAGCCTACTTCTGTCAATTTGTCAAACTCATTCTCTGTCCAGTTTTGTTCCCTTGCTGTTGAGGAGTTGTTATCCTTTGGAGGAGAAGAGGCATTCTGGTTTTTGGAATTTTCAGCTTTTTGCACTGGTTTTTCCTCATCTTCGTGGATTTATCTATCTTTGGTCTTCGATGTTGGTGAACTTCAGATGGGATTTCTGTGTGGACATCCTTTTTGTTGACGTTGATGCTATTCCTTTCTGTTTGTTAATTTTCCTTCTAACAGTGAGGCCCCTCTGCTGCAGGTCTGCTGGAGTTTGCTGGAGGTCCACTCCAGACCCTGTTTTCCTGGGTATCACCAGCAGAGGCTGCAGAACAGCAAAGATTGGTGCCTGTTCCTTCCTCTGGAAGCTTCGACCCAGAGGGGCACCTGCCAGATGCCAGCCACAGCTCTCCTGTGTGAGGAGTCTCTCGACCCCTGCTGGGAGGTGTCTCCCAGTCAGGAGGCACTGGGCTCAGGGACCCACTTGAGGAGGCAGTCTGTCCCTTAGCAGAGCTCAAGCACTGTGCTGGGAGATTCATTGCTCTCTTCAGAGATGGGAGGCAGGAACATTGAAGTCTGCTGAAGCTGTGCCTACAGCTGCCCCTTCCCCAAGTTGCTCTGTACCAGGGAGATGGGAGTTTTATCTATAAGCTTCTGACTGGGACTGCTGCCTTTCTTTGAGGGATGCCCTGCCCAGAGAGGGGGAATCTAGAGAGGCAGTCTGGCTACAGCAGCTTTGCTGGGCTACGCTGGGCTACGTTGGGTTCCGCCCAGTTTGAACTTCCACGTGGCTTTGTTTACACTGTGTGGGGAAAACCTCCTACTCAAACCTCAGTAATGGCTGATGCTCCTCCCCCAACCAAGCTCGAGCATCCCAGGTTGACTTCATACTGCTCTGCTGGCAGTGAGAATTTCAAGCCAGTAGATCTTAGCTTGCTGGGCTCCATGGAGATGGGATCCCCTGAGCTAGACTACTTGGCTCCCTGGCTTCAGCCCTGTTTCCAGGGGAGTGATTGGTTCTGTCTTGCTGGCGTTCCAGGCACCACTGGGGTATGAAAAAAAAACTCCTGCAGCTAGCTCAGTGTCTGCCCAAATAGCCACCCAGTTTTTGCTGGAAACCCAGGGCCCCGGTGGTGTAAGCATCCAAGGGAATCTCCTGGTCTGTGAGTTGTGAAGACCATGGGAAAAGCGTAATATCTGGGCTGGAGTGCACCATTCCTCATGGCACAGTCCCTCACGGCTTTCCTTGGCTAGGGGAGGTAGTTCCCCAACCCCTTGAGCTTCCTGGGTGAGGCGATGCCCCCACCCTGCTTCACCTCACCCTCTGTGGGCTGCACCCACTGTCTAACTCGTCCCAGTGACATGAGCCCCATACCTCAGTTGGAAATGCAGGAATCACCCCCACCTTCTCTGCTGATCTCACTGGGGGCTGCAGACTGGAGCTGTTCCTATTCGGCCATCTTGCCAGCCACCCCGAATTTTCTTGTTCTTTAAAAATAAATTAGACTTATGCAAAATGAGTTTCTAAGTTGGCTCAAAATTTAGATTATCATGTATAATATGATAATTATCATGTATAATTCATTTGTGTACCTTTTATGACAATATTCTAATAGGTCTTAAGATGCCTTACAGTACCTCCAACTTATGTGTTGCTAATACCTTGCATGACAGGTTCCCTTCTAAGCAGAGCTGACTGGGTGAGGAACGTGCAGCATATGTCTTCAAAGCCAACAAGAACGCACTCTAGGACTGAGGATGAACCACTCAAGATCAGTATTTGTTGATTAGATTTGAAAGAAACTCATACAATAGTCTAGGGAGAGGTGTTTAAACACCTGAATTTATCTCACATCTTTAAAGCAATAACCTAATTTTTAGCAACAGTAGCTCTTTCACAGGTGTACAAAGAATGTTTACTTCCATTGTACTAATTAGTTTTAAATTGAGAAAACATTTAGTAACTAGAAAAACAAAGAAGCTCCTATTTTTCTAGGACAGAAATAACAGGAAAAGGAGAACAAGACTAACTACAATATTCAGCTTAACATTTCAAATTTTTTCATCGACTTCACTAAGCAATGTCTATTTTGTTTTGTTTTTCAAAAAGCACAATTCCCAGGTGTAACTAAAATAGTAAATATGTACACTTACTTTGCTAAGAAATAATTAAAGATGTCATTTGCTGACAAAAACAAATGTATGCCTAATATATAAATGTATGCTTGTTATTTTTGGTTAAATAAATATTTGTTCATGCCTTATTTTGGGATGTAGTTCTCTTCTAATACACCAGGAGAAAACTCTGAATTAAGGAATAACTCATCTTTTCTGCTAAAAAATTTAATAGCCTCTGCTTCAATTGACTTTAATAAGTTATAAAAAAATACTGCATTTTCTTTTTCAATTGCAACAATAATGTGATAAAATAAATTACTACTTTAAAATGCATAGCACTGTATACCTTCCGAGCAAAAAAAAAGGCATCTATTATACACAACATGCACTGACAGGAGTAGGTCTTTGATAAAAAAACACATTGTAAAGTGCATTTTTTGCACCTAATGATTTAAATCAAAATGTAAGTAAAACTCACTCTGCTTACATTTTTCTTTTCCTCTCCCCAATCCCCATGGTACTTTTCTTCATGCTAAATAACCCAAATTTCTTTAGCTTTTCCTCAAAGGACCCATTTTCTAAACTAATCATTTTTAGTCATTCTCTTTGGAACTCCCTCCAAGATTTCTACATCTTGTTTCAAACAAAAGTCCCACAATTAGATCGTGTCCTCCCATAAAAACGTGATAAATGCTGATCATAGAAGGAACTCTTTAGGGTGGCTCCTTCTCACACATGGAAAGAGTCTTGATCTGACAACTTTATTAACCATTAGCAAGCTGCTATGATTTGAATGTTCCACCCAAACTCATGCTGAAATTTAATTGTCATTGTAACAGTATTAAGAGGTGGGGCATTTAAGAGGTGATTAGGCCATGAGGGCTCTACCCTCTTGAAGAGATTACTGCTGTTATCACAGGAATAGGTTAGTTATTGAAGGAGTGTGTTCTTGATAAAAAGGATTAGTTCAGATCAATGTTTCTCTCTGACTCATGGACTTACTTCTGCCTTCCATACTTCTGCCATGGGATGACCCTTGCTGGATGCCAGTGCCATGCCCTTGGACTTCCCAGCCTCCAGAACTGTGAGCCACATAAACGTTTGTTTTTTATAAATGACCCAGTCTGTAGTATTCCGTTATAGCAGTAGGAAACAGACAGGACACAAGCTAACACCTCCTCTGAATCGATTACTTGGTGATGGGGTAGAGTACCTAATTCTTTATTTCTCAAACACCTGTGTGTCAAGTCCTGTGCTAGACACTTTAACTGCCTTTTGAAATATTAAACACTGCTATTAATCCTGTTATGAAAAGAGGTTAAGTAATCTCACCAAAGCCATAGAACCTATCAGTGGGAAAGTAGAGATGTGATTATAGGTTTAACTAAGTCTAAAGCTCACCATTACAACAAATATTCTTAATAGTTTCTGATGGGGTTCACACCATAACATGCCAGTCTGTCACAGAATTGTTTTGAGCTAAAGGTGACTGAGAAATATCAGACACAGAACAAGCTCTCTGCCCTCCATCTCTCTATTAGGAAAGGCAAGATGATTGTTAATCACTGAAGACAATTCTATTCTCCTATCAGCCCAGAGGTGGGACCAGAGAAACCTATATAGCACATCTAACTAGTCCTTATTTTCCTTTGAGTTAGTTTCCCCATATGTTTACCTTTCTGCAGTTTACTGCCTCTAGAAGCTCAAAATTCCTTTCCTTTGTCTTGTTATTTCTCTACAAATTTATTATTTTTTACTAAGATGTTATATAAGCCCAAGTTTTAACCACCCCTTTGAGGTACTTATTGCTGAGTTCTCCCACATGTGTGTGATGCATATGTTAATAAACTTCTGTTTGTTTTCTCTTGTTAATCTGTCTTTTGTCAGTCTGATTTGCAGGACCTTAGCTGGAGAAACTAAAGGTAAAAAAAAACACATTTTTTCCCCTAAAATTCTCATTTTTAGTAACAGAGAAAATCCTACAGGAAATCCTCAACACTGAGAGCAAGTGCTGAAACTTTCCATGGTGAGAATGATTTCGTTGGGCTGGTCAGTGCTCATTGTTTTGCACCCCAAACACATCAGGAGAGGCACTGGCATAGAAGCAAAGTGCCTGAACCCTGGTGAGCATTTCCAAGGTAAGGATAAGCAAATGCTGCTCTGGTGCCCTCCCATGGACAGTATTATGTGAGAAGACACAGGCAGAAGGGCAACCACCTGAGTAGTGACTCAAGAGTTTAAATCCATGCACAACGAGACTGCGTGGTAATTTAGCGAAGGACAACAGATTAGGCGATTCATCTGGTCAACAAGTTAATGTGCTGACATTTTTAAGTACATTCTATGATGTTTGCACAATGATGAAATGGTTGAATGACACATTTCTCAGAAGGTACCCTTGTCATTAAATGATGCGTGACTGTATATATGTTGCTGTCCGTTATGTATTTTAGTAACATGTACTAAAACAATAAAAATAAAATAAAAAATGTGGAGAGTCTGTGAAACACTTCAAACGAATATTAGAAATCAAAATACCTCTTTTTGATAAAAAGGTGTTTGATCATTTAATCATTTGTGCTCTGCTTATCTGTTGCTCATGATATTTTGAATTGTTACATGATAAAGGTAAAAGGTATTGATAAACATAGGCTAATAGTATTTTGGATCAGAAAGACAACTATCAGCCACTTAATTTTACAAATGAGATAACTGAGGTTATAAGCCGTTAGAGAGAATTTTTTTTATTCATTTTATTTAGAGACTTAGCCCAATATAAACAAGATGATACATAACTCAATTTTAAAAGAAACTCAACAAAATGCATACTTTGAATTACATTGTAAATGATTTCAAGATTATCATAAGGCATTTTTTTAAATAAAAATGTTGTAATCATTAGCCCTTAGTCCTTCTTTAATACCAAAATAAATTTCTGACTAACAGCATATATATTTGTAGGTACCTATCTCCCCTGAATGACAGATGGAAAAGTAATGCAGACATTTATGACATATCCACCTGGTTTTTTCTGCAGTATCATTGCAGTGAGGTCCATTTTATCTAATAAAAAAAAAAGACTAAGCATTTTTCAAACTTTTGTCTCTCATTTAATTTCTTTAGCTATGTTAGTGTTCTTTCTTTAAATTACTAAATTTCTTAGATTCAAGATCTTTTTTTGTATTATTCAAAATTAATAAAATTGATGATTCATGATGGAAGCAGAAGCAACTTTCAGATTCAGTGTTTGGTTTACAAATTCCTCCTGATTTATAAACCATTCAGACTGAACCACTGCCTGGAGCTTTCCATTTTGTTGCTGTTCTCCTCTGTCTTGCCCATGTTTGCTGCGTCTTAGCTCTTGATACCCCCACTCTTCAAGTCTTTGCAGTACTCTGAGTGTCCTTTTCCTACATCTTCTGTCCACTCTTTCATAGTACTCTTTTCCTGAGTTATCATGATTCTCTCTCTTCATGGCCAAACACCATGAAGCTCTCAGTGTTTAAAAGAGGGCCTTGGGAGTGAAACTGGATTTGAATTAGTCTGTACCACTTTGTAAATGTGTGACTTGGAGAAATGTTTAACCTCTCTTTGCTTGATTTTCTCATTTGAAAATAGCAATAATAGTAGTACCTATTTCACATGATTGGGATAATTACATAAGTTGATCCATTTCTAGTTCATAGAAGAATGTTAGCGTATATTCATTGCTCAGTAATCCATAAATTATCATCATTAGTATTATTTCTGATTATTCTTTCTTAACATAATCAGGAAGCAAATGAACCCTTACATAAATATTTACTTTTAATTCACTTTTATTAATCCCTTCAAACTTTTGTACCCCCAAATAAGCGTGGCCCCATGTGGTCTAATCTCTAAATGGTATATATAAAAAAGAAGCAATCTTTAAGAGGGGGAAAAAAAAACCTTGAAAAGAATTTTGATTTTTACCTGAAAAATTTCCGGAGAATTTGAGTTTGGAAGAGGGAGTATGTTATTCCTATGGAGCAAAACATCTTGAAATTCCTTTCTCTCCACCTCTGCCATTCTCAATATTATTCCCATTGATGGCAGCTGCTCTTTCACATCTTTTGTCTTTATCACTGTATTTTTACAATCCTCAAGATTTCCTATGCCTAGAATGCCAGATTCTTTATTCCACCAGCTCAACACACCTTCTCTTATATATATATATTTGCATTCTGCTTGTCCAGTTGTTCTTGAGCATATTTGCAAACTGAAAAGACATGAGGTGTGTTTAAAATGCTGATATCTTAGCTCAACTTTCAGAAATTTTGCAGTGTGGTTATGTGACACCATACTGTTTCAGTCATAATAATAATGTTTAAGTCAGCAACAGACAGCATTATATGTTGGTGGTCCCATAGGCTTATAATACTGTATTTTGCTGTGCCTTTTTTTATGTCTAAATATATCTAGGTACACAAATACTTACCATTGCATTACAATTGTCTACAGTATTGAGTACAGTAATATGCGGCACAGCTTTGTAGCCCAGGAGCAATAGACTAAACCACATAGCCTAGCTGTGTAGTAGGCTATACCATACTACATACTAGAGTTGTGTAAGTAGACACTGTCATGTTCACCCTTCAGTGAAATGCCTAATGATGCATTTCTCAGAATATATACTCATCATTGAGTGGCACCTGACTGTAATTGGCCTACGCATTGGAATTTTTCAAAGTTCTCTGGGTGATTTTAATATCCAGCCAGGGTTAAGAACCACTAGTTATTCTTTCTCCTCCTCTCGTCAGTGTAAATCTTCTAGTTTTTTCCTTTCTTCCCACACCAAAGCTCATGATAAAGTTCAGAAGCTGGGAGTGAGGAAATGTCAAGTGTTCAATGCCAGAATTTTCCTTAGGGAGACTGAGACAGGAAACAAACTCTGGATATTTATTCGTGTGAGATTTTGTCACTATTATACTTTCCCTCTTTTCTTTGATCCCTGAGGACCTAGGCCCTTTCTCTCCCTTATCTCTGCCACCTCTATTCATTGGCTGGAGCTCTCACACAACCAATGATTTGCTGAAGCACTGTTCAGATTCCCTCAGGAAACCTTATTCTGGTTGCCTCTATGGGTAAGTGACCCACATTCATAATGATGCTCGGATTTTGTAAAGGTCTTTATATAAAACCAAAGTATGTGTTTTGAAAAACAGCTAAGGTGCAAGTTTGAATAGTCTGTACTGGGGTGAGGCCAGGATAGGGACTCACTGTCTTCCATTTATTATCTGTGTAAGTTTGGGCATCACCTGCAAAATAGGGTTGATGACATTTTATCTGCTATACCACTGTATGGTAGAGATAAATTAAATCATCATTTCATGTCTATTTCAGTTTTCTGTTTTTCGTTTTTTGAGACAGAGTTTCTCTCTTACTGCCCAGGCTGGAGTGCAATGGTGCGATCTCAGCTCACTGCAACCTCCACCTCCCGGGTTCAAGCAATTCTCCTGCCTCAGCCTCCTGAGTAGCTGGGATTACAAGCATGCACCACCACAACCGGCTAATTTTGTATTTTTAGTAGAGATGGGGTTTCTCCATTTTGGTCAGGCTGGTCTCAAACTCCCAACCTCAGGTGATCCGCCTGCCTCAGCCTCCCATATTGCTGGGATTACAGGCGTGAGCCACCGCGCCCAGCATCTATTTCAGTTTTTATTGTGTATTACTCAGAGTTTTCCACAATAATTTACTGCAAACTTAGATTGGCATTTACTGTAAATTCACAGATTTGAATTTGCATCAGGTAAACTTTTTTAAAAAGACTTTTTTGCACAGGATTGTGATTTTCTAACACATTTCTTAAGGAAAATATGGACACCACATGGGACTCTGCTATTTTAGCTCCTAAGCACTCAGAACAGAGGCGGTGGGGGGATTCAGAGAAATGGCATAGAGTTCTAGAAACAGCTGTGTCATGTCTGTGTCATGCTGCCATAACGCCATAACACCCCCCAACACGCACACACACACATACACACACACATACACACACACTCACACACACACACACACTGCTTCCAACTTTTATATTCTTTCCTATTCTCTAGGAAATGTTGGGCACACATAGTTTGACTCTGCTCAAGTGTCACCTTCTCAAAGAGGACTCCCATGACCATTTATCTAAAACAAAGACTTCTTTCACTCCCCATCCCCTTCACCTACTTCATTTTTCTTCATAGGCCTTATTACTACATGAATGCATATACAATATTGATTAATGTTTCCTTCCATACAAGATAAAGTCCAAGAGAACGGGCTCTTCTGTTGTCCTCATCTCTTGTTACATCTCAACATTAGAGCAATGCCTCATGCTTAATAAGCATTCAATAAATATTTTTGAGTTAAAAAAGCTTCAAATTATAATCATTATAATAGTCTGAGCATTTATCTATTATTTTAAACATAGAATCTAAGACCTAAAGAAAGTTAAATGATTTTCCAAAGCTTCTGAAAGAAAATGGTGGAGCTATAATTGTATCCCTGATTACCTGCTTCAAAATCTGCTGCTCTTGCAACAATAGCAGGCTGTCACCTTTACCCCTCAAACCTATCCTCCATTAAAGTTCCTGTTTATTTATCTTCTTTCTATAGGCTTCATCCTATGAGCTATGAAGGGGTGCCTAACAGTGTTCGAGTCTAAAAAATGTGTATTACTTGGAAATTTTAACTGAAAACTATCTCTGAATAAAATGAAATTTAATATAATTAAATATCTACAAAATGTAACGTGTAAACTACTTAGTCAACTCATTATTCTGTTCCTCAACTCTATTCTTATTTTGTTACATAGAAATTAGGTTGAGCATGGGATATAAGCACATTAAAATACATTTGATATGATCTGGGAAAACCTCCAAAAGTAAAAATGCTTAAAACCACCCAAACTTCCTTGCCTGGTAATTGGAAGGGTCACAGCTATTGCTAGATTTTACATGAAAATAACTCTGAGTAAAGGTTTTGTTTGTTTGTTTTGTGTTTTGTGTGGGTGCGTGCATTTTGTTTTTTGTTTTTGTTTGTTTTTTTAGCTTTTAAGCATAATCTGATGCTTGGGCTTCTAATTCTTTGCATAAATCTTTTTATTAGAGGTGTTTTTTTTTTCTTTTTAACAAAATCCCTCTGTAGACTAATTAGGCAGAGTGGTGTATTAGTCCATTTTCACACTGCTATAAAGAAATACCTGAGACTAAGTAGTTTATAAAGAAAAGATGCTTAATTGACTCACAGTTCTGCATGGTTAGGGAGGCCTCAGAAAACTTAATATCATGGCAGAAGGCAAAGGGGAAGCAGGCACCTCTAACATGGCAGGAGGAGAGAGAGCAAGTGAAGGGGAAATGTCACACTATAAAACCATCACATCTTGAGGTCTGTCATGAGAACAGTAAGGGGAAAAGCAGCCGCCATGATCCAGTCATTTTCCACCAGGCCTTTCCTTCAACACTTGGAGATTACAATTCAAGATGAGATTTGGGTGGGGACTCAGAGCCAAACCATATTAAGTGGTTAGCATTGGCAAATGACAGCAGTAGTGCTTAGGAGCTCGTGTTCTGTGGTGCAGTGACTTCAGTTTAAATCTTGGCTACATCAGTTATTTAATTTTGACCTTGGGCAAGTATCTCAACTTCTCTAAACCACATTTTCTCTTTATAAAAAAGTGAAAGCTGGGGGGAGGGGGGAGGGATAGCATTGGGAGATATACCTAATGCTAGATGATGAGTTAGTGGGTGCAGCGCACCAGCATGGCACATGTATACATATGTAACTAACCTGCACAATGTGCACATGTACCCTAAAACATAAAGTATAATAAAAAAAAAAAAAGGAAAAAAAAAAAAGTGAAAGCTGAGTGCGGTGACTCACACCTGTAATCCCAGCACTTTGGGAAGCCAAGGTGGGCGGATCATGAAGTCAAGAAATTGAGACCATCCTGTCCAACATGGTGAAACCCCGTCTCGACTGAAAATACAAAAATTAGCTGGGAGTGGTGCTGCATGACTGTAGTCCCAGCTACTTGGGAGGCTGAGGCAGGAGAATAGCTTGAACTCGGGAGGCGGAGGTTACAGTGAGCCAAGATGGTGCCACTGCACTCCAGCCTGGTGACAGAGCAAGACTCCATCTCAAAAAAAAAAAAAAAAAAAAAAAAAAGCGGAGACTACAGTAGCCACTAACCTCATAATGTTATTGTGAGAATTATGTAAAATAATATGTGGTATTTAGCATTGTTACTGGCACCCAAAAGTGTTCAATGGTGTTAACTATTACTGTTATCAGTATTAGTTTTATTACTATTGGTTATCATTATTAGTATTATCATTCTTTAATGTAGCAGATCCTCTTCATCTCATGAGAGCAACTAACACACTTTCTATCCCATTTTCTACAAGAAAGTTCATGAATTTAGTACTAGCTGATGCCAACTCCCAATTCTAGGATGGAAGAATGGCCAATCCTCTTTTCTGTGAGAAAGTCCTGTGCTCTCAGAGCATCTACTTCAAGCATGTCTTTGGAACAGGATAATCACTTGTCTGACTGTTTAAAGAACAACCCCTGTAGCAGTCTCATTTCCATCAGGGCGGTGCTGGGGGAACAGGAAGAAAGAGAATCAAAAAAGAAGACTCTCTTCTCTCAAAGTCCCCAACACCATTTCTTTAATACTTTTTTAGTTTATGAGATTTGACAAGGAAATAAAGGCATTGCTTCAGGCCATTCCAATTTCACAATGTAAGTATTCTTTTAAAATTGCTACATCTAGGGGAGTCTTTATATCCATGTCATTACTCAAGGAAAATTGTGAGGATACAGGTAAGAGTGTAAGAGGAATCTTATTAAAACATCACATGCAAAAAAAAAAAAAACAAAACTTCTTCCTCTCCACTTGAAAGACATCTGTTTCTACTTACTTTCTATCAGTCATCAAAAATTTCATGAGACGTTGAATGATTAGTATCCTTCCAAATGCTTTGAAAAGGTATGGTACATAAAGGGAAAGAAAATAGAGCACCTTCCCAGTGGTAGTGTAATAGTCATAAGATACACATTGAAATTGAATGCATAATAAACCCACAAGGGTACATAGATGAAAGAATAGCAAATGAAGGCATGGATCTGATTTACAACGGTATGTGAAACCAAGAATAGGAATAGTCTCCTGGAACTAGATCTCACTAAAAGAAAACTTTACTGAAAGTTTTGTGCTAGTTGACAGAAATAATCATATAGATGTGTGTGCATGAGAGCATGTGTGTGTATGTATAACCCCTTTGAGATCCTTAAGCAAATGACACTTAAAAACACACAAAACATAAACATATTTAGAGATAAACAGAAAAATTACATTAGATGAAAATAGTATTAGGGTGGTGGGTGGGAAGGCAGAGGAAACAAGGCTTTTCAAAAAGGAATTGTTGTATTGTCTTCAGATGTCTTATTAACAGTGATGAAGTAATGTCTTCACAGTTCTGAAGGAAAATTGTTATGAGTTTGGATTTCATTCTCTTTCAAAATGTCAGTTAGAAGTGAGTCATGAAATAAGAAATGTTTATCTCTATTTATATATCCTAAAAATGTTACCTGAAAATGGACTCCAGTAAAATGGAAAGAAAAATGAAACTATAGGAACAAAATGCAAAGTAAAAGCAAACCAACAGCGGGAACAAATGCAGAAGAACTACAAACACAGTTCCAGGAGGAGCACTGTGCCATGCAGCACCCCTAGAAGGCAATGGGCCCAGTAAGAACCATAATATACTTATGAAGAACATAATGAATTCCATTCAACAGATAATTTGTTTAAAAAGTTGCAAGATGGCCGGGCGCGGTGGCTCACGCCTGTAATCCCAGCACTTTGGGAGGCCAAGGTGGGCGGATCATGAGGTTAGGAGATCGAGACCATCCCGGCTAATACGGCGAAACCCAGTCTCCACTAAAAATACAAAATATTAGCCAGGCGTGGTGGCAGGCGCCTGTAGTCCCAGCTACTCGGGAGGCTGAGACAGGAGAATGGCATGAACCCAGGAGGCAGAGCTTGTGGTGAGCTGAGATCGCGCCACTGTACTCCAGCCTGGGCAACGGCGCAAGACTCTGTCTCAAAAAAAAAAGTTCAAGATATTGGTGATAACTTGAGAAAGGTGCATGCTCCTTTTGCTAACAAAAAAAGACAATTAAAAATTCCAGAGAAAACAAAAACAAAAATTTGACCAATAAAGTAATTTTCCAAATAGGAAGGAAATGTTACACGAATTGAAAAACTGACCAACAGAGAAAATGACCTTCCATTTAACTTGGATGATTCAAGAAACACACTCCTTAAAGGAACAAACTCCCATAACTAGGACAGGCTTAGCAGCAGTGACATCTCCTTCTCTAGGTGTCCAATCACTTACTTGAATAAAATGAATATTATTTATTTAATCATAATGTTGCAAATGCTGTTTACTCGTTTTCCATGCTTAGAATCAATGACTACACAAAGTATATTACACTGAATTTCAGGTATGCAGAACAGAAAGTACACAACACTCATACATAGCTGGCAGCAGTCTGCAAGTGGGAGGAAGAGAAAAGGGAAAGGCACTGAAAGAGTACTAATCTCCACTATATGAATGTACTATTTTGTATATTCGAAGGTAAGAGATACTGCCTAGTGTTTACAATAGGTTATTATACAGGTATCTAAGTATATTTTAATATATTTAAATATTTTATGTATTTATATATAAACATATATTACATTTAATATATTTAAAATATATGTTATATATTTATATATAAATATTTAATATATTTAAAATATTTTAAATATATTAAAATGTAATTATAGGTATTTAAGTTATTTTAAATAGGTATTAAGTAGGATTAAAACTCTTAGAACTACTAGTTAATAGAAAGTTAATAATTAGAGAAACTGTTAAAATAACTTAGAATGTGAAGCACACCTGCCAAGAGACAGTTTGCTCTAAACTGATGGGTTTGCTGGGATTAAAGGAAAGTCCCAGGCAAGTCTGGACAAGTTTGTCATCCTAGAAGCATATGCAAGTTAATTTCCTCAGATTTAACAGCAGGGAGTCAATATAAAAATTATAAATCAAGAAATAGAGATATCAGCATATTGTTTAAATGTACAGTGACATTCATAGCAGTGGTTAGCATACTGCTCTTTGAAGTCATACATACCTGGGATTGTAGACCCAGCTCTACCAATTACTGGCTCCATGATGCTGAACAAGTTACTAACCTCTCATAATCATATCTATCTCAGTAGATCATTATGAAGATGACGTAAACAATGCATGCAAAGTGATAAAGCAGAACCTGACACAGAATAGAGCTTCGGGAACTCTGTGTAACTATTATAGTCATCATTGATATTCTTTATGGAAGCCATTCACTGCATGTGCAAAAAATACTATATGAAAAGCATATTGAATATTCAGTTAGTTGTTACACCCGTAAATACCTATGGAATTAATGTTAGGGCTTACATTGGCTGGCCAATGCACTAAAAAATATTTAAAGTTATTACATCTGGTGTTCAGGTGGGGAGAGAGGGTGAAAGGACAAGCAGTATATTCAATGATGAAGTTGCATGGTAATTCAATTTAACTCATAAACATTAACTTCACCAGAGAGAGACAAAGGGTGACAGAGAGAAAGAGGAGGGAGAGAGAAAGAGAGAGAGAGAGAGAGAGAGAGAGAGAGAGAGAGATTCAAGTAATACTGACAACTATGCAAGCCATTGCTCTCAATGGTTTCTTGCTTCTGGCAGTAGATGAAATTACACATGCTATAACCAACATTGCTTGTTGGAAATTTGTGAAAAACATATGTGCATGGTTTTAAATTTTCTCCTATGAACGAAACTTAAAATATTTCCATAACCAGATAAATAAGTAGTATGACTCTGTCAACATTTTTGAGAAGAAATTGAGAATTGAGGGTTATAGTTTTTCTGTCAATGTTTGTCATTGACAGAGAAGAAGTGAGGGTTTTGTATGCTCATTTTATAGTTGTTTAAAGAAATTCCAAGAATAATTCACCCAGAAGTAATTTTTGACTTGTATACTGGCTTTAGAATTTGAGCTTGTATAAGATATAACTTTAATTTACAACTATTTTTCACCATGTGCATTTTAGTAGATATAGGTTATAATCTTATAAGAATAATAAATAATAAAATGATGCTTACAATAGCTGAGATCATGTAATGTGAGAAACTATTTGTAATAAATGCTAAGCAAGAAGATAGGAAGATATAAATTTTTATGTACACAATGGCTACAGGTAAATTAAAAGAGTGAATAGAAAAAAAGACTTAAAAATATATATAACAAAAAAACTATTGGCCAAGGCTGTGTTAAGGTGATAGGATTATGGGTGGTTTTATTTTATTTACCTGAGTTTGTAAAATTTAAAAACATGATTTTAGAAACCGTAAAAAAGCAGACACAAATTAATAATGACAGAATATACACAGGTGCTTTAACCAAAATCTATCTATGGAAATGATTCAGATATCAGAATTGTGCAGTAGTCTCAAATTTTAGTGATTGGTCTTCTCTTCAGGAATTCCAGG
Organism: Homo sapiens; assembly: GCF_000001405.40. NCBI lineage: Eukaryota > Metazoa > Chordata > Mammalia > Primates > Hominidae > Homo > Homo sapiens. Next base: position 95,783,668 of record NC_000001.11, on the reverse strand, counting down.
CAACATTGTTTCACTACATCATACAGTTTACCTAAACTAGAAAATAAGAATAACTTATGTAAAACTATTTGTATTTGACTTTGAAATACTTCCAACAAGCATTTCAGCCAGACATGTCCCCAGACCAGTAGCATGAGCTATGTGCCTCCCCCAACCCCCACTTCCTCTATGCTAACCAAATGCCTTTGCTACTTTATTACACCACTGTGACCAAGTTCAGTTGGATCACACCGTTATTCCAAAGCCATGGCCATACCAATACCCCATAGTTGGATCTAAGCAAGAGAAGTTTGGCTTCTCAGGGAGACTTTGGCAGGCTGTAGAAACATATTTGAGTTTTCATCCAGGTTATATGCAGATTACCACAAAAAGATCCATTATTATGTGAATTAATATATAAAATACACCAAATCTTATCCCAGAAACAGAACAACTGCAGACACTGAAAAGCCTATTAAATATGATGAGCTCATAAATGTAGCACATCTTGCTCTTTTCTTCATCCCCAATTTTGTAAAATGGTTTGTTTCATCATGATTGTATTTTTGCATTCAATCAACATTAATAATAAGAACTAAAATACATTTGGTCCTTTATATTTGCTAGGCATTTAACTAAGAATTTGGCATTTAATCATTATCTTGCTGATAAAAAACTTGAGGCTTAGGAAGGTTAATTAACTTGCCCAAGAAACGGTTGAGAATTAGTGGATTCAGGACTTAAACTCTCATTTGCCCATAAAGCCTCAGCTTTTTAACAATTATGCTATAAGGCCTTCTATTAATTGAAGACCTACTAACTTCCAGGCTTTTCTAGGTGACAGAGGACACAAAGATGAATAAGAACCCTGACATTCAGGAGTTAAAAAACATATTTTTCTTCTTTCAGGAGTTTACAGGCAACAGGGGTCCATGATACCTCTTCCCACTCAATTCCCAAGGTTTCAGCAGAACAAGATAGACAGTTAAATATAGGAAGGGCTATTTAAGCCAAGTCTCATTATCCAACATAGGATTTGACTTGATTATTAAGCACTTTTAAATGGTAGGTTCAGGTTAAGCATCCCTAATCCAAAAATTCAAAATCCAAAATGCTCTAAAATCTGAAACTTTCTGAGCACTGCCATGATACTCAAAGGAAATGCTCACTGAAGCAATTCCAATTTTGGATTTTCAGATTAGGGATGCTCAACCTGTAAGTATAGGATGCAAAAATTTCAAAATATGAAAAAATCCCAAATCCGAAAAGCTTCTGTTCCCAAGCATTTCAGATAAGGGGTACTCCACCTGAACCATCAATTCCAGAATCTCCAAATGGCTGTTCATGTGTGACTCCAGTGGCTCAATGACATAGCCCAATTTCCTATGACATCTTCTCCAGTAAACAATGCCAGGGCCTGGCAGATGAAGGATGCAGTCGTGTGTATCAGGAAACCCAATTCTGAGATGTATCCACTTCCCCTCATGGGGCTTCGAGACTTGGCTCCCAGCTATGGAGTTACCTTGAGAGCAAGAACCATATTACACATCACTGAGGAAACTTGAACAGAAAGTCCTACCATACACACTCAATCACAGGCACGTTCAGAGACTGCCTGGATAAATTTGCTGCCTTAATGACCTACCCACCTTCTCTGCTCCTTCACTCCAAACAATAGCCAGAACAATACTTTTAAATGAGCATAATGCAAACTTGCAACTCCTCTGCTGAAAACCTTCAGAAGCTTTCCATTTGTCTATGGATTAAATCTGCAAGACTTTATTGCAAACGCAGCAAGGGCTTGAGTGATCAAGACTTGTTCAGTGAGTCAGCAAGTGATTACGAAGGGGCATCACCAAGCCCTACCCCCTCTGACTTTACTCCTTATTCACCACACTCCAGGGATAATATCCTTGTTTCCATTCTCTTTTGCAGGGCTTCTGTGCATGCTGTTCCTAAATTCATTTTGCCCACCCACCATCCTTAAATTAATTCATAGGCCATTCTTGGAGAAGTCTTTACTGTCCCAACAGATCAGGTTGAACATATTAATAAAATATTTTCTTGGAATGAAGAAATGTGGCTCATGTATCTACAAAAAGTAAAATTTGCAGCTTCTCAGGATACTCTGCATCTTCTTCACAACCTTTACCCCAATTGCCTGGAACTTAGCAGTCATTTGCTTGAGAATTTAATGTTTTTCACTCATGATCCATTTCAACTTGGTGAAGACAGATCACATATATTTTGTTTGTTATTGAATCCCCAGTGCCAGGCACATAGTGCTCAAAAATTATTTGCTAAACTAATAAAGATTCACTAAAAAAGAATAAAAAAAGATTCACTAAAAAAGAATAAAAAAGACAGTCATCTTGTGTCTTTTTACCAAGAGCCAGACATGATCCAGGATGAACGGGACCCTTTCTCTTGCATGCCTGTTACCTCTTGCAGCTTTCTAGGCTCCAATGGAATATTTTCTCCTAAAAGCACTGACTTTGAAATATCTGAAGTTTGATGGCACAGAGCTTTCCCCAAGAGTAGAAAGGCAGTCCTACCCCCTCTGTAATGGAGGACATTGCTTGTGAAAGGCTACACAGTTCTTTAGAACCCCTCATGCATTCATTTCATTCACTCAACAGAGAAGCTGAGAGCTCCCTTTGTGCCTGGCACTAGTGGAATTCTGAGCATTCACAAAGAAAAGGCGGTTCCTGTCTTGAAAGAGCTTCTTGTGAGGAAGGAGAGATGGAAAACTAAGTCAGTGATGGCCACACAGCGTGGCAATTCTGAGAGAGGACCTCAGAAGAGGGACACCTAAACTACCGAGAAACACTGAGGAAGAGGTAATCTGGAACCACTGCTAAGAAGATTTGGGGCCCCAGAGAAGAATGAACCAGCCACTAGATAAACATGTGCCAGGAGAACCCATGGTAAAAAGCAATGTAAACAATGGGAGCAGTTTGTGAATGAGCCAGGGGGTGAGGGAAGAAAATGCAAGTCAGAAAAATGCAAGTTTAAAGATGCGTGCCGGGTGGTGGACAGACCTGGTCAGGGCCCAGAGCAGGGAGGACACTTGGGATCCTGTTTTAAAGGTGATAGAAAGCTGCGAAGACTTTTAAACCTGGAAGTGTGACTGGAGGAGTCAGATTTGCATTTTAGAAACAGCACCTCAAAACAGTGTTAAATAGAGGGGAAGGGGAGCTATAAATAGACAAATATCCTAAGAGAACTTCAGGAAACATTTGCATATTTTGAGATAGGAGTTGGAATGAAAAAATAATGATTTGTATATATTGAAAAATGGATACACTCCCCCGTTTTTGAGAAAATGTTTACATATATCATTTCCCTGGAAGTAAATTAGGAAATGAGGATAATGGTTCTGTAAAACCTAAAGACTGTTGGTGACTCATTATCCAATTAATTGATATGAATAAATTGGGCAAATCAAGCTAAATGAGAGTCAGTCACTGCATGTAAGTAGAGAACGAGTGATTGTTTATTTTTGGTTTTATTTTTGTTTTCTTTTTTTTAAAAAATTATAAAATCGGGATATTGAGCCCCACTGAGGAGCAGTGGGTCAGGAATGTCCACTGAGTCTCTGACCCTCAGAAACAGGACATGGGATGATGTGGATTACGTGGACCTTGGAGTGGAAGTGATTCAGCTAGGTGTGGAAGTCTCTCTTGTCACCTTGGACCCCACCCACAGCTACCATGTCACGGCAACCAACCCTGCTGGCAGCAAGTGACACCATTCAACCCACCCTGGAGTGCATTTTTTCAGATTAGAAAAGAGGAATAAAACCATTATCAGAAATGGAAACAATTAGGAGTTGCTTGTTTATAATTTTTGTTTTTAATCACTGTGAAGTTTGTATTTAAAAGAATATGATTCCCTTCTCAGCAATAATGGCACCTAAAATTCATCAGATTCCTCCAAACCTGATGAAGAGGGACCAGCCGTCTTTATGCTCCCGTGAGTTGGACTAATATGTGAGCATCTCTTAAGAGGCTGTGAAGGTAAAGTTCAGGAGAAGTATGAGCAAATTCTCACTACCAAATTGGCAGCCTTTTAAGAAATTCATGCCTGATCAGATTATTTCAGAAGATGGGACAAGGCCAAACAAACTATTCCTGAAACTTCTTTGCAAAACTGCAAGCTGAGTCTCAACTTGAGCAACAGCTGCTGCACACTTTTTGCAACTGATTTGATATCCAATTGCAGCTCCAATTTTGCATTCTGAGAACACTTAAAGATTCATTTTTATGAAACTTGAAAGATCTTGAAACTTTTAGCTTGACACAGTCATTTATTCTCATCCATTAAAAGCCTTGCCTTACTCAGGTAGATTACCCAAACAAAAATGCCTAGATGCCAGTAGCAATATATGCCTTCAGTGGTAAGCAGGAAAGTGTTTTTCTGAGTACAGTTTTGAAAGAAGTATGTATGAATGTGTGTAAATGTATGTGTGCTTTAAGTTACTCCATTAACTGTGTAAATTGTAATTGAATTGACCTTAGGGAATCTGGCCTTGAATTTGATGTTCAATTACAGTTAGAAAATTTACTTTGTTTACAAAAGAGTAGTATTTTGTGAACATGTAAATTGCAATAGTGGATTATTTTTATGACAGTATTAGTGTTAAATATAGGTCCTGGTTCCAGGAACATCCTGTGAATAATGAGTTAGAAAGGACCAAAAAATGTGATTATAATGACATAGATAATGTTTGTAGTCCTAGGTCTACAAATGTGTGGTGTGGAATAAAAACACACTAGAAATGGATCATTTAATGCTGTCATGTTATGTTAGAAAAATGCCTTGACTCAGCCTTAGAATACCCATGTGGAGCATTAATAAGATTAAACTCATCCACACATCAACATCTCCCTAGACAAACGTCCTAAGTAAGTTAATATTCAGACAGTTGTTCTTGATAAGGTGATGTTGACTATTAGCTACACACACACACACACACACACACAAACCCACCAGAAAAACCTATTGGTTAAAAAAAAAAACTAGCTGATTATATTAAAGCAGACTACTACCTTGACAGAATATTAATAGTATCTCAAAAGGAAGACATCAAGGGAAAGTGTTTATGGGATTTCGGGGCCTGAAATGAGTCATTTTAAGGCAAGGTGGAGTTCCTTCATCTGTTCTGGCTGCTATAACAAAATACCCTAAGTTGGTGGTATAAACCACAGAAATTCATTTCTCACAGTTCTGTAGGTTGGAAAATCTAAGATCAAAGTGCTGGTGTCTGGTGAGGGCCCATTTCCTGATTCATTGCAAACAAATTCTCACTGCCTTCACACACAATGGAGGAGAAAACGCAGCTCTCTGCAGCCTCTTTTAGAAGAACACTAATTCCATTAATGAGAGTGAAGCCCTTGTGGCCCAATCACCTCCCAAAGGACAATCTCCTAATACCATAAATTGGTGACTAGGTTTCAATACATGAATTTCAACATTCAGACCGTAGCATCTAAAATTAGTTGGGATGGAACAAAGGGTATGAAATAATAGTTTGGGGTAGATAGAAACAACACGATGAAAGTCTTGAAGAAAGTCTTGATGAGCAAGGTAAGTAAGCTCTTTAGTTGGTGCTATTATTTAAATATACGTCCCCTCCAAAACTCATGTTGATATTTTATTGATGTGGGGTCTTTAAGAGGTAATTAGGTTATGAGGGCTTTCATGAGATAATTAATGCTATTATCATAGGAATGAGTTAGTTATTGAGATGGGGTTTGTTAGAGAAGTAAGTCTGGCCTGATTTCTCTCTCTGTCTCATGTGTTTGCTTCCATCCTCCACTCCTCCACTATAACATGACCCTCACCAGACACCAGTGCCATCCTCTTGGATTTCCTAGCTTCCAGAACTGTGGGTCAAATAAACTTTTCAAAGTAATTATCTAGTCTGTAATGTTCTGTTATGGCAGCAGAAAACAGACTAATACAGGTGGGTTAACTTATTTCTTCCGAGAGCAGGTATTTCCTGGAACAAGCGGCTAAGTAGTTAATTTTGCCTGGTTTCAGTACTAGTTAGCATAGAGACAGTAGACAATATTTGGCCCCAGAACTGTTTGGTACAGGAAGAAGGTATGTTTGATCTCAGTTCTTAGTCTCTGATATTGGTCTTTTTACAGTCTAAATTGGGATCTGATCATTGCACGTTGTTGGGTCTGTAGCAAGTAGGTTTCCTGATGCTAGTAATTCCAGTTCCACAGCATCACTCCCACCATACACTATAGGTCAAAGTCACAAGCCAGCTTGTTTACAAGGGGTGGAGACATAAGCATCACCTTTCTATGAGAAGAATGTCAAATAATTTGTATCCACATCTTCAAACTACCATAATTCTCCTTTGGCCACAAATTGTTTACATTCCTCCCATGACTCTCCAAAAAGATTCATCAAATTATGAAATTAGTCTCGGGCTTGAGGTACAGGATCTTGTCATCAAAATCAGGTCCAGATGTGGCAGAGGCTCCATAGCTTCAATTCCTTGAGTACAATTCTTTTTGATCTAAAAACCTATAAACAAGAAAGACAAATTATTAGCTCTACACACGCCAAATGTACATTAGCTGAACAAGCATCGTAATTCCTATTCAAAAACAGGGACAGGTAGAAGGTACACAATAATTGATCCACACAATTTAGAGACAAGCAGGGCACATGAGGCCAGTTCCTTGACTAAGGACAAGTAATAACTCCCTGGGAATCACTCTGTCATCTCTTGGCTCTGCCCTCTGGTCTGCTTTCCTTCCCACAGAAATAGCTTATGTTTGCAGTTAAGTAATTTTCTCAACCTGCTTCTTACTTATAGACATTCAAGAGCCCAAAGGCTACTTTTTAATTTGTAATGTCCCTATCCTTTTCTCTCCAAGCTGTTATAATTCTTTTAAAGACTTTTTGGGCTTCTTACAAGTTGATTTATATTCCACACTATTAAACAAAACCACACCCACAAATCTTTTCAGAATAGGTTCTCTCCCTGGGTCTTCTTCAGAGTGGTTGTAGAACAATGACCTTGGAATTCTCCTATTACTTATTGGAGAGAATGTGTGAAGCATACATATACTATCATTAGAAGACATTTGGTCTTCTTGAAAGAGTCTTTGAGGTGCTGATTTAAGTGTTTCTAAGATTTTAATAAGGGATTTTACTAGCCATATTTTCAGCTTTATTTTTTCTAGGTAACACCCTGAATTTGATCTTTGCCATAGGATATTTCTTACTTTGAGAACCTTCTGCTGGCTAGAAAGAATATCTGGAGCCTCTACTTTTCCTTTAAATCCAACTTTAAGACTGAATAGTTTATTTTCTGTCTTCCTACATTTTATTATAAGCAGCTAGAAAAATCCACAGTTTCTTGAGCACTCTGCGTGGAAATCTCCTTACTATACCATTGAGTTTATTGGCTGTGTTTCCTCTTTTCCATGTTACTGCAATGACAGTTTCTGCCACAACCTTCAGGTCTTTGTGCCCTTGCTGGCAACCTCCTTGAGCCTTGCCAGGCTTCTGCCTGCCACCTAATCACAACATCAATGCCACGTATTTCAGGATTTATTAAAGCACCACACTTCTTCCAGGGCACAACAAAAGTTACTGGCATGAAATTACAACAATGTATGTGTATTTGTGTTCTGCCATCTTTATTGCCTTTAGCTGTTTGTCACTCCCTGGGGAGTCAAAAAAATACCTGGGTTCTTCCATTTTGGGGAAAAAATGCCAACTTTTAGCCCACCATCCATCACCTCATTTTTCTTTACTGATCCAGGTGGAAGTGTATGCTCAGCTCTGCACAGGATGGGGAGAGAAGAATATTGATCAGCCTACTTCATGTGCATTGCATTGTTCAATGTTCTTGAACACTATAGGCTCAGCTCCCCACTGGGACCCACTGACACTGGGGTAGGCAGAGGAACCAGAGTGCCAACTAGCTCTGCCTCATACTGCCCTGTTTGGCCTCGTTGCCTCCAGGTAGGTGTGGAAGTTTGGGCTCCATAGGGCTCCTGTGACACCAAAAGTGAGGTGACAGTGGAGTGCTGGTAGACTAGCCTCAACTCATACCACCTCGTATAGTCTCATGGATGCCAGGAGAACATGAAGGCTCAGCTACTGGCTGGGCTCCATGAATCCTGAGGGTGGATGGTGAAGTATAGTGGTGACTATCTCCTTGCACCTCCTCATTATGTCTCATTGTTGCTGGGTGGGTGTGAAGTCTCAGCTTACCATCCGACCCTGTTGGCTTGGGGGTAATATCAGAGCACAGTCTGCTTCCACCAGACAGATAGAAGGACTACCTGCAAGTAGGACTTCTACCTGGAAAGGGATAGATTAGGTCTCCACTTTGTCTGCTGACAGCAGAGGAATCTGCATATCACAACTTGAACTTACTTCCACAGGGTAGGAGGATGTCAAGGGACACCAGCTTTCTGTTCAGTTCCACTGAAACTGCAGGGAGGAATGCAATGTATTTATTGGTGTTTATTTGGCATATGGCAGGTATTGCCAAAATAGTTTTCTGTTGTTAGGCTACCTTTTTCTCAGTCCTTTAGCTATGGACAACAAACCTGTTGGTGGCTCTGGGATGGAGATCTTTGAAGCTCCCTTTAGGAAATATATGGGAGGCAACAATAAAAACCACATGATCAGCTGCCATGTCATTCCTCAAGTCAAGAGGTCCCTAGGCAATCTACTCTCGTTCTGCATTTTACAATCTGTTTGTTTTGTTACATCCATGTTTTTTTAGTTGTGAGGAGGATGGAGGGCTAACTCATCTTTGCCAAAAATGAGAGAGCCCAGGTATATTTTCAACTCCCCAGGAAGAGGCAAACAGCTAAAGAAAGTAAAGATGGCAGAACACAGATCTATAACTTCAAAAAAGAAAAAAAAAATGTATCTTCAAGTAACACATAAATGGGTTCACAACCACAAGGAAGAGAAGAGAGAATGATTATTTTGTTTATGGCCTTGAAGTCCTGGATGAATCTATGTCCTTTTCTTTAGCGTTCGTTAACTGGGAGGTAAGGAAAATTACAAGAATGGTACTAGGTATAAAGAGACTTTTCTCTAGTAGTCTTTTAACTACTGGTTTTAGCCTTTTGAGTTTCTGGCTTTAAACAGTATTGTGCAAACTTGTATCAAGATTTGTGTGGATCGATCTGAACCCTGATGCTTTGGGCACTGTCTTAGTCCTTTTGGGATGCCATAGCAAAAAACCCTAAAATATGTAGCTGATAAACTATAGAAAATCATTTCTCCAGTTCAGGAGACTGGGAAATCCAAAATCAAGGTGCTGACAAATTTAGTGTCTGGCGAGGGCCTGTTTCCTGGTGCATAGAAGGCACCATCTCACCGTGTTCTCCCGTGGGAGAAAGGTTAAGGCAGGTCTAAGAGCCTCTTTTATCAGAGCACAGTCATGTCCCAAAGGCCCACCTTCTGATGCCATCACCTTGGTGATTAGAATTCAACATATGAATCTGAGAGGGACACAAACATCCAGAACATAGCCGGCAGCAATAATTTTGCCAAAATAAGTGGAATTTTTTTTCACAAGTAGTCTTATATATGGAGAAGATTTTCATATTGGACTTATTTAAGAAGCAAAGAAACCAGTATGTCAATATCTCAATTAGTTATTATCTGATTATGACTAGGAGAATCCTCAGGATTTCAAGAGGTCAACAGTGGAACACTTAATCTAAACATTTCGTTTGCCCACTAGATCCTTCCCTGTTAAGTTCACAGATGTGGTATCACAGAGAAGGGGAAAAAATGTTATTTGGTTAAAAGTCGAAGGGTGGTGGTTATAGACTAAGATGAAGAAATACCTAGAGATTACTAGTTTCTTGATTCTAAGAGAAAGGTTGTGTACTGGTGGCAGGGTTTGTGGTATCGATAAACAATCTGGCAGGTTGTCCTTTAACATTTGCAGAAATTTCTACTTGTAAATTTGAGGGTAAAAATGGGAAAATAAATGCTGAATTTCCCTTTGGAGCATTTTCAGTGTCTACCCACTTCAATATTTTCCTTCAGTTTCTAACTACCACAGTGCAATTGTTTTATCATTTTTTTTCTGCTTACGTTGTTTACAGGTGTCTTTATTAATAACTCTCTACCCATGTTCTTGTGATAGAGTAGGGAACGTGCAGTTTCTTTATGTGTGAGACCACCAATTCATACTACACCTTATTCCAATTGTGTTTTAAGGCTATTTCAAGATGTTGAGTGAATGACTAGAGACCAGGCAACAGAGCTACTTCCCATTCCTGTTTTTGCTTTCATATTAAATCCCCTGGTTCTGGCTTAAAGTTGTTCAAAGAAACTGAAGATAGAGTTAGGGTCACATCTGCTCCTGGATCTATTCCTGAACGCTGTATAAAGGTGTTAAAAAGCCTACTCCTGAAGTCACCAGTAGATTCATCCTTTCTTTGCCTGTAGAACAAGATTACAGTACAATCTATTTTTACAGAACAGACTTTGAGGATGGCATCTTACAGCTCTTGCTCTACATCTACAGCTTTTCTAACCCCTCTAATCTTCCCTACAATTCAAGGTCTATTAGGTCACTCAGAATCTCCCCATTCTGACTTTTCCATTCAATTTTTATTCCTCTTTTTTTGCCTATGAGATTCCTATTAATATATGAGCCAAATGATGTAAATCTGAGATCTCTAAATAATCTACTAATAGAACAACTCCAAATTCTGTTGTAAATTTCTGTCTCTATTTTGTGTGTATGCTTTAGAAAGTAGCTAACAATCGCTTTCAATTCAGACAAAGATCAGGGCTTAAAGTCAACCACAATAGAACTTGATCTGTTCTGAAGTGGGTTTAACTCTAAAAAACATTTGAGATTTGGGAGTTTCTTCTTGGCTAGAAGGGAAAGGAGATGAGTCAACGGAAGGGGTGGGAATAAGGGTAATGTAGGAGCCTAGGAAGGAGGAAGAGTGGAATAAAGGCAGTTATATTCAGATGGAAGTTCAGGAGGGTCTAAGAAAAATAGTTTTGAGGTTTTTATATTTCTCATTTGCCATGGCTAAGGAATCTTTTGAAAGCATCAATTTGAGAAACTAAATTTCTTTTGCTAGGTTCTTATGTCAATGAAAATTGCAGACCATTCTTTTTCTAAAATATCTCTCAAATGAATAGTTTTGTTCAAATTAAATGCTCGTCAAAATAGCCACTGTAATTCTAAATTATCCTTGGTAAAATTATTCCACTTAAATGTACAAACAAACAAACTATAGTGAAAATACATGATAGAAGCAAATTTCCCAACACTCTTCTGAGGTCCAGGGCCTCAAGGACCTTTACATAAAAGATAATTCTCCCCTGAGGTCCCATGAGCCTTTCACACTGGGATCTCCCCAGCTGCATTGGAGCATGGACTTGGACTGAGACAGCCTCATGAAAGCCATGGTATTCTGGATAATTTGCTTATGCCCACTGTTCCTTGTATTAAATTTCCAGAGAAACAGAACCTACAGAATATACGTAAATACATATAGGGAGATGTATTATGAGGAATTGGTTCATGCAATGATGGAGGCTGAGAAATCCCATAATCTCTGCTCTGCTAGCTAGAAGACTCAGAAAGCTGGTGGTGTAGTTCCAGCCCAAATCCAAATCCCTGAGAAACTGGAGAGCCAATAGTAAATCTGAGTTTGAGGCTCTGAGAGCCAGGGGCCAATAGAATACGTTATTAGAGTCTGAAGGCCCAAGAACCAGTAGTGCTGATGTACTGGATCAAGAGAAGATGGATGTCTCAGCTCAAAAACAGAGAGAATTTGTCCTTCTTCTGCCTTTTTGTTCTATTCAGGCCCTCAACTAATTGGATGAGACCCACCCACACTGATGAGAGTGATCTCCTTTACTCAGTCTACTGATGCAAATGTTAATCCCTTCCAGAAACACCCTCATATACAAACCCAGAAATATGTCTTATCAACTATCTGGGCATTTCTTAGCTCAATCAAACTAACACATAAAACTACCCATCACACCCTAACCTAATAGTTAGCCACCGCCAATTTCAAATGGAAGATTTGGAGTAGAAAACTTGCCTTGACCCAAATGCTCATGGATAAAATAAGACAAGACTGAGGAAAGGTCTCATAAGAGTTTAATAGGAAACCCAAGGTAAAGTTTGCCTTATAAGAAGCCTGACATAAGGAGAACTTTTGAACTACTCAAGAGATGAATTCCTCAAACCTACACCCATCTTCTTTTTTTGATCATCTTCTTACATACATTCAGCAGAAAGTGTTGAGGACAGACAAACCAAAAGACAAACAGCAGTGTTTTTAGTCACAAGACAGCTTTTCTCAAAGGAAAAAAGATTTCACTTCTGATCAGATAATCAAAGAATTCAGAAACAAAGATTTCTTATTCCCAGGAAATATTTGGGAGCTGAATTTTTTTTTTTAATCACAGCTCTGACCCACTAAGGAATCTATTATCCACTGCAATCAGAGACACTGTAGACAGGAAGCTCAAGGGGTCTTTGGGGAGCATGCTAATCCAATTCCAGGGTCTTGAGACACTATATTTTGGTAGAATCTAGAGGATTTTTCAAATGTTTCATCCCTAAAAACTTCACCAGAAAAACTGTCTATCAAGAAAAACTAAATTTATTAGATGTAACACAGTAAAGCAGAACTTTATCATGATAATACAGTCTTAGTAGTGTCTGAGCTGAGAAGAAGGATTTCAGGGGAGGGTATTTACAGAGTGTAGAGGGTGATTTTAAGGCAAGTCTCGCAAAAAGGCATACTGATTGGGATTCTGCAGATTTTGTGATAGAATAGACCGGGATTGGTGGGCACAATGAGGGGAGAGTCTTGAAAGAGTTCTTGATGAACAAGCTGTTAGTCTTGATAAGTAATCTCCTTAGTTGGTTCCAGTCTTATCTTCTAGGAGCAGGCATTTCCTGAAGCAAGAAGCTAAATTATTTTTGCCTGGCCCCAATATTGTTTAGCATGAAAATAGGAAAGTAAGCTTGGTCAAAGAATTGTTTTGCACAGGGGAGTATGTTTGGTATCAATACTCATTGTTGTAGAGAAAAGTTCTGGAATAATCTCATTTGAAGATTTTTTAAATAAATGTCTTTCACTTATGACCCAAACTGCAAGATATTTCTTTTTACATTGTTATTATACAGTGTTAACAAGCTGATCTGCAAAAAATAAAAACTGTTTAAGTAGTTAAAACAATAATAACATTAGCAAAAAAAAAAAAAGCAAGTGCTCTCAATCTTAAGAATATATGATCATGTCAACTTAGTATTAGCAGCTCAAAGAGTAGGAAGAGAAAGATATGCATTCAACTTGAAAAGGAAATAAGATCAGATTTTTAAAAGTCTGTATGACACAAATGTATTGTTTGATTTGGGAAGCATGTTCCAAAAAATCTGTATATGTGGGAGAGTGTGTATATATTTGGGTATATGCAGTATGTCTCATCACACAAGAGCAAATGCAATGTGTGAACACAAGCACTTCTCTACAGATGGAGAGTGGGTGTGAGTGTTCATTTTTCCCTCAAACACTTATGGAGGGCACAGGCTATAGGCCAGGCTCTGTGACAAGCATTAATAATACTGAGATGAATGAGGAATGCCTGGCCTCAAAGAGCTCACAGTAAAGGAGAAGGCTTGGACCCATGTAAATGGATAATCATAAGAAAACATGAAAAGTGTAGTGGGACTCCTGAGGAGAGAGTGACTAAGTCTAGATTCAGGGATCAGAGAATACTGACATTGGGGCCAAACACTGAATGATGAAGAGGAGTGAACTAAGCAGAAGAGAGGGAAGGAGCAGAGTTTTTCAGGCAGCTGTGAAGCCTCCATATAGCAGAAATGTGTGTGAGTATCAACAGGCCCTCCTCTAACATTTGCCATGCCTAGGACAAGGATGCATGGAGGCCCCTGTATCATGTCTAAATATGTAAAAATTATAAATCAAGCTAAAAAATATACCATCTCTTACTTTGCAAATGTATCTTTATAACAACATAATTGGAAGATATATATAAAGGTATAGCTTTATATTACTAAAATTGGGCAAAAAAACACAGATAATTAACTTTAATTACTATTGGACATTTCTGGGGATGGACCAGCAATGTTTGTATGAGTCATAAAATAAAGACAATTCATAAATTATTATATATTTATTTTATGGTATTTTCTTACTTTCAATTCAGCAAAATCACTGTGTTGTTATAAACAAGCTTTTACGTACTTGTTTTCCATTAATAGCAACTTACAGAATCAACAAATAAAATATAATTATATTCAAAATATTAAATATTAGATGTATTTCATCAACAGCACAAACTAAACAAATATAAAAATAAAAATTACTTAAACTTAACAAAGTTTAAAATATAAAAATATATTTTAAAATATTAAAAATTATCTATTAAAATTAAAAGATAAAATAAAATTGTAGTTGGTGAACAAATCACGTTGATATTCAACTATTTGATATTAAAAAATTCACTGATATTCATCAAATACATAATCAAATATTTAATATTGATATATTAAATATATTTAGTTAAAATATTTAGTATATCATTTATCAAATATATTTTACCAAATATTCAAATATTTAATAAAAATATTTAAAGTTGAAAATTGTATTTGATGTTTAAAAGTATTTTAATGAAATATATTTAATTAAAATTAAAAGCTATCATTAAAATGAGCATTTTCATTATTTAATTTCAAAAAATTTAAATTTTAATAATATTATTAAATGTTTTTCCAAAAATTGAACCTTATACAATTCTAGTTTTTGTGTCCACCTCTTTGCCAATGAAAAGAATTGGTATCATGCTTCATACATGTTACACCTAAACCTCTATATAACAAATATAAGAGTAAGTTGAATTGTTTAACCTTGAAAAATGCTCCTTGGCTGCTGTGTACAACTGTAGTGAGCTCAGCACTACATATGAGTGCTTCCAGAAGTACAAACTGGAAGGCAAAGAGAAGCAAAACAGATGCTCAGAACTCCTGGGAAGCAATACTTTCTTATGAAAGCATCAACTGCATTCATGCTATCTGACAAATTTAACATGTGGGGTCCAAAGCAGGGGTCCAGGGCAGGGGTCCCCTTTACCTAGCATTCAAATTACAAATGAAGGATAATGGTGACCAGATTGTCAAGGGCCTCATGATCATTGCTAGAGAGTCATCTGACACTTTGTCCACTAAACAGGGAAGAGACAATTATATAACAGCTCTCTTTCACCATTTTCCTCTCTGCTGCAGTCACATCAGCTCCTCTCTGAAGCAGAAATCTAGATGTTAACCCTAAGAGATGACAAAAATCTACTTTGGAAGTACTCTGTCAAGACCTGAGTCCTCATGAAAGAGAGAAAGAAGTCAAATTACATGTTTATAATGTCTTTTGAGAGTCTTCTGTATCTCCAGAAAGAAAGCCTCATTTGGAAAAAAAATACGTATTTATAATCACACATATAAATTCTGTTATGTATCCACAATGTGCTGGAAAAATTTTCTGACAAGTGATTTTGTTTCCCTCAGTTCTCCATAACTTTAATAAAGTGATCTATCTAAACCCCAATTTATGTCGCGTAACTTCCCTGCTAAAATACTCTCCAGGAGCCTCTATCACTTGCAAAAGAAAGTTCAAGTTCCTTAGTATGGCATCTGTTTCTTCACCATATTTCAGCTGGACCACCAACCAAGGCCTCCTTGAAGATCTCTCAGCTTCTGCTTGTGCCCTGCTTAATCCATTCTCTCCGCAAACAGCCTGAATGAGAAATGAGATGATGTAGTGACCCCGGCTTCAAAGCCTGTCAATAACTCTCTAATGCACATAAGATAAATATAATCTCCTTACTACCACCTACAAGCGGCTGTAAAATTTGGCTCTGCCGATATCTCAGGCATCCTCTGCCACTTCTTGCTCACTGTGCTATACCCTCTTTGGCTTTCTTTCACCTTCCAGAACATATTAAACTCTTTTCTATGTTAGAGCTTTTACTTTTGCTGTGGCCTCTCACGTGGAGATCTGGTTTTCTCTGGATCTCCACATGACTAGCTCGTAGACAGTCCTTACCTGAGCACCTCACTTAAAACCCATTCCCAGTTTTTTTCTCTCTAGTACCTTGTTTTCTCATTTGCTTTCTTCGTAGTATTGTTCACAATCTATATCCTCTTGATTTCTAATTTAGTAGCTGACATACACTCATTTTTAGTGCAGAAAACTTTTCTGATTTGTTCAGTGTTTTATTTCCAGCTTTCAGCACAAAACTAACTCATAAGAGGTATTGACAACATTTGTCAACATCTACTCAAATTGTTGTTTCTCTTTCTTCACCTGACTAACTTCTCCTCATTCTTTGACCCCAGCTCAGATATTATCTCTCAGAGACTAAATGTAGTACACTTCCCTTCTGCTTCCGTAAAATCCTCTGCCTTTTCCACATTATTTGCCACTCTTTATGGGCATGTCACCTTCATTTGTCTGCACTTTTAGAATAAGGAACTATACCTTATTTATCTTTTCTCTCCATAAGTTGTTTACAGTGTCTAGTATGCAGCTGTTCAGTAAATGCAGTTAAATTGAATTGAAAGGTTAAATGGAATTGAAATCAAAAGGCTACTAGCAAGGAGGTTGTATAAATTCCAAGGCCAGTTTGCCTCGAATCAAAACCCAGCTCTATCACTTACTTATTAAATCACCTTGGGAAAGTCACTTGAACTTGTGCCTCAGTTTCTTTTTTTTTTTCTTTTTTTTTTTTTTTTGAGATGGATCTCGTTCTGTCGCCCAGGCTGGAGTGTAGTGGCGTGACCTCGACTCACTGCAAGCTCCGCCTCCTGCATTCACGCCATTCTCCTGCCTCAGCCTCCCGAGTAGCTGGGACTACAGGCTCCCGCCACCATGCCTGGCTAATTTGGTATTTGTATTTTTAGTACAGAAGAGGTTTCACCGTGTTAGCCAGGATGGTTTCCATCTCCTGACCTCGTGATCCACCTGCCTCGGCCTCCCAAAGTGCTGGGATTACAGGAGTGAGCCACCGCGCCCAGCCTTGTGCCTCAGTTTCTTAATCCATAAAATGGAACGAAAGACAGGAGCTATTTCATAGATTGTTGTGAAGATTAAATTACTTAATACATGTATTTAAGTGTTACATGTTTAGTCAGCATTTAATAAATGTTAGCTGTGCTTTCATATGAAATGTTTCTCATAATCCTTTTTCTTTTCTAGGACAACTGGAACAAATAAAAGAAGTTCTTCCAATATCTTTTCTCATGTAACAGTAATGAACTTTAGTTTATGGCAAATTTGTGATTATCTTGGCACCAGCCTCTTTTCTAATTGGGCACACATACATAAATCGTGACTTTAGCTGCTTGACTGTTGTGTAACTTAAGGAGTATGTATATTGCCAGTCTGTGCCACTTGGCAGCTTAAAAATTTTAATTTAATTTATTTAAAAAGGGAGAAATGCATACATGTGAGACTAGTACTATGTAAATATGCTTAAATTTATCCCCATATGTTTTATTCAAAATGTTTTACACTGTTAAGTAGAAAAAGAAAACAGATCTGATCATATATCACCTCCCTGCTCAAAATTTTTCTATAGGTTCCAGAATAGGAAAAAAAAGTTTAAAATAACTAAAAAGACCCTTAAAAAAATAAAATGAGCAAAGGCAGTGAAACAATAACTTTAAAAGACAGAGAAAGGACAAATAATCTTATAAAATAAAGTTTATTAGTAATCAAAGAAAAGCAAATCAAATCCATGTTATATCTTTTATCTACCAAGTGGAAATATTTTGTGAAATGAATGTTCAGCGTAGGCAAGAATGCAAGGAAATCCACACTCCTACGCTGTATTGCTGGGAAAGCAATTTGGTTTAAGCTGTTGAAAAAAAAAATTTGAAATAGGTACCAAGAGCCTTTAAAAATTCACGAGTTGTGGACTTAAAATTTATTTTCCACAAATAGCATGAGAAAATAATCAAAAGTTTTTAAAAAGCTATGATACATATTTTAGTATCATATTACTTATAATAATAAAACATTGAAAATAGCTTAATGTCTGGCTAAGTTAATTTATAGTAAATCTACACGATTAAATATTACACAAGTACATAAAGGTTGTCTTTGAAGCATATATGATGACATTAAAAAATATTTGTGTTTTATACTATTTATGTTAAAGGTGGTATACTCATGTGTCCCTTAATGATGGGGATGTATTTTAAGAAATGTGTCATTAGGTGATTTTGCCATTATGCGAACATCATGGAGTATAACTTCCTTACAAAAACCCGGATATTAGAGCCTACCACACACCTAGGCTACATGGTATAGCCTATCGCTCCTAGGCTACAAACCTGCACAGCATGTTAATGGACTGAATACTGTAGGAATTTGTAGCACAAATCACTAGGCATAGGAATTTTTCAGCTTTGCTATAATCTTATAGAACCACTGTTTATATTCAATTCATCATTGACTGAAACATTATGTGATGCATGACTTTATATAAATGAATTATATATATATATATAATGACAGTTACATAATATACATATATATGTGTGTATGTATTGTGTGTATGAAAGGAAACATTAAAATATTAACAATGGATCACATATAGATGTTAGGGTAAAAAAGCTGATTTGTTCTTGTTATTGCTTCTCTTCTACATTTATACAATTTTTGACCATAAGCATATGGCATAATTTACTTTTATTTTTATTTTTTCATTTTCAATTTCTGTGGATTCATAGTAGACACACATAGTTATGGGGTACATGAGTTTTTTTTTTTTTTTTTTTTTTTTTTTTTTTGAGACAGTCTCCCTCTATCACCCAGGCAGGAGTGCTGTGGCATGATCTCAGCTCACTGCAACCTCTGCCTCCCACGTTCAAGCAATTCTCATGCCTCAGCCTCCCAAGTAGCTGGGATTACAGGTGTTTGCCACCATGCCTGGCTAATTTTTGTATTTTCAGTAAAGACAGGGTTTTGCCACATTAGCCAAGCTGGTCTCAAACTCCTGACCTCAGGTGATCTGCCCACCTCAGACCCCCAAAGTGCTGGGATTACAAGTGTGAGCCACCGTGCCCAGTTTGGGGGGTACATGTGATATCTTGATATAGGCATGCAACATGTAATAATCACATCAGGGTAAATGTGGTATCCATCTCCTCAAGAATATATTCTTTGTAGTAGAAACAATCCAATTATACTCTTTTAGTTATTTTAAAATGGACAATTATTTTGACTATAGTCTCCCCATTGTGCTATCAAATACTAGGCCTTATTCATTCTTTCTATTTATTTATTAACCACTAACCATCGCCACCTCCCCTCCCCACCCCTTCTACTCTCTGTCTCCATGTGTTCAATTGTTTTGATTTTTACATCTCACAAATAAATGAGAACATATGATGTTCGATTTTCTATGCCTGGCTTATTTCACTTAACATAATGACCTCCAGTTCCACCCATGTTGTTGCAAATGACAAGATCTCATTCTTTTTTATGGCTGAATAGTACTTTATTATGTATAAGTGCCACATTTTCTTATCCATTCATCTGTTGATGAAAATCTACATTGCTTCCAAATCTTGACTAATGTCAACAGTGCTGCGAAAAACATAGGAATGCAGATATCTCTTCAAAATACTGATTTCGTTTCTTTGGGGTATATACCCAGCAGTGGGACTGCTGTATCATATGGTAGCTCTATTTTTAGTTTTGTGAGGAACATCCAAACTGTTCTCCTTAGTGGTTGTACTAATTTACATTCCCACCAACAGTGTACAAGGGTTTCTTTTGCTCCACATCCTCACCAGCATTTATTGCCTGTCTTTTGGATGAAAGCCATTTTAACCAGGGTGAGATTATATATCACTGTAGTTTTGATTAGCATTTCTCTGATTATCAGTGCTGCTGAGCACCTTTTCATATGCCTATTGCCACTTGTATGTCTTCTTTTGAGAATTGTCTATTCAAATATTTTGTCCATTTTTAATTGGATTATTGGAATTTATAGTAACAAATTCCTAGAGCATTCCTATAGAGTTGTTTGAGCTCCTTCTATATTCTGGTTATTAATCCATTATCAGATTGGTAGTGATATGGTTTGGCTCTGTCTCCCCACCCGAATCTCATCTTGTAGCTCCCATAATTCCCATGTGTTGTGAGAGAAACCCGATGGGAGATAATTGAATCATGGGGGCAGGTCATTCCTGTGCTGTTCTTGTGATAGTGAGATCTCATGAGATCTAATGGTTTTAAAAACAGGAGTTTCCCTGAACAAACTCTCTCTTTGCCTGCCACCATCCAGGTAAGAGGCTACTTGCTCCTTCTTGCCTTCTGCCATGACTGTGAGCCCTCCCCAGTCATGTGGAACTGTAAGTCCAATTAAACCCCTTTTTTTCCCAGTCTTGGGTATGTCTTTATCAGCCGCAAGAAGATGAATTAATACAGTAAATTGATACCAATAGAGTGGGGAATTGCTGAAAAGATACTTGAAAATGTGGAAGTGACTTTGGAACTGAGTAACAGGCAGAGGTTTAAACAGTCTGGGGGAGCTCAGAAGAAGAATGGAAAATGTGGGAAAGTTTGGAACTTCCTAGAGACTTGTTATATGGCTTTGCCCAAAATGCTGATAATGATGTGGAACAATGAAATACAAGCTGAGGTGGTCTCAGGTGGAGATGAAGAACTTGTTGGGAACTAGAGCAAAGCTGACTCTTGTTATGCTTTAGCAAAGAAACTGGTGGCATTTTGCCCCTGCTGTAGAGATTTGTGTAACCTTAATCTTGAGAGAGATGATTTAGGGTATCTGGCAGAAGAAATTTCTAAGCAGCAAAGCATTCAAGATGTGACTTGGGTGCTGCTAAAGACATTCGATTTTATAAGAGAAGCAGAGCATAAAAGTTCAGAAAATTTGCAGCCTGACAATGAGATAGAAAAGAAAATCCCATTTTCTGAGAAGACATTCAAGCTGGCTGCAGAAATTTGCATAAGTAATGAGAAGGTAAATGTTAATCACCAAGACAATGGGAAAAATGTCTTCAGGGTATGTCAGAGGTCTTCATGGCAGCCCCTCCCATCACAGATTTGGAGACCTAGGAGAGAAAAATGGTTTCTTGGCCAGAGCCTCGGGACTCCTGCTCTGTGCAGCCTAGGGTCTTGGTACCCTGTGTTTCACTTACTCCAGCCATAGCTAAAATGGGCCAAGGTACAGCTTGGACTGTTGCTTGAGAGGGTGAAAGCCCCAAGCCTTGACAGTTTCCATGTGATGTTGAGCCTGTGGGTGCACAGAAGTCAAGAATTGAGATTTGGTAACCTCTGCCTAGATTTCAGAGGATGTATGGAAATGCCTGGATGCTCAGGCAGAAGTTTGCTGCAGGGGCGGGGCCCTCATGGAGAAACTCTGCTAGAGCAGTGCAGAAGGGAAATGTGGGGTTGGAGCCCCCACACACAGTCCCTACTGGTGAACCACTTAGTGGAGCTGTGAGAAGAGGGCCACCTTCCTCCAGACCCCAGAATGATAAATCTGCTGACAGCTTGCACTGTGCACCTGGAAATGCCACAGACACTCAATGCCAGCCCATGAAAGCAGCCAGGACTGGAGCTATACCCTGCAAAGCCACAGGGGCAGAGCTGTCCAAGACTATGGGAATCCCCCTTTTGCTTCAGCGTGACCTGGATATGAGACATGGAGTCAATGCAGATCATTTGGAGCTTTAAGATTTAACTGCCCTGCTGGATTTTGGACTTGCACGGGGCCTGTAGCCCCTTTGTTTTGGCCAATTTATCCCATTTGGAATGGGAGAAATGCTTGTACCCACTGCCTGTGCCCCCATTGTATCTAGGAAGTAACTAATTTCCTTTTGATTTTTACAGGCTCAGAGGTGAAGGGACTTGCCTTGTCTCAGATGAGACTTTGGACTGTGGACTTTTGAGTTAATGCTGAAGTGAGTTAAGACTTTGGGGGACTGTTGGGAAGGCATGATTGGTTTTGAAATGTGAAGACATGAGATTTGGAAGGGTCTGGGGCAGAATTATATGGTTTGATTCTCTGTGTCCCCGCCCGAATCTCATCTTGCAGCTTCCATAATTCCCACATGCTGTGGAACAGACCCAGTGGGAGATAATTGAATTATTGGGGCAGGGCTTTCCTGTGCTGTTCTTGAGACAGTGAATATGTCTCACGAGAGCTGATGGTTTTAAAAATGAGAGTTTCCCTGCACAAGATGTGACTTGCTTCTCCTTTCACTTCACCATGATTGTGAGGCCTCCCAGCCATGTGGAACTGTAAGTCCATTAAGACTTTTTCTTCCCAATCTCGGGTATGTCTTTATCAGCAGTGTGAAAATGGACTAATACAGATGGTTTGCAAATATTTTCTTCCATTCTGTGGGTTGTCTCTTCACTTGATTGTTCCCTTTGCTATGCAGAAGCTTTGTAACTTGATGTGATCCCATTTTCCTTTTTTTTTTTTTTTCTGGGCTTGTGGGTATTACTCAAGGAGTTCAATATCCTGGAGATATTTTCCCAGTTCAATATCCTGGAGAGTTTTCCCAATGTTTTCTTTCAGTAGCTTCATAGACTGAAGTATTAGGTTTAAGTCTTTAATTCATTTTCGTTTGGTTTTTGTATATAGCAAGACATAAGGGTCTACTTTAATTCTTCTGTATATGGATATCCAGTATTTCCAGCACCATTTATTGGAGACTATCTTTTTCCCCAGTGTATGTTCTTGGCACCTTTGTCAAAAATGAGTTCTGTAGGCATATGAATTTGTTTCTGGGTTCTCTATCTTGTTTCATCGGTCTATGTGTATGTTTTTATGCCAGTATCATGCTGTTTTGGTGACTATAGGTCTGTAGTATAGTTTGAAGTCAGGTAATATGATTCCTTCAGTTTTGTTAATTTTGCACACACTAGCTTGGCTATTCTGGGTCTTTTGTGGTTTGATATAAATTTTAGGATTGTTTATTATATTTCTGTGAAGAATGTTATTGGTATTTTCATAGGAATTACATTGAATCTCTAGATTTCTTTTGGTAGTATGGACATTTTAATAATATTGACTTTTCCAATTGATGAACATGGAATATCTTTCCATTTTGTTGTGTCCTCTTCAATTTCTTGCATCAGTATGTTACAGTTTTCATTGTAGAGATCTTTCACTTATGTGGTTAAGTTAATTCCCTGGTATTTAATTTTCTCTGTGGCTATTTTAAGTGGGATTACATTTTTCTTCAGATTGCTCACTGCAGGCATACAGAAATGCTACTGATTTTTATAGGTTGATTTTGTATCCTGCAAATTTACTGAATTTGTTTATTAGTTCTAATAGTTTTTTGATGGAGTCTTTAGGTTTTTCCAAATATGTAATTATATTATCTGCAAACAAGGATAATTTGACCTCTTCCTTTCCAATTTGAATGCCCTTTATTTCTTTGTCTTGTCTAATTGTTATAGCTAGGACTTCCAGTACTATGTTGAATAACAGTGGTGAAAGTGGGCATGCTTGTCTCACAGATCTTAGAGAAAATGCTTTCTGTTTCTCCCTCTTCTGTATAACACTAGTTATGAGTCTGTAATATACACATTTTATTATGTTGCAGTTTGTTCCTTCTACACTCAGTTTTTTAAATTTTTTTAAGCATGAAAGGATGTTGAATTTTATCAAGTGCTTTTCCAGCATCAATTAAAATGATTACATGATCTTTCTTCTTCATTCTGCTGATATAATGTATCACACCGATTCATTTGCATATGTTGAACCATTGTTGTATCCCAGGGATAAAACCCGCTTGATTACGATGAGTGATCTTTTAAATGTATTGTTAAATTTAGTTTGCTGGTATTTTGTTGTGGATTTTTGCATCATTATTCATCAGAGACACTGACCTGTAGTTTTCTTTTTTTGATTTATCTTTGTCTGGTTTTGGTATCAGGGTAATGCTGGCCTTGTCAAATGAGTTTAGAGTTCCTCCTCCTGTATTCTTCAGAATAGTTGAGTAGTATTGGCATTAGTTCTTCTTTAAGTGTTTGGTAGAATTCAGCAGTAAATCCATCAGATTCTGTGCTTTTCTTTACCGGAAGACATTTTATTATGGTTTCAGTCTTGTTTCTTGCTATTGGTCTGCTTAGGTTTTGTATTTCTTCATGGTTCAGTGTTAGTAGGTAGTATGTGTTTAGAAATTTATTCATTTCCACTGGATTTTCCAATTTATTGGCATATAGTTGCTCACAGTAGCCAATAATGATCCTTTGGATTTCTGCAATATCAATCGTAACGTTTTCTTTTTCTTCTCTGATTTTATTTACTTGGGTCTTCTCCCTTTTTTCGTTAGTCTGGCTGACGGCATCATTTTTTAATCAGAAAAAAATAGTATAAAGTTAATAAGAAAATGTTTATGTTGGCATATAACACTCCATAATTCAGCATAATCTACCTTACTATTACACTAAATTCCAGTCATATCATAGAAGCTATTAGAATTACAGTGCAGAATTTGATACAAATTATCACCCTACAAAGATTCAAAAGTTTCAGTGACTTTACAGAGCAACTGATTTTTTTTTTTTTTTGGACAAGCATGTTATTATTTTCATCCCAACTAATGATTTTGAATAACCAGAGCTCTAACCATAGGGTCTAGAACAGTGCTCAGCGAACAATATGAGCTCAATAAATAGTTGTTAAACAATTAAAAAATTTAATAAATGAACTTTACTAGCTGAACGAATTAGGACACTGGATCGTCTTTCAAAATTTAGCAATTTTCCGTAAGTGAACTTTTATGCAGACCCAGACTGATACTGAGAAGAAACGCTAAACCAGCTGGTCAAGGTTCTTCTTAAGTTCTAATCTCTGACTTTGGAGAAAAATCACTAAGCCACTTTGGGCCTTGGTTTCTGCAAGTATAAAGGAGGTTAAAATTTCTGCCTATTCCACAAAACTTATTGTTATTCCTAAATGAAATAGCATACTATACTTAATAAGCATTCAATCAATATTTGTTAAATAAATGAGTGTTTCAACATGTTAGAGAGCTGTAGAACTATAAGCAATTATTAGAAGGGTTAACCAATATAAATATATCGATAGTAAAAAGTAAGAAAATGTGTGATGCAATTAGGAGATGTGTCTTTACAACACCAAAACCAAAAACTATAATTTGATCTTCCTATCCTCTTCTGTCCATTTTATAATAAATGACCACTCTTATTAAACTTACTGAATAAAAGCTTATAATTACTTTCAGAAAAGCTAAAAATGTCTAATGCTATGTTTTACAGTAGATAAGGGAAATTCTAGGTGACAATTTTTCTCTGTGTGTGTGAAGCAAGTAGAATTCAAATTTTTGTTTCAATGTGATCCACATTTTTTTTTTATTCTGAAGATCCAAAGCCAAATATCTGGTTTTTTAGCATACTTGAATTGGACCTTTTTGCCATTATTCTCAATAAGAATATATTACATTTGTTTAGCACCATTATGTATGTCAAAATATAGCTAGAATTAACTAAAATTTTTAGGAATTTTGCAATCTAGTGGTTAAACACAGACAATATTAAAAATTAAATTATAAAATTTTGTGTGTACCTATATAAACTGAATAAAATATAAATTATATTAAAATGATAATAAATACTCAAACTGCATCACTTCCTAATTATTTTATTTTACTATTATCTATATTATTGAGTTTATGTCTATTTAATCCCTGCAGTAAAAATACTATACAATACTGTGTTACAACTCCATGTTCAGTGAGAGCACATTGGTCATGTGAAATCAGCCATGATGACAGTATTTACACCACTAAAATTGGCAAACATTACAAATCATGGCTTTATTTATTGCTTTGCTGATTGTCTATATTTAAGAGAATTATGGGAAAAAGGTTAATAATGAAGATTAAATTTAAATGTGTGCCATAACTATCACTGTTATATTGTGAATAGCACAAAAAATTGTGAGAATATTCACTGACTATTTGAAAGCTATTACCTCATTCAGTGAAGAAGTCATTTCTGTCATTAATAAATGAGTGAATTTCCAACATATGTCTTCATTGTTTCATTTTGTATTACTTATGGAGGTAAATGAAAATATCAACTAACATTTATGTCAGAACTGCATTCATTTATCAATTGCAGCCATAGATTGCAATAATTCTACAAGAGTTGGCAAAAATCAAAGAAAGCATTCTATGAGAATCAATTATCTGTATGAAATGTATAACAAAGAATATATATAATTATTATTTGTAAATTATATGCTACACATCTTTTATATTAGTGAAATTTATAATCAACTCATGTATGTATGGCTATCCATACATTTTTAGGAGGAAATTGGTTGTTAAACATTTACCAGTGAGATAATTCTGGAAAGATGGAAGAGGAGGAAGCACCAGGAATCTGTCTTCCCACCTAGACTACAATTGCTTTGGCAGAATCTGTCTCATGTAAATATTTTGGAATCTTGGAGTCTGTTGGTTTCCAGGATCAGGCTTGGATGGTAAATTTTGGTTAATTTTGGTCAATTTCAGCACAGGAGCAGCTACTCATTCCCCAACCCAGCTCTGTGGCAGGCAACTGTGCACTGTTTCTGGAGCAAACTGCACTTAATTTGGGGAAGCCAGAGTGGGTAAAAAAGGACCCTGTCCTCCACATGTTAGGAATCTGTGCTCTGATCATTGGTTGCTGCTCCTGATCACAGAGATGTGTACAAATAAGCAGGCAGCTATTGTTTTTGTATCACCCCTCATTGTTACAAGTCTCTCCCCTTCCAGTGTAAGTGACTTCCAAGGCATTTAAAGAGCTAATGCCTTTCTCTCTACTTTATTATTTTTTTCTTTTCCTCCTTTGAGAGCCAGACATTAAAGACTAGGTCATGCCAAAGATATTGCATACATGGGAAAAATTAGACAGTTATTATGCCAGGGGAAGGCACAGGCTCTGAAAAGACATTAAGTTTACATCTTAGGCTGATTGACGGCATAGAGAGAGCCTACAACAATTTTTAAAAATAACCAAAAGCAATAGCAAAAACAGCAAATTCTGGAAAAAGGAGAGAATATAATTTTCAGAGTTAATACACTATTAGATCTTAATGAATAATTTTCAGCAAAAAAAAAATCACAAGACATACAAAGAAATAGAAAAGTATGACACATTAAGAAAATCAACATAAGCTGTACCTGCAAAAGACCTAAAGGCAGATAATCTAAACAAAGACTTTAAAACAACTGTCTTAAAAATGGTCAAAGTACTTGAGCAAGATGTGTGAAAAGATAAGAAAATGATGTATAAACAAAATTGAAATACCAAGAAAAAGACAGAAAACTTAAAAAGAAGCTAAAAAGAAATTCTGGAGTGAAAAAGTAAAATAATTGAAATAAAAAATTCACTAGAGGGACTCAGAGGAAGATTTGAGCAGGCAAAAAAATAATCAACTAACTTGAAGATAAGATCATGGAAATTATTAAGTCTGAGGAATAGAAGTGAAAAAGATTGAAGAAAAGTGAATAGAGCTTAAGGGATCTATGGGACACCAGTAAGTGGGCCAACATATGCATTATGAGAGTCAAAAGAGGAGAATAGAGAGAAGGGTCAGAGAGCATATCTGAAAATAATGGCAGAAAACTTTTCAAATTTTATGAAATACGTGAATATAAACGTTCAAGAAACTGAATAAATTCCAAGTAATATGAACTTAAAGAGACCCACACTGAGACACACTATAATCATACTCTCAAAAGACAAATACAAAGAAAGAATCTTGAAAGCCAAAAGACAGAAGTGATTTCTCATACACAAGAGATCCTCAATAAGCTTAGCACCAGATTTCTCATCAGAAATTTGGAAGCTAGAAGGCAATGGGCCAATATAGGCAAAATGCAAAAAGAAAAAAACTGGCAACCAAGAATCCTATATCTGCCAAAACTGTCCCTCAGTATGATGGTTCCTGAAAAAGTTAAAAATGAAATTACCATATATTGTGTTATGAATGTGTCTGCCAAATACATGTGCTAGAAACTTAATGCCCAATGCAACAGTGTTGGGAGGTAAGATCAAACGGGAGGTGTTTATATTATGAATGCTCCAGCCTTATAAATGGATTAATGCCAAGTATAAAAAGTATAAAAAGGCTTGAGGCGTGAGTTTGATCTCTTTCTCTCCCTCATTCTATCTTTGTCCTTCTGCTATGGTATGATGCCATAAGAAGGCCCTCACCAAGTGCTGGCCCCTAGATCTTGAAATTCCCTGCCTTCAGAATTGTGAACCAACGAATTTCTGTTCATTATAATTACCCAGCTGTGGTATTTTGTTATAGAAGCACAAAATGGACTAAGATGCCTCATAATCCAGAAATTCCACTTCTGAATATATGCCCACAAGAATTAAAAGCAGTAGCAGTAGGCCGGGTGCAGTGGCTCGTGCCTGTAATCCCAGCACTTTGGGAGGCCAAGGCAGGTGGATCACTTGAGGTCAGAGGTTCAAGACCAGCCTGGTCAACTTGGTGAAACCCCATCTCTACTAAAAATACAAAAAAATTAGCAGGGCATGGTGGCATGTGCCTGTAGTCCCAGCTACTTGGGAGACTGAGGTGGGAGAATTGTTTCAACCCAGGAGGCAGAGGTTGCAGTGAGCCAAGATTGTGCCCCTGCACTCCAGCCTGGGCAACAAAGTGAGACTCTGTCTCAAAAAAAAAAAAAAAAAAAAAAAGGAAAATTCTGACATATGCTACCTCATGAATGAACCCTTGAGGACATTATGCTAAGTGAAATCATCCAGTCACAAAAAACAACTACTGTATGATTCCACTAATATAAGGTATTTTGAATAGTTAAATCATAGAGACAAAAAGTAAAAATGTCACAGGCTCTTTGGGGTGTTGCTTCACCAGCTGGAAACCTCTGTAGCTAGTGGTGCCTTTGCCCAAGTTTTGCCCTGGCCCACTGATCCCACTCCGCCCAGCAGGCTGCGCTTGGCTCATGCTCCCAGCCTGGATTTCGTGCCTGCCAAGGGCAAGCAGGGCGTTGAGGGGTGTGTGAGTGAGTGGAGCATGGGGTCCGGCCACTGCGCACAGGCCAGGCATGGGCACTGGCTCCCTGTGAGGCTGCAGCTGGACCAGGCATACCATAAGCAGCTTCCATGGCTGACAGTGGGGAATATGGTGACACCCAGAAGCTTGGAAATGCCAGGAACTACAGAGCCCTAAAAGGGTGTCACAGCCCTGACTGGGGGAACTCCTAGGTCTGGACTCCCCAAAGGGCCACAGCTCTTCTCCCCTTCTCTCTTCTATCCTTGTTGCCCACAACACGTGGAGCAAGGGCCATGTTTCAGCACTGTGTTACAGCTTTTTTAGCTCTGCCATTTGGCGAGTCCTGCGTCCTTGTCCTGTGTCCAGGAAGAATGAGGTACACAGACAAGTGGATGGTGAGCAAGATGAAGAGGAGCTTTATTAAGGACAACTCAAAGGAGACCAGCAGCGGGTTGCTCCTTTCTGTAGCCAGCGTGTCCCAGCAAGTGTTCAGCTCTCCACAGAGAAGGTAGCTCTTCTCTGCAGGCAGGTTGTCCCATGGTCTCCCTGCTCTCAGCAGAGAGGAGACCCTAGAGTGAACAGTTCCTTTTTGCAGCTACTGGTCCCAACATCTCTTCTGGTCCGGCTGAGTCTGGAGCTTTTTATGGACCTCTGAGGGGAGGAAGTGTGTGCCTATGGAGGAGTGTGTGCAGGAGGCCATGGGCCAGCCCAGAAAAAGCGCCACAAGTTCCCACTCCAGTCCACAGGACCGGCAGCCCAGCCCCCAGGCTTCAGGCCCTCCCTGGCTGGAAGGTAAGGCTTCACCAGACACCCACCCCCTTCCAACCAGGAGCCTTTCTGCCTCCTGCTGTGGTTCATGATGCCCAGGCTGTTTGTGACAAGGGGCACCTGCAGGCCAGTACTGACCTGCCCTCAGCTCCCCCAAGGCCTCCCTCCTGTGATCGGCAGTGCCCAAAGTCTGGAGGCGGCCAAGGTGGCACGGGGCTGGTGTGTCAGCACTGCCCCAAGCATACACACACCCAGCCAGGCTGCAACAGAGCCCGGTCTTGGCCTCAACCTTGCTCCGAAATCAGAGTGGTTGCTGCGGGTAGGGAGAGGCCAGGCAGCAGGTGCAGACACCTCTGAGCCTTTGCGGGAAATGGGGAGACCTTCCTGGGCCCCTAAGAGTGCAGTGATACCTGGGTCCACACCCGCAGCCAGGCGGCTGCAGCAGTGCCCTGACAAGCAGGGCTCCTGCCTGCTTCCGGCTCCCAACAGCACAAGGAGGCCCAGGTCCACAGCTGCAACTTAGGTGACTGCAGCCGCGCCTGCGAGAATGAGGTTCCCGCCTGCCCCCAGCTCCTGCCGGCTCCATGGAGCGTGGCACCACCCCAGGCTCATCTCGACCTTAGGGCTCCTCTCTACCTGTCCCTCTGTGACCCACCGTATGGCTCCCCCACCTGCGGGAAACTCCGCCTGGCCTCATTGTGGTTGCTCCGAGGGCAGTGAGCTCTGGGGGACTTCCAGGGGCAGGCTCTGGGGACTGCCCACCTCCTCGCTGAATTTTCCCCTCAGTGGCAGCAGACAAGGTGCAGGTAGCACGGTGGCCTGGGCTAACCCTGCACAAACGAAGCCTATGCTCTCAGAGCCAGCCCCACGAGTCTCGGCGGTGGCTTTGGCTGTGCCTTTGTGCTGGTAGGAGCTGGGAGCAGGAAGGAACCTCACCCTCCCAGGCGCAGCTGCAGCCGCCTAAGTTGCAGCTGCGAACCTGGGCCTCCCTATGCTCTTGGTATTCGTGGGCTCCCGGGATGCGGCAGGGAGAGGGGTTGTGGCAGTGGTGGAGGCTCTGGCCTGGGAGTGGGTCTTGCCCTGCCATTTAAGTGTGGGGGGCATGGCAGTCGGCTGCCTCAGAGATGTGGGGCACAGGGGACACAGGTCACAGGGTCCCACCACCGCCACTGCTGCTCCCATAGCTGCTTCTGCCACCACCAGTGGTGCCTCCCCACTGCAGCCAGCCTGATGGCAGCAGCTGCACCAGATGGCCCACCACTGTGATCAGATTGGTGGTTATCAAAGGTTCTGCCAAGAGGTTGCAGAGAGGAGATAATGAAGAGTTATTGTTTAATAGATACAGAATTTCTGTTATACTGTATGAAAAGAGTTATGGAAATGGATGGTGATGATGGTTGTACAATATTATAAATGCATTGAATACTATTGAACTATACACTAAAATGATTAAAATTATAAATTTTATGTTATGTACATTTACCACAATGAAAAAATTTGAAAAAAAGATCAGTATGCCACTATGATCTAATGACAATAATGTAATAATATGGTAGAACTTAGAAAAACAATGCATGTTGAGTGATGACCTCTATCAGTTAACAATTTGTATTTAATGTCCTATTATGCTGGAAGGCATCCTAAAATATACCTTTCTCAGACTTCAGTCTAAATGCCAAATTTATCTCAGTTGTGTTTCTATCACTCCCCATAATGATCATGAATCCCAGCAGTTTGTTCCAGGCTGCAGAGAGTATCAGACACAAACTTTGCGTGCTGCTGAGATTTCCTCCTCTGTTGCTATGACCAGGATGCCAAGGATATCAGCTATCCATAACCACTCTTACTCCAAATTGAAGTATTGAACCTGAATGGCTTTCATGCCTCACATGCCAAGCCTATGAATGCTGATTTGCCCTCCACTTCTGCATATGTATGAAATACCACACCTTATAGTGCAGAATCTGGTTTTCCAATCTATCACTGAGGGACTGGATCACTTCGTTCAAAACCGAATTGTTGTCAGTGGAACTTAACCATGGGAAACAGAAGATGATAGGATGAAGCCAGGCAGATAAAGTTTCCTTCCTTTTACCTTTCCACGAACTACTGAAGATTCCTCCATCCAGCCTTCCAGAGAAGTCCAGGTGTTTAACTAGAACATCTGCTGAGCAACGTATATCTCATAGCAGCTGGTCATAAGCAGTAGTCAGTATGGTAACCAATCATATCACATTGCTTTTGTATTAGTCTGTTTTGTATTGCTACAAAGGAATACTTGAGACTGAGTAATTTATAAAGAGAAGAGGTTTATTTGGCTCACAGTTTTGCAGCCTGTACAAGCATGGCACTAGCATCTGCTTGGCTTCTGGTGAGCCTTCAGGAAGATTTTACTCATGGCAGAAGGCAAAGGGGGAGCAGGAGTGTTCTGTGGCAAGAGAGGGGGCAAAGGAAAGAAGAGAGGTTCCTAGATTCTTTTTAACAATCAGATGTTGCAGTAACTAATAGTACAAGAACTCACTAGTTACCATGGGAAGAGCACCAAGCCATTCACAAGTCATCTGCCCCCACGACCCCAACACCTCCCATTAGGCCCTATCTTCCACACTGGGGGTCAAATTTCAACATGAGATTTGGAGGAGACAAAGATCCAAACTGTATCAGCTTCAAATTCCTCCATTCCTCACTTCCCTTTCTCCTTACCCCACTTGCACCTCCCACATAAGCATCTATACTGTTTTCTAGAGCTCTGTTTTCTAGAGAATCTGAAATTTAGCTAATAACATATTTATTTCCAGGAATCCATATATATTAGTTTCCTGTCCCTCTGATAACAAATTACCACAAGCTCTACCATGGAAATTTACTCTTTCAAAGCTCCGGAGGCCCGAAATCCAAAATCAATGTGTCAGCAGGCTTATACTCCCTCTGAAAGATCCAGGACAGAATCTCTTCTTTGCCTCTCCCAGCTTCTGGTGGCTTCAGGAGTTCCTTGGCCTGTAGCCACACAACTCCAGTCTCTGCCTTTATGATCACATTGCCTCCTCCTCTTCAAAAATTCCTCTTTCTCTCTCTCTTAGAAAGATACATGTGGTGGCATTTAGTGCTCACCAGAATAATCCAGGATAAACGCTCCCTCTCAAGATCTTTAATTTAATCAATCACATCCTTAGCCATATAAAGTAATATTCACAGGTCCCAGAGTTAGTACATGGACATATCTTTTTGGAGGGCACTGTTCAGCTCACTACACCATGAAAACAAATATGATTTTGCTTCTAGTCACAAATCAATTGTATAATAGGAACTGGGAGTATTTTTCAGTACTAGATACTTTTTGTAAATTTTGCAGATCATGATACTTTTCTGGCAGCATAATTAGATATACATTTATTTCAACAAAATGCAAAAGTCAAGCACAAGGAAAAGAAAATTAAACAATACAAAAGTTTTTATTCACTAAAATAATAGGGTCATATCAACTGCTCCAATATGCACAATAGATAATGACTGCCTTTGAAATGCATAGTAAGTGTTTTGAAGTCGTTTGGAAAAAAAGTGGTTTGGAGGAAAAGAAATTCTAATTTTTAAAGCAACTTTTTTAAGGTAACTGCTTCAGGCTTTTCTCCTCCTTTATAGCGTTTTTCTTTACACAAAAAGGTTTTGCCTTCATTTCTGCCTTTTTAAAAAAATAAAGCTAGTGTGAAGGGTTACTGTGTGTGTGTGGTGGGGTGGGGGTGTGGAAAGGAGGAGGAGGTGGCAGGCTCTCTAAAGTGAACAGCTGTGGTGTGCCTGAGCTGAGGGTGGCCACTAATGCTACACTGTATAAGATCTCAGCATAAATTCCAGCAGTGATCACCTACTCTCCTCTTCCATCCACAGTGTGTACAAAAGGAATTGTTATCATTTGCATATTTGAATTCCACATGCACTTTTATTTATTTGTAAGTATCTTCAATTTTTCTTCTTCAATTTACCTTATAAAAATAGGCTCCCTTCTCTGGGCTGGGGGGATAATCCTGGCACAAAATAATATGATGTGTTTATATTTGAGGTTCTAAATATAATTCAGACCATGCTCATCTATCATTGTCTCATTTATCATTTATTCTTTGTACTGTAGTTACAATTATGACATCTAGGAGAAAAGCAGATTTTCTGACTCCTAAATACCTCTGGGTTTTTTCCTTGCTCACTGAGCATTTATAAATAAAATACATTTAACTCACTGGGTTGTAGATTTCTGCTATGCAATTTTCAATTTACGGTATAAGCTAGTTATCATTAGAAGCTGATAACAAACTGTGTGAGCAGAGTCATTTAGGAAGAAAATGCTTCTATTTTTGACATCTTTATATTAATTCATAATTTAATAAATATATTTTATAACTTAAGTTTCTCATATTACCTAAAATGACTGTGATTATAGGTAGGTTACCCTTTCCTAACTCCTGGAACTCAAGTATCAACAAGTTTAATTTTATAGAACAGACATGTCTTTGTCTCATCTCTTGTTATTTCATGTAGCAGCCCCACTGTACATTTATTGGGAGTGCACCTAAGTGCTTTGAACCAATCTTACACAGGCCATTATAATCAGCCTTCTAAATCCCCCTCGTGAATATTTGAGTAAGTTGTTTCCAACAGAGTACAAAACACTACATGACAACATTGGAGGCTCCAACTTCTTTGGTAAATGATGATATTTTATTACAATAGTCCTACCTTCAGAGAGAGTTCTGGGAACCTGCAATGCTTGGTGGTATACCTGGGCCATGTATATGTTGACCCTTGAACAACTAGAGGGTTAGGGCCACGAACAACTGTGCTTTCAAATATCCACATACAACTTTTGACTCCCCAAAAGCTTAACTACTAATAGCCTACTGTGACTGCAGTCTTATTGATAACATGAGCGATCAATTAACCCATATTTTATATGTTACATGTATTATATACTGTGTTCTTAAAATAAGCTAGAGAAAAGAAAATATTATTAAGAAAATTATAAGGAAGAGAGAATATATTTACTAAGCAAAAGTGGATCATCATAAAGGTCTTCCTTCTTGTCATCTTCATGTTGAGTAGGCTGAGGAGAAGGAGGAAGAGAAACAGTTGGTTTACTGCCTTGGGGTTGGCAAAGGTGGAGAAAACCCATATATAAGTAAACTAGCACAGTTCAAACCCATGTTGTTCAAAGGTTAACTGTATAGGTATATGTTGATTTTGTCCAAGCAATTGTAAGCTACTAGAAGACAAGAATTATATCTTTTTCAATTTCCAATTCACAGCAGTGTTCTCCATATAGTAGATACTTAAATTATTAGTGACCATGCGGTTGGGAGACACATAGGGAAGGTTGGTTAGAAACCAAAATTGGAAGATTCAATTTATTTCCTTATAAAACATATTAGCTAATGGGATCCCAAATTATGCGTCATTCCTGGAAGACAATTTCTGGCAATATTCCTCAAAATATTTAAATTGTTTATATCATTTGACCTAAAAATAAATGTTATAAATAAATTCTAAGAAAATTAACAGACAATGACAAAAGTAAAAATGTGTAAAAATGTTCAGTTCAGGATTGTTTATAATAATAAAAACATTAGAAAAAACTTAAAGTCCAATAATAAGGGACTACTTACAGTGTATACCATTAATAGATTACTGTGCACTCACAAAAATGATATACAATATATTTGTTGATATGGAGAGCACTTTAAGTATTCAAGATAGATGACTATGAAGCAAGAATTAATTTCCACAGAATGTGAGAAAATCAAGGCTTCATATGTTGAAAACAGGATTAATTAATCCATCACTAAAATCTTCATATCAACAGGCTAAAGAAGAGAAATTATATGACCATATCATAGATGCAGAAAAAGCACTTGATAAAAATACAACACTCCTTCATGACAAAACTCTTAGTAAACTAGGAATAGACAGGAATGTCCGCAATTTGATAAAGAACATCTACAAAAAACCTACAACTAACATTATATTTAATGGAGATAAACTAGATATTTTCCTACTAATGTCAGGAACAAGTCAAGGATATCCCCTCTCACCTCTTCTATTCAACATTCTACTTAATGCAATAAGACAAGAAAAAAAAAGATATAAAGACTGGGAAGGAAATAAAGCTTTGTCCACAGAAGATATGACTGTCTATGCAGAAAATTCCAAAGAATCAACAAAAATCTCCTGAGCTAAAAGCAATTAAAGCAGTTGTAGGATAAAATGTTAATATACAAAAGGCAATTGATTTCTTATATGCCAGCGATGAACAACTGGAATTTAAAATTAAAACACAACACTTTTTACAATAACACCAAAATAAATAAATCAGTTTATTAATTAGATATGCATCTAACAAAATATGTACAAGATCTATATACGAAAACCCACAAAACTTGGATTAAAAAATCAAGGAAGATCTAAATAAATGAAGAGATACCCCATGTTCATGGATAGGAAGACTCAATATTGTAAAGATATCAGTTCTTCCCAAAATGATCTACAGATTCAACACAATTTTAATGAAAAGCACAGCAGGTTATTTTATGAATATGGACAAATTGATTCTAAGGTTTATATAGATATGCAAAGAGCCTGTGATGGCCATGACAATATTGAAGGAGAAGAAAAAATTCAGAGGCCCAACACTATATTACTATATAGGAATACACAGTTAGACATATGCATACTAAAAACTCCTATAAAGCTAAAGTATGGTATTGACAAAAAACATTGCTGAAGTAACTGGGCATTCTCATGCAAAAATATGAATGTAGACAACAAACTTACAACATATTTAAAAAACTAACTCATAGACCTAAATGTAAACACAAACCAATTTCTGTGAATTCAAAAATGCTCTAAAAAAGTCTATTAATTATTTTGAAAAATTGATAAAGATCTAAATTGAGATGTTTCAAAGGCATGATATCTT
Source organism: Homo sapiens (assembly GCF_000001405.40). Taxonomy (NCBI): domain Eukaryota; kingdom Metazoa; phylum Chordata; class Mammalia; order Primates; family Hominidae; genus Homo; species Homo sapiens. Next base: position 95,746,863 of record NC_000001.11, on the reverse strand, counting down.
AGTGATGAGATTTATTTGAGCTTTAATGGTGAAATTTAAAATTAAATGTCAACCATTTATTTTGAAAAAGAGGAAATTGGAATTTCCAGTTCATATAAATTAACTTAAACTTTCTTATCATAAACTGCTGGAAAACTAAACAAAATGTGCAAAACAACTGTTTTCAGACATTGGACAACAGGCAGAGCAGGTCTCTGATCCCAGGGAGAAGGGAAGAAAAGGAGGTAAATGCTAAGATTACCCTGGCTGTCTGCCTAGGGGAACTTTCTAAACCACAGTGCAAGAAAAAAGGACCCACGCAGAGTATGACAGGATGGCTGAGTTGAGGAGACTGATCAGAGTTTGAGAAGTCTGAAGCAGCTGGAATTGCAGAGCAAAATCATGGAGATGGGGGAGTCACACAGAAAAAGAGCTCCATAAATATGCATGGGATTCCCTTTAGTCGGTTGCTGAATTCTACACTGTATGTGTGGAGTAAAACTCTACAAGGCCTGACAAAGATAAACTGAACAATTCCCTCAACTCACAGAGGACTGGGAGACATTTGGGTTCAGATCACTCAAAGCAGAAACTTCACTAAACTACCAGGGCATTCTGCGAAGATCCCACAGTGGTCACAATTTAGAAATATAGCTAACTATTAATAATGTTATATTAAAGGTTACTCTAGACCCACCCTAAGTAAGATTTTTTTAAGTGTAAAAAGTCAAGCTAATTTGTAAAAAACTTAACTGACTGTTCAAATGAAGTTCCACACTCTCTAAAGAAGGAAAACAAAATGCAAGTATACAACAACTTGATATTCAAAGTATACAACATTCAATTTAAAAAGACTGGTGTTCTATACCACTGTAGGATGGCTATGGTTAATAATAATATATAATTTCAAAAAGCTAAAAGGATGCTATTGAACATTCTCAAGACAAGTGATAAATGTTTGAGATGATAGATATGCTAATTACACTGATTTTATCACTATACATTACTTGTATTCTAGATATCACTATGCACCCCCATGAATATGTAGTTATTAATTGTCAATTGTCAATTAATAACTGTGCATATTCATTAATTGTCATTAATTGCCAATTGCCAATTAATAACTGTACTTATTTGTTGTGAGTAGTATTATTTCTTGTGAGTAGTATTGTTTGTTGTCAATTAGTAATTGTACATATTCATGATCAATTAAAAAATAAAAATTTTTTAAAACCTCAAAAAAAGACTAGATATGCAAAGAAACAGAAAAATGTTCCATAGCCAGCGGGAAAATTATGTCATTAGAACCAGAACCATAAAGGACAATTCAGATGGAATTAACGAAGACATTAAATAGCTATTATAAATATGTTCAAGGATTTATAGGAAAGCATTAACATAATGAGGAGATAAATAAAAAATATATAAAGAGAATGAAGCAGAATTTGTAAAGCTAAAAAAAGCCTCAAAAATGTCACAGAATGAGATTTGCAGCAGATTATATACTACAGAAGAAAAGATCAGGAAATTTAAATGCATAGCAATAAGAATAGAGAGAAATAGCGTAGAGAGAGAAAAGAAAGATAAACAAAACAAACAGTATCAGTGACATGTGGGGTAATATTATGCATTCTAATATGTTTATAATTTTAGTCCCAGAAGGAGAGAGTCAGCAAAATATATGGAGAAATACTGACAGAAATCTTCTCAAATTTGATGAGAAATATAGACCCAGAGATCCAAGAACCTCAAAGAACCCTGAGCAGGAAAAACATCAAAAGACTCCCAACAAAGCACATCACAATCAAATCGTTGAAATCCAGTGATGAAAAGAAAATCTTAAGGAGAGCCAAAGAAAAAAAGTACACTACATAGAAAGCAATAAGCATAAGAATGATCAGAGACTTCTCAAAAATAATGCAAGCCAAATATAATGGAATGGAATCCTGAAAGTGCTAAAAGGAAAATAAAACTTCCAATCTAGAATTCAATACCCAGTGAAAATATCTTTCAAAAAGGAAGATTAAGACTTTTTCAGGGAAACAAAAGCCGAGATAGTGTGTCACCAACAGACAGGCATTATAAGGAATGCTAAAGGAAGTTCTTCAGGCTAAAAGAAAAGTGATATCAGGTGGAAATTCAGATCTATACAAAGGACTTGTGATCCCTAGAAATGGTAAATATTTGGGTAAAGACTAATCTATAGTGGCATTGATTGCTGGGCATAGCAGGAAGACAGACTGCAAATGGGTGCGAGAAAACATTTGGGACAATAGATAGGTTCATTATCTTGATTGTAGTGATGGTTGCACACAGATATGTATGTCAAAACCCATAAAATTTTACACTCTCTGTATATGCAATTTGCATTAGTTATAGCATACAAAGCTGTAACAAAATAAAAATAAGAAGAGACAATTTGCCATGAAACATCTGACTTTGAGGAAACATGTTATCATGATCAATAGGAAAAGCTCTAACCATTCCTAAAATATACCACCACAACAGTCTCATGTTGTAACAACCTGGGAATGGCCAAATAGGGGTATTTAAGCACAACATCTGATTTCCTAGATCTGGAGAAATTATTATGAAGTGGAAATTTTTACTACATATTGCTAAATTCAATAGTCAATTTTCCATCCTCACCATACGTGAGCTCTCAGCAGAACTTGACAAGTCAATCATTCCATTTTCCTGGAAAGGTTATCTTCACTTGGCTTCCATATTTACCTTTACTTCACTGATGACTTCTCCTTAGCCTCCTTTGCTTTGGTCAGTCTAATATCTAAAGGGTGGAATGCCCTGGTTCTTGGGCCACTTCTCTTTATATAACCCCTCTTTTTGGTTGCCTCATCCAGTATTATTGCTTTAAATATTAACAAAATATTGATAACTTCCAATTTATATGTCCAGCTTGGACCTCACCAAGAGAACATATGCAAATAAATTACTCCACATCTCCATTATTCTGCTTAACAGAGATTTCAAACAGCATTCCCTAAAATAAAAACCCTGATGTCTCTCCCCTTTCCCAAGTGCTCCACTCAATTTTCCTTACTTTAGTAAATTTCCACTCCTTATTCCAGTTGCTTACAACAAATACCTTGCTTTATCCCTTATCTGATCTGTCAGGAAATCCCACTGGCTCTACTATCAAATACATCCCGTATCTAACAACTCACCACCTTTATAACACCATCAGCTGTCACTCAGATTGCTACAATAGCCTCCTAACTAGCTTTCTTGTTTTTGCCAATGTCCCCTCAATCTATCATTAATACACTGAGCATAAAAATGTGCATGATTTACCTTATATCTCTGGCCTGGTCTTCTATTCCTCCTATTCTTCCATTTCCCCAAAACTGCATTTCAGTCGCATTGGCCCACTAGCTGTTTTTAAGATATAGCAAAAACACTCATTTCAGGGACTTTGCCCTTTCTCCAGGTACCTGTATTTTTTGGTTGTTTTTGTTTCTATTTTGTTTTTGCTTATCTCCTTTTATCAAATCTCAGTCAAATCTTTTCTGATGTTCCTATTTAAAACTGGACCAGGTAATAGGGGATTAAGATGTCCAATAGGAGTCAGGACTAGCTTGCAGCTCCCACTTGGGACAGACAGAGCAGTGTGTGGAGACTCATATCATGAACTTTTGCTCCCGGAACTACCAAAGAAACATACCAGGAAAGCTGAAAGACTCACAGACCCTTTGAAAGAACTGGATCACGGCTGCAGGCTCCCTGAAAAACTGTGAGTCCGCTTGCTTTCTCAGCGAGGAGGCTTGTGGTATAGGGCAAGTTCTCAGCCCTAGTCATTTAGTCACTGGCTGCCTGGAAATACACTCAGTGCTGTTGGGGGAGCACAGTGAGAGTGACACTGGCCTTTAAGACTGCAGGCTGCGTGGGAGCAGGGTGAGGCCTGTTACTGCTGGCTTTCCTCCACTTCCCCGGAGACCTGTATGACTCAGCAGAGGCAGCCATAATCCTCCTGGAAACGTAATTCCATTGGCCTGGGAACTATACCCCCATATCCCACAGCAGCCACAGCAAGCCCCACCCAAGGAGAGGCTGAGCACAGACAGGCTTATTCCTGCCCCACCTGGTGCTCTTTCTCTACCTCCCCCACCCCTTGGTTGCTGAAAACAAAAGGACATAATCTCTTGGGAGCTCTAAGGCCCTGCCCCACTGCCTGTGAAACCTGAATACTTAACCAGATAACCCCAGGGCAAGTTTGCATCTTTCCTATAGTACCACAGCTGGTGCAATCTTGAAAGCACAACCTCCTGGCTGGAGGCCAACCAACAAAAAACCAGCACTCTAAACAAAAACACAACCAAGGGCCCTCACAGAGTCCACTTCACTCCCCTGCTACCTCCACCGGAACAGGTGCTGGCATCCACAGCTGAAACACCTGAAGATGGATCACATCACAGGACTCTTTGCAGACACTCCCCAGTACTAACCTGAAGCCCGGTAGCTCTGCTGGGTGGCTAGACCCAGAAGAGCAAAAGCAACCACTGAAGTTTGGCTATCAGGAAGCCCCGACCCTAGGGAAAGGGAGAGAACATCGAATCAAGGGAACACCACGTGGAACGAAAGAATTGGAACAGCAGCACTTGAACTCCAGATCTTCCCTCTGACATATACAAATACAATGACATAGTATACCCAAATGAGAAAAAAATAGAAAAACAATTCTGGTAATATGACAAAACAAAGTTCTTTAACACCCCCAAAAGATAGCACTAGCTTACCAGCAATGGATCCAAACCAAGAAAAAATTCTCTAAATTGCCAGAAAAAGAATTCAGAAGGTCAGTTATTAAACTAATTAAGGAGGCACCAGAGAAAGGTGAAGTCCAACTTAAAGAAATCAAAAGCATAATACAGGATATGAAAGGAAAAATATTCAGTGAAATACATAGCATAAATAAAAACAATCACAACATCTGGAAATCAAGGACACAGAGAAATGCAAAATGCACTGGAAAGTCTCAACAATAGAATCAAATAAGCAGAAGAGAGAACTTCGGAGCTTGAAGACAAGGCTTTCAAATTAACCCAGTCTGTCAAAGACAATGAAAAAAAAAAAATGAACAAAGCCATCAAGAAGTTTGGGACTATGTTAACCATCCAAACCTAAGAATAGTTGGTGTTCCCAAGGAAAAAGAGAAATCTAAAAGTTTGGAAAACATATTTGAGGGAATAATCGAATAAAACTTCCCAAGCCTCGCTAGAAATCTAGACATCCAAATAAAAGGAGCTCAAAGAACACGTGGAAAATTCATGGCAAACAGATTATCACCTAGGCACATAGTCATCAGGTTATCTAAAGTTGAGACAAAGGAAAGAATCTCAAGAGCTGTGAGGCAAAAGCATCAGGTAACCTACAAAGGAAAACCTATCAGATTAACAGCAGATTTCTAAGAAGAAACCCTACAAGCTAGAAGGGATTGGGGTCCTATTTTTAGCCTCCTGAAACAAGACAATTATCAGCAAGAATTTTGTATCCAGCAAAACTAAGCTTTATAAATGAAGGAAAGATGCAATCTTTTCTAGGCAAACAAATGCTGAGAGAATTCACTACTACCAAGCCAGCACTAAAAGAACTGCTAAAAGGAGCTCTAAATCTTGAAACAAATCCTCAAAGTACCCCAAAGTAGAATCTCCTTAAAGCATAAATCTCACAGGACCTATGTAACAATAACACAATGAAAAAAGAAAAAGCTATTCAGGCAACAAATAGCACAATAAATAGGATAGTATCTTGCATCTCAATACTAAGATTGAATGTAAATGGCCTAAAGGTTCCGTTTAAAAGATAGAGAATGGCAGAATGGATAAGAATTCATCAGCCAAGTTTCTGCTGTCTTCAGACTCACCTGACACATAAGGACTCATATAAACTTAAGGTACAGTGGTGGAAAAAGATATTCAATGCAAATGGACACCAAAATAAAGCAGAAGCAGCTATTCTTATGTCAGACAAAACAAACTTTAAAGCAACAGCAGTTAAAAAAGTCAAAGAGGGACATTATATAATGATAAAATGACTAGTCCAACAGGAAAATCACAATCTTAAATATCTATGCACCTAACACTAGAGCTCCCAAATCTATAAAACAATTACTACTAGACCTAAGAAATAAGACTGACATCAACACAATAAAAGTGGGGGACTTTAATATTCCACTAGACAGGTAATCAAGATGGAAAGTCAACAAAGAAAAAATAGACTTAAACTATACCCTACAACCAGCAGACTTAACAGATATTTACAGAACATTGTACCCAACAATTACAGAATATAAATTCTATTTATCAGCACATGGAACATTCTCAAAAATAGACCCAATGATAGGCCATAAAACAAGTCTCTGTAAATGTAAGAAAATTAAAATTATATCAAGTACTCTCAGCGATCACAGTGGAATAAAATGAAAAATTAACTCCAAAAGGAACCCTCAAAACCATGCAAATACATGGACATTAAATAACCTGCTGCTGAATGATTGTTGGGTTAATAATGAAATCAAGATGGAAATTTAAAAATTCTTTGAACTAAACAATAATAGTGACACAACCTATCAAAACCTCTAGGATATGGCAAAAGCAGTGCTAAGAGGAAAGTTCATAGCATTAAGTGCCTACATAAAAAAGTCTGAAAGAGCACAAACAGACAATCTAAGATCACATCTCATGGAACTGGAGAAACAAGAACAATCTGTACCCAAACCCAGAAGAAGAAAACAAATAAGGAAGGTCAGAGCAGAACTAAACGAATTGGAAACAAACAAACAAACAAAAAAAGATAAATGAAACAAAAAGCTGGTTCTTTGAAAAGATAAATAAAATTGATAGACCATTAGCAAGATTAACCAAGAAAAGAAGACAGAAGATCCAAATAAGCTCAATTAGAAATGAAACAGGAAATATTACTACTGATACCACAGAAATGCAAAAGATTATTCAAGGCTATTACAAACACCTTTATGCACATAATCTAGAAAACCTAGATGAGACAGATAAATTCCTGGAAAGATATGACCCTCCTAGATTAAACCAGGAAGATATAGAAACTCTGAAGAGACCAATAACAAGCTGCAAGATTGAAATGATAATAAAAAAATTGCCAACAAAAAAAGTACAGGACCAGGTGGATTCACAGCTGAATTCTATCAGACATTCAAAGAAGAATTGGCACCAATCTTATTGACACTATTCTACAGGACAAAGAAAGAGGGAATCCTCCCTAAATCAATCTATGAAGCCAGTATCACCCTGATAACAAAACCAGGGAAGGACATAACAAAAAAAGAAAACTAAAAAGTAATATCCCTGATGAACATAGATGCAAAAATCCTCAACAAAATACTAGCTAATCAAATCCAACAGCATATCAAAAACATAATCCACAATGATCAAGTGGGCTTTATACCAGGGGTGCAGGGATGATTTAACATATGCAAGTCAATAAATGTAATACACCACATAAACAGAATTAAAAACAAAAATTACATGATCATCTCAATAGATGCAGAAAAACATTTGACAAAATCCAGCATCACTTTATGATTAAAGCCCTTAGCAAAATCAGCATAGAAGGATATACCTTAAGGTAACAAAAGCCATCTATGACAAACACACAGCCAACATTATACCAAATGGGGAAATGCTGAAAGCGTTCCCCCTGAGAACTGGAACAAGACAAAGATGCCCACTTTCACCTGTTCTATTCAACATAGTACTGGAAGTCCTAGCCAGAAAAATCAGACAAGAGAAAGAAATAAAGGGCATCCAAATCCATAAAGAGGAAGTCAAACTGTTGCTGTTTGTTGATAATGTGATCATATACCTAGAAAACCCTAAAGGCTTTTCCAGAAAGCTCCTAGAACTGATAAATGAATTTTGCAAAGTTTCAGGATACAAAATTAATATACACAAATTAGTAGCTGGGCTATACAACAACAGAAACCAAGCTGAGAATCAAATCAAGTACTCAGCCCCTTTTACAATAGCTGCAAAAAAGAAATCATAGATGACACAAACAAATGGAAACACATCCCATGCTCATGGATGGGTAAGATCAATATTGTGAAAATGACCATACTGCCAAAAGCAATCCACAAATTCACTGCAATTCTCATCAAAATACCATCATTATTTTCACAGAACTAGAAAAAAAATCCTAAAATTCATATGGAACCAAAAAGGAGCCTGCATAGCCAAAGCAAGACTAAGAAAAAAGAACAAATCTGGAGGCATCTGATTACCTGACTTCAAACTATATTATAAGGCCATAGTCACCAAAACAGCATGACACTGCCATAAAAATAGGCTTATAGACCAATGAAACAGAATAGGGAACACAGGAGTAAACCCAAATACTTACAGCCAACTGATATTCTATAAAGCAAACAAGAACATAAATTGGGGAAAGGACATACTATTCAACAAATGGTGCTGGGATAATTGGTAAGCCACATGTAGAAGAATGAAACTGGATCCTCATCTCTCACCTTATACAAAAATCAACTCAAGATGAATCAAGGACTTAAATATAAGACCTGAAAGGATAAAAATTGTAGAATATAACATTGGAAAAACTTTTCTAGACATTGGCTTAGGCAAAGACTTCATGACCAAGAACCCAAAAGCAAATGCAACAAAAAGAAAGATAAATAGATTGGACTTAATTAAACTAAAAAGCTTCTGCATGGCAAAGGAAATAATCGCAGAGTTAACAGACAACCCACAGAGTGGGAGAAAATCTTTAAAATCTATACATTCGACAAAGGACTAATATCCAGAATCCACAAAGAACTCAAACAAATCAGCAAGAAAAAAAAATCCCATAAAAAAGTGGGCTAAGGACATGAAGAGACAATTCTCAAAAGAAGATATACAAATGCCCAACAGGTATATGGAAAAATGATCAACATCACTAACTAACAGGGAAATTCAAATCAAAACCATGAGATATCACCTTACTCCTACAAGAATGGCCATAATAAAAATATAATAGATGTTGACATGGATGTGGTGAAAAGGGAACACTTTTACACTGTTGGTGGGAATGTAAACTAGTACAACCACTATAGAAAACAGTGTGGAGATTCCTTAAAGAACTAAAAGTAGATCTACCATTTGATCCAGCAATCCAACTACTAGGTGTCTACCCAGAGGAAAAGAAGTCATTATATGCAAAATGTACTTCCACATGCATGTTTATATCAGCACAATTTACAATTGCAAAAATGTGGAACCAGCCCAAATGCCCATCAATCAATGAGTGGATAAAGAAAATATGGTATATATACCATGGAATACTACTCAGCCATTAAAGGGAACAAAATAATGGCATTCGCAGAAACCTGGATGGAATTGGAGACCATTTTTCCAAGTGAAGTAACTCAGGAATGGAAAACCAAGACCAAACATCATATGTTCTCACTCGTAAGTGGGGGCTAAGCTATGTAGACACAAAGCCATAAGAATGATACAATAGACTTGTGGACTCAAGGGAAAGGCTGGAAGGGGGGTGAGGGATAAAAGACTACACATCGGATACAGTGTACACTACTTGGGTGATGGGTGCACCAAAATCTCAGAAATCACCACTCAATAACTCACTCATGTAATCAAATACCACCTGTTCCCCCAAAAAAACCTATTGAAATAAAAAATAAATTTAAAAAAAGAAAACTGGTGCCAGACCCTTATCCCTCACAATTCCTAAGAAACCCCTCCTCTACTCCCATTTTTGTTCTTTCCAAAGTGCTTATCATCTTCTTATGTACTTTTCGATTTACTTATCTTACTGTTTGTCTTTCCTTTCTATAATGTAAAATCTCTTATTGCAGATTTTTTTTTCTGTTGTGTTCACTGCTATATTCTTGGCCTTGAAAAGCAGATCATGGTGTACATTTAATAAATAATTTTTGTCCAGGAGTGGTGGCTCATGCCTGTAATCCCAGCACTTTGTGGGGGCCGCGGGGCTGGATCACCTGAGGTCAGGAGTTCAAGACCAGCCTTGCCAACATGGTGAAACCCCATCTCTACTAAAAATACAAAAAAGTACCTGGATGTGGTGGCAGGCGCCTGTAATCCCAGCTATTTGGGAGGCTAAGACAGGAGAATCGCTTGAACCCGGGAGGCAGAGGTTGCAGTGAGCCGAGATCACTCCATTGCACTCCAGCCTGGGCAACAAGAACGAAACTCTGTCTCAATAAAATAAAATAAAAAAAATAAAATAAAATAAAATAAAATAAAATAAATAAAATAAAAATATTTTTTTCAGTGAATGCATGATGAGTGAATAAAGCTGACACTAATAATATAGAATGATACTGTTTTATATTCTTAGTACTATAAATGTACCTGTAAGTAGTTTCATCTTTTAATTCTCATGTTCTTGAAAAATGATTTAAAAGAACATTATTTTTCAGGATTTAAGGATCTCACTTGTGTGATTGTTAGGTTTTAAACTCTGAGTAAAGATGAAGCTGAACTGCCATGTTCAACACTGGCAAGAAAGGCAGAGCTTTCTAATGGAAGCACCATTGGTCCTTGAACCACTGGGACCCAAGAGAGCTTCAATGTAATAAAACAATACTGTTGTTCCTTGTGTAGTTGGTTGCTGATGCTTTTTTTCCCTTATTTTGAACCTGATATATAAAGTAAAATGTGACTCAAAGGATATTTTTTCCATGAGTATATGGCAGACATCAGTACATATACAGAAAGCAGACAGATAATAGTCAAGGGAGGTATCTCTGCTTCACAGACTTCATTTTTATACCATAAAATTATATTTACAGACATTCTTCAATTTTATAGAATAAAAAATCTTTACAAACCAAAGCATATGTCAATATTCCACAGATTGTTTTAATGATTTACATTGTCATAACTATTAGTATATCTTCTCATGCACCCTTTGCTTTGCTTCTTTTGTAAGTCAAAGAATTAACTAATTTTTGGGGAGAGGCTGGATTCCTTTTTGACATTTAAATACAAATGTATACTTTTCTTAGTACATCTAAGAGACTTAATGATGAAAATTTTTATTTGTTAGGGGTGTTAACAGGCAAGATAAAATCAGTAATTTTTCTCCTCTCTTTTAGGACAAACTTGGTCAACACTTATAAACAGGTTGGCTTCAAAGTGCTCTCTTGTTACCTAAGGGTTTCCTTGTTCAAAGAGTAAACTCTTATTTATTTGGCTTTTTACAAAGCTAATTTCCTCCCAACTCCAATACATCTGACTTTAATTGCTGTCAATCGAGAAAAATGACGAGACAAGTCTCACTCATTTTAGGAGGTTTATTTGCCTAAGTTAAGGATGTGTGCCTGGGAGACAGGTCTATGTATTTCTCTGAAGATAATTTTGAGGGCTCCAAATTTAAAAAGGAAATGAGGGGATATTGACAAGTACACAATTTTCATGTAAGAGGGGGATAGGGAAAAATAGTCATTCATGCCTTTGTCTAGCTCAGGGAATCTGCATTTTTACGTAAGATAACATAGACAAAATGGGGGCAGGGGATACACATTTGTGTCTGGTGGGCTATCAATTTACATTGCCATGGTAAAATTTTAACAGAAACACCTTAGGGTAAAGATCTTGGAGATCACTAGGAATTTCCTTTTGGGCAAAATATTGGGGAGGCATATAGCTTTTCATCTTATAGGCATCTTATTTAGGCACTGAAAAGTGGGAGGCAGGTTTTCATGACCCAGTTCCCAGCTTAATTTTTTCCTTTGGCTTAATGAGCTTGGGGTCCCAAGATTTAATTTCCTTTCACATTGACAATATTTGTAATCAAAATGGTTTATCTTAAATTAATATACCTATTCTACCTGAATACATTTAGTAGGCTGTGTTTTCTTTTTTAAAAAAAAAAATTGTTTTCACTGGAACTTGATTTCTCTTTTTTTTTTCTAAGTATAAACCTGGTTATCTCTGAGGATAATTAAGAAAATTATACCTAAAAAGAGTAATGTGCAATACCTTTTACCTTCATGAATTCAATAATTTTTTTAAAGCCTTCAGGCTTATTCTATTTACACGTGTTTCTTTTAAAAAATAGTTTTTGAGCTAAATGAGGATTATAAAAACCATACCTCAGCAAATTCGGTAGTAGTAAGATACAATGTTATCAATTTGGTTATTAACTAGATTGCAGTGAATTAGTTTTTTAAAAGCTTACTGGTAAAGTCTACAGTAAACAAATGTTCATAGTGTTGCATTGAGCATCCAGACAACAAAGTTTTAGCCCTCTTTTCCCACCAGGCCTGTTGTTAAAACTGGGCTTAAGACCCAATATCAGGCCTCTTAATGCTGATTAGCTTCCCTGTGTTGGTCCCCACTTGCTTGTCCAAAAATGAGCCTCTTTCAGGTCCCTTAGTTCACTGGTTGAGGTGCTGAGGTCCCACCCAATTTCTGCAAAATTTCCCAGAGCCATAGCTTAGTCCTATATCCCTGCCTCTCTGCTGGGATTTTGTCGCACGTGAATGAAATTCTCAAGGATACTTACTAGGTCACTTGACTCTCAAACATTTACCGATATCAAGATTTTTTTTTTTTTTTTTTTTGGCTCAACCAATCCCACAGACTGAATTTCCAGAATTAGCTGAGAGAATATTCTACTCTTCATTTACTATATTTAACACACCCTGCCATCCTCTTCAGAACTACCTGTGCTAGTTGGGTCAGTTCTCCCAATTTTTCTCTTGCTTTAGTAGGAAGGTCTTTGGCCTCTACTTTTCTCCCTGTGCTGCTAGGATATAGCATTCCAGATGCTCCGGTGCTGTACAATAATGGACTAGGGTCCATTTGCAAGACTTACTATACTCCTTACTTCTACTCACAGACATGCCATACTTTCTTGCTGCTCCTGCTGAGACAGCCAAGTATAAAGGGGTTCCTGGAGAATTTCCAACCAGCTTGTGCACTGGGAGAACTGGGTGGAGCCCTGGGAAGTTTGAGCCCTTTGCAGGGTGGGAGGATCCTGGCCTCTCGTGTTCGGGGGCGGGCACCTGGGTTTCAATCTGTGAGGTGGGGGCCTGTTAATGGGAATCTCTCTCATTTTGCTGAATTTTTTTTCCTTTTCACCCAATAAATTCCATTTTTCCCACCTTTCTATGTGTCCGTGAGCCTAATCTTTCCTGGTTGTGTGACGAGAACCCTGTTTTTAGCCAAACGAAGGAGAAAGTCCTACCACACTGCTATGACCATTTTTCGTAGATCTGTCTGCTGGCTTCTCTTTGTTTATCAAGTATGTTAGTGTTTCTCGGGATTCTGTCTTTGACCTCTTTGTTTTCATTCTCTGTGGGTATTGTATATAATCTGGTGATTTTAATGACACCATTGACTGCCAAATCTTCATCTTTAGCCTTGATCTCTCTCGTGTTCTCCACATCCAATTGGGTATAGACATCTCTGCCTGGATCTTCATGCCACCAGTGCAGTTCCCTGAATTCAATACTATCTCATTTCACCTTTCTGAGCCTTCTAAATGCTGATGAATCTGCTGCAAATGCTTCCCTCCGTTGTTAAAATACACAATTCAAAGGCCATCTATTTTGAGAAAACATCCCTGAAGCTGATCATTACACCCTCTATGTTCAGCTGAAAAGAATGCAGAAGTTGAGGATGAGTAGTTTTAAACAGTCATGGGACAGGGAGGAATTCTTGCATGACAAGTAAACATTGAGTGTGTATGACTTTGTGGAACCATAATATATGCCAAGAAAAAGATAATTTTGCTCATATTTTACCATTGCTTTTGGTAATAATTATTAGAGCTTAGTAATAAAGTAAGTAACTAATAAGAATGTATTGAATTGAATAATAGGGAATTCAATAGGGATTAGAAACCAAATCTCATACCAATACTTTAAAATGCAGTTACCATTTTTATGCCATAACTTACTGAGTTTATAAAGATTTCTTCTACTCTTTATGGTAACTTATAAAAGTATATAAATTAGGGTTCTCCAGAGAAACAGAATCAATAGGAGATGATAGATAGATAGATGGATAGATAGATATAGATACATAGATATGTAGATATCTAAGAGGATATTTATCATGGGAATTGGCTCACATGGTTATGGAAGAAAAGAAGTCTCATGATATTCCATCTTCAAGCTGCTTGAGCAAGTCACTTAATACTTTTTTTTTTACCTCAGTTTCTCATCTATAAAAGTGAATGGTCTAGTGTTTTAGGTCACTTCTAATTCCGAAATTCTTTTATTTTAAGACTACATCAGCATGGAACCAAGGCATGAAGCTGTAGACTCAGGAAAATCATTGGTATAATTAATCTGAGTCTGAAGGCTTGAGAACTAGGGGAGGGGTGGGATGGTGGAGTTTGCTGGTTAAAATTCCAGGGGCAAAAGTTCAAGAAATTAGGAGCTCTGATCGAAGGTCAGGAGAAGATGGATGCCCCAGCTCAAGAAGAGAGAGGGAGAGAATTAGCTTTTCCTCCACCTTTTTGTTCTATCTCGGCCCTCAATTGCTTGGACAATGCCGGCCCACACTGGGTGAGGGTAGATCTTCTTTACTCAGTCTACCGATTCGAACGCTAGTCTCTGCCAGAAAGACCCTTACAGAAACACCCAGAAACAATATTTTACAGTTATCTGGGTTTCCTTTAGTCCAGTCAATTGACACACAAAATTAACCATCATAATATGCATTCACTAGAAGGAAGAACAAAAATTATTTTAAATATACATTACTAAAAAACAGCTTGTAAAATATCTATACATAAAAAGAATTTCAGGTGATATTTTTAAAGTGTGAAAAGGTTCAATTATATTCCTCGTAATATTTAGGGCAAAACTTGTTGTAATATTTAGCAACAAAATTTGTTTGGCCAGCTGGCCCTGATTAACTAAAATTATATTTCATATGAGGCTCTCATAGCAATGAACATTATTTTCTCAGCTGGTTAGACACAACATATGATTCTCCTAACAATGGAAACCTGGAATACAATAATAATCAGAGCCAAAAGTAACAACTCAATGACATGATATAAAGACATAGGTATAAATTTGATATTTCCTTTGGAAATGGCAGCAACTGCTGTCATAGTATTAATCATAATGCAGTTGTTTGTGATAATCATAGTAATGTCTAAGGTCAATGAATATACCTATTGGTAACAAATGTGCATAAAATAACTAATAAACTTATCTAGCAGCCAGGTGTGGTAGAATGAGTCAGACCTGGCAATTAGGAAATCCAGAAGCCAATATAAACTTTGATTCTAAATATGTGCTTGAGCAAGTCACTTAATATTTTTTTTATCTCAGTTTCTCATCTGTAAAAGTGAATGGTCTAGTATTTTAGGTCATTTCTAATTCTGAAATTCTTTTATTTTAAGACTACATCAGCATGGAACCAAGGCATGAATCAGGAAAGTGGAAAGGCCAATTTAAGATGTTTTTATAAATTTATCTGTCTATCTTCTCTTGGCTTTTCAACAATCTCCTGAGAGATTAGGAATGGGAAGACATCATGAGACTGAAAGGAAGTGGAAACTCAGGGGAGGGGTTTGCAGTGCTTTGTTTTGTCTTAAGTATTTGAAGCTTCAAGCCTGAATCATTTTTGATTTGGTCCATTTTGTAGAAAGTTATCACCACCACAGTAAGAAAAAATGAGTAAGCTCCAGTCACTCTAGCAAAGACAGATTGTTTATGTCCACAGGCCTGAGGCTATCACAGCTACCTCTCTGTAAAACCACGTGGGCTGGTCGTCAGGCTACTGTCTCTCAGCTACATGTCTACTCTTCCAGTCTATGTTTTGTGATGCTGGGGTTTGGGACTCTGAAAACTACATACTTCCTTCGCCAGTGGGTTTTCTATAAGGGCCCCCCCAAAAGGAGCACTAGACAAAGAATGAAAGCGTGGCAGGGGTAAAGGGATTTCTTTCTTTCTCTTTTTTTTTTTTTCTATTTCTTGCTCTTCCTATCAGCATGCCCATAGTAACGCTCTTTATTGCAGCAGCAGCAGTTTGGTTCGCCTCTAGGTTCTTTCAGCAGTCTCAGAACTAGTCCCATGTTGCTACCCCCACATTACCCCCAACAATTCTGTCCACCTCCTCCTCAAAGGTGTGAGCTCCAGTTCCTCAAAGCTGCTAGCTCTGACAGTTCTATCCATTTTCTGTGTTCCCTCAGCCCAAGAGGTGGTGCTTCCTGTGGTCTTTTTTGTGTTTCTTGGTATTTCATTTTGCTCTTTTATTCCCTCAACACCTGTGCAACCACCTCCCAGTATTAAATTCCCACTCTTGAAGTACCCACTGTAGTGTCATTTTTTAAGACTTGGCTCTTGCTGATACACCACATATGATTTGAAAATTATCTTCACTTGTCAGTGATTTTTTCACCACAACCAGCACTTTCAATAGAGAAGGATGAATGGACATTTCTACTACCGACTCCAGAAGACACATAAAGGGTGATGATCAGACTCCCTTTCATTAGTTCCCATAACATTTATCAGTATTTATGTTTCCAAACTATTAACATTCATGACTAACAGATTCAGTCTTCTTCAGATTTCATCTCTCAAAACCTACTACAGTCACCATAATTCAGTAAGGGATAAAGGAAGGACCAATTTTACTGGGAGAAATGATCAAAACATGGAAATGTAGACTCTTGTCTAAGGTTTCAGAGCAACTCAGCAGAAAAGTGAGAAATTTATTCAAGTATTTGGAATTCTAGATCAGACTATATCAAATTGCTTCAAAAAGTTGATTCTTAAGGAATTCTATAACAAAACTCAGGGAAGCATTTTTCAAGTTTTTCTGACAATGAGGGAACAAATTTTTAATATATTTTGATCATATTGTTATTAATAGTTACTTGTTACATAATGTTATTATATAACATATTAATTGTTACATAATAGTACTATATATTTTTGTTTCTGTTTCTGTTTTTGTTTTTCTGAGACAGGGTCTCACTTTGTCACCCAGGCTGGAGTGAAGTGGTGTGATCCTGGGTCCCTACAGCCTCGACCTCCTGGGCTCAAGTGATCCCTCCCACTTCAGACCCTGAAGTAGCTGGGACTATGGGCATGTGCCTCCATGCCTGGCTAATTTTTTGTATTTTTTGTAGAGACAGGATTTCACCATGTTGTCCAGGCTGGTCTGGAACTTCCAAGCTCAAGCAACCCACCCACCTTAGCCTCCCAAAGTGCTGGGGTTACAGGTGACAGCCACTGTGCCTGGCTAGTGCTGTATAGTTAACAATGCACTTTCACAAACCTAATCCCATTGACTTCATCTCATAATAACTTTAGGATGTTGACAATGTCAAGTTTTATTTGCATTTTATAGATGAGAAAACTGAGATTACAAGAGGTTATAATGATTTACTCAACATCCAAGTAAATAACCTAATAAGTAAATATTCCAAACCCATGTAAGAAGCAGGTAGATAGCCCTATCTACCCCAAGTACAATAATCTCTCCACGATATTAAACTGCCTAGCTAATATTATGTATATTTATGCTGGTAGCATTATGTGATAACTCTTTATTCTCTTTAGAAGAATAAACAACCATTACAATTAACACATGCCATAAGAAAAGAATTCTATTCTTCATTTAATTATTTTATAATCAATAATATTTTAACTTACCAAAAGCAGAAGAGTATCAACTGAGTTCAAATTACCATAATGAACAATAAGAGAAAAAGTTACTCTGTTACTATAAGAAACCATTATTAAGCAAAAAAATTAAAGCAAACCAGTCTTTCCAATTCCTTTTAGAAAATAACTTTACTTTGCCTGGACAGTGTGTTATTAGCATCTGAAAGAAAATCAGAATTGTGCTCTAAGCAGTAGATTCAAAGTTAATGTGCAAAGGATACTGCCTCTTTGTAATTCATTCAATAATACAATACTTTATTGAATAAAGACAGCCATTTAGACTTTACATATTGAGCAATTGTTCATCTGCAAAATGTCAGAATGCCAAAAAACCAAACGAGCATGTTACAAAGGACTTCTACTTTCTCGGATAAGACCTTGAAGCAATATACAGTATTTCTCAGATTAATAGATATATATTAATATTAATAGCAATGGCAAAGTCATACTGCTCCCAATTCAATAGCGAAAGCTAAATCTGGAAGGACCTCAGTTTATATTTTCAGGAGTTCAATATGAATGTTTAAGAGATGCAGCTCAAGTAGCAGCCATGATATTTTATTTTGAGCCATTGTCTATGATAAGAAACAGTAATCCAATAAAAAATCTTCTTATCTTTTTACTTTAAACAATGTTGATAGTTTTAAGTAAATGAAAGCAATAGTCAACAACTATGGTAGCAACAGGCGCATTCAATAGTGTGAATTACATTGTGTATTTTATCTGCCACATTTGATCCTGTGATTCAAAGATAGTGTGGACTATGCATGAGATTCCAAGCCCTGACTAAATTCAGCGCCGAAAGTGGCCCAGGGTTCTCAATTTTGAGCCTTTGCTAGTGCATGTTCAAGCCTTTGTAACTGTATTTACTCCCACTCCTTGCCACTAGCCTGGTTGGAGTATACTGGGTGGAGTATACTGGTACTTAATCCAGGATAGAAGGTTTCCCTACTGCTATAGTTTGAATGTGTCCCTCAAAGTTCATGTGTTGGAAACTTAATACCCAATGCAACAGTGTTGAGACATGGGACCTTTAAGAGATGATTAGGTCATGGGGGCTCTGCAGTCATGAACAGGTTAATGTTATTATTGCAGGAATGGGTTAGTTATTGTGGGAGTAGGTTCCTGGTAAAAGGATGAGTTCAGCCCTCTTCCCTTCTCTCTTCTTTTGCTCTCTTGCCCTTCAACCTTCCATCATGGAATTATACAGTAAAAAGGACCTCACCACATGTGGGACCCTTGATCTTAGAATTCCCAGCCTCCAGAACTGTATGAAATTAATTTCTGTTCTTTGTAGGTTACACAGACTCAGGTATTCTGATATAGCAACACAAAATGGACTAAAACAGAAAATGGGTACCAGAAGTGGAGGTGCTGCTATATAAGCACTTCAAAATGTGGAAGAGACTTTAAAACTGAGAAATGGGTAGAGGCTGGAGGAATTTGGAGAAGAAGGCTAGATAAAGCCTAGATAGTTGTGAATGGAATCTGAAGGGTAGAAGAGCTATAGAGAGAGCCTAAATCTTCCTAGTGATTAAGTGGTTGTGATCATAATGCTCGTAGAAATATGAGCAGTAAAGGCCATTCTGATGAGATCTCAGATGGAAATTAGAAACAAGGTATTGGAAACTAGGATAAAGGATGTCTTTGCTGAATAGTTGCAAAGAACTTGGCAAAATTATGTCCGTGTCCTAGAACTTTGTGGAAGGCAGAAATTAAGAGTAATGAACTAGGATATCTGGCAGAAGAAGTATCTAAGAAGCAAAATATTCAAGGTGCTACATGGCTTTGTAAACCAAAAATAAAATTTGAAGGCCCCCTGCAACCATCTGAATGGACTTCCTCTCTGGCCAGGACACTGTAAAATTTAACCTGAAAGACTGGTTCAGGCCATGATGGGAAGTAAGGGTTGGACATGCTTTGTTATACCCGTCCAGCCTTAACATCAGCACCAATCTTAAGTCCGATAAGAAACATTTATAGTCTTCTCTCTAAAGCCCACTACTTGGAGGCTTCATCTGCATGATAAAACTTGGTCTCCACAACCCCTTATAGAAACCCAGACATTCCTTCCTACTGATAGTAACTCTTTCAACCAATTGCCAATCAGAATATGTTTAAATCTACCTATGACATGGAAGTCCCCTGTTCAAGTTGTCCCACCCTTTCAGATTGAACCAGTGTCAGTCTTACATTTGTTAATTGATGTGTTATGTCTCCCTAAAATGTATAAAAAGAAGCTGTACCCTGACCAGCTTGAGCATCATGAAATATGGATTGAAGGAAGCCAAGTTCTGTTCTATTAATCAACACAATGGGAGAATAATCCCAAAGGCATTTCAGATATCTTCGAGGCAAGCTAGAACCTTGAAGGTAAGATTTCCAGAGAGGTGTTTGTGGGACCTCAACATTCACTGCTCTGTGTCCCCTCAAGACTCTGTTCCCCACATTCTGGTACAGTGTCCCTCAGCTGTCCCAGCCATGGCTCAAATGTGCCCACGTACTGATTGACCCACTGCTCTGGAAGGCACAAGTTGTCCACGTGGTGCTAATTCTGCAAGCATAAACAATGCGAGAGCAGTCTCAGCTATTCTGTTGTAGCAGCACAAAATGAACTAAGACAGCTGCCAACACTTAGGAATTTGACTGTGAGAATTCCACCTCTTCCTCCCCTATGCGTGCCTTACTGATTTTGAAAAACTCTGCTAACTGGAAAATGGTAAGCTGTTTCCCTTCTCCAAATTTTGTGAGAAGAAGATACTGCTGGAGAAACTCAGGAAATCCTCTGTAAGATTATAACAAATCTACTTTGTGTGGGCTTTGGAGATTACCATACCTGTTATAAGTGTTAGGTTTTCACTTACAAAGGCAAGACAGCACGATGCAAGTGTGAGTGGGGAACAGGTAGTGGTGTGCTGCCTTGGGTGTCCTGGGGCTGGGAAAAGATAATTACACAGGACAGCCTGGAAAAACTATAGCTTATCTGTGGCTGTTTTTGTCCAGATTCTGGAATGCTGGGGGAGAAGGAGGGGGGTACAGGAAGCTTTGCTAATGTACAGAGAGCTCCCTTCAAATCTTGAGAGTCTTCGGACCAGAGCTCATCTATTGGGGTACAGGGGGAGTAGTCCCTCTCTCTAAATACATTCTCCAAAAGTAGAGCTTTTTGAAAAATAAGGCAATATGTCAACCTAATTAAAGTTAATGAAAAAAGATATTAGAAGAAAGTGAGATTGAGAGGTTCACAAAGAAATTAATAAAAGGGTGGTATAATTTTTAATTTGCTTACCTCACAACAAACTATAAGACAGGCTTTGCCTAACCCTCTCCCCAGACTCCTACCCTCTGATGTTAGAACCAGGTTATTCTCCAGAGAATACTCAATGCTCAAAGACCTAGGTCTGAATATAAAGCTTATGGTGCTGTGCTGACAGTTTTAGCACAGGTGTGTGGGTTTTGCAGAAGGTGAACAGGCATTAGAAAAGGGGAACAATTTCTCAATTGCATAAGTTGTCAGCAAAGCCTTCAGATAAAGGTGATCCAGCCACTACTCTGAAATGTCTACTCACACTAGGGATGCAGGATTTGCTGCCCCAATATTTAGCAACTGGATGTTGCTTGAATCACTGGGTTTGAGTTTTCCTCCTGAAGGTGGATTTTTACCTAGTAGGGAACTTCAAGATGTATACAAACTATTAATAGTTCATTGTTTCTAGGCTGGGACATCCTAGGGACCATGGACATAGAAGTTCTGTGATAAAGTCATATCAGCTAGGCTGGGGTAGAGCAAGAGAAAGAATATGGAAAGAAAGATCTTGGGACTCAGGTAATCTATAATAACAGCAAGAGCAGTGAAAACATCTAATCTCACTCTTCCCTATCAAGTTCTTCTTCTCTTCCAGGCATGGTGCCAAGAGCTTTATGTGCATTTATTATATCACTGAATCCTCACAACTCTGAAAGAAGAATTTTTTTTTTTTTTTTGAGATGGAGTTTCGTTCTCATTGCCCAGGCTGGAGTGCAATGGCACAATCTTGGCTCACCGCAACCTCCGCCTCCCAGGTTCAAGCGATTCTCCTGCCTCAGCCTCCCTAGTAGCTGGGAGTACAGGCATGTGCCACCACACCGGGCTAATTTTGTATTTTTAGTAGAGACAGGGTTTCTCCATGTTGGTCAGGCTGGTCTCGAACTCCCGACCTCAGGTGATCCATTTGCCTCGGCCTCCCGAAGTGGTTGGATTACAGGCATGAGCCACCTCGCCCAGACTGAAAGAAGAATTTTTAAATCTCCATTTCATAGATGAGGAAATAGTGGCACATACTCTTCAAAGTCACAAAAATGGAAAATTGCAGCACTGGGACTTGAACTCAATAATCCCCAGCTCATGCCTTTGGCCTGTACCTCCACTCCAGTCCTTACCATCTTCTCTGGGAGAGTGTCAACACCAAATAGGAAAGGAAGTGTTGATAATAAGAAAGCTGAAGTCTTAAGTGGAGGGAGCTGAAAGCGATTTTGACAGCCGAACTAGTAGCAAGGTTCTAGAACCAGGCATTGAAAGAAAGGGAAAGAGAGCCAAATATAAAATGCATGTGGAAAGGAAAGTACAGTAATTTGGGAAAACTTGGTTTTGAGGAAAGAACCAGCTCAGGAAACCATCATTCTCAGCAAACTATCGCAAGGACAAAAAACCAAACACTGCATGTTCTCACTCATAGGTGGGAATTGAACAATGAGAACACGTGGACACAGGAAGGGGAGCATCACACACCAGGGCCTGTTGTGGGGTGGAGGTAGGGGGAAGGGATAGCATTAGGAGATATACCTAATGTTAAATGATGAGTTAATGGGTGCAGCACACCAGCATGGCACATGTATACATATGTAACTAACCTGCACGTTGTGCACATGTACCCTAAAACTTAAAGTATAATAATAAAAAAAAAAGCAAAGCCCAGTTTGTGTACCTTTTAGCTACCACACTAACATATTATGAGGCAATATTCACAAATAATCAAAATCACTAACAAAAGTGTTGCTTCTAGAAAGACCTGACTCAGAAAGAAGTATTTCTAAGGTCTACAGAAATTGATTTGCAAATATTTTGCAACTTACAAATACACTTAGGAGAGAAGGTCTAATTTGTTCCCATTTGTATTTTGTGAATGTGCAGATTGTTAAAATATCTGTAACTGGTTTTGTTCAAGCTTTTTGACTCATACTCTTAAAGAAAAATTAAACTATACTAGCTCTCTTTTTGTACCAGGCATTTTATTCTTGTCACTAATGGTAGCAACTTCCTACTTAGAGGAAATCTTGTGATTTACATACCATTACACGGTAAAATCATTGACTTTTTAAAATTTACAATGTTGAAAACTTATGGAAGCCCAACCACTTTTTAACATATTATTTATTATAGCTTTTGCATTTATTTCTCCTCTTTTCTGTAACTTTGGCTTTTTACATGAATTGTCATGTTTCTTGCTTCAATCATCCATTAACATCAACTATGTTGGGGGGTAGATTCAGCAAGATTGCCACTACTAACCTGAAATTTTCAAACAGTAAAAAATATCTGTATCAGAAGCCATTGGTATTTCAAAACTAATTCTACCCTTTCTTCTCTGATGACCTCAGCCAGAAGCCCTGGGGCTATGCATTGTTATGAAGAAGTTCAGAAGACAGGTAGCTACAGGTACCATGTCCACATGAGTCACTCAGAGTGGAAAGTAACATTTACTCCAGGTATTAATGATCACAATCCACAAAAGCAAAAAAAATTTACCGCTTTATCTCTCCTTAGATGTAACATGTACAAAAATGACTGCAGAAAGTAACCACTTTCTAATAACAGTTTCCAGAGGTCATAGAGAGATGAAATTGTCAACGGTGACGTGCATAGTGTGGAGGCAAGGCCACTCTCAAAGAGAATAATGCTATTTTCTTAGTTATTATGATGGAAAAACTACTAGCCACTCACATGCCAATTGAAAGCTTCTCCAAAAAAAAAAAAAAGAAAGAAAAAGAAATACGTAAGATTTCTCTGTGACTCTGAGTAAACACAATGAAAACAATGTGACAGTGTTATCCATCCCAGAACAATACCTATCGGGAGTAACACACTTGGACTGCAGTATACTGCTACCAGTCTAATGTAAATTTTCTCTGGTACTGCAATTCTTTACAGAATTAACTGGGGTAAAATTGAAACAATGACCCATTTGTGCTTTTTCTCTAGAATTTCTCACAGGAATATTAGGGAGAAAAAATGGGTCAACAACCATGTCCAAAGAGTTTTAGACCTGTTCTCTTGAATATAATTGTGTACAGAAAGCAGCCTGGTGCACCCAGCCTGGAAGGTAGGATCTGGTCAATGAAACTGTGACAACAGCCCACAATCAAAGTTTTATTTGGATCAACCTTGGGCCAACATTGTAGAGCCAGTTTCATGACACAAAAGGGCAATATGAATTATTGCAAAATTTGTTTCATAGAGATGTAAGAATGATACTTGAGTTTTCCATTTGTCCTTGAAACTTCCACTGAAAGGGAAGAGGCTGAACCCAGTGAAACTTATTCAGCAGGGTACAGAGTTTTCTAAACTTTTGTGTGAGAAGAAGCCCTAGTGGACAGTGTGATTAAGACAATAGTCTAATCATTTCAGAATATGGATCTTATGCTAGGAATGAAACTTGAAAGATAAGAAGAAAGATTTCATCTGGGGCCTCAATTCCTTAAGAGAAAATCCTAGGAATAAAGAAGTAAAGGATAGGGTGTAAAGAGAGGTAGAAATCCCCAGGCCAAATTCTGGAGAAGAGTTCTTTACTCTTTTTCACCAGCTCTTACCCCCAGTGGTATATATTACCACTCTCTTTTCTGTTTTCTAATTTAAGCCTTTTTTAAGAAAGGAGTTGGAACTCAGTCATAATCAAAAGTAATATAACAACCTAAGAGGTCTTTCTCTCTCTCATACACACATGCACTCAAATATATGGGATTTGTATAGGTAAAGCTATAAGCTGAAGCAGTAAAACTCTTATGGTAGAAGCTACAGAAATAAAACTTTTATAGTAGAATCAGGTATTGAAAAGAAATAACAGAATTATTGTGTATGTAGTGGGGAGGACGGAGGAGAGAGAAATAAGGCCCTGAAATAACATTATATTACCCTCTGTCTTTTGAAAAGTACTTGCACAAAAAGCATATTCAGTCTTAAGTATTCTTTCTTCACTTAGCAAGCATCTGTCTCTGTGTCTACTTTTACTCTTGACCTATAAAATTTGTAAGGACAGAGAAATGGATCTGCCATATTCCTTGTATCTTCAATGATTAGAGCAATGAAAAGAGGACATAGTAAAACTTTGTTGAGTGAATGAGTAAGTGGGCAAAGTACACTGTCAGTCAGAAAATTATCATCAGAAATAATAAGAACATTATTCTCAAACTCAATGGGCATTCAGTCATCCTCTATTTTCTTTGTTTATTCGTTTTGCTTCGTTTTTACCATAGTGTCTCAGGATCTAGTGTCTGACCACCTACCATTATGCAAATTGGCCACAGTAGCAGGGAAAAAGGAGAAAGGCAACTGGGGAACATCCATTGCAGATCAGAGATTAGACCAAGAGCTAGGTAGATCTCACTTGTTTTATTCATAAGCGAATTATCTCTAGTCTCCCTTCATCTAGCAAAATACTACAGTGCTCATTCAGCTAGCAGGAGATATGATTCTACATAAGTCCATTATACATATGTGTACATCTAAAGATCCAGAGTTTGGGCTTATTTATGCCACCATGGTGAGTTGTCTACATAAATATATTTCTAGAAAACCAACATAGCTCAACATGACATCAAATAAGACTGTCTAAAACAAAAAACAAAAATAATTTAAAAGCAATTAAGCAAATAATGCTCATTGACTCACATTTGGATAACTGATTTTGTCTGATTAAAACTGAATATGGCACTAATAGCCAGGAACATGAGCCCAATTGCTTCAGGAGTCCCAATTGTCTAGCCTCTTTATCTCAATTTCCACTTCCTCTTCACAAAGACAAGCTATCAGTAACTTTTACTTTATTCCCTATGGTTTGAAACACTTCGAAACTGTGAGTTCTTGAAACTTGAATGTACAATATTGACATTCATTATAACGAAATTCATTTTACAGCCTCATAAATGAGCATCCCTGACATACAATCACCTATTAGATATTGTACTTCATTTATATCTGAGCTTATTATCTTTTTGCTGTTTGGAAAGGATCTTTGGCATCTACTCTGATGCAGACAGGCTAAGGCAGATGCAACACAACTCTAGAGAAGAGCTTTGATGGGCATTTAGCAGTTCCCACTGTTATGAGAGGAAGTCGGGGTAGTATACTGCTTTCCTCTGTAGGAGCAATGAGCTTTTCTCTGGGATGCTCCTGGAGGAGTCTTAGCCTCTCTACAAACCTCAGGCACACAGAAGAAAATACCAGACACCTGGGTTCTTGACCTAAGTAGCTGATTCTACTCAAGAGATCTTTGGCTCTGTTCGGTCAAAGAAACTAAAATGGAACCAAGAAGCGTCTCCCTACTCCTTTTTATGCATGAGGGGAATGAAACTTAACTGTAGAGGGTGATGAGATTCATTGCACCCAAGAATAAGTTCAGTGCCAATGGAACTGTTGAGGTAACATCATCCATATCTGTCTGCAAGGGGTGGAGGGTATGGATTTGCAGAGGCTTGGTGAATATGCAATTTTCTGCTTAAATCCACAGAATGGTTTTTTGTTCTATCTTAACTAGGCCTTATGATGGCTTAGAGAAGTCTCTGTTTTCATAGACTACAGAGCCTCTTTGTAGAGACTGGGAGAACACACAGAATTGTCAACGAGAGGAAGGCTCAGGATGTGGAAGTGACTTTATCTCAAATAGTCCCAGAGATTCCTGGTGATAGTCTTAAATATGCCATGGGATACAAGCCCAAAATTATTTCAAAATAAATCTGTGTAGATTACACATGACTTTAGGTATCATGTGTTTTTTGGTTTTGGTTTCTGCAATAGAAAGGATCCTGCTGTGTCACCCAGGCTGGAATGCAGTGGTGTGACTATGGCACACTTCAGCTTCAACCTACCAGCCTTCTAAGTAGTGGAAACCACAGGCATGAGCCACCATGCCTGGCTATTTTTTTTTTTTTTTAGAGACGGGATCTTGCTATGTTGCCCAGGCTGGTTGGAAACTCCTGGGATCAAGCAATCTTCCTACTTTGGCCTCCCCAAATGCTGGGATTATTGGCATGAGTCACTGTGCCCAGCCTTGTTATTTTTTAATAAAACAGAAAATGATGCTACCATTATTGATGATGATAGCTAAATTTTGGTGTGTCTCTATAATGTACTTGGACTGTTCTATGCTTTTTACATGGATTATTTTAGTCTACTCAACAAGGCTATGGTGCAGTTTTTTTAAAATTCTTATTGTTATCCTTCCTGTCTTAACAGATGAAGAAACTGAGAGAGGTTAAGTGATTTGGCCAAGGTCACTCATCCAGTAAATGGGGAGCTATGTTTATAACTTAGAGCTAGAAATTATCTTAGAGAACATCAAGTTTAGGGCTGAGCAAACTTTTCTTTCTGTGAAGAAGCAGATCATAAATATTTCAGGCTTTGCATTACAACTTTGCTGTTGTAGGTGAAAGGAGCCATAGATGGTACATAAACAAATGAGAGCAGCTGTGTTGCCATGTTTATGAAACTGGTAGTAGGTTGGATTTGATGCATAGGCTGTAGTTTGCTGACCCCTAATCTAGTCCATATCACTCATCTTATACACAAGAAAACTGAGACCCAGAAAGGTGATGGTATTTACAGTGCTGTGCAGTATCAGAAACAAGAGGAAAGTCTCACAGGTCTCAGTCCTATATTCTTTTCTTTATACAAATTCAAGAGCTTCACCAGTTAATATGGTAATAAATTATAATGTCCTATATTAAAACAAATGTAAAATTCACTTGAAACTATGACAGCCCCTTATAGATCTTTATACTCAATAAAAGTTGATTTTGAACTGAGATTTTTCTGCTTTACCTGGTTTGTATTGACGTGGTACACACAGCTCTAAGACCAAACAGAAAATTCCAAAACACATCTTATTAAGTCAAATAAAAAAATTAGGGGAGTCCAATGCCCAAATTGCCACAGACAAGATGATGAAGCTAGCTGAATAATTCCACCAACACGTATGCAAAAATTCAATTGTAGGGAGCAAGACACAGGCCCTCACTCAGCTTCTTCCACTGCAGCTGCTGTCCAGATTTTTCTCTAAGGCTTCATGTAGACCTGTTAATACATTCTCTAATTTAAAAAGACACATTTCCCTCCAACTATCTCTATGGCCAAAATTCATGGCCTCTGAAATTTTACTTGAAATGTAATTCACCACAAAATTGAATAATGATTGTTGCAAGTCCCATTTCCTTGGAACATTTTTCATCAAATTTAAGTGAAAATTGTATCAAATAATAAAGCCACCAAGAAGAGGTACTGTGCGATACCAAAGAGACAACAAAAAGTTGATGTTTGGTGAAAATGAGATCTTTTAACAATAGTAATAACTAAGAAAAACATTAATGACTAACATTTATTGTGCACTTACTCTATGCCAGCGTCTGTGCTAAGAATTTTATATTTAATTCTAAAAACCACAACTGGGGACACCGGCTCTCAGAGAAGTGAAGGAACCTACCCAAATTATACAAATCATGAACAGTGGACTGGAATTCCAGCAGGTGACCTGAGAGTCCAAGAAATTGATCCATCTCTGGATCCCAAGCCCTCACTTCAGGTTGGCAGGATTTATGTACCTGGACTCCCCTTCCCAGCTGGGTGGCTTTGGGCCAAATTCTCTGCTCAGTTTCCTTATCTGTGAGACAAGCATAATTATGGTAGCTTTTTTTATAGTATTCATGAGCAAATTAATAGTTAATCCATGCAAAGTGCTTAACAATATACCAACTTAAAGTTTAGAGATTATTATGACTATCGGTATTATTAAATTGTTTTAAATATATAAATAAACATTTTCCCAAATGACCACATAGGACCAAACAGACCTGGATTTCAATTCTGGCTTCCTAACTAACCCTCTATATCATTTCAAGTTAGACATTTACACATTTTTATCTTTAACCAGTCTTTTCTTTTGTAAAGTAGGTATTAAAATACAGAGTTCACATGAAAATACAAAGAAGGAATGCTTCAGGGTCCTTATGGCAGGGCCAGGGAGGATGCTGGGGAAATGTCATTGCCCTCCAGCCTTGCTCCAATTGTTCCTTTTCCAGCTGTGAGAATCCCATAGAATCTTGAAAGTGTGGCTCCACTAGACCTCAAGACTGCCCTGGACACAAACTGCCAAAATGAAGTCCTCATCCCTCACAGAGTCTTGAGTCTCAGGGTGAGGGAGAACAATGAGGAACTATAGCAGTTACAATAAGGATAATACAAGAAGCCAGGGATATACCTAACCCAGATATTGGGCAAAGGGAATGTCTCAGAAAAATTCTTAGAAATAGTAAGAACTAGCCAGGCAAGAGACAAATTGTTAATGCTCTGAGTAGAAAGAATAACATAACAAATGCTGTGAGCACATCAAGTAGAACTTTAAAATGGGTTAATTTTCAGTGCAACTGGAGAATTTAGTTCCAGAGAGAGAGGCCAACAGATGAGCGTGCAGAAGTAGGGCCTTGAAAAGTAGAGTCACTGAAGAGATTGTTAATGTGGTTGTGGTGGTCTGACCATTGTCACATTGACATTTTAGAAAGATTATTCCGAGTATAGCTTCTTGGGTCATATTCCATCCTACAATGTTTTCTCCTCACTCTTAATAACCACATCTCTAATCACTTGTGTCATTCATTTAACAGGTAGTCACATAGAGTTTTATCATTTTAATTATAAACGATCTTTGTATATGCCTTGTGTTTTACTTCTTTATTCTTTTTCACAATGTTCTGCAAACAGTAAATGCTCAACAATTATTGACCAGTCCCATCACTCCCTACAGCCAGGGCTATCTCTTATGATCTTTTTCTATTCCCCACAGTGTCTGAAAGAGTCATACCTAATAAAGTCATAGTTTCTGTTATTTGAAAAGAAACTGGGAAAAAATGAAGTTCTTCCTTGTTGTCTTCTTCACTTAAAGATGTCCTCAACCCACATTGTTTCTGATAGTTCTAAATATATAATCTAATATGGAAACACAAGAAAACAGAAAACACAAACAGGTTGCTTACATACAAAATATCTTCACTGTCAGCTAAGATGGCTGTGTTATTCAAATATGACTTAGAACAATAATAAAAATTTGGCACCTGGATAGGAAGGCATGTCAGCAGGAAATCTGGAAGCAGGTGGGCAAGCTTCTCAACAAAAATAAAGAGGATGACGTCTCATAGCCTGCTGATGAGCTCTGTACCACACCCGTATGGAATCAACCCGGCTCTGTGCAGAGCACGCTTCTCTGACAGCTGGATGAACAAAATGGTCAATTTCATCACTTATTAGAGAAACACTTCCCAGGAAGGTGGGTGAAAGACTGATCGTTTACCAATAAAGAGGTTAATTAAAACATTCCATAGAGATGGTGACAGCAGTTGACATTTGGTTGCTTGCTTGAAACAGTATAGAAATAATGCTGAAGAAAGGAATTTCATCCTGTGTGAAAGCCGTGAATTGC
The DNA here is from genome assembly GCF_000001405.40 of Homo sapiens. Lineage (NCBI taxonomy): Eukaryota > Metazoa > Chordata > Mammalia > Primates > Hominidae > Homo > Homo sapiens. The sequence continues at coordinate 95,716,497 of NC_000001.11, read as the reverse complement.
CCAATTCTTGGGCCCTCGTGACATTTCCTAAGGCAGTTCAATGGAGTAAACATAAAGTGATATTTTTGTAACTCAGCTCTTCAATGAGGTATAAAATTCCTATTTTCCCCCAAACAGTCCTCTGATTTAATAGGTAACTTGAATTTCTCTTCAATGACTCATGACAATACTAACAGTAAGTCACGCTGAACATAAGCTGGAAAGGTAGGATCATTAGTTCTGGAGATCTGAAAATAAGACACACCAGCTGCAGATGAGGAGAAAATAGTCAGGTAAGAAACTTATTCCAGGCTTTGGTTAAAAAAGGGAGAAATTCATTAAACTGACTCACACCAGCATCATTGTGGTTATAATAAGACAAATATTCTTTAAGAAAAGAGGACTATGAAATATTCTACGCAGATCTTTAGCAATGATTCCCTCTCTTAAATAACACATTCTTAGTAGCAATCAACAGTTGGTGAGAAGCTCAGTAACCATAAATCTAAAACTGTTATTAATAGCATATTCATCTTGAAGTGATTGCCCTTGTATGGTAACCCCTGTGAGAATGTCTGTCAATGGATCAGCTTGCCTACCTCTGAGCCCAGGAACAACTTATAGGGGAGGAAAAAGAACTAAGAATCTTCATGCTGGAGAGTAATCAGAATACAGGGTTCATTTTCAATAACTTAGCAAATGAGAGAGAGGGTGAGAGAGAGAAAGCTTTGCCTGCTGCTGATAAGGCTGTAGTACTTGACTATCCCTTTGAGTATATTTCTTCCACCCAGGCAATGTGCCATTCAGTGGAGGTGGGGTTTAAAGGATGGTAACATAATGATAATGATACTGATAAGAATTATTACAGTCATAGCAGCAGTCACCTACTGGTCATATGTTATGTGCCAGGCCCTTTGCTCCTTACATACATGACCTCTAATTCTCACGAGAACCTTCAATTTAAATGACATTACCTTAATCGATAGAGCCAAGAATCCATCAATTTCTCTTCTGATCTATTTATTTCTAAAAATATACACTCTAAAAATGGCAAGGGAATTTGATAGATTTGGCAGCGACCTGAATAGCTTCATGTAATATCAAGAAGACTTCAGTGACATCTTTGGGCGTTGGTGAGTCTGTCTGTCCAAAGCTAGGTGGGCCTCCTATTTGCATATTAAAGGTCAACATCACAAATTGCTGCCATACCTCATATGGCAACAAATTGGATGCCACTCTTTTTATCTACAGTTCCAGGCAGGAGCAGGGTAAGAATTTATCTGGTTCTAGTGGGGTTCTGGCTAGAATGTAAATCCTGTTCACTTCTCTTCACAGTTTTGAAGTCTGGTTATTACTAAATTTCCAAATAAGCAAAACCCAACAGATGCTTTCTCATTTGAAGTTGTTCTACCGTCAATTCCAGCCCCTCCTTTGCAAATGTTATGTAGCCTTCAATGTCAGGCTCCCTGCAGTTTCCTCTTCTATTGACTCTGATTTTCCTTTTTCTATCTGCAGTTCCATGGCTCATGTTATCTATGTCTGTTCTGTCCAGTCCAGAGCCACTAGACACATGTGGCTATTGAACACTTGAGCTGTGGCTAGTCTGAATTGAGATGTTCTGTAACTGCAAAACATACGCTGGATTTTGAAGACTTAAAATGAAAAAAAGAAGTAAAATATATCGATATTTTAATTTTGATTATATGTTAAATGATCATATTTTTCCATATTTGGTTAAACCAAAATAGTTCTTAAATTAATTTTACCTTTTTCTTTTTACTTTTTAAAATATGACCATTAGAAAATTTGAAATTCCATATGTGGCTCAGATTTCTGGCTCAAATTATATTTCTATTGAAAAACACTGGTCTATATTCTTCCAATTCAAAGTGCGGTCCATTGGCTAGCATCGTTTTACCTGAAAACTTGTTAGAAATGCAGAATCTCAGGCCCTATCCCTGACCTACAGAATCAAATCATTGCATTTTTAACAAGAGTCCCTGGTGACTCATTACAGTTTTAAAAAAATTTGATATACACGATTACTTTTGACACTTTTGGCATCTGTACCTATAGATCATCTGTTTTATGTGTACATGTTACATCTCAACAGATGCACTTCGGAGTAAAGACCACAACTATATTTCTTGAATAATTCTCATAGTACCTAGCATAAAAGTAGATATCTAGAAGGAGAGGAATGAATTATTTGATAATTTAAAAATTATTCTCTATGAAGTCAGATGGTTCCATCATTTTTCTTACACCTGCTAAATTTTGGTCTGTGATCAAAAATATTGTACAAGATGGTGAATTAAATCTTCAAATAAAAATAAATGGAAAATAGTATGGCATAGTCAAAATGTTAAGCTTATTTATGTACTTTGTAGCTCTCTATCCCTTAACTTTGGAGAACTGAAGAGGTTAACTAAAGTTTTGTAATGTCACTACTGACTTCCCTATATGGGAAGAAGCCACATAAAGTGACATTAACAAAGTTATATTCATCTTCCCTTTGAGTTTCCATCTAAAATTAAATCTGCTATCTTTTTATCTAAAAGAAAATCGTTATAGAAATGTACATGAAAACCCGGATTAATTATAAATAGAAATTTCATTGCTCATGTACTTGATGAAGATATTGAGAAAATAAGTAGATAGCAAAGATCTCTTTAAAAAGGAAGGAAGGGAGGGAGCTAGGAATGGAGACATAGTGCAATTTTCTACAATGTTTATATATACTATTGGGCTATACAGAGCTGTCCTAACCTCATCAGCAATGTATCTCCAGTCAAGAGTGATGTTTATAATGATGACCTCGAGACGCTGACCACAGTTAATTACCACAATTCTATTATGGACACTGAATTCAAAGAAAAAAGGTCACTATGGTATGGTATGTTTGAAATGATAGTGAAGACTGCCTCATTGATTGGAATATTCTTGTTCTCTGAGCATTCTGTTTATTTGAAGTTTTCCATCAAAAGGTCTCCCAAGTTGGGTTTCACACCCTGCTAGAGGTTAGGTAGTTCATGATTTTATATTTAGAGTTTCCATGTTAGGCTTGTTCTGAAGTGAGCTTTTGTAGCTGACCTCAAATGTAGTTTTAGTGTGTAGTTATTGTTATTCAATCTCAGGACAACTAAAATTTTGATTATCCTGTAATATGTCACCATAACTCCTATATTAATTATTGGAGTTTTCATGTGATGTCAGGATAATGTAATGAAGACACACAGGATTGTTTGTTTCATGGAGATTAAAATACTTCCAAAATTCTTTACTACTTCACAATTCCCACTGGAAACATGAGGGCAAATGCTGTAATATTTCAAGCTCAGCTGACAAAAGGAACCTTTTTCTGGGGTTCATAAAGGCAAAGACATCCCCCTGTAAATATAAAGCTTCCTCAATTCCCTTGCCAATGCAAGAAAGAGAAAATGAGAAAATGTGTAATTCTTTTTATGAGGTCTCATTTTTTTTGTGGGCTACTGTCATCACAGTATTTCACTATGAATATTTCCAAATTGATACAAGTCCTCTCAACTCTTTAATATCAAGAATACCATGTATTCTTGTATGTATTCATACCTGATAGATAAAGATGAGCAAAAAAGATATATACATTTATCTGACAAATAGCTAAAAGGCCAAGAACCTCATTTTAAACTACTCAACTGTAGGCTAATTACAATGGTAAAAGTACCCTGAAACAGGAGGATGTGCAGACCACAACCAGCAGGTCCTATTTTAGATGAGTAAGTGCAGGATTTTAAAGGTGTTATCTGCCACAAAGCTCTATCTAAGGGCATAAAAATGAGCAGAATGCAAAATTGCCAGTGCTATCCAGTATCCAAAGGCAATTTTCACATTATAATTCACCCCAATTTTATTTTCACACTCCTTACTTATGACTTCCCAACAAAATTAAGAATGAAAATAGAAAGAAAGAGGTGGGAGAAAATTATCATGGCATTGAATTAGCAAACTGGAGTTAGGCATATTCCAATTAGAGGACAGATGAAAGACTGACGTGTTCACGTTGAGGTAGGATGAGAGAAGTCATGCATAGAGCAATCAGAAGCTTGGACCACAGGGAATGGGAAAAGGTAGGAGAGTAGTATGGCTTATTCTAGCATGGTTCTTTTCTCAAAGTTCTTGGCACATTGGAGCCAACAATTCAGGGCATGTTTTGCAGTTTGTAAATACCAGTTGCAATTTTAGCAGTAAAAGAGGCAGACAAAGAGTTGTAGGCCAATATTATCCATTTAAATGTTGACTGTAATTCTGGTCTTGGGTAATCATTGCTTTTTTAAAAAACTAGTTTGTTTTTAGCAGGGCTGTGCATAATTTATTGCCCATGGCATATCAATTGGAAGAAAGCTAAAACTTTAAATACTGGCTAGCAAAATGAAAGCCATTTAATGTCATAAAGGAAATTAACAAAGATAAACAAATAACCACAATTTACAAGGCTAGTCTTTCCTTTTGCTTTGTATGTTTGTAAACTATTTTCAACAGCTTGGGAAGTTTCTAGGTTTATAAGATTATTACTCCTTCACAATTTCTATTTCTGGCCTTGGTAAAATAAGTAATCTACAAGCCTTAGTTTTCTATCCTACCAACACCTTCCAAATATACAAGCCTATAAAGTCACAGCCCAGTATGCAGATTGCTTTTTCTGCTTTTGATCTATTGAAGCCAATTAAGTAGTTAAAGATCATTTGCACAATCAAAATCTTAGCTAAATAAACAGCATTTCCACGGCCCATTTCAGCCAGAATGTGAAAGAAGAAAATGTCCCAAGGATAAATATTCTTTTGCATCTTGTATTATGGATACAAACAAAATAGCAGATGAAATATCCAATTTTTTGGATGATAGCCTTGTAAATGTCTAGATTATGCTGGCCTTTTCACTCGGATAATATAAGGAAGGGCACTAGGAAGACCAATTAGTAATCAGAACTTGTTCTCTGATCATTCTCTTCATGTTCTTGCTTTAACTAGAATTTGGCTCTTCCCTGGGGGACATTGTTTTCCCCGTGGCCCTCTCAAATACTCCCAGTGTTATTTTCCCACAACTCTTGTTCTACTGGGTCAATACATGGGTAAGTCATCCCCGCGCTTTTTTTTTTTTTTTTTTTTTTCTGCTTTCAGACCATTCTCCTTCTCTCTTCTGGAAAGAAAAAATTTCCAGCTCTCAATCTTAGCAGACTGTCTCACCCTACTCTTCATTATTGCTGTCATCTAATGACCTCCCCTTCAGCCTCACAATTGGGTCACTTCTCCTCAATTCTAAGCAGTTTTAGTTCCTGGCTCACACTCACTCACTCCAGTACTTATTCTGCCTTTCTTTTTGGTGACTATGTAAATGACCTCTCTAATAACTTGATCTTTCAGAGCTTTGGATTTCTCTCTTCCATTGATCTTATTCTTCTTATACTCCTCCCTAACGCTCTCTTATGGTCACTCCTAAGACCCTATCATCACCAGTAATAAAATCTCTTTGTAATTACAGTTTTATGCTCCACACTCTTCTGACCATATCCAGTCTCTCTAGTTCATTTCTTTAGATCCCAACCCCAAAATTATCTCTCATTATGATGATCTGACAGCTTTCAATTACTATCACCTCTAATGTCGTCATTTCCCTTCTTACTCACTTTAAATTTCCTAGTCCTTTGTAAATCCCCTAGACTACTCTCCTTCTCATTTGCTTTGCTGTATTCCCCTAACAAAACCACAATCCTGGTTAAAGTCAATTCTCTCCCTATTCCACTTCTGTACTGATGCAGTTGAACATAGCTGGAAAAAAATACACAACCACTGTGATGAATCTCACCAATAGTTCATTAATTCCAAGTGGGTCCTTAACTTAATGCTGCCAGGAAATCATAAGATATATTTTACCTTATATTATATATTATCCTATATATCATATCACATCATTATTATAAATTTACACACCCCAATTGTACTATATATTCCTAGTTCATTTATTCATCCACTCCTTAAGATGACTACTTCACAATTTCTCTTTTTTTAGGGAAACCCCAGTGTGATGGTTAATATTAGGTGTCAACTTGACTGAATTGAAGGTTACAAAGTGTTGTTCCTGGGTGTGTCTGTGAGGGTATTGCAAAAAAAGATTAATATTTGAGTCAGCGGACTGGGAGAGGCAGACCCACCCTCAATTTGGGTGGACACCATCTAATCAGCTGTCAGCGTGGCTAGGATAAAAGCAGGCAGAGGAACATGGAAGGATTAGACTGGCTAAGCTTTCTGGCCTGCATCTTTCTCCCATGCTGGATGTTTCCTGCCCTTGAACATCAGACTCCAAACTCTTCAGTTTTTGGACTCTGTTACTTACACCAGTGATTTGCCAGGTTGCTCTTGGGCCTTTGGCCACAGACTGAAGGATGCACTATTGGCTTCCCTACTTTTGAATTTTTGGGACTCGGACTGGCTTACTGGCTCCTCAGCTTGCAGACAGCCTATCGTGGGACTTCACCTTCTCATTGTGTGAGTCAATTCTCCTAATAAACTCCCCTTCATATATTTGTCTATCCTATTAGTTCTGTCCCTTTAGAGAACCCTGGCTATTACACCCAGTGTCTCCTCCACTGTCTTTATTCTCAACTGAAGACTCTTGACTCTTACTTCACTAAAAAATTAAAGCAATCATAAGAGAAGTTCAGGAGATTCCCATTATTTCTTTCTACCTACCAGAATTTGCCTTCCCACTTTGATGAACATCTATGCCCCTGGCAGAAGCTAATACTTTCACTCATATATGAGATTCCATCCATTGTCACCTACTCAAAGACAATGCTGTAGGAATTCTCCCTATGATCTTCTACATTATCCTATTTCTTCTGCTACTTATGTCGCATTCTCTCTCCCATCTTAAAAATAAGCAAACAGAAAAATATTCCTTTACTCCTTTCATTAACTACTGCTCCACAAACAAACTTCATTTACAAAACTGTAAATACTTGTCTCTAAATTTTCTTTCTCCATTCTATTTTAAAGTCACCCCAATCACCCAACCACTCCACCAAACATGCTTTTATAATTGTCACCAATGACATCTACATTCTTACATCAAGTGGTTAATTCTGGTCCTCATTTACTGGACCTATTAAGCAACATTTAAAAGAAAAGATCACTCTTTCCACAGCACATTTCTCTTCACCTGACTTCAAAGGAAATTAACGTTTCCTTGGTTTTCCTCCTACTCCACTAGTCACTGCTTTTCAGACTCCTATGCATTTCCTTTACTTCTTGACCTCTCAATCTTGGGCTGCCACAGGGATAAATCCCTGGACTTTCATTCTTTTCGCATATTTAAAAATACAGTGATTTAATTCAGTGTCCCAGCTTTAAGTGACATTAACTTTCCATCAAGTTTCAAAAGCACGTCTACAGCCCAGACATCTCTCTCCTCTATTTTCAGACTGGCGTAAGTATCTACTTGATTTGGATGTTATTAATTGCTCAGATTCAATATACTGAAAACTGAGCTCTGATCTTCCTCCAGATGAACACCCCCTCCACCGACCCCAAACTGCTGCAATCACAGCTTTTCATACTGTAGTTGATGGCAACTCCATCCTTCTAACCTCTCAGCCCAGAAACTTTGGAGTCACTCTTGACTCTGCCTTTTCCCTCATACTCAATGTCTGGAAATGCTCTGGACCTTCCCTGAATATGAACACTCCTCTTCACCTTCACTTCTTTCACCCCAGTATGCATCACCATCATCTCTTACCTAGATTACCACAATACTCTCTTAACAAGTTTTCCTTTAAAAAGCCATAATATCAATTGATTAGAGGTCAATTGACTAGGGATTCAGAGATCTTGCACTATAAACCTGGAATCACTAGGCCCCACCCCAACCATATACCTTGCCCTATAAATCTCTTTTATTGGCTGTTCCTGAGTTGCAACCTTTGTAATAATATTGAAATGAAAAGTATAGCACTTTCCTGAGTTTTGTGAGTCATTCTAGTGAATTATCAAACCTAAGAGGGGATCGTGGGAACCCCTAAATTTATAGTCAGTTGAGAAAAGTTCAGGTGCCTTGAGGATACCTAGGAAAGTTGACATCTAAGGTGGGGGAAGTCTTGTGATACTGAATCCCTCAACCTGTGCTGTCTATTCTAACCCTAGCTTATTAGTGTCAGAGTTAAATAAAATTGTGGGACATCCAAGTAGTGTCAGAGAATTCATGTGGGAACTCAACCAAGATAGATTTAGTTCTCTAACTTTTTATGATCACTTAGAATTAGAGAATAATCTGGAACCTAGAATTAGAGAATAATCTGGAAATAGTAATAAAATCATTGAAACAAAGAGGCAACAAAACTCAATATAGAAAAAGTACAAACAAAAAGAATTATCAAAATATAGAAAAATAATAATCACAAACTGGACCAGAACAAATGTCACTTATTAACTAAGTCAAAAAGGATAAATTTTCTTATCAGATTTCCAGTGAGAAAGAACTGAAAGTTGAAACCAGAACGTCGCCACAAACCCATTTCATTTAGTTGTGTAATTTATGCCTAATTTAACTTGACAGCAGAAAATGGCATGAAGTTCTGATTTGAGGATATGAGTTTTGCTATTCTCAACATCATTTTGTAATTTTCATAAAGCCCTGAATTCAATAATTTCTTCGCATATGGTGGGTAGCAGACAGAAGTGAATAAAGAATAAGTGGCTATTGCAGAAGTAAATGTATGATCCCTGAACCAATAAAAGAGAGAATGTGAAGGAAGGCATGGCCAACCGTGCCTAAACGTTGGAGAGACAAAAAAAAAAAAAAAAAAAAAAAAAAAAAGAAGTCGCTTAATTATTACAATAGCATTTTCAGGAGGCATCATTTCACCTTCTTATCAATTCACTTCTTCAAATGATCTAGACATTAACACAATATCTCAAAAGCTGTAGGCTCAGTGCAGAGTGTGGGAAACCAATCATGCCCAACATACCCTTCAGTGGCTCTGCAAACTACTAATATTTAGACTAGGAACAGGTTTCCAGGTGTCCGCCACTGGAAGCCCCTATACTCTTCTGAAGAGATCACCGGGTCATTATTCAACAAAGAAAACACAGATTGAACACAAAGAAATTCTAATTAAATAAAAATATTGAATAGCCTAGAGTTCAGGAGATCTGAAATTCAGTCAGTCAGACGTACTAACTTTTAATGTAGTGTCTAGTTTCAGATTCAGGTTTCCCAGAATGGGGAAAACTGCTGAGGCTAAAGTCATCAAGTGGTTCCCAGGTGAGGGGACAAAAGAACAGAAGCGACCCATGCAGCATAACTGTCTCATGACATAAAACTGATACCTTGACCTTCCTAGTTGGATTCTATAACCTCAAGTCCACTAGATTAGAAAACAGAAGTTAATAATTCTGAGGCTCAACTCTGCTATTCTGTGTCACTTTGAACAAGATATTTGACCTTTCTGCTGCACATTTTTTCTCCTCTATAAAATGATAATAAGATTTTGCCACCTACCTCTCACCAATTTTGTTATTGCTGATTTTTTTTGCACTTCCACAGTGTGCTGATGTGTATAATACTGCTCTCCAGAATTTAAGTTTGTAGGTGAGCTAATTTGCACAAGACATATACATCATAGTTTTTTTATGACTATTCACATCTACAGAGTCCATATTCCTAGCTCCATCTTCTACCAACTCAGTCCTAGGTACAACAGCATATACATATTATGTGCACATACAGAGTGGTTGCTAATAATTAGTTATACACTGCATTTTGTTTTTATTTCAGTTCTTCTTGAAATAGACATTTCTCAAAAAAAGACACACAAATGGTTAAGAGATATAGGAAAAAATGTTCATCATTGCTAAACATCAGAGTAATGCAAATTAAAACTGGTTACCATAGAGAAAACATATGTCTATAAAGTTATTTCAAGATAAACCTATTTCCCTCATGTGATATGTATTTGTGTTCTTATCTTAGTCTGCCTGGGCTATCATAACAAAACGTTATAGACTGGTGGCTTACACAAAAGAAATTCTTTTTTTTTTTTACACTTCTGGAGGATGGAACTCCAAGATCAAGGTTCTGGTCAATTCTGTTTCTGGTGAGGGTGCTCTTCCTGGCTTGCATAGGGCCACCTTCTTACTACATTCTCACAGAGACTTTCCTCAGTGAATGCACACACACACACACACACACACACACACACACACACGGAGAGAATGAATTTTCCACTGTCTATTCCAGTGTTTATTTTTACAAGGGCACTAATCTTATTGGATCAGGGCACCATCCTTATGACCTCATTTAACCTTAATTACCAACCTTAAGGATCTGTAGACTGAAAAATATAAAACACTGATGAAACAAACAGTGGAACACATAGAGAAATGTAAAGGTATTTTGTGTTCATTGATTTGATGAACTAATAGTTTTAAAATGTTTGTACTAAACAAAGTGATCTACAGATTCAATGCAATCCTTATCAAAATTCCAATGACATTTTTACATAAGTAGAAAAAAATCCTAAAATTTGTGTAGAACCACAAAAGACCCTGAACAACCAAGGCAATCTTGATTTTTTTTAAAAAAGAGCAAAACTGGAAGCATTATACTATCTGACATAAAAAAATATACTGCAAAGCCATAGTAAATAAAATAACATGGTAAACAGAAAAACAGATATATCGACCAATAGAATAGAAGAGAGAGCCCAGAAATAAATCTATACATTTACAGTCAATTGATTTTCAACAAAGGTGCCAAGAACACACAATGGGGAAAGGATAGTCTCTTCAATAAACTTTCTTGGAAAAACAGGAGATTCCCCTGCAGAAGAATAAAATTTGACCCTTTTCTCATACCATATGCAAAAATTAACTTAAAAAAAGTGAATTAAAGATGTAAACATAAGACCTAAAACTGTAAAACTATTAGAAGAAAACATAGGAGAAATGCCCCAAAACATTGTTCTGGGCAAAAATTTTCTTAATATAACCTCAAAAGCACAGTCAACAAATGTAAAAAATAAACATGGAATTGCATCAAACTAAAAGGCTTCTGCACAGCAAAAAAACAAACAAAAACAAAACAAAATAAAAAACTATTAGAGTGAAGAGACAATCCATGTATTGAAAGAAAATATTTGCAAACTATATATCTGATAAGTGGTTAATATCCAAAATATTTAAGAGACTCAAACAACTCAATAACAAATAAAACAAATAATCCAATGAAATAATGGGCAGAGAACCTAAATAGATATTTCTCAAAAGAAGACATACAAATGGTCAACAGATATATGAAAAAGTGCTCATCATTGCTAAGCATCAGAGTAACGAATATTAAAACCACAATGAGATATTACATCACACGTATTGGAATGACTACTATCCAAAAGATGAAAGGTAAGTATTAGCAAGTGTATGAAGAAAAGGAAATAACTGCTGTGCATCGTTGGTGGGAATGTAAATTAGTACAAGCATCAAGGAAAACATACAGAAGTTCCTCAGATAACTAAAAATAGAATTGACATATGATCCAGCAATCTTACTTCTGGGCATTATATACAAAATAATTGAAATCTGTATGCAGAAAAGATATCTGCACTCTCATGTTCATTCACAATAGCCAGGTCTATGTCTCTTTCCAGATCTATTAATGTTTTCTTCATATATTTAGGTGCTCCAGTATTGGCTGAAAATTTATTTACAATTGTTATGACCTCTTGATGAATTGAGCCTTATGTCATCATATCATGACCTTCTTTGTCTTACAGCTTTTGATTTAAAGTCAATTTTGTCTGATATACTTAGCACTCTGCTCTCTTTTGGTTTCCATTTGTGTAGAATATCCATTTCTATCTCTTCACTTTCCAGGTATGTATATTCTTAAAGGTGAAATGACTCTCTTGTAAACAGATACAGTTGAGTCTTTTTTTTTTAAACTCCTTCCGCCACTCTAATGCTTTTGATTTTAGAATTTAATCCATTTACAGTCAAAGAAATTGTTGATAGCTTAGGACTTACTACTGCCATTTTGTGAGTTATTTTCTGGTTTTCTGTTTGTTTTTATTTTTTGTAGCTCCTTTATTCCTTTCTTTCTCTCTCATGTCTTCCTTTGTGATAGGTGATTTATAAAGTGTTATTCTCTAGTTCTTACTGTTTATCTTTTGTGTATCTACTATAGACTTGTCCTTTGAGGTTTGCATAAGGCTTATATAAAATATACACACTATTATAATCTGACAACAACTTAACTTTGAGCAAATAAAAAACATTTTTACTCCACATCTACTCTTGCATTCTGTTTTCAATGTCACAATTGGCATCTTTTTATATTGGGTATACATTAACAAATTATTATAGGTGTTATTATTTTCAATAGTTTTGTTATTTAACCTTTGCACTGAAAATATAAGTAATCTATAGCCTACCTCTAGAGTATTAGATTATACTGAATTTGACTGTGTACTTACTTTTATCAATGAGTTTTATAGGCTTTTGCTTTTATCTATAAGTTTTATACTTTCATGTTTTTGTGCTACTAATTATCATCTTTGTCTTTCAGTTTGAAGAAATACTTTTAGCATTTTTTGTAAGACAAATTTGGCTGTGATAAACTCCCTCAGCTTTTGTTTGTCTGAAAAACTTTTTATCTCTTCTTCATTTCTGAAGGACAGTTTTGCTAGAAACATTATTCTTGGTTGGCAGTATTTTTTCTTCAGTACTTTGAATATATCACCCACTCTCCTTGCCTATAAGGTTTCTGCTGAGAAGACCGCTACTAGCCTTACTGGAACTCCCTTATATGTGATATACTTCTTTTCTCTTACTATTAGTTTGGTGCAAAAGTAACTGTGGGTTTTTCCATTCCTGTCAATGGTAAAACCACAGTTACTTTTGCACCAACCTATACTTTCAGGATTATTGCTTTGTTTTTGATTTTTGACAATTTGATTATAAGATATCTTTGTGTAGTCTCGTTTGGATTGACAATGATTAGAGACCTTAGAACTTCCTCTACCTTGATATTTATATTATTCCCCAGATTTGAAAATTTTTCTGCTACTTTTTCTTTAAATAAGTCTTCCAGTTTATCTTTATTTTCTTTTTCTTGTATACCTATAATTAAAATATTTGTTCTTTTGATGCTGTCTCATATGTCCTGAAAACTCTTTTTATTCTTTGTCTTTCCTCCATTGACTGTGGACTTCCAAACAGCCTGTCTTCAAGTTTACAGATTTTCTTCTGTTTGATCAATTCTGTTGACATTCTATTGTATTTTTTATTTCATTCATTGTATTTTTCAGCTCTAGAATTTTTGTTCAATTTTTTATGACTTCTATGTTAAATTTCTAATTTTAGATGTTTATTGATTACCTGATTTTGCCAAATTTTTCCTCTGCATTTTCTGGAAGTTGACTGAGCTTCCTTAAGACAATTAGTTTAAAATTTTTTGTCAGGCAATTCACAAATCTCCATTTCTTTAGGGTCTGTTACTGGTGCTTTATATTGTTCCTTTGGTGGTATCATGTTTCCCTGACTGTTCTTGATCCTTGTGGCCAGATGTTAGTGTTTGCACATTTAAAGATGTATTCAAGTCTTTGTAGACTGGCTTTGTTTGTTTTACTGGTAAAGTCCTTTACCAGTAAGCCTGTCTAAAAATTCTAGGCAGGCTGTCTGATGTAATCTATAGGCAGGCTTGCTGCTGGAGTCCTTGAGTAGGCTGACTTGGTGTCTGGGTCAGCAGATAGGTAGGCCTGGCACCTAGGTTTGCAGTAATGGGCCTGGAGCCTTGATCCACTGGGATGGACCTATTGATTGGATCCACAGAGCTGGTTCTAGAGCTTGGGTTTATAAGAGTAGAGGCCAGGTGCAGTGGCAGAAGCCTGTAATTGCAACACTTTGGGAGACAGAGGAGGGCAAATCATTTGAGGCCAGGAGTTCGAGACCAGCCTAGCCAACATGGTGAAACCCCATCTTTACTGAAAATACAAAAATTAGCTGGGTTTGGTGGCGTGTGTCTTTAATCCTAGCTACTTGGGCAGCTAAGACACAAGAATCACTTGAACCTAGAAGACGAAGGCTGCAGTGAGCTGAGATCATGCCACTGTACTCTAGCCTGTGCCACAGAGTGAGGCTCTATCTCAAAAAAAAAAAAAAAAAAAAGTGGGCCAGGATATTGTATTTGTGGAGCCAATCTGAAGCCTGAGTCCATAAGAGCTGACCTAGCACTGGGATGGACCTGGCACCTGAGTCCACTGGGATGGGCCTGGGGCCTCTGTCCATAAAGGCTAGCCTAACACTGGGATCTACTGAGTTGGTCCTGGACCCTGAGGCCACTGAATCCTGGGGCCAGTGGGACTATCCTGGAGCCTAGGGCAGGCATGAAGCCTGCATACAGAAGAAGGCTGGTCTAGTGCCTTGGATCACAGTTGCTGGCCTGGCTTGGTGACTGGAGCAATAGGAGCTAGACTCTAGGTCTGCAGGAACTGGCACGCTGTCTGGGTATGTCGGTGTTGGCCTGGAGCTTCAGGGGTGGTCCTGGGGCCTGGGTCTGTGGAGGCTGGCCCAGTGATGGGGTCTACTGAGAAGGTGTGAACTCTGGGTTTGCTGGAGCAGGCCTGGACTCTAGGTCTGCTGGAGGGAGGGGCTGTAGGGGCTGATCTGGATGGCAGAGTGGCAGGAATAGCTTGGCACTGAGAAGGTCTGGATCCTGTTTGTGCGTGCTGGCCTGGTGACTGAAGCCAGGGTTGCCAACCTGGCACTGGAGAAGGCCTGAAGCCTGAGACTAAGTGGGCCCACCTGGCTCTGGGCTGGTCTAAGACCTAACCCAGATCTGGAGCCTGGGCCACAGGGCTTGCTTATGACTAGGGCTGCAGGGGTTGGCCTGGTGCTGGCATGGGTCCAGAGCCTAAGCCAGGCCTACTGACTAAATATGTGGGATTGGCCTGGCATTAGGACCCGTCTAGAGCCTGGGACCTCTGGAATCAGCCTAAAATGGTGCAGCAGAAAGTCTGCCAAGCAGGCCTAGAGTTTAGGGCTGTAAGATCTAACCTAGTGCTGGGGTGGGCCTGGAGGCTCAGTCTGCAGGTACTGGCCTATAGTCTGGTGAGAAGGTCTGCCCAGTGCTGAGTTTTACTGTCACAGGCCCAGTGTTGTAGTCTAAGGTAATGTCCAGCACTCCCGTTTTTTGTCCTTCCCCTAAGCAGAGTTTATCTCCATGCTGTTCTGCCTGGGGTTGAGGTAGAGATGACATAGGTAATGTAAAACTATCTTTTCTACCCTTTTCAATGCATCTTTTTTCATCTCTGTGCAATAGCCAGGTGCTGTAATCTGTCACTTGGTTTTTACAATTATTGTGAAGATATTTTTATGCATGAATGGTTATTCAAATTAATGTTTCTACAGGAGAGGAGCTCTGGAAAGTCCTGTTTTGCCATCTTGCTGATGCCAAAACTCTCTAGAGAAGTAGACTCTTACCTTAAAATTAGATTTGACAAAAAGCATGGTCTAAATATTTGTGTCCACCCCCACTCCTAAATTCGTATACTAAAAATGTAATCCCAATGCAATAGTATTAAGAAGTGAGTTATTTAGGGAAGTGATTAAGTCATAAGGTCTGGTGTCCCCAAGAATGTGTTTACTGTGCTTATAAAAGAGGCTCCAGGGAGTTTGTTCATTCCTTTTGCCAGGTGAGGATGTAGCAAGAAGTTGACATCTATGCAGCAGAGAGGGAACCCTTACCATACACTAAATCTGTTGCTGCCTTAATCTTGGACTGTCCAGCCTCCAGAACCGTGAGAAATAAAGTTCTGTTGTTTAAGCCACCCAGTCTATGATACTTTGTTATAGTAGCCTGAACAGACTAAGACAAGGAAGTACAATACATTAAACAGATAAAAATGGGGTGTTTGTCTTTGAAGTGAGGGTGAGAGAATCTTCATTCCACTCTAGAATTTCAACTCTACAATATCTCATCAAAGAGAGCCAAGTGAGGTCTATCAGAGCTCCTTATGGAAAATAGAACAAAATATTTGTAATTATAACCCAAATTGTCACACGTCAACCAAGCATCCCATCCCTTTTCAGCTTCTTCTAGGAAAATACCTAAGTTTAAGTAAGAGTAAGCTCTCACTTAGTTTTTTATATATCTATCTGATTCTCTCAAATATTTTGTGATTTCCTGCCAGTAAATGACATACCTCAGATCTCTTTTATCCTTAAAATTATATCCAATGTCTTATTTCTGAAATACTGGAGTATGATATTTATGATAAACAATGGACTTCAGCCTGGTCATGTATCAGCATAGAATCACAGAACCATACAAGGGGATAGAATCTTGGAGACTACCTAGTTAAGTCTGCTCATTTTACAGATGAAACTGAGGCCAAGAGAATCTCTCAACCATTAAGTGTCAAAAAGGCATAGAGAATTCACATCTCTGCTTCCCTCAACCAACCATCTCTTCCCTAAGGTGTGTGCTCTCTCAAAATTCATTTCTTATAATCCCCAGTTTTGAACACAGGGACTTATATTTGGAAAATTTTGTGAGTTAAATTTTACTGGAGGGCCAGACCCTCAGAAAATTCAAAGTAAACCTGGGATGATCATCCAGTGATTTTCATTAAACATCTGACATTTATCTTATAGAGGTGAGTTTATCTTACCACAATTCTTCATTGCAGTCATGGGAAAATAGCAGCACTTACCATGTGAAGGTAAATATTATGGCAAGATAAATATTAACTTTTGAAAAAAACCACTCTAGCTGGTTAAAAATCACAAATGGCATCAGTTGTTTAAGGTTTACGCTCTTATACAGTCTCTGTGGACAATAGTTTCTTGAACTAAATCTGTTTTTCTCAGAGATTTAATACTAGGGTAAAGATATCTGGTATTCTACTCAATACAAAGAAATTTCTTAGTTGCAATGACAGTGTGCAGCACAGAAGGAATTCATCCAGGGATATTTGACCTCTCTCTACACGGCTACACTTCTTCTCTCACTAGGCTCATCCCTTCTGTGTTTACAAGTATTGAATCTGAGATACAAAGAAATCCCTCCTGACTTAATCCCTGGCTCAGCAGTGTTTAAGACAGCCAGAGATTTTCAGAGTTTTAGTTAGAAGATGACTCGACAATGCCTATAAATCACCTATATGCTGTTTTCTCCTCCTTGTACCTAGTGGGAACAGTCATATGAGAATGAATAATTAATTTGTCCCTCCTCCCTCAACAGGCCCTGAAGAAAAAAAAATGGAGAGAGGTCATGTTATACTTTATGCATTAGTTAGAATAGTCTGTTAACTAGTTGGAGAATGCTTTGTAAGCCATTACCTCACATAATAAAGGCTGTTCCATCTTGCTTTTCTCCCAAAAGAGTTGCCTGTTCTGTCTTTACCATTTTGTTAAAGGGTTCATAGCATGCCTTAAAAGATAGATAAAGAATCATTATTCAAATGTTTATATTAAGCTCCTACAACACAGGGATACTCCAATGATATAAACATTTCCTGGATGATTGCTGCTTTCTTTCCTTATATGTAGAGAAGGCCTCCCACAAGAGGAAAGGATCATGGTAATTGGAAGACACAGATGTCAGCTACACAAATATGCAGAAATTGGCTTAAAAGGCATTAAAGGGTTTCTTGATAAATAGAATGTTTTTGAAAACATGTGTGTGTGTGTTTTCATCTGGACCTACTGGGGAGCAGCTGGCTTATGGAAAACAATTGCAATGGAACTAAGAAAACTAGGTAACTTGTAATCCCCTGATATCTCTGAGTGCTCACTGGAAAGTAAAATAAAAATTATTAGCCAAGGGAAAAAATATAGTATTTTGCATGAAATGCACATCATGTTATTAAATGAATAAAAAAAGCTTACCTAAATAATTTACACAATTTTAGGCCCACAAAGGCCCATCGGAGGCAATTCACCTATTCTGGTGGTGATCTCACAGATAAAAATCGTTTGGGATGTTCTTTCTCAGAACTGCACCTGGAGATGAGGACTTAGTCTTTTAACTATGCAAAAGATTACATTCTTCCTTTGATGGCAGGTTTCATTGTTTAGGAATGAATAGTCATTTGGCAGTCAATTCTTAATAACCAGATAATTAATAGAAGAGGATAATACTGTTATTGGCAAACAATGGTTAAGTGACTATTAATTAATGAGTTGATAATTTAAACAACAATGAAATATTTTCTTAAAAATTGCACCCTGGCACAAAAGGCAATTCAAATAAAGAAGTTTCCTGAAAAGTTTGGGCAATGGCAGAATTGCTGGAATTGGTACATAGCTTCCCAAAGACTTCCCAAAGAGACTATTTTTAAAAGGCAACACTTGGTTGCAGGAAAAGTTCTGCCTGTTTAAAAGAAAAAAAGGCCTGTAGCTTTATAGTTTTACCTTATGCAAGTTGAATAAATATAGACTAAAGCAATGACAATTCCACAAACTCTTGAAAGAGATCTATTCATAGAAAGACCTTGTGGCAATCATATTGTAAAACCTATTGTTTATGTAGAATATTGAAAAGAAATCCAGCTACATAGAAGAAATGGAAAAAGAAGTAAAGTGCTCAACCCGGGGGCCAGGCTGCTGGAAAATGAGAACAATATGAGACATGAGTCTCCTGAGATTAATGAGTCCAGGAGGGTTCACTTTTGTTACAAATTACAAATCGGGTCTGCTGTAAGGTAGTTTCAGGTTTGGAATTTAGGGTTCCCCAAGGGTTCTATTTCAAAGAACGAACCATCTATGATGACGAATGTTTGAAGGCAATACATCAAATAATATCTTTATGTGCATGGCTGGGTTTTAAATCACTCCTTCTTGAAGAGAAAAATAAAATGGCAAATTTTAATTCAAATGCCACAGGAAATGTTTAAATAATAATACTAATAAAATAAAAATAAAGCAGGCACAGAAAAGGAGAAGAGAAATATACACTTACATTCTAGTTCAGAGGGCGTATAAGAAATACAGGATACCTTTGTGTACAAAGAATTCTGTTCAGAAAAGAGACTTTTGTCAAGTTTAGGATTGCGAACATGTTCAAAATTTTAACTTTGATGTTGAAGCTTTTGTTCCATTGATACAACAAACCCTTGACTTTTGTGGAAGTAGTTCAAATTTAAAGCTAAAGTGACAAAAGATTATCCAGGCATCAATTGCTCTTAGCAATAAAATGGTGATGCTAACTATAGCTTGTTGGGTGAATACTAACTTGGCACATTCAAGCTGAAGGGAGCAGGACCCATTCTTGTCAGCCAGGAGAATATCAATTATCTAGAGTCTAACCCAGAACATTTACAAAGGAACTTTTAAAACACACCTGAATTTTCCCATTTAATTCAGTGGGTCAACACATCTGAATGAGTTTATAAACCCTCAACTTTATTGATTTCCAACTTTTTTTATTAGATACAGTTATGCAGCTCTGTTTGTTCTTTGGCTGTAAAAGTCATATTCTAGGGCTTATTGGTCTTTGTGCTAAAAAAAATACTGGTTAGTTGCATTTGTTTGAAATATTCTAGGCAGTATTGGCTAGGGGAAAATAGTATGACAAAAGAGGCTATACGTTTTTTTAAAAAAATCATCTCTTCTCCCGAAGAAATCTGACTTCTCTTCTGAAATCTTCCCAGTAGGATCCATAGAAAAAATGACAGGGAGCTGCTGGTTGGTTTTTCTGGCTGCTAAAACATATGTTGTTATGTCATGTCCTAAACAGAAAACTGAAGCATCCCTTTCAAATCCTCAGCACCACTGACACTTCCAACAAGTGCTCTCGTATTGGTTTTGGTCTTATCTGTTCCTAACAGACAGCCTCAGGCCTTGGAAATTTGACCTGAAATAAAAATTCAGCCCCAAGTATCTGCTGTCAATTGTGCAGAAAATAGGAGATGACAGCAAAGTCACTTCTGCATGCTGAATTAGATCTCTTTCCAACATCTTCTAATGTCATTATTAGCACTCAAATACACTGTGTCAAAATGTGTCTGTGTAGGGAGATGGACCGGGCAACATCAAGTTTCCCTCTTAGTCAATTTGACAAGCTATTTTTAATACATACCTCTGCATAGGGAATTATTTAGGAAAGGTACCTAACCTGTCACAGAGATTTGGAGATAAAGACATTCAAAATGGACACATATAGTCAATAGGGAGCAGCTTATATAATTCAGTTGCAATTAGCTACTTCCAAAGTTGGGCAAGGCAATTGTAAATCTGGTCTTATGGAATCTACAAGCCAAAGAAGTAAACTCAACTTCGAAATTCCCTGAATTTCAATGGCTCACAAATAGTTGTTTTTGATTCAGGATCTTTCATGATGGTTCTATCAAACATGAAGTTTCCACGTCCCTTGTGAATCTGTTCTATGTGTACAGAATTATGCTGTAGTAATGAGACTAATTTTATAATTAATCAGTATCCTTAATTTATTATAAACATACTGCACATGCTGTAATGGGTGAATTAACTTTGAGTTTGCACAAAGTTTCCATACCCTGTCCCATCCCATACCAAAGAGCCACTTGAAAGATGTTGATAAACCCTCTGGCAGCTTATGTAACTACATTGTTTTCATACAAGATGACAAAGATGTTTTCTCATGACTGCAGAAAGGAAATCTAGGATAAATGGATGGAACATCAAGTCAGCTGAATCAGATGCAATGTAAAATATTCTCTTATTTTCTGAGAGTCTTAGAAAGATAAAATATTTTCTCTGGAGAGGGAATATATCCAATTGTTTGGGATGATCAAGAGTGAATCGAACATCAACAATAGTTTTATTAATTGAATTCAAATGCCCCTTCCTCAAACCCTGGAGATCTATTATTCAATGATTCTTTGACTTAAAATGAACTAAGCCTATTTCTATTCAAGCAGAATACATGTGCCATTCCCAAAATCCCGAAGAAAACATGCTGAAACTTTAGCTCGTAGCCAACTACCACGTATACTATTTAGTTCTGACCCAAACTACACGGAAATTTTGAGAGTTATCAGCATCATCCTTAATCTCTCTCCCTCTCTGGCTACCCTTTACCATAGTACTCTACCTATGGATTTTGAAACACACACACACACACACACACACACTTTTCAGTAGGAATTCTCAGTCCTAAAAGATTTTGGCCAATGAAATAATGCAACAGCTCTCCACAGAGCATGAGATTGTCAAAATGACCCTCATGATTAAATCCTTGCCCAGGCGTATATTGAGAGAGGCAGGAGGCGATAGTTAAGTCAAAATCATCATGTAATTTCAATTGCCATTTGTCTTGTTATCTAGGTAATGTTCTGGCAAATGTATTTGTGAAAGGAATCTCCTATGGCTTCTCCTGGGAGAAAACAGGACATCTTTGACAGAAGCTGCTTATCACATTGGCACGGGAATTAAAAAAATATATATTTATTGAATATTTACTATGTGCTGGGTGTATTTACATGCTCTCCTTCATTCCAATCTCACAATATCCTGTAAGTCAGGTATACCCATCCGCATTATGATAGATCAAGCAAAGTATAAATTCCTGAAACTCTCTGCCCAGTGAGAAAGAACAATGTTCTTCTGTTTGCCCAGAATACTTTCTTCCCATCTTCTCCACCTGCCACCCTCCAAACAGAAGTGTTCCAGATCTTCTGCTTTCTCCTATCACAAGGAAGAGGAGTGGTTCTGGGTTGCTTCAACATAAGGCAGAAAGCAAATGTGGTTTCTACCTGTAGATATGGTGAGTGGAGTTAGAAAATAAAGGCCAGAAAGGTTACTACAAGGAAAAGCTGAGGTTGAACCAGGGAACAGTGGTTCCCAAATGGTGTCTGAAAAGGAGAGTCTGAGCATTAAGAGCTGAAATAGAAGAAAGTAGGCATGGGCACAAGAGCAAAGCTTTGTAGTCAGAATGATTTAAATGAGCATTATGGCAGCCAGATTCTGGAAATGAGCCCACCACATATGATTCCCAGAGCAGGTCTGCGGTCCTAGTCCTCATTGCTTGGTTTTACTCTGAACAGATGAAAGTGTGACAAAGATTCCTCACTGATCTTTCAATAACCATTTTTTCTCCAAATATTCCCAAAGTCCTCCCTAGTCAATTAATTGCCACATCCTTGGTGTTGTAGCAACCCCTCATAGCTGTCTTCATCAACACTTACCTCACCACATTGTCAGTGCACATCTCCATCTAAATTTAGAGCTCTGGTTTGCGTAAACCACGTCTTAAGCCACCTCATTCGTAGCCCAGAAGATTGTATGCCAAACACTCAACGAATAGTTGTTAAATGAAGGGATGTATGAACGAATGGGCTTTTGAGTTACTCTGACATAAGTGCAGTATGTCCGAATGCTTCTCTATAATGTATTATATTTCAATTCTTAGATGCATATTTATGTCAGGCATCTTAGTATTTTTGAAATTAGAATGTTTTTAACAACGTAATACACTTTAAAATACTGTCTCCCCCTCCCCCTCACCCCGCCACACACACACAAACTGCCACTTAAACAATGGTATGCCTTCTATCTCTTATCGAGGGAATAGCATATTTTTATGATGAGAAGAGATTCTTAGAGATAGAACACCTCATTCCAAAGAACTATCTTTTGTAATGGTGAAGCGTTTGGGCCTTGTAACAGTTGGGAGGTCATGCCCTGGACTCTTCCAAATCCCACTGCCCTCACCACCTGCTGAAATACAGCAGAGCCACACTACAGGGAAGTTAAAGGAGAAGTTGCTTTCACACTCTAACCCTCAAGCATGTTCCAGGGAGTATCTTCTCATGTGCACCTTGTGAACAAGAAGCAAGAAACAATATAAAGGTGTCCAAGTATAGGCCCTTAGACCACTGGTTCAAGGTCAATGGCACAAACACTAAATAGAAAACATGCAGATGCCACTTCTAAATTCCCAGTCTTTTGTCTGCGCTGCTTTCAAGATAATAACACTTTCTTTCCTGTACAATTTGTTAATGTGCCCACCCCCTTTTCCAAGCTGTTTTTCTTAAGGGCTGGGACCATGCCTAATTCATTTTTATAGGATAGCAGGTAGTAGTAGAATTCTTATTACAAATGAAAACACTATGCTTGCTTTGCATATTTTAATTCAAATAATTTAATAAATCTTCACACTTCACACTCATTATTATCCCCATTTTTTTTTTTTTTGAGACGAAGTTTTACTCTTGTTGCCCAGGCTGGAGACCAATGGTGCTATCTCAGTTCACCACAACCTCTGCCTCTCTGGTTCAAGCAATTCTCCTGCCTCAGTCTCCTGAGTAGCTGGGATTACAGGCATGAGCCACTGCGCCCAGCTCATTTTGTATTTTTAGTTGAGCTGGGGTTTCTCCATGTTGGTCAGGTTGGTCTTGAACTACCGACCTCAAGTGATCTGCCCGCCTCAGCCTCCCAAAGTGATGGGATTACAGGCATAAGATACCATGCCCGGCCTATTATCCCCATTTTATAGATGAAGAAACAGCTCTAGAATGGTTATGTATCTTGCCCAAGTTGCAAAGCTAGTGAAGTGGTGGATTAGAGACACAAACTGGGGTTTTATTGAGTCAATGGTCTTACTTTATTGTAAGAAGATTAAGTGGAGTTTATGTTGGCTTTTACACTACACCTCGAACATTTACATTTCTCTGCCTTGAAATACGAGGTGCTGCTGCTATTACATTTTGTAATCATCTTTCAATAGAGTTAACATCAGACAAAATATCAGGCAAAAACATTACATGAAGTAAGAAAATATGTGGTATTATGATATAAAATGAAATTTTAAAACTTCAGTGTTTTTATATATTCTAGGAACCCATTTTAGAGAAAAGTGAGATCTTAAAGAGCAGTGAGACCAATTCTTCTCTTTTTCACATGGTGCTGGTCAAAGAGCTAGTTAGTGGAAGAGGCAATCAAGCACTATGTCATATCCTTAACTTCTTAACAGAGAGAAAACTTGGTTTGCATTCTGGCATCTTGTTGCTTTGCTTTCATAAGGAGGTTTCTGTGTGAAAGAACCTTTTGGTTTCATGCAAAAATATCTCCACACTCTGATTTTGTCATGTGTTGCTGAAAATAAATAGTGGTTACAAATGACTACTTATTCATCACAAAGTATTAGTGGTTATAAATCATTTAGAAAGTGTAAAATGCAATTAAAATATGAACTAATACAATAAAGCCCATCTTTCACAGTTTTATGAGTGCTAGAAGGAAATGCAGAAAATAATGGGAAAGTTTAAATTGGAAGGAACTGATAAATTACTTTGGAAAATACTTGTCACAGTTTAGTACTAACAACAATAATGATAAAGCATGCAAGGAGCACATCAAATACCCTGCTATCCTAGGAGCTTGGCCCTCTATGCTTTAACCTTGTTACTAGGGAGGTTTCAAAGTTTTTCTATCCCCTAAATGCAAAGAACACTCTGCCTTCATCCTCCATCAGCGTTATCCCATCTTACATCATTTTGGGTTTTGGCTGTCCAATTTCAAAGTACGGGCGGGGAGCTACCTCACCCACTCCACAAAAGCATGATCCCATCTCCTGGCTCTGAAATCCAATGCCTTCCTCAGTGGATCCTCTCTTGACCTTTGTAGGTGTGTTTTCCAAAGCACTTTGTTTCTTTCCTGAATTCTATTGCTCCAGCTTTTGTTCTGGCTGTTTTCTCTACCTGACATACCTTTTCATGTAATGTTTGCCTTCAGTAGTTAGCTATATTTAACGCTCACTTAAAATCCTATCTTGTCCATTAAGTCACCTACACTTTCCTCAGCTAAAATTAACTTCTCACTCTACAGTACCCTCGCATCACCTTTGTACTTCCATTAGAGCTCAATTACATCAGACCTTATATTATTAGAAGCATTTTTGTTTGTAGCTCTCTTTTCTATAATGCCAGTGGATAATTCTTCCCTTTTGCTTTGATTCTCTCACAGTGCCTAGACGACTGTGTTTGCATGTGTGCGTGTGTATTTTCAATAGGTGCTCTATATATTTGTTTCATTGAACAAAAGAATCTTTGTGAAATTTTACATTCAAAGCAAACAAAAAAGGCTTTTTAAACTCTTAGATTGTTTGAGTTCCACCTCTTGACTCTACCCTTTTAAGCAGGCCTTAGCCCGGAAGGATCTCTAAATTTATTATTATTTATAACAAGATGTCACCTGTTCAGATGGTCTACAAATGGAAATGAATATGTTATTTTTTAACTGTCTCGTTCCCATATTTATATATTGAGAGTAACAAGTGGCTGTCCCAGCAGATCTCCACTTATTAGATACTGCACCTTCTGGAAACCGTTTGCTTCTTGCATGCCCAGAAAGAGGCGCGCTTGATGTTTGGACCATGATGAAGACATGACTGAATTCTTTTATCCAACAAATATTTCTCAAGTGTCAATGAGTTTTAGGTACTTAGGGGAATACAGAGAGACAGTATGATCCCTGACTACCCCTGACTATGTTAAAGAGGAGGTTGGACTTTAGAGTCAGATTGAAACAGTTCATATCCTCACTCTGCTGCCTACAGTGTGTCCATGGGTAGTGCAGTGCCAAAATACAAACCATGTAGAGAGGGTTCATGGTGCACAGGCACTGAGGTGGCAGGCACTTCCTATCCACTGAGTTATACAGCCACCACTTGTTACTATTGTCAGTTATGTGAATATGTAAATGGTTCAAAGTAATAAATTATGGATTTTACAAGGTTATATTCATCAAAGAAAATAGCAGTCTCTGGCATGTAGTGAGAGTACTTTATACAAAGTTTGTTGACTGAATGAACCAAATGTCAAAATATGAAATAAGAGCAGTAAATGCTGGGGAAATTTGGAGGAAGTTTGTCCATTGTGAGTTGGGAAGCAAAGGAAGTGAAGACCTCATGAAGGTAAATAGACCTAATCCTCTGAATAAGATTGAAACTAGCAAGGGACAGGAATGGATCAAGTTCTTGGGAGCAGATATTGTGTCTGTCTGGTTCACTGTATGTTTCTAGCTTGTAGGGCAGTGCTTAAACATAGTAGGCATTCAATAAATATTGATTATACGAATGAATGGCTTCTATGTATAAGGAATTTTGCTGGTAAAAATAAATCAGAATTGACCATGGTATCTATTATGAGAAAGTGAGATAAGGAGGCAATCAGATGACAGGATGGACAGGCAGGAGGGAGATATGGTCAGCAAGGGAAAATTAAAGCAGATTTGGGAAGCTTTGAATGTCAAGCTGAGTAGGGCGAAGAGAAGCCATCTCAGGTTTGTGTGCAGGGATCTTGAAGGCAGAACTGGAAGAGAGTCTGGGAACTAAGACATTAGGTGGCATAAGGCGATCAGAAAAAGACTGAGTGGTGGCAGAAAGAAAAGAAGGAATAAATAGACTCAATGGCTAATTAGATAGAGAGTATGACGGGGAAAGTCAAGCAAGACTTTGAGGTTTTAATCCTTTGACACTGAGAGAATGTGGATGCCCTGGAAATGAGTAATGTGGGAGGTTGTGATGACTTTCCAGGAGGCTGGTTGTGTTTATTTGTGGGTGTTACATCCGAGCTGATGGAGGAGTATCTAGGGCATCTGCTGTCTTATTCAACAAATATTTTTCAAGTGTCAATATGTTTGGGTCACTCACTCATGCGAATACAGAGAGATGACACAGTTCCTTGCTGGTCCTGAATGTGCTAAAGAGGAGGACGGACTTTGGAGTCAGGAAGATACAGCTCGAAAGTGATGACATGCCTTAGACCTGAAGCCTGAAGTTCAGAATTCAGATTTCAGATGAGGTCTCATAGTTGGAGCCTCACCATTAATTAGATCCAGTTCTTCAAGAAAGTCAATAGAGAAAAGTAGCAGAGAACAGTGATCAGAAAAAAGGGCATGGTTTTTCGTAGCTGCGGCCTGGTGGAATAATACCCTTTGCATAGCCAGCTCCTTCTTTTTCATTTATTACCTTAAATATTGCCTAAGAAAGGTTTTCCCATCCAACCCATTATTTTTTTTTCTCCAGCATTTATCTGTTTCCTTCTTACTTCAGGAAAGAGCATAGTATTCATGCCTTGTCTTTGAAAAAAAAAAAAAAGGTCTTCGTCTATCACTGTAATTTAGGGTAAGGACTGGGTTTTCTTATTCACCATTAAATTTTTAGAATTCTGTGGCCCAATAAAACTTTCTGCAGTGGGAATAGAAAGTCAAATACTGCATGTTTTCACTTTAGTGGGAACTAAACACATGGATGTAAAGAAGGGAAAAATAGACACCAGGGCCTATTTGAGGGTGGAGCATGAGAGAAGCAAGAGGACCTAAAAACTGCCTGTCAGCTACTACACTTATTATCTGGGCAATGAAATCATCTGTACACCAAACCCTTGCAACACACAATTTACCCATGTACAAACCTGCACATGTACCCCGCAACCCCGAACCCAAAATAAAAGTTGGAAAGAAAAATAAATAAATAAATAAATAAAAGTACTTGGACTTCTGTAGATACATGCTAACTGTTAACTGAAATGATCTATGGGTAGTAGAATTAGAGGTGATTAGTATTTTCTCCTTTTGTAAATCTACATTTTTCTGATTTCTCGGTAATGAATGGGTATCAGTTGGGTAATAATAAAATAATTAGTTCCTACCTCCCAGGCCACAGTATATGTTAACTGAGATATTTATTCACTTATTTGATAAATATTTATTAAGCATCAAAAAAAAGAACTTTCTGCCATGCTGGAAATATTCTATATCTGTGCTGTTATAGTAGCCGCTAGTCTCAGTGGCTAATGCTTAAAAAGCAACTGGTGTGATTGAATACCTAAATTGTATATTTTAGTCACATTTAATTATTTTAAATTTAATTAGCCACATATGTCTAGTGGCTATCATATTGCTCATCACAATTTTAAAGTGTACCTTAGAACAAAGCACACAGTAAACATCAATAAATGGAGTCTGAATTAATGAATGAACAAAATGCAGAGTAATCTGGCTCATGTAACTCTGGATTTTTTTAAAATATCTTCTATATTATAGCATTAGAGCCAGAGCTTGGACATCACTTACTTATCCAAAAGTATATAATGGCAAAATTTCATAATAACATCTTAGCCCTTTATTGTTATTATAAATAGAGATCTATAAAGCGTAGAGTCCAAAAAGGCACTAATATGAAAGGGAAGGGAAGAGAAAAGGAAAGGAACACAAGAGAAGGCCTTCAATTTGCTTTCACTATAAAAAACACAGTCCTGGATGGTTCCCTCTTATTTTCATATGTTTCTTCTTGCATCTGGATCGGTATCTGTATATCTCAATTCTTGGGTCCTTTCTTTCACCTCTAGTATAAACAGTTGAGCACTCAGAATGACCCAGTTGATATGTACAAAAATCAATGTCTAAGAAAAGGGGAGTCTGCCTTATGTTCAGATAAAATACTGTTTTATCAGCAGTTACAGAAATGCAGAAAGCTCCCTTGACCACACACCAATATTCAGATACACACACACACACACACACACACACACACACATACGTGCTTGTTATGCAAGGAGTAGAAAAATTTCTGTTTGAAATAAACTTAACAAACATCAAGATTTAAAATACCAGAATAATAGAAGTCAGCAAAGAGAAGCAAGAGAGCAAGAGAAGAACTAAGAAAATGCATCTGGAAGATGTCCAATATTCTACAGATTATTTTATTATTTTAGAACCAATCTGTATACTGTATTATCAAAGTTAAAACAATAATTGATACTGACACAATGAGTAGAGAATTTTACTCTTTATAACTTACTATAGGTTTCCCATAAGGGTTTAAACGTAGACTTTTAACCTTCTCAGAAAATAAAATTTTTGGTCACTGAAAATAATTGGTAACTAAATAGTAAAGACAAAGAAGGAAAAATAAAAATATTATTTTCAGTTCATTATTCTGAATTTTCTGCCACAATTCTATAACCCTGAGTCTTTAACACATTACCATAGATATTAGTAAAAATGCAAATACAAAAAAAGATTAGAAATAAAGTTTTTCCTACTATTGTTGACTCCTTCTATTGCATTATTCTATGTAGGACCATCATATGGGTAAAATAATAAGATGGTAAAATAAGTTTCATTATTTAATAAAATGGAGATAAAGGGTCCAATGAGAGCTAGGTAGTAGTTGTCCTCACAAAAACCTATGACAACGTGACATTTTTGTTTTTCATCACAGATTAAAGTCCACAGGTTTCTCTGCTTAAGAGGATCATGAAGTGCTTTTGCTATAAACTTAGGGTTCCAGCCTTAGGCCAGAAAGGGCAATAATAGGAAAGGGAATGGGATACAAGAGGAATAATTTGTGTAAATTTGAGTGAAGACTCTACAAATTTGGACCCTGAAAAGGATCAAGCTACAATTTAGGCAGGAGGTGTAAGCAGCCAAAAATAGTGTCATTTTCTTTGTGTACCTTTGAAAGACTGGGACATACATGACTAGTGAAAAAAGAAAACATAATGTCTTTGAAATGTGCCCATATGCATCAATCACCTCTGAAGCTCTTAAACTTCAAGACCTTCCTTGGACATCTTTAAACAAATTAACTGTCTGGTCCCTAGCCTAATAGCAGCAGTATTTCAGGGCCCACTGGAAAGGCTGAGCCTTTTCTCTCAGTGAAAAAATGGTGATTGAAGAACTTTTCAGACAGAGGAGAGCAGGAAGCGAATCTGACTCAGAAATGAAACGCAGTTTAGTTAACATTTCCCTTATCCACATATGTGTATTTAAGATAGCCTCTTTAATCTCATATAAATGATCTTTTAAGATTTAATTTCCTTTTTCTTGTTTAAATATGTATCAAACTCTACAATAGGCTTACCATAAAAATAAATCAAGCTACGTAATGTCAGAAAATAACACTTTATGCATAAGAATTTCTAGTGCCCTGGAAATAGTAATATAAACCCTTAGTGTAATGCCTATTTTATCAGCCCAGAGAGATTTTAAATCATGACCTTCTTTGACTTGAAACATTCAGAACTCTTCTGAACAAATATTGAACCAATGGGTAGGCATTATAATCTGTTCTGACAAAGGGTGACTCATCAAAATTCTCTGAGCCTTGGTTACATCTGTGAAATGGGGAAAATATATAACTGGCTGGCCTGCTGAGAGAGTGAAATGCAGCAAAATTCATACATTTTCTGGCACAAGAGCTGCCAGCATGTAGGAAGTACTTGCTCAAAAATAGAAGCATTAAAAAAATTGAAAAAAAAACTGGATTTATCAAAACTGTTGTTATACTCGAATAATTTGGTAAGAGTTGTAATTTCAAAATCTCTCACATTTTAAAATTTAACAAGACACAACATGTGAAAATTTAAAATTTTTTAGTTCAATAAATGGAATAAGAATTTGTCACCATGAAGTTGTTTATGAAACTAACTTTTGATTACTCAAGCACCCATACAAGTCAGAATAAAACATATTTCCACAGTAAAATAAACTACCATCAAAGATACTTGAACTTAGCATCCGTTGGAACTGGCTTTTTTGTTTTGTTTTGTTTGGATTTGTATAGAGTTCTGTCTACAATAGCAGATGTGTGTTTGCTGCAAAAGAAGTCAAAATAAACCATTACAAAGAACATTAATGGGAGGCGTAAGTGTTGGCAACACTATGGGATCCATACCTCAATAAACAAATTAACAGCACACACTCTCAGGACATATAGACAGAGATCAATGAAAAGATGTTCTTGCAAATGGAATATTGAAAGGCAAGCAATTGTACACTTCTGCCTTCAGCATCTTTCCAATGAAAAGCAAGTTTCAAAATAGCAGAGACTGCTGTTTTTTTTTGTTTTTTTTTGTTTTTTTTTTTGCCCCTAATACAGAGTGAGTTCACCTTTCAGGTATCACATGAACCTCTCTTGAAATACTAGTCATTAGGAATTATACCTATGAATACAGTGATAGAAAAGGGATTTGTCTACAGCTAGTCCATTCCAAAAATGGAAGGAAACACTCTCTATCTGAAACACCCACTTCCACTTCTCTTTGTGTGTGTGTGTGTCTGTCTGTGTGTGTGTGGTGTGTACATGTGCACAGGAGCCTAAAGCTCTCTGAGGGAGAAAAACTGAACACCTGGGTGCCATGTATATATTTACACACACACACACACACACACACACACACACACGGTCTCTGGGTGGTGGCTGTCATTGCATCTGCAGACAAATGAGATGTGCCAGCCAGGGTAGATTGGTAGGGGGGAAGGGAGGTGACAGAAGGACAGAGGCTCATGTTTCATGTATTCTTTTTTCCTTTAAATCCCCATCATGCCACAAAGGGGGCTAATTTACGCCTCAAATTAGTTCATTATCTGCATTTGTATCCTTTACCTGTCATTTGAAGAAACATGATGCTATTTAGAAAATTCATAGGGATGTTATTCTTTCATCAGAACATAGTGCTGCACTCTATGCCTGCTTTGTTGTCAAAAAAGGGTCTCCTCACAGTAGTTTCTGGATATGCTGCAGGTGAAGTAACTGAATATAAGAAAATCTGGGTACCAAGGAAAGTCTTAGGAAATAAGTAGGTGTCATGACAGGGACAATTTTTACAACAGTGAAAGATACATCCCTGGTCTGGCTTATTGGTCTATTTTATTAGTAAAACCTGTTTCTGTGGAATAATTTTTTTTCAAAAATCACCATCAAATTAGCTAAAAAAAGAAGAAAAACTCTATTGGATATATTGATAAGTCAGACTTTTCTAAAAATCAAAATTGCCTTTTGATTGGTTTTCTGGTAATTGTTATTGGGTAATCAGAAGCTTTCAGAACATCTTTTCTCTGTCAAGTACAAAACAAAACTGCAGAATAAAAGCAACCATTAAAAGCAGTTTCAAATTTTTTAAAGTCACTTATAATTAAAGCGTTTGTAGCTGCTGGTATCTTGTTTGGGTTAATACCAACATGATCAATTTTGTGGGTCCCCCTTATAGCTCTTCCCGCCAATCATCAGAATAAATGTTTACCTGTGATGCATATAAGTGATACGTCTTCAGGAAAGAAAAGTTTATGAATCAAGTGAAACTGAATTTTTGTTATACTCAGCATGAAAACTGTCCATCTTCTTATCAATTTTTTCTTTAAACACATCTGTCCTTGGGGCATTCATTGTCCTATTTCTTCCCTCTCTATGATCAACCAACATCAAAAGTATCTTTAATTAAATAAGATAATTATATAAACCTTTTTTTTTTGGTTCTAGACATCATTCAAATTTTCTAACTTATAAGCCCTCTTATTTGAAAGTCTCTTGATGACACTGTATTCTTTGAATCTAGAGATGATGCCTTTGACATAGTCTCTAACTACGGAAAGGTGATTGATTTGTTTTTCCATTTTATTCGGGTATGCACTTTTGACTTTATTGATGTCAACCTAAATGAGGTCATTAAATGTTTAGTGTTTCGTTTTTCAAAAAAATAATAATCATGAGCAGAGAACAGAGAAATTAGTTAATTGCTAAAATCCCTCAGCAGGATGTCAGATGTGAAACAATGGTGTTCCCAACTTCTGAGTTAAGTTCTGCACTTTACAATGATGAGATTGAAGTGATAACGGAACATGAAAAAGGATTTGTGATTACTGGGATAAAGTGCTAATCTGTACCACAGAACCTGCTGCATATATCCCTAACATTTACTCTAAAACGCTCTCAGCTTTTAAATCCACCCTCCAAAATTAGTAGGGGGTTAAAGTAGAACCCATTGGGAGGTTACATTTATTTAATATTCAGTCCTTTCTTGGATGAAATATTGCAGTCTATCCTCATAGGTATTTGTCAAACCATTAGAGTAATGGTTTATGGCTATTAAATGAAATTGCAGTTCTGTTTGTAAGTTCCATTTACACAGGATAAGCAAAGTGCCTTCATTTAGATTTAAAATACCTGGAATCTTAGCAGCAGCACATGAAGATTATGTAGACTGTTAACTAATTCATAACCATGGTGTGAACACATCACAGACCAACCTGCTCTAGTTGCCCGTGACACACAAAACCCCACTGGGTACCCAGAATTACGCTGCCACACTCTGAGCTATTCATTTCATAAGGGTTGGGCAACCTGGCACTAGTCATTTTTTTTTTAACAGCTTACACTTTTTGGTTTTTTAGAATCAAATGAAAAGGTACTTTTAATCATTGTTTCCAGCACAGGAATATTTGATATAATTCCCTCTGATAATAAATGGAGAATCATACCTAGATTTAAAACAAAGCTTTCCTTGGAAACCTTCTCTGTGCCTTTTCCCCCATGCGTTTCACTTTATAGGCAATTTGTACAGACACTGCTGAGTACAAAGGAACTGAGATAAATGAAGTCTTTAGAACTTCACCTTTCTCACTAGGTGATGAGTTTGGCTGCTTTCAATAGAAAAGACACTCTTATAGTCAAATGATTAATTACCAAAACTCACATTTTTGGTCACAAGGGATACTCCAGATCCCGCCTCTTCCTCCAGAGTGAGTTAACACTATGTTAATGGTCCTCCCAGTTTACAGTGTCAGTTCCCAGTGGATTCTTACTGGAGTGCCCCCTCCTACTCACTATTCCAGGCTCATGTATGCACATGCACATGTTTATACTATTTTCCTTAAAGGCTCTGTGTTTTAATGTAGCATAAGGTGCCTTGGTCAGGGAACGCTGCCCAGTTGCACCCTTGTAACAATAAGACAAATGTGTCTCCTCCAAGGGTACCTGCTTCATAGATGCACAACTTAGCAACTGGAGCAGCAGTTGGATTTCAGGACTCTTTCTCCCCTTGACCACAACTCTTGTGCAGGGCTCAATCTGCACAATTATTTGAGGCAACTCTACCTTATCCTACACAACAATGAAAACAAGTCTGATGGCCATTCACGTAAACCGCTCAGCTCTCATCCTGTGGGAAGCAGAGTTGACCTACAGCCCCAGCTGCCACCATTTTGGATGTTCCAGCACATTTGTGTCAAGGCCATCCTTCTCCTGGCTGCTCCTGGCAATGACTAAAAACTGCAGAGTATGAGACCTGGCCCATTCCTGTGGAAAGAAGCACCTCTCTAAAGGACAGCTTTGGTTTGAAGACTGCCCATCAGCCTAGCCAAAACTTTCTTAGAACTATGCTGCAGTCTGAGAGTTTCCCTGCCCAATCCTTCATCCCCAACTCCTTTCTCAGGGATCAGATCAACATTGAGGTCTCCCCTTAGTCTTTCACAGACATATCCCTCAATTACTTTTTGCATGTCTGATTCTGTCTTGGTGCCTGCTTCTTAAAAGACGCAATACAACAACTACAATTCTGGAGTGTTTCCATGTACCAAACGCCAAACTAAATGCTTTACCCCTGATTTCCCCTATGACCCTCACAACAACCCTATGAAGGGAATTTCCTTTGCACTCTCTTCATTTTGTAGCTAATGCAGGGGAGGTTTAGAGGGTCACCAGCATTCACACCATCACACAAGTTGCAAGAAGCACAGCTTGGATTTGATCACAGGTCTTTTCAAGCCATTGTTCTGAATTACTCTGCTATACTAGCATGCTATATTTTTTCCTTGATGGGACTGAGAGAAAGACTCATTTCAAAGGTGGACATTTTTTCTCACAAAATGTGACAAAAATGAATACTCCCTTTGCCTTGAGAAAATCACCTAAGTAGTCCATTTACTAACCCAAATATAATGTAATAGGTACTTGTAATTCTAGAAGAAAACCTCATAACAACTCGAATTCACATGCTTTAAGACTGAGAATCTAAGTG
This sequence comes from Homo sapiens, assembly GCF_000001405.40. Classification (NCBI taxonomy): domain Eukaryota; kingdom Metazoa; phylum Chordata; class Mammalia; order Primates; family Hominidae; genus Homo; species Homo sapiens. Next base: position 95,681,708 of record NC_000001.11, on the reverse strand, counting down.
GTTTATGTATTAATAATTATTGTTTGAGAAGTTGTTGATCTGGAGCAGAAAACTCTAAATCTTTAGAGATGGTCTATCTCCAGAATCTACCAGGGGACACTGGCATTCTAACACTCACAGCTGCTGGGAAGGGCAAGAAGGTTGCCCAATTCCCATGCTTCAGACATCTCACTGAGTCTGGTTTCTACCCAATCACAAAGAATGCAAAATTACAGAAAAACACTGGATCAACATCTGAATGAAGATTCTCACGAGTTCTAGAAAAGTCTGGGATAGTTGTCGCCTTGGAGGGAAATAAACTACTAGATTTCTGGACTTCTTAGATTATGGCAGAACTGTGGCAAATTTTTCTTTTTTCTGGAAATAGACCAAGACACATGAGATCCAGCCCAAGCTGTGTGGTAAATATCCCTGTTACAGTAATAGGAATCAGCATGTATTAAAAGCTTTATTATACACCAAACACTGGATTAAGTGTTTTGCTTATATTACACATGGAGTATAGTATTTAATCCTTTCAAGAGTCCTATAAGGTTAGCGCTTTTCTTATTATCCCAGTGTCAAAATTTATGAAACTGAGGCTTAGAAATTTGAAACTATTTACTGAAGATCATACAACCAGGAGTGGGTAAAAACAGGACTCAAAACCAGACCTTTCTGGTGTCAGGGCTCCAGCTTATTCACTAGAAAATACCTCAGCTGGAATTCAGATGGACAGAGATTCACCTCTGCTTAAGCAATATGTTTCAGAAATTGTATACTCAACACTATTCACAACAGTAAAGCCATGGAATCAGTCTAAGTGCCCATAAACGTGGATTGGATAAAGAAAATGTATTACGTCTATGCCATGAAATGCTATGCAGCCATAAAAACCATGAAATCATGTCCTTTGCAGCAACATGGATGCACTAGAGGCCATTATCCTAAGTGAATTAATGCAGAGACAGAAAATCAAATACCATGTTCTCGCTTGTAAGTAGGAGCTAAAACAATGGGTACACATGGACATAAAGATGGAAACAATAGACCCTGGGGACTCCGAAAGGGGAGAGGGAGGAAGGGGTGTAAGGATTGAAAAACTACCTATCGGGTACTAGGTTCACGATTTTGGTGGTGGGTTCAATAGGAAGCCCAAATCCCAGCATTATGCAGTATATTCATGTAACAAGCCTGTATGTGTACCCCCTGACTCTAAAATAATGAAGATTTTTTTCTTTCTCAAGGAAGCCAAGTGGGTGTTTTAATAACATCATCCAAAACGAGAAAGGAATCATATGGAACAGAGTTGTGTACTGTGCCAAGCAATATCCCCAGTATTAAAAAATGCAAATAACATTTTAAAATACTGAAGTTGTAATATAGCATCACAAAATGAGGTTCTGCTGATCATCCATGGTCCTCAAACTTTAGCATGTATCAGAATCATCTGGTGGGCCTATTAAAGCGCAGGATGGTGGCTCTCAGCCCCAGGTTTTCTTATGCAATAAATCTGAGAATTTGCATTTATAATAAATACCCAGGTCACACAGATGCAGATGGCCCAGAGACTCATTTAAAAACCACAGATATAGATAGAGATCTTCATACCTAAGTTTTAATGTTAGAAAAATGACAAATAGCTCAACTCCCTGAACGAATGAGAATGATAAAGCACAAAATTCAGAGCGGTGACAGTAGGACATGGCAGGACTGAGATTCTCAGTCCCTAGCTTATCATGCCCTCGACTCTAAGAAAACTGCCCCTGACCAGAAAGAAATCTGGACTAGTCCCCAGCAATGTAGCAAACCAGCCCCAAGGAAGGGTAGGTGGGATTTGTCTCTGTAATAATGTTTCTTTGAACAAGTATAACATTGAGATAATCAGAAAGGTGCTCCCATGAGGAACTTGTATTTTTTTCCTTTTCCTTGAGGAAATTCCGGCCAGATCCCATGGATTTTCTGGACACTCTTTAAGAGTGTTTATTAAGACTCTCTCTGGACATTTTAGTTGCTAGGAGGTCTTGCTTTAATAGAGGGGTTAACAGGTAACATATACTGATTTCAGGCTTGGTACTGCATTTAGACTTCAAGCATCTCCCCATGTCCCTGGCTCAGGTTGGCTTCAGGTTGGAAGCATACAGTGGAAGAAGTGGAAGCAGGTGACTGCTCCATTTCCCTGCCTAGAAATTCGATTTCTCTAACTCCACTTGGTGGATAGCCAGTGGCACACCTAGTGTTGGGAGAGATGTGGTGCAGGAAATCTTGTGGACACCGGTGTCATCTGGTGTTGATTTCCTCAGGCCCTGGCAGATGTCGGGAGCTCTGTCTCCTGCAAGTGCCCATGGAGCGTGTAGTAGGGGCAGCATCTCTCCTTGGGCTTGCTTCTCATGGCTCTCTCACAGCTGCTGCATCTGAACAGAACACTGCAGCCCGTGTTGGCTGAGGTCCCTTCAGTCTTTGCAGGAAACCCTCCTGGGCAGGGGTCTATTTTTAAATAGCCCTACATAGACATTTCTACTACAGATACCTTACCTGTTCACTGGGAAACAAGAACCCCTGACCTGTTGTCAGGGGAAGGTGGTCTCCTCTCAAATGTCCCTTTGCTGCCACAGGCCATTTTTAACTCTGCTCTGCTGAAATTTCTTTTTCTCAGGTTTGAATCAGATTTACCAGGTTCCCAGATTCCAGGAACCATTTACATGGCTGTCTAAGTAGTGTCTTTGAATCCTTTGTATTTTTTTGTTCTGGGCTTTCAAAAAGGAGTATTTAAACATCATGTTACACAGCCACAAAAATTTAACCTATCTCATAGGCTACCACAAATGCCCTACCTTTGCTAAACTGATCATGACTTGTGAGTCATGGTCAATAATGCGATTCTGAAGTACCTCACTAAGATGACAAGAATGGAAGCTGTGACATCTACATTGCAGCAGATAGAACCTTCAAGACAAAGGGACAAAATGGCATTCCAGAGTTTACCCCAGAAGGACTGGTGGCATTCTAAAATACCAAACAAGTGTAGAAAATACTCTTCCAGTTATTAACGCAATTTTATTTTTTGTCAGTGGCTAAGGAATGACCTTTATAATAATACAGTTTCCATGGGTTTTAAAGGGATCAGAGATATGAAGTAGAGAATAGATAACATAACTTGTCATTGACTAAATGCATATGTTTACCCCTCTCCCCTTGCAAAATTCCAATAAAGTCCAGAATAAATATGAAAATAAATTCAAAAGAGCACTAGAAAGCTAAGGAAGATGGGAGTAGAGGGAGGGAAAGTGCCAGAAAAACAGAATAGTGAGGAATTTGTCAAAAACATAAGAAATAAACTGAGTGGGAACAAACTAACAACAAAAGCCACACACACAAGAGAGAGGGTGACAGAGAGTCTGCGAGCAAACTGTGTGGACATTCCAAAAGGTGAATGTAGAAGAAGGATAATTGTATCCTGTGGATGCAATGAAAGGATGGAACTGTCCTGACCATACCCCCACCTGCTTTCAGAGGGCAGGTCCCATTCAGCTTTCTAAAGTGAGACTTCTGACACCAAAGATTGTCAAAGAAGTTTCTGTGGCTGCAAACCAGTGTCCCAGTTATAGAAACCATGAAAAAGGAAGAGGATCCCTGCACCCAGAAGAAAAATTCTCATTATACCCCACAGGAAATCTCACCCAGCCGCATATCAGCTCTCTTTCTAAACAAATGGTGGATTAAAGAGGAAATAAAAACTAAAAATATAGACAATTCAGAAAGCACTAACTATAACAACACTACATAGCACCTTCTATGAAATACTTACATGTTTTACCTTACAATTGACAAATGGAATTTCTCCCGAGTTTATACTGGAGCTCATTTTATGTTTCCTTGACATACAAATGACTTAGGTCCTAATTTCAACTCTTAAGATCAGATACCTCCATACATTATGGGGCTTCAAGTCCCACTCACCACTGGGAGGGTCCCATTTTATCCCTAACACTAAGGATTTCATTTATTGTTATTGAGCTCAGAAAGGTGTTTTTTTTCTTAATGCTCATTTATTTAGCTTGAATTGGAAACTTTCTTTATAGATCAGCTCATTCCACCCTCTTGTAGAGAATCTCTGAATTAATTTCTATTCAAAAATGTGCCTAAATGTGTTTTGCTTATTCACTTCCCCATGCTTCATTTCTCACTGCAGTCTATCTAACTATACCATTATTTGCCATTTCACAAATCATGCTTTCATGCTTTTTTGTTATTTCTCCCGTTCTTTTCATATGAAAAATACATTTTCATCTTTTGCAACACTGTTCAAGCATCGCCTTTCCTGCAACACCTTCTGGAGATCCCTCATCTGCCCTTGTTCATCACAACTGCATGATAGCACTCCTCTTTTTTGTATTGTAATTACACCTTTGTGCCTGTGTCCTTTTGATGCTATGAGTTCCTTTGGGGGACTGATGGAATCAAAATCATTTTTTGTCGAAACAATAGCACCCAGCATGGTACAGAAGTTGGGAGCCATGAACCTGTGTGGAATGGATGAATGACTTCCCAGGCAGAGGGGTAAGTAGCTATGCAGAGGAAAGGCATGCCCTGTCCACTTGACAGGAGTAAAAATTACGAGCAAGGAATGAAAATTGGTTGGAAAAAAAAGATGCCTAGGGTCAAATCTACAGTGTATTGAGAAGTCACTTCAATATTTTAGTCAAAGTAGAAGTTTGGTAATATGATTTCTTGTAGAAACATTTAAAAATTAATTGGAAGGAAGAAAAGGCTGAAGGTTAAAGGGGTCAGTGAGGAGTAAATGGCATAATTCAAAGTTCCCGAGAAAGGTGTGTAGGAAATTCCTTAGGATGGTTAATAAACTCTAATAATCCTCCCAACCTCCTCCCACAAGCTCCACAGGATACAATTACCCTTCTGCCAGTTCTACCTGGAATCTTTGAAATATCCACACAGTTTGCCCAGGAGCTGTCAGGTTTTGAAGTGCAGCAATGGCTTATAAAAGAGTCCGAGAACAGATACCAAGTGTGAACAACCTCCTCATTTTCAAGGCATACCTGCCTTCCCCACGATTTGTCCCAGGCTGCTCTTGACTCATCATCTTGAATGACATTTATTGGGAACTCCCAATAAATACAGGTGTTTCCCTCCATCAATATAAAAATATTGCATTACTTTTCTAGAAAGATAATTACCTACCTGCTTCTCAAAATGTAGCAATTAGCTCATTGTTCTCTACCTAATTTCTAGATGTTGACATTTGAAAAACACCTCTGGCTAACACGGTTATTAAAAAGCTTCTAGGTGTCAATAAAGGTCTGTTGAATAAATGATTCATTAATATATTTTAATGGTGTTAGATTATCTTAAATTCTATTTTAAACTATTCTGAATTACACACCCTTTTAATCCCTTGATATAATTTATATATAATAAATATCCAACAGCTAAGAAATAGTTGCTTTCTGCTATAAACAACCAGTTCATAATCAATGAATATGAAATCTACTTTTTTTAATACTCAAAAATTATTTATCTTACTTCATATTCATGTGAATTAGCAAGATCAGAAGTATCATATATACAGGCTCCGAATGAATAAAAATAGATTATAAAAGCATACATATTAAATGATTCCATGAGCAAAATTATTCAACCATTTTTATCACCACCCTAAGTTGTAAATAATAAGCATTAACCTATGAAATTATCCTGCATTAAAACCTTGCATATTCAGACTCTGAGAAACAGAATTTCTGGTTCATTGACTATTCTGATTAATAAAAAATAACCACACTCACATTATAACCAGATCACCAATTACCAAAGAAAGAGAATAAAGTACACTTATGCTCAGCTGAAAATAAGTTTATCTGTAAATTCAGATGTTGCACTAGGATGTTCTGGCACCTCAAGTTCATCAATATGAAGTTCAGTCATCAAAGGACTATGTTAAAGAAAAACATTATTGTCTTAGTATATCACGGTGAATGATATTTTATTAAAGAAATATTCATCACTCTAAGTAAGACATTTCCCCACATTTAATCTGTCCAACAACCTAAACTTCGGAAAATAGATGTATATTTGAGAACTTAAAGGAAAACTAATTCGATTTAAAGGTTTGGGTATTTTTTAAAAAACATAAAAGTTTAAAATGGTGCTGCATGTTCAGCAGACACAAAGCAGTTTCAGAAGATGTTACAAGTCTCTAATAACCTACACAATAAAGTGATTTAACACGTGCACTCAGCAGACTTTCCAGGATCACCATGTCACTAAAGTCAGCTTTACTTGGGCCTAGTGTTTCTAATCTTATTTTCTTGGTATTTTCTGCATGATGCTGTCTTTCTGCTTCCCTGATTGGCTTTTATCTTCTTGACTCTTCTACTAGGTAGTAAACAAATTCCTGCTGAGTGGTAAACAAAACTGGAGGCAAGGCAGGACCTCTGGGAGTTGCAGCTGACACAGTTATAAAAAGAAGTCTAAACTCTTAAAGAGATGAGAAACCTTTAAAGGAAGTAGAGAGCAAAGCACTGAAGTTTTTCTTCAGTTTCACCATTTGTACTAAAGATGGCTGAAAAGAAGTCAATAAGAGAGAAAGATAGCTACTGGCAATGGAACAAGCAATGATCTTCAGAATTTTTTTTCTTTGAAAGAAACAACAAAGCCCTAAGTCAAATATTATTTCACTGGCAACCACCACAGTTTCTGGAATTATAATAATAGTTTCTCATATTTCTAGGATGCTTTGAAGTTTACAAGGCTATTTTGCATATATTATCTTATTTGGCACCTACAACCTGCCCCAAAATGCTTTTGCAGGCCTCTCCCTGACTCTCCCCATACCCAGCTTAGGGTCCTCTAACCAGGCCCTGCACACTACCATCTTCAGGCATTCACTGTGCTCCTTTTGTTTATGCAATTCAAATTTCCTCCCCAGTTGGCCCATCTCAATCTTATTTGGCATTTGAGAACAAGGTCAAAATACTACTTTCTCTGAAAAGCCCTTCCTGGTGATCCAGCTCAAAGAATCTTACCTTCCTTTGTACACTATGACAATCAATGTCCATGGTATCACATTAAAAAATTATGTTCTGTGTCTCATAAGATCTGTTCTATTATTATAGCATTAAAACCTCCTATTATTTTAATTTTTCCTACCAGGTGTTGCCTTCTTAACCGAACTATAAATCTCATGGAATTGGGTATGAGAACATGAGCAATTCATTTTGAACAAACTGGGCCTGATGGATTATGATTGGCCAACTGTGGTTAGGTCCTGGGACCCATAAGGGAGCAGCCAAGAGGTCACCTCACAATAGAAGCCCCAACACCAGGGGAGAAGGAAATGGAGCTGACTCATGGACAATTGATGTCTATGGGGAGCAGGAATCAAAATGAAGATTTCGTGTGTTCCTCTGTCACACTTGTTATTCTACTTAATTATAAGCCTCTTAAAGGTAGAGACCCTGTCTTATTAACAGAATTTTCTTCAATGAATTAAACCAGAAATAGAAAACTAAGGAGGGAGGTCAACCAATAATGAAGGAATCAGAGGAGACAGTAGATCATACCAACAGTGAATGCTAGGAAGACAAGACTAAGTGAACAAGAGAGAGAAATACTCAAAATTCTGTGGCAGGACTGCTGATACATTCTTAGACCCAGTCTCCAAACAGATGGCTTCAGACCCAAGTGGGAAGAACTCAGGGATCTACTAGTACTTTAAATGACAAAGGTTTAGGGTAGGCAGGGATTTAAAGCTTCAATCTCCGGGATTGCTTGTCAGAGTTGTAAAGGTCATGGAACAGTATGTGCCAAGAAGCAGAATCTGTGTCATCTATTAATTGAAATTCACAGCAGAGTGGACTCCATACAGCAAGGGCTCCACAAATATGTGCTCAGTTGCGTTATTGTGACATATACATAATTGTGTGGGTGTGTGTGTGTGTGTGTGTGTGTGTGTGTGTTGCCTCTTGTAGGTTTTTCTATTTATTCTGAAGTTCAGAGGCAGGAAAAGCTTTTGTCAGTGTGGGGAGAGTCTAATCTGGAAAACAGATACTATTCACCATATTCGGCCTTCCCTGTATAACAAGTCCTGGAAAAGTCTACCATTTTTGGTTCCACTTTCTCTAACTCACATGTCAGGATTCTAACATTCAGTTCAACACACAGTTGTTGTCTCTAATGAATCTGGAGTCAGGAATAAACTCTGATGGTTATTAAAATATTGAAGCAAATATACTTGTATAAACTAATATGCCGGTTTCTGTCAGCAGACCCATGGAGGAGTTGGCCTTAGCAACATTTTTTGGTAACAAAAAAATTTAATTGCAGAAACTGATTTTTAAAAGTAGTTATACTACAATGTCCAACTCCCAAAGTTACTCTCATCTTCAGCATCATTTAATAAAATTCTGTTCAAGTGAGACTTAGGCTTTAGGCTTTAGACATTCTTTACAGTATTGTCTTATTTAACATTACCTGTAAATTACTCCAACACTTCGCAGCCTAAAATAGCTGTATAGATTTATTATCTTTTAAAGTTTCTGTTGGTCAAGAATCAGATCATGGCTTAGCTCAATAGTCCATTTCAGGGTCTTTCATGAGGTTACAGTCATAATGTTAGCCAGGGCTGCAGTTGTTGGAAGGTTTAACCCGGGCTGGATAATCTGCTTTTAAAACGTTTTACTCTAGTGGCTGGCAAACCAGTGCTGGTTGTTGTCAAGAGGCCTCACTAGGTTAGTTCATTACCACATGGACCTTTCCATAGGAGTGAGTATCCTCATGACATGGTAAGTGATCCAAGAGATCAAGGCAGAAGTGGCAATGCCTTACAGGATTGAACCTCACTTCTGTCACATATTATCTATCACAAAGACCAACTCCAATACATTATGGACAAGGACTACATAAGGACATCAACATCAGAAGGTGAAGATCCCCGGGGCCCACCTTAGAGTCTGGCCACCACAAGTGTGCTATCAAATGATAACCCAAACAACATCACACTTTTGCATGTCATAATTTTCAAAAACATTGAATAAAAAACAGTAGCAGATACACCCATAAATAATCACTATAGTACTATTATTCTCAAAGATTCAGGAGTAAAGCATTTAAAACAAGTAATTTTTAAGTCATATAATTCCTTTTAAAATTATTTGGGGAGAACAAATGGAGGCGGGCAAAGAGATTTTCACCATGAAATGTAATGGGAAAATGCCAGCCTCTTTTACTTTACCATGGAAGCACCAAGAATTTCAGAGACCATAATGATAATGGTTAAAACCAACACCAGTCCATCACAAAGTGACCTTTGTCAAAGCAAAACAGTATCCCATGCTTCATGAGTCTTCATTTGTAGAAATGAAATCTTCCTTTTCTTCCTTTTAAAAATAGAAATTTGAGATACTATAACATCAAATCCATACCCAGTAAGAATAAAAGGTAATTACTTTAAATTGAGTAAATTTTTAACAAAATACTCCTCTGTTATATGAAACACAATAAGCTGAGATGGATTGAAAAAATGTAATCTTTAGTGGGCTCAAAGCCAACCAGATTCCCAAGGGTTAAAAATATTTAGCATTAAATTGCTAGTTCACTTCTTGCCCTCTGATAACCAGGAACAAAATTGCTTTTCTGTTGCATAAAGTATCTTTCAAATTCAATTGCTTATCTCCTCATTCATTCAAGAAAGAGAGACCTCAGATTTACAGGAACCAGAGCCCATAATACAAATATAGTATATTAAACATACAGCAGACATCTTCTGAAAAATAACCAAAACACAGTCTATTGACTTTAACCTTCTATATCAAGGTATTCTTCAGTGGTCTCAAATGGATGCTGGCTATGAGAAATTCCAATTATTTGAATTTCTATATATAGGATAAGCATTTAGTTATCAACACACACCATAAAACATATTTTCATCTGTTATTAAAGCACTATTACTATGTGGAATTGAATGTATTTCTACTGTGAACTCAACTGCCAGTGAAGCGGGCAAGGCAGCATTTTTTGTAGAAGATTCCCTTTGCAGACCTGTTTTATGTGCACTGTCCTGTAGCAACCTTTGGATTTGCTTTTGGGTAAATAAAATAATACCCTGTGGAAATATTTTTGACATTCCTTCTTCTTTCCTCACTCTCTTTCACCTCCTCTTATATGCAATTACTCATTGCCTTGGTTTTCGCAAACTAATTTGATGTAAAAAATTATTTTTCTACAGTAATCACCGTGCCAATGCCTGACAGGCTTAGAGAAACACTTCTTGTGAAAGGAGATCTCTTACAGGGTACTGAGCTCTCTTAATATTAGCAAAATACCAAACAGTGGGACTGAGATGTACCTGACTTCTTATCACACTGATTCCAATTCTGATTAAAACAAGTTTGCAGACTAGGAAATGGAGCCAAATTAAATGTATTTCTAGAATGGCATGGATGTTAGTGATATCAGTGTTTGCTAGCATCTCCTAAAAAGCATCACTGCTCTTCATGGTTCACAGACTAGCAGAATTGGAGCAGGATGGAGAGAAGAGAGGGGAGAAAAACCCAGAGGGGAGAAAAGAGAAAGTTGCATCATGAAGGAAAAAGAAATCTAATTCAGTATCCTCTTTCTGCAACAACTAAGAGTTGATTTCTGAGAAAGCTTAGTGGGTTCCCACATGCTTCTATAGATAATTTGTCCAAAGTTGAGTGGCTATAAAAGAGCAAAGAAAAAAACTCAGGGCTTTTAATTAGGTTTACCTTTGTTTTAGAGTAAAACTTTATAACTCTTATGATTTATTTCAGATTATAAAAGAAGTAAAAAGACATGATAAAATTAAAAAGAATAAAATAATCCCAGAAATTATCGTTATGAATAATCTGATGCATATTTGCCTAGAGTTTCCCATTCACATATTATTTGCATGTATAAAATATTGCTATCTGTGCAAGTCTATCTTCAGTACTATACAATATTTTTAATTTATTTATTAATATTTCTTCATTAAATAACGCTTAAGATTTTTAGTTGTGAAATAGTTCTTTATAGGAATGTACCATTATTTTTTACCATTTTTTGTTTCATTTTCATTTAATGTAAACATAACTTACAACACTTTAATAAATGACTTTGCATATACATATTGGTCTGTACTTTAAATTGTTTTCTCAGAATGGATTTCTAAATTAGAAATTTTTAACAGCAATTTACTCATTTAAAAGCACTCTCCAATATAATCATTCCCTCAGCAAATAATTAAAAGAAAGAGAATGTGAAAGGTAATCAAGTTCAAGAAAGTCTGTATTCAAATTTTTAATAAAGTTCCTTAGTATACTTATATTTTTTAACTCTTTATTTTATTGAAGTGTAATTTATATACATTGAAATGCTCTGCTTTTAAGTGTTATAGTTTGATGAATTGAAAAGTGAATACACCCGTATAATCAGACCCATATCAATATATGAAATATTTCCTTCACTCTTGGGAGACCCCAGGTGCTCTTTCTCAGGTAATCTCTACCTGCAGAAGAAACTACTGAGAGGTGACAGCGTGCTGGCAGTCCTCACAGCCCTCGCTCCCTCTCGGCGCCTCCTCTGCCTGGGCTCCCACTTTGGCGGCACTTGAGGAGCCCTTCAGCCCACCGCTGCACTGTGGGAGCCCCTTTCTGGGCTGGTCAAGGCCGGAGCCCACTCCCTTAGCTTGCAGGGAGGTGTGGAGGGAGAGGCGCGAGCGGGAACCCGGGCTGCGTGTGGCGCTTGCGGGCCAGCTGGAGTTCCGGGTGGGTGTGGGCTTGGCGGGCCCCACACTCGGAGCAGCCGGCCGGCCCTGCCGGCTCCGGCAATGAGGGGCTTAGCACCCGGGCCAGCGGCTGCGGAGGATGTACTGGGTCCCCCAGCAGTGCCAGCCCGCCAGCGCTGCACTCGATTTCTCGCCAGGCCTTAGCTGCCTTCCCGTGGGGCAGGGCTCGGGACCTGCAGCCCGCCAAGCCTGAGCCTCCCACCCCCTCCGTGGGCTCCTGGGTAGCCCGAGCCTCCTCCACGAGTGCCACCCCCTGCTCCACGGCAGCCAGTCCCATCGACCACCCAAGGGCTGAGGAGTGCAGGCGCACGGCGTGGGACTGGCAGGCAGCTCCACCTGCAGCACCGGTGTGGGATCCACTGGGTGAAGCCAGCTGGGCTGCTGAGTCTGGTGGGGCCTTGGAGAACCTTTATGTCTAGCTCAGGGATTGTGAATCCACCAATCGGCACTCTGTCTCTAGCTCAGGGTTTGTAAACACACCAATCAGTACCCTGTGTCTAGCTCAAGGTTTGTGAGTGCACCAATCGATACTCTGTATCTAGCTACTCTGGTGGGGCCTTGGAGAACATTTATGTCTAGCTCAGGGTTTGTGAGGGCACCATTGGACACTCTGTGTCTAGCTACTCTGGTGGGGCCTTGGAGAACCTTTATGTCTAGGTCAGGGATTGTAAACGCACCAATCAGCACCCTGTCAAAACAGACCCCTGGGCTCTACCAATCAGCAGGACGTGGGTGGGGCCAGATAAGAGAATAAAAGCAGGCTGCCCGAGCCAGCAGTGGCAACCCGCTGTGGTCCCCTTCCACACTGTGGAAGCTTTGTTCTTTCGCTCTTTGCAAGAAATCTTGCTACTGCTCAGTCTTTGGGTCCACACTGCTTTTATGAGCTGTAACACTCACCGCAAAGATCTGCAGCTTCACTCCTGAAGCCAGCGAGACCACGAGCCCACCGGGAGGAATGAACAACTCCAGACGCGCTACCTTAAGAGCTGTAACACTCACCACGAAGGTCTGCAGCTTCATTCCTGAGCCAGCGAGACCATGAACCCACCAAAAGGAAGAAATTCTAAACACATCTGAACATCAGAAGGAACAAACTCCAGACGCGCCACCTTAAGAGCTGTAACACTCACCGTGAGGGTCCACGGCTTCACTACTATTGAGATCTTTTTCACTACACAGTTAGTTTTGCCTTTTCCAGATCTTCATACAAAATATAGTTTGACATGTCTTGCTTCTTTCCCTCAGCATAATGATTTTGAGATTCATCTATGTTACTGCATATATAGGTGTTTAATTCTTCTTTATGGTTGAATAGTATTGTATACTGAAATTGGTCTAGCCACTTTTCTGTTGATGGATATTTGAGTTGTTTCCAGCTTTTAGCTATTGTGAATAAAACTGCTATGAAATTTCAATCAAGTCTTTCTAGACATATACTTTCATTTTTCTTGGGTAAATATCTAGCAGTATAATTTCTGAGTCATAGAGGTTATGTTTAACTTTATAAGAAACTGCCAGAGTACACTCTAGGTGTTTGTACCATTTTATACCGCCCCTCCCGAGCAATGTATATGGGTTTCAGTTGCTCTAGATCCTTGCCAAGATTTATTGTTGATAGTCTTTGTAATTTTAGTCATTCTAATGGGTGTGGAGTAGTATCTAATTGTGATTTATAGTTTTACTTCCCTGACGACTAATGATGTCAATGAGTTTTATATGTGTTTATTAACCATGTTTCTTTGTGCAGTGTCTAAACTATTCAAATCTTTTCCCAAATTTTTTATTACTAAGTGGAAGAATTTTCTATATGTTCTGAATTTAAGGGTTTTATTTAATATAACTGTATGATATTTTATCACAACCTGTAGCTTGCCTAATTATTTTCTTACTGTTGTCTTTTAATAAGTAAAAGTTTTTTAATTTTGAGAAAGTATAATTTCTCTTTCTTAAAAATTACTATTGCTGTTTATCCTATTTAAGAAATCTTTGCTTATTGTTATGGTTTGAATGTTTTCATCTCCGCCAAAATTCATAAGAAAATTCAGTCCCCCATGCAACAGTATTGGGTGTTGAGCCCTTTGGGAGGTGAGTAAATTATGAGGGCTTCACTGTTATGAATGGGATTACGCACCTTCCCACAAATGGCTGTAGAGAGAATTTGTCCCTTTTCTTGGCCTTCTACCTTCTGCCAAGTGAGGATGCACCAAAAAGGCCCTGACCAGACAGCAGATGTCAATGACTTCATCTGGGGCTTCCCAGCCTCCAAAACTGTGAGAAATAAAATTCCGTTCTTTATAAGTTACTCAGTCTCAGGTATTCCATTATAGCAGCACAACATAGACTAAGATGCCTGCCCTAAGTTACTGCCCTATATTATCTTCTAAAAGCTTAACAGTTTTAGATTTTTATATTAAAGTCTAAGGTTCATATTGAACTAATTTTTGTGTACGGCATGAGACAGGGTTTAGGTACATGGTTATACACCTGGATTTCCAGTTGTTTGAGAGCCACTTGTTTTAAGGATCTTTTCCCACTGAATCACTTTGGCACCTCTGTTTAGAAACAACCAACTATAAGTCTATTTCTGAAATCTCCATTTTGTTCCATTGACTAAATCAGGAAAAATTTAAAGCAACAGCTACCTGATTCCATGGTCTACAATGACTATTTTACCGCTATCTTTTGAATTCCTGAAATGCTGTACCAGCCTTCCACAGGTATCCCATCACTGCTCACCACCAATTCTACTAACAACACCATAATAACAAGCCAGGAAGCGATCAGCACTCCACTTAATACTTATGATGGAGTCCTTGTTGCCAGCTGGACGGTGCATGATCCAGCTACAAATCCCATTTTAGAGTCCACTTCCTAAGACCATTCCTAGCAACACCTGGACACAAAAAGTGAGGTAGAGATTACACACAGGGCATCTACTGGGAAATGCTTTTGGGGAGAAGGCTGTAAGGGAGTAAGAGAAGCAGAAATGGACAGAAGAAGTTGAACTGTGATGCAGTTGTAACAGAAGCCTCAGGCGATTCCAACCTTATAAGGGGTCTGAAGCTGGAAATCCCCTTCAGACTTATACCAGATTGAGGCAAGTGGGGTAAAGCTTTAAACCTCCACATCAACCAGCCATTTGTTGTGGACCATCCTTGGGGAGGATACACAACCTTAGGTGTAACAGCTCCCTTCTCTTAAGGCAATAACCTTGTCCAAATAAGAACACTGGCTTCCATTACATACAAAATTAAGGAAAATGTAGTTAAAACTTATTACCAGATTTTCAATATATGTGTTGATATCTGCCATGGTCCCCCTGTCAGACTAGCAGGCAAGGTGGACAAAAGGGGAAAAGATGAGTTAAGCCACTTTTCTGAGATTGGTACTCCCCAAAACAAGTCCTGAGAAAGGGACTTGAAGCTTACTTGGGATATCATTCAAGAAAGTATAAGCGGGGGAGTGAGTAAAGTAAGACAAAAAAATGGATAAAAACCAGTAAAGGGTATTATGGAATAGTAAGAAATATATAAAGTGGCCTCTGCCCCAGGTCCCGACATACAGCTTCTAAAACCCTTGTAAATAGGGGTGCGAGAAGTATCTTTTTTTCCAATATTTGGTCTTTGACTCTGGCTCCCTATACAGAGCTTCTAAGACCACTGAACTTTCCTGAGTGATAGGAGCATCTGATACAGAGCTCCTAAATCCCTTGGAATTTCCTGGATGATAGGAGCATCTTTTGCTCTAATGAGTTGACTCTTGATGGATTCCTGGATAGGCGCCGGTCACCAGAAAGACCAAGCCATGACTAGAAGCTTGGAACCTTCAGCCCCACTCCCTATTCTCCAGAAAATAGGTAAAGGACTGGAAATGGAATTAATGATCAGCCACTTGTGTGTGGTGAAGCTTTCACAAAAATCCCTGAACTTTAGGGTTCAGGAAACTTCTAGGTTGGTGAACAAGAGTATATATACGTGTCGGGAGGGTGGCGCATCCCAACTCCATGGAGACAGAAGCTCCTATGTGCAGGACACTTCTGAACCTCACCCTATAGGCCTCTTCCTCTGACAGTTCATTTGTATCCTTTAAAACAGCCTTTGTAACAAGTCAACCATACTAGGTAAACTGAGTTCCTGGATTTCGTGAGCCACTCAAATTCTCAAACCCAAGGAGGGTGTTGTGGGAACCTCCAATATGACCTAAGTCAGAAGAAGTTGTTGGTAACCTGGGGACCTACTACTTGCAACTGGCATCTGTAAGTAAGGGCAGTCTTGTGGAACTGAGTCTTTAACCTGTGAAATTTGATGCTATCTCCAGGTAGAGAGTATTGGAATTTTGTTAAATTTTAGGACAGCAGAATGGTGTTGGAGAATTTCTTGGTGTGGGAAAAAACCCACCTATCTGGTGTCAGAAGGGAAATATTGGGAGTGGTGTGAAACAGTTTTTTTTTTCCGTATACAGGTATGTCCATGAACATGTTACCATTGTAGGAAATTGAGGTTCAAGCCTGATGGGATCTAATAGAATATTCCTCAAAATGTCTCACAGAGGGACAGGAAAGCTACAGTACTAATTCACCAAATCCCATCTCTTAAAGGCTTGAGGACTGCCCCAGAGGTTCTTCCTCACTTCTGAACAAGCTGCCCTGGTACCCGAGAAAGCTCCCAGGCTGAGAAGCAGAGATATCCAAGTGTCAAAGGGACAAAGATTTTAATGCGTATGAAACTCAGAAGTGAGCCTAGGAGGTACCAGCTGGGCATTGAGTGTGTCTGCTCTAGTCGCCAACACCACATTCTTTTTTAAAAGAACTAAATTGTATTGTTTATATTTGAGGTTTACAACATGATGCAGGATACATAGTAACAGTAAAATGGTTTCAATAGTGAAACAGATTAACCTGTCTATCATCTCACATAGTTACTTTGTGTGTGTGACAAGAGCAGCTAAAATGAACTTATTTAACAAAAACCCTAATACTGTGCAATTTTATTAACTTTACTCCTCATATTATACATTAAATATCTAGACTTGTTCTCCTTACATGTCTGATGTTTTGTATCCTTTGACCTATATCTCCCTATTTTCTCTCTTCCATCCTTACCAATGTTAACCACAGTTTCATTCTCTATCCCTGTGTGTTTGAGCCCTGTTTTTTAATATTCCACATATTAAATTCCACATAAGTAAAATCACGCAATATTTTTCTTTCTGAGTCTGGCTTATTTCACCTAGCGTAATGTACTCCTAGTTCATCCATTCATGGCAAATGGCAGGATCTCCTTTTTTAAGGTTGAAAAATATTCCATCGTGAGTTTGTGTGTGTGTGTGTGTGGGTATGTGACATTTTATTTTATCCATTCATCCATCAATGAGCATTTAGGTTGTTTCTGTATCCTGGCTGTTGTCAATAATGCTGCAATGAAAATGGGAGTGTGGATGTCTTTTTTTTTTTTTTTTTTTTTTTTTTTTTTTTTTTGATGGCATCACACTCTGTCGCCAGGCTGGAGTGCAGTGGCACAATCTCTGCTCACTGCAACCTCCACCTCCCAGGTTCAAGCAATTCTCCTGCCTCAGCCTCCCAAGTAGGTGGGACTACAGGTGCATGCCACCATGCCCAGCTAATTTTTTGTATTTTTAGTAGAGACGGAGTTTCACCATGTTGGCCAGGATGGTCTCGATCTCCTCACCTGGTGATCCACCCACCTCAGCCTCCCAAAGTGCTGGGATCACAGGCGTGAACCACCGTGCCCTGCAGATGTGTTTACAAGGTAGTGACTTTATCTCGTTGGATATACACCCAGAAGAGGAATTGCTGGGTCATATTGAGAGGTGAAGCTGGGCTGGGCTTCTGGGTCAGGTGGGGACTTGGAGAACTTTTCTGTCTAGCTAAAGGATGGTAAATGCACCAATCAGCTCTCTGTGTCTAGCTAAAGGTTTGTAAACACACCAATCAGCATTCTGTAAAAACACACCAATCAGCACTCTGTGTCTAGCTAAAGGTTTGTAAATGCACTAATCAGCACTCTGTAAAAACGGACCAATTAGCACTCTGTAAAATGGACCAATCAGCATTCTGTAAAATGGACCAATCTGCAGGATGTGGGCAGGGCTAAATAAGGGAATAAAAGCTGGCCACCCAAGCCAGCAGTGGCAACCCGCTCAGGTCACCTTCCATGCTGTGGATGGTTCTTTCGCAATAAATCTTGCCGCTGCTCACTCTTTGGGTCTGCACTACCTTTGTGAGCTGTAACACTCACCACGAAGGTCTGGAGCTTCACTCCTGAAGCCAAGGAGACCACGAACCCACCGGGAGCAATGAACAACTCCAGATGCCCCACCTTTAAGAGCTGTAACACTCACTGCGAAGGTCTGCAGCTTCACTCCTGAAGTCAGTGAGACCACAAACCCACCAGAAGGAATAAACTCTGGACACATCTGAACATCTGAAGGAAAAAACTCTGGACACACCATCTTTAAGAACTGTAGCACTCACCGCAATGGTCTCCGGCTTCATTCTTGAAGTCAGCGAGACCAAGAACCCACTGGAAGGAACCAATTCTGGACACAATATGGTAGTTCGATTTATAATTTCTTTAGGAACTTTAATACTGTTTTTCAGAATGGCTCTACCAATCTACACTCCCACCAACAGTGTACTAGGTTCTCTTTTTTCCATACCATCACCAACATTTGTTATTGCTTGTCTTTTTTATAATAGCCATTCTTAGAGGTGTGTGGTGATATCTCATAGTGGTTCTAATTTGTATTTCCCTTATGATTAGTGATGTTGGATTATATTATAAAACTATAGTAATCAAAACAGTATGGTATTGGCATAAAAACAGTAACATAAACCAATGGAATAGAATAGAGACCCAAGAAATAAATCCAAACATATATGGTGAACTAATTTTAGACAGGAGCACCAAAAGGGCACCATGGGAAGAGAGTAGTTGCTTCAATAAATGGTGCTGTGGAAACTATAATTCTACATGCAAAAGAATGAAATTGGACCCTTACACCATACACAAAAATCAGCTCAAAATGAAGGGAAAAAGAATTAAAACCAAATATAAGATCTGAAACCATAAACCTCCTAGAAGAGAACATAGGGGAAAAGGTCCTCAATAGTAGCCTTGGCAATGTTTTTTGGATATAACGTCAAAAGTTCAAGCTGCCAAAACACAAATAAGTAAATGATACTACATCACACTTAAAAGCTTCTTCACAGTAAAGGAAACAATCAACAAAATGAAAAGACAACCTATGGACTGGGAAAAAATAATTGCAAACTACAAATCTTATAATGGGTTGATATCTAAAATTTATAAAGAACTCTGTATTTGTCCATTTTCACACTGCTGATAAAGACATAACTGACACTGGGAAGAAAAAGAGGTTTAATTGGACTTACAGTTCCACATGGCTGGGGAGGCCTCAGAATCATGGCAGGAGGTGAAAGGCACTTTTTTTTTCTTTCTTTCTTTCTTTTTTTTTTTTTTGAGACAGAGTCTCACTCTGTTACCCAGGCTGGAGTGCAGCGGTGCGATTGGCTCACTGCAACCTCTGCCTCCCCGGTCCAAGCAATTCTCCTTCCTCGGCCTCCCAAGTAACTGGGATTACAGGTGCCAGCCACCACACCCAGCTAATTTTTTGTATTTTTAGTAGAGACAGGGTTTCGCCATGTTTCCCAGGCTGGTTTTGAACTCCGGAGCTCAGGCAATCCACCCGCCTTGGCCCCCCAAAGTGCTGGGATTACAGGCGTGAGTCACCGCACCCGGCTGAAAGTCAGTTCTTATATGGTGGCAGCAAGAGAAAAATGAGGAAGAAGCAAAAGTGGAAACCCCTGATAAACCCATCACATCTCGTGAGACTTTTTCACTGCCATGAGAATAGCACGGGAAAGACCGGCCCCCATGATTCAATTACCTCCCCCTGGGTCCCTCCCACAGCATGTGGGAATTCTGGGAGATACAATTCAAGTTGAGATTTGGATGGGGACACAGCCAAAATATATCAACCTCTTACAACTCAATAGTGGAAACCAAATAATACAATTTAAAAATGGGCAAAGGGTCGGGTGGGGTGGCTCACACCTGTAATCCAAGCACTGTGGGAGGCCGAGGTGGGTGGAGTGCTTGAGGCCAGGAATTCAAGACCATCCTGGCCAACATGGCAAAATCCCATCTCTACTAAAATTACAAAAATTAGCCAGGTGTGGTGATGCATGCCTGTAGTCCCAGCTACTTGGGAGGCTGAGGCACGAGAATGGCTTGAACCCAGAAGGCAGAGGTTGCAGTGAGCCAATATTGTGCCACTGCACTCCAGCCTGGGTGACAGATGGAGATTGTGTCTCAAAAAAAATTAATAATAATAATAAATAATAAATAAAAACAAGCAAAGAACTTAGCAGACATTTCTGACGTTTCTCCAAAAATTACATAAAAATTGCTAACAAGTGTATGAAAAGGAGCTCAATACCACTTTCTTCATCTGCTCTGGAGGTAGCAGGCCTAGGTAGAAGAGCTAAGGTATTCTGTAGAAAGAAGAGACCTACCAACCACCAAGGGGCTCATGTCATCCATTAACCCAGCAAGGATTTGGGGAGTTGGGACAGGTGTAACCAATGGTGATGAGTTCAGCTTTATCATAATACTGCATGCACTCCTCCTTCTTTGGAAGGTTTTGCTCTATTATATCCAGGTGACATAAGTATACCAGCATGTTTTAATGATGTGTTTACTATTGGGAAGGCCATGGTTTACTAAACAGTAATAAATAATAATGAATAATATTGTTTTCTACAATGTGATAGGTAATGTCCTAAACATGTTACATATATCATCTTTATGAATCTTCACAACGTTATGGAAATAAGTATAATACAATTTTTCTCACTCATAAGTTTGTGGGTTGGCTAGGGTGACTTGTGACTCTGTGAGCTGAGCTGAGATCAGCTGACTAGGCTCCAGGCTGTAAATTGGCTCGAGTTTGCTTAAGCTGTCTTTCATTCCAGGACCAGCAGCTCCCCAGAGCTTACTTTTCTCACAGCTGATGGCAAAAGAACATGAGGCCAAATCAAACTAGGCAAGCATATTTAACATTGGAACTCAATGTTGGTAACATTCTGGTTAAAGCCTCCCCTTGATAACCTATCATAGACAAAGTAAATTACATGGCCAAACCTAGTATCACTGGGGTGGAAAAATACAGCCCCCATGGAAGGAGTGGAAGAGAGTGAAACTTTGCAGGACACGAATGCAACCTACTATCACTATTAAGTACCTTTCTGTAGTCATTAACAACTGGTAGAACTGGGACCAAAGCCCAGTTCTTTTTTCACCCCGGCTCTGAATCTTCACAGTATTCTGGCTCTTCAGGATGAGCTAAAAGGAGATGGCGGGAAGTTGGGGAAATTTAAAGACTAACCTTTTAGAAACATATTTCTGAAATTAATCTATATATTATGGTGACCTGTGGGCAAGTAGGAGAGTGGGAAAAATAGGATTCTATTGTTTGTATTGGAGAGGGCATGGTTCAACCAATCAACTGTGAATTGCTAGGAAGTTAAAACAAGTGATCCAAGAATGTCAAATAAAAAGGAGACCTGGTTTCATGTCTGAATACTGCCACTGGGATAAACTGATGGTCTCAATCTGCTTTCTAGACTTTTCCAAGTTTCAGCTTACTCTAGTGAAAAACAAGGGACAGCACTTAGTGTACGCAAATGTTATGCTTTTAATAAACCCTTCAGGCTTATCTGAGAGAACTTATAAAAGAGGCCCTCTCCTACTGTGTCTCCATGGTATGCAGGTAGCTGGAAATACAAACTTGGAATAAACACCAACTCCTCCTACTTGGTAATAATTTTTTAAAATCAATTTGGGGGACACATGTCACACAATAGAGCTCCCAAAAACTTGTTGACTATAATAAGCTTTCTTTAATTAATTCTTCTTTAATTTACAAAAATTTGTCCCAATTTTCTACAAATGCTTAAATTCCTTCCTAATCTTTAATGTTTAACTTGACGAAAGTTAGCTGAGTCAAAAATTTCAAACACACCCTTTCGGAAAGTCTGTAGTTTACACAAAGTATTATTTGGCTTCGTGAGCTATTCCACCAAAGGGCAATGAAATACCATTCCAAGAATATCTCAAATATCAAAGAAGGGAAAGGAAGGTCTAGTTGACTTTTTTTCTCTCTAGCTGATTAAGGAAAGAACTGTTCAGATTGTTCCACATATACTGCAGACCCCAGTTGGAGAGAGAAACATTTGCCCAATTGCTGTACGAGGCCTAATATCCTCCAGGCAGTGTATTAGATGTAAGTTCCTTGGGACTTGGAACATGTGTATTTCTTATTACACCTGGTCATGCTTTGATATAAAAGGTTTTGAATAAAGTTTTGTTGGAAGAAGGAGTGAACAATTAACAAATGAATTTCAATGATCATTGTTCTTTGTTTTCACATGAGACATACTGTGCAAACATAGAGTGGATGTAATGTAGCCAACAGATTTTAAAAAGATATTGCTCATGCAATTCCTGAACTCTCTAATATTGCGTAACAACATACTCCATTTTTTCTTAAATGAATTTGAGCTGGGTTTCTGTCACATGCAACCAAAACCTCTGCCTAGTAAACCTCTGCTGTATCCAGCATGGCACCCATCGCATAGGTTGTAATATGTGTGATGTGTGGCATCAACTTCTCTGCAGTCCCAGAAGAGACCAGCTGCCTTCCTACAGAAATACCTCCCTCTCTACTCATAAGCCATCTCATAATCCCCTGAAGGATATTTTTCCCACACCTATCCCTTTCCTCTACAACATCTTGAGTATCTCCACTTATTTGATTACTGCTTTCAGTAAGCTCAATAGTAAAAATTCATCATTTCCATTTCTTTAACAAACTTGTCAGTTTTCAAAGCACTTTCATATATAATTAATCCTGTGGGATCAGTCAGCATGACGTGACTCTTCTTCCTTCAAAATGTCCCTCCGATTTTTCTCTTCCATAACTCTAACCAAGACCCACCTCACTTAGATGACTGCACTCATTCATCCATCATGGCTTCTAAAAAAATATTGCACCTGTGATTCCCGCTACTAAATTAAACTTTCTAAAATACTGCTTTCAGCATGCTTATTTTCTACAAAGAGTCAAAAATATTTCACCTAGTTTTTCAGATGAAGCTCATCCTCTTCTCCTCATTAACCCAATATTCTCCTCCAATTGTCACCATTTCACCTATCCAATCTTATCTTGGAGCCAAATTATCTTTTTCTTTAATCTAAGTTTTACTTCTTGCCAGCTGTGTGACTTTGGTCAATTTATTTGTCTGCTCTGAGACTCTGGCCCCACAGCTGCAACCATATCAATTTCCTTACCAGTCTTTATTCACAGGAGAAACATTTCTTTTTGTTGTTATTTTTTAACATAATTAAAGTATAACTTAAATACTATAAAATTCACCTACTCTGAGTTTATAGTTTACTGATTTTTAATGTTTATCAAGTTGTGCAAGCATCACCAAAATCCAGTTTTAGAATATTTTCATCACCTCAAGAAGATCTCTCATGCCCATTGGCAGTTAATCCACATTCCCATCTGCAGCCCCACTCTCTGTCCCCATAGCTTTGCCTTCTCTGGTCATTTTATGTAAGTGCAATCCTACAATATGTGGTCTTTTATGTCTGGTTTCTTTCATTTAGCATAATGTGCCAAGCTCATTTCTGCCTTCATCCTTGGGGTACATTTGGGTTCTTTCTCTATCTTCTCCCTTTCTTTCCACCTACCCAAATTTCTCATTGTTGTTTTCATGCTGCTGTTTTGAGGTACAATTTAAGACATAGCACTTTTATAACATTATCTTAGACTTCTTTACAGTCCACCATTTTTACCTTTATTACTCTAAATCTCCACTGGGACCTCTAGGCTTGAGTTCTTCCTTAGCTGCTCCGTGCAGCTATCATATTTCCTTACCAAGAAAAATGAAAGCTCTTTATGAAAAGCAATAGACACATTTGGAAACAAAATACATGTTCCTTGAAAAAAATGATGAATTGAGTATGTCTACTTATACTTGATACTTTTCTTTACTGAGGACAGTGACCAAGAAGATCCATAGGTAGGTAGGAGGGGAGGATCCAGATGTATGATGCTGATTTCTACAGATCTTATGCCAGAATAGCTGCCGATTTGACACAGTCCCCTGATTTTAGACACTTCATTTCCCTCCTATCATCCGTTCCCTCACAGATCCCAAAATTTCAGTAACTGTCCATTCTTTGAGGATAGGATCAAAATCTGCGGATTGATCTTTGTTTCCACCTTAATGCATAGCTACTAACTTGCATATAATGGGTGCTGAATAAATATGTGTCAAATGAATGACTTAATGAATGAGTATATGAGTAAATACATGATGAGACCTTCAAGCAGGATCTGGCCACAGCAATCTCAGGAGACTTCAAGAGTCATGAGTCAGCATTAGCTTTAATTAGAAATTCCAGTTTGGATATTACACAAGCCGAGTAAATATCTATAACTATGGTACATCAATTTGTCAGAAACACAAAATTGTACGAATTTACCCATGGAGACATCGATGAAAAGGCACAGACCCCAAATCAAAACCAAGCAAAAAGTGGATCACTCATATCCACAAAACTAAATTCCCGTACTTTTCCAGGCTAACTCACTAATGTTTGGGGAGCTGTTAGATGCCATTCCACGTTTCAGTGGATCTTATGGTGTTATGTTTTCCTGCATCAGTGTCTTCATGCTAAATGCCTGAAAGCCAAAAATCAATCCTGTTATATCCACACAATTAAGACAATGCCTGAAACATAGTGTAAAATTAATGCACATTTGTTGAATAAATAAGCTACCGTTTATTGAGCATATCAATATCCCACTTAATCCTCATAGTTACCCTAACAGAAACAAACATACCTACCATTGTATTAAGACCACTTTGCTGCTCCAGTTCAGAGAGGTCAGTTAACTTGGCCAAAGCCACAAAGCTAATAAATGAGAGATCCAGAAGTCAAATGAATTTATTTAACCACAAATCTATTTTCTTAGTCTGTTTTGTGTTGCTATCACAGAATACCACAGATTGGGTAATTTGTATTAAAAAACAATTTATTTCTCATAGTTTTGGAGGCTGGGAATTCTAATATCAAGGTGCCAGCACCTTATTAGGGCCTTCTTGCTGTGTCATCCCACGGCATTAGATAAGAAGGCGAAAGAGGATGAGAGGGAGCAAAAGAGAAAGTGAGCCAAACTTACCCTTTTATCAGGAACCCATTCCCATAATAACTAACCCACTACTAAGATCATGCCTTTAGTTCTAATCAGCTCTTAAAGGTCCTGCCTCTCCACACCGTTGCACTGGGGATTAAGTTTCCAACACACAAACTTAACCATAGCAGCCATGTTCTCTACACTGCCTTGCTTCATCAAAGAAAAAAGACAATATAGGAATCGTCATTCAGATGATGATGTAGTCTAACTCAATTTGCTCAGACCAAATGAAAACTGTACATTTTATTTAAAGCACCAGAAAGTCAACTTGAGAAGTGACCGCCTATGCTTAAAAAGGATAAGATGTCAATTATGAAATCAGTAATAAAAGAACAATATAATGGCTATTTATTCTTAAAAATTAAGCAGATAGTACCTCAAAAAGTTCTTCACCACTACATCTTCCTAAACTGGTGCATCTTCCTGAAATGTTTTGGTTTTTGCTAGTCCTAAGGATAATAGTGATAGGGGAAGAAAACAGCGAAATTTTTTGCCCCCAAGCCTAAAAATGTTGGAGTGATCCTATGGGAAGAATATATTTTGATTATTTACAGCCTTATATTATTTTCTAATTATTGCATATGTCTAAATCTTATTCCCCCAAGTCTCCAAACAAAAGCAAGGTCCCCGTGGGCATAAATTTCTTTTATGCTTCACAGCATCTAACATGATGTTGAGCTATAGACTTAGCTCAAAGTGTAAGGAATGGAAATAAATTTAGAAAATCTGGTCCAGGGACGACTGTTTTCCCTGTCAAATTTTGCCTCCAAGATTTTATCCTGTTAATCCATGTCAATGAGGACAACACTGGCTTTGTGACATTTCCAGATCACTCTAAAAGGCCACATCAGTGGCTATTTGTCTTATCACATAATAGGGAGCAAAGCAAATTTTATTTTTAAATTAGCTTTGTTCCATTTGGTGAATTTCTGTGAGAAAATGTGCCTGTCTTCACATAAACGGTGGGCTGAATCTGTGCCTGAGAGAGAGAGAGAGGGCAAGTGTGCTCACACTTGTGGGTGGGTGAGCATCTTCAGAAAGCCCCTCAGCTGCTCTGGAGGAGCTTGCAGTGTGTGCCATGGAAACGCCAGTTACCATGGAAAGAGAGCGCTATTGTGACGAGCTGAAGAAATGCCTATGTAAAATCAGCTTACCATGTAACCTTACACTTTCCAGCATTTTAAAAAATATGACAGGATTAGAGCACAGTCCTCTGGGGAGTCTCAGCCCTCTCAATGATCTTCCAAAACAATCTAGAAATCGAGATGATAAACTGCAGGGCAGTGTGTACCTTGCTAAGGGGCTTGACAAGCAGTTAGGTGGAGAAATTGCCAACATCGTTTATCTATGGACTACGCAGCACACTATTAAATATTTTCTGTTAAAACCCACAAAGTATTACAAATGAAGAGAAAACATGGATAAAATTAACTTAAAGCGAATGGTTCCTGACTTACTGAAATCAGAATTGATGTGTTTCATCTAACTTATCTGTTAATAGGCTTTCTTGATGCCCTCGTGTTACCATAATCTCCAAAGCACTGGACAAACCAGTACATTTGTTTATCTTTATCACTCTTTGCTTACTAAAGAACTTGCTTTTATTAAAGAGATCAATCACCTGCACACAGTTTAATAGCCTGTGTGGTGCATACAAGGTGTAAAAAACAAAAAGGCAAAAAAAGGGTAAAGGGTGACAGCCCTGTTTTAACAAAGCCCCCAAAGCATTGAAGAGGCAAGCTTTCAATAATATATATAATATATACATGTACATACGCACACACATACTTGATATCAAAATTAGCAAACTAAAACATTTTAAAATGGGAAAGTGGAGGCTTAAAAGCAATCAATGCCTCAACTGTACACTCAGTATTGTCTGGTTACTTTAATAAACAAAACAACTAAATGCAGCTAAGTGGAGAGACAGAGAGTGCATTACACATCTTATACGCGGCTTCTCTCACATGCTTGCGTGGGAAAGCCAGACATTTGTGTCTCACAGCCCAGCCACGAAACCAGGAATCCACCCTGGCTGAATAAGGATGTGGCATCTGAGGTCCACTGTTTTAAATCTCAGATATGAGGCATTGTTGAAATGTTGGATTATAGCTTACTGTCTGCATCGTAGTGTGGGAGGGATACCGAGGCTGCTTTGCTCCTGAAACTGCTCTCCTACCTACACTGAAAAACAACCCTATCCACAATCTCGCAGTGCAAGGAACATAATATCATATTTTATCTCATCTTCTGGGATTAAAAATATTGATTGAAATTTTCACTGGAAGCTTTTCTTAAAAGACACTTTCTTCCAAACCTCTTCTTTCTACTCCATTGCAAGACAGCTATTTTTCTTGCCAAAATGCAGGAAAGCAATTAGGCTCAAGGGTATTATAAGCTGCACCAGTTCAGGGCAAATCTATTGAACTTTGCTGAGAAATTCTTGTTCATTCACTGTGAAAATTTTGATGGTTTTATCCTTTTTCTTGATAACCACTTAGTTTTAGAAACCTGGGTTACATGTGTACTGCGGGATTTCAAGACAGACCATCTTAATTAAAGTGTCGTGATGTTAAATGGGAGGGTACTAAACGTATTCCTTTAATAACTGCCATTTCAAGCTCAAATATATATTGGAAAGAACTAAAGCTAAAATACAAAGGAAATTTAGCAGAAGCAGTGATGGCGAAGAGAAAATATTCAGCCAATCTGCAAAGTGCCTCACAGGTTTTGCAAATAACGCAGGAGGACAAGCAGAGCCGATCCTTCATCTTCTATCAGCTGTTCCTGTTGCTGGTGATTACAGCCATATTTCACAGAGAACATATGGCTGTGTTTATAGCCATCAGGCAGCATTTCACAGAGCTACGACACCATGTGTCCACCAACTAGCCTTACTGATTGCAGTTAATTAGAGAGGAGGTGGGAGGCATTTTTAAGATAATTTTAAGGCATAAAGATGCCCAAAGTTCCCAGGCCAATTTGCCAGACTAGGTGACAAGAGAGGCTGACATTAAAATTATAAGAAGCTAAGAGCAGTGGAAATTTTGCACAAGTCTTTCCCTAAGAAATGAGGCCAATACAACAACAACAACAAAACAAAGAAAAAGCATATGAACACTAAGAAAGAAGATCAGCACAATAAAGCATGCAAGATGCTACTTGGGAAACTTGCACAAGTAAGAAATCATTTGGAAATTCCTAAAGGACCTTTCCAGGAGAAAGGTTCTGAGTCAAAACTACCAAAACAACATTTCTAGGAGTCACTTTATACTTAGTGAATCCAAGATGTAGTATATTCAATATAAAATTACATAGGGGTCTGTTATATACTCCATCGAATATGTGCTGTAGACCAATTTGTAGTCCGACAGTATAGTTCTTTCTTCTTTTTAATCCCAAAGTAAAACACCAGTAAACATATGTCACCAGATAAATGATTTAAGGGCTTCAGGTTTTCAACATTCCCACTTTTGAATTTGCAAAATTTCTTCCATAAGCCCCTGGAAAAGAGACTTGACTATAGAGAGTTCCAAAGAGAGTGAACTGAGCTCACATCCAAACAGAAACCTTAGCTGAGTAATTCCTTTCCTCCTACAATTTACAAACTTCTCCCTGGAAAACATGGCTCTGTGTGTCAGGGGGTGTGTGTGTGTGAGAGAGAGAGAGAATGAGAGAGAGTGTGTGTGTGTGTGTGTGTGAGAGAGAGAGAGTATGTGTGTGTGTCTACCGTTCCATCTATTACAGACACTTCTTCCTTCAGGCTCTTTTGAAAGTCTGAGAACACATACATTGGTAATTGTGTCATTTTTTTCTCTATCACTCTGCTTTGCTGAAGCTGGACTATAATGACATTAGATAGGTCGCATGATGGCAATTTAATGGCCTGAACTCAATCCACAGGTACATCGTTGCAGTCGCCTTGGGATCTGTTCTCATTGCTCTGACATGACAGAAAATACCAGCAGAGTTGGAATGGATGGCCACCTGCAGCGATGGAGGCAGTGCATCTGTGAGGATAGAAGATACTGACTCTGAAACCCGAAGGGCAGCCCAGTAGCTGGGAAGTCAACCTCACTGCCCCCCATGGCTCCCCGCCCCCACTATTAACACAGAGCATGTCACTCAACAACATTCATATGTTATGTTCTCTGTTTGGCACTGAGGACAGAGACAAACAGAACACACACACGTCTGGCCCTAATGTGGTTTATTGTCTCTTAGGGAAGACACATAAACATTTAAATAAACATATGTGCCAAAACACCATAGATGTTATGATAGACCCATGTCCACAGTATAATAGTGGTACTTAATTAGCAGTGAAGTTGAGCTGCCTTTAACAGTCCAATCTGCCTTTAATAATCCAGTATACTTGAAAGGGGAGATGTTGGGGGTGTGTCGGGGGGTGATTTAAGGTCTACAAATTGCAGAGTACAATAATAAATCCAAAGTACGTGAAATACTTTCAAAGGCTCATGTGCATAATTCGGTGGGTGCTGGATTCTCTCAAAGGACAATTATGAAGATCAAATTAAGAAATTCTCTGAGCACCTAGGGAAGAAAAAGTATAAATTCAAAGCATTCAAAGCATTATACTGTTACTACAATTAGCTAAGTATAATATCCAGAGCCCTAGTGAATGTTTCTATTACTTAGGGAAGTTTACAGCGTGACACTGTATTTTCCAGAAACCATAAAATAGTGATGATCTTTTTCATATGTTTGTTAGAATCAGAAGAGATTGTGTGTATATGTCTATATCTACATATAATATATTTTATATTACATATAGATATATGTTATGTTAGGTATATAATATAGATATATAGTTATATTAAAAATGTTTGTAGAATCTAGGGTGCCATATTAATAGACGTTGTTGTGGTTGTATTACTGCTGACCATATTTTTGTTGTGGCTAACTATAAAACAGAAGTCACTAAATTATGGCCCATGGGCAAAATCTGGCCCACAGAGGGCCAAATTCATTACCTATTGCCCATGGCTTTTGCACTCTAACAACAGGGTTGAATAATTGGACAGAGACAATATTATGAATCTATTTTTTTTCTTTTTTTGTTATTTGATTTTTTAGCAGAAAATATTTTCCTGAAAAATGGGGGTTCTGTGATCAGGTTAAGTGGAAACATTACATACTATATTTCTCTCTGGGAGATTTATAATGAAGCTTGGTATATTAAAAATTTTGAGTGGCCCTATATAAAGGAAATCTATTTAAATATATTTTCCACGTTTATTTGGCCATTTTTTTCTCTATCTAAATGTGCTAACAAATATGGCAGGGACAGTGGATTAGCCACCCAAGAGCGACTTACTTCTCCTGTGTCATCTATTGTATGGAGAACATTAAATACTTTACACTTCAGCTTCTCTGGTGTCTAACCTTAGCTGTGCACCACAGTTATAGGCACTAAGAGATGGTGCTTCATGAGGCAGGTGTCCTTCCAGAATAGAAACGAATGGCCCCCCGAGAGAAAGTCCCTTTTATCTTTTCCTGGTTGCCTTTCCTCTTGACCAGAAATCAGTGGTCCAATACCCACCTTGTGATTCTAAGGCCAATGAATAAAGGCAAAGCCCTACATGCTTAGGATAGTGAAGCACAAAGATGATGAAATCCTGGGTCTCCGATGGAATCATTGAGACACTATACTAACTCAGAACTGCCTACTCTGGGATGTCTCATTGCATCAAATAAGTAAACGCCTTCAGTGTGTGACAGTGTGGTAAGTAGGAAAGAGCTTCTCAGACTTAAATAGGTGAATCATCTGGGGATTTGTTAAAATGCAAATTCTGATTCAGTAGATCTGGGCTGGGCCCCTAGTCAGCTCCCAAGAGATGCCGGTGCTGGTTGATGAATCACACAATGAGTAGCAAGGTAATTGAGTTTTCTGTTAGAGTCAACTCACCATGGATCAAAAATATTAGGAAAAAACAATAAAAATAACACAACAATAAAACATAATACAATTTTAAAAATACATATTAGGTAATATAGGTAATCTAGAGATGATTTAAAGTATATGAGAGAATGTGTGTGGTTTATGTGCAAATACTATGCCCTTTTTTCTGAGGAACTTGAGCAACCACAAATTTTGGTATCCACAAGGGCATGGGAAAAATCCCTCTCAGATAACTAGGGACAAGTATATTTGCAGAAAAACAGCATCATAACTGATACAACCTCTATAATTCATCTTGTAGAGAACACACTTTGAGAAATTCTGAGGATTTTTCTGTGTCATGCTTCCTATTACTACAAAACATTTAGAAAGTGGGCTCCACCCAGGCTACCATTCAGAAGATCTAGACTTTCTTTCCACATTATTTCTTGTACCATATATTCCTTATTATGAGGCAGTGTCAAAGCTACAGTGAACCACCGTGGGCAAAGAAGTGATATTTTCCACAAATGTCCCAAGTATAGCAAGAAATGGTAATGAAGAGATCATTCCTTTAGCCTCCAAGAAAGATAGATTCCTTAAAGACTTACCCACTCCTTCATGTATAGGTCAGTAATCTTAGGTCAAGAGAAGCCGACTTATTCCCTAAGTCCCACAGGGGATGGAAAAAGTGGGGAGGACAGAGCTTGGCAAGATTACTCTCATGTGTCAGGGTCTCGGTGCATGAATCTGTGTGATGGATTTCCCCCTTTGCACAGAAAAACCTTTCAAAAGAAAGTAAGGGCTCAATGACAGTGTGCACATTACATCACATATGCAGGACAGAGCAACAAAAAAATTGCAAATTTACATTTTCAGACTTTTCCTACTGCCTGTGTTTTAAGCAACCACACTGTCAGCCATTCCTTTATCTTTATGATTAACCCAGAGCATTAGCAAATACCCAATCTATTTAGAGATACAGATCTCTGAAGGTTTTGTGATTCCTTCTCTAAAATATAATACCACTGACCTAACTGGGGTTTTGGGAGATTCCATATCTTATTTTTTTTCTCATCTTTCCACGATAACTGTGAGTTTAACAATAGGGTGTGTGAAGTTGCTGAAGTATTTCATACATTCTTTATTAATTAAAGAAAAAATCTCTTCTCAGAGTATTGGAAGTTTAAAGAGCAAATGAAAAGTAGAGAAAATGCAAGAAGGGCTAAAATAGCTGAAATGTACTATTTTTTCTTTTGAATAATTGGTACTAAAGAAGAAATATAGGCTTTAGATTTTAAATTCTATCATCGAAGAAAAGAAGCTAACTTTTAAGTATTCTGTCATGCTGAGGAAGAGATCAAGGGCCACTAGGCAATAACATTTTCTTGCTCCTGTGTTTGCACACCCACGGCTGTGGTCCACCAGTAGGCTTTTAACACAATTACAGCTTCTGCCTTCTGTGGCTCTCAGTGCTCATAAGGTTCATTAGGATTCCCTTTTTTTTTTTTTTTTTAAATTTGAAATGGAGTCTCGCTCTGTCACCGAGGCTGGAGTGCAGTGGCACGATCTCGGCTAACTGCAACCTCTGCCTCTAGGTTCAAACAATTCTCTGCCTCAGCCTCCCAAGTAACTGGGATTACAGGCGCCTGCCACCACACTGGCTAATTTTTGTATTTTTAGTAGAGACAGAGTTTCACCATCTTGGCCAGGCTGGTCTTGAACTGGTTCATTCGGATTCTTAATCAGTCATTGCCCAATTTCGTTTCAGATTTGTCTAATCGTCCTGATTCAAAGATCAGGTAACTAAGGTCAAATTTGAAAGGTGATTTACCCAAGGCCATAGAGCCAGGCCATGGCATTCTCTAAAAAACTAGTGATTGAAATGTCTAAATCTTTGTTATTGTCAATGATTCCAACACAATTTCTGTAAATTCCCATCCAAGGACTCTGGAATGTGACACTAGGGCAAGCACTTACCTACACAGATGATATGGCTTGGCGCTGTGTTCCCACCCAAATCTTAACTTGAATCACAGTTCCCACAATCCCACATGGGAGGGACCTCGTGGGAAGTAATATAATCATGGGAGTGGTTACCCTCATGCTGTTCTCATGATCATGAGTGAGTTCCCATGAGATCTGATGGTTCTATAAGGGGCTGTTCCCCCTTTTGCTCAGCACTTCTCCTTCCTGCTGCCATGTGAAGGAGGACATGTTTGCTTCCCTTTCCACCATGATTGTAAGTTTCCTCAGGCCTCCTCAGCCCTGCAGAACTGTAAGTCAATTAAACCTCTTTCCTAGAGGTTTCTCTACCTAGAAAAATAGTAAATCAAAAACAATATCACATCTCTGGAGGAAATGTGGAGATAAGTGCCACCATCAAGGACTGGAAAGATGCAGGGGTGGTGATTCCCATCACATCCCCCTTCAACTCTCCCATTTGGCCTGTGCAGAAGACAGAAGGATCTTGGTGAGTGACAGTGGGTAATCATAAGATTAACCAAGTGATGACTCCAAATGCAGCTGCTGTACCAGATGAGGTTTCATTGCTTGAGCAAATTAACACATCTGGTACCTGGTATGCAGCCATTGACTTGGCAAATGTCTTTTTCTCCATTCCTGTCCATAAGGCCTACCAGAAGCAATTTGCCTTCAACTGACAATGTCAGCAACATACCTTTGCTGTCCTGCCTCAGGGATATATCAACTCTCCAGCTTTGTGTCATAATCTTGTTCAGAGAGATCTTGATCTCTTTTCACTTCCATAAGGTATTACACTGATCCATTACACTGATGACATGATGCTGATTGGATCCAGTGAGCAAGAAGTACCAAACATACTGGACTTATTGGTGAGACATTTGCATCCTAGAGGATGGGAAATAAATCTGACCAAAATTCAGGGGCCTTCTACCTGAGTAAAATTTCTAGGGCTCCTGTGGTGTGGGGCCTGTCAATATATTCCTTCTAAGGTGAAGGATAAGGGGTTGAATTTGACCCCTCCTACAATCAAGAAAGACGCACAATGCTTAGTGGGCCTATCGGGATTTTGGAGACAACAGATTCCTCATTGTGGTGTGTTACTCCGGCCCATTTACTGAGTGACCCAAAAGGCTGCCAGTTTTGAGTGGGGTCCAGAACAGGAGAAGGCTCTCCAACAAATCCAGGCTGCTGTGCATGCTTCTCTGCCACTTCTGCCATATGACCCAGCAGATCCAATGGTGCTTGAGGTGTCAGTGGCAGATAGGGATGCTCTTTGGAGCCTTTGGCAGGCTGCCATAGGTGAATCACAGCAGAGGCCTCTAGGATTTTGGAGAAAGGCCCTGCCATCTTCTGCAGATAACTACTCTCCTTTTGAGAGGCAGCTCTTGGCCTGTTACTGGGCTTTGGTGGAAACTGAACATTTGACTATGGGTCATCAAGTCACCATGTGACCTGAACTGCCTATCATGAACTGGGAGCTTTCTGACCCATCTAGCCGTAAAGTGGGTCGTGCGCAGCAGCATTCCATCATCTAATGGAAGTGGTATATACGTGATCAGGCTCAAGCAAGTTGTGAAGACACAAGTAAGTTACGTGAGGAAGTAGTTCAAATGTCCTTGGTGTCCATTCCTGCCACCCTGCCTTCTCTTCCCCAGTCTGCACCGATAGCCTCATGGGGAGTTCTCTATGATGAGCTGACAGAGGAAGAGAAGACTAGGGCCTGGTTCACAGATGGTTCTGCATGATATGCAGACACCACCTGCAAGTGGACAGCTGTAGCACTACAGCCACTTTCTAGGACATCCTCGAAGGACAGCAGTGAAGGAAAATCTTCCCAGTGGGAAGAACTTTGAGTAGTGTACCTGGCTGTACACTTAGCAAGGAAAGAGAAATGGTCAGATCTGCAATTATATACTGATTCATGGGCTGTAGCCAATGGTTTAGCTGGATGGTCAGGGACTTGGAAGAAGCATGATTAGAAAATTGGTGACAAAGAAATTTGGGGAAGAGGTATGTGGATGGACCTCTCTGAATGGTCAAAAGTTGTGAAGACACTTGTATCCCATGTGAGTGCTCCCCAACAGGTGACCTCAGCAGAGGAGGATTTTAGTAATCGAGTGGATAGGATGACCTGTTCTAAGGACACCACTCAGTCTCTTTCACCAGCCACCTCTGTTGTCACCCAATGGGCCCATGAACAAAGTGGCCATGGTGGCAGGGATGGATGTTATGCATGAGCTCAGCAACATGGACTTCCACTCACCAAGGCTGACCTGGCTACAGCCACTGCTGAGTGCCCAAATTGCCAGCAACAGAGACCAACATTGAGCCCTCAATATGGCACCATTACTCGGGGTGATCAGCCAGCTACCTGGTGGCAGGTTGATTATATTGGACCTCTTCCATCATGGAAAGGGAAGAGGTGTGTCCTCACTGGAATAGACACCTACTCCAGATATGCATTTGCCTATCCTGCATGCAATGCTTCTGCCAAGACTACCATCCATGGACTCATGGAATGCCTTACCCACCATCATGGTATTCCACACAGCATTACATTGCCACTGACCAAGGCACTCACTTTGCAGCTAAAGAAGTGTGGCAGTGGGCTCATGCTCATGGAATTCACTGGTCTTACTATGTTCTCCATCATCCTGAAGCAGCTGGATTGTTAGAATGGTGGAATGGCCTTTTGAAGTCACAATTACAATGCCAACTAGGTGACAATACTTTGCAGGGCTGGGGCAAAATTCTCCAGAAGGCCATGTATGCTCTGAATCGGCATCCAATATATGATACTGTTTCTCCCATAGCCAGGATTCATGGGTCCAGGAATCAAGAAGTGGAAGTGGCACCACTCACAATCACCTCTAGTGGCCCACTAGGAAAAATTTTGCTTCCTGTTCTTGAGACATTACGTTCTGCTGGCCTAGAGGTCTTAGTTCCAGAGGGAGGAACACTGCCATCAGGAGACACAACAATGATTCCATTAAACTGAAAGTTAAGATTGCCACCTGGGCCCTTTGGGCTCCTCCTACCTTTGAGTCAACAGGCTAAGAAGGTAATTACAGTGTTGGCTGGGGTGATTGACCTGGACTATCAAGGTGAAATCAGTCTACTACTCCACAACGGAAGTAAGGAAGAGTACACATGGAATACAGGAGATCTATTTGGGTGTCTCTTAGTATTACCATGCCCTGTGATTAAGGTCAATGGGAAACTACAACAGCCCAATCCAGGAAGGACTACAAATGACCCAGGCCCTTCAGGAATGACGGTTTCGGTCACTCCACCAGGAAAAAACCACGACCTGCTGAGGTGCTTGCTGAAGGCAAAGGGAATACAGAATGGGTAGTAGAAGAAGGTAGTCATGAATACCAGCTACAACCACGTGACCAACTGCAGCTACGAGGACTGTAGTTGTCATGAGTTTCCTCCTTCTTTTGTTAAAAACATGTTTGTGCATGTATACACTTGTACTAAGAAAATATCTTCGTTTTATTTCCTTTCTCCTTATCATGTGACATAAGATTTATTGACTTCACATCAGCATTTAAGTATTGTTAACTTTATGTAATGGTATTTGGGTTGGGCATTGGTTGTATGAAGGATAGTTGTATTATGTTAGGCATAATTATGACCTTATTATTTTCTTTATTTGGAGATTATATATGATCTCAAGAGATGTGCATGGGTTCAAGTTGACAAGGGGTGGATTTGTGATGGTTAATACTGAGTGTCAACTTGATTAGATTGAAGGATACAAAGTATTGATCCTGGGTGTGTCTGTGAGGGTGTTGCCAAAGGAGATTAACATTTGAGTCAGTGGGCTGGGAAAGGCAGACCCACCCTTAATCTGGGTGGACACAATTTAATCAGCTGGCAGCATGGCTAGAATATAAGCAAGCAGAAAAATGTGAAAAGGTGAGACTGGCTTAGCCTCTCAGCCTACATCTTTCTCCCATGCTGGATGCTTCCTGCCCTTGAACGTCGGACTCCAAGTTGTTCACTTTTGAAACTCAGACTGGCTCTCCTTTCTCTTCAGCCTACAGACAGCCTATTGTGGGACCTTGTGATCATGTGAGTTAATACTTAATAAACTCCCCTTTACATAGTTCTGTCTCTCTAGAGAACCCTGAATAATACACAGACGTAATCAAACTAAGATGAGGTCATTAGGGTGAGCACTAATCCAATATAACTGGTGTCTTCATAAGAAGAGGAAGACGCCATGTGAAAACAAACACAGGAAGGCTATGTGAAAAGAAACCATGTGACAGCAAGAGGCAGAGACTGGAGTGATACAGCTGCAAGCCGAGGAATGCCAAGAGCTGCCACCACTGCCAGAAGCAAGGAAGACATAAGGAAGGACTCTAGCGAGAGTCTTAGAGGGAACATGGCAGTCCTAGGAAACTAATACTCATGGTAAAAGGTACTTTGCAGATGTAATTAAATTAAGGATGTTGAGGTAGGACGGTTATCCTGGATTATCTGGATAGCCCCAATGTAATCACAAGGGTCCCAAGAGTTTTTATAAGAGAGACAGGAAAATCAAAATCACAAAAGGCAGGAGTTATGATGATGGAGGCAGAGGGCCAGAGTCAAAGAGGTATTTGTTAGAGATCTCAAGACAGAGGAAGAGGCCATGAGCCAGGAATGCACTAGGTCGCTAGAAGGTGAAAAAGGCAAGAGGTTGCATGGCCTGGCTGACAGATAGATTTGGGCTCAGCAAAATCCACTTTGGATCTTTGACCTCCAGAACTATGAGATAATAAATTTATGCTGTTTTACACCATTAGGTGTGTGATAATTTGTTATAGCAGAAATAGGAAACTAGTACAAGATAATGTTTTCCCTGGTTAGCTCCTACGGTTGATGTACTAAAGACAAAACCTGTAAAGAATATGTATTTCAGTGTTATCATGATTCTGGTTTTCTTAAAGATACACTAGGCATGCAATTCCAAAATGTTTAATGAATACATAAATTAATCAATCAAAATAATTTCAACTATACAAAGACATGTAAACCAAATTGTGTCTAATAGTAACTCCCTAAGGGCAAAGATCCTACAATAAAAGTCTCTACAGTACACAGCACAGCTACATTCACATAACAAGCCTTTTCTAAATATTCTTTGAGTAATCAGAAAATGAAAAAGGTCCTAGGAAAACCCCAGTAGCCACTAGGATTTAAAAAAAGACAAGAGAAGCCATCAGATAAGTTCTTCCTTAGAGTATGCACCCCTCCTCCTATCTTCACCCATTGAAAATACTATTGAGTTATAGAATATGGCCCGTTTCCTTTGGGTTAAGTTTATTTTTTTTGGATCACTCCTGGTGGCTAATTAGCAGCCTGAATGCTTCCTTATAAAAAGCCATGTTTTCTGCACATTAGGGCATTTCCCCTTTCAGGACTGGAGACAAATGTTTAAAGGATGATCCTAGCTAACAAAGTAACATCTGGCACTTAGTATCTTGCTGTGACTGATTGTCTGATATATCACCCCAAAGTGAGGTGCAGTAGAGCCCTAGAATGCAAAATGCTTCCTATAGCGTCAATACTCCCAGTGAGATGAGAAACATTGAATGAGGAGACTGTGTTGGGACAGAGAGGCCAAAGAAAAAACGTAAGTAGTAATACATGATCAATTTCATGATTATGCTTTACTATAATGTTTCAGAAACTAAACCTAAATAAGTATCAAAAAAGACTACATGGGAGCTTTTGAAAGAAACAGAAAAATTAATAGGCTTGTGTAAAAACATGCCACTACCTGAGACTGTTATTTCTAAAAATAGCATCTATAATCTGGCAGACTGGTCAAAGCCACAGGTTTTGGGGTACAAAGAAGCAAAGGGTCTGTGCCCAATATACTTACCCACTTGGAATGCGATGTTGGGCAGGAGATGTAACCTTGGGCAAAGTATAAAGTTGGTGCAAAAGTGATTGCAGTTTTTGCCATTACTTTTAAGGAATGAATTTAGTAACAGCATCTGCCATTACTTTTAATGGCAAAAACTGCAATGGCTTTTGCACCGACCTAATATTTAATCTGCAACTTGATATCCAAATATGCAAAATTGGGTTCATTGATATCTTATTAGGTGGTCCTGAGAATTTTATAAATAATATATGTTAAATGCCTAGCATAATGTCTGATACAGAGTTATATTCTTAAATGGTTAACATTTATTGATTGGTTACCATGAGGCAAGGCACTGTGCTAAGTGCTTTGGTTATGTTACTGAAAGCAATGGAGTAAAGGTGGTTCCAAGCTCACCAAATGCCTGAGTTCATAGCCCAGCTTCATTTACTCTCTACATAATCTTGGCAAAGTTACTTAACTTCTGTGAACCTCAGCTTCCTTGTCTCTAGAAGGAGACAGGCAGGATTATCTACCTCACAGGCTTGTGGTCAGAATTAAATAAGCAGATATGTTCACTGAATTTAGACACAGTGATTGGCACATGATAAGCATTCATAAGTGTCACTGTTATTAGCATCCCTTCAATCTTTACAACCAGTTACTACAGATGCTGTTACTAAATTCATCTTATCAACAAAGAAGCAGAATTAAAAAAAAAAAAACTCCAAGTGAGCTGTAGATCCAGGATTCAATTAAGGTGGCTCTGTACTTGGTCCAAGATTAATTACGTTAGATGATGCTGAACGCCAGAGCCCACCAAATCTATTTTGACCTTCCACCAACACTTTCCACAATGAATTGGCTTTATTACTTTGAGAAATTCTTTAACCACTCAGTTTTGCATTTGTATAATGGGGAAACTAATATTGACACTTCATCAGGAGGTGAAGATTTAAGGAGATGGTGTAGTAAATCCCATACTGCAAAGCCTGGCACATAGAAAGCCCTCAAAATATTTCAACTACTGTAATAAATATTATTAGTAGAAGCCCTGAAGACCAGCAGTCATTTAGTGCTCCACCTCCCTTTAAAAAATGGAGACCAAGTTTAATTCTCAGTACTTACCCAGGACATTGCTTCATACCATGACACTGTCCTAGGACCTTTCTGAAGTAGCAGCCTGCTTTGACCCTGGGAAAACCTTTGGCCACAGGAAACAATCACTGTATCTTGCAATAAAGGACAATGTCCAGGCTGTTTCTGCAGTTTACTTTAGACTGAATTTCATGATAAACAAAATGCGGGCTGGTCAATGTAGAGATAACCACTGCTGAGAGTATACTGGCAAACAAATGACTATGACTTTATGGCCCTGAAGTGTTCAACTAGTATAGACCTGGTGTACAGAAACAAAGGTACTGAGTGACACCATGGCACTGGGATACCGGTTGGGAAAGGAAAATCATTCAAGGTTAAGCATAGGGTGAGAACTATCAGTGATAAAACAGCATAACTTCCATGGGGGCAAACAGTATTCTCTGAAACATTAGCATAACTCCTGTACTTTTCCCACAGTGTTTAAAACGATGGTGAGATAATTGATTTTGCATTAGCGATTCCAAGCATAGTATGTAAAAATATTACAAGCCTACTCCTTAGTTGCTTGCCAAAGAAACCTTAAGAAACTGGTAAGAAACATATTGTTTACTTAAGCACAGTGAAAGTCCTTTATATCCCAGATGCTGAGGAACAGCACGAAGCCCTCCTCATGGGTTGGCAGTGCTCTATCAAGGATTCATGGGATTCATCAGGTTTTGATGGGAACTTAAGTTGATAGGAGTAGAGTGGTGGTGAGCTAGGTAAATACTAGCTTGGCTAAAATAGAGTTTCATTGTTCCTGTTTGACAAGCAGTTCCCTGTGGCAAGCAGCCAGAGAAAACTTGGCTAATTGTCAGAAATGGACATCCATAGAGCTACTGCCCAGGGTGAAGTGAGCTGATGCAGGTCTCATAAATGACTAGTGGGTTAAAATACAGGGGAAAGGAGAAAGACCTCTTCGGCTATTCAAAAATCATAAAAATGGCATTGAGCTATAAAAATAAAGCAGACAATTGGCCTTAGAATACAATTTCTTTTCTTTCTCCTTTTCTTTTTGTGAGTATTCCAATAATATTTTCACAGGCTTTCGCATGAGTGAGAGAATCCTGTTTCTGACTCGAAGTTACATTTATTCGCTTTATCTATTGAAAGGAGAAGCAGTGGTGAGGAATGTGGCTAGGAACATGCTACAGATTAATTAAAATGCTGTGAATAGAGAGGGCCTAACGCAAATGGAATTTTCAAGACAGAAAAAGTAATTAAACATGAGTGAGGAAAAAGAGAGCTGCTGTTCTTGGTTCATCCTAAGCTGAATATGTCAGCAAAGGCCATAAAATGTGGCCTTTCTTTATCGAGGCATATTTCTCCTAAAACAACAGCAATAACCATGGTAGTTTTAATAATGGTAATGTGCTTTAAGTTATTCGTGCTTTAAGGACACAAGAGAATCCAGGTTTGGGGGCATAGAGCTTAACCAATTTGGCCTCCGTCTTTGAGAAGAAAAATAAAAAATTACTAATGCTCTATTGCTGGGGTTGCCAGATAAAATACAGGACTCCTAGTTAAATTCGAATTTCATCTAAAAAGTGAATAATTTTTAAGTATAATATTGTCTCATGAAAAATTTGGGACATACTTGTACTATATATATATATATATATATATATATATATATATAGTATTCATTTATTATATACTTGAATCTGATATTCAAACATAACTAGGTATCCCATATCTTTTTATCTGCTAAATTTAACAACCCTGCTCCTAAGGTCTTGGAAGAGTCCCAGAAAATGTGAGAGGAGCCCTGAAGTGAAGCTTCATTAATTTCACAGTGAATCTGTCCTTGAGCCGGTGCTACTAATTGCTGCATTTCATAGATGCAGAATTTGGGGCCATGCTTAGCCGATAGTATCAGATTTGGGGAACCGTATATTTAAAAGAATTTGAAATTATTGTTAAAGCTTACAAGCCATGTGCAAAAGGTAAATGAAGATATCTTGCACATCATATGAGGTAGAATAGAAGGAATTAGAGTTGTTCTGCTTAAATAAGAGTAAAGAAAATGATTGATTACAAATTTCATGAATCAAAAAAGTATAACATCTCAGAATTGAGAGAGACTTGACAATTTAAGTAGTCCACACTGGTTTCAATGTTTGAATCTCCTTGATGACTTCCTCACCAAGGATTTTTTTTTTTTTTTTTTTTTTTTTTTTTTTGAGACAGAGTCTTGCTCTGTCACCCAGGCTGGTAGCATGATATCGGCTCACTGCAACTTCTGCCTCCCAGGTTCAAGCAATCCTTGTGCCTCAGCCTCCCGAGTAGCTGGGATTATAGGCACGCACCATGCATGGCTAATTTTTTGTATTTTTAGTAGGGACAGGGTTTCACCATGTTGGCCAGGCTGGTCTCGAACTCCTGACCTCAGGTGATCCGCCCACCTCAGCCTCTCAAAGTGCTGGGATTAC
This sequence comes from Homo sapiens, assembly GCF_000001405.40. Lineage (NCBI taxonomy): Eukaryota > Metazoa > Chordata > Mammalia > Primates > Hominidae > Homo > Homo sapiens. The sequence continues at coordinate 95,639,289 of NC_000001.11, read as the reverse complement.
AGGCGTGAGCCACTGCACCCAGCCCCTGGCCAATGATTATTGGTCATATTGTAATAGTTGCAAACCTTAGCCACTAAACAAAAGTACATGTAGAAGAAATCTTTTTTTTTTTTTCATCTAAGTAAAATAAAATCTGACTCTAAGCCTCATGCCTATTTGGCTGGCAGGAAATTCTGTCACCATTACTGAAGGCCCTTTCTTCTCTCAGGGTCACTTTAGAGTTCAGGAGATTAAAGGGGTAAAAGCCATGACTCTCCAGCCTGTCACAGTTGCCTCTAATGTCCCAATTTTTTAAACCACTAGTGGTCCCTGAAAAAGTGGTGCTCTTTCCACATGTCCCACAGTAAACACCATGGCAAGACTGAAAACCCTTTGCCTGGAGTTCAGCCTTTCCCTTGGTGCATCTTCCGCTTTGGAGCTCTACCGGAGTGCTGCCACTGTGACCCAAAGAAGACACCAGTCATCCCTAGACATGGGGTACCTCTGACCTCACTGCTTCTCAGAGACAGTTACTTTCTGGCCCTTCTCACCAAAAGGCTAGGTTTGGGAGAGTGAGACATCACAAAAATTTATATGATACATTTTTTCTAATATATATATCTGAAAACCTTTCATATTAGGAAACTCACTAAGCCTAGGAGTGACCTAGTCCATCACTGGTCAACTCTGACAGTTTTTAAAGTTGAATCCCTATATCTTTTACCCATTGGTATCAGTTGAACCCTCAGGAACACACAGTTCCTGTCCAATCTAAGAATGGCGAAAAACTTTAATCCGAGTTACGGTACAGAATTTACTGCTGAAAGCACCTTGCTGAGGGGGATTGTGAGGCTGCATCTGGTGTTTGAAGGGAACAAAGGCTTTGTTTAATTATTGATGTCTGATAAGAAACATGGCGGCATTGTGGGACACTGTCAAACCTGGACTAATCCATCTTCTGAACAATAATCCTTCAAAGGTTTGAAGCCCCTTGAGTTGTCATTTCTCCAGACCAAACACCACCACCTCCTTCAGGCATCTGCTTTATGACCCAATTTTAACTTCTCTCACAAATTGTCTTCTTCCTTCTGAGCAAAAGTCACTATTCCTGTCTCCCTCTTCAAGTGTAGAGACCAGAAGTGACCATAAACATATGAAGATGTCTATGTGGGAAATGCTGGCCAATTAGGCCTCATCTCCAAAGATTATCCAACAGAAGGAGATGAGATGTAGAAAAACAGCAGATACCTAATCTTGATACAATGAAGATCTTGTTCATTTGCTTTTAGTTCTTCAAGCTTCAAGTCTCTATGCTTTCAAAATGCCAATCTCTCTCTCCTTCCTACTACTCCCTTCTTTATATTCTTCACTGCTAATGCCAATTAATTTTTAAAATTAAAGTGGCATCTCTTCTAACCTCATTAGTCAGGGCCAGGTGCTCTTTCTGTATTCCCACCAGCCCTTGCGATGCCTCTAGCAAAGCACTTTCCACCTGCTGTTAGGATTGTCTGCTGGGTTCACCATCTCTCCATGTTGATTTCTGATGCCTGAGACACTGAATTACTGGTCTGGAGGTTGACATTTTAACAAAATGCCTGGCACCTAGGAGGGGTATAAATATATGTACTAATGGAAATGGATAATTTGTGTGATAAAACACTGGAGTGAACACCAGTGGGACAATCTGGGAAAGCCTCCTGGTGCTCATCAAAGACATGAAAGCAGACAGAGGTGTTGTTCACTGGGATTCTCCTTTCACTTATTCACTCATCACTCATTACATGCAAGAAGAGCTCTGCTCAAAGCATCCCATCCAAAAAAAGTAGATATGCATGTCTGCTCATAGAGTAATGAGACCTATTAGGAGCAGTGCATGAAATTTCCATATTGATCTCCAGTCATCTGATAGAAGCCTTCACTTGCTTAAGCCCCATTACACTAGTATTTTTGTGGTGGCCCAGGGATTCACAATAGTGACACTGTAATAGAAACTAAAAAGGCAGGGGAAGGGGGAGTTTTCAAAGCATGGCTTTCAGACTATAGGAACATGGGCAAAGATGGGAACATGGGCAAAGATGGGAACATGGGAAATGTGTCAGGGCTTGCCCCAGAATCTCCCTGGCTCCCTTTCTGCGCTGACTGCACAAGATAGGGCAGAGACCACTCTGATAAGCATCACACAGCATAAGCAAAATCCCAGGAGCACTTTGAAAGATGCAGGGACAGGAAGAGCATGGTGATAAAGGAAACCAGTATTCTACAGACAAAGATAAATTAATAACCCACACTGAAGGAACTGTCTCAACTCATCTGCCACTAGGTTTTCTTTTCAGAGATGACACCACTGACAATGCTTACAAGATAGAATGAGATCAGATTTGCCAAAGGGGCATGTGTGGGCTCCAAGCCCTATAATCCCTCCCCAGCCATACCCAGAAGATAAACTTTAGGTGGCAAATTTTACTTGGTGTAATTGGATATTTTTGTCTTGCTTCCCTAGAGAAGCTACCATCAGAAGTGGATATGTTAAAATCACATAAAATGGGTATTGTTTTAAGAAAAAAAAAACTATGTTTTTTAGAATTCCAATTAGGCAAATTTTTTAATTTCCTGAGGCCTTTTTTTGTAAAAAGCAAATTAAACCTATTTGAGGTAGGCCCTGAATGACTGTTATTCGATTCTGTTGGGGGCATTTAGTCTTGGCTGTGCCTAGAAAAGAAGATTCACAGTAAATGGCCTATGGGGGTGACTGCCATTTACCCCCATGTTTTCATAAATGGAAGCAGCCAGGCAAAGAGCACAGCTGTCACATTTCCTAAACATGCATCGAGGGTGGGAGCTACTTGAGCAACAGCCAACGTGACAGGCAGGTTGCCTCACAGAGCAGATCTAAAATTTTATTAGCAACAATTTGAACTGTTCAGGCAGGTTAAACGCCTTGTGTTTATGTATAAAGATAGATCAGTTCACTCATCTTGCATTTTCCTTGGCTGTTGATCAGTTCTAAAAATGAACCTGCAATGTGTCCAGTGTTCCCTAATATTGGAAATGGTCAGTGATCAAAAGAAGAGTGAAGCACACCAGATAAATGAAAAATTCACCTGGACCAGAAATCTGAAAAGGTTTGTTTAATCTTCTTCCCCTGCGCATCTTCCCCTTGCAGATTCCAATTGGAGTGGAAATGCCAGGTTGCTCAGAGAGACAGTTGTCCTTGTAATGTGTCTTGGCCAATTGGAAACTGGCAGCATTCAGGCTCTCTTGAGAACTTCTTCTTGCCAAGCTCCTAAGACATTTCCCAAGACTTAGTGGATTGGCCAATTGTACAACATTTCACTAAGCACACAAACTTTTCATAGCACATTCCAGACTTTTCAGAACACTGAGTTGTTAGCGAAGTGGGAAAAAAAATGGCGTTTTATTCTTGTCTCCTGAGATGCTTCCAAATGTCATCATCATGGTCTCCCTAAAAGAGTGAAATGTAATGCAAATTCCCTTTAAGGTAAGGCTAATTAAGGGACACTTAAGTTTGGAGGAAAAACAAAAGCATAGATGAAACCACTTTAACAAATTAACCAAAAATTCAATTCTGGTCCTTATAAGAACTTAACCTTTTGTTCAGGATCAGTCATAACATCATTAACTTCATTCAAAGAAATATATTTATCCTGAGAACAGAATAGAAAAAGTCAATAACTAGATTCCAAAACTTTAAAAGAGAAAGATAGATCTCTAAATTACTAGATGAATTCAACCTTTTGGAAAAACATTTTGTATTTATTAAGAAGATTTTTACTGTAGCAGGGGGAAATTACTAAATTGTTAGCTGAGAACCAATGGTGGAAATTATGTGAATGCCTACTTCACTTGAACCCTTCTAAAATTATGGTGTTGATTCATGTATAATTAAAAGCCCTCAGAAAATATCCTACAGCCTGTGATGGGGGTCATTAAATAAATTAGACTAATTCTGATTTTACAAATGCAATTGTAAATTAAATAAAGTATCAAAAACAAATTCAATCACAGCTGTTTGGAAGAGTTTGTCGCTTAAAAACTTCACTTATCACCAAATAATATAATTAGGCAATTACCAAGTGACAACTGAGTGATGATTATAGCAGTCAAAGCAAAAGGGCAGAAGTCTTAAACTCCCAGAAAAGTCACTCACAGACAGATCACAATCAATCAAAGAGGGTACCTATTGACTAATTTTGTCTGACTTTCAGGTCAGCAACAGCTTTTGCCAGTTGGTGACTAGACCCACAACCAGTGAATCCATTAGGCACAGTAGATGCAGGACCTAGGGCCTGCAATACTTTTAGGGGTCCATGAAAATGTGTTAATTTGTTTTAAAAACAGAAGAAAAAAAACCATTTAGGTTAAAGAAAATAGTTTAGCATGTAATGTTAATAGAGTCATCTGGATATCAACTCAGTCATGAAACATAATTTTTACTGTGATGTTTATAGAAGAGGGGCCCATGAAGGCAGAAGCACCCAGGACCCATGAACTCATTAGGTGGCCCTGTCTAGACCTTCCCACGGGACCCCAGGTCAGTCAACTGCCTTGGTGAGGGCCAGGGGCCAGCCAGATATAGGAGGGAAGATGGAAGGAAGGCAGGCTGAATGAGGTACAGAATGTGGTCAAGAGCTTTATGGCATAAGACTAAGGGTGTAGGTCACATGTAGGCAAGAGATCGGTTTTACCAAGAGGGTGGCAGGCCTGAGGTTATAAGCTATATAAAACCAAAAGCTTTGTTTTCTTCACCACTGTATCTCCGTATCAGGTGTGGTGCCTGACGCATAATAATCTAGAGTGTGTTATGGAAACTACCAAACAGTGTTAAGAAAGGAATATGTCCCTGTCATGCAATTACTTACCCCACTTCTATAACTACTAGCACCAGCTCTAGTGATTCCTCAACAATATGCTTCTTTTACGTCCACCTTGATCAACTGTCTGCCACCGGGAGTAAATTCACACTGAGGCAAGCTCGGTGGTGGCTAAACCATGGATCTCAGTTAAGTCTGACTCCTTCACATACCAGGACTGGAACTTTAAGAAAGTTCTTTACCCTTTCTAAACCTCAGTTGCCTCATATATGACATGAAGATATTTGCTCCCACACTAAGTGTCATGAGGACAAAAAGAGACCATGTGTGTCTTCTGCTAAGCCCAATGACCCCAACACTTAGGTTCCTTTTGTGTCAATTCTGTATTACCTGGCACATAACCACGTTTAATAATATGTCTTTACTAGTGCCCCTAAAATTTGCCTCTAAATATTTGCAGTTGGCTCATTTTCCACGCAACTATTAACTAAAGATACTCCTAGATTAAAAAGTGAAGATGAACAGAAGCCAACCAGCTGCTTGGTGGCCCAACTGATTATTAAGTATTAACTTACACCATCACAAGTTCCCACAATAGGCTGTCTGCAAGCTTGAGGAGCAAGGAGAGACAGTCCAAGTCTCAAAACTGAAGAACTTGGAGTCTGATGTTCAAGGGCAGGAAGCATTCCGCGCAAGAGAAAGATGTAGGCTGGAAGGTTAGGCCAGTCTCACCTTTTCAAATTTTTCTGCCTGCCTTATATTCATTGGCAGCTGATTAGATTGTGCCCCCCAGATTATGGGTGGGTCTGTCTTCCTCAGCCCACTGACTCAAATGTTAATCTCCTTTAGCAACACCCTCACAGACACACCCACGGACAATATTTTGCATCCTTCAATGCAATCAAGTTGACACTCAGTATTAACCATCATAACCTAAAAATTCATAATGTTAAAAAATTTCAAATGTTTTCTAGCAGTATAGTCATTAGACTTTCCTGTTGTATTCTGAAGTATTGAAAGTGTTTTCCCTCCCATGTCTCAATATCTCAATGTGAGTAGCATCCAAATATTAAATATTCATCAGCTTATGTATAAAGCTTTCCCTTAAAATTTTTAGTATTAAATTCTATCTTTTTAATCTGAAATTTTATTAGAAACATTCTTAAACAAGGAAAAACACCATCCAATGCCAATGAGTTTGCAAATATAACATCAAATTGTTTCAACACATTGCAAACACAAATGGTCTAATATATTTCATTGGACATTATGCAATTAAAAGGATACTTATTGGCTCCATAGGCTATGTCATCTAGCCCCATCATCTATTTAGACAAGGATTATTTCTAACCATTATAATAAGCAAATTGAATAATGGGACTTTCAGGCCTTGTAAGGTCACATTTTAGTTAATTTTAAATTCTTCTGGTGAATGTATGAAATTATGGTAAATTTATTGCTTTTAGAAAGTGTTCTACAGTTATTCTGCATCCATTTGAACCCTTTGAATTAAGCCAATTAAATCCATTTGCATTATTATTTCTGTTATAGGCAGGTGATTGAATTTTATCAATTTCTCCCCTAATAGCCAAATCATACATCTACTTGCTACACTAAAAATCATGCCTTTCTCCTACGTTATTCTACCTTTGGCTTCTTCCCAGTTTTTCTCAGGAACTAGTAACAATCACTCTTTGAAATATAGATGGGAAAATCTTCATCACTATTCCAAAAACATTTTTACTTTGGTGAGTTCATAAGCAATCTTTTTCTCACTAGTGTATATTTTAGATATTTAACTCATAAATAAATTAGGCTTATTCTAGTCATTTCCACAAAGATTCTCCTCTTGGTCTTCATAATACAGAGTTTGTACCTTGGAAGACAATCCTAATGCTCTCCTGACCAGTCACTTTATTTGCAGATAAGAAGTTCTGAGTTCTTATTTTGCTTAATATCTAACCGAGAGCATGCATGTTAACCTAATTTATATTATCCCTGCTCTGCCTAACATAAAATTCTAGAAAATAGACATCACTCATCAAGTAGTTCAATCAGGATATGCCATTTATGTTCCCAAGTCATTTGATTCCACTGGGCTTTCTCTTGCAGCTGTCAGTCTCTTTAAATCCTTTCTTACTTTCACCCTTGTCCTTACTTTTTTCTTTTTTTTTCATCTTAAAATTTTTTTTTTTTATTTTACTTAAGTCTCAGGATACATGTGCAGAATGTGCAGGTTTGTTACACAGGTATACATGTGCCATGGTGGTTTGCTGCAGCTATCAACACGTCATCTAGGTTTCAAGCCCCTCATGCATTAGGTATTTGTACCTTATTTTCTTTCATATGTAGTCACACCTGACCTTCTCAGTCTTTTTTATTTCCCCAGAGCAACTTCCATTAGGTTCCCCAGCTCTCTATGCCTTATTTTCAGCTGCCTTCTTAATTTTTGAATAATCTCCTACCCTGAGGCCCTTCTAGCTTCATCTTCAACTAGCTTCTGAAAGCCCCCTTCTGCTGGGAGCTTCATTATGCTGATTTGCCTGCCAGCTACACTCTCCAGGCCTCATTCGCATGAATGTTGTCCTGGACAAATCAAAGTGCCGACACTTTAGGAGAAAGGCGCTGTCTGTTTCCATCTCTTCTAAAGCACCATGTCTGGCTCTAAAAATAACATCTCCCATCAAAATAATGTTCCTTAACTCAGTGTCAGAGCCTATCACCCAAGCCATGGCCAGATCTGCAAAGTCAGCTTCCATTCTTCCTTCAGATTCTTTTTTTTTTTTCAAGTTTTCTAGAAGTTCTAGGGCCAAAAGTCTCCCAGAAGGTGAAAAGGAAGGAGAGGTATTTTTTATAATAAAAGGATAGGAAAAGCCATTGTGAACGTTGTAGGGTCATTTTGTGCTAGCAGCAAAAGGGCTGACTATTCATATGATGTAGAAATGAAAAGATGGGTGATTTAATAAAAAGTTCTGAGGCTTTGCTGGTTTTATCTCCCATCTCTTTCATTTTCAGAGATATTTTGAAGGTAGTTTACACAATAGTAATGATCTATCATTAGTTTGGTTCCCTAAAAATCTCAAGTTATCCAAAAGGTTTTTTGTTGTTGTTGTTGGCTTTTTATCTTTAAAAAGAGTAACTACTCAAATATTTTTAAAATTTCTAATCATTGTATAGTACGTGAGCAAAGTGAAATGTGGTATTTTTTATGTTTAAATATATATATAGATGTAGGGAGATTGTTCAAGCTAATTTTCATTCCATTTACATTCAGAAAGGAAAAGGTCTCTATATTTCAGGGGTCGTCTATAGTATTTTGTTTTTATGGAAACATTAGGAAGAGGAAGCAAATTATGCAGGACTCCATTTAGTTTTGATTGCCTCAAAATACAAACTGCTGAGGTTTTATAGGCTTGCACTATGGAAAGAAAAATACTTACCACCTAATTCCAGATATTTTGTGACTTATGAACCACTAGACATAAAATCATTGAGTCTCCAGGGCAAGAAAGAACCTAAAGTAGAAACAAGGCAATCAAGCCAGTCAATAATGAAGATCAAAAGTAAAACTTTCATTCCTGAATAAGCCTGTTTTGAAGTTTTACAATATTTGCCTTTTTTTATTTATTTGTTTTGGGCCTGCATACATCTGGTCAGAATCTTCCTATTCCTCATTTCTAGTGGTTTTCCTAACCCAATTAACATTTAAGGTACATTATTTACAAGGTAATGGTAGGACTTGATTTTTTTTTAAAGTTAAAATAATTATGTGTTATTTATTTACTTAAACAAAGGTCACACATTCAAATGTCTTCAGGAGCTAAACGGATGGCCTATTGCATTGCACAACTCCAAGGTACTATTAATTTCTGACGTATTCCACATAAATGGTGGAACGCTAATAATACATAAATGGAGCTGAGAAACCCAGTGGACTGCCTACAATAGATAAAGTAAATGTGTAAAATGGCCCTGGACCAAACTGTAGGAAGCAGAGGGGCCTGTTGCCAAAGGAGGGTGCAGGACCCTGCAAACAAAGCAAATGCATATCTGCAAACTGAAATTTGGACAGTAGGTCAAATGTTTATGATTTCATTTTATAAATAGATTAGGGAAGTATTTGTCTATGGATAACTAGATTGTATCTCCTATATTATTAAAATTATTCTAGTGCCATGTCTGATTTTCAGTTTTTTAAAATTCTCTTTCAATTACCAGATTTTAAGGAGAATTTAAAAATCAAAAGGCAGTATAGCAGTGGGGGTCCATGCTATACCACAAGCAGATCGATCACAACTTATATTGTCTATTAGTACAGGAATGTAATGACAAATCTGTTTCCACAGCAACACATAATTTTTAGATCCAAATGAAGTTATTATTTAGACATTCATTTATTTATTTGTTTTGGGCCTGCATACATCCTGCTTCTTCGCATCTTCATCCTGTCCACATCTGTCCAATGATTGTTCAACAAAATTTATTTTTTCTCAATAAGTAGGCAAGGTACTCTGCAAGGTGGCACAGTCCTTAACTACAAAAAAGCTTACTGTTTAGATAAGTAACAAATATGTACACAAAGGTATGTGGAATTGCTATATATCAGTTGTTTTTAAAATGCAGCAGTTGGTACAAAAAAGGGAAAAATTGGGGGATATAAGAAAGGCAGTGAATGTATCAAAGAGATATCTGCACTCCTGTGTTTATCACAGCACCATTCGTAATAGCTGAAATAGGGAATCAACCTAAGTGCTCATCAATAGATGAATAAAGAAAATGCGGTACATATACAATGAATTGGTCCATTCTCATGCACTATGAAGAAATACTGGAGACTGGGTGATTTATAAAGAGGTTTAGCTGACTCACAGTTTCGCATGGCTAGGGAGGCCTCAGGAAACTTACTATCATGGCAGAGAGGGAAACGAACACATCCTCCTTCACATGGCAGCAGGAAGGAGAAGTGCGGAGCGAAGTGGGGAAAATCCCCTTATAAAACCATCAGATCTCATGAGAATTCACTCACTATCACGAGAACAGCATGAAGGTAACCACCCCCATGATTCAATTACTTCCTGCCGGGTCCCCCGCCATGACACGTGGTGATTATGGGAACTACTATTCAAGATGAGGTTTGGGTGGGGACACAGCCAAACCATATCATACAAAATGAAATATTATTCAGCCATAAAAAGAATGAAATCCTGTCATCTGTGGCAAAATGGATGGAACTGGAGGCCATTACGTTCAGTGAAATAAGCCAAGCACAGAAAGACAAATATCACAGGTTCTCACTCATATGCAGAAGCTTAAAAAGTAGATCTCATGGAGCTAGAGAGTAGAGTGGTGATTACTAAAGGCTGGAAAGTGGGAGGGGTTGAAGGGGAAAAATAATATAAAGGTATTTATTAACACTCAACTGTACACCTAAAAATAATAAAGACGGTAAATTACATATGTATATTTAACCTCAAATTTTAAAAAATTTTAAAAAGAAAGGCATTGAAAATGGTCTTTGAAGACGGACCAGTTCAAAGTCATGTCAGAAAAAAGTAGTTGGCATCATGCCACACATAAAGCATTCCATTAGAGAGGATATAAAGGCAAGAAAAGATGTGACCAATTTGAACCATGTGGGTGGATCCCATGGAAACTGTGGAGGAGTAGATGGAATAACAAAATTATGAGAAAGATAAGTTGAAGTGTTACCTTACTGGCTGCTCCTTTTTAGACGGATTTTCCTTCTCCAGGTCATTCCCTCTTCTCCCCTTTAAATAATACAGCTCAGGCCTTGGACAGCTTCCATTTTCTATTCACAATCACATCCTTTATGATCTCATCTACTCTTGTGGATTTAAATGCTATCTTTATTCAGATGACTCTGAAATTTGTGTCTCCACTGCATACCCTGAACTCAAGACTTGTACATCCAATTGCCATCTATACGTAGAAGCCTAATGGGCATCACAAAATTAAGAGTATTATCTTGATCTATTTGGGATGCTGTCACATAATACCACAAACCAGGTGACTTATAAAGAACAGAAATTGACTTCTCACAGTTCTGGAGGCTGAGAAGTCCAAGATCAAGGCACATTCAGTGTCTGGTGAGGGCCCACTTCCTCTTAGACAGTGCCTTCTCACTGTGTCCTCACATAGTGAAAGGGACAAGGAGTCTCTCTGGGGCCTCTTTAATAAGGGCATCAATCTTATTCATGAGGGCTCTGGCCTTATGACCTAATTACCTCCCAAAGGCCCTGCCTCTTAATACCATCACATTGAAAGTTAGGATTTCAACACAGTAATTTGGGGAAGACACAAACATTCAGTCTACAGCAAATGCTAAAGCTGAGTTCCTGGTACTCTCCACCAAGCCTATTTCTCCTCCACCCTTCTGCATACAATTGATTTTCTTGCAGATGCTCAGACCAAAAATCTTAAGGTTACTCTTGACTCCTTTCTTTCTCTGATGTCAACAAACAATTATTTTAAAAACCAAAATTTGACCATTTCTCATCATTGCCTTTGCTGCCATCACTCTGGCCTGTGTCACATCGTCTCTCACCTGGATTTCTTCAATATCTTCCTACCAGGTCTCTTTGCTTCTTCCCTTGCCCTCTGTACACAGAATTCCCAACAAAGGAACCAGAATGGTTCTGTTAAAACACCAGGCAGATCATGTCTTTCCTCAGCACAAAATACTAAACCAGCACCCACCTTGCTCATAGGAAAGCCCAAATCCTTACAAGGACCTTACAAGGAAGCTAAGTGAGCTTTCCTTCACTCAGCTTCAACCAAGGGTGGCCTCTTTGTTTTCCCTGCAGCTTCCACCTCGAAGCCTTCGTGGCTAGCATTCGCTCTTCCTGGAGGCTTTCCCTGTGGATACCCATGCAGCTCCCTCAATTTCTTACACCTTTTTTGACATGTCGCCTTCCCATTGAGACCTACTCTGGTCCGCGTGTCTAGAATGGCACCCTCCCTCCCCTGACTCCCACACATCCCCTTCTCTGACTCATTGTTCTCCTTAGCCCTTATCACTGTCTGACACATGCATTCTGTATATTTATCTTGTTTATTCTCAGCTCCCTCTCTGATGTAAGCGCCAAGAGAGCAGAGATGTTTGTAGATTTTGTTTATTTTGTATCTCCAGCATCTAGAACAGTATCTCCTAGGTAGTAAGAACTTAATAAATACTTGGTGACTGAATTAATAAAGAAGAGCCTTAAATGGTTGCAGGCAATTAAAAAACACTGAAGATGTTTGAATGGAATCTGAAGAAAGAGTAATGAGCAACAAATCCCTGCCCAAACCTTGAACTAAGGTATATGGAGGCAGAAATGGCATTTTGGGAAAATTGTTGAAAAGCAAAATGTCAGAAAAATTCCGATGCTCATGTTCCTTCATGATAATTCAATCTCTGTTTATTTCTGACTTGATTTTATCAGGTCAGCTTGGCATTATGGAAGAAGTGAAGGTATTGGAGCAAAAAAAAAAATCTAAGTTTAAATTCTAATTTTTTTAAATTTTTAAGTTTTTCATTTTAAAATTCTGATTCTGATTGTGAAGGTCAGTTTCATCCATAAAATGGCAGTTGTAATTAAAATTCATTTTTATGGGTTGTAAGGATTACTAATTATTAGTAATATACATAAAATATACAGCAGGAAACAGGTATTCATAAAATCTTAATCCCTTTGCTTTAACAATTAGGAAAAACAGAGCATAGCTAGTCTTCTAAACTTATATGCCTTTGCATAGTTTATTCACTAAAATTCTTGCTAATGTTATGGGTAGAAATTATCAACCGACATTTGACTAATATGCTCAGCAATAAAATGTGCCTGCTATACAATTTCTTCTTCTGTGTATCATTAATTTTTCTATGATCCAGGCTTTCAAATTCCACACTTATCTTCTAACTATTCCTTCAATGCTCAATGTCTTTCAGTATGCCCCACCAAAATAACTTTATTGAATTTAAAATGCATTAATTTTTTTATTCTGTACTTCTCTCATAAAAAAGCTTTGAAAATTAATTTTAAAATTGATTTAAACCAAAAGAGGTTAGGATCACTATATCCCACTCCAAATTGCCCATATAATTTCTGTATTAGGCAAAGTAGAACTAACTAATCTAGTGGTTCTCAAATATTTTGGTCTCAAGATCCCATTACATTTTTGAAAAAAGTTATTGTGGACTCTCAAAGAACTTTTGTTTATATATGTTCTACCTATTAATATTTATCACATTAGAAATTAAACAGAAACAATTTTTAACACAAGAATATACAAGGATACATGTCATTAGCTGTAAGAGAAATGACATTATCACACATCTTAAATCATCTGGAAAAACTCTGCTATATAATCATGACGGAATGAGAGTGGCAAAGGTAAACAACATCATGGCATTATTATGAAAATGGTTTTCACTTAGCAAACCCTACACAAGTGTCTTAGGAACACCTAGGGGTTCTTGGACCACACTTTGAGAACCACTTGCCGAATCTTTGTTTAGTAATAAGTAACTCGAGCCCGGGCGGTGTGGCTCACACCTGTAATCCAAGCACTTTGAGACACCAAGGTAGGAGGATCACTTGAAGCCAGGAGTTCAAGACCAGCCTGGGAAACATAGCAAGACCTTGTCTTTACAAAAACAAACAACAAAACAAATAACCCCCGAATTCTCAGTGACAGATAGGCATTGTCTATCTTATAGCTAGACCACCTGGAACATGTGGCTTTACCTCAACAAGAAAAGAGACAGATAGGAGAGGCACCTAACTGGCTGTTAACCACTCAGACTCAGAAGTATACATGTCACTTCCACTCACAGTTCATTTGCCAGAAGCCGTCACTCGGTCCCAACCCACTGCAAAGGAGGCTGGCAGACTGGAAATCCACCATACTGACCTGCTTTAAAACTTATGACTAACCAGCCTTCTCCAAGTACAGCATAGAGAATCATCATAGTTGTGTTCCCTTCAGTCTGCTGAGCAGAACCCAGAGTCATGGTGTTTACACAGGCAGGGACCAGCAGAGAAGTGGCAAACAGATTCAGGATAAAGTTCACTAAGGGAGTAAGTAAGTGATTGGATCCAGTTACAACATCATTGCAATCTAAGACTTATCTGATTTATATGCCATAGTTTCTTCATCCACTTGTTGACTGATGGGCATTTGGGTTGGTTCCACAGTTTTGCAATTGTGAATTGTGCTGCTATAAACATGAGTGAGCAAGTATTTTTTCATATAATGACTTATTTTCCTTTGGGTAGATACCCAGTAGTGGGATTGTTGGATCAAATGGTAGTTCTACTTTTAGTTCTTTAAGGAATCTCCACACTGTTTTCCATAGTGGTTGGGCTAGCTCACATTCCCACCAGCAGTGCAGAAGTGTTCCCTTTTCAACACATCCACGCCAACATCTATTATTTTTTGATTTTTTGATTATGTCCATTCTTGCAGGAGTAAGGTGGTATCGCATTGTGGTTTTGATTTACATTTCCCTCATAATTAGTGATGTTAAGCATGTTTTCATATGTGTGTTGGCCATTTGTGTATCTTCTTTTGAGAATTGTCTATTCATGTAAGACTTGTCTGATTTAATGAACACTTAACACATATGAGCCAGAGGCTGCATTTTTGGTCTCTTTTAATTTTCCTGAAAACCTGATGTGTTACACACCATCCTTATACCAATTTCTAAGCTGGGAAATTGAGACACAGAAAGGTTTAAATAACTTGTCCAGGGTCTTATGGTTAGCGCAGAGTGGGCTGGGATTTGAGTACAGATCTTTTGGACTTGAGACTGTATTTAAATGGCTTGGCCTCACAGTACTGCTTGCCTGAGGCATTCTTTCCTTGAGGAAATCCTTCATTATCATAAAGGTCTTTTTGGAGTTTCCTCAAGTTGACTTCATCCCCCAAACTGGGTGAGGAACATGTGACCCAACTGTTAACAATCCAACACCATCAGTGTCACTTGGTGAATCAAAATATCTATAAAGGTTGTCTTTGCTAAATTTCATTCACTGTGTCTTAACTATCTCCTTGAAAGTTCCAATGTAATGCACAGGACATGAGGTACTGGGTTCTTGACCCATCTCTGCATGGGATGAGTCATATCACTTTCCCAATTTGTATAGATGAGGAGGCATAGGTGGTGCAGAGATGTGGGAATCAGACAAACCGACCGATGCTAGGATCCCTGAAATGCCATAAACTGTTGCTGCAACCTTGGGCAAGGCATTTAACTTGGCCATGCTTCAGTTTCTTTCTCTGTAAAATGGAAATAGTGATGCGATAATTTAAATATTACAGTGAAATGAGAAGTATATGAAAAGCACCCTTGAAGGTCCATGCACCAGGTACATGTCATCCAACACTTCCATTCCATCCTTCTACCCTGTACCAGTAGAATGTACCAAAAAGAGCCCCAAGATCTGTCCCAAGACAAAAACTGTGATTCTGTTTAAGTCTTTTAATCAAATTAATGCATCTGCAATCCCTCACCAGAGCATTCACCTTTGTAAATATAAGAAAAACCCATTTATATACAACTGTTATATAATATTAATGCCTCTTTTATATAAGGTTTTATTCTTTTATACTTTTCAAACACATTGAAACACATATCAAGGCAGTTTTTTTCTTAGATGAAATGCATAAAATTTAGTCTGGCAGAGTTTCATTTTGATTTGCTCAGGTTGTCTGCTTCCTTCATTTACGAAGCAGGTATGGGGTCTACACACTACAGTACAGTGTTTAAAAAGACAGAATGCCAAGAACTGGTGCAAACATTTTGTAAAGCTTTTCAACAATATGTATAAAAAGCCTTAAATTACTACAGAAAGTTAATCCTGACTAAAGAAAATGTGAAATTATAAATATGAAAAAGACTTTATATACAAAGATGTCCAACATGGGATTATTTAAATTAGTTAAAACATTGGCATAATCTAAATTATCCAAAATTGGAAATTAGATATGTAAATTAGGATAAATTCCAATTATGTTATTTTATGATATATATGAAAACTTATAATGATATGGTATATAATTTAGGAACACACTCTGCTGAAAATAAGAGAAAAATCTGGTTAATAGTGGATTGAGCAAGGAAAGGTTTGTTCTTCTTGCCTAACAAGAGGCCAGGGGACGGGTGGTTGCTGTTTTGTTGTGCAGCTGCTCTGTGATAAGGTTAGAACGTGGGCTCTTTCGTATGGTTCATGCTGTCACTGACAACTCTGCGCTTTTTATCCGTAGGCTCATTGCCTCATAGTAGCAAGATGACTGCAGTGGCTTCAGGTATCACATCTGTTCTCAGGACAGGGAGAAGGGGAAATGGCATTATCAGAGATGTCTCCTCTTGCACCTATCTGTTTCATCAGAAAGTGAAATATCTTTCCCAGGCATCCCCCATCAGATCTCCCTTTGTGTCCCATGGTCCAGAGCTGCTTCCGTGGACACCACTAGCTTTCACAGAGATTGAGCAGTGAATTCAGCTTTCTACTTCTATAGTGGAGGCAGTAAAGGCAGAAAGCAGTAGGCAAGCAGTGGTATGTATGCGAGGGAGAGACTGAAGTCAGGTTGGAAGAGAGGAAGCAGAATGCGAAAGAGCACAACGCAGCTATCCTGAAATGTGGCAGCATGCTGTGGAGGATGATTTCACAGTCCTGTCCCAGCAGCACGGTCAGTGTTCACTTCCTCCCAAGGTTGGTTGCAGGAGGTCAGGCTGCCTGGGGGAATGCAGGCTGAGCACTGAAGCTGATGGAAGGCTGCTTCTGGTGCCAAGAAAGCTCTTAATTGTTACAGCACTTTCAGTTCTGTATTTCACTGCGTTGAAGTTCTCCAATTTGTCATGTATCCTGGAAGTGGGATATGGTATAACATGGTGGTTAGGACTAGGACTGGAGTCTGACATAGTTGGGATTAAATCCTATCTCAGCCACTTACCTGCTGTATGACCTTGGTCTAGGTGTGTGACTTCCCTCATCTTTGATTTCCTCATGTCCAAAATGGAAACACATCAGTGACAACAATAATTTTTATTATTGTATTAGTAGCAGTAGTAGCAGGATATTAAAACTTGCCTTACTCTTTTGTTCTCAGAATAAATATAGTCAAGAATGCAAAGCACATGCATAGCTATACATTACAAGTCAGCTGATCTTATTTGAAATGGGTATCAATGTATCAGATGTCAGAGAAAAGTGAAACAGCAGTCTAGGAAGAAAAATAATATTGGCAAATCATATAAATATTAGGAAATAATGAACTCTATTGAGACGATATTATGTATCAGGAAGTGCTTTATTTGTGTTACCTTACTGAATTCCCACAGTTGATATGGGGGGACATTAGTGAGGATCAGTTAAGTTATGCTTTGGTGACAAAAAACTCCAGTGGCTTACAAACTTCTCACTCATGCAAAGTCACTCTCCAGGTCTGAGCCTTTTGCAGCAGCACTCCAAGCTGCTTTGATCAGCTAGCATCCCCTTGTCAGCACATGCAACCACAACCACCGAGGCAGGGGGTATTAACCATGTTTCTATCTCTGAAAACTTGATGTTTTAACAATGCCCTACATGCATATGCTAGAGATGCCTTGCCTTAGACAACCCAATAATGTGCCTCAGTCACCTTGCCTAAGCCTCCTGCTTCCTTCATCGCCCTGTCCCCAGTCTTAGTCCATTAGAACTGCTATAACAAAATACCACAAATGGGGTGGCTTACAGACATTAGAAATTTATGTCTCACCATTCTGGAGGCTGAAAATCCAAGATTAGCGTGCCAGCATAATCATTCTGGTTAGAGTTTGCTTTCTGGTTTATAGATGGCTGTCTTCTGGCTGTGACCTCACATGGCAGAAGGAAATGAAGGGTCTCTCTAGGGTCTTTTTTTAAAAGGACAGTAATCCATTCATGAGGACTCGACCTTCATGACTGAATCACCTCCCCAAAGCCTCACTTCCTAATACCATCGCTCTAGGGGTTAGGATATCAACATAGGAATTTTAGGGGGCCACAAACATTCAGACCATTGCACCCTCCCACCACTCTCCTCTGGAGTTCTCCTCCTCCCTGGGGGTTACGGTCTCTAATACAAACCCACCAATCCAGAGTGCACACCCTAAAGCGCTTCCTTTATCAGGCTTACACTCTGGGCCACTGTAGACTTGTCCTAATCACCCAGGGCCAGATACCAGACAACTAGGGACAGCCGCTGTGCCCCAGAGCCTGCCCAAATCACTCAGAGTAGCCAAGCCTAACCCTGCCTACCCTGCCTCACCTTTCCTTCCCACCCAGTTCCTTCCCTCCCTGTGCCTCAAGACCTACCCCAGTGCTTCCCATATGCCCCCTGGGACATGGGGTCCCCTTCTTGGGACCTGGGAGTAATAAACTATCTTTTCTATGGCAATTGTTTCCTGACCTGTTGGCCTTAATACACCTGAAATGATTTACTTATACACTATAGTTTTAAAACACAAAGGAAGAAAGAAAAAACCATGGAGAATCAGCTTTTGTATGCTTCCACCTAGACACACAAGCACCTGCTCATCTGCATTGGGAAGGGAAAGTTCAGTCTTCCCCGTGTGTACACAGAAAGAAAGATAAGGGGAAATATGGGTTCTCTACCACTGGTGGAGTCATAAAAAGTGAAGTGGTACACAATGGGAGGGGGAGGTGGCAGTGGGTGGATGTCTGAACCAGGGCCCTTAGAAGCCCATATTTGAGCCAGTGGGCAAGCTGGCCCTGTGTTGGTCACTTAGCCATTTTATTAGCTTCACCAAAATTTACCTGCGTCCCAAGAAAGCCCACCAAATCCATGTATTCTCTGTGACCTACTTTAACACATTTCATCAAACTTTTAAAAATAAAAAATTTGAGCTGCCTTTCCCTTTTCAAATTCCTAGGAACCTAATAGTCTTCCATGAGGTTTAAAAAATAATTGCCAGCTGGCCTGCACTGCCTCTATTCTCTCCTTTTGTGTTCTGCAGTGATTTTCCTACCCTGGATATTCTGAAATGCACCGCTTCTCCACGCCGCCTTTCCTCATTGACTATTATTACCGTAAGTATTCTTTTTGCTACTACCCTTTGTCACCAAGCCTGGCTCATAAGACAGGCCAAGCCTTCCTTCCTTTTTCTGTAATTTCATATTTGCTCTTTTCCCCTATTAAGAAGCCAGCTCACCTTTTCCCTTTGTCATCATTTTTTTTTCTTTCTGACATACTTCCAAAATGTTATTTTTCTCTCCTGTGACTTTTTCCCTTTTACTAATAGCATCTATTTTATGGACCCACCTTTATCAAGTTTATCCTCACCTGTCTTGCTTCTTCTCTGCCACAGTAATTTCTCATGAACATCTTTTCTATGATCCACTTTTCATTTTTATATCGTTTAAAACATCACTCGTGTCTCCACTTATGTTTCTATTAGAAATTATGATAGCATTAAGTCATTAAAATCTGTATCGCTTAGCTGTGTCATTTTACTGCCACCCTGCCAGAGACCTTCCAAAATAACAATATAACAGAAACTTACTCTCATGCATACAGTGAAAAAGGCAAGAGGAAAGTGACAAGAAGAGAAAATGGAGACTGACCATAAAAGTCAATTCCAAAGGGCCTGCACAAAGCAAACAGAAGAATGGAACTGTCAGTCGGTGTATTTCTTTAACCAATGTAGATGGTCAATCCAAATTATTCTGTAGGAAAAAATGGAAGGGAAAAAGAGAGGAAAAAGAAGGGAGAGCAGAAACTTTTGCACTTTCCCTTCCTTTTCCCTTCTGACATTCTTTTCTTTTGAGATTATTTTCCTGACTGTATCCCCAGAATTATTTCTGTATTTAAGGAGTATTTACTGTGCATTTACTGTGTGCTGAGCATAAATGAGACATAATATCCATTTGCATGGACCCTAGAGACCCAAGCTGAGGTCTTGGCTCCAGTTCCTAGAGGTTATACGTGCAGTGAGGTTCAGAATTATATTCAACTGAAATTTCCAAAAATGATTTTTTACTGGGAAAGCTGTGAGACTGATAGGAGAAATGCATTTGTCAGTGGCCTCCAGGTGCTTCCCTTTGTAGAAAATCAGGAGTCTGAGTTGGTGGGATGGGTGATATGGCTTCCTGGTCCATTGGGCTCCTCCCACAGCCTGGCCAGGCCAACCACTGGGCAAAACCTCACAGTGCTCCTTCAACAGGGGAAGGAGGATTGTTTAACTCATGTTTGTGGGGTTTCTGGAGCAGTTTTTGAGCAAGTGATGGGAGGAAAATAGAGAGGCTTGCAGAGTAACAGCTGCAGTCTATGTAAAATATGCTAAGAAAGGAAGCAGTGGAGGAAGATGACTTTAGCCATGCATTAAGAATTTACTCTTCTCTTTGTCATTTCCTTGAAAGACCAAAACTGGATTCAAAATATGTGTAATTACTTCTGGTTTCTAGATTGTGTTTCCTTGCACAAAATATGCAAAGATTTGATCACACGGGGTTCCAGAATTTATTTGGGTTACATTTAAATTCTGTGTGACTTTAAGCAAATCATTCATCTCCCTTAGAAATGGTCTTCTCATCTGGAGAAATAGATAGTGAGATGACACATGAGGACTCTTGAAAAGTAATTATTTAATTCATAGATGGTGAAGGGGAACTAGTGGCTGATATCACCACCCACACATCTCTTTGGGCAAGGCTGATGTATTCAACTCACTGGCTGCCCTCCATTGAGATTGTCTGGTGTTCACAGTGTACAGGGTGTTAAATATTTTTAATCCCTGCGTCTGATGATTGTTACATATAGCTCCCTGAGCAGGGTGAACTGCCCAGGTAACTATAGAGGCAACTGTATCTAACCTTAGAGACAAGGATTATGGCAGGCAAAACTGTTTCAATAGAAGCTTTTACATAATTGTCATAGTAAGGCTGATTTCTGGCTGGAAGTGCTACATATAACACGATAGAATTATTTATTAGTGTGTATCATCTCTGCAAGTCTCTTGGATTTCAGAATCAGAGCAAGACAGCCCACAGAAAAGGAATTTGTTTGGAATAATTAGATGGAGTTCAGTCCAGAGCTAGGGATATGATCTCCAGGGGATGAAGTCTTGAACCCTCTACCCTGACATCTTGGTGGTGGAAGAATTGAATTATGTACTAAATTAGAACCCCTTGCATGACTCATGGAATATGATGATAGGTTCATAGGTAGAGCTCACATGAAAGTTACCATGTGCCCTTAGCAACCGAAACATCCTGAGTAAAAGTTAACAACCAGCTAAACAACACTGTGAATTTTACCCTTTCTCACAAGAGAGCAGATATGATTTTTTATCCCTCCCCTGAGGCCACCCAGAGCAGAATATTTACCTGCCAGGGCCCTTCCCTGACCTGGCCTTTAACTCTAGTGCTATCAAGGTTTGCTTTGTGAAGAAATCGCTTAGGAGGTTCATGAGCCATGCTACTCAGGCTGAATAGCCACTATAGCGAAAAGAGGTAGGTTTTGCCCTAAACTGAGGAAAACATCTTGCTTTCAAGTTGACATCAAACTGCAAATTGTCCTGAGAAGCCTGAAGGCAAGTGCTTCTAGATACCCACTGGCATGCTAAGTGGGCAGCAGAGAACTCCTCTAAGACACAGTTAACTCTTCCAAGCCCAGAAAGATCTTGATCTTGCCTGGATGAAGGAGAGTTTTGCAACCCTGATGATAGAACTGTGACTTCCATATATCCCTCTATTCTCATTTCCAACCAAGTGAAGGGATTTAAGGAGCCAAGAAACAAACCTCCCTTAAAATGTCTAACTCAGGTTGGGGTTACTGTTATCTGCCTACAGGAGCACAAAAGCTACAGGTACAAAAATCCCTGTGGAACGATATTTTAGAAATAGAGATTTGAGTACTATATTCAGTTGTCAAAAATCAGATCAATCAAATTGCCTTAGCAAATGGCCATAAAGTGCCTGGTCAAATTCAACTGTTTATTTATACATTCCATTCATTTGTTAGACAAGTACTTATTGAGCATCTACTATATCCCAGATACTCACTAAGTGCTTGGGATATGTCAGTGAATATAACAAACAACAAATATAACAATAAACACAGCAAACATTAAATTTTGTAGTATGGTAAAAGTGTTAAGGGCTATGGAAGATAACATAATGAGATGGGGTGGGCAAGCTGTAATATTAAATAAATTGAGAAGGTTACATTGTGAATAGGAAAGTAGATGAGATTGAAATCTAGCTAACGTCTCTTTCAAGACCTGAGATTTTATTTGGAATCCCAAAGAGGTTCACTTATAAATGACATTTTTAATAAAGGGCAGTTAACTTTATCTAGGGTGGGATTGCTGGAATAAGACATTTCACATGAACAAGGAGTCCCAAGGTGGGCCTCTTTTCCACAGCCCCCTTTTGTTTGCTTTATTAGCAAAGATGTGTTGAGTTGCAAGTAACTGAAAACTTTTTGTGGTCTATATAAGAAGATGGATTCATTGGTTTACATCACCAAGGGTCCAGAGCAGAGGAATGGTTTGATCTGGACTCTAGGTCTGTTACTCTGGAATTTTCTAAACTCTGACAGAGAGTTGTATGCATATCACAAGTGCCTTATTATTCTGAAAGCGCATTATATATGTGTGTGTGTGTGTGAGTGTGTGTGTGTGTGTGTGTGTGTGTGTGTGTGTGTGTGTTTTAATTAGAAAACAACAGAGATATGAATATGCTAGGCACTATGAAAAATTTGGCTTGAGACTCATGGTTCTAGCATGAGATAGCCTTTTGCAGTGGACAATGTCTGTTTTCCCAGTATCTATCTATTCTTCTCTTGGTAATACCTCCAAATTTTACACTGATGTCCATCTTTCTGCCATGCAGTCTATATGCTTTGGAGGAGACTAACTTCACCTGGCCCAGAAGTTGAGCCTATGACTCAGGCCCAAAGCCAATCAGCTTTACCCCATGTCCTGCTCAGTTATGGACTCATGGGGTGCCCTTGGTGTAATCAGAACAATGGGGCTGAAGATGCTATTTGGTAGGAATTTCTTGAAAAATCATCCTCATTTTCTCGCTTTTGTATGGCAGGCTGAAATAATCTGGGTAATTGCTTCAGGCGTTTTGCTACAGTGCAGAAGCTGGCCTGAAGACTATGTCAGCTCTAAGAGGCCAAAGCTTAGAAAATTCTAGAGGAACAGACCCAGATCCCAAATCAAATTATGGCTCTGCTCTGGACCCTTGGTTGCATAAGCCAATGAATCCACCTTCTTATATAGACCACAAGAAGTTTTGTGTTACTTGCAACCCAAAGCATCTTTGCTAACAAAACAAATAAAAGGAGGCTGTGGACAAGAGACCCACTTTGTGACTCCTTATGAAACGTCTTATTCCAGCAATCCCACCCTAAAGTTAACCTCCCTTTATTAAAGATGCAATGTATAGACTGGATCAACATTTTTTGTGAGTCACGAAGAAGCAAGTTCTTAAATCAGTAAAGGAGATACTTCCAGAAAACTAAAAATAGTAGAACATATTGAATTAGAAATGAAAGGTGAAGATGTTAAGGCAGGCTCAGGAGGATCAATTCTAAGGTAATTTAGGGGAAGGAAATGACAGACTCTCTCAACCTCCGGCATAGTAAATTGTTTCTTGATTCTATCTTAATGAAAATATTGTGCATTCTCTCTTCTCTCCTGCAATATCGTCAATGGATATTTTTGTCCTCTTTTTCTGCTTTTACTTTTTGCATAGATTTGGTATTTTTGTTTTTAATAAAAGTGGAGGTGCTTCTGAGAATTTCTATTGCAACAGCAGGGCTTGAACTTCAGGTCAGCTGAAAGGAAGAGTATGTGCTGTTTCCATGGAAACCATAGCAGTATAATGTCAGGTACTAAGAGACATCAAGAATGAAGGGATAAAATCCGTGCATCATTTTAATAAACACATCCTACTTACCGTTATTTAACCACAGTCTGCATACATATGCTCTACCCCTTAATAGCCACTCTTCATACATTTATTTTGACCACATCTAACCTTTCTAAGTTGGTCCTGATTATGCTGCTGAGTAAATAAAGATGAAAAGAATGCCCTTCATTAAAGTATTACAAATGCCTTATTATTCTGTAAACTCATTAGACATATATATGTTTTAATTAGAAAGCAATATGATGTGGACTCACTAATAAGGGTTAACTTAAACCCACAGAGACAGACAGAGAAATTAAGAATCAGGGCTTACCTTTTGTCCTTAGTTCCTCATCTTATATGACAGGCCTCATTCTGGATTATTAGTGGTAGAAAAAAAAATAAAGAAATAGTTTCTACGTTAACCCCCTCCTCTACTGATGCCTCTCCCCCAAAGTGTATTGCAGAAGTATCATATCTGTGGGAGCAAGAAAACTACCTTCCCAGTCTCCCAGGTAGCAAGGGGATGTAGTCAAGTGCTTTTCAACTCCATCTGAGGGAATTCAGTGAGAAGGTCTCACAGAGGCAACTTGGGAAGTAAATGTCTGTCAACACTTCTCTGTACCATCCTTATGTTCAGTGTCCCCCTTCCCCACAAGCCAGGGATCCTTTGTCAACTGTTCCCTCCTGATCTTTCCTCCATACATCTATCAGTAATCGAGAGGGAAGAATGAGAGAAGGGAGGAAGGAAGGGAATTAGAAAGAGTAGGAGGAAGAAAGGAAGAAAAGAAAGGAGAGAGGAAGGAAGTCCTGATAGCATCATGAATCAATTTGATGGAAGAAAGATTTTCCATTCAACCAAAGACCCTAAAAGGAACGTTGGTTGGGAAGAATGATTTGTGTGCAGTTCCTAAATTTGGTGTAAGGGAAATTGTGCCAAATTCCAAATAAACTAAAATAATACTGTCCTAGGGCCAGTGAGTAGAACTCAGAGAGCAAAGCCTCTCTGTGCTGTAGCCTAAGAAACTATAAACACTAAAGGCAAAGGAAGACTTTTCTCCCTTCAGCAACCCATAATTGGAATAGAAAGTGGTAGAGCTTGCTAATGTCAGCGAAGTCACAGAGCCGCCCAGGACTAGCTGCCACGGCCAGAGGGCCAGTGGCCTTGTGAGCCACAAGATAAGGGGTCTGGTGTGCCAGAAAGGAGCAGAGAGGAGAGGAAGCTTCACAGTAGCAATTAGGACAGTCACGGGCACTCAGTCCTCCTGGGAACTCCCAGGGTTACCTGGACCAGAAAAACAGTGCATGGAGCTGAGGGCCGGCAAGTCCATGATTGAGCAACATGAGCCAGAGCCTTAGACTCAGATCTCCCTTTCTGAAGCATTTCCCTCCTGAGGTAACTCAGCAAAAATAGCAGGCCCATCACTAAATCATCACTAAATCCAAGGAAATCTAGACTGAGAAGCACAATCCCACCCTCAGGAGGTAACAGTCAAGATGCCAACAGGAGAATTCGTTGCCTGATCAGTCAGCACACACACACACACACACACACACACACACACACACACACCACACACGCGCGCGCGCACAGCAATCATTTAAACTTACTTGCCCCAGATTTTAAATTTATATATGACATAAAAATACTGTGACAGCGAAGGTCTACCTACAGCAAAATCCCTAAAGATGACCCACAATAGTCATCTTCATCATAGTCATAATCATCACAGTCAATCTTGTGAAATAATCTCACTACTCTTAAAAGAAACAATGAGCTTACATTTCATGTAATCATTGGATTCTGGGTACAATTTTGATATGCAGATGCTAAATACTCCTTTGAGTTTATGATGCTCTTACATCTTGAGCTTATCATGCTCTTGCATCTTGACACCATTTACTGCCAATCGATTCAGACATCAATAATCTAGTCCTTTCATTTTCAATAGTGGCTAATAGTTTGGAATATGCAAATGACCTTCAGATGGGCTTCCCTTTCTACCTCACAAGGAGATTCCTTCTAGAAAGTCAAAAATCTGACTACAGCAGAATGTAGTCACCACTCCTGGAGAAAGAGAAAAGATAGTATTCCAGGAGGGATGGAGCCAGCTAGTTAATTGTAATAGCACATTTTTAAATGCCAAGACTTCATTAGAGTTTAATATTTGAGTAAGCACTTTGATTTATCATATTCCCCAATCTGATCTGCCTCAGACAAAAGAGCATGGATTCAAGTACAGACTTTACTAGCTCAAGGAGGGTTCTGTGGGAGAAAAGGATTCCATCTCATTGACTACAGATGCAGAAAATCTTAAATAAATATTTTACATGAAGCCAGTTGGGACAGGTCTCCTGATCCCCATTGAGTCTCAGAGAACGACATGAGTAGAAGAAAATACAATCTGTATGACGGCTTACAGATAATTCATGGAATTTTATCTTGAAGATAATTTAGAGAGTATCTAGTCCAAGTGTGGACTTAAACTAAACATCTAAAACTTAAAATGAATAAATGAAGCCATTTGAATAGGCTCTCTGGGAGGCGCACTATAAGGTTTGCTACAGGACTTTAACGTCTAGCTCTCCCCACATCATTCATTTATTTTATTACCTGCCCAGCCTCTGAAACTATTTACTGAGCTCCTGAGAAAACCAGAAAATTGAGACCTGCATCTGTTAAGTAACTTGCTCAAGATCACAGAGTGATAGAATTAATGAAGACATGTTTGTTGGGCTAAGGATGGAGATGGATGAAAACAGGACTCCATCCAAATTCTGTTAGTCCATGAGCCAGATAGATTTGAGGATGGGAGGTCATAGACTAAGGGAAGAAGCATTTCTCTCTCTCTTTCCTTTTCTGTACCATTCCCCCTCAAGCTTCCACAAGCCGATTTACACCAAAATCCTAAAGTTAATGCAAAACCAAACCAGTCTGTCACACCCAGAGTTTAGCAGAAATTCTGTTGGTGATGTGAGAGTCCTCTTTTATTTTTTTTTTGTAAAGCGGTATTTTTCCATTGCAAATATATTTCTTCACCTCTGGACTCCTCTTTCATGTTGAGGTCAATTAAGGCATAACATAATAAAACTTTCTTTTTAGCCATGGTCATTATATTAGTTTTTACAACTTAGCTTCTTTCCCAATATAGGAAATATTCTGAATCATAGATTATATTACAGATTTCCAAACTAAAGATGAAAAACAGATTTAAAAGAAATTTTATTGTAAGTACAACCTTAATGGAATTTGCACTCTTAGCTCTAAAATACAAATCCAAAATTTGGCCTATCGGACTATGCTATTCTTTCTTATTCCACATAGACTTGTCTACAGACTGAAATCAGCTCTCCAATTGCTCTTTCAGGAGGTTCTCCAAGGTCAACAAAACCTGAGATTACAAATAAAAAATTAATTTAAGAAATCAAATAACAAGTATTGCTGGGGTCAGGACAGAGTCTTCCTTTGACAGTCAGGTCTAGATGCAGGGCAAATTCCATGCAAAGCAGCCTGTCTGTACCATTAATCGTGTGTGTGTGTGTGTGTGTGTGTGTGTGTGTGTGTGTGTGTGTGATGTGGTATGAGAGAGAGGGAAGCAAGAGGGAGCTTGGATTTAAAAAGAGGGAAATTTCAATTTACTTGAAAATTGTACTATCAATGAGGCACTTTTTAAAATATGATGACATTTGCAAGTTTGGAAGAGTAGAAAGAATGGACATGCAGTCCTGGAGAATGGAAAACCAGGAGACTTCAGATTCATTTCCAGTTTAACAATACAAACGCTGTACTGTTTGGGGCAGTGACTGGGCTGTCTCACCTCAGTAATCAGCTTTCTTTCAAAAGAAACAACTTTTTATTTTTACTGCTTTACAAGATGTTTCTATAAGAAAAAGAAAATCCAAAATTAAAACTTAAATGAAGACTGAATCAAGCATGAAGGAAATATTTAAGAACAAGAAAAAAGAATCACTGCTAACAGCAAGTCAGCCCCTCTCCATGGTGGGAACCACCATGGAAGGTTTTTTAAAGCTTTCCACTTCTCAAATTATAGCCTACATTACCAGCACTTATTTTTAAGTAAGGGTATGTCTTTATTCTCATTATAAATCAGTATTAATAAAAAGTAAAATAACAAGTGAATCTTACACTTCTTGGATCCGCTTAGGGCTTCCCTTATGAGCATGTTTTTTAATATGTAAAGTGACCCATAAAGGCCAAGGTTTCATTTTCTTAAATGAATGCATTGTTTAAAGAACCTCATGTTGGTACATAATTGAAACCCAAATGTAAAATTGTTCTTATAAAGGTTTTTCATAACAATGAATCACAACTTAAAAAAAAAAAAAAAGCCTACCAAAGAGAAGTGGGTGAAGGGTGGGTAGAAACAACTAACAGTCTCATTGGGCCTTCCCCACACGTAGGGCCACTGTAGAAACAAGCCGGTCACTGGGGCTCCTCTGGATCTCCATCTGACCCCACTCCTTTAGATGAATGACAGCCCACATTGTGGCAAACATCAGAGAGAAACCAGCACAAGTTTGGTATTAGGATTTGACCCAGGAGACTTACAGTATCCTGAATCACATGCCAATTTTATTTGCAGTACTTGGAGTGAGCATCAGATTCTTATCAACCCTGCCTATGAAATGTTCAACATATTATTTATTCTTATATCACTCTGGGTTCTTTACTCGCGTTTTCCTTAAAATTCAAAGTTTGTGATTTTTTTAAAGATGTAGAGAATAGTTAGCATAGTGGTTTTGATATCGCACACAGCAGGCTTCAGATCCTAATTCTGCCACACACTAGCTATGTGCCCTTGGGAGACTAATTTCTTCTCTAAGCTTGAGCTGATTTATCTGAAAAGAGTTGGTGATAAAAACCATTGTTATGAGATTTAAATCTGAACAAATTGGAGAATGCTATTTCCCAGTATTTTTTTCTTTAAAGATGCCTCTTCTGCTGCTGCTGGCTCTTCAAATACTGGTGTTACCCAAGCTTCAGCCTGAGCCCTTCTCTTTTCCTCCTATGCAGACTCTGGACTCAAAGATGGTAATTATAATGCAGCTTTACTTTGGTCACCCACTGTCTTGCCAAATTTCCTCTGTGGCACTAGTTCTTCTCCTCTCACTGGAAGACTATTCCAACTACAGATGCTCCTTGACTTACAATGGGGTTACATTCTGATAAACCCATCATAAGTTGAGGATATTATAATTTGAAAATGTATTTAGATGCCTAACCTGCCAGACATCATAGCCTAGCTTAGTTTAAACATGCCCAAGCCATTTATATTAGCCTACAGTCAGGCATAATCATCTAACACAAAGCCTATTTTATCATAAAGTATTGACTATCTCATGTAATTTATTGAATACTGAACATGAAAAACAGAATGGTTATATGGGTACTCAAAGTACAGCTTTTACTGAATGCATATCGCTTTTACACCATTGTAAAGCCAAAATAACATTAAGTTGAACCAATAAGAGGGACTGTCCATATTCTCTTGTTTCTCTCAGATAACAAAAAGTCACAAAGTCACTTACATAGAAAAACTCAGTCATATCTAAAATTAAAATATCCCATATCGTCTAGTATTCAATGCTCCAAACTCAATTTAGAGTTGCAGTTTCTCACGTCTCTTGGCTGAGACTTGCAGCAATTTAAAAGCAAAAGGAGGCCATGGTCAACTTTCTCTCTTTCCTCACCTGGCACTTCTCCTCCTCATGCCCTTCTTACTGACCAGGACATCTGAGGGAACAGAGAAGCATGAAGAAAGCAAAGGAGCTGTCAGCTGCCTGGCACTCTGTGCTGGGATCTAGTGGCAGGATTCTGTGGACCTGGAAGCTGTTGACTACCCACAGACACCTAAGACTTAGCATGTCCTAAACCAAACTCATGACCTGGTCCCCAGCACATGCTCTTCTTAACAGTTTTTTCTGCTTTGTGCTACCATTTGCCAAGTGAGCAATCTGATCAATCTAAAGTCATTCTTGTCTCCTTTCTCCCCCACCATAATATTCTATCACATGGGTTACCAAATACTATTTAATACAATGGGAACCTCCATCTTCTCCAGTCTCACAGTGACTGCCCTGTTCAGGTTTCTCTTATCTCTTCTGTAGATAACCTTCATGGAATCAGAGCTGGTTGTCCACTACTTCCCATACAACTTCAAAGCAATCTCTTTTTTTCTTTTGTTTAAATGTTTTGCTTTTTATAAAGTGATCCTTCCTACTGTTGCAGTGATCACGCCATGCTCAAAAACAATCCATTACTCCTTCTGCCAAAGGAACCATCTTATTTATTTACTTGACTTATAAAACTCTTCACTTTCCATTCCCTGCCTACCTCCCAACCTCGTCTCTCTCATTGTAGCCTGTCTCTCAAGAAACCTCCAACTAACCACATTTCCTCCACCTTCCAGGATCGTTCAAGCCTCTGTGTCTTTGCACTTACGGTTCCTTCTGTTTAGCATGCTCTTCCCTTGCCTCTTTACTTTGAAAACTCATTATCTCCAAAACAAACTCTCTCACTTCCTGACCAGCTGTGTTAGTTTTTGTTCTTCTTTGTGCCTAAAACACTTTCTTCAAGCACCTCTCTGACACAAACTAGTGAAATGTTACAATTTCCTGTTTATACTGTATCTTTCTCTTCCACCGGACAATGAGGTTCTTGATTTGGGTAATAAAAATTCAAGAAAATTTAATGAACAAATGAATGTGTCAATGAACTGAACAGTTGCATATTAAGAAAGTAGAAAGAATAAACAAGGTTAAAAAGTAGAATGTTCTCTAAATATGACTTTTTGCCTAATACAAACAGGGTAAGACTTTATTTAATCATGAGCTCTTTTTTTACAGGAAGAACATTCTGTTCTCAGTTCCTAAGCAAAATTTTATTTTTTAAATACTTCTATTTATGCTCCTTGGGTTAGAGGATGGAGTGTTCTACATGTTTTTTCTGGTAATTTGGGGTAAGGGAAAGGAGGAATTATACAAATTGCTTTGCAAACAAATGAGCTAACCATTACCCGACAGTGTAAGATCCTGGAGGACAGAGACTGTATTTTGTTAACTCTGTACTCCAAGCAAAGCTCCTGATTCCTTGAAGATGCCCCAATTTTTTAAAAAATAAATACAAGCAAATCATATGTCTTTAAGAATAAGCTCATAAATGCTACATTCATTATAAAACTTAGAGCTCCAGGACACATATAGCATAAAACCTAATTTTTTAATTATGTTTCTGAAAGAAGTGGGTCTTAAGATTAAAGAAAAAATAAAATTACTTATTAGAGGAATAGATCAAAATAGAAAGCTGTGAACAAGCAGATCTTTTCTGTTTTTCTGTCTTCCAAAGGTGAATGTACATTCCAATAGTGAATGTAGAGAAGGATGAGAAGAGTGGGCATGGTAGAGAGGGTGTGCAGTTTCTGGAGTATTCATATTCACATTGGAAAAGGGTGGCCCTCTGAATACCAGAGGGCCTTTGTTGGGAAACAAAGGCTGTCCCTAGACATTATGATACAGTATTCTTGTCCTTTGGGTTTGCCCATCAAGTTTTGTGCAATGGTATTTCCACTAAATGGCTTCCTATAACTCCTCCCTTATATCCCTCCATACACATTAAACCCTGCAGCAATGTGGCACTCAAGAGGTTAACATCATGGGCAAAGTAGCCTCGGTTCCTCCCTTGCGGGTATCCTGGCATTGCTAAGCTAATGTTCTACATTCTGCTAATGTGACTGACAACGGTGGAATTTCCCAGTGCCCAGGAAGGAAAAGAATATCCTCAAACATTCCAACATCTCCCAATTCTCTTTCCCATTCAGTGTCTCTATTGCTGTATAAATGGCCTCATTTTTAACAGAAGTATGACAAACACAACAATAGCATCATTTTACAGAAGCACTAAAACACATTTTTAAAATGCATTTCATTTCAAAGCCACTCTAATTTAAGCCTTTTGGAGTCTTTATTCTTCTTCTCTCCAGAAGCAGCCTCTGTCCCTGAATGCCACCAGGAGAGCTGAGGAATGTGGATAGCATCTGCCAGGGACAAGATGCGGCCTCCCAAGTCTTTAGCGATTCACAGGTTGTAAATGTACTTTGATTGTGCAACTGTGCTTTTACACCAGAAATTTGTAAATGGGCATTTGCAACTTTCAAATGGTTAGCGTTTAATATCACTCCATTTATCATATAGCCACAAATGCCAACATCACATTTCTTTTTAACCATACCATTGTTGATAGGCACAGTTCAGAATTTTTTCTTAGTGTTTCCTTATGTCTAAATATAAGGAGTAAACATAGTTTTGCTTACTTATACCTTCCCTAACATCAATTTTAAATAAATCCTTCAGTTACCAATGAGTGTTTTTAGCCTATTTCAAATTACCCCGAAACACTTCCCACATAATGGACATACTTACTTTACAGAACATGCAGTTTTAAATCGATTTTGCATGTGATTTGGTCAAGCTGACAGCTATGAGCAAAATGCTACACAGGAGTTGCTTGTGGCTATTCTTATGACCAAATATCTACTACACACAGCCTAAGGTATCATAAGGATTATAGCTCTAACTGCCAGTTTCAGCTTTTAAAATATCTCAGGGCAGAAGGACAAGCTGACCTAATGAGAAGGTCATTTGAATAGATTTTTTTAGTGCAAGGCACCACTAATGCCTGGTTGACATTCCAACCCAGAGAAATTTTTTCATCTGCGATTAATGGACCTGACATCCATTTTTCCACTGCTTTTGAAAATATGTATTTCAGGAGTTATTGTTAAATACCACTGAGATCATAGGATACTAAACTCTCATGACTGAAAATATTGTGCCAGAGGCCATAGTTTCTACAAAGAGTTCTGGATCATAATAGGAAGTATAAAAGTTCATGGTCTTTGTCCACCGAATATCACAATTTCTCCAATATGAGAAACTTTTATTAATGGAAAATAATTGCATGAGTGAGTAATACGGTAAACCCATAATTAGGTGATGAAGTTTAAAATAAATTTTAAAAGAGGAGCAGAACAAGGAGAGAATGGGATGGAGGAAGAGGCTATCTCTTCCTCCAAAGTTTCATGAATAATTGACTCTCCACTTGCTCTGCTTCTACATAAAATGCCAATAGTCAGAAACTGTAAGGATAGAACAGGAGTGTAAAACCCAAAGTGTTGCCGGGCGCAGTGGCTCACGCCTGTAATCCTAGCACTTTGGGAGGCTCAGGCGGGCAGATCACGAGGTCAGGAGATGGAGACCATCCTGGCTAACACGATGAAACCCCGTCTCTACTAAAAATACAAAAAATTAGCCGGGCGTGGTGGCGGGCACCTGTAATCCCAGCTACTCGGGAGGCTGAGGCAGGAGAATGGCGTGAACCCGGAAGGCGGAGCTTGCAGTGAGCCAAGATCGCGCCACTGCACTCCAGCCTGGGCGACAGAGCGAGACTCCGTCTCAAAAAACAAACAAACAAACAAACAAACAAAACCAAAAAAACTCAAAGTGCCCTTCTCTCATTTCACCGACTTAAGTGATCTAGAATTTTGCTAGTATAGACAAGAGACGTCCCCCTGGTTAGTCTGCCACTACCAGGACATGTTAGTTCCTGATGCAGAGCTGTGTGGACTTAGGCAAGTTATTTAACCAAATCACAGATTCCTCATGTATAAAACTGAGATAATTATATTTAATAATACATTCTTAATTGGGTTGTTGAAACAATTAAAAAAATAACACTCAAAAGAGCTAAGTACCTAAAAAAAAACTCTCAACAAATATTAGCTATTGTGTTTATCAGGAAGTTGAAATCGTTAATTGCTTTTAGAAAGTGAATAAAAACTTACCTGTTCACAAGTCACAATGGACCTAAATATGATTTACCAAATCTGTCCCTTAATATAAGCAACAAGTAACTGTGGGTTGGGTATATAAAAACAAATTCATTATGAATTGAGAAAAAGTGCAACCCTCACATCGTAGTAAAAGGAAAGTGACAATGTCCATCTTTTTGTTCATTTACTACGCTTTTTAAGTGGAGTAGATGTTCTGGATGAAGCCTAAATACTGGTTAACAGTGACAGCAAGGAAGAACAATGAACCAATACATGAAGCTGAGTTCAGGCGATTGTTTTATTGTAAAGGGAAATCAACTGTTACTAAATTAAACCACCATGTGTGAGTTACAGGTGTCACTGCATGAATGTGTTGACTGCGTCTCTGCTAGGAAATGAAATGTAAAATTTAAGCATAATTTTGGAACAATTCACATATTTTTGTTTATGTGCACATTTTTATGCTTCCGTGAAAGCGTAACATCTTACTTAGAACATATAAATGATTAGTATCAAAATTAGACATGTAAACACAATGTGAGTTCATTAATTGTTCATCATTCCTGCCTGTTGCTGAATTAGCCTGTGAACAGGTTCTGGCTGCAGCATATATCACAGGCACACTGCATTAGTCCTTCCCTCCACTCCTGTCCTGGGATGAGGGAGTCCAGAATGGGCACCATTAGCAATTCCTAATGGAGGCTCTAATTCCTACTTAGAGGCAAACAGTAGGAAATTAAATCAATTCAATCTAAAAACATACAGTGGCAATGCCATTTCACAAGGGATGCTGTTTAAACAGTTAACTCGGAGTGAACTCTTCCTGTTCTTTGATTGGGAAGCGTTTCAGACCTTAATTACTGTGTTCTGTGAGTCTGTGACAGATCGTCCCTTTTTTACAGGCTTCTTGCCAGGATAAAGCTGGCTTTTTTTTTTTTTTTTTTTTTTTTTTTGCTTTTAAGAAGACTACACTTAATTAGTGCTAGCATAATTAACTCTTTGTGAGTTTGATCTCATTTCACCGTTAAATTTTGATTCTAGCTGGAATTATCTGCTTCCATTGTCTTTGTAGTCATTCTTAAAATAAAAACAATTTGAAACATAAATGTATTATCTGTATCAAAGGCAAAACTTTAAGGGTTTTTTTCAGTACAATAAACAAGGTTGTAAATTTAACCAAAAACATATAACAGCTTATATAGGAATTGGTAGAAATATAAAGGAACTTATAGGAATTTGTCCACAGCAGCGATAGAAGCAGAGGGAAGAGCCCGGGGAAGCTCAGGCTTCATCATCAGTGTTCCCAGTTAGCCACATAAACACAGGCAACTCATCTCACCTCTCTCAAATTTTTCTTTCCTCGTGTGCACAATGGGATTAGTAATACCTGAGAGGGTTGCTGTGACCATGCCAGGAATACATCAGGTGCTAAATAATTGTGAGCCGATTTTTCCTGTCCTCCCCATCTTCCATCATAAAATAAGATACTGTGCGTTTTAATTCTTTGACTCTCTATTGTAGTACATGGCAGAATGGCTGTCAATCTGACACACTTTCAAACCAGTAGCACCCCACCGCCATCCTGCTCCTCAGAGAGTGTCCTTTTGGGTGACACTGTCTGTTCCTAGATCTAAGAAGAAGAGATGACAGACTTGACTTAAAACAGGGAAGGCTGGGATATGAAAGCTTATGCTGAATGATACTGAATGCTAGGAGTTGCAGAGAAAAAGGATTCACTCTTCATTAGTGAACCCCAAATAAAAATTGATCACATTAGGCTCACCATGACAAAGAATAATTCAATCAGTAGCTTCTTTTAAGATAAAATATAAAGTTTCTTTCTAAAAGTAAATTTAGAAAAAGTTGAGAAAATTTTTTCTAGCTAAAGATGGCTCTATCACTGTCTCTCTAACTTTTTTAGAAAAATTACTGCATAGATTATGTAAAAATGATACATGCTTATTATAAGAAAAGCAAAAGTAACACAATAAGGAAAAGAACAATGAAAAGTAAAAAAGAATTCACCAAAAACTTGCCATCCCCAAATAGCTGTAGTTAACAAATAGAAATCACTGTTTCAGACATCTCTTTCCTGGCATACATAGTAGTAATTTTGCTTATGCTTGAATTAACTGAATGAGAAGTAAAAAATGAAATAAACAAAATTGTTGAATTTCAGATGTTTCTTCAGCGCAAGCAACATTAATTTTTAAAATATCTCTGAAGTTAATTAAAAGCATTATGAAAAATATTGAAAGGTTGGAATTATTATGCATTTCAAACCAAATATTTTAATTTTAGATGGATTCTATTGACTCCTGCTCTAACAGCATAAAATCTGTGCACTTAAACATATGCCCGCTTCTGATTACTTTGTTATTATATTTGTGTATTGTTAAGGTTTACAATAATTGCATTTCATTAAGACATACTTCAAATTTTAGTCATGTCTAAATGGATTAAATGCTCATCAGCTAAGTTCTCATATAGTATTTTTATTATATTTTCTTCATTTCAAAAAATGTTATTTTGATTTATCTCTTGGTCAACTGGATTATGTCATCTAATCAAAATTGGTTTATTTGTTTATAAGTACTATACTCCTAAAGTTCTTGTGCACATTTTTGTTCGTTATGCTTCAAGGATAACCTGTTTATGTGAAAATCATTGAGGCACACATCTTCCCAGAATGCCACACATACCGTTTTCTAGTATTGAGTGTTTAGGGAAAAATCTAATACAAACTTTACATTTTTCCTTTGTATGTGACTTGAGTTTCGCCTCAATGGCCATTTTTTTTAGCCTTCAACTTCAGTCACTTCACTAGGGTATATATGAACTGGTATTGATTACTATCTAATGATGTTTTCCATGACACCAGTTGATATGAAGGCTCAAATCTTTATATTAGAAAGAAATGTTCTTTTTTATTTCTGCATTATTATTCCTGGAAACGAAATTAATGTTAGAATCAGATGTAAAGTAAAGAAAACGTGAGACAATGCACAGGAGTATTCATTATACCATGCAAACACTAACCAAAGAAAGCTGACATCGTGGGACTAATATCAGACAAAGCAGATCTTAAAGAAGCATTATTAAAAATAAAGAGGGATACTTTGTCATGTTCAAAAGTTCAATACCCAAGAAAAATAAAATAATTGCATAACTGTATATACTTAATAAAATATTCTCAAAATCTAAACAAAAATCTACAGGAAAGAACTAGATAAATCCATGATCATAGTAGGAGATTTTGACATATCTCTTTTAATATCCGAATGAACAAGTAGATACTAAAATATCATAGAGACATAGAAGATTTGAACATTATTAATAAACTATACCTATGTGACATATGTAGAATGCTGCTTATAATAACTATAGAATGCACATCATTTTAAGGCAAAATGAACACTTACCAAAATTGACAATACACTTGGCTATAAAACATATATAAACACACTTATAAAGATAGAGATAAAGGGACAATATACTCTGACTGCAGTGGAATTAATATTGAAATCAATGACAAAAAATAACTAGAAAATTCTCAAATATTTGGAATTTACGCAATGTACTTCTAAATGGCACATGGGTAAAAAAAAAAGTCACAAAGGAAATTAGAAAATGTGTTTAAGTAAAACAAAATCATCAAAACTTGGGATTTGTAGCAAAAGCAATATTTAGAGGGATATATTTAGCCTTAAAGTATATGTGTATTAGAGAAATAAGGCAAAAAGTACTAAATGATTAAGTTCCCCTTTCAAAAAGCCAGCAAGTTAAATGAAAAGAGATCAGAAGAATGGAAATAATAAAGGTAGGAGCATAAATTAATGAAACAGAAAATTCACACATAATAGAGAAAATCCACGAATCCAAAAATTTATCCTCTTAAAAAAAAGTTAAAATTGATAAACTCCTAGCAAGACTTATCAAAGTTAAAAATAAAACGGAGGAAGAAGGTAAATACTACCAAATCTAAGAATGTAAAAAAGGCATTTCTATAGCCCCTACAAACATTTTAAAAGGAAGGTATTATGAACAAATTTATGTAAATAAATTTTGGAATCTAGAAGAGATTTTTCTTTAAACATATAGATTATCAAAGCTGACATAAGAAAAAATGAAAAAAATGAATAATCCTATCTACAAAATAAGTTGAGTCCTTTGAAAAATTTTATCACAGACAAAATTCCATATGGCTTTATTGATAAACTCCACCAGCATTTAAGAAACACAGAATAGTATCTTACATCTATTCTAAGAGAGAATAAAAAAAGAGGGACCACAACCCAAAGTGATTTCTAATTTGGTCAGCAAAACCTTGTTACCAAAACTTCACAGGACATTGCATGAAAGAAAAACTGTATGAATCTCTTTTAAGAACATAGATGCATGAAACCACAAACACCACAAATAGCCAAAGCAACCTTGAGAAAGAACAGAGCTGGAGGCATCACACTTGCTGATTTCAAATTATATCCCAAGCTTTCTAAACAAAACAGTGTGATACATGCATAAAAACAGACACATAGATGGATGGAACAGAATCGAGACCCCAGAAATAAACCCACACATATATAGTCATCTAATTTTTGACAAGGGCACCAAGAAAACACCATGGGAAAAGTATAGTCTCTTCAATAAATGGTGTTGGAAAAACTGAACATTCACATACAGAGAGTGAAATTGGACCCCTATTTTACACCACTCACAAAAACTAACTCAAAATGGGTGAAAGACTTAAATGCAAGAATGAAAACAATGAAACTCCCAGAAGAAAATGTAGGGAAAAGTTCCTTGACATAGGCAGTGACTTTTTAAAAAATTTTCTACCAAAAGCACTAGTAACAAAAACAAAAATAAACACATGGGACTACATCAAACTAAAAAAATTTTGCACAGCAATCAACAAAATGAAAAAATAACCTACAGAATGGTAAAAAAATATATATATTTATAAACCATGTATCTGATAAGGAGTTAATGGCCAAAATATATCAGGAACTCATACAACTCAATGGCAAAAATACAAAAAGAAAACTGATTTAAAAATGGGCAAAGTACCTGAACAGACATTTTTCCAAAGAAGACATACAAATGGTCAACAGGCACATGAAAAGATGCTCAATAGCACTAATCATCAGGGAAATGCAAATCAAAACCACAGTGAGATATTACCTCACACCTGTTCAAATGACTATTATCAAAAAGACAAGAGATAGCAAGTGATGGTGAGGATGCAGGGAAAAGAGAATCCTGGAGCATGGTTGGTAGGAATGTAAATTGGTGCAGCAATTATAGAAAACAGTATAGAGATTCATCAAAAATTTTAAAATAGAACTACCATATGATCCAGCAATCCCATTTCTGGGTATGTATCTAAAGGCCATGAAATCAATATGGCAAAGAGATATCTGCATTCTCATGTACACTGCAGCATTATCACAATAACCAAGATGTGGAAACAACTTAAATGTCCATTAACAGATGAATGGATAAAGAAAATGGGATACATGCACACTCACATACACACACACACACACACACACACAGAGATAATATTCAGCTATAAAAAAAATTCTGCCATTTGAAACAACGTAGGAAAATTTTGAAGGCATTATGCACGTGAAATAAGTCAAACAGAGAAAACAAACATCTGATCTCACTTATATGTGGAACCTTAAGAAGTCTCATAGAAATAGATAGCATGAGGGTGGTTGCCAGGGGCTGATGGATGAGAGAAGAGGGAAGATGCTATATATTTTCAGTTATAAGATTAACAAGTCCTAGGGATAGGGATCTAATGTACAGCATCGTAACTATAGCTAAAATTACTGTATTATATACTTAAAATTTGCTAAGAGAGTAGATTTTAAATGTTCTTGCCACGCCAAAGAAAAATGGATGGATGTGTTGACCAACTGGATCGCGTTAATGATTTCACAATATATACATATATATTTAACATCATGTATACCTTGAATATATATAATTTTATCCATTGATGATACCTCAAGCTGGAAAAAAGAACATATTGAGCAAACCCAACAAAGTACTCATAATATATCAAAAAACTCTACAAATCAAAAAGACAGACCCAATAAGAATATGGACAAAAGACTTGAAGATGTTTCAATTTCTTATTGCTGCTATAATTGCTGCACACTTAGTGGATGAAAGCAACATAAATGTACTATCTTACAGTGCTGTAGTTTAGAAGTAGGAATGAGTTTCACCCTGCTAAAATCAAGGTGTGAGCATTCCTGCATTGCTTCTGGAGGCTTTAGGGGAGAATCCATTTCCTTGCCTTTTCCAGCTTCTATAGGCTGCCTGCATTTCTTGGCTCAGAGCCCTCTTCTGTGACCTTCACAGTCAGAAATATTGGACTGCATGCTTCTCACATTGCCATCTCTGTTTCTCTCTTCCAATACCCTTCTCCACTTTTAAAGACCTTTGTGATTACTCTAGACTCACCTAGATAATCCAGGATAATCTCTCTGTTTTATGGTCAGTTGATTAGCAACCTTAGTTGATTAGCAACCTTCATTCTATCTGCAACCTTAATTCCCCTTTGCCATGTAACTGGATATATTCACAAGTTCCAGGAATTAGGAAATAGACATCTTTGGGAAGACATTTTTCAAATGACTACAAAACACATTACAAAAGAAGACATACAAACAGCCAGTAAAAATATTAAAAAGTGTTCAACCTCATTCATCATTAAGGAAATACAAATTAAAATCACAATAATATATCACTATACTTCACCAGAATGGTTAATATTTTAAAACCTGGAAAGGATATAGAACAACAGATGTCCACAAATATTACTGGTGGGATTTTAAAATCGGTGCAACCACTTTGAAAAACTAACAGTATCTAGTGAAGTATAAAATATACTCTCATATCAGGCAATTTCACCCCCAGATATACACCCCCCAAAAATGTATATATACATGTACCAAATGACATTTACACAGATATTCAAAGCAGCCACAAAGAAGAAGCAACCAAAATGCCTATATAAAATAGGATGAGTAAGAAATAGATGGGATATTATATAGCAATAAAGATAAACTTCTGCTATGCAGGAACAGGGATGAATCTTATAAACATAATGTTGAGTGAATAAAACCAGACACAAAAAGAGATATATTATAGAATTCTGCTTCTCTCTACATATAATTCAAAAGCAGGCAAGACTAATCTATTTTAATAGAAATCAGAAGAGCTGTTAGCTTTGCAGATGTTATACTTGAAAGAGGGCATGAATGAAGCTTTGGGGTATTGGTAATGTTCTATTAAAAATATACTGATTTTTACAATACTTTATGTATGTTACATTTCAAGAAAATGTTCAGTAAATCTGTATTGTATAGAATTGTATACACTTTGTGTCAAAAACTTGGAAATTTCTTTAGCTTTCAGGGATATAATGAAAACAGATTCCAGATTAAGCAGGCCATAGCACTAAGACAAA
Organism: Homo sapiens; assembly: GCF_000001405.40. Taxonomy (NCBI): domain Eukaryota; kingdom Metazoa; phylum Chordata; class Mammalia; order Primates; family Hominidae; genus Homo; species Homo sapiens. The sequence goes on along the minus strand of NC_000001.11, from coordinate 95,598,236 downwards.
TCTCACAGTGGAGAGACACTTCCCGTCGGAAGAGCCAAATACCAAAAGGCAAGAGGTTAAAATGAATTAAAGTTTATCCATTCTTGAATCAAATGAAAATGTTACAGACCCAAGAGATTATTCTTATATTTGGACATTTTCAGTGACCTAAAAGTAGCCATTTGAAATTAGTTAAATAACATTATTTTCAACCTTTTGAAATGAGGGTTTTTTCCTTTTTATGAGAAATTGGCATTTTCATCATCGAGGAGGTACACAACCTCCTTGACACAATGATTCATTGGAATGAAACCATTTCCATTTTTAAAAAATTATGTGCTTACCAAAAGCCCAGCCATGATCTGCAGACAGAAAAAGAACAGCAACAATGTGTGCCCACAGGGGAAAAAGACAGTGGAAATTTCAAAACTGCAAAACCAGAAATCAAAAGCATTATAATGAGAATTTCCACAGTAACATGATTAAGCCCCTAATTCCTGTCTTGGTTTTGGCTTTGGTCTGTTTTTATATCATCATATGTAGGTGTGGAGAACAATAATAATAAATATTATTTTATTTTTATATGGCACTTTTTATGTTTGTAAAGAACTTTTATATTGACATGTTTTCTTGGAAAATCAGTGTCTTTTGAATCAGATCCACCTTGGTTCAAATCCCAGTCAAGCCCCTTATAAGTTATTTAACTTTGACAAGTTTTTAAATTGTACTTCAATTACCTTACGTGCACATTGGCAGTAACTACCCAAACAGATTTATGAGAAGACTGACTGAGGTAATAAGTCCATGGCATATGTATAATGCAAATAATAATGTAAAGTTCACGGCACATAGTAGGCACTTAATAAATGATAACAATTGGTATGATCACCTCATTCGACTTCTACAACAACCTATAAGGGCAGGGACTGTGTTGGTTACCTATCGAAATGCCTACCTCATAGTAGGCATTCAGTAAATATTTTTTTAACTTTTATTTCAGGTTTCAGGGGAACATGTGCAGGTTTCCGATATAGGTAAATTACATATCATAGGGCTTGGCGCACGGATTATTTTGTGACCCCAGCAATAAGCATAGTATCAGTACTATAGGTAGTTCTTTAAACCTCTCCCTCCTAGGCCTTGGTGTCTGTCGTTCTCTCCTTTGTGTCCATGTGTACTCAATGTTTAGTTCCCATTTATAAGTGAGAACATGTGGTTTTTGGTTTTCTGTTCCTGCATTAGTTAGCTCAGGATTATGGCCTCAGCATCATCCATGTTGCTGCAAAGAACATGATCTCATTCTTTTGTATGGCTGTGTACTATTCCATGGTGTATATTTACCAGATTTTCTTTATCTAGTCTACCATTGGGTGGGCATTTAGATTGATTCTATGACTTTGCTATTGTGAATAGTGCTGTGATGAAAATACATGTGCATGTGTCTTTGTATACCCAATAACATGATTGCTGGGACAAAATGGTACTTCTGCCTTTAATTCTTTGAGAAATCACCACACTGCTTTCCACAATGGCTGAACTAATTTACACTCCCACCAGCAGTGTATAAGTGTTCCCTTTTCTTTGCAATCTTGACAGTACCTGCTATTTTTTGACATTTTGGTAATGGCCATTCTGACTAGTATGAGATGCTATCTCACTGTGGTTTTTGAGTTGCATTTCTTTAATGATTAGTGATGTTAAGTATTTTCTTCATATGCTGTTGGCAATGTGTATGTCTTCTTTTGAAAAACGTCTGTTCGTGTCTTTTGCCCATGTTTTAATGGGGTTGTTTTTTGCTTGTTAATTTGTTTAAGTTCCTTATAGATTCCAGATATTAGACTTCTGTCAGATGCATAGTTTGAAAATATTTTCTCCTATTTGGTAAGTTGTCTGTTTATTGATAGTTTGGTTTGCTGTGCAGAAGCTCTTTAATTTAATTAGGTCCCATTTATCCATTTTTGTTTTTGTTGCAATTGCTCTTGGCATCTTCCTTATGAAATATTTGCCAGAGCCTATGTTCGGAATAGTATGTCCCAGGTCATCTTCCAGGGTTTTTATAGTTTTAGGTTGTACATTTAGGTACTTAATCCATCTTGAGTTGATTTTTGTATATGATGTAAGGAAGGGGTCCAGCTTCAATCTTCTGCATGTGGCTAACCGGTTATCTCAGTATCATTTATTGAATAGAGAGTCCTTTCCTCATTGCTTGTTTTTGTTGAGTTTGTCAAAGGTCAGATGGTTGTAGGTGTGCCACTTTATTTGTGGGTCTCTATTCTGTTCCATTAGTTTATGTGTCTGTTTTTGTACCAGTACCAAGCTGTTTTGGTTACGGTAGCCTTGTAGTATAGTTTGAAGTGAAGTAACATGATGTCTCTAGCTTTGTTCTTTTTCTTAGGATTGCTTTGGCTATTCAAGCTATTTTCTGGTACCATATGAGTTTTATGAAATTTTTTTCCAGTTCTGGGAAGAATGTCATTGGTAATTTGATAGGAATAGTATTGAATCTGTAAATTGCTTTGGGCAGTATGGCCATTTTAATGATATTGATTCTTCCTATCCATGACCATGGAATGTTTTTCAATTTGTTTGTGTTATCTCTGATTTCTTTGAGCAGTGTTTTGTAATTCTGGTTGTATAGACCTTTCACCTCCATAGTTAGCTGTATTCTGGGGTATTTGATTCTTTTTGTGGCTGTTGTGAATGGTGTTGCATTGTTAATTTGGCTCTCAGTTTGGATGTTGTTGGTGTATAGAAATGCTACTGATTCGTGTACATTAATTTTGTATCCCTGAAACATTGCTGAGGTTGTTTATCACATCTAGGAGCTTTTGAGCAGATGCTATGGGGTTTTCCAGGTATAGAATCATATCATGTGTCAAGTGTGGTTGTTTGACTTCCTCTCTTCCTATTTGGATGCCTTTTATTTCTTTCTCTTGTCTGACTGCTCCGGCTAGGACTTCCGATACTATGTTGAATAAGAATTGTGTGAGTGGGCATCCTTGTCTTGTTTCAGTTCTCAAGGGGAATGCTTCCAGCTTTTGCTCATTCAGTATGATGTTGGCTGTGGGTTTGTCATGAACGGTTCTTATTATTTTGAGGTATGTTGCTTCAATGCCTAGTTTTTTGAAGGTTTATAACATGAAGGATGTTTAATTTTATCAAAAATATTTTCTGCTTCTATTGAGATGATCATACGGTTTTTGTTTTTAGTTCTGTTTATGTGATTAATCACATTTGTTGATTTACATATGTTGAACAAATATTGCATCCCAGGGATAAAGCCTACTTGATCATCGTGGATAGCTTTTAGATGTGCTGCTGGATTTAGTTTGCTAGTATTTTGTTAAGGACTTCAGCACTCATATTTATCAAGGATATTGGCCTGAAGTTTCCTTTTTTTATTGTGTCTCTGCCAGGTTTTGGTATCGGGATGATGCTGGCCTCACTAAGAAAATTGTTTAAAATCATACAATTACGTGGAAATCAAACAATCTTCTTCTGAGTGACTTTTGGGTAAACAACATAATTAAGACCAAAATCAAGAAATTCTTTGAAACAAATGATAATAAATACACAAGACATCCAAGTCTCTGAGACACAACTAAAGTAGTGTTAAGAGGGAAGTTTATGGCACTAAACACACACATCAAAGAGTTAGAAAGATCTCAAATTAACAACCTAACATCACACCTAGAGGAACTAGAGAAACAAGAGCAAACCAACCCCAAAGCTAGCAGAAGACAAGAAATAACCAAAATCAGAAGGAAATTGGGACATGAAAAACCATACAAAAGATCAACTAATCAGGAAGTTTTTTTTTTAAAGAATTAACAAGATTGGTAGACCATCGGCTAGACTAACAAAGAAAAAAAATGCAAATAAACACAATCAGAAACGACAAAGGGGAATAACAACCAACCCCATAAAAATAAAAAGAAATCCTCAAAGACGACTATAAACACCTCTATGCATCCAAACTAGAAAACCTAGAAGAAATAGATAAATTCCTGGAAATATACAACCTCCCAAGACTGATCCAGGAAGAAATTGAAATCCTGAAAGACCAATAATGAGTTCTGAAATTGAATCAGTAATAAAAAGCTTACCAACCAGAAAAAAACCCAGGACCAGATGGATTCACAGCTGAATTCTATCAAATGTATGAAGAAGAGTTGGTATCATCCCTGCTGAAAGTATTCCCAAAAAAATTGAGGAGGAAGGAGTCCTCTCTAACTCAGTCTATGAGGTCAGCAAATATTTTTTTGTAAGTGAATGAAACCATAAATGAATGAATACAAGAAAGTAAGGCATGAATCCATCGTGCCAATTTTGTATGAGAAAAGCAAGGTTCGGGTTTATCCAAGGTTCCACTGCTACTAAATAGAAAAGTAGAGTGGCAGACCCACTTTTTCTCACTCCAAGCCCAATGCTCCTTCCTCTATTTCAGCAGCGCTCATGACAATATTTACTTGCCTTGCTCTGAATGTTGGCATTTTATCTTCATTTTGCATGTGCAATTTGTTCTAAGTTAAAGAGTGTCTGGACTCAGCTCAGGAAGAAATTCGGTAAACAGGTTTCACACTTACATTGATAGCATGTGATATTTTAAATATACCTAAACTATGATGAACTGAGGAAGCACTGAATTTATATAGTAGGTATATTTAATATAAAATAAAAATATCACCACAGAAAGTATTGAGCAAATAAATCCTCCTTCAGTATTTTTTCTTGAAGCTATTGCCGTAGAAAATTAAACATAGCCAGATAAATGTCCTTCCCAAAGGCATTATGGTAATTCCAAAGTAGCATGTTAGGTCATTTAACCAAGGTTTAGAGAGTTTCTTCAACTAGCTAACATCTGGGCTGTCCATGCACCATGCCTTTACTGATGGAAATGTGTTCGCTGTGGCCAGCATGCTGAGAAACTGATGTGCACGTCCATAAAATCATAAAATTGCATTGTAAAATGTCAATATGTTATCTAATACAAAATGTGCAGAATGGAATGATCCAGAAGCATTGGGAAGAAAATAATCCTTTGAATAGGAAGAACTTTAAAAGGCAAGAATACGGAAAGTACAAGAATACACTGAAAATAAAGCCAGCAAGATTAAGAACACAGGTGTCAGGAAAAAAGAACCCAAACTCGGGCAGCCACTGCTCTTCCCCAAAAATTGTGGTAGGAAGGCCCTAGCCCTAGGTACACATTCAGAGATTCTGCTGCTGAACTGCACGTCACCAGGCTGTCTACTGGCTGGAGCTAAGCTAAACACTTGTCACCCTTCTATAAGTGCAGGAAAGATGGCTTGGGAAACCTAAAGAGAGAGAAAAGTGTTTCAACAGAGTTATGATCACACAGTGAATGAAGTTTCTAGAAATGGTATAATGCAGTGAAAAGAGCACAGAACTGAGAGAGTTAGGTTTTGCAGAGTGACTCAAAAGAGAAGCTTTGGTACCAGTCATAATGCTTCATATGTGTTCACTGCTACCATCATTATTAATATTTTTGTTGACAATTTTTTTCTCAATTACATTTAAATAATCATTGCTAATATACAGGAAATCTGTTAAAAAACTCTTATATTTCTTCATATATGTGCCCAGTAGTCTTTCTCAATGCTCTAAATGTTTCTTCTCACTACCCTGAGGATATATACACTCCTTTAGCCATAGAGAAATTCTTTTATGTCGTCAGATGAGGCACGTGCTTTCTTACTTCCAGCTTTTGGCACATGCTCGTTCCTATGTTTAGAGAACCACTACCTCAATCTTTCTAACTACTAACTCCTAAAAATTCTTTAGGTCTTAGGTTAAATGTCATTTCTGGATCATCGTCCTTACCTCTCCCCACCACCACCATCATCCTCCCTGCTGACAAAATCAGATTAAGTGCCTCTACTGCATGTTTGCATAGCAACCACTTTTCAGCATAGCTGCCCTATTATAGAGCTTTTTATGCTTTACTAAAACTGCTTTTTAAATTATCTCCCTGCATAGACTATTGGGTTCTGTGAGATAAGAGGTTCTGTCTTTCTCATTCACCATTTTATGCCCAGCACCTAGCATATAGACCTGAAAACTATTTGTTGAATGGAGAGGGGAATGGGTAAATGAATGAATGGGTTAAATCTAAATTCCTCAATATAGTTTATGAAGACCTGAAGCCTGCTTACCTCACTGGTTTCTTATCTTGCTATTTAGTACATAGCACTCTATCTACCATCCATTTTGAATTTATTTCATATCCTCAAAAACACCATGGCCTCCTTCCTGGCAAGAGTTTGTATATGGTATGCTATTATTTTGCCTGGATTATTCTTCCTGATTACCCTTTTCCTGAACAATTCCTACTCATCCTGCAAGGCTTAATATTGTGGGCTTTGTTTTCACTAATCTTTCACCTCCTTTTTCTCACTCCACCTGGATTAGGTATTCCTTCAAGATAAGACCCTAGAAGTCCTCACTTCATCCATGCTAACAACTGTTAGATTTTTCTGGAGTTTCTGGTCATTAGTCAGCATCTTCCTCTAGACTATAAGCTCTCAGAGGGCAAGGGCCATTGATATCCAGTTTATCATTTTATCCTGGCACAGAGCAAAACTGTAATAAATATTTGTTGAATGCATGAATGAACTAAATAAACTATCTTTAAAAATAGAAACGATAAAATGGGAAGCATCGTTCAGGCACTGCCTTTCTCTCTTTTCCCACTAGGGAACCAATGAATCTTTAAGAAAAATATTCATGTCCTGATTCTGTCTGGGTCCTCTTTTTCTTCTGTCAGCAATTGTTGAATGTTTACACTGTAAGTTTCAAGTCTTCAATAACTATATCTCCGTAGCTCCAGCTCATCCTCTTCCTACCAGCTATTGTTCAGACCTGCAAAAGTACTGAAGCAGGAGATTTCTTCTCCTGTCTGTCTTTAGAATGCCTGCTGCCTTTCTGCCTGCAAATAGTTTGTGCATTTTCATTGTGCCTTACCTCTCTGTTGAGTGAATCTGGCCTGTGTCTTTAAGGAATGAATACGCTTGCTAGTCAGTAGACTCTTAAGTTCCCAAATTACTGGGATAAAGAGAGCATTATCTAAGTTAAGCATAATGCTTGGTGTCTCTCATTTTTTAAGCATCACAACATAACCACAGACACTTGGGATTAAACTTTATTTCATGCCCATTATAAATGGATTACATTATACCTTTATAAAATAAGGTCTAAGGAAAGAGAAATCAGTGCAAACTACCATTTGAAGATGTTGTCCAAGATGCATACTGAAAATAAAGAAGTTGTCTCATCTCTGGTACCAAAAGGTCCTATATCTTTATGCATCAAACAACATCTGTGCTGGTTCCCATTGTCCCAATCATTTGCCTGTATGTTCTCTGACAAATTTACTACCTTTTTCCTGCTCTTCTTGAAATCACAGCAAACAACATTTCTAAGACTCCTTTTGATAGAATCTCTAACGGGGACTAAGTCTTATCTGTGGCTCTGGAGAAGCTAGATTCTACTAGATAGTCCCTCCTTGCTATGGTTTCATCTTCCACTAGATAGCCCAGCTTCTAGATCCTGGTAACACCAACTTCTTCTGTTGTCCCAGGCCTAGAGACAGTAGTAGCTCCTTGTTCGTATTACTACTTGGGATGCCACACCATCGCTTGTGTGATGTTTGAGCCCTTCTATAATCTGTGAAAGCAATTTTCAAAATTAAATTCTTTCTGTTGAAACACCTAGAGCAGTTTCTATTTTTTTCCCCCGACTGACCCCTAAGTGATAAACTCAGAAAAAAAAAAAAAAACATTCAACCAATAAATCTTCTGCAGTATATAATAGTTTTAACATCTAAAATCCTTGATACAAAGAACTGTAAATCACTGATATTAAATTCTTTTTCTCTTCTAACTCCCAGTATCCATTTGGAATCCCATCTCTGTACATGTTTTTAGTTAAAAATATGAAAATAAAGTAGTTCTAGTTTATATTTTAATGAAAATCCCAATGAAATTCCATTAAAATGGAAGTCACCAGATTAATCAGGAGAATTTGAGGATAAACAGGAAAACTCAGACTGAAAACTCCATTGTAACTTGTATGAGAGAAACTAAGATATTATTTTAAGTAGAAAGTGATTAGATCTTGACAAAGTGGTTCTGAGCAACTTTCAAATATCTTAGACTCAGTCAAATAGCAAAAAATGTTTTTTCCCTAATAAGCATGTTGGGAAATTTAACAATCCAGGTATGTTTTAAAGAAAATGCTTTTATGCTTCAAATTTCTTTATATTTATATTTTTTTATTTTACTTTAAGTTCTGGGATACATGTGCTGAACGTGTGGGTTTGTTACATAGGTATACATGTGCCATGGTAGTTTCCTGCACCCATCAACCTGTCATCTACATTAGGTATTTCTCCTAATGCTATCCCTCCCCTAGCCCCCTATCCCTGACAGGCCCCAGTGTGTGATGTTCCTCTACATGTGTCCATGTGTTCTCACTGTTCAGCTCCCATTTATAAGTGAGAACATGTGGTGTTTGGTTTTCTGTTCCTGTGTTAGTTTGCTGAGAATGATGGTTTCCAGCTTCATTCATGTCCTTGCAAAGGACGTGAACTCATTTTTTATGGCTGCATAATATTCCATGGTGTATATGTGCCACATTCTTTTATCCAGTCTGTCATTGATGGGCATTTGGGTTGGTTCCAAGTCTTTGCTGTTGTAAATAGTGCTACAATAAACATATGTGTGCATGTGTCTTTATAGTAGAATGATTTATATTCCTTTGGGTATATACCCAGTAATGGGATCGCTGGGTCAAATGATATCTCTGGTTCTAGATCCTTGAGGAATCGCCACACTGTCTTCCACAACGGTTGAACTAATTTACACTCCCACCAACAGTGTAAAAGCGTTCCTATTTCTCCACATCCTTTCCAGCGTCTGTTGTTTCCTGACTTTTTAATGATCACCATTCTAACTGGCATGAGATGGTATCTCACTGTGGTTTTGATTTGCATTTCTCTAATAACAGGTGATGATGAGCTTTTTTTCATATGTTTGTGGCCCACATAAACATCTTCTTTTGAGAAGTGTCTGTTCATATCCTTTGCTCACTTTTCGATGGGGTTGTTTGTCTTTTTCTTGTAAATTTGTTTAAGTTCCTTGTAGATTCTGGATAGTAGACCTTTGTCAGATGGACAGATTGCAAAAATTTTCTCCAATTCTGTAGGTTGCCTGTTCACTCTGATGATAGTTTCTTTTACTGTACAGAAGCTCTTTAGTTTAATGAGATCCCATTTGTCAATTTTGGCTTTAGTTGCCATTGCTTTTGGTGTTTTAGTCATGAAGTCTTTGCCCATGCTTATGTCCTGAATAGTATTGCCTAGGTTTTCTTTTAGGGTTTTTATGGTTTTAGGCTTTAGATTTAAGTCTTTAATCCATCTTGAGTTAGTTTTTGTATAAGGTGTACGGAAGGTGTCCAGTTTCTGTTTTCTGCATATGGCTAGCTAGTTTTCTCAGCACTATTTATTAAATAGCAAATCCTTTCCCCATTTCTTATTTTTGTCAGGTTTGTCAAAGATCAGATGATTGTAGATGTGTGGTATTATTTCTGAGGCCTTTGTTTTGTTCCATTGGTCTATATATCTGTTTTGGTACCAGCACCATACTGCTTTGGTTACTATAGCCTTGTAGTATAGTTTGAAGTCAGGTAGCATGATGCCTCCAGCTTTGCTCTTTTTGCTTAGAATTGTCTTGGCTATATGGGCTCTTTTTTGGTTCCTTATGCAGTTTAAAGTAGTTTTTTCTAATTCTGTGAAGAAAATCAATGGTAGCTTGATAGGAATCGCATTTAATCTATAAATTACTTTGGGCAGTATGGCCATTTTCACACACACACAAAAAGATATTACATTCCATATAGATTAATATTTAAATAAACATTGAAGAAATTTAAAAATAAATAAATAAAATAAAAACTGGACAACCATGCCTGTTCTCTTTGAGGAAGTACATTTGGCATTTCATCATTAATAATAATATAAGCTCTAGAATTTTTGTAAATTGCCTTTCGTTAGACTGAGAATTTTTCCTTCTTTTTATTTTGCAGAATTCATATCATGAATTGACGTTGAATTTTGATCAACGCTTTTTCTGCACCTGTTGAACTGTCATACAATTTTTCTCCTTAAATTAATATGTAAATCACATTGTTTGACTTTAATGTTCAACCAAAAATGTATTATTCTTTTTCTATATTGCTGTATTTTATATGCCTATACTTTGTTGAGAATTATTGTGTATATTTTTATAAGAAATGTTAATTTGTAATTTTTTAAAAAATTTTTAATTGCTATTGAGATGGACATAATTAATCATGTTAATTGTGTTGATTGTGAGCTCCATTCTGTGTGAATAGAAACCATATCAAACAACATCAGTAGAAATGTGTTTTTATCAGACAGCTTTTGAGGTACTTCTACCTTATGAATAAAGGCTTTCTGCAGTTTGCAGCAAAAATAATAATAATAATAAGCTTTTCTGTAGATAACTTGAGGTCTTAACTTCATTGATGATCTTTAAAGCATCATCTTTTAAAAGGAAGTTACATTTTCTAGTATTAAAACCACAAGGAAAAAATGCTGCTAGCAGTAAGCCAACAGCCCTATAGCTTATAGTCCAGGGCAGGGGTGTCCCATCTTCTGGCTTCCCTGAGCCACACTGGAAGAAGAATTGTCTTGGGCCATAAATAAAATACACTAACACTAATGATAGCTGATAAGCTGAAAACAAATTGCAAAAAAATCTCATAATGTTTTAAGAAAGTTTACAGATTTACATTGAGCTGCATTCAAAGGCTTCCTGGGCCACATGAAGCCCGTGGGCCATGGATTAACAAGCTTGGTCAAGGGAATGTAGAGTACTAAAATTAGGTAAACTGTGTTCCTTAAACTAACTTTAATGAAGGGGCCACTTGTTTACTTATCATATACAAACACCCAAAAGTCATCAAAGGTGGATTTATCTTGAACCCTGTGTAAGGGGAAAACTGTTGGAAGTCCTATCAAATACCGTCATAACAAAGCTAAGGCAACAAACACACAAATTGCATTGAAGACAATTTTTACCCACTCTCCCAGCCTTCCCCGAACAACCACTCCCTTCAAAAAGTGCTTCCTGGGATGTTAGCTAAATGACCATGCACTGTGAAAGTCCTTCCCTGTTCCTCTGACAGCAGAAGGAATCCTAAGGCTAGAACTGAAGAAGTCAGGGGGCCATGACAAAGTTGAAGAAAGACACCCAGGTTCCTTATTCTTCTCCTCACCAATTCCTTGCAACAATGCCTGGACAGGTCGAATACTAAGTATCATTCTAAAAGGAGCATCACAGCTAGTCTCCCCACTCTGAGAACGAGATTCTTCTCTGAGTCCCATCAATTTCATATATCTACCATAAAAACTATCAAAAAGTGTTTGTTTAATTTCAGTATTTTTATTGAGAAGTTTAGGTGAGAATTTCTCAACTCTTTATATGATCTATTAAATAATGGAAATCTCTACATTGCATAGAATTTCCCTCTACTGCTTCCCAGAGAGATAATGATTTGGCCTTGTTTTCAACGCCTTCAATGATGTGGAGCCCATTTCATTGTTAGGCAGTGCTAATACTTGAAAGCACTTTCTTAAACTAAACTAAATTCTGTCTTACTTTTAATAGCAACCATTTCTAGAGTCATCATGATGTGCCAGAAACTGTTACTTGAAACAATACTTCTACCTAAACCTCACAAAAATCCTACAAGGTAGACATTATGCCACTTCCTAGCTGAAGAAAATAAAGCTCAGGAAGCTTAATTTTTCTGGCTAAGATCACAGAATACTAGCATTTACACCATTCTGGTTTTTCCTAATATGCCATACTGCTTTCTACTTTGAAAGAAATTAAATTCTCAGAAATCTAAACATTTACAATTAAATAAAGTGTCATCCTTTGAAGTGTCATACCTTTGGGATGTTTGCATATGGCCTCTCTTCACACATCTGGAACAGCTGCTTTTAGGCAACAGGGCAATAAATTTTTTGTCCTCTCAGTAAATATGGGTGGTTTGGAAGAAATAGACAAGTTCCTGAGTATTAAAATCTGTCTACATAAAAGGATACATAAATCTGAATAAGGCTTTATATCTCCCTCGTCTTTTCTATGTACAAAAGTGTGCACACACCTAGACACCCACACAGCAAGAATTAGGAAGACCTGATTTTTTTATCCCCATGTAAATAATAAAGTTTCCTCCACCCACTTTCCATGGGAGACAGACAGGGTGAACTCCAATGGCGGTGGTAGGAAAATGAAGATGGAGAGGAGGGGGAAGTGAGGAGGAAGGCATTGCAACTTTGAGGTTCTTATATACCAACACCCACTGCCAGGATGCTAGGCAACCCCCCAAGAAGCCAAAAGACTGCCCTACACCACAAAAGCCACTAGGTCCCAGGGAGAATGCAAGGTGGAATGAGGCCAGATTCTTGCCTCTAAAGGAGTCATGATTGACTGGGAAAACACGAATCAACAACTCCAATAAAAGTGAGCACACTTTAACCACCTCCATCATTGTTAACTGCAGAGTGCCCCTTAGCAGAGTGGTTAGAAGCAAGGCAAGGACATTGGGTTTGAAACCTGGCTCTACCACTAAGCTGTCCTGTCCTCTGACAGAAGAGAACTGCCGACCCCACTCTGCCAGTCAAGCTGTAGTTCCTAAGCTAGATCCTTCTTGTAAACGGATTCTAAATGTGGTTTGTGAGTCTGAATGGAGCTTGCAAAGACCACCAGGTGGGTGATCTCTAAACTATACAACTGTCATTTTACACATTATTATTAGAAAAATCAGAAACATATCAGTTCTTCTCAATCTTCAAACCCATGTAACTTCTAGGAGTTCAGCATTTACTTGAAACCCAGAACAACATAAAAGTCCAAGACCTGAAATATCAAGTGCCAACTATCTCTGCTTAGAACTCAGGGATTTCCAAGGATGTGGAAATTTCAGCACAAAAATTAGTACAGTCCCTGGGCAAAACAGAACAGTTGGTCAACCTATCAAGACCCCCTCTTGATTTAGCAACAGACTCAAGCCCTTTCCACATATACTGATCCACACCTCCCACTCAATAGGTTTAAGAAAGAAGACCAGAGAACTCACTCAGATACATTCAGAAATAAAGCAGCTTACCAGATAAGGGAAAATGGAAGAGGAGAGTGCTATCAGTGCCAGGGGACACCTCAAAAGAAACATTTGTTCCTGGTGCCCTCCCACACACAGAAAAGAGAGCCCTGCCATGAGGCCTGATTGATGCAGCGACATTCCCTTAGCTTCAATAAGCAGCAGCAATATGTTTCTATAAAGTTGCAACCTTCTCTTCTAAAATAAAAATACAACAATAAATTTCTGAAAAGTTAAGCATATATATCATTCTAGGGCACAATTTTGGAATACACCTACTTTGTGTCCAGAGAACACTGCAAAGGCAAATTAAATTAACTGTCAAAGATGAATATATAAATATTTATCCCTTCAGCAAAATGTATGTTGAGGGCCTACTACATGCAAGACTCTATGCACGGCTCTGCAGACCCGCAGAGATGTGAAGGACTCAAGTCTTGTCTGTTAGGTATCTTATTTAAATCCTCCACTATGTTCATAACATTCGCTTCCCAGTTTGTGGCTATTCTAACCTGTGTAGACTTGTTCTCCAGGGCTTGGGCCATGCACAGGAAACATTGAGTAATTCAATTGCCTCATTTGCCATCACTCCCTGAGGAAGAAACCATAGCCAATGAATTTTTAATGCGTTCAGCTTACATTTTCTTCTTTGGGAGCTTATTTCTGTCTACCAATATAGCTTAGGCATCAGGTAGCACAGATATATTAAAGACAAATGAAGGTAGAAACCCCAACAGGAGGAAAATTATTGTTTTAGCCATTACCTAGCACTTCTTGTATTGAATCAGTACTGAAACCATTTTTCCCCTCCTAATTCATTATCATTACCTTAGCTCTAAAGTCTTTATGGCTTTATTCTGCACCTGGAGTAGGAACCACCCTCTCAGAATTCAAGCAGAGAACATCAAGTGGACCAAACCACACAGATCAGAATAACACACTCCTATCTTTTATCTGACATCTCCTTTTTTTCAGCTAAACTCAGACGCCACTCTATTGTTTTAGCTGATGCTGCCTGACAGGGAAGATGACTGATTCAAGTGACAGAAGGGGTTTCAATAGAGAAAGAAGCCTGTTTAAGCTCTGGCCTGTCTGCTCCAGTAAATCTCTGGTTTTATCAGCTAGGTGCAACTGGCTCATTTCCACTAGATCGGTGGCAGTCCATCTCTTTCAAGCCCCTTGTCAGGGAAGCCTTCAGGTGCCACAGCATGCCAGGGTTGATATAAGTCAAACCTGGTGTGAACAAGGATTAACCTCTAAGATTGCATGAGACTCCCTTTCAGTCTATTCCAGGCAGGGACACGAGAAACTATAAACTCGATTAAACAAGGTAAACTTTCCTGTGTTCTTCTGCAGCAAGCATCTCATTTGCATTCCTTCAGCAGTTTGAATAAACATAACCATTGACCTGGGCAGCTCTTCCTGAGAGACCCCAGAGCTGGCACACGGTGTGAGGAGGAATAATTTCAATGTCGTCGTGGCAAAACTGGACAGCCTGTCAGAAACATGAAAACGGCTTTTGAAATCTGCATGTCTGTGTGAAGGTATAAAATATTTATACCTCAGATTAAAATATTTTATTGAATTAATATTGATTTACTATTAATTTTTAAATAGATTCATATTTCATGAGACACTCACAATGAACCCACCAATTGGGCCTCAGTGAGTGAAACCAATTACACAAATTGTTAAGGAAGCAACCAAGAAAGCAACTCTCAATGCCTGGGGAGAGACAAAAGGAATGTGAAAATCTGGCTTTATGATAAAATAAACATAATGTCTATATGCAACTGAAAGAAATACCTCATCGCACTGCTCACTTTTATGTAGGCTTTTTCTTTGTAATGTATAGCAGTGGGGTAGCCCTTGGCCAATTTTTTTTTCCTTTTTTAAGAAAGTGATCTACGTTTGGCCTCACATTTGAAAACTTCACTGCAGTGACTTTTTTTTCAAAACAGCAATTAATTCTTTCCTTCCAAGAGGAAACTGTAATAATAATAGCTACTGAAAAGTGAAGCTTCGTTAAGAGTTTCTCCCTCTAGTATTGGGCAAAGCCCTTCAGGAAAGTGCTGACAGCTAAAAACAAAAGACATTGATTGCTGTGCTCAATTAGCATCTTCAGACACAAAGCGATGGTGGCTAAGATGAGGCCTCCCAAGTGCTTTTGTACCTGCTCCATTTCAATCTGAGTCCAGAAACTTAACTGTTCCTCCCTCAGCTCTGCTATTATGCTTTCCATAATCATACCTGTATTTTTGTTTTGAAAACTCATATCGCCATCATTTCACTAGGTTCCCTTTTGGTAGGAAAATGTTTTCTAATTTATACAAGGCCTTTATACAGCCTAGGCAACAGACCCAGTTCATCTTTATTCATCTTTTTCTTTTTATATCTCATTCATGTTTTCCTTTTCTTATTCAACCATTCTAAATTGGGCCGCACTTAACACAGTTTATTGCAGTCAGTCCTTTTTTTGCACAAAACACCAGTATGTACAGTTACAGGACAAAATAAGGATTATTCTTCATTTTGTGATGAAGGGTTTTACTGTGAGCAAGATTTTAAAAGGCATGGGAAGTCTGCAGGAGATGCTAGGCTGGGTTAGGATAGCCGCATGGGGCTAAGATGATGCCCAGGGTCTCCTAATTAGATAAAGCCATTGTTTAGCTTCAGACAATACCTGTTTACAGTTCAATAAACAACTTGTCACAGTTGCTTGCTCAAAGCAGACCTAGATGTCAATGCAAACAGTTAGTACAGAGGTAGTGAAATAAATTGGTCTCCTGAGTAAATAAATTGAGCAGCAATGTGAAACTGCCTCATCAGTACTGAGGAAGATAATCATTTATAAAGGTTTAAAATGGTGTTTCATAAGTATTGACATTTAGAGAAATGTCTTTCCCCATCTAAATGACTTACCCCCCAACCTTTTCCTTTTTCTACCAGCCACTAAAAGAGAAGAAGAAAATAAAAAGAGAAGATAAAGTATTTCCAGGGTCATTCCATCAAAGTTTTTTAATGCTTTTATATAAAATTTAATAAACATCTAAAAGATGCCTGGTCTTGAATATAAATTATGAATAAGTATAGCACCTGCCTTCAAGGATTTTCCATTCTGTCATCATAGAATGAAATCAGACAGAAAGATAAGACAGGTGGAAAGGTCATTTGGCCAAATGCCTGGGTTTTGTTGTTGTTTCTTATTGACGAGTGATGAAGGAGAAACCAATAGAAGCAAGAACAGAATGGAGGTGTGTGCCTAGAAACCATTGTCAGGGAGGTGAAGCAAGGGTGGTGGGAAGAAGAAATGAGGTGACACTGTTTGGTGACTTCTTTTATGGGGCTAATGACTGCACATAATGGCATTCCCTTTCCCAAAGATCTTTGAAAGTCCTGGGAGATTCAGCTGAACAACTGAATGCAAAGATTTTACAACAAGTTATTACACATGCAAATAGAGATGTCTCAGAGACCCTGTCAGAGACCCTCATGCACACGTAAACACCAGGAAGCACAGTGGCAAATTCCAATTATTTGAATTTTGTAAGAGAAGAAGGCATTAACATTTACTCACAGGCAGCTTACAATCTTGGCTATGGTATACAACATACACCAGCATATCAGAGCGCCAGAAAGACTAATCCAAAGGGATCAGCCAACTGACATGGCATTACATGGTTGGGAGAGGGAGAGCTAAATTTATAAATATATTAGAAATCAGAAATCTTGTCCTTACTATATTCTTTCTTCTTCCTTCTTTTTGTTCAACCCCATCTTATACCCTACCCCACAGAGCCTAAGTGAAAGAGCTCTTGCCCCCAAAATGGTAGAGCACCCACCCTCAATTAGACTCATGTAACCCTCAGAGCACTTATTTTCCAAGAATTCACTTTACCTGGCCCATTATTAAAGCCTACTGAATTCTGCCACTATGAATAACATTTATTTCCCTTTAACATTGAATTTTTTTAAATGTACACTTGGAGTTTATGGCAACAGAAGCCTTTTTTTGAAATGAGAAAATAAAACTGGAGTGCGGTCAATACTATTATAAACCCCAATGATCCTTTCTTAAGATGCATATTTAACATCTGCCCTTGTAACTCAAACTCCCTGTATTCCTGGCTCTTTACAACCACACCTGCATTTTCAAATGGAGTTCACAAACTGACTGTAAGATTTCTTTCACTGGCATTTATGTCGTGGTCACAGGCCTGAGAGCACATAATGCCAGGATTACTGCTGACCTGTCCTCCGTGGAAATCTGAGCTCAGTAGTGTCTCTATAAGATGTTAGCTTTCAATGCTACTCTAGACAAAATTGGCAGTGGATGTAGTTTTTCACTTCTATTCCCAGCTTCCATGTTCTGAGACAAAACCTCATTTACTCCATGCTTCTCAGAAGGGCCCAGTGCTCTTAGTCTTCTCCCCTTTTAGAGCCTTTTTTATGGGGTGGGCGAAGGGGAGGCTCACCAATACAGAGTGAAAAGGGAAGGAATTGGTATGAAAAAACACAGGTTCCATCCCTTACTGGCTGTGTAACCTTGTTCGAGCCATGAAATCTTCTCAGCTCATATTCCTCATGTGTTAAATAGGGATAATAAAGAGATTTACTTCCTAAGGAGGATGCA
Source organism: Homo sapiens (assembly GCF_000001405.40). Classification (NCBI taxonomy): domain Eukaryota; kingdom Metazoa; phylum Chordata; class Mammalia; order Primates; family Hominidae; genus Homo; species Homo sapiens. Next base: position 95,580,412 of record NC_000001.11, on the reverse strand, counting down.
CATGTTACTGTTACAAAATAGATAAAGTATTTTGAAACTTAAAGGGTCAATCAGGTACTACTTTCATAATGATTATTAATTCACTCAAAAATTTAATTGAACATCTACTATTTTTGATGTTGATACAGTGATGAATAAGATGAGGTCTCTGACCTCACAGACATAATCTGATAGAGAATGTCATGGAAAGAATAATATGAATAGCATTAGATTAGAACCATAACAGAGGTATTAATCAAGTGTTATGGGGCCACAGATATGGAAGTAATTATTTTGGAGGCAAATCATGGAAACTGGGTTATTATTAAAAATATATATAATTGACAAAATATTAAGCCCTATCACTTAGTAAGGGAATATAGATATTAACTGTAGTCAAAGTCTGAAGCTTAAGGAATAAATTCTTAGGCTTGAATTTTAAGTCTCAACCAGAAAAGAAGGGAAGTGAATGAGGACTACCAAGTCCTAGTCGGCTCTTGTCCCGTGCCTTCAAGTCATATGGAGATGATCACTTCAGCTAAGGCAGACTCCCCTGACTTTTAACCATGGACTTGACTGGTTGGAAGCACCTTACATCATTTTACACCACTCCCCTTTCTTTGGCTACATTTTTTGGACCTTGATTCAACCACACCAACTGAAAAAAAGATTCACTTCAGATGATGAACCAATTTCTGGTGTAAAGGTTTGGAAAGTCCTTCAGGGAAGGTATCTGAGCAGACTTCTCATCATCTCACTCATATGTCAGTGATCTCCAAACTCTTCTGATTTATAAACACCTTCCACCTGAGCTTACCAATGCCTATGAGGTTAACTACTGACCACTTATGTGGGTGAACTACCTATGGAGCTCTAACCAGACCACACAGTCAACTCCAAAGCCAAACTCATTTCCGAAATGTCAGATCTGCTCTCCTCCTATCTTTCCTTCTCTCTGTTGAAGACACCATCACCTACTCCTTTACTAAAGTCAGAAAGCAAAAAGCTATTCTTTAATCCTCCCTTTATCTTACCTTCCTCTGTCTCCCAGACCCATTAACTAAGCCTTTTCAATTTTATATCGTTATCATTTCTTATACCTACATCCTCCTCTCCTTCCTCCTTTTATCACCAGAGTTCAGCCTGCATTCACCTTTTATCTAAACTTGGAAATAGTCACCCAACTGTCTCTTGAGCTCTCATCTCACTTCCTCTAAGTCATTTTCCAAATGCTACCAAAGTGACAGTGATCTTTAAAATCCAAGAGAGATCATGTAACCTTCCTTCTTAAAATCCTTCAAAGGTTTTTCACAGTTCATAGAGAAAAGAGTAAAATTCTTAAAATGACATAGAAGACCCTAAATTATCTAGCCTAGCAGTTGTCTTGACCTCAAAATTTTTACAACTCTCTGACTCTCCTGTGTGGTTTCATAACTTCCTGGCTTTTCTCTTAGTGGATCCCTTTGTCTGAAAAGCCGACCTCCTATCCCCAACCTCCTATCCTAACAAATACCCACTCATTTACCAACACTCATTCCAGACACCCCTTTCCCTAGGAATTCTTTATTTTATCAGACTCCAGAGACAAAACTGAACATCCTTTGTGTTCTCTTCCTGCACTTTGTCCAGATATCTAAAACCTGTTTTCCTCCTCCTGGAGAGAAAGTTCCTTAATGACAAAGACCATATCACTGTATTTCACATATCCAGAACCTAGCACAGTATCTGGCACACATCTGGTGCTTAATCAACGTTGACTGAATGAATTACACAACCTATTCCAGGAAAAGGAGTTTCACGTATCACAAACGCCTAGATTATTGTCTGGCATATGGTAAGTACTCAATAGATATTTGTTAAATGAATAAATAGATGAGTCATTTTATTCTTTGCCAGTGAACTGAAGATTTGGTCACTATTCTCAATGCAATCCTTCTTTATATATTTTTTCTCTAATATAACAATGCCCACAGCAGGCTAAGTCAGTATGTATTATACCACTATCAAATGCTGACACAGATAAGAGATGGCCTTGCTGGCTAATTGTTTCACTATTGAGAGCTCCTTGGGGGCTTCCTTCTTAGTGTCAACCTTCTAAAATATATTCCTAAGGACTTAAAACTAAAAACTGCTTTTTTCTTTTTTTTTTTTTTACTCAACTGCTGAACAACAACTAAACTAAGGCAGAGAAAATTCTACTAACCCAGGGAAGAAACATCACACAAAATCTATTTTTAGTATGTTTAGATCTCTGAGATTTACATAAAATCAGGGTTCACCTTATGAGAGTGCAGAACAGAACTACTTTCTGCAGGTGAGATGAATTGTCAAATATTTCCTACTACTGGCATGCTAGAATGCCGAAATTTCTATTCAAAAATGATAACCTTTGGCTTCTCAATTTTTAAGAGAATCCTTTTAAAATGCAAATACTCCTAGGTAGAAGCAGGGTTGGTATCTTGCTTATATACATGATCAGTAAGGCCAGGGTTGTTTTTTATAGCTGGCATTGGTTTTGATTATTCAGTTCTAGTTTATTACCAGATGTTAAATATATAGCCTATTACCACAGCCCAGAAGGAACCCCACCTTGAGCCTCACCTTCATAGATTTAGAACTGAAAGAGCTTTATAGATCATCTAGTTCAACTCCTACATTACATTTATGAGCTTCATTTTTTCATGCATATATTTATATATTCATTCATTCAACCAATATTTACTGAAGACCTATTATGCACCAAACACTCCTTTAGGAACTTGGGGTACAGGAATAAACTAAACAGATGAAAATCCAACCCTTCATGTAGCTTACATGGTAATGGAGGGAGACATGCAACCAACAATACATAAGTAAAATGTGTTTTTTACCTGATTGCTTGGGTTTGCCAAATGCTGATTAGTGCTATGAATAAAAATGTAATAGGGAAGAGGGATAAGACTTGCTAGGAAGGAAGTTGAAATGGTTACAGTTTTAATAACAGTGATCAAGGAGGTCCTCATTGAGAAAGTGATATTTGAGAGAAGACTAGGAGGGGAAGAAGCAAACTGTGCAAATATCTGAGCAAAAGGGATATCCTAAGCAGAGAGAAAAGTAAGTACAGTGATCAAGAATTTGTCTGATTTGTAAAAAAAAAAAAAAAAAAAAAAAGAGTACAGTGAGTTAAGTATAGAATGGGGAAAAGGGAAGAGAATAGGAGATAAGATTTTCAAAGGACAAGTGAGGGACCAGATCATCACAGAGCCCTTGTAGCCACATAAAGACAGGTGCTTACCATGAGTGAGATGGGAAGAAATTGGAAGGCTTTAAGCAGAAGAGTGACATGCTCTGCTTACATTCTTAAAAGATCACTCTGCTTCTATGTTGAGAATAGACTGAAGTTGGGGAGGATAGGAGCAGATAAAACAGCAGGAGGTTATTGCATAAATCAAGGTGAGAGGTGACAGTGGTTTGGACTAGAGAACTAGTCATAAGAGCTGATGAGATGTGGGCAGATTCTGGATATATTTTAATAGTAGAGCCAATAAGATTTGCTAGCAGTTTGATTATGAGAAATAAGAGAAAGAAAAAAAATTAGAAGAATAACTGTGGGGGATTTTTAGCCTGAGCAGCTGGAAGGATGGTGCTTTCATCAACTGAAATGGGAAAACTGAGGAAAGAGTACATTTAGGGGAATGGTGATAATCTGGAGCTCAATTTGGGGCATTTTAAATGTTAAGTACCTATTAGATATCCAAAGAGAGGAGGTGACTAGTCAATTGAATAAGCAGATAAGGAAATGGATACTCAGAGAAGTTTGAATTTCATCAGGTTATCCTATCACAAAAGCACTATCAGAGTGGGGTACAAAATAGCATCCACTAGGCAGGGAAGAAGAAAGATCCCTAAAAGGTAAAGTGAGACATAGATAAAAACAAGTTCTTCCTTCCTCACAATTTGGCCAGGAAAAGGAAGGCAGACCAGATGAAAGCTCATAAATCAGAAGATAATTGAAAAATGCTGCCCAATTGCTAGTTGCTAATATGTCTCCCACTAAATTCCCAATTGCATCTACTAATTTTTTGTTTAGCATTAAACATTCTTTAAATGGAAGTCTGGTGAGAAAGTAAAGAGAGAATGAGTAGAAGCTAACATAGCAGAATCTAGTTAAGCTGCTCTATCCACATGGCTGCAGACACTCCCTGGATACCAAATCTCAGAACAGCTTGGAGTTCCCAGTGGTGGCTCTAAGAGTCTAGACTGGGAACAAAACCTGTCCAAGATGTGCAAAACAGGTGGGATTGAATGGATGATACATGAGGGAGTGGGAAGAACTTGCCCATTTGGTGATCTTTGCCCAAAGCATATCTGGGGAAAAATGAGGTTCTGGACTACTCATGTGATGACAATATTCTTTTACAGAAATTTAAGACTGCCCAATTCCAAAGCTGCAAACCTTTAGGAAGTCACTTGGTCCAGCTCTGGCCTGGAGCAAATCTTATAGAACAACTATAAACTAGAGCATATTTATCAGATTTGCCAAGCAAACAGGGAAGAGGGGTAGAAAGAGAGAATGGACCATTAGGAGTGACCTGAAGGAGACTTCTAGCTATCCAACCTATGTACAGCCTCCATTCCCACGTAGCCAATTGGTCTCTGGGGGTCCGAAGTAGATGATACCAAGTGATTTCAACTTTCAAGCCTTCTTCCCATTAAAATCCATCAATCAAAAATCTGCATATCTCGGGTACTTTTAAAATACTAGAATATCCAATTCATACCAGGGACCAGCCACTTACAGGGAAGAGGTAGTACAGGGATCTGAACCAGGTATGATCACCCTCTTCGTTCAATGGCAAGAATTTAAAAGGGTGATTTAAAAAGTGGTGTCTACAAAAAAAACCCCATAAAAGAAAATCATGTTGTGCCAGTTTGTTTACCTATTGTCTCTCAGTGCCAAGTCGACCCATCCATACTCCGCTCCTTTGTACTGTATTTTCAATATTCCCTTGCCAGATGGATTCCTGTTAGCCTCTGTCAATGAAAGGGACTGGTGTAAAATTGAAAGACAGGAGGAGGAAAGAATAAACTTCCCTTCTATTTACAGTTCCTGTACATTTCCCTCCAACCACAGAAAACAGCCACAGTACCAATGATGCTTCACCCCTTAGAGACACAACCACCAGCCTGCTGTGCCTCTTCAGTGACAGAGTACTAGTGACACCATGCCCTTTTCATAGAGCACCAGCCTCATATCATCTCTCCGTCAGAAGTCTGAACACTAGCCACATGGCAGCCTCGTTAGAGATCCCCCCAACAGCTGCAGGATACCTGTCACTCTGAGGTCAAAGAACTGGCACACAGATCAATCCCCTGAGCTCCTAGATATACCAGCACCCTTTTATTCATTCATCCCCAGTAGTAGCTACTTACCACAGGTACCGACATTGGGCTCACAATGGCATTCCCCTTTTGCTCTTTCAGCCTCCCAAAACCAGTGTGTGATGGTTTTAAAATATATCACAAAATTATTGACATTCTTCTCTCCAACAGATGGACCCTAATTCATCTCTCCTTGAATGTGGGCTGGACTTAGTGACTTGCTTCCAATGAGTAGAATACAATAGAAGTGATGGTATGTAGTTAGGTCATAAAAGATATCACAGCTTCCTCCTGCTCTCTCTCTCTTTTAGATCACTCTTTTTGGGGGATGTCAACTGCTATGTCATGAGGACACTCAAACAGCCCTGTAGAGGGGACCATGTGGCAAGAGACTGGAGGCCTTTTGCTAACTGCCAGCAAGAAACTGAGGCCTCCTGCCAATAGCCATGTGAGTGAGCCATCTTGGAAGCAGATCCTCCATCTCTAGTCAATGCTTCAGATGACTCCAGTCCCATCCAACAGCTTGACTGCAACCTGATGAGAGACTCTAAACTGCTCCTGGATTCTTGAACCTCAGGAACTGTGAGATAATAAATGTTTATTGTCTTAAGCCACTAAATTCTGATGTAACTGGTTATACCACAACAGATAATAGATCAAGTCTTCAATTAAAGTCCTCCTTTGAAATATCTATCATGGTTGGTTTCTGGACCTTGATTGATAGAGTACTTGGTACCATGAATGGTCCCAGGAAACTGATCCTCAAAGATAGGATTCTGTAATTAGGTTATTTACCTCTTTAACTTGAGCATAGCTATAATCTCTTTGCTCATAGCAAATGGGATACTGTTAATCTGTAGCAAGCAATTGTATCAAGATGACTTCAATTATTATCTGTGGCTGCTTGGAATGAATTGTCTATTGAAGGCAAGACTTTGAGTGACAAAGTGGCTGAAGAACTTGACAGTTACAGTAATAAGCACAACTACAAGAACTGAGATCAGTCATAGAGTACCAGAAAATGTCTTTGGTAACTTTTAAGAACCTCTTATTTTCTGGAGTCATAAAGCAGATATGACTAAAAATCAAACCCAAAATACAATCATGTGAATTGCAGGATTACAATATAAGATGAATTTACAGATGGACTAAGTTTCTGTGTGAAAGTTCAGACATTATTTGGAAGGAATAGGTGCCTAAGACTTGAGAGGAAGACATTTTGTTAGACTCAGTCAAGTTTGAGTATTTTCAATCTAATATCCCTGTGCCTCACTTGTCAGCAGAAGCGGCCCCCAATATGTTGAAAAGAGTAGCTTCCCCTTTCTTGAATATCTTGTGATAACCTCATGTAAGGTTGCTGCCTTCACAAAGGGTGCCTATTCTCCCCACTACCTTCACTGCCTCAAGACCTATAATGACAGTCAGATCTCAACCTGCTCCAAAGAGAAAAGTGGCCTGTCATAGCTGGGGGAAGAGAGTTTGTACTCCAAAAGAATAGCAAGATTTTCAAAATATACATTGGCCAAAACATAAGGAAAATCCCTAAAAGGAAAAGTAAGACAGAGACAAAGACAAGTTCTGCCTTCCTCACAGTCTGTCCAGGAAAGAAAAGGACAGACCAGATGGAAGCTTATAAATCAGAAGAGGAATTGAAAAATGCCACCCACTTGCTAGTTTCTAATTTTTTTCCATTAAATTCCTAATTGTGTCTACTAAATTTATTTTAGCATTAAACATTCTTTAAATGGAAGTCTGGTGAGAACATAAATAGATGTGAGAGTGGTTTCTATGGCTATGAGACCCAGAAGGATAAAATATAATGTTGGATCAAATCAAATGTATTATTACGGTTTACCTGACCAGAGAATAAAGGAACTGTGCGGGTTTCCAGCAGGCTGGCTGATTATCTGACATGTAGACTGAAAGGCAATTCAATTCAATCGTGATGAGATGTCAGAACTTCCTTGGCATAAAACAGAAGAAAGGACTGAAAGCTTAGAAAGATAGGAACACTTCAGAGAACCTGAACACCCACCCCCACTGTGTTCCTTGAGAGAGTCCAAGTACCCTCCCTCCACTAAGGCATTAATGAGGGTGTGTTAACCTCCTGGAAGAGCCCCGTGGCTGGTGGCTGTCTTTGGTAAGCTAGGGATAGTAGTGGGAAATGCCACCATTGAAATGGGCTTCCTGATTTTAAAGTGGATGGTAGAATTCTGGAATGTTAGGGGCCAAATAGCAGCATTTAACCACTAAAAACAAGGTAAGCATAATTACCATAATAAGCAATCATGTTTGACCCGCAAGTAGTCAGTAGTGGCTAACTGATCACGAGGTTTCAATAAAACAAGTAGGCAACCTACTAAATCATGATTATATACAATATAATTATAATCAGAAGAGCTGTTTATAGGTTTAGTAAGCAGAAATCTGACATGGATCACCACAGTGGTGAAGCACAACTTTTCACCCAGCTCAGCCCTAAGCAAGCTCATGAGATCAGAGTTCTTAGTCTTTGCAAAGGCTCATTCAACACTGCCAAAATTATATTCTGGAATAGTCCTCTAAGCCTTCCAGAAGGGTGGGTCCAATTTAATTCTCCTTTTTGGTCCGTTTAATAGGCAAAAGGATTCTCTTTTTGGCCTGTGTAAAAGGCAAAAGGATCATGGGTTCTTGTAAATTTAATCAGGAGGCAATTCCAATTGCAGCAGCTGCACCAGATATAATATATTTAAACGGATACATTAATATCGCCTCTGGATTCTGTTATGTAGCTATGGGTCTGGCAAATGCCTTTTCATCCCTATCAAATTGCAAGTCCCACAAAAAAGTAATTTGTTTTTACCTAGCAGGGATAACAATGTACCTTCACAATCTTGCTTCAGGGCTAAGTCACTATCTGACACAATCTAACACACAAAGGTCTTACTCATCTTTACATTTTACAGAATATCACAATGTCAATTAGATTGATTAAATCATGCTTATGAGCAGAAACTGGCAAGAATTTTACATGTCTTAGTAGCATGCATCCCCAAAGGGGAAAAAACACACGCACACAAATTTTCAGGGATCTGCAATTTAACTGAATCTTTTAGACACCCAACTGGCCTACTGATACCATTGACCATAGAGAATCCATCAAGTAGGTCGGAAATAGATCATCGCAAGTAATTTCAACTATTCAAGCCTTCATCTTATTAAAATCTCTTAGTCTGCTCAAGCTGCTATAACAAAATACCTAAGGCTGAGTAATTTGTAAGTAATAGAAATTTATTTTTCACAATTTTAGAAACTGAGAAGTCAGAGATCAAGGTTCCAGCAGGCACATTCAGTGTCCAGTGAGGGCTCACTCTACTACCCAGGATGGTGCCTTGTTGCTACATCTTCTCCTGGCAAAAGGGAAGAAGGGCAGAAGGGCAGAAAGGACAAACTTACTCCCTCAAGCTCCTTTATAAAGGCATTAATCCCATTCAGGAGGTCAGAGTGCTCATGGCCTAATCACCTCCTAAGGGCCCCATCTCTTAATACTACTGCACTGGGGATTAAGTTTCAACATGAATTTTGGAGGGACACAAATATTCAAACCATAGCAAAATCCATATATCCCAAATCTGCATATCTTGGATACCCTGTATATACAGAGTGAGTCATTAATTCCTACCAAATACCAAACATTTGCTGAGACAGGGTAGCTCAAGAACTTGGTCTGCGTGTGATTTGTCTTCATGTTACAATGTATAGAATGAAGAAGGGTGATTTGAGTGGTAAATTGCAGGGGATGGAGATCGCACCACCAAAGTAAATCAATAGGCTTCATAAACTAAACAGAAGAAAATCTGTTTAGTTTATTTTCATCTGTTTAGTTTATTCCTGTGCCCCAAGTTCCTAAAGGAGTGTTTGGTGCATAATAGATCTTCAGTAAATATTGGTTGAGTGAATGAATATAGAAATATATGCATGAAAAAATGAATCTCATAAATGTAATGTAGGAGTTGAACTGGATGATCTATAAAGCCCTTTTAGTTCTAAAGTTTGTCTTCTCTGCCCTTCTGCCATGAGACGATGTAGCAACAAGGCACCATCCTGTGTAGTAAAGAGTGAGCCCTTACTGGACACTGAATCTGTCTACTGGCACCTTGATCTCTGACTTCCCAGTCTCTAAACTTGTGAGAAATAAATTTCTATTACTTATAAATCACTCAGTCTTAGGTATTTTGTTATAGCAGCTTGAGCAGAGATTGACGAAAACCCTCATCGATTTGGTCACTCCACTCCAGTCACAGCAGCCTCCTTCAGTTCCTTCACAAGCCAAATGTGTTCTTACCCAGGATTCCCACATTCATTTTTTCCTTAGCCTCAAGCACCCTTTCCCCAGCTTGGAATCTTTTTCCTTCAAGCCTTTACTTCAAGTCACTTTCTCAATTAAGCCCTCTCTGGTCACATTTAAAAGTTCAGTCCCCCTGCCTTGCTTTGCTTGTTTTCCTTAGCACATATTGCTATCTAATGGAGCAATTTCTTTTACCATTTTCTTTCCATTGTCTAGCTCCTTTTCCAGACTATAAAGTCCACAAAGACAGGAATATTTTTTCCATTACTCTATCTCCAGTCCTTAGAAAGGCATCTGGCATATAGCAGATGTTCAATAAATATCTGTTGAATGAATAAATGGACATGCGATCATGCTCAAAAACATGAGATGAAAAATGTCAGAGAGACATCTTACATAGCCTCAAATCTTCTCCCTTTCTTCCTGAGCCCCAGCAATATTTTACCTTGATCTTAAAAACATTAGATTTTATAATTTTATTTTAAGAATACCAAGTTGTTTTGAGTAAAAAGACAGATAGGCCGGGCGCGGTGGCTCACGCCTGTGGTCCCAGCACTTTGGGAGGCCGAGGCGGGCGGATCACGAGGTCAGGAGATCGAGACCATCCCGGCTAAAACGGTGAAACCCCGTCTCTACTAAAAATACAAAAAATTAGCCCGGCGTAGTGGCGGGCGCCTGTAGTCCCAGCTACTTGGGAGGCTGAGGCAGGAGAATGGCGTGAACCCGGGAGGCGGAGCTTGCAGTGAGCCGAGATCCCGCCACTGCACTCCAGCCTGGGCGACAGAGCGAGACTCCGTCTCAAAAAAAAAAAAAAAAAAAAAAAGACAGATAGACCTGATAAATTATGAATGCCATGGAAATTTCAAAAATTCTATTCCCTGCATTGTTCATAATACATTATACTTTGACATTTATTAAAATGAAAAACAAATAGAAATTAATCCAACCTTTAAAATATGAATCCTATAAATGTTATTAGACTATATTTACATCACACATTTTAAAAGTGCATATAATATTTAGCTTTAAAGTCTACTACTAGTTCACAATTTGGAATTTTTATATGAATGGATATTTATTTTTGATAGTCATTAATATTTCTACAACCAACACATTTGCTAATCTAATAATACTCTTTTATTCTTTGTCCACACTACAAAAAAATTACTAATACTCCATTTTTAACTTCCTCCAAAGGGCTACTTTCTGAAAATAGACTAAGAAATTACAGCAAGCTGTTCAGGGGATAGGATTAGGGAAGTTGGAGGACATTTAAGCCATGTAAATAACCAAAAATATATACTTTTAGTCAACATCGCTGCTGGACCAAAAATTTTACCTGCATGCCTACTGACTACATGCCTGTTAATGAGCCCTTATGGACAGAGACCCTGAGAGGAGATTGAACAAAATTGACACAAAGAACTCCACATATGTGCCCCATCTGGAGTGGATTTTGGGAAAAGGGTATAGTGAGAGGACTATTTTAACATTTCAGATGTAGAGCATTTATGGGAGAATGGGGAGCAGGGCTCAAGAAAGCAACGATCAAACCAGATATATCCCAAGCAATTCGTGGTACAAACATTATCTCCTGGTGATATAAAAATTTAAAGTCAAGAATAAAATTTCCTCTTTAGCAGTTTTCAGAGTTGCATTAAGTCAATCTCTGTGGCTCAAAATAAATCACAGATAATTCAAATCACATTAGAGGAAGTCCAAATTCATTGTTTGCTAATTATTTCATGTTAAAACAATGCAATAATTTTCTTTCTCTTTCAACCCCACATGGTTATTCTTTGTTTGAAAACAGACCAGAGAATCTATATCTAAACATAAGATGAGGCAAATGTCATTTTATAAGATTTTGAGGGGCTAATGCTTACATTTTAATTAAGCTATTGAGGCTTTTATCTCCTTCAAATTTGAAGGTCCTGCTTACATATATGACTTCCTAACATATAATATATTTTATTTATTAAATTATTTTTTCTCTGTCAACCCCCCAAAAATGTAGGCTCAAAAGGGTCAGGGATTTTAGTTGTTAATGTAATTTTATTCTTTTATGTATCCTCAGCACCTAAAGCAGTGCCCAGCACATAAAAGGCACTCAATAAATATTTATGGAATAAATAAATGAATGAGTCAGTGAATTATGCTGTTAGTCTCCTAAGTATATAGATATACATAAAAAAACTTAGTAATATTCTTTGTGTAGCTACATAAAGACTGAGCATCATTAATATCTTCTTAAATGCTTGGTTTACACCAACATTTCTTAGAAGATATAATAGGTATCCCTGGCTTTCAGAAATGTATAATTCTATTAGAGCAGAAGCCCCCAAGTCCCTGGCCACTGACTGGTAGTACCCGTGGTCTGTTAGGAACCCAGTGCCACAGCAGAAGGTGAGCAGCAGGTGAGTAGCATTAAGGCCTGAGCTCCACCACCTGTCAGAACAGCCCGGCATGAGAGTCTCATAGGAGTGCAAACCCTACTGTGAACGGCACATGCGAGGGATCTAGGTTGTGCCCTCCTTATGAGAATCTAATGCCTCACGATCTGCATTAGATCCCCCATCCCTCCCACACTGTGGAAAAATTGTCTTCCATGAAACCAGTCCCTGATGACAAAAAGGTTGGGGATGATTAGGGAATCAAAACTAAACCATGAAATAATTAAAGAATAAAGAAATACAAAATAGACCATTAAAATGTTATTAAGACTATCTATACACCGTTAAAGTTCACAGAAAGAAAAAAAAGAAAAGCAATATGACCTCCATGAAAAGCTTCATAGAGAAGATGAAATCTGAAGCAGGCCTTAAAAGAAGTATAATTTCAGCATAAAGAAAGAAAAGAGCTTATGCAAAGTTTCAAAATCATGATTCATGGTAAGGTATAATAGGAAGATAAGCTTGAAAGGAACTCAGGTGTTCACAGTGGAGAAATTAAGGGACACCAAATTATGATGCATTCTGTCAGGCTCAGGATTCATGCATTCATTGATTCACCAGAAAATACTTATGAAGTATTTACTATGTGCTAGGAATTATGCTAGGTGCTGAGGACCATGAAGTCAAAATAAATACAAAATAAATACACCCCTGCCCTCGTGAATCTTATGTTCCAGTAGGAGATACAGACAAGCAGTAAGCACATAAATAAGACCATTTGGAGAGCTACAGTGTTTTGTGAGACATAAAACATGAATGCTTGGGATAGTTTAATATTTGTTAGGATAGTCAGAGAAGGCCTTCTGAGGCAGTGACATTTGAGTTCAGTCCTTTATGAGCATAGAAAAGGGGCAATTAGTAGGCAAAAGATTTCAGCTGATTTGTGCATATGAATAGTGAAAGGGCATGCAGAAGTGATGACTGAGAAAAAGGGACTAAGGAAGCCACATCACAGAGGCTGCACAGAGGGACTTATAGGTAGTCAGGGAACTGACCTGCTGTGAAGAGGTCTCATGAGTCCCAGAACAGAGACATGGCAAGGATGAGAAAGACTGAGAGGAAATATGGGCAAAACTATGGTGATTAAGTGAAACTCAGGAGCTTGTATAATCAATTCCAAAACACACAGAAAATAATAGCTAAATTTTTCCAAATTTGTTGAAAACCATAAACCCACAGATCCAAGTAGCTCAACAAAAACAATGCAGAAGAAACATGAAGAAAATCACATCAAGACACATCAAGTTGCAAAAAACTAGAGATAATAAAAAGTCATAAAAACAGGCAAAGGAAGAACAGACACATTATGTAGGGTGAAGGTAAAAAAGAATGATAGCTTGCTTCTTATCAGAAACTTTGTAAGACAGAGATAGCTGAGAGAGATTTTATAGTACTAAAAAGAGAAAGAAACAAAAATGGTCAACCTAAATTCTTTACCTCAACTATCTTTCAAAAATAATGCTTTTTAAGACAAATGAAAAAAATTAACAACTTAGATGAAATGAATAAATGCCTTGAAAGATGCAATGTAGTAAACTTCACTCAAGAAGAAATAGATTAACTGAATAGTCATCTATTCAGTCATATATATATGTTGTATGTTAAGTTATATATGTTATATAATCAGTTATAAATATGTTATATATTTGGTTTTATGTATACTTTATATATATATATATATATATATATATATATATATCTTAAAGTTTTATAGGTAAAGCACTTCCCACAGAGACATACCTGGGCCCAAAGGACTTCCTTGGTGAAATCTACCAATTATTTATTAAAGAAACAAAAATTTTACACAAACTCTTCTAGGAAGTCAGAAAAAATATTATCCAGTTCATTTTATGAGTCCAGTATTACCATAAATACCAAAACCAGACAGAGACATTATAGAAGAACTATAGAAAAATGTATGTCATGAACATAGATTCAAAACTTCTCAATATAACTTTAGCAAATTAATTATGACCAAGAAGCATTCATCCTAAAAATGCAAGGTTATTTTACCACTAAAAAAATCAGTTAAGGTCATTCACCATATTAACCAACAAAAAAGACAAATACCATCATCATCTCAACAGATTCATGAAAAGTTTTTGACAAAATCCCATACTAATTCATGAGAAAAATCCTCAGCATTATATAAATACTTCTGTCACTTGATAAAGGGCATCTACAAAAAGCTACAGGTAACACTTTTCTTAAGGGTGAAAATCTAAATAATTTCCCTCTATAATTAGGAACAAGAGAAGTATAGCCATTCTCAGCACTCATATTCTTATAAGTATAATAATACTTATATTGTACTGAAGGTTTAACATAGTGTAGAAAGGAAAAAAATGAGAAAGTGTTTAAAATAGAAAAGTAAAACTTTATTTTTACACAAGTGATATGATCATCCATGTAGAAAGTTCTAGCAAATAGAATAGGTAGATTTTAGTAAGTTAACAGGATATAAAATCCCTATAAAAATTTATTTCTATATACTACCAGCAAATAATTGATTTAAAAAAAAACAGAGACACTGCCACCTGCAATCACTTAAAAATATGAAATACTTTGGGATAAACTTAACAAAATATGTGTAAGAAATGTACACTGAAAACTATAAAACTTTGTTGTGGGAAATTAAAAAGACCTAAGAAAGAGAAGAGTGATACTCATGCTCATGAGTCAAACAACTCAATATTAAGATGTAAATTCTTCCCAAATTGATCTATAGATTCAACACAATCTCAATCAAAATTCCAGTAGGCTTTTTGTGGAAATTAACAAGCTCTTCCTAAAACTTACAAGGAAAATCAAAGAATCTAAAATTGCCAAAATAATTTTGAAAAGAAGAACAAATTTGCAGGATTCACATTATTTGACTTCAAGACATCATTTGAAACTATAATAATCAAGACAGTTCAGTAGTGTTAGAGATAGACACACAGAGCAAAGAAATCAAATAGAGTGTCCAGAAATAGACTTACATATATATGGTCAATTAATTTTTGACAAAGGTGACAGTAATTCACTAGGGGAAGGACTGTCTTTTTAACAAATGATGTTAAAACTATTAGATATTCATGTGCAAGAAGAAACAAATACACCTTGACCCATATTGTATATCACACCAAAGAAAAGCAAACTGAAAATGGGTAACAGACCTAAATGTAGGAGCTAAAACTATAATATTTCTAGAAAACAATTTAAAAGAAAAATATTTGTGACCAAGTTTAGAAAAAAATTCTTGCATAGGATACAAAAAAGATAAACAGTTTTTAAAACTGCTAAAATAGACTTCACCAAAATGGAAAACATTCACTCTTCAAGGCTGGGTATGGTGGCTCACGCCTGTAATCCCAACACTTGGGGAAGCTGAGGCAGGTGGATCACCTGAGGTCAACAGTTTGAGACCAGGCTGACCAACATGGTGAAACCCCATCTCTACTAAA
Source organism: Homo sapiens (assembly GCF_000001405.40). Taxonomy (NCBI): domain Eukaryota; kingdom Metazoa; phylum Chordata; class Mammalia; order Primates; family Hominidae; genus Homo; species Homo sapiens. The sequence goes on along the minus strand of NC_000001.11, from coordinate 95,564,846 downwards.
AATAAAAAATTTGCCAGGCATGGTGGTGCATGCCTGTAATCCCAGTTACTTGGGAGGCTGAGACAGGAGAATTGCTTGAACCCAGGAGGTGGAGATTACAGTGAGCCAAGATCGCACCATTGGACTCTAGCCTGGGCAACAAGAGTGAAACTCCATCTCAAAAAAAAAAAAATTGCTCTTCAAAAGATACCATTAAGAAAGTGAAAATTTATGCCATACACTGGGGGAATATATTTTCAAAATAGATATCTGATAAAGAACTTTTATCCAGGATAAAGAACTGCTACAACTCAATAACAAGAAGACACACAACCTGACTTTTTTTTATTGAGCAAAAGAATTGAAAGGACATTTCCACAAAGCAGATGTTCAATGGTAAATAAGCGCATTAAAAAATGCTCAACCCCGTTAGCAGGAAAGTGAAGATTACAGCAACAGTGAGATACCAAGGCACATCCACTGAATGTGACACTATTGGGTGATGGCAGTAGTAGGGAGCAACTGGAATTCTCATACATTGTTGGTGAGAAGAGAAAGTAGTATTGCCACTTTAGAAAACAGTTGGGAAGTTTCTTATAAAGTTAAACACTTATTCTAATTTCCAGAAATCATTACTCCTAGGTATTTACCCAGGAGAAATAAAACATAGGTTCACACAAAACCCATATGTGAATGTTTATAGTAGCTTTATTCATAATAGCCAAAAACTGGAAACAACCCTAATGTCCATCAACTGATGAATAGATCAACAAACGTTAGCACAACCAATTTAAGTAATACTTCTCTTCAATAAAAGAAAAAAAAACTCTTGTGACAACAAGTTGAACAGTGATTCCCACTGGCATAGAGTGGATGGGAGAGGATGAACTGTGAAAAGGAACTGGGGATCTTTCGCGGCTACAGAAATGTAGCTGTATCATGATTGTAGTAACAGTTACTGATGTAGTTTGGATATGTGCACCCACCCAAATCTCAGGTTGTATTGTAATCCCCAGTGTTGGAGGTGAGGCCTGGTGGGAGATGGTTGGATCATGGGGGAGATTTCTCATGAATGGTTTAGCACCGCCCACTTGGTGCTGTTCTCACGATAATGAATGAGTTCTTGCAAGATCCTACGTTTAAAGGCGTGTGGCACCTCCCCCGACCTCTCTTGCTCCTGCTCCAGCCATGTGACATGCCTCCTCCCACTTTACCTTCTACTTAATTATAAGTTTTCTGAGGCCTCCTCAGAAGCCAAGCAGATGCCAGCAGCGTGTTTCTTGTACAGCCTGCAGAACCATGAGCCAATTAAACCTCTTTTCATTATAAATTACCCGGTCTCAGGTATTTCTTTATAGCAATGTGAGAACAGACTAATACACAGTATACAGTTACCAACTTATATTGTACACTTAAAATTGATGAACGTTATTTTATGTTATTTATACCTCAAAAATACACAAAAAAAATATAGTTCATGTGTCTTTTGTTCAATGCTCTGAACCTCTTGATTGCCAGGACTATGTATCACTAATGCTTGTCATAGACCTCAAAACATAATAGATATTTAATAAAAAAAGAAATAAGTGAATGAATGAATGAGCAGTTGGCACAGAACTCAATTTCCTATGGAACTCAATCAGAAACCATAAAAAGAATGCCCTAAAAAAACCCTATGTTTGCCTTAAATCCTGGAAACACTTCTACACTAGGATCACTGAGGTTCTTGGAGGACATTTGGAACTTCATACAGTGTCTTGCTTTCTTGCCAGTCAGTTCTTTATAAGACATTGTGCTGCCTGATGACAGGTTTTTTCCTTAGCTTTGGCTTCTGTCCAGTAAAAACTCCTGGCAAGACTTTACACAACCTAAAGTATATAGATATCCTTATTACTACTCTAAACTCCTAAAATTTCATTTCATTTATTGGTCAGTTTTCTAAATGACAGTCTCCAGGAACTTGTATCATCATGTTTCTTTGGCAATTTTAGATACTTGTTTGGATGACCTGGGAATAAAGTTTGATTCCAAGGTGAATCACTTCATATATAATTCAATTTTTAATAACCCCAAATAAAGTATTTTAGCTACTTTCTCCTCAAAAAACTAATTTTGGTTGTCAACAAAGCCTGAGCCAGCAACATAGAATTTAAACTTTACTTTGTTTTTTATTTTAAAAAACTTTTAAGCCTTTTTCCCTCACAACAGCGATATATATGTTGCACAAATATAAATCAAAGTTCCAAAGGAACAGCTTCTTTAGACCTATGATATTCTGCCTTTTGAGAGTGATGCACATCACGTGTGCTACTTGGGCTCCTTCAGCCATTTACACCACAGCTATTATTAATGAAGAACTAAGCTGCCAGTAGCAGATCAAGCATTAGTAGTCATCAGATCTATAACCAGACTTACTCACCCCTGGTCCTGTGGCTGAGCACGACCCAACTCAATCCTGTGGGCAACCAAGAGGATGTGTTTTCTGTGGTCACACCCCGATGTATGAACCACAACCATGCAGAAGCATCCATTAAATGGCAAGTTATAGTCACAGAAAGATTTGTTATTAGAAAATGTCCTCTTTTACATCAGAAGAGTAGAAAGCCTGTCACAGATGGGAGATCTACTCTGGCATAAACTCATATGGTTGTTCACAAAGAAATGCCTTGAGGTCACCTCAAAACAGGTAGAGTTTGGTCATTTGGGCTGATATTCTCTCAAAGGAGTCATTAAACTATTGGCCTGTTATCTACCACAAGATACACATGGAGAACCGTGGGAACTGATTTCCAAGAGAATAAGTCCAGATTTAGTAACAGGTCTATAAACCTTAGAGGTATGTAACTGAATTGGGGCAGAAATTTGGATCTGTTGAATTGTTCAATAAACATTTAACAAAACCTTTAATTGAAATAAATATGAGGTCCATATAAAATATCCTCCGCCTATAGCTGCTCAGGAGCTTATAATTTGCATATTTCTCTTCCAGGGACATGGGCACTGCACTGTCTCATTACACATGACCTTCTTCATGGGCCTGAATATTCTTGTATGCTACCCAAAGAAACTAGCTTGGAATGTAATGAAAATCTGGATGCCCAGAAACTGAAGGAGAAAGTAGGAGCCCTTTCATTATTTCAAACTTTCTTAGAAAACTTGGAGCTTTTTACTTATTGGCTGATGTGAAAACAGACTGGACAGCCAAGTACAGCATAACCTCAGCCCTCAAAAGAGCTAAGCTGAACACCTGTTAAACCTCCAAATTAAAGAATGTGAAAATGTTTGCACAGTTTCCTGGCATTTTTCCAGATCATATTGCCAATAGAAAATTCTAGGCTTCCTGTGTGTCTCCTCAAAATACCTTTTCAACTTTTACTACATTTTTGAGCAATGTTTGCACCAGCTTAAATACTTGCCAAAATCACATCATGAATCACTGTTTCCATGTGGAGCCTGTGAATAAGATAATTCTCACACTATAGATTCAATCTCCACCAACTTCAACATTCCACATACTAATTCATTTACATCTTACATTTTCTGGCTAATTGCTAAGGCTTTCCTATGTCTTTGTAGCTTTTATTTGATTCCAGAATAAGTTCTTATTATTTCATGAGAATTACTCTTTATGTAATAATGCTAAGTAAATAAAGAAGAGAAGGCCACTCTTTTAAGAAAAAAAACAATTTGTGTCACGTTCCACACTGTGAGAAGACATATTATAGAACAAAAGGTCACTAGAATCTGAATAGCTGATCATATTTACTTACACATTTAGTGTCCACTTAATCATTTTCTTAATGTAGAACTACAGATAGGGACATTGGTTATTTTCCTACAGCAATCACATTAACTTACTGTATAAACAAATATGTCCTCTCAAATGTGTCTTTCAGTTTATGCAGTTATTTCTTCTATTACACAATTGTTCAAATGTAAAGGTGTGCTGAAAATGAAATCATTAAATTGCATTTAAATGTGTTACATAAAATCTCTCGTTACCTCTCATAGAATTATTTTTAACTTCTAAAGGAAAAAGGGAAAAATAATTTTTAAAATAGCTGAGATTTTCATGAATAAAAAAAATTGTTGGGCCACAGCAAATCCACTGGTGGCTGAATTCTGTAGAATTTGCTCAGGATATTCCTCAGCTTAGGAAAGTACAATCTCACTGTTTCAGAACTATTTATGATAAGAGAAAACCAGTAGATTAAAACAACTTAGATCAATGAGCTCCTACAGAAACAGTGGTAATATTACTATAGCTCTGAAGCAAGACACCAAGCAAATTTGATAAACTGATGCTCTTATTAATGTGTGTTTCCATTATATGAAGGTGGAGCAAGGAAGGGAGGCTCTTTAGAAATTAGTCTCCATTTGTCTTTATTTTCTAAAAGATTAATTTACTGCAGTACAATTTATATGTTAAACCTCTGCTCTCATAAAAGTTCTGCTAACATCTATTCCTAAACTAGTTTACTCCATGCTTCAACCCAGTAATTGATGAGGCTTAGAATGTCTCCATTTCTACCAGATGCGTGAGATCTTGGGTTAACACTGGAAATAATTGCACTGGAAAACACGCATGTGCATACAAAGTAGTGAAATACAGCAGGTGGGATTATGCTATGACTGAAGTACTCTACAGCCCAGAACTCCATGTTAGGACTAAAAATTCTTTCCCCCAGCTGTTGTGAAGGTTGTGAATTAAAAACTTTCAGCTGTACAGATGAGCCTCCCAGGAGATCTCATATCCAATGACTAGCATAAGACAGCCTATACAAACACAACCTCTTCCCCCAACTAGGTACAATTCTAAAATGCCAGCCAGCCATGAGCTACCCGTGGAGTTGACTGAAGCCTTATTGTGACTATTCCGTAGCCTGACTTATGCCTCCACTCAGGGCTTTGTCCTTCCTTTTGGCCACAACTGTTCATCTTGATGGCCCTCACTAAGGACCGTCTAACATGGAATCTCATCTTAGAGTCAATCAACTTCCTAGGGACCTATGGTAGGCAGAATTCTAAAATGGTCCCCAGATTTCTGACACCTAATAACCATACCTTGCGTCATCCCTTCCCCTTGAGTGCTACGGGAATCTGTGAGTGTGATGGACTGTTATTCTCATAATTAGGTTATGTTATGTGGCAAAAGTAAAGAGATTTGCAGAGGCAATTAAGATCCCTAGTCAGTTGACTTTGGATTAACAAGAAGGCACATTGCCCTGTGTGGGCCTGGCCTAATCAGGTGAGCCCTTATTAAAGAGACATTCTCATGTCACTATGCTGTGAGAGAGGCATGTGGCTAGGGCATGAAAGCACCTCTAGGAGCTAACAGAGACTCCCAGCCAATAGCCAGGAAGATAACGGGGCCTCAGTCCAGGGCAGTCAGCCACAGGGCCCTGCCAATAACCCAGATGAGCTCAGAAATGGGTTCTTCCCTAGTCAAGCTTCCAGATGAGAACACCTAACTTTCCAGATGATCAACACCTAAATTTCATCCTTAACTTTAGCCCAGCACCCAGATTTATGACCTACAAAAAATGTGATCATAAGTAGGCATTGTTTCAAGACACTAAAACTTTTGTAATTTGCTATGCAGCAAAAGAAAACTAACATGGGAACACAGTCTGTGAGATTATATTGATAGGAAAAACAGAATAAAGATAACCAAAGACTAGAAAGAGAGCTGAAGATGGCTACAGTAATATATAAAACTTTTTTCCCATAAAACCCCCAGAAAGGATTCAAATTTGAAATCAATCAGTATATAGAAGAGGAGGGAGCTGTGAGGCTGAAATCAGGAGGGGCCATAGGGAAAGGGCTTTGAAACAGCTGGGGCAGATAGCCCCACCCCTTTCCTGTGTATATAAGACAGCTGGTAGCAGCAGTTTGCCCCAGCTGAATCCTCAGAAGTAGTCTCTAAAAGAGTGTGTTTCATCTAGAAAGGACACAAGATGAGCTAAAAATAGAGAGAGAGAGATTATCAGAGACTGCCGTAACCCTGGGCCTCTACCATGGACTTGGACCAAGGAAAAGAGAAGAACCCTCCACTCATGGAGAGAGTGACTCACATAAGTTATGATCCAAATCAGTCTCCTTTAGAGAGTAAAAGGGGACACTATTAGTAATTATGATATAACAACAGGAACAAACTGGGAAGTGTGGTCCCCCTACCAGAGAGTGGAATGGGCTAAAATATTTGAGCCCAAAGCAAAGTCTTCCTCTGGCTGTTGTGAAGGCTTCTGTCTTTTTAATCCATTCCTCATACTCTACTCTTTTAACACAATCTGCCCACATATCCAGAGTCTGCAAGCAAAGTCATAGCACTCATGGAAGACTTTGAGTAAAAAGACCTAAAACGAGCAAAGGAAGTACATGTCAGCTACCTTTGGTAAAGTCAACACAGTTCTTTATTCATTTATAAAGGAACCAAAAATATTTGTTTTTATGGAAAACCAAGGGCATGAAAAAAAATTCAAGATGAACAAACATAAGCACTGGTCTTATATGAAACCCAAATGACATAATAACAAAAGAAAATGTTGAAGACATTCTAATCTCAAAAAGATTTAAGAAGCTCTGCCATGAATGAAATAAGAATAACTGATTTACAAAAAAGGAGCAAGCCATGAACAAGAAAGAGTGCTTAGAAATTAAGTACATTTGTGGCCAGGTGTGGTGGCTCATGCCTGTAATCCCAGCACTTTGGGATGCCAAGGCGGGCAGATCACCTGAGGATGGGAGTTTGAGATCAGCCTCACCAACATGGAGAAACCCTGTCTCTACTATAATACAAAATTAGCTGGGCATGGTGGTACATGCCTGTAATCCCAGCTACTCAGGAGGCTGAGGCAGGAGAACCGCTTGAACCCAGGAGGCAGAGGTTGCGCTGGGCAGAGATCGTGCCATTGCACTCCAGTCTGGGCAACAAGAGCGAAACTCTGTCTCAAAAAAAAAAAAAAAAAAAAAAAAAGGAAATTAAATGCATCTGCTAAAATTAAAAGCTAAGTAGAAATGCTTACTAAATTGAATGGTTATGAATGACATAGAAAATATAAACAAGGAAATCCATTGGGGGAACCCACCCCCAATATTTCAACATAGGTTCTTTCTATTTTCCATAAGTGTCAGCCAGCTGAGAAATAAAGAGAGACAATACAAAGAGAGGAATTTTACAGGGGGGCTGCCGGGGGTGACATCATGTACTGGTAGGACTGTGATGCCTACCTGAGCCTCAAATCAGCAAGATTTTTATTAAGAGTTTCAAAAGGGGAGAGGGTGTAATAACAGAGAGTAGGTACAAAGATCACATGCTTCAAAGGGCAAAAAGCAGAACAAAGATCACATGCTTCTGAGGGAACAGGACAAAGGGCAAAAGCAGAACTACTGATAAGGGTCCAACAAAGATCACAAGGCAAAGGGCAAAAACCGAACTACTAATAAGTATCCAACAAAGGTCACAAGGCAAACGGCAAAAGCAGAACTACTGATAAGGGTCTATGTTCAGCAGTGCATGTATTGTTTTGATAAACATCTTAAACAACAGAAAACAGGGTTTGAGAGCACAGAACAGGTCTGACCACAAATTTACCAGGGTGGAATTTTTTTCCCCATCCTAGTAAGCCTGAGGGTACTGCAGGAGACCAGGGCGTATCTCAGTCCTTATCTCAACCAGTAAGACAGACACTCCCAGAGCGGCCATTTATAGACCTCCCCCCAGGAATGCATTCCTTTCCCAGGGTATTAATATTAATATTCCTTGCTAGGAAAAGAATTTAGTGATGTCTCTCCTACTTGCACGCCCATTTATAGGCTCTCTGCAAGAAGAAAAATATGGCTCTTTTTGCCCAACCCTGCAGGCAGTCAGACCTTATGGTTGTCTTCCCTTGTTCCCTAAAAATCGCTGTTATTCTGTTCTTTTTCAAGGTGCACTGATTTCATATTGTTCAAACACACGTTTTACAATCAATTTGTACAGTTAACACAATTATCACGGTGGTCCTGAGGTGATGTACATCCTCAGCTTACAAAGATAACAGGATTAAGAGATTAAAGTAAAGACAGGCATAAGAAATTATAAAAGTATTATTTGGGAACTGATAAATGTTCATGAAATCTTCACAATTTATGTTCCTCTGCCACGGCTCCAGCTGGTCCCTCTGTTCAGGGTCCCTGACTTCCTGCAACAGAAATCTCCCAGAATATTAAGCAAAAAGGTAAAGTGGGAAATTATGAATAATAAGATTTATGGGCTGGGTGTGGTGGCTCATACCTGTAATGCCAGCACTTTGGGAGGCCAAGGTGGGCAGATTGCTTGAGCCCAGGAGTTTGAGACCAGCCTGGGCAACACAGACCTCTATCCCTACAAAAAATGCAAAAATTAGCAGAGTATGGTGGTGCACACCTGTAAGTCCCAGCTAATTAGGAGGCTGAGGTGGGAGGATCGATTTAGCCCAGGAGGTCAAGGCTGCAGTGAGCCCTGATGGTGCCACTGCACTTCAGCTTGGGCAACAGAGTTAGACCCTGTCTCAAAAACAGAATTGTGGGGGGATAATTCAGAAGTTCCAAAAGCTATTTGATAGCAGTTGCAAAAAGAGAAAACCAAGGTAATAAATAAATAAGGAGGAAAATGTCATTGAAATAAGACAGTGTCCCTGAGCTTAAATACATACTCTTTTCATATTGAAAATGCAATCTGAGTGCCAAGCACAAAGAGTAAATATCCATCCTTAGAAATCTTCTGACAAAGTTTGAGAACTTCAAATGCAAAAAGAAAATCTAAAGTTTGGTGATTTGAAGGTGGAGTAGGTTTCTTTACACATGAACTCCAAATGCTTGAAACAATGTCACAATTCTTTAGAGGTTCTTAAGAAAAATGATTTTGAACCTACATTTCTAAAACCAGTTAATTATTAATCAAGTGTGAGAACAAAACTTAGACATTTTCTGACATGCAAAAAATTTAAAAACTTACCTCCCACATATACTCTTTCTTAAAAAACAATTACTTGCATATGTATTTCTGTAAAAAAAGAATGCCATGATGAAAACATACGTCTCTTCTGTCAGTAACAAAAAAAGGAGAAATTCAGAAAAGGAAACAAACTGATTTATCAACAAGTCATTCAAGTATGAATAAAATTATGAGTTTATGAGTTATTGACTGAGTTTAAGAGACACCACCTTTTCTTGATGCTTGGAGCATTCACCACTAAATGTCACATATTTAATGACACAGGATTATATTTTTTTCCTTTTGGGGTAAAACTACTCAGCTCTTCAGTAGATGATATGTACATAATAAGGGCATTTAGTGTTTCAAATCAACTTATATATAGCACATACAAAAATTATAGATGGGAAGGTAAATGTTTTAAAATCTTACCAATATAAAAGTAATACAGAACTCTAGATACCAGAACTGGAAAACAGGATTAGTTGGGGCCTTCCTACAAAGATATTTAATTAAGCATTCTTTGAGTTATTGATTTAAACCTTACTAATTTCACCCTCCCTTGCAACAAATAAGGACAGCCAAAAGTAAATCCAAGTCACTACGGAGCCCCAGCTGTGGGTACTTGAACACATGGAGAACCAGAAATGTTATTGCAGAAATGATTTACTGCACCTCGAATGCTCCCATCCACTCCCAAGACTCTTCCATGACCTCATTTCCTTTCCCTTTTTCTCATACTTTTTTTAAATCATAGCTTCTTTAGTAAACAGCAGTGAATAATTTTTGATTCCTAGATTTCATGGCAGTCTTCATTTGTACAACCAAGTCCATACTTAGCTTTCATAATGATGTATTTCAAGTATGAGCTTTATTTTCTCATATAATAAAAGCACAGGGATCAACTCCCTAAGTTCTTTAGTGTATTAGTTACCACAACCCTAGAATTTGTAACAGATAAACCCTGAAATGTTGCTGGCCTAACTATACATAGACTTATTTCTTGTTCAACAGAGGGTGATAGGGCAGCCATTTCACCTTCACTCCGTCATTCAGGGACCTAAGCTAACTGAGCCTCTGCCATCTTCAATACTTGACTCTCAGCCTCAGGCATAGACATCTAGTCAGCAGATGGTTTAAGAGAGATAGAATAGAGGATTGTGGGAAGTTTTATGGAACAGATCTAAAAGTGAGATACATTAGTCTGTCCTCCATTGGCCGAGACTTAGTCATATGTCCACACCTAATTGCAAGGGAATCTGGAAAATATGAAATATAATCTAGCTTACTGCACAAGGGGACGGGGAAAACTGGTTTGGTGAACAACAAACCAGTTTATCACAAAGAATGCTATTTAAAATGTTAACCAAAATCTGAAATACCTGCAGTGTGGTTACCACTGACTCAGCCCAATCTCATCAATTAGTGTGTAAGTAGCTGCAGGACAGGATACATGGTTTAAACATCTTTGCTTTCTTAGCACCTTCATCTGCACAACTAGGTGTTAGAGAAAGTCTTGGAGGAATTAATTTACTTAATTATATTCTAGTAGCAAAGACAAATTAATGCAGCTACCAGAGTGAAAAATAATCTCCTTTCTCAATGAGAAAATCAAGCCGAATATTTTGAACTGATATTTTTATTAAAATAACTATAAGACAACGAACCCATAATTGGTTATTCCAAATAATAGCTGAGTTAGTGATTTTCAATATTTGTTTTATTATTGAATGCAAAAGCAATGGTAAAGACTGCAAACTATAAACATTCTCTCATTTTTCTTAAAGGAACAAAAACATGCAGGAAAAATTTAATGATACAATGAATTGGTAACTTCCTAATTTGCTACAAAAGAAGCATTTATCAGGTGATGTTTACAGGTGTATGCTGCAACAAGCCATTAAAGTAATAAAACCAAGTCTCGTAAATCAACCAAGCAAATAAGTCCTCAAATATAGCAAATGTTATAGGGGTGCCTCAACCCCTGATTTGCAGATCCCAATGAAAGGATAAAAGACAGTAACAGGTGGAGATAAAATTTCAGATATAGGGATTTTAGAAATGTGTAAATTGTTGGGCGTAGTTTGTGAATCTGCAAACCAAATGAGGGTGGAGTAGCAGTGGAGAGAGCGATGCAAAACGATTCCAAAAAACATTCACTGTCTTTGGTAGTTTAATTATAAGCCATTACGGTATCAATTAAACAGAACCAAAGAGCATCAGAAGAAGAAGTTTGATTATGTGAAGAAGTATGTGGGTACAAAAAAATTACCTTTGATAGATACATAAAACAAAACCCATTATCAAACAGTGATTATTTAAACATGAATATCATAAAGAAGATATCAAAAGTGAGGGCCAGGGAGTAGAGTTATTTAAAATTTCAGTGGAGAGTCACAGTTACTAGTAAAGACAAGGTCTATGATATGAGCCTGGGGTGAGTGGCTGAGATGGCATTGAGGACAAGATGGTTAAAGAGGAGAAGACCAGGAACTCAGAGGAAAGGATTATATATGAGAATAATCACATCATCAAGAAAGTTGACAAGACTGATGCTGAAGGACTGACATTGAGCCAGGTACTAAAGATCTCCAGACACAAGGGACTCAGGGCTCCACAGATAACCACAACTCGAAGAGATAATATGTGGGTGGTGGAGCATCAGATCCAAAGTTCAATTTTCCTTTATCGGGGACAGGGTGAGAATGGTTTGCAAACACCAATAAAAACACAAGGGGGTAGAAAAGGAATGTGAGACAAAATAGGCACCAAATGACAAGGCTGGGAGGGAAAGCAGTGCCCCCAGGGAAAGCTAGGAAAATGTAGCAGATTTTGCTAATGATGGACTGTTGTGTTCTCTTCATGTGAATAGACTTGGGTTGGTGGAATGCATTCAGTAAAGGGTGTTTCATGATCCTTCCATGACTGAGCAGTACGTTCAAAAGTGCTAACGGAATGAAACACGCATGGGTCTGCTTTCCTCAAGCTCTTTTGTCCTTTGAGGAAGAGGAGCCCTATAAAATTTGAAGCCTGGACACCCAGGCTTGTAAGTCTAAAGAAAGAAAATGGCATTTCAGAGGCCAATTGTGACATATCACGTTTTAAATTTTACTTGCTTTTGTTTTATATTTGGGAAGTGCTTAGCTTTTTGAATGGAAGTGTGGGGCTCAAGTAGTGATTAGGCCATCAAATGATGACAGCTAAATAGATCAGCACACTAGCTGGACTGCTGGATTACATCAGGCAGATTTCATTAAGGATTTCAGAATGATGCTCACATTTTTGTATTTGAAATGTGTTATAGTTTGCGCTGTTACAAAAAGAACCTTGCCAGATTTGAGAAGATGAAAGGGGACGGGGGAAAATTCCCTAACACATTTTTTTTTTTACCCCAGAAACCCTATAATACAATTTGTCATCATTTTTAGTATTTTGTATCCCTACAAGTTAAATGTGGTTTAGAACATTTCTAGAAAATGATCTTCAAGAAAAACTCAACTCAGGTATACCTTGGGGTATAGGGTCTTCCACAAGTTGAGGCCCATATGCATTTATGCATAATTTAAAATTATGACTTTGAGACTTTATGACCACAATTCAGAGTAAGAAATGCATTTTATATTTTAACCCATTATACATATATATTAATAAATGTATACATTAATAAAGGCACATACTACACACAAAATAAGATTTTAATAGAAATATTTATTCTTTGGAATCAAATGCACTATCATATTTTTATTTTATCTCCTATTTTATATGCTGATCTAGTAAACTGACTTCATGACCTACTAATTGGTCACAAATAACAGTTTGAAAAACACGTTTTTAAACGGCAATATGGAATAGCTCTATGCTTTGGTTTTTCTATTTATTTCTTCAGTCTCTGAACTAGAACAAATGGCACTCTCTTTAAAAAAAAAAAAACAATAACCAGAATAAGTTAAAATTGTACAGTAAACAAAACAGCTGCTATTTAATAAGGGCTGAGCAGAGAGCTAAATTTTTGCATTCATTATCTTATTTAATCATCACAGCAACCCTATAAGGTAGGTGCTTTTTTCAAGGTACACTCCCCATTGTACAAATGATGGAATTGAAGGTGTTAATACCACAGTACACTGTGTTGCCCGTACCACCCCATATTTCCTCACCACAATTTACTGGGTACTAGTGAGCACAGCAGGGGATAAAACACAGTCTACACCTTTAGGAATTTCTGTCACACTATGTTTATCCTCTCACATGAAGCACAGTGAAAAGACTATACAGTATATGTCATATATTCCAGTTGATCAGACATTTCCATGTTCATTATCTTTGCAACCCAACTTCTTAAGGTAGTACAGCTTGAACTTCAGAAAACTCACACAATAGCTTTCAGAATTCTCATGCTTTTATCTATTTCTATTTTCTATTCTCTGGTATCAGATGGTTTCCATCTCCTCAAAATGCTGCTGCTAGTTATCTAATTTAACACTGTTAGTGGCAGCCAGGGAAACTTTGAGATATAGCCATTTCATCAATTATCTCCAGCTGGAAGGATTTAGTGCTTTTTTTTTTTTTAAATAGGGCCACAATATCAAGTTCATCTACACTGTTAGTGAGGTCTTTATCACTGCCAAGTTCAGAAAGTGCTAAAGCATTTAAAGTGTTTTTTGCCTTTGTATTTTGGGTACAGTTCATTTTCTTGCTCTTGCAGAACTTGGGTTTCATCTCCAAGAGAACCACCACTCAAAATCAAGTCAAGAGAGAATTATGGAATGAATATACCTCAGGTCAAGCAAAGAGTTAGCATTTACTGATTTCCCCCCATGTTCAAAGCTCTATACTAGAACCGATAGGAACCTTCAAAGGGAATAGAAGTCTTATGTGATCATTAGTGCTGTTGATGAAAGACTTCTACACTTTCCAGGTATACAGTAACATCACACTTCTCTACCCTTGGAAGTCAGGCGTGGCACAATGACTTGCTTCACAGATGAGCAGAGTCACTTCCAGGTAAAGTTTCAAGAGCCAGTGTATGATTTACTATGCTCTCCCTTTCACTCTTTTCTTTCTGTTTTTCAGAGGTGATCCAAACAGTAGCTGCTTGGGCCCCAAAGTAAGGCAAAGTGGAAAACAGCCCTGACTGACCCATGCTACATGGATGGTGTTAAGTAATAATAAAAAAAGAAAAAAAGTTTTTGCTTTAAGCCACTGAGTCTTGAGAGTTGTATTAGTCAACGTACAACTGACCCTTGGCAAACTTAAATCTCTAAAGATATTTTAAAACACCTTTAAAAACACACCAAAAAATGTAAATAAATGGAAAGTACAAATGAACAATGTAAATTATGTAAATAAAAGATAAAGGAGGAAAAAATGACTAAATAAATGAATAGTCATATAGAGGTTGAATATGGGTAGGAATTTCCACTTGAATTGCACAAGAGGCATGGGGAATAGGAGGTGTGCATGAAATGCTGTGTGTAAAGGTGCAGAGGGAAAAATAAAGTCACATGAGCAAAGCCGCAGGTGATTTGTTTGGTGGAGCAAAGAACTAAGAACTGAAATACTTGAGAGAAGGAAGAAAAGGCAGTTGGGAGGGGGCTGCAAGGACCAGACAAAGGTGTTCAGGCACTGATACTAGCTCATTTATTCTTCACTCCTTCATTCATTCATGGATTCAATAATGATTACAAGCTAGGAACTCTGCTAGCCAGATGCTTGGAAACTGAAGATGAGTGAGTTTGTGATCACTAGTCTTAGATCTCATCATTTTGTAAGTTTCACATAAACAAACAATCTCAACATATTATAGAATTTCATACCAGACATTTGGCTACCAGAAACATAAAGCCAGAAAGGAGTTAATTCACATGTAGGTTGTTGTAGGGTATAAATAAGAAGATGAAAGAATCTGGCAAGATTTTAAAACAAAACATGGCATTTGAACAGATTCTTCAGAAAGGACTGTTGATCATAAAGATAAGGGAAAAAAAGGCATTTCACTCAGGGAAAAGAGTATTTATTCAGTAGTCATTGGGTCAACATGTTTTATATAGGTGTTTTCTTAAAGTACTCTGTGTTTTTGTCTCACAAGAAGACTAATCAGTGTATATTTATCAAACACACGCTGTCTGCCAGGCACTGTGCTAGCCTTAGTATATGACAGTAGGGGAGATAGTCTCCCTTTCCTCACACTCTAGCTGGGGAAATGTGAGATGCTTAATTGAACAAGTAATTAAAATAAATTATGATCAGGGCTCTAACAGGGGAAGAAAGCAGGTTGCTATACCAGCACATAGCAAGGGCACCTAATATGGTCAAGACTACCTGGAGGAAGTTACCTTTGGTTGAGATTTAAAAGTTAAATAGGAGTTAGACAGATGAAGAGGGAGGGGAGTAGAGTTTCAGTGAGAGGAACCAAGCTGTGGAAGACTTGGACGTAGAGAGGGTATGTACTACAGAAACTGGAAGGAGTTCAGCACGGCTGAGGCTTAGAGGAGGGAGGAAAGGGCAGAGGAGAGACTTGCAGCTGAGAAGAGCAGGAGCAAACTTCAGAAGTTTACATCCTATCCTGAAATCTTAGGAGAGCCTTTGAGACATTCTAAAGAGGAGGGCATGGTAAATTGTGCATTCTAGAACATAGCGAGTGTGACAGACAGCAGAATGGAAAAGAATCCGGGCCAGACACAAGGAGACCAGATAACAGGCTCTTATAGGAGCCCAGGAGAAAGATAATGGCAGTTTACCAGGTTAGCAACTGTACAGACAGAAAGTCTTGAGTGTACTTGTGAAAAATATTTAGGGTAATGATGTAATGTGGCTTTGGGTTATGTATGAAGGGAAAGAAAATTGAGGATCCCTGCAAAGATTTTGATTCCTAGTCCTGGCAAGTAAATATACAGTAGTTTCATTCAGTGACAAAGAAAACAAGAATTTGCAACATCACTAAAAATTTTTTCAAAAAAATCTGTATGTAGGGAACCAGGTTTACTCAACATCACAAGAAATGTAGTTCTACCTGGAGGGAGGTAAAAGTAAAATTTGACTTAAGTTGACATTATAAAGGCATTTCTATGCCAATGCTAAAGCAGCTAATTAAATGACAGAGCCTGCCAGATTCTGAGCAGAAGACAGAAGTGATCTGATTTCATGTAGAAAGATTACTCTGGAGAAAGTGTGAATGGGGGATTGAAAGAGAAAGTGGCTAAAGATGAAGCAGGAGATTATTTCAATTGTCCAGGCAAGTGATAATAAGGTCATAAACTTAAGTAGCCATGATGGGATTCAAGAGGAGGAAACAATAAAGATTTAGAGGAGAGAACCAATAGGTTTCTATGATAATTACATGTGATAGGGTGAGGAAAAGAGGGATGCTGAAGATGAGCCAGATATTCTACTTTGGGAGACTGGAGGAGTGGCAATTCCATCAATGGAAAGATATTCTTTAGAGGAGGAGAAGTTACAGGAAAAACAACAAATTTGGTTTGGACATGTTGAGTGTGACACATCTGTGAGACATAGAAGATACTTAACAATGTTTGTTGTAATTATGTATCTGGAGTTTAGGGAGGAGGTTGGGTCGTGGAAGTTGCAACATATATTAGAGTCAAGGGAAGGGATGATAATTGCCCATAGAGGAAGAAAAGAAGAGAAAGAGGAAACCCTGGGGGAAGTCTTACATCTAAGATGTTGATGGGTGGAGGTAGAAATGATTGAGAAGCAAATCACCCTAAGCTCTGAAGTTGGAGATCCACTCAAAGACAAAGAGATTTCAGGATGCTTGACATGTATACACGCTAGAATTGGAAAGTAAGAAGCTGGGGAATGGGAGACCAGCTTGAAAATTATAGCAGCAGACCAGGCCCCCCAAAATGGTAGATTTCAGCCCCAGTATATTGTAGTATTTCATGCCAGACATTTGTGCTACCAGAAACGCAAAGCCACAAAGGATTTCATTTACATGTAGGGTTGTAGGGTATAGGGTATAAATGAGGAGAAGAGAGAATCTGGCAACACTTTTAACACTTATAAAGATATGAATGAGGATAAGCCTTTGACTATAATGAATAACAAAAAAAAACATGTCAAATTAATTCTTCACATAATCTTTTTTCCCATAAATCTGACAATTTTGATTGAAAAAAACCCGCTAGATTAAAAAGTGACTGTTCAGTCACTAGTGGAGTCAAGAACTAACAGTAACTATTATTAGTTGGGTGAATGGGCCAGAAAGAATGGAAAAATAACTAATAGTAATTTGGCTGTTTGAGTACTCAACTGAGAACCTGTCATAAGGCATCAATTTAAGGGTGCCTGCAGCAGTGTTCAGCTCCAAACAAGGTCAGTAAAAAACGGCAAGTGCACAAGCAAAGAGGTGCCACCTATTCAGGCATAATACTCCGTCCATATCTATTTGGAGACTCTTGAGATGGCTCTGGTGTTTCTGTTTTACAAGTCCTGACCAGCATGTGTAGGACATAATGACATGTCAGTGCGTATCAAGTGTCAGTGTAAAGTATTGGTTTTGAATTTACCCAGGCATCTCATTAAAATGAAAAACACAGTGTAAAATTTCAAAT
The DNA here is from genome assembly GCF_000001405.40 of Homo sapiens. Classification (NCBI taxonomy): domain Eukaryota; kingdom Metazoa; phylum Chordata; class Mammalia; order Primates; family Hominidae; genus Homo; species Homo sapiens. Next base: position 95,547,338 of record NC_000001.11, on the reverse strand, counting down.
GAACCTAAGCCTCTGTCTGGTTTGCTCATAATTCAGGAAAAGTCATAAACAGAAAGATACTTGTCTCTATCCACAGCCAGGGCCCCAACTAAGTACTGCATTGTGAAATGAGTCATATCCCTGTAAGCAATGATTTGAAATGTGCTATAATTGCTATGCTGCCCATGTCACCCAAGGAGAAAACAAAACATCTAAGTAACATCACTATGCCTTACAAACTGTCAAACGTTCATCGATGATTTCATCTCATACTGGTGATGACCCTTCAGTGGTTTCTTTTACAATAACAGACCTGCCAGCTTGGTCTAAGAGAAGAGGAAACTCACAGAAAGCAGAGCATGGGGCTCATAATTAATTTCATCACTACCATCCGGGCAAAACCCAGAAGCCTATATTTTAATTGGCTTGCTAACATATTTGAAAACAACATTTCTAATGAGATTATTTTTTTCCACATTCAGAAATAATGAGAGAAAAAAGCAACAGTTATATTTTAAAATATCTTAATACTTGGTATTGGGAATTTAGAAAGCTATTATCTATTTAGCATAAGTCAACTTGACATTCTGCTGAAACTAAGATTTCGCTCCGGTTAAAAAGCACTTGGAGGCCCTGGCATGAACAGCTGGATTAACAAAATGGAATAGAGGAAATGTTTGCATTACTTTGCTAGGGCTGCCGTAACGAAAACCCACTAACTTGATAGCTTAAAGAAAAGAAATGTATTGTCTTATAGTTATGGAAGCTAGAAGCTCAAAATCAAGGTGTCATCAGAGTTGACTTTTTCTGAGGACTGGGAGGGGAGAATCCATCCCAGACCGCTGCTCTTTGTTTGTAGATGGTCATCTTCTCTCTGTGTCTTTTCATATCATCTTCCCTCTATGTGTGTCTAGCTCTGTGTCAAATTTCCCCTTTACGTCTTTATAAAGACACAAGTCATGTTAGATCAGGGCCCACCCTAATGGGTCATTTTAACTTGATTACTTCTGTAAAGACCTTTATCTACAAACAAGGTCACATTCTTAGATACTGGAGGTTGGGACTCCAACGTATCTTTTTTGGGGAGAAACAATTCAACCCATACCAACAGTTAAAATAATCCTTCTGGGAGTGCAAATGAATTGCTTTAATTCCATCCATTTACGTGTTTGCTATCAACTGTCTCGGCTAACAAGATAAAACAAAGACAAATCAGAGCTACATTGTCACAAAGTTTCATTGCTGAGAGGTTGGTTTGGTAATGCCTGTCCAGTTCATTAGAGACAGATATATCAAGAGTAATTTTCTTGCAGACTCCTGCCATTATTGACACAGTAAAACTGACTAGTGAATGTCTACATGCCTATTCATCCTATATCATTTATGACCATTACCATTCACCAAATTTTTAAATTCCAGTAGCATGGAACCCTAGAATTCTACATTTAAATGTATCTATCACTGACATTCTTAGGGATTCTAAGTACTATCTCTAGCAAAATATCTTCTTCTCTAAAGCTGAACAAAAGAATACTGCAATGTGACAAATTAAGATGAATTTTGGCTTTGCATCTGAGAAAGTCTATAGAGACTTAGACTCTCTTGCACTGACCTGGACTCACAGAGAGTTTTATTCTGTGAAGAAGAAAGAATGTTCCCATGATATTACCATCATAGAGAACCAAATAGGCCATTTCCAGCCCCACTGCATCATCTTGACCAAACTCAGAAAATGAACTATCTTCTAAAGAAATAATTCAGTATATATAAAAAGATATTCATCCAAGAATTATTTCTAGTAGCAGAACTTTAAATGTGTACTCTATCATCAATCAGTAAAGATACCATTAACTATGTTATGTTTACTCTATGAATGATTAAAGTGGTAAACACAAAGATTATATAGCATCATCACCATGTGATTCTACAGCAAAATACACAGCTGACAGCTCTGTTCATGCCCACAAAGTTTTCAATCAACTTTTAAGTGCCTTCCTCTTAAATTTAAGGAGAAAACTAGGTGAGATTTAAGGAGGTCAGTAAGCCCCAGGAAAGATGTCCCCAAGAACATGAAATGTATAGAGTATCTGATGTGTTTCAATGCATGAGAGCAGATTGAGACAACTGAGGGAAATATCAATGTTGAATAAGCGATAAGTACAAAGAGAATTAAGAAAACAAATAAGCAAGACAAATAGTAATTCAAAGGAAAAACAAAAAGTTGTGTAAAAAAGGAAAAAAAACATAGAATACTATATGAATAATGTAGTGTTCTGAATTTTGTATCTTGGCAATATATCGTATTTGTACATACAAATCTCCCATATTTTAAAAGCCAAATAATAGCTCCTTAATAAGAACACATTGTAATTCATGTAAGAGTCTCCTAATGATAGGCATTTCCGTCATTTCCAGTTTTGTTTTATTACAAATGATGCTGAAATAAACATCCTTGAAATTTTCTGGAGGACATAGTCTTAGTAATGAAATTTCTAGGTCAAATGGTAAACACAAATAAGGTTTTGATGACTTTTTTCTAAATTCTTCTCCAAAAAAGTTTCATCCATATAAACTGTCACCAATAGTGCACAGTCATTTTCTCCCACAATAGATATTATCAATTTGCTTTTTGTGAGTTTTTTTCTTTTTGACAATTAAGACTACAAGAGTAAAGAGGGAGAATTTCATATTTAAAATAATTATATCTGTATTATTTTAATTTTATTTCAATGTATTATTTTTAAATTAGACTTAAATAATTGATTAATTGCTTTAATCTAACTAATTAAATCTTCATACTGCACTGACAAATTTTTCAAAACAAATAATGTCCTAACGACGTGAAACATTATAGTTGTCCTTAATGCTAAATTATTTTCCTCTATAAAAATCCAGTCTACTGCCATCTATAAAATAGCTGCCAAAAAACCAATGTAGTTATTAAGAAATTATCTTTAATATTTTTAAAGGATTCCTATATCTTGCACTGTTCATTAATCTCAAAACACCTGATGTAAATTCCAGATCTTTTAACCAAGAAGGATGTGGCTGTAAGGAAAAGAAAAATACATAATTCCCATTTCTTAAATGAAGTATAGGATAATTGATAAAAATTAGTGACAACAAATGGGAAATCATATTAAATTATGTGGATGGATGCCTACTCCTTAATTTGTACAGCCTCTTAGCTCTCTAATAAGACACTCTGCCACCCACAGATACAGATCTAACTGTGGCATAAGAATTTTACATACCCTCTCCTAAATTTCTAAGCATTTCTACTCTTAATTTTCTCTGATGTTAAAAATCTCCTTCATTAAGACAAGCATTGATTTATTTGGACTGAGAATATTTCTGACAGGATTTGAAACTAATTATTTTGTCCTAGATACACAAAAATAGATTCTTATGTTTTATCAACTTCACAAAACCATGGACCATCCTCCACTAAAAAAAAAAAAAGCAAAAACTTAACTGAGTAACTTAACAGCAAAATCGTATAATCATGAAACGAGTTTAAACCTTAGTCCTTTAAACAGCTATTAGCTATCAAACTAAATAATTTATGCAAAATCACATGAATTTGGCCATTTTTTCAAATTGACTATTTCACAATTTTAAATGTCAAAAATCCTAACGGAGACTCTGAATTCACCAACGTCCCAGTTGTGACTTTAGAATAGGTACGGTTCCAATAATTGTTCTGAATTGGATTCTGTTGAAAACCTCCTTAACAGAATTGAAAGTATAATCTGGGCACTGTGTTTGGTATGTGCTGGGAATAGAGGAGCAGAGCAACCTCTCTGCCCATGCAGCACATTTTACATAATTTCATTATTAAAGGATTGCTGATGAATAAAATGTCATAGATACAGAGGACTGAGGCGGGGAAAGAATATAAACTGGAAACCTGAATACTGCAAAGAATCACATAGTACATGAGGGCCAGAAGTCCTTTTCCATTTTCTATATGGTCAGACCCCTATTTGAATATTCATTCATCCTAAGCTCCACAGGAATATAGAGATGTTGGAAGGAGTTGGGAGGTGAACGCTGAAGATGATTAAGTGTTGGACTAAGAAAGAAATGAACAGATTGCTAAACTTGGAAAAGCAGGGAGCTCTATTTAAAAAAGGCTTCTGAGTAATGGGACCAATTAATAAACAAAAATAGAATCTCAGCTGCTTTTCATTCCCACTGTGAACAGAATAAGAGAAAACAGGTGGAACTAAACATGAGGGTGAAGGCTGCCAACAGTTTAGCAAGTCAGGAGCAGCAGTGTCTACAGCAACCAGTTGTGATATTCCAATCCACACGATCTGTAAAGTAGGGCAATGGTAGAGGTAAATGTGGTCACTGCCACAAGAGACTAAAACAAATGAGTGCTTGAAGGAGGGAGGAAATATTTCTAAAAGCACCAAGTGCAAGACCCCACTTCCAGACTAGCTGTCAATAACTTGTATGGCAGTCGGACGTGTAAATTAGAATAGCCCTGGAGCTGGGCAGCCTGGGTTTGAATCCTGCTCTTCCGTTTGCTAGCTTGCTGTCCTTAGACAAGGCACTTAACCTATCAGTTCTTCCATTTCCTTGTCTATAAAAGGGGAAAATCAGTGTTAACCTAGTGGAGTAGTTGAGAGGATTGATGAATTAAGTTACGTGTGTGTGTGTGTTCTCATATATTTGTTATTATTATTCCTCAATCACAAAGTTGTGAGTTGGAGGAATGTATTTTGGCAGAGGATTAATTAAACTTGTTTCAACATTCTAATGTCCAGAATTCTCTATGAACCATCATTTGCAGCAAGTACACTAAATGTGGACACTCATGAGGCAGCAGACACCATGAGACCCTGAGGTATGAATCACGCAAAATGGATTCACCTTTATCCGATATTGAGAATTTAAAATTTAGTCAACTACATGCCTGCAGCTGGAGGCCATTACCCTAAGGGAATTACGCAGGAACAGAAAACCAAATACCGCACGTTCTCACCAGTAGACCCTGGGGACTACTAGTGAGGAGAGAGTGGGAGGGGGACAACGATTTAAAAAAAACTATTGGGTACTATGCTCACTACCTGGGTGATGGGATCGTTTGTATCCCAAACCCCAACATGAGCCAATATACCCATGAAACAAACCTGCACAGGTACCCCCTGAATCTAAAATAAAATATGAAATTTTTAAAAAACAAAACTGCTAAACAAGAATGTCAAAAAAAAAAATTAAAACTTCATTATCTAATTATTTAAGACTAGGCGACCTATGTTTACCTTACACAATAATTCTTTCTTTATAAAATACTATATTAGCCAGAACATATTAATTTATAATCACCTTACGTAACAGAAACCACTTAATACATAATACATATCACTGAATCAATGAAGGCACTAATTAATTAATTAATCAAAAACTGACTGCAGATCCAGAGACCTTTGGCTAGCTAGCCTGCGTGTTCCCCTTTGCTGGCTTGTGATTTGGGACAGGTCATTGCATAACTTAATTTTTGATGTATTATATTTTTAAAACTACAGATAGGTACTGCTTTAAAAAAACAATTCGGTGCCTCACCTCTAAGCAATCATAATTTAAAATAAAAGATTATAATCAAAATTACTATATTGGGTAATCAAAATGTCTTTAAGATTCTTGATATTTAGAACTTTAAAAAGAGAAAAAAAAATCTCTTTTTTCTGTCAGTTTGCTGTGCAATTATGTCAGTTGTTCAATCCAGACTTAAATAAATCATGTTTTACTACGAACTACTCTACATAGAAATGCTTTATTCTTCCCTTTCATATTATTATTTAAAGCCATTCCACTCATATGCATGAACACATATAAGATTCTCTATTACAATTTTTCTTTTTATAATTATATGAAAAAATAAGTTTAATAAAAGTGTCATACTATGATAAAGTGAAAATGTTGCATAATTAGAAGTAATTGCGGTAGACAGATTATCTGAATAAGAGCGGTTGTATCCAGAGTTTTTATTTTTAGGCAAAACAACCCTTTATGTTTTTTTCAGCTTTATTGAGGCATATTTGATGCACCCAAAAAAATCTGTACATAATTTATAAAGTTTGATGAGCTTGGACATACATGTATCCTCTTGATATCATCATCATAATCAGGGTAATAAATATACTCATTACTTCCAAAAGGTTCCTTGTGTCCCTTGGCTATTTTATGGTTTTGTTTTATATTTGTTTGCTTGCTTGTTTGTAAGAACACTTAACATAAGCTCTAACCTCAACAAGATTTTAAGTACGTAGCACTGTATTATTAACTATAGGCACTGTGTTGTACACCAGATATCTAGAACTTACTCATCTTGTACAAATATAACTTTACACCCATTGAGCCCCTGGCAACAATTACTCTAGTTTCTGCTTTTGTGAGCTTGACTATTTTAGATACCTCATATAAATGGGATCATGCAGTATTTGTCCTTTTGTGACAAGATTATTTCACTTATCACAATGTCGTCCAGTCCCATCTACATTGTCATAAATGGATTTCTTTCTTTTTTAAGACTGGGTAATATTCCACTGTATGTATTCACTGCATTTTCTGTATTCATATGTCAATGAGTATTTGGGTAGTGTCCATATCTTGGCTATTATGAATAGTGCTACAATGAACATGGGAGTGTTGATATCTCTGCAAGATCCTAGTTTCAGTTTGCTTGGATCTATAGCCAGGAGTAGGATTGCTGGATATTGGTTTCTGTGCTTGACCAAGTGGTGGAGCTGAGCTGCTTCAGTGACAGATGACGCCTTGTGGTTGAAGGGGACTGGGTTTGTGTGTGTTCGAGCTCCCATCTCTCCTTGAACAACATATAGCAATAGAGAAGCCAGGAGGTGTTCTATTTACACACCCTGAATCATGTAATTTCTGAATATGAGCATTTTAAACATAGAGATGAACATAACTTTCAATAATGCTTTCACTCAGTGCTCTCAGATCAGTGACATTGTGATTTATTTCTACATTTGGAATGGACTTCTTCACAGAGCTTACTTAACACATACTTTTAAAAAATATAGCATGATATAATAAGTAAGGCCAACTAAGCAACTGATGCAAAAAGATTTGCAACATATAAACTAGACAAAAGATTAGTATGCTTAATGTACTCAGAGCTCCTACAAATGTAAGATAAGCAACACAATAGAAAAATGTATAAGTGATATTGTGATATTTCATGTAAGAATAAATGCACAGCCGGGTGTGGTGGCTCACACCTGTAATCCCAGCACTTTGGGAGGCCAAGGCAGGCGAATCATGAGGTCAGGAGATTGAGACCATCCTGGCCAACGTGGTGAAACCCCATCTCTATTAAAAATATAAAAAAATTAATTGGGTGTGGTGGCTGCGCACCTGTAATCTCAGCTACTCAGAAGGCTGAGGCAGGAGAATCGCTTGAACCCAGGAGGTGGAGGTTGCAGTAAGCCAAGATCATGCCACTGCACTCCAGCCTGATGACAGAGCAAGACTCTGTCTCAAAAAAAAAAAAGAATAAATGCATATAATAAAAGACAAAGTTATGAAAAGATACTCAATCTCACTAGTGGTCATTAGAATGCAAATTTAAACAGTAAGATATTTTTCAAATACCAAATCAATTTTTTAAAATTTGCTTTAATAACTAGTACTTAAGAATTGCTGATGAGATAAACTGTGATCAACTACAAGAAACTTTTTGAGAAGTGTACCAACCATGCTTACAGAAGTTCTAAGAAGACAAATATCTATCGCATTAAACTACTTGAGGAAAATATGAGTTTACGGTAGACATTAGTTGTCTCAAGTTCTTAGTGTTTGTCTCCCCTTTTAATAACTGCTCAGCAATTATCCTTGGGTAATCACACTTTCATACCTTCAATCCAAATGTTTTGGTAAGGGTGGCCTCATGCTCCAGAGTCCAGAGGGGAGCACGTGGCCTAAACTTGGCAGATAGAGTATTGATGCCCTGGTACAGTGACTGGCTCAGGGATGGGCAACCAGGCCAGCGAAAATCATATCTCAGAAATCATATCTCAGAAAAAACAACTGGGAAAGAACAGCTTTCTTAACACTGTAAAATGAGATTTAAGAATGGAACTGATGATGACTGTTTTGTCAAAGAAGAAAGACTGCTTGAGAATTAAGCTTACAGAGACAAATGCTGAACCAAGACTCAAATGTAGACAGGCTCCTGAGAACATCATTTCTGTTTCTGAATCTGACAGTATCTGAAGCTTACATTCCTCTTGGTTTTTCAACTACCTGAGCCAGTAGAGTTGAATCAATGGTGCATATACATTCTATGGAATATTATGTAACTTTTTAAAAACAATGAGACAGAGCTACACATGTTGAAAGGATGGCAAAGTTTTTCTCTAAAGGACCAGATATTAAATATTTTTGGCTTTATAACTAAAATGTCTCTGTTGCAACTACTTAACTCTGCCTTTGTAGTATGAAAACAGCCATAGACAATACATTCAGCATGGCCAGAGTCAGCTCATGAACCATGGTTTGCCTATCCATGGTACATCATTAAATGAAAAATGATGCCATTTTTATGAAGGAACTTGCTTAAAGAACGATTTATATATAAACATATATTAAAAGTATAATGAAAACAATGTAATAACATATAGCATTGCTGATTACCTCAGGTGGAGTAGTTTTAAGAGGTGAAGCCAGCTGGACTTTCTGGGTCAAGTGGGGACTTGAAGAACTTTTCTGTCTAGCTAAAGGATTGTAAATGCACCAATCAGCACTCTGCAAAAAGACACCAATAAACACTCTGTAAAAACGCACCAATCAGCACGCTGTATCTAGCTAAAGGTTTGTAAATGCACCAATCAGCACTCTGTAAAAATGCACCAATCAGCACTCTGTGTGTAGCTAAAGGTTTGTAAGCGCACCAATCAGCACTCTGTAAAAACAGACCAATCAGCACTCTGTAAAATGGACCAATCAGCAGGATGTGGGCGGGGACAAATAAGGGAATGAAAGCTGGCTGCCCAAGCCAGCAGCGGCAACTGGTTTGGGTCCCCTTCCACAGCAGCTTTGTTGTTTCGTTCTTCACGATAAATCTTGCTGCTGCTCACTCTTTGGGGTCTGCACTACCTTTATGAGCTGTAACACTCACTGCAAAGGTCTGCAGCTTCACTCCTGAAGTCAGAGGGACCACGAACCCAACCGGAAGGAAGAAACTCTGGACACATTTGAACATCTGAAGGAACAGTCTCTGGACACACCATCTTTAAGAGCTGTAACACCCACCACGAGGGTCCCTGGCTTCATTCTTGAAGTCAGCTAGACCAAGAACCCATCAGAAGGAACCAATTCCAGACACAGTTTTAGAGAAAGATTGAAGAGAGATTTTTAATTTTGAATCTTTTTCTTTCCATATTTATGTGTTATTTGACTTGTTATAATGAACATGTGTTACTTTTTTATTTAAAAATATGTAATAACCTTAAAAAAAGGGAGGTGCATTTTTTAATGTAGTCCCTTAAGTTTAAAAAAATTTGCATTATAACCAGGCTAGAATTTGGGGAAATCATTAATATTCAACCTGCCCTGATCTTTTAGCACCTGGAGGCCACACTCAGTTTAGCAGACCTATTTTATAGAGAAAGCCTAACGAGGTATTGCGCCTTACTAAAAAGGTTACAGAGCTAATTAGAGGTAAATCCTCATCTAGAAATAAGGCCACCAGATTCCTAGTCCAGTCTTTTTTCAGCACATATTACAGGTCCATAGATGTTCTTTCCGTTCCTCATTTGAGAATTAACGCATAGAAAATAGATGCCTCTCCAAACATATCATCATGAATACGTTTATAGCATCCAGCTCCAAGCAGCTCTGCCTTCAAAGATTTTTACACCACAGTCAGATTTTCTCTTCTGTAAATTGTTAGCACTATTTTTAGGAGTCCTTTTCTCTGGCAGATCCAGGCATTCTCGCATTTGAGTCCTGTCATCTCTTCAGTGTGTATTTAGTAGTTTCAGCACTCTGCTCACTGTTTACATATCATGACACCAGGCAGAGTTCAGCAATACAGAACATCTTATCCATTTCCTCTTAATCCAGTTTATATTCATCCTGAGCCCATCAGAGCAGGAGATGGAATGAGAGTTTTATAATTACCTTTTGCAAACAGAACATTAAATTATTATACAGTAGAATCCTCTAGTTTCTTGGACATAAGACGGCCTTTACTTGCCAGTGAACAGATCTGCCTGCCTCTATAAGTACACATGTGTACTTTGGAAATCAGCCCTGTTAGCTTGAAGTTATTGATCAATTTTGGTAGATTACTGCAATAGATTCTTAAAGTGCTTTAAGATTAAGAGATGTGCTTGGCTTTCTTCTGTCATGTATCTCAGAGGAAAACCATGAGATGAGACACACAATGAAAAACAGCAGGTAATACCATATGAGACTCCTTATTAAAAACATAAAGTGCCTTTCACTCCTGCTTTTATTAAGTCTACTTTTCAAGCTAAATGGGGGGTTAGGTGAGACGATTATAATACAAGTCACATATAACTATTTCATTATCCATGTCCTACAGCAAGATAGCCCCCAGAATGCCTTTGAAAGCTCCAGAGTGATGGCAGCAGGTTGAATATAATGAACAATGTTACAAATGGGAACATGAGACGGCAGGTCTGGTGGGGACGGAGTCTCCTAGAAACTGTAAGGCTGTAATTACTGAACACTGCCTCGGTTTCAGTTGACTTTGAACACTGGTAACCATCTTTGGCGGATTATATTTTTCTCAGCTAGTTAAAATGAAGCCAGTCAGAGAACCTGAAATTTATAAGGCATAATACATAGGCAAAGGCATTGTCTGCTTTTATTACTCTAATTTTTGTCTGGTTTCCAAGCTCATTCCACTATGCACTGTGCAACTGAATTAAAATTGGGTGAAGAAATAGATTTATATTATTATGTCTGAAGGCTGAATGGCTAGAAGTTACATTTTTAAAAAGAATTGAACAGCGTAATTTTTTGTTGGGGGAAAAGAGGCAGACATGGGATTCCAGCTTTATGTGTCAGCACTTTTTCTTAGTATGTTATTTGAAATAATCACTAAATTAAGAACGGAATGAAGGAAAGTGAATGAAGAGACAGAATGAGCGGGAAAAGGGAAAAAGTATAAATGCTAGTTACGATGAAACATTGTAACTGAAACCAGCAAAACCAGTTCCAGTGATTTGATTTGCCTTACACATTTAACCCAAAACAACAATAAAATGAAAATTGCTGACAATGCCCACTTTAATTTAGTTTGATTTCTAGTCCAAATTTCAGGGGGCAAGAGAGTTAGTATAAATTTATTAAAGAGCTTGAGTAAACTCTGGTAGCTGACCTGCTGCATGGATAAGCCAGAATCCAGCTGATCATATGCCTGCTTTCTTGTCTGGAACTACCTGAATAAAATTTAATTCAGTCCAATTCAGAGAACACAGCACAGGCAGGGCTAAGCCCAGCAGGGCAGACACAGGCCCAGTGGTAAATCACAAAACAGCCTCTATCCTTACTACCCATCCTTTGTTCTCGCTCTCCCTGGTAACACAGGGAATCTGGTTAAAGGGAACATCATGGACACATCCGCAGAAAAAGGAAAGAGACCCATGTCACAAAAGCACAACCTGAGGGGGATGTATGGGAGAGGTCAGGATGCCATTGCCCGGCAGTCAGCCTCTGGCCACCAGCCCTGTGCTGGACCCGTGAGCAGTATGGTAGCTGTGAGCTGAAAGAAAAATCACTGCCTCCATTTACCACCTTGGTTTTGGCATCCCCTGAGGGTGTCACCCCACCTGCCGCAAATCCTGAGATCCAAGGCAAGATTCAATGTGCCATGCCCCTGAGATGCATTCTGCCTCTGTTAGCTGCAGTGACAGCTCTCCTGCCTCACATCCATGCAGAAGCAGAAGGCAAGTGAGCGTGTAAGAGTGCCAGCTTGGTTTCACAGAGGATGTTGGCACCCAGATGACCTCAGCCCATCCCAGAGATCCCCTGTAAACAGTCTCCATGCAGGCCTACAGCTTCCTGCATTCCTAGCTGAGGGTGTTCTCAGGCTGCGGCAGCAAGCTCAGTCTGGACTCAGGGTAGGCTGGGCCACCCAAGAGTGAATTCCAGCAAATGAGGGGCAGGAGTCAGTGGATAACCATGCCAGCTTCCTCGGCCCTCAGGGGAGCTCTGAAGTTTGCGCCACACAGTCTCTCAGGAGGTCCACGTGCAATTGAGCCCTACTTTCCCACAACCCTTTGTTGACTTTTCTCTCATGCCTCATGGTGTGTCCTGGGATCAACTCCTAAATAAACGACCTCACTCAAACCATTGTCTCCAGATCAGCTTTTAGAGGAATGCCCTCTAAGAGCCTTGGCATTACAGCTATGACCAACCAGACCAGAGCTGCTCCTGGTGCTACCTGGTTCTGTCTCTCTAGACACTCATACTAAAAACAAGACACTCAGAATAAAAACAAATCCAGTTTGTCTTCCGCATGGTATCTAAAGGTGGTTATCATGGGTGCCCCTCCCCAGGACAAAGCTTTCTTGTCTCTAAATGTTCTCAGCTTTTTTATGTTTTTTTTGTTCTATAATTTCTAGACCCACTGCCATCCTACTTGTGATCCTCTGGCTGGATTCCATTTTATTAACCCTCCTTATAAATGCCCTGTCTCTTCACTCTCAACTTGACTCTCTAGCACATCTGCCTCTTAAGGCTCTATGTGACAGTCATCCCCACACTACTCTAAGGAAGACGACTGTTCACAGAGGTCCTGATGTTACCTTTTTTCAGATTAGTCACAAATATCCACCTGACATTTGTTACAATCATCTGTAAGAAATGCTAGGGACACCGTCTCTTAAATTTTTCAAACAACCATTAGAATGTAACTTCTGAGTACTCTGAATTAGAGGTTCTAATTCTTGTAGGAGCCTTGAATTCCCTTAAGAACGTAATGAAAGCTGTGTACTCTGCCAAAAAAAAAAAAAAAATACATATATGTGCATCCACAATTGTGTATGAGATTTGGATGGATTTAGAGATCTTCTGAAGTCCGTCTCTGGACCGAGGCTTAGAGGCCACGTTTTCATCTAAACTCTTCCCAAAGCATCCCTCTGCTCAACCCAGAAGCATATTGATTCCATCACTCTCAAGTTCCATTACTCTCCAGGCACAGAACTAAATTCATGACTGTCATACAGTTGGGATATGGAGAGCCAATTTTATCTGCTCTAAGAGAAGATTCTGCTTGTTGACCACTGTGTGACGAAAGCCTAGATCTTTTTGGTAGAAAATGCTGAACAAAGTCACTCCCTCCTGCTTTTTTGTTTCATGCTGTGCAACAATAACCCCCGTAACTAAAATGTCCTGCTACATAAAGTGACCTTCCCACAGCACCTCAAGGTGTTTGAATTTTCCTGAAAATTTTCCAAAGTTCCAGCTGGAGTATAGGAGATTTTTATTATGGAGAGTTGGGTGAACCTGCCTTCAGAAAAAGCTGTCTCTCTAGACAAGATCATTCATCTGGAATGAAAGCTTATCAAGTCTGTGGCTATTGTGCCATTTCTTTTACAGAACCAAGAAACCAACTGATTTCAATCTCCAGTACCTAGACGGGATATTAAAATAAGTTGAATGACAAAGGAGATTGAAAAGTATTTTGGACATTGGTGAAGCATGTGTGCTATGCACAACTGTATAATGTTTTAGCCACCTATATTCATAGTTGCTTATACACTTAGACTGGAGGAGACAGAGAAGCTATGATTATTGTTAATGGCGTGGCTTGGCTTTTTTTTAATTTGCAGAACATTTTAAAAGCACATGTGTAATGCACATTCTTTCTTTTTTAATATTTATTAAATGCCTACTTCTTCACTGTGAGGTATGCAAAGATAAATTAATCTGTGATTAGTGATAATTTTTATATTATCATAGGGGAGATGAGACTCTAAAGCAGTACAATTGCTTCAAATCAAATGCTATAGGTATTTCGAGAGCTCTTTCCCATGAGATTCACCTAATAAATTTGAAAAGCAGATATTATTCTATGTGTGATCTGCAAATACATTGTTTCAAATTCCTTTCTGATCAATCAAAAGCTAAGGTTTTTTTCAAGCAGTTAATTTGGGGTACAAAACAATAAATACAAATAAAATGTACCTCTTCTCTAATTTTAGTAAAATACCCCACCTACATGTCCTAATGATGAAGTTAAGATTCCTCAGCTAAATAAATCAAAATTTGAAAATAAGTAAAATCTACATATTTAATAATCATCTGTAGGCATGAGCAGAAACTATACAGGAACTGAGATCTATAACTAGTCATGTTCATGGAGGGTACAGTTTTTGCCAAATTCATTTCTAATGATACTTGGTTGAATACAAGAAAATTGCAGCAAAACCCCATGCAAACAGAACCCACAGAAACAAAATTTGTATACAATGTGATTGACTCCTTCCTTCTATCTAATCATGTTTTCAGATCTGGTGGGGTTAAAGTTTTTATATGGGAGGTAAGGCATGAAGTGAAATGTAAAGGGAAAGGCAAAACTTGGTGGAAGTGGCAAAAAATACAAAACAAAACTCTTCTTGGAAGGTACAGGGGAAAAGAGTGGGTCCCTGGTCTCCAGAGTTTTCCTGGCTCAGTTTCCCCCAAGTAAGGCCAATGAAGTGGCACAAATTAACCAGGAGATTCATGGAATTGCTGCTGCTGTCCTAGAATTCCCAGTCTTCCCTGGGAAGCTGGATCAATGTCAATGGCACTTAGAAAGGACAACCAACACCAGGTGGCATTACACTGCAACTGGGATGGAGGCTGACTGGGATCCTCAGACAAACCCCAGAACTGTGGCAGCTAGCTGAACAGGCTCACCCCCACCTCATTCCATTAACCTCGTAAAATTGTGAGCTTGCATTTTATAGGATTGGGTATTTTGGACCCCACTTATCAGGTTTTGGCAAGGGTTCACTTGGTAAAATATCTTCTAGGTCATCATTTTTATCCAAAAACAAATTTATGGAAAGGTCAGCTATAGTTTGAAGGAATGATGAACAACTCAAACAGAAATTGAAATCTGCAATATTTTATGGAAGCGATTTGGAGGCAAGAAACAATATTGAATGAGAAGTGTACAAATATGAAATTTTTCTCAGTATATTTTTGTTCAGGTTTTTAAACCATATCTAAGCACTTCATAAGTTCACCATTTTAAGTTCAAAATAATTAAGAAGCAACCACTGTCTAAAAACACATTAGAATCATGGGGCAATTTTAATTCAACAAAACCAAAATCCCAGATGTCCAAAAGAGATTGTGCTCAGGGGATATACACACAATCAAGCCAGAATTCACATGATCATGAAATGTGACTTCCTGACCTTTGAAATTTCAAAGCATATATTTTGCCTTAGTGATATAACTAGTTAATTCAAAAAATATTTAGGTAGCAGCAATCAAGCTATCAAACATTTTCAGGAATTTTCACATGAAGATTTTTTAAAAGTGAATGAAAATAAAAGATTATCACTCATGTCAATCCCACTTTGCCTACTGACTGCATGGCATTTCATGTAGATTGCTTCTCTGTCTCCCTCCTCTTTCTTTCTCTCTCTCTCTCTCTCTCTCTCTCTCACACACACACACACACACACGCACACAACAACAATGATGGCTTGTTGCAATAGGCAAAGAAACAAAACAATATCCCAGAATAGATATGGAAGGTGACTAGAGTTCTTTATAAAGTATTATCTCTGGTTTATTTTTTTAAAACTCTTCTGTTATCAAACAATGGTGCCTCAGAGGTATAAAGAAGGACTCTGCTAATGCACAATGAAGGATTCTGCTAAAGTACTAATGAGCACTTTTGACATCGTTAATAAAGACGTCAAATTTTTAAAGAATAGAAACATTTCTTGTTAGGATTTAAAATGAGTGTTTTGGGCAACTGAAACATTTGTACCTCGTCACTAGTTTCCATGGTTCTTGTGACTATGTCACTCAGTCAAAAGCACTGCAAGAAGTATGTGACCACCCTTTTTGCACCATATGGTATACTGCAGTTCTGGGGAAGAGGAGTTAATTGGCTATACCTGAGCAGTCACAAGATTTATAGGTTTGATTATCCAAAATAGATGCTTTTACCCTGATATATATGGAGTTTTTGCTCTTGTATTAATTATAATAAAAGCATGCCAAATGAATGAAAAAGCATCATTATAAAAGGGATTTGTGTGTGCAATGAAACAGCATGGGTGCCTCGTGGCTTCTACAATGAAGATGTAACTATTTTCATATACAAGTTATTAGCTCAAGTTGTTCTTTATTACACCATAACTTTGCTCCTATAGCAACATGGTTGTAGCAGAAAAATAATTACGCCTGGGTGTTACATGCCAGATGTTTTTAAAGCAAAGGTGGCGGTTTAATTCTAAGCTAGTTTAAATGGTAGATATAAGAAGTACCAGAAAAAATACAAATAAAGGCGTTACAGAAAAGTAAGGTGAACTTAATTAGAAGCGTATATTCCTAGATACCATTTTTCTAAACCAGCACTACCCAATAAAAATATATGCTAGCATGTACGTAATTTTTAATTTTCTGATAGCCACATTTTTTAAAAGTAAAAAGAAATGAGCTTAATTTTACCAATACATTTTAACCCAATGTATCCAAAATATTATTTCAACATGAAACTACTATAAAAATGTATGATGAGTTATTTTACATATTTTTCTCTTGGGTTTTTTTTAATCTGCTGTATAATTTACACTTACAGCACATCTCAATTCAGAGAGCTAAATTTCAAGTCTTGATAGCCACATATGGCTGGTTCCTGGCTCCCATAATGAACAGCCCTGTTCTAGACTTTTCTCTTGTCTGCACTTAGTACTATAGCTAATCTCTCCCATCTAGTTTATAATAATACTCAGAGAAGATGACCCTAGGAAGGCGCTCCGGAATCATTAATCACTCTGAAACATCTGCATGTGTACTTTTCACAGAGGGCAGCTGAGTCCTTTCATTCAATCAAGATGATCACAGTTCTAAGTTCAACCCAGAAAATATTTTTTAAAAAAGCTTCTTTAAAAATCCTGAAGTCCAAAAATTGTGGCTCGATTATGCTATCTCCCTGTGGAAATGAAAAATATCCAGAGATAGGAGGTGGCAAGCCTGTAACTGGTGCAATCCACATTCTTGCCTAGCTGTGGGAGTTGAGGGGATGGAGGTTGCATGCACTTATAGTGAAATTAAAGGAAATAGTATACAGAAAGCATCAGGGCCTGCAATGTTTTCCTAGCAAGGAATTACCAAAGAAGAAAAGACTCTGTCTCTGCCCTCAAGCTCTAGGTCTACCTGGGATCCAGGGTAACAGGACAGAAGCCATGACATGAGAAGAACACAGGCAGAACCCAAGAAGTGGAGGAAATGGGATAAATCAACAGGATGGTTCTGAGTGTGGATTTGTGTGGTGTAGTCAGCCACCCCTCCCAATCCTAATCTTCACTTATCCTACTGTCCCTCCTTGAAACATTTGTATATGGATGAAATTTAAATGTTTTTTTGTTTGTGTGTTTTTAAATGAATATCAGCCTTAAAAAAGCAAATCACAAAAGAGCAACTTGCAGTGTAAGATGAAAAGAAAGGGAAGCCACAAGAGAGAAAGAACAGTCCTTTTTGGGGGCCAGGGAGGAGACATGGTACTAAGTTTGCCAATTGTACGTGTATTTTCTTTTTCTTTTTACTTTACCTGACAGTCATCTCTTAGTCTCTGTCTCTTCAACTGTCACCTATGAGGGCCACACACAAAACACAGTATTGGGGGAAAGGCCCCAAATTGCCTGCCTGGAAGACTTCTCTGATGGTGATGCAATGCAGAACAAAGGGAGGGTTTGCTGGAGTAAATGGTGCAAATTCAGCTGAGTTAATAAGATAAGGCAGTGAAGGAGGTGAGTCAGGTAGGGTTGGAAAGAAGTATTGGGACCAGGCTCTTGCTGGGTTCTATTATAATTGCATTTCTCCCAGCTACCTGTCTTCTAGGTTAGCTCACAGCCGGGTACTATTGGGTTCTCCCTGGTGGGACAGAACTGATGAGAATTCAATCAATTCCAGTTAGAACATAGCCAGTGGGGTACCATCAGTAATCTCCCAGAAAATAAACTTCATGAGGACAGAGCCTCTGTTTTGTTACATAGAGCCTAGACTAGTACCTTAAGAAATATTTAAAAGATACTTATTAGTAAATTTAACAAATATTTGTTGAATGAAGGAAAAGAAGGGAGACCAGCAGTTGCCAGTTTGGAGAATCAAGATTGGCCAGCATTGTGATATCCCCAGAGACAAGACAAGAGGGCCAATGAAAACCTACCAAGGCCAATTATGAGAACACATGGGAGAGAGGTCCTGGGGTGCTGCAGAAAGAAAATAGAGAATAAAAGAAATTTGGGGGTAATCATTCCTCAGGTTTGAAGTATAAGTGAAGTCAACTCATTTGTGGATCAATTTTTTTTCTACCTTCATCTGTATTGATTTATCACTTCTGTTAAGAGTCTACCCTGAAACCTAATCACTTTACTTTCAGTAGGCTAATCCTAGATTCACCCTAGAGGTCATTTTTAGTTACTCCTAATCATACTGCCTTCTAACAAGCCAAATAATTTCTCTCCATCTTTGATGTTTATGCCTTTCAAATATTTGTAGAGCGTTATCCCATCTCCCATTAGTTGTTGCTGAGCTAGGCTTTAAGGATTAAGCACATTTAGATCCTTTAAACCTAGTAAATGCCTCAGATCAATCCTTCCATTACTCTAACCATTTCTGAGGCTGTTCTTGTGAGCATCTTTAGAGTCTTTGTACATCTCTACACTACTGAGACATCTGTAGCTCAACTTGATATCCCCAAAAGAGCCTGACCAACATCATATTTTTCTTAAATCACCAAAAACAAATTTTTCTTAAATCACCTGCATCAAAAAATCCCAAAAGTGGATTATTTAAAATTAGATTCTTGGGTCATACAATTAAACCTAGTGAATCACTGAGAGACAGGTTCAGAAATTCAAAATGGTAAATTAACAAGATACCCCAGATTATTTGTAGGCACCTAAAACTTGAGGACCAGCTGCAGGAAGTCATTACTGAGAAATCCTCAATATAAACTTTGAATACCTTTTCTATATAGGCACGTAGGCCTGAAACTTTCAAAACATTATACACTATTATTTATGACTGTCCCACAAGTGAAGTCAGCATTGAGAAAGCAGCAAGGATCTCAGACATGCAAGAGGAGACAAATGTACCAGGTGCATTACTGGTTCTTTTCTCCATTGTACTGCAATGTCCAGATATTATTTACTTCAAGTTCATAGAATTGGGTTAACCATACCCTTGATTTATGGTACACTTTCATCATTAGTCCATACATGGCTCTTATTTATTTGCTTGCTTGCTTGCTTATTTAAAATATAATAAACACCAGTGATCTCACTACCTAACACAGAAATTAAAATATTCACAATAACTTACACTCTCCTGTGGGATTTTTTTTTTTTCTGTTGTTCCTGTCTCAGCTCTTCTTACTACACAATCTACAAGTGCAAGATCTGGGGCTGGCAGGGAACCTGCTGGGATATTTTATGGGATATTTTACAAGGTTCTTCCTTGCTACTGAAAAAAACATTTTGAAAAACACAGCAGTATGTAGACATGGGATGAAATGAGGAGAAATAATAAATAACACTGACTAAGCAGCTGTTTGTTCAACAAATGTCCATTAAAGTCCCTACTATGTGCCAGGTGCAATGGCAGGCCTTGGGGCTACAAAGATAGATGGCTCCTGTCCTCAAAGAACTCACAATCAGTTAGAGAGACAAACAAATAAATTCAGTCAAGTGCTACAGGGGTAACGAGAGAAATCTGTATGAGGGAGAAGTGAGACCCAAAGGATAGAGAGTCAGTTCTACTGGTGAAAAAAGAAATATCAGGAAAAGATTTTACAGAGAAGACAATCATGAAGCTGAGTCTTGACAGATGACTTTGAGAGAACTTTACAACAAAAATTTTAGTCTCAGAAATGAGACTGGAAAAAGACTGGTGTCAGTACCTTTAAATTCAAATTTTACTCAATGTTCACTTGGTTTCCAGAACTTCACTATCATCTGTGTAAGCCTACTGACACCAGGACACATGTGAGTCAGCCTCAGCAGTGCACAGTCGGCCAAATACTGTTCAGCAACCTGAGTAATATCAAAATTGCTCAGCTATTTTGGATTGTGTTTGAAGAGAATACATAGCCCACAGTTAATGTTTTTTAAAACTTTCATTTTTTTTCTCCCGTTTATTTTCTTCAAATGTTGGAACTTGTCTGGTACCATTCTCCTCAAAAACTTTCTTAAAAACAAAATAAACAAACAAAAACCTCATCTACATCAGGACTGAGCATTCCAGTTATTCTATACTTTCCACCTATCTTTCTTATTCTGTATCAAAACCCCCCAAAATCTGGCCTGACAATAGCAGAACACTACTCAGGGGCCAAGAAAGGCAAAGAAACTATGCAAGGAAAACTAACATCATGCTTTTTAAGATTAAGGGATGCAAAAATCTAAGAACATTCTTTGGTTATTTTTGTCTTCAAATAATTATTACATCCAAATATCTACTCTTCTAAAACAGTAGATTTATCAAAAAATATGTATAACTGTGACTTCTAATCAACCTGCTTCCTGAGAAGTTGAAGACTTTAAAAAAAAGAGAAAATTGTGGGAAGGCAGATAAGAACCAGATTGTGGAAGGCTTTGAATCCAAGCAAAGAAACTTGTCTTTGTCCCTTTGAGCTCCTATAACAAAATATCTTAGACTGTATCATTTATAAAAAACAAATTTATTGCTTACAGTTTTGGAGGATGGGAAGTACAAGATCAGGATACCAACAGATTCAGTGTCTGGTGAAGGCTGTCTCCCCACCTCATAGATGGCGCCTTCTCACTGTGTCCTCACATGGCAAGAAGGGCAAACAAGCTCCCTCAGGCCTCTTTTATAAGAGCACTAATCCTATGATGAGGGTGGAGCCCTCATAACCTAATCATCTCCCAAAGACCCCATCTCTTAATTCTACCACAATGGGGATTAAGTTTCAACACATGAATTTTGGAAGGGACACAAACATTCAGTCCATAGTATTCTGACCCTGATGCCTCCAAATTGATGTCCTTCTCACATGCAAAATACACTCATTCCACCCTAGTATCCCCAAAAGTCTTAACTTATTTCAGCATCAACTCAAAAGTCAAAAGCTCAGAGTCTCATCTAAATATCGTCTAAATCAGACATGGGTAAAACTCAAGGTACAGTTCATCCTAAGGCAAATCACTCTCCAGGTGAACCTGTGAAATCAAACAACTATGTGTCTCCAAAATATCATAGGCATAGGATTGATATTCTCGTTACAAAGGAAAAAAGATAGGAAAGAAGAAAGAGGTAACAAGTCCCAAGTAAATCCAAAATCCAACAAGGAAAAAAACATTAAATCTTAAGGATGAAGAATAATCTTCTTTGATTCTCTGTCCTGCCTTCTGGGAGGGGGTGGTTGGGCCCCCAAAGCTCCAGGCAGCCCCATCTCCATGGCTTTGCTGAGCACAGCCCACACTGCAGATTTCGTGGGTTGATGTCACCTGCCTATAGCTCTCCCAGGCTGGAGTTGCACTCTGTTGTCTTTACCATTCTCATTCTGGTGTCTTGGGGATGACCCTGCTTCTATGGCTCCACTAGACCATATGCTAGTGAGGGCTTTCTGTGGTTGCCCTACTCCTACGGCAGTTGTCCGCCTGAACCAGGAGGCTCTATGGGGCACCCTATAAAATCTAGGTGGAGGCAGCCATTATCCAACAGCTCATGCACTCTGAGCACCAGTGGATATGGCACCATGTAGATGCCACTAAAGTTTACTGTCTATGCCCTCTGGAGGAGCAGCCATAACTGCACCAGGCCTGCTGGAGCTGAACCTGGTGGGGAGCCAAGAGTACTGCACTGGAATGCATGCAGCCGAGCCTTGAAGTGGTGCTGGGCAGTAAGACCCAATGTTTCATAGACCCCTTCCTTGAAGTCATTCTGCCCTCAACCAACTGGCACTCCGAACTGTGATGGGAGTGGCAGCCCCAATTATCTCCAAAATGCCTTCAGGGTCACACTTCCATTGTCTTGATGAACAGCACAGGGCCAATCTATACTGATCTTCTTATCCACACTCTTGGTGTTCTTGGTCCCTATTATGGTTTGAATGTGTGACCTCTCCAAATTTAAACTGAAAAGTAATCCCCATTATAGTAATATGGAAATTGGCTCAGCTTCCCCAAAGAACTGATGGTTACAGTTTTTGAAAAAACATAGAGTTGACTGTCCCAGTCTTAAACCTGGAAACTTACATTTGTCTTATCTGAGTTCCTTTCTCAAGAAACCTCAGGCCTCCCAGATAGTATCAAGGAACTGAAACTCACCAGAAGACTGCATCTAGACAATGAGACACAAGGCCCCTCATTCATCATGATTGTGTCCTTATCCCTCAATAATTCCTATTTTCCTGCACATAACTACTCTCCTTCCCCACTATATAAACCCCCAATTTTAGTCAGTTGAGAGGGAGATGGGTTTGAGGTTTGGCTCCCATCCCTCCAGCTGACATCACTCATAATATAATAAAGCCTTCTTCTCTGGCAATACTTATTGTCTCAGTGATTGGCTTTTGGTGCAGTGAGCAACCAGACCTAGACCAAATGCCCAGCATTTTGGTAATAGTATTAAAGAGGTGGGACCTTTGGGGAAATGGATTAGTGCCTTATAAAAAGGACAGAGGAAAACAGCTTCAGTCCTTTTTTAGCTCTTCTGATCTTCTGCCATGTAAGAACACCTAGATGGTGAGGAACAAGCTTTCACCAGATGCTGAACCTGTTAGTGCCTCAATCCTGGGTATCCTAGTCTTCAGAGCTATGAGAAAATAAATTTTTTTTCTTTTTAAGTTACCAAGACTCAGGTATTTTCTTATAGCCATACAAAAAGATGAAGACAGTCATAAACATGCATTCCTATTTGTTACAATATAGTCAGGATGAGAATTTTCCAAGTATTTAAGTTCTGCTTCCTTTCTGATTATAAATTCTATCTTTAATTCATTTCTCTCTCCTAATTTTTACTGTAAATAGAAAAGAAATGTTATGCCATAACTTCAACACTTTGCTAAAATATTTCTTTTACTAAATATCTATTTCATCACTCAGAAAGTCTACCTTCCAAAATGCATTAGGATTCACACAACTCAGCCAAGTTATTTGCCACTTTAAAACAAGGATGGCCTTTCCTCCAGTTACCAACAGCATGTTCCTTATTTACATCTGGACCTCACCAGAATGGTCTTTACCATCCGAATTTCTATCAACCTTTTGATTGCAGCTACTTAGATAATCTCTAAGAAGATTGAGGCTGCTCTAAAGCTCTCTTCTTCCAAGCTGTTATCAGAACCATCCTTAATGCACTATTTACAGCATTTTAGGTTTTTTTAGCATGAACTTCCAAACTCTTCTGGTCTCTATTCATTACCTAATTCCAAAGTTGCTTCCACATTTTTAGGTATGATACAGCAACACCCCATTTCTTGGTGCCAATTTCTGTCTTAGTCCACGGTTACTATTACAAAATATTTGAGAGTATGTAATTTATAAACCACATAAATATGTTGCTTATGGTTCTAGAGGCTGGGAAGTCAAAGATCAAAGTGCCAGCATATTCACTGTCTGGTGAGGGTTCTCTCTCAGCTTCAAAACTGGTGCCTTCTTGTGGCATTCTCACATGGTAGAAGAAGAAAACAAGTTCCTAAGCCTCTTTTATAAGGGCATACATTCTGTTCATGAGGGCTCCCAAAGGCCCCACTTCTTAATACTACTACGTTGGGGATTCAGTTTCAACATATTAGTTTTGGGGAGACACAAAATTGACACATGTAGACCATAGCAGAGCTTAAATTTTATACTTTTATCAATGAATTAATCAAAGTGTTTTTACAGAGAAACATCTTGGGAAGACGATGCATCAAAAAAATTAGAGGAGTGGGTTTGTATTAGTCTGTTTTCACACTGATGAAAAAGACATATCTGAGACTGGGCAATTTACAAAAGAAAGAGGTTTAATTGTACTTACAGTTCCATGTGGCTGGGAACCCTCATAATCAAGGTGGAAGGCAAGGAAGAGCAAGTCACCTCTTACATGGATGACAGCAGGCAAAAACAGAGATTGGGGAGGGAACCTGCCCCCCACCCTTATGATACTGTCAAATCTTGAGAGACTTATTCACTATCACAAGAACAGCATGAGAAAGACCTGCCCCATGATTCAATTATCTCCCACCAGATCCCCCCCACAACATATGGGAATTCCAGATGTGATTTGGGTGGGGACACAGCAAAACCATATCAGTTATTAAGCTACTAACAGTTTATTATTTGTCTTCCTTAGTGTTAGGTATAAATCCAAATATTTCAGGGTGAGATTATTGCTTCTTTTCTCAAAGCACTTGAGTTTGTCAATCACTGCAAGGAAGGATGGACTCCATATCTTGTTTTGTTTAACTTCCAAAGCTATCTTCTACTCAACACCCATTTTACCTCCTTCCTACACTAGGAATATGCTTTTTTCCACACAAGTCAACAAACGAGGCTCCCTTTCTTTGAAGACTATCTCAAAACCTATTCTTTCTACATTCAGAGTAAATAATGGGCATGTACAGACTCTGAATCTTTCTTTTGTTCTTCATGTTTCCATTCATTTCATGATGTCAACTCTTCCTTTTTACATCTCCTCCACTGTTTCTTAAATGTAAATTTGCCTGACATGTTGATGCCATGTTTTAAAAATACTACTTGGCTGGTTGAGAGTAAAAAGAAAAAAAGAAAAGAAAAGAAAAAAACCTTTTCTCTTTTGGGAATATTCATTCCAAACTCGATACCATATTGTAGCTGCTATGACCCAAATGTATCCCCTCTACAATTCTTATATTGGAAACTGAATCCTCAATGCAACAGTGTTGGACGGTGGAACCTTTGGGGAGTTATATAGGTCATGATGGCTTAATGCTGCCATAAAAGGGGTTTGTGAAAATGAGTTCTCTCTCTTCTGCTCCTCTGCCTTGTAAGGACACTGAAAGAAAGCCCCAACAGATGCCAGAGCCTTGATCTTGGACTTCCCAGCATCCAGAAATGTCAGAGAACAAATTTATGTTTTTTATAAATTATCTAGTCTCAGGTATTATGTTACAGCAGCACAATATGAACTAAGATTTATGTTTTTTATAAATTATCTAGTCTCAGGTATTATGTTACAGCAGCACAATATGAACTAAGATAGTAGCTTAGCCCCAAATATATGAGATTGGCTTTTATCAAAATATAAAGATAGAATTATTAAAAATTTTTAAGTTTGAAGCAAAAGTGGAACTGATAATTTGGGATGAATTAGAATTCAGTCATCAATACAATAATAAGCTCTCCCTTCTGAGTGAGCTGGAGATGCTTACTTTACTTCTTCATGTGCTCTAGATGTACACCTCACTACAAGCTTCTTTTAAATCTATTGTGACAGTCTCTGTCTTTTAATTGGTAAGTTTAATTCATTTGCATTAAATGATTACTGATAAGGAAGGAGTACTTCTGCCATTTTGCTATTTGTTTTCTATATGTTTTATATATTTTTTGTTCCTCAATTCTTCCAACACTATCTTCTTTTGTGTTTGATTCACTTTTTTCTAGGGTACTATTTTTATTTTCTCCTCATTTCTTTTTTTGTATATTTTCAAAGTTCTTTTCTTAGTAGTTACCATGGAAATTATAACTAACATACTATATCTATAACAATCTAGTTTGAATTGAAACCAATTAAGCTTTAATAGAATACAAAAACTCTGTTTCTATACCTTTCTGTCTCCACCAAGTTATTGTACAAAATTTATACTTATATATTTCATGTCCATTAACATAGAATTTATAATTACTGTTTTATGTATTTGTCTTCTAAATTATATAGAAAAACCAAAAATAAGTTACAAACAAAAACACAGTAATCCTGGTGTTTATGTTTACCTTTATGGTTACCTTTGCCAGAGTTATGTATTTCTTCATATGGCTTCTTTTTTTTTTTTTTTTTTTTTTTTTTTGAGACGGAGTCTCGCTCTGTCGCCCAGGCTGGAGTGCAGTGGCGCCATCTCGGCTCACTGCAAGCTCCGCCTCCCGGGTTCACGCCATTCTCCTGCCTCAGCCTCCCGAGTAGCTGGGACTACAGGCGCCCGCTACCACGCCCGGCTAATTTTTTGTATTTTTAGTAGAGACAGGGTTTCACCGTGTTAGCCAGGATGGTCTCAATCTCCTGACCTCGTGATCCGCCCGCCTCGGCCTCCCAAAGTGCTGGGATTACAGGCGTGAGCCACCGCGCCCGGCCCATATGGCTTCTAATTTTTGTCTAGTTTCATTTTATTTTAGCCTGAAGGACTCCTGTTAGCATTTCTTGTAGGCAAAGTCCATTAGTAACGAATTTCTTCAGGTTTTGTTTATCTGGGAATATGTTAAGTTCACTTTCATTTTTGAGGAATAGTTTTGCCAGAAATAGAATTCTTGGTTGACTTTTTTTCCTACTAGCACTTTAAATATGTCATCCCACTGCCTTCTCTCCTCCAAGCTTTCTGCTGCAAAATCAGCTGTTAATCTTATTAAGGACCCTTGTATGTGATAAATTACTTTCCTTTTGCTGCTTTCAATATTCTGTCTTTGTCTTCGTTTCTGATTGTTTACTTTCATGTGCTTAGTTAGATTTAGGTTTGTCTCTAACAAGGTGATCCTATAAAAGGCTAGAAGTAAGTGGACTGATGTTTTTAGTTTGTTAATCTTTCATTCTGTAGCAAGCAGCAATTCCTTTGACATATACCTGTGTTTCTTCCTTTCTACACTTTTATCAGAATGGGCCTAAATACTTGATCTTTACCAATTTTCCCCTAGACCTATAGGACAGCATTTGTAAAGTATGCCAAAATTAATGTTGACAAAAAAAAAAAAAGTAGTACGATTCCTTTTTATTTCAGTATTCCAGTGGTTCCTTTTGAGGATTAATGAGTTAAATCTTGCAAACCTCTCTAAAGTATTAGGATATTAGATATTACTGAGAAGATGCAAGAGCCGTATGTTAAAAATTAATTGCAGGAAACCACTTGCAGATTGTAATAACGAAACATCCCAAGTTCCAAGGGCACTGGGGACTTCAAGTAAACAAGCCCTCATTAATTTGGCTAATTAGTCACTTGCTGTATTTGCTGGTTTGTAAGCAGCACCCTTTTAAGCAGAAAATTGAGCTGTAAAGTGCTAAGAGCCATATGTGTGGTAAAGATGGTACCAGTATACTATACTTTGGATTTCAAAGCATATCTCATATATTCAAAAATATATTTAGGATATTTGGACATTTCAGACTCATTCACATAACCTAAATGGACAGAGAGAAGCTTCAGGAAAACAGGCCCTGCTCTATTGGTGGCAAGAAAGAGCGAAGGTTAGGAAAAAACTGAAAGAAGTAACTGTTAAATTTTTTTCTCCAAGGAAGGCCAACAGGCTTTTTCAGACAGGACCTCACACACACAGGCAGCACCTTGTGATTGATTATTGTGGAATCAAGAGAAAGAGAAGAGACATCCCTGTGACTGGCAAATATACAGCTCCATATATGTCAATACCTGGGAACCTTGTCCCATAATGATAGTGGAGGAAATTACATATCTCATGCACACTACGGTAAAGCCTACTGAACTATTCTGCCACCAAGCAGAGCCTCAGTCTAGTGAACTGAATGCTTATGTCCACCAGCTATGAGGTCTTCCTTCCTTAAACTAGGCTAAAAAACACAGACAGTCCTCAATTTACAATAGTTCAGTTTACTATATTTCTATTTTATGACAGGTTTCCTGGAGTATTAAATTCATTTTCAACCTATGATATTTTTGACCTATGATCGGTTTATCAGTACATAACCCCATTATAAATTGAGCATTATCTGTACTGGGAAAGTCTTACTTTCCGTTTCTTTCCATATCAACTTACAGTAGCATCATCAATTCCATGGCTTCCTGATTGGCAGCTGGAGACTCTGGTTCAGATAGCATCACATTTATAAGCCAGCTCCCAGGGTGGGTCAGACCTACAGGTGGCTAATAGCATCCATCATGTGTTCAATTTTATTAATTTCAATCACTGAAAATTTTTCTTGAACTGGTTCTCAAGGTAATCCATTAATTAAAATTCAATTTAAACATCACTGAACACATGTTATATACAAAACCACTAAATTATAGATTAAAGAGTACAACGATGAATAAGATATTTTCTATTTTAAAGGGCTTAAAATTTGCCTCTGCTATGACCAGTTCATCTGCAAGACAAAGAGCATGTTACAGGTAGTCAGATACAATGGCTGACTTCTAGTCATCTAGGAAGCTGAAACTTTCTTAATTCTAGAGTTACTTTGAAATTCATGATTCCAAATGCATTAATTCAAATGATTTCTCATACAACTCTCACACCTTCCACCACCGTGTTTGTCCCAGAAGTTCTCTATCTGCTTTCCAAACACAGTTCAGGTGGACCAGAGCTGCAGAGAAACTGTAGGCATAAACAGGGCTTATTTAGTTGATACAAAGAGCAAACGTAAATATCCCTTTCAGCAGGCAAAGAGCTAGAATATATTTTTGAGTGTTGCTAATGAGTGGAAGAAGCAAGCTGCTTTTATCATGCAGTGGTGCAAATTAGATATTTATGGGTTTCCTGTGGTGTTCAAGGTGTTGCTCCTTTCCAGTATTTTAGGAAGGAAAGCTTTGTGTTCTAAGAATAGCCTCATTGATGATTCTCCCTTGGGCACAGAAGTATTCTAATCTGGAAGTAGTAAATTTTATCTGAAGAGCCTGAATCTCTTAGTAGTATAAAGTGTACCTTAGGCTTTGGGAGCTTTTTTAGTGTTTTTTTAAAATAGCTTTATTAAGATATATTTCACACACCATACAGTTCACCCATTTCAAGTGTACAATTTAATGACTTTTAATATGTTTACAGATTTATGCAACCATCTCCACAGCAAATTTTAGAACATGTTCATCACCTCAAAAAGAAATCCTGTACCCTTTAACTACTACCCTGTCTTCCCATCCCCCACCACCAAGCAACTACTAATTTACTTTCTGACTGTATAGAATTCTCTGTTCTGGAAACTTGATGTGAATGGAATGATATATGTGGCCCTTTGTGACTGGCTTCTTTCACTTACCATCATGTTTTCAAGGTCCATCCATGTTATAGCATGTATTAGCATTTTATTCCTTTTATGGCCAGTTCCACTGTATGGATATGCCACATTTTGTTTGTTCATTTATCAGTCGATGGTCATTTGAGTTATTCCCATCTTTGGCTATTATGAATAATGCCATTTGTGTACAAGTTTTTGTTGAGGCATATGCTTTCATTTCTCTTGGGTATATATATGTAGAAATAGAATTGCTGGACCATTTGACATTTAAAGCAGCTGCACCATTTAACATTCCCATTTACATTCCCAGAAGGGTATGAGGATTGTTTTCCATATATCCTTGCCAACAACTTGTTACTGACTTTTTAAATTCTAGCCATCTAGTGGGTTTGAGAGAGTATTTCATGATTTGATTTGCATTTTTCTGATAACTAAAGATGAAGAGGATCTTTACATTTGTTAATTGGCCATTTATATCTCTTCTTTAAAGAAACATTTATTCAAGTCTTTTGCTCATTTTTTAAATTGGTTTATTTATCCATTGAATTGTAAGAGTTCTTTATATTTCTGGATACAAGCCTCTTATCAGATACATGATTTGCCAATATTTTCTCCCATTTGGTGGGTTATTTTTTTACTTTCTTGATGGTGTCCTTTGGAGCACAAATATTTTTAAATTTAATTAAGTTTTGGAGAATCTTTGTAGCCTGGTACTTTTGACAGCCTAGCAACATGGGTCAGCTTTTGACATTACCTAGCTCCCTCACCCTCCTCTGTGAAAAGACCACCTTGGAATCTTTCCACTCACCTCCACACCACTTCCTTTGCCCCTTCAGCCTCAAGCCATAATATTCATCTTTCCATTTTTCAGGCATGCAAAGCTTTTTCCTACATTTAAAACTTGACATTTGAGTCTCAGTTCCAATGTCACTTCCTCAAAGTAACCTTCCTGGGCACCCAAGCAAATTATCCCATTTCATCATTATCACATCTCTTTAATTTTCTTTGTAACACATATCTTTATTTATTTATAGAAATACTAAAATATTCCATCAAAATATAAGCTGCATTAGAGAAAGAATCATATCTACTTTCTTCACTGCTATGTCCTAAGTACCTAAAATAGTGACTGCCACATAGTAGGTTCTCAATGAATATTTCCTGAGTGATCAAATGAATCCTCTAGCCCAGACATTGTGCTAGGGACTAGAGGAAAAAG
The DNA here is from genome assembly GCF_000001405.40 of Homo sapiens. NCBI lineage: Eukaryota > Metazoa > Chordata > Mammalia > Primates > Hominidae > Homo > Homo sapiens. The sequence goes on along the minus strand of NC_000001.11, from coordinate 95,516,788 downwards.
AGTAAATAATACTGATTCCCCAAACAGGGCTGGAATCACTTTAGAAATATACTTTGTGATTAGTGTTGTGGGAGAGGTATATGGTTATTAGCAGAAAATTCATTTAGCAGGATGAGTTAACTATTTATCTTATTAAAATAAAAAATCTTTAAAGCAGTTGAGACAGATGAACAAACTTGCTCTGCAAATACTCAGAACTCCTTTAATTGAGTTTATTATGCCCCCACACACATTACCACTAGTAGAGAGAAATGAAGAAATCTGGCTGTACTCTCTTCCTTCACCCCTCACTATCTGATAATAGTAATAATCATCATAATAAAATAACAGCAATAACGCTTTTTTTTTTTTTTAATTTACTGCTCTGGGGAAGAAGCAGGAAAAAGCTCACCCCTCTCTGATCCGGTTGAAAACACCATGGTACTTGCCAGGCAGCTGGGTTCCAGTCCCAGCATTCCTAGAGTTAGTTGTGTAAACTTAAGTCTTGTGTACTTTTTTAAAGTACTTTTTTTAAGGTTCCCTCTTCAGTGACTTTTAGTTATTAAGATGTTTCTTATCTAATTTATAAAATTTGTATGAGGATCAAATAGGGTAGATGTAAAAATGCTTCCAGCTTCTCCAGGACAGAGAATGTGCCATAATCAGCTCAGCATTCTCAGAAACACCCACATTTGATCAGGTGTTAAGATAGTTTCTAAAAGAACCCATGCTCATATACACCATTTTCTTGCTTCAGTGATTTTCTCAGCCTAGGATATTCTTTCCTTTCCCATCCCCACCCCACTGACTCTCTTCCATGCCTTAATGTTTGTGTAAACATCCTTTCTTTCTGATGAATGCTGGTTTTGATACTCTGCACTCTAACATCCTCAATGCTAACAGCGATGTAGGAACCAAGAGCATCAAGATTAATTGAGATGACTCAAGATACACCCTGTAATAAAAACCACACACAACAATCTATCAAACAATGAGAAAGCAATAAACAAAATGTCAGTAGTAAGTCCTTATCTACTAATAATTACCTTGGTTGTAAAAGGATAAAGGTCTCTGATCAAAATACATAAAGTGGCTGGGATGGATTAAAAAAAAAAAGAGCCAACCCAACTATCTGCTGCCTACAGGAGACTCACTTTACCTATAAGGACACACAGACTGAAAATGAAGGAACAGAAAAAGATATTCTATGCAAGTAGAAACTAAAAGAGAGCAGGAGGAAGTATACTTGTATTAATATCAGGCAAAATAGACATTAAGTAAAAAACTGTAAGGACAGACAAAAGGAGAGACAAAGAAGGCCATTCTCATAGAAAAAGGAGTAAAATGGTGGTTACAAGAGGCTTTATTATGGGGTGTTTGTGGGGTGGGGTTAGAAAGATGTTGGTCAAAGGGTACATAATCACACTTAGATAGGAGAAATTAGTTCCAGAGATCTACCATTCAGCATGGTGACTATAGTTAATATACTGTATTCTTAAAAAATGCTAAGAGAGTGAATATTGTATTCTCACCTCAAAAATAATAACTATGTGATATAACACATTTGTTAGTTAGCTAGATTTAACCATTCCACAATGCATATATACAGTCATGCACCATATAACTATGTTTTAATCAATGATGGACCTCATATACTATAGTGGTCTCATAAGATTGTAATACCATATTTTTACTGCATCTTTTCTATATTTAGATATGTTTTGATACGCAAATACTCACCAGTATGTGACTATTGTCTATAGTATTTAGTACAGTAGCATGTTATACAGGTTTATAGCCTAGGAGCAATAGGCTACATTATGTAGCCTAGGTGTGTAGTAGTTTATACCACCTAGGTTTGTGTAAATACACTCTATCATGTTTATACAATGACAAAATTGATGGATTTCTCAGAACATATCCTTATGACACAGGACTGTACTTCAAAATATTGTGTTATACATGACAAATACATATAATTTTATAAGTCAATTCTTTAAAAATAAATATTTTTAAGAGAAAGAAGTACATACACATACTCTATAACAAACCAGGAAGAACACACAATGTGTTTCCAAGTTTCCAAATCCTAAAGAGCTGATGGTAATTCTTAATCAGTGTGGCCACTATGAGCCGGTCTGGCACATTCTTCTTGTAGTCTCTGTGATGCTTCTATCTGCCCATGCTGCTCACCTCCTCTGCCATCTGCCTTAATATGCTCCCTCTTTTATTCAGAGTTTGTTTCAGAAGCTGTTAGTCTTTGCTTATGCGTGTTTGCAAACCACATATAGTTGTGCAGGTTGTGCACATAAAGAAGCACTGGGCAAGGGAAGGGAAAGATGGGATTGAAACCCAGCCTTCCCTCTGTCAGCCATGCCAGGAGGAAAAAAAAAAGTCTTTTTAAAACCTGTCCACCCAGAGGCAGTAACATTTTGCAATTCACAGTGTATAAGCTTACAGTGGCTCTCTTCTCAAAATACCCATTGAAGAATTCAGTCTTTATTTAATTTCTACAGAAGACTGTATCCCTCCAAGATCCTGGATAAAGGGACTGGCTCCACGATGCTGGCTTTGCTTCTCTCTACTCTCATGTTTCTGGTATGGGGACCATGGTCTCCATGTAATGTGCGCTCTCTCCTCTTAGTCAGTGTTCAGCGCCCTGAAAAGGAAGCAGTTTTGAAACCTTTTGGTGAAAAGCTCATTTCTTCATAGGAATCTGAATTGAGAAGTAGGTTTTCTCCAGATAACACTTCTTCTGTTACACAAGTCACTCCTCTCATTGGTAGCAACTGGGGTTTATATAGTTAAATTATGTAATGCTCAACATTATATAGGCTACGTATGCATCAAAGCTAAAATCCAGCATCTAACAAGGAAGGCTGTGATGAATTTTGCCCCTATTTGTTTTTCTCTATTTCCTTTCCTTGAAATGCATCTCACAATGTTGGGGCGAGTAGTAAAATAACTATATAATGTCTGACTCAATGCCAAAGAGGAATAAAACCATTTGCAATGTTTTTTCAATATTTCTCTAAGATCTTAATGAAATTTTAAGTTTAAAGGAGTTCAAAACAATTTAAGTAATACAATATTACACAAGGAGGTTTTCATTGAAGCCAAAAACTTCATCATTATTAAAATTAAGTATGTTGTTATTAAAAGAAGTTTTCATAGGAGCCCAAAATTTTATTATTATTAAAATTAAGTATGTTGGTATTAAAATAAGTGGGCTTCTTTTAAATGAACTGAAATGTAAAAAAATTACTTCACATTTAAGTCCAAGACAGCATGAAAGAAGAAGAAAATAAATGCTGAAAGGATTAATATAAGAAATAACAGAACTGTTTTATATCTATCATTCTTTGTGTTTTCCCCCTTCTTCTTGAAAGCAAAGATACTATAACAAATAAAAGTTTAATAAGTAAAAAATACATGTTAAATGAAAAACCATGATTAACTTATTAAGGACCATTAAGTATATAATTACAAGGATTCTATTACATTAAGATACCAATTTCTTTAAAGCCAGAAATAATACCTACTGAAACTTTAATTATTTAAATGAGAAGAGAAAGAGGCATGTTATCTTCTCTGACAAAGATTAAAATCAATTTAATTGCTTCTCTGCTGCCTTGACATGATTCTTGCTGTGAGTCAAGCAACCAAAAAGGGAAATTAATACCGCAGCTGTTAATCAAGTGATATCCCTGCACTCCATTTGATTACATCAGGGAGAAAACCATTGCTACTTGGCTGACTTGTGTGTCTATACCCCTTTTTTGCTGTAGTTGGGTTAGCTATGAGAAATGCTGAGGCTGGACTTAATTTTTAGAGCCTGTGATAGTGCTAGGTGAGGCACAGCCTCAGGAAATTGCAGGTTGCTGTGTTTGAGCCCGGGCAAAGGCAGTTCTATCAAGACAGAGGTTTGTTCCAAATTAAATTCACCCTTTGGTGCCTGATTCTACTGTCCATGGTGTGAAGTACAAAGAAACACAAGGGCACTGGCGGAGCTAGAGAATGAGAAAGAATATGAGAGTGTAGCTAAGATTGATGCTTTTTTGCCCATAGAACATAACAATATATTTTTCAAGGTAGACAGCAGCAGTTTCTAGAGGTCAAATACCAACTCCCTCTCTCAAATTAGGACATGCATTTGAAAGCCAGGTACAATAACAAGTGATGCTTACCTCAAGGCCCCCCCAACTCATATCCTCTGATTTTAAAACCGGGCTTTTGTTAAACACTAGTGCTGAATGAACATCCAGCAGCATACTTGGCAAACTAATGTATCTGATTGTAAAAAAAAAAAAATGGTATTGTGAAATATTTATGAGTCTGGAAATACAAACCAGTACCCCGTCTCATCATCTCTTATCAGCCCTTGTTAACTTTACAGATGATGAGAGACACTGGAATAACTGGGGTTGCCAAAACTAATAGATCTCAGGCACTTTGCACCCACAGAGTTCAGTTTCATCAAGGGCCCTTTTTTCAGGAACTTTTAACTCTCCCCCTTCCTGTTTGCCTTCTCTTATGAGAGATAGAGATAGATAAGAACACTTCTCAATCTCAAACATATATACTCAGGAAGAGAAAACTCTTCTGAGAACCTTATCCTTTTCCTACATAGGAAAAAAACTCAAAGTGGGGATTGAGGAATTTGGTTCCTAGGGAAATGTTTTGCATTTGAGCTTTTTAAATATCCCTCCCAGTACTGTGGAAGGATCATAAGGAAAAATGCCCATCCAGACCAGTTGCAGGAAATGCTTCTATATAACAGGAAACACAGAAAGGCAGAAAAAAAAAATTCTGTCCTCCAAAGATAACCCAATGTTTTTTTACATTTCAAAAATATAATCACTGGCTCAGGTCAGCCCAAGGGACAGGTTAAGATGCCCATCAGCTTTTATTTTATCCGAGTCCAGTTCACCTATCCCCAGGACCTGTAGATGACTTTGCCTGGCTCTTTTTCATCAAATACAACTCATCCTACTATATTGGATCACCTTGCTGTTAGCCTGGCACTGTCCCTCCCCATTTCAATTTGACCAAATTGAAACAGATGCCCAGAGGCCGTGAAGATCAAGACTAGTATAACAAAATTTGGAGCCAGTTTCCAAGTTTAAATCAATATTTAACGGTAAGCCTGCTTTTATTTATTTATTTTTTGGCAGGCTTTTACTGGCAAATATCACTTTAAACTGAAAGCCAGAAGCCTTAATTATAAAGGATGCCATTCAGGCTACATTTTGAAAAACAATAACTCATTTGACAAGACAACCTGGTAGTTTACCGGATTGCACTCCCCAGAAGAAGGCAAGGAGGAGGGTGGTGTTGTTTTCTATATCCTTCAAAGATATATTTAATTACCTCATCTTCAAGCATGCAGAGACAATTCAAATAGGGTAGAAGGAGAGGGAAATGGGGGAGTGAAATCAATTCACTGTCTCAGTCAAATCAAGCAAAAGCCCCATGACTACCTGCAACATGAGAGGCAAACATTTACGGAGGTGGGGAGGGATCACCCAAAGAGCTTATACAGATGGACCCTGGCTAGAATGAGGACCTGTGAGGATGCTATTCCTGAGTGACCTTTATTTCACCTCACTGCTCTCCAACATGTGTGCTAAATCTCCTCTAGATGAGTCAAACAACAGGACAATTGGGAAAGAAGTGACATGACATCAAAATATAAGCCCCCCTGGGCTTGCCAAACTCAGCAAGACCTACCTAGAGATCTCACTTCTTCAGTATAATTTTTGGAATGAGTTTCAGGGGCCAAAAGTCTCTTTTTGCCTTACCTACTTTGAAGTCATAGCAAAACAAAAACAGGTGATCCATGTAAGCAGTTGCTAAACATAAAAAAACAAATGCACACACAAGGTTTACTAAATGAATCCACATCCAACTTAGCAAGCATCACGTCAGAGCTAATAATTGGTCATTAATCTCAAAGAATCTATTTCAAAATGTGCAGTCAGAAATTAGCAAGCAGGAGCATATGTTCCACAACTACAGACTCTACGAGTGTATCTTGTAACGCTGCCATTTACCTTCAAGAGAAATTTGCGATTTTCTAAAGAAGAAAGTTGTCAATCACTTACGTACATAGAATTTAGGGTGGGGGATTGGGAGAGAGACCACAATATAGCTCACCAAGAAACAGAAGGGACTCAGAACAATCATGTAAAGGAGAAAAGAAACCAGTTCCAGTCCTCACATGGGCACCGAGACTGTTTCTGCCCTGCCTGCCAGAACACATAATCAGGAGGGGTAGCCTTTCTAAACATTGCCTCTTTCTGTTGTTACATTGTTTCACAAATTCAGACAAGCCTCTAGGTATCATTCTCTTTTTTCTGTGAAGTAAAAATTCCTAAAGACTTCTTCTCCTTAAACCTTTACCATCCCCCTACCCCCCGCCCAGGCCTTCTAAGAGACAACACTTGCCTTCTGCTTTTCCTCCAGCTTCTGGGCAAAATAAAGTGCCTTCCATGGGATGTCTTCCAGACCGTCCTGTAGGATCTCACACCCACCTCTGTGAGCAAACCGAGGGGGGCACCCCATCTACATTGACACGAACACGATTGTAGGGCTTTAATTTTATTTCGTCGACTTCCCTTTGCAGCTTGCCTGTCTCTCCCATGTCTGCCACCCGCAGCAGGAGATTAAAAGAACAGAGGAGGTAGGAGCTCTTGTGAGAACCACGGGAATTTTGGCAGAACCTTTATGGGAACCATATGGCAGCAACTCTGAAGTACATGAAACATTTCTAAGGGAGAAGAACTCTATTATTCCCAAAGAATGTTTCTCATCTGACTCAAGTGCACTGAGCACCCCTGCCAAAGGATGGGAATAATATTTTCTGGAAAGACTGTATGGATGCAGATTATATCTGATCTCAATGTATCTAATAGTAGCAGATCAGCATTATACCCCACAATCTATTAATAAAGGGAAAAGACAATATGTGTGTTTCTGATATTCCCTAGCTATTCATAACCTTCCTATAACACATTTTACTCATCTTTTGCAATGAAGGGACTGGATAAGATAAGTGCCCTTCAGTTTTTTATCTTTGCAGCAGTCTCCTTTGGTCAATGGAGACCTCATTCAGAACTCCAGTACACAGGAACGATCATGATGGATCAGATATTATTGAAGCAAGGGCAGAAGGTCTGGCTGCTCTTTTTTGGCCTCTCCCTCACTTTTTTCTTCTTTTCCTTTCTTTTCTTTTTCTTTTGTTTTTTTTTTTTTTTTTTTTTCAGGTTTCTTTCCCAGACTATTACTCTTTGTTAACTTTAAACAGGTAGAACAAGGAGAGACATCTGTCCCCTCCAGTTCTACCAGAGCCAGATATGCCTTGCTCTTCTGTTCAGAAACACAAGACAGTGAGTTCACACTGCCTTCAATGGGTCCATGACTTTCCAACCAGCCCTGCAGTGTAAAGAGACTCTTCACATAGCCATCCAGTGAGCAGCAGTCAGCTAATGACCAAAAGCAGTACTCCTGGAAAAGAACCCAGAGCACTGCCTCAGGACTGGGCAGTGGAGGAGTCCCAGGTAATGGATGAGATGCAGACAAGCAGAAGGGATGTGAAAGTGGCTGAAGAAGGTTCTTCCAGGCAGGAAAGAGTCCTGGAGATAATTTTTTTCTACCTCAAGCCCTAGAGCTCTATAAACAAATCTAACTTCCTCGCATAGAGGGGTCACAAAAAGAAGTCCCAAAAAAATCATGTGTGGTAGTATTTAGAAACAGAAATAGCAAGAAAAATAGCTGTATAGTGGTTAAATTATGGGTGGTTGAGGCAGAAAATACGCCTGCCTTGAATTCTAACCTTTTAATCAACCACATAGAAAACAGATGTTAAGATTTGGAACAAACAAACAAACCAGCTTGGACTGGAGAAGTGAATAATTCTGTTCAGAAACACTAAGTCAGGATGAAGGAAGATCTCTAGAATACAACTGGATATCACCAATCCCAAACCATTTTTGATTTAGGATTTCAAGAATCTCCTAGTGAAAAGAGATTGGAGCCCTCACACCACACTCATGCCTTTAGATGGTGTGAATTTTTAAAAATATACTTAAGCTTCAGTTCACTTTGGATGTGTATGGTTTCTTTCCTTGGTGGTCTTGACTTCCTCTCCCATGAACTTTTAAGGAGCTTATAAAGTCCTAAGCAAAAGAACAATTCAGGCACTTTCATGGAAGTGCACCTGGACCAAGAGGACTCAGCTCTTGGTCAGCTGGAGGCATGATAGTGTTCCCTAATGTGAAAGAACGTAAAAGCACCCTTGAAATGTGGTCACTAACATGGATGGATCTGCAGGCCATGATCCTAAGCAAACCAACGCAGGAACAGAAAACCAAATACCACATGTTCTCACTTACAAGTGGGAGCTAAACACTGAGTACATATGGACACAAAGTAGGGAAAAACAGACACTAGGGCCTATTTGAGGGTGGAGGGTAGGAGGAGGGAGAGGATTGAAAAACTACCTGTTGGGTACTACACTCATTACATGAGTGATTAAATAATCTGTACACCAAAACCCTGTGGCACTTAATTTACCTATATAGCAAACCTGCACCTATACCGCTGAACCTAACATAAAAGTTTAAAAAATGTGATCACTAAAGACATATATGTGTTTATTAACATTTTCTGAGAACACATTCTAGAACAAGAGGCAAATACTAGTAGTATTTGCTTTCTCTGGACATAAGTCAGGATACTTTTAAGAAATATGTATTCCTAGCATACTAAGAAAAGATGCAGAGGAACTCTTTGACAGGAAACACAAAGACCAGCTCCAGTCTTCTATGACCATTGTTAGATTTTTAAAAATAGTATTAGTTTACCTTAGTATGTGCTATGTAGGGATCATGTTGTAGTTTTAGAAGCCATTGCTTCTTCCTAGGTGAATGGCCTTGGGTATTTCACTTTCAGAGATCCTCATCTGAAAATGTGATGACGATGATGATGATGACAACAACGACACCTACATCTATACAAACCCACTTTACAGGAGTAGGAAGGGGCTGGGCTTGAGTACTAGCCAAGGAGCTTTGTTCTAGCATCTAGGTTCTGAGGCTGGTGGGGTCAGGAGCAGAATGAGACATATTGGTGACATAGCAGGATAACAATTTGGTAGTCCTGAAGCAGGTGCCTCTTTGTTTTGTTTCAATATCTGTTCAACATTGTCTACAGGAGATGTTGAAGACTAAGAGGGGAAAGAGCACCGTGGGCTGCAGGCTACCAATTTCTATCTTCCTTCTTTTTCTCAGCAACTTAGCTCTTGCCAGCTATTGCTACTCAATAATTTACCTTGGGTGTCTTGTCACTCTCCCCTCCAAAGTAGCTTATCTGTGTTTTTCTTACACGATATACAGTACTCTCCCTGAGACGAGTTATGGAAATATCATCTTTCTCCATGTTTTTATATTTCCAGGCATAGTTTAGACCACAAGTGTATTTTGATGCTTTGAATTATTGGCACTCCAGTAAATGGCCCTACTGATCTCCCAATTTAAGTGGCATCTGGGTAGGATTTCCTCCCTGGCAACTATCCAGCTGAACTGACCTTCCAATTTAATTTGGTTCTGGGTGGGTTATCCTGCCAGATCAGCCACATAACTGCAGAGTGAAGAGCAGCCAAAGTCTTGGCATTGTGGGTCCAGCTGGGATGAACAATAGCAATTAACAAATTGAAAAGACAAAAGTAGAGTTGAAAGTGAAAGACAATAGTCTTTGATGCTGGGACTGAGGGACTATAATCAAGCAGAAGCAGGTCAGGAAATAAAGATGTGTGTCACCATACCTGGGTTTTGGGCAATTGCGATCGATGGTTCAGCAGTGTCCTGGGCTTGTCTGAACTTACTAGTGACTCCAAGGTGAATCATTTCATTAGGTTGACTTAAAGGTTGAAGAAGACATGTTCCAGGGGTGTTGTGGGAACTAAGTAAGATAGAAAGAAAGCAAGCAAAGAAAGGCTCTTGTAATGCCTACACCACTGAGCAAATGCTATGATTACTACCTCAACTGTCCTAATTACCGATGTCTCTCAACTCCAATTTGCTCAACACTTGGTCCTCTTACAGAATACAATTAACGAGAGAGAGAGAGAGAGAGAGAGAGAGAGAGAGAGATGAACAAGCATCACGGGATTGGGATTCAGACAGAGCTGGATTCCAATCCCATCCTCAAAATCCAAAACTATGAAAACCGTGGAAGACAACCGAGGCAATACCATCCTGGACATAGGAACAAACACAGATTTCATGACAAAGGCCAAAAGCAATCGCAACAAAAGCAAAAATGGACAAGATAGGATCTTTTGCATAGCAAAAGAAACTATCAACAGAGTAAACAGACAACCTAGAGAATGGGAGAAAATTTTTGCAAACTATGCATCCAACAAAGGTCTAACATTCACCATCTATAAGAAACTCAAACAAATTCACAAGGGAAAAACAAATAAGACCATTAAAAGGTGGGCAAAGGACATGAACAGATACATCTCAAAAGAAGACATACATGCTGCCAATAAATACATGAAAAAAAGCTTAATATCACTGATTATTAGAGAAATGCACATCCAAACCATAATAAGGTACAATCTCATACCAGTCAGAATGGCTATTATTAAAAAGTAAAAAAATAGATGCTGGCGAGGTTGCAGAGAAAAGAGAACCCTTATACACTATTGTTGGGAGAGTAAATTAGTTCAACCATTGTGGAAAGCAGTATGGCGATTCCTCAAAGAGCTAAAAGCAGAATTACCATTAGACCCAGCAATCTCATTACTGAGTATATACCCAGAGGAATACAAATCATTCTACCATAAAGACACATGATGCAAATGTTCATTGCAGCACTGTTCAGAATAGCAAAGACATGGAATCAATCCAAATGCCCATCAGTGACAGACTGGAAAAAGAAAATGTGGCATATATACACCATGGAACACTATGTAGCCATAAAAAAAGAGATCACGTCTTTTGCAGGAACATGGGTGGAGCTGGAAAACTATTATCCTTAGCAAACTCATGCAGGAACAGAAAACAAAATACAGCACATTCTTACTTATAAGTAGGAGCTAAATGATAAGAACTTATAAACACAAAGAAGACAACAACAGGCATGGGGGTTTACTTGAGGAGGGAGGGTAAGAGGAGGGAGGAGAGAAAAAAAGATAACTATTGGGTACTGGGCTTAATACCTGGGTGATGAAATAATATATACAAATCCCCATGACACATCTTTACCTAGGTAACTCACCTTCACATGTACCCCCAAACCTAAAATAAAAGTTAATTTAAAAAAAATCCCAGCCTCATCATGTATTAAGCTTTGTAAAGTTAATCAATTCACTTAACTCTGAGACTCAATTTTCTATGCTTTAAAGTGGGGATAAATAATAGTAGTTTGAAAGGATGTTGTGAGGTTGAATAGAGCATTCATAAAGGGCCAGGTCCATAGTAGATAGCCGATGAATGGCATTTTTTATTGTTATTATTATTATTATTATTGAGCCGTTAGCTTGGGGCTCTTTAAAGGAGACTCCCTCCTAAGAATTACCTTTCCTTAGCATAAAGGACAATTCTTCAGGGCACTCCAGCCAGAGGAGGAGGTCCTCAATTTAAATTCACTGTTTGTAAAACAATGGATTTAAAACAATCCAAAATAAAGGTATTTTAAAAGTGTTTGGATGATAGCAAGAAAACTCCAGGGTCACCACCATGAAGTATTAGGTTGGTGAAAAAGTAATTGTGGTTTTTGCCATTGAAAGTAATGGCCGAAACCTCAATTACTTTTGCACCAACCTAATAGCTTCCGCTTACTCTTGCTGTGTCCTTAGAGGGGAAAAGAAGTGAGAAAAAGGGAGGGAAAAGACTAAAATGTTCAGATAATTTAAGGAATTGTTTTTGTTTTGTTTTTCTCAGTACAACAAGACTTTTCTGTTGAATTAAGATTTTTGGATCTTAAAGTTCTGCATTGCACATCAATGTCTTCAAAGATTAGGGAAAAATATTTGAACTTCCCAGATTGTGTGAACAATTCTGAGAATTTCTGTAGTATGAGGAGAAAAAAAAATCTCAGCAAAGATTCATTCCTTAGAGACTGACTGAAACATGCTGAAAAGTCTGGTTGAAGTCAAGAGACCCCATGCAGTCCAGACACATAGCAGGCTTCCCAGAGAACCTTAGGAGAGCAGGTTTTGAGTCACTTTCCTCTTGGCTGTAACCAGGAGGCTAAAGTACGTATGAGCCAAAGTCTTGGGAAATTTACATCAGGCGAGCAATTCAACAGGTCTTGGCCACACACAGATCCAGCTTCTGTGAAGAGTTAAGCACCAAGGATTCACAGAGACAGCAGCACAGATGTTTTCAGTCTCGGTTTCCTATTGTGTCCACCCATCCCAACTTCCCACACCCTCTGCCCAGACCCACAGCCCCTGCCTTTCTACCCTCTCACGATTCACTTGTTCGACGTGTCTCCATTAAGTGTCTCTATGAGCCCCACAGCTGCATCCCTACTCTCATACTCCTCTCTCAGAAAGAACAAATATTTGGATAAATTATGTATAATTTCCCTGCCCCATGCAGCCCTATAGGCTTCATTTACAATAAGTTGAAAAATATGCTTCTCAGAGATGGTACTTCTCTGGGAAAAGAGAGCAGATTGTGCTAAAGACGGTAACCGTGGTCTCCTAAGAACTCCTCATCATGTTCCACAGCGCATGGGAAACCAAGGTTACTATTCCATCCTCTGCTTGCAGCAGCAAAACAGATGCCTCCCCAGCCCCCAGTGCTAAAAACCTAGAGCACTGTATACCAGGAACAGATTAAAGTGGTAGCTGGAAGCATACCCAAGCCGAGGATTTACAGATGTTCAATAAAACCTGCAGACAGCCCACCGAAATCCCTGCACAGAGCTGCGAGGGCACACATCCAGCTCAGTTGGAAATGGGTCCATAGTGAGGGAAAGAAACAAGAATCATAGCTGCTCCAGATGCATGTTAGTTACAAAGGATGCTGAGGAGCTCAAGCGCATCTTTCAAGAATAGCAACTTTACAATCCATCTCAGGCTTTTTTGAACTTCAGAATTCTCACTTCACCATTAAAAGTGTTCAGTTTAGTCAGAGCGTATAACAGATATCTTGCTGCCAAGAAACGGTAAGATGCACAAGCTGAGACAAGCTTGGTGTGAGGCAGAGAACACAAATACCCCAAAAGCCACTGAGTGGCCAACCAGAGGGCTCGGCACCAAACAGGCCTTCACGTCTTATTAATATTATCCTTCTCTTGATTGCCCTATTTGGACACATTTGTAAAAAGCATTACTCACTCCACCCTTTATTCCCCAAATACAGCAGATGGTTTTAGCGCAGTGTTTCAAATCAGATGTTAGGCAGAGAGACCAAGCTGGAGCCCAGAGCATCTGGATTTTCAAGAAACAGCATGCAGAGCATGTGAGAAAGCTAGGAGGGAACAGAGGGGAGAGATTGTTCAGGGTACTTACCAGGCCATTTTTAGCCAGAGGGAAAATAACCCCCAAGTTGTGTAATTATTCTTTCTTTAAAGAAAGGTACAGGCTCACAGAGCAAAGTAAATCTATTTACTAGCTTATTTCAGGAGCTAGACATTTTAGGTAAATTCTTAAAGACACAGACAAAATGCTATCACAATTTTTCTCTCCAATTTTTTTTTAAATCAGGTGTTGAAAAGAGATTATAAATGAGGATAAAAATAGAAAAACGAGTAATTCAGCTCAATGTAGTATCCATGTGTTTCCAAAACCTGAGTGGGTTGCATTCACAAAACACAAAAGGACATGTTTCTGAAAATTAGACTTTGTCTTGTTTAAAGATTGTCAGGTACGGAATTAGTTAAATTGTGAGGCAAAGACACAATTACTTGTTTGTATCAATAACTTAAAAAGATTGAGGAGCCCGAGTGATTTCATAGTGTCCAGTTGCATATTTGTCAGCCGTATTGCGTTGCCAGCTTGTTAGTAACAATAACTCAAGATGAGATCTTCGGCAAGCTATTTAATCTTTTCCATGGCTCCAGTTTGCTCACTTGCAAAATGAGAAGGTTGGACCATATTAGCTCTGAGGCCCTTTCTTGCTCTAATATTCTACAGATAGATGAAATCCCACCTAATTAAGTAATTCATGTAAAATATATAATGCAATGTCTTACACATAAGTGGTGAATAAGTAGTTTATTAATAATAATATAAACTTCTGATACCTGGCACTATTGTTCTAGCAATTATTCTTGAACACTGACTATTTTAATGTAGAGAGAAAAGCAACACTGAACAGCTCCCACCTAGAACTTGACCCAGGTTTGATCCACAGAGGAACAGGGAAAAGCAAGTGCTCACATCCGTCCCATGCTGCTAGGAAGCAGGCTACGTGACCGATTACCAGCTCTTCTGGCAGCATTTCCTGATTTCACCAACAGTTTCTCCTAGGCATTGTTTGGAATAGGAATATGGACCCATAAATGTTACCTTTTTCCCACTCCTGAAGTATTTTTCTAATCTACCTACTTATCTGCTGTTCTCGGCCCTTAAAGTTATTTAAAAGTAATACGCATTTGTGGATTTCACATTTTGAGAGATAATAGCTACTTGAAAAGGTCTAAAAAGAAACCAATAGAAATTATAACATAAAACTTGAACATGTAAGTTCCTATTCCCTGCTTTTCTTACTGTATTTCCTTTAGTGAATGGCACTCATTTCATGGTGTGTCCAAGTCAGAAAAGTGAGTTATCCCAGACTTCCATTTTCTAACTTTTTCTTTCTCCTTCCTTCTTCCTTCCCTCATACTTTACCCAATAGTTGTGCAGTGCTTTGCCCAATTATATGCACTTGATGGATATTTGTTGAATCAACACCAGGAACAGCCTCCTACAATTGTATAGTACTATATGTGCCAGGCACTCTTCTAAACATTTCATATGTATTCACTCATGTAATACTGACAACTTCATCATTCCCATTTAACAGATTAGGAAACTGAGGCATAAGAGATTAAGTGACTTGCTCAGAGTCACATGGCTAGTAAAAATGCTTTTTAAAACCAGGCAGTTTGGTTTCAGAGTCCGTGCACTCAATCACTATTCTTTACTGTCTGTTTCTATCTTGGGACATTTAGGTTTAATCTTACCATCAGAGTAAGGTATATTTATTCCAAGCTAAATAAAATAGGCAATATATCGCTTGTGCTCAGCAATTATTTTCCTTTCTTTGTCCTATAGATATTATTGTTCTTTTTAAATTTGTCTTACCTTCCCAATTTAACAGTGTGTCTTGGAGCTCTAGAGTGACCAGGACAACACTCCAAAGTAGTATAAAGCAACTCTTTCATTCCTCTCTAGTTGACTAAGGGCACCCCCATTCCCTGCCTGCACACAAGTCAATAAGATGGGAAGCAACAGGAGGGAATAATTGAAGGGTAAATTGAGGGCAACATAGAGTTGATTGAATAACCACTGTGAAGATTCAGAAGTCTGTAAGCAGGGTGTTAGGTGATCCATGCTGTGTTTTAGGAAGGAAAATTTGTCAACACTGCATGGGACAGACTGGCATGGGGATGGACTGGGATATCACCTTGTCAACTCTGCCCCTAAGTGCTGCCTAGACATCAGGAGGGCCTCACGCTGAGCAGCGGGGACAGGGATGTTGAGACGGAGTCCAGAGATACTTTGGAGGTAAAATTGGCCTCCGTGCCTGATTAGATGGAGAGGGTAAAGGAGAAAGGAGACAAAAGCACCCTCAGAGCATGTGGACAGAGATACAGGGAGAATGGTAACATTTATAGTTATAAATGTGCACCGGTTATAGTGGTAAACAAGACAGAAATAGGCCTTGCCTTCCTGAAGCTTATAGTCTGGTGGAGACACATAATAAAAAAGCAAAGCTAATAATATCTGTCAAGTTCTACAAAAGAAACCCAGACATAGAGTATGAAGGGGAGAAGAAGAAAGCATGTCTCCTTGGAGGTAGGAAAATAAGCAGTAGAGTATTTTGTCACAGGAGTCAAGAAAGCAGTGAATTTCAACGAGAAAGGGATGTTCAAGATCAAACATTAGGAGGTCATGTGAGTTAGCATGAGACGGCTATTAATGGCTCGGGAAAGCAGAATCTGTAAAGCAGTTGAGGTAGAAATTGTGGGCCACTGGTTGAAAAGGAAGTGAGGCACAAGGAAGCTGTGAAAATCAACCCATACTAACCCTTTTGAAAGTTTGGAAGGTAAGAAAGTTGTCAGATTCAAAATGGAGTCACTTGTGTCAAACCCTGGCAAAATGAAGAGGGAGCTCTCACACATGATTTGCCTGATAACAGGAACTATTATCAGGCAATACTGCAACTTACTACATGAGTCACCCAAGGACAGCTAGCAGTACAAGGACAGCTAGTGGCTGATACAAGAACAATTGCCTGACACACTGTCTCACAGGCCTAATCCAAAACCACAAGGGCCTGACTAGAAGTCCAATATTCTAAGTCCTACCTAGCAAACACCAACCCTCGCTGATCAAAACTCACCAGCCCTTAGAAGATACTGCCAGCACCAATGGACTTTCCTTCAAATCAACTTGTATAACCTCTTCTTTCCCCCTAAAAACTCTAACCATTTTCCTTTGTTCTTCCAGACATACTAGAGGCCACCCTGTTCCGTACGTATGTCCCAGATTATAATCCTACTTCTCGCATATTATTCTTAAATAAAACCTTTTCATTTGGAGATTCGTCTCTATCTATTTTTTATGTTGGCAAAGAGAAGGAAAGAAATAGGAGGTTAGCTTGAAAGGGAAGCAGGTTTAAGAGGGCTTTTCTAAAGATAAGGCAAAGTTAACTTCTTTGTGGACTAAGGGGGAGAAGTTCTTGTAGGCAGAAGCTGAAGATTCAGGAGAGAAAATACACAGCTGAAAGAGAAAGCACAAAAGAAAGAGAAAAGAGTTTTAACAGCAGAGATGTATGAGTGAGCTATGGAAGACAGAAATAAGAAGGCTTCATCCAGAAGAGAGCATGTATCACTTGGGGCAAGAAAGGGAAAATAATGAGGTGCCCTTTTCTAAATATTGAATAAGTTCAGGAAGCTGCTCAGGAAATATTTTCACCTCCAAGTGTGAGGCTGCATCTGAGAGGCACCACCACTGTTTACAAAGAGAGACCTGCATACTAGGAGAGGATCCTGAAATAGTCTGTTATTACGAATTCAGTACACAGACAGTATTTGCAAAGTCACACCAGCATTTATCTCAAGAAATCAATAAAAAGTATTAAGTGGCTCTGATTTTCCTTTTACTATCAGAAACAGGAAAAATCTAGTAAGCCGTTTGGATAGACATCACTTAAATCAATTACCTACAAATAATTGAATTTATTTTCAAGTACAACAAAATAGGAAAATCATTTTAATTGCTTCTTTTAAATGGATATGCTTCTATAGTAAATAGTGCATAAGCAGGAGGGAAAGAAAAGCAAAAGGCAATTACATTTATTGCACACATACTATGTTCCAAGTATCTCGGACTAGCTGTAAGATACCTTTTCTCACTTAATTCTAATACCTGATAAAGTAGACATTATCACCTTTTTATAGATGGAACTGGGGCTCAAATATGTTAAAGAGCCCTTCTTCTGAATGTTCTTCCTTTCATACAACTACCTAGAATGTTCATGTCTAGATGCTGGCTTGGCACCAAACTCTAGAGCCCTGGGTTTGGCACCCCTGCCACCATGGAAGCCCTGGGCACTAACGATCCTATCCCCCAGATTTATTGTCAGAGGACCTTGGCATTTCATCATTTCGTTCACAGCCATTTGCAGCAGATAGGATCTCAGATGCTTTCTCGCCCACCATCTTTCTAGCAGCTCCCCAGCCCTTAGTCCCTGCTGAAGAGGCAGGTCCAAGTGGTTTGATGGGACCCCTCTGCCCTGTCACATCTCAGTGGATGTCCCAGGGTGAAAAACTGACCCAAGGCCAAGTGCCAGCCAACCATTCTCTAATAAGAAGCCAACTAAGACACATAGAATGCACCACTTTGCGATGGGCTCTAGAACTAAAACCCAGGCAGGTTTGGAGTTGGAGCTAATACCAAACCAAAGCTATGCAAAAGCTCTAATGTGGGCCCTGAGAGAAGAAAGAAAGAATAGAGAGAAGAAGCTGAACTGCAAAGAGGAGCATGGAACAGAAACACGGAAAATCAGAGGTAAGAAACCACATGGCCCTGGGGAAAGAGAGAACATCTCCATTCCTGACTCCTGTCCCTTTGGGGCCCACCTGTACTTAATATTGGACCCTCTTTGCATGAGGTATTGTCTAATACAGCCTTGTAACAAACCATATTTTTGAGAGAGTGTCTACTACTTGCAATCAAACTTGTTGACTAATCATTCATTGAGCACAAATCAATGTAGTAATAATACACTAACACTAACTAACATCTAGTGCTTTACATTTTAACTGTTGTGCACTCATTAATTCATTTGATCCAAACAACAGTGTTAATATTATTCTCGTTTTACAGGTAAAGAAATGTGGTGTAAAAAGTTAAAATTTAAATGTCTTCAAAACGCCACTACAAATTCATTCCCTAGAATCCTACTTCTACTTCCACCCCCAAATAAACTCTACTTTGCCTGTGTTTCAGCTAGAGTAAACTCAGGTCTTAAATCCAAGAGGGTTTTCTAACCAATTTAATTGATGGGATGAGAGTAATTCATCTCTTTTTCAACTGTAGAAACGAGTTAAAAATAGCTTCAGAAAACAAAATTTATTCCTGAACCAAAAATTAAAACTTAATAATGTGCAACCAAATTGCATTGAGCTTTTATCACATTTTGCCCTTGCTGAACATTTTTGGCTTCAGCAGCTGCTCCATGAAATGTAACTGTCACTACAGTGAATAAATAAGCAACTATTGCTGTCATACAGCTGCCCCTTGTAACAGCATTAGGGGAAAGCCTTTAGTGGAACCACAGGCCGGAAGAGAGCTGCATTCTTGCTGAATACGGATAGGATTTCATGCAGTCTACAGAAATCCCCCTTAGACTATAGTACGTGTAGAAGGGCAAATGTGCTTCAGAGTGGACGTCTGCTATTTAGCCTACCCAGAAGGCTTTCCTTCTTCTGGGAATTTTTCCAAACCTAACTCCACTCTGGCTATGTGATTCCTGTGGAGGAATTGCCATTTTTCTATACAATGCTGCCATGCTGACCACAGCCAATTGGTCCAAGCCAGGCCAACCAGAGTCTTTTCTCAAGGTGTTGCCCACTGGAACAAAGAAAGAGAATCAGTGTCTAGAAACAAAAGATTTAAAATGTACAACTTGGGAGCTATCAGTAGGCCATGTTCTCTGCCGCACAGAAGAAAGCAGCCTTCAAAGAGAATGAAGCCAATACAGAGAAATGAAAGCATTTGAATCCCTGATTGCAGTTGTGTCTGGGCTCAACTGTATCACTGTCCTCCCTGTATTTGATTGCTCAGTCCTTTCCTGGATTATCTAGGCCAATAAAACCCTTTTGTCTAAATTGTTTTGATTTCGGTTTCTGTCATTTTCATCTAAAAGTCCTATACAATCTTATCATTTATTCTCAATTTTTTGGGCCGTTTGTAAGAGAGGCACACTTTCAGTTTTGCACAGAAAACTTGGGTAGTCAAAATATATTTCTTCTCTTCCTATTGTCTTTCGTCTGACCAACATTTTCCTACTACCCAGATTAGCCTCCCAGCTCCATTTTTGCAAGTACCTTGGAATCAGAGCCACTACACTGTAGAACCTTAGGAATGCCATTTACATACGTGAATCCCATCCCCTGCTGTTGCACAACATGTAGTCATATTCAGCAGCCCTGTTGATAATTATTCAGGATTGTTTTATGCTGAGGAGAGCTGGACTGGCTTGTTCACTTAGCAACGTTAGCTTATAGTTTATGGAGAGAAAAACGGTAGATGTGGTCCCCAAATGAAACAGCGTGATATATAAGAAAGGAAAGTTATGTTCCATGACTCACTGATTCTGTAGCAAGGGCCAGCCACCTCAAACATCAAGTATTATCAGCAAAAAAGTGCTGGCAAGGCCTGTGGGAGAATTAAGTGCACTGAAGGCTGGAAAAAGCCAAAGCAAAGTTCAATGGGTCATTCAGGCCCTCATCCCCTGGTCAATAATACTAATGGAAGGGAGTCTTTGTCTTTATCCTCTGATTCTGCTCATTAGCAGTAGTCTATACAACATTCCAGACATATCCCAGTGCCGGAGCCCTCCGCCCACACCGCGTTACTGCAGTCTGTCCAAGTGGAAGGGTAACGTGGGCCCAGAATACCCACTACCAAGTCTCAGATCACACCTCAGTAAAAGGTCATTGTTGAAGTCTATCACACCAGGACTCATGCCAGGACCTTCCCAGGAAGGGCTTGGAAGAGCTGTTGCTATAGCCCTTGCCTGTATCAAACAGAGCGTGCTCAGGAATTAGGGTAAACTGAACCATCATGTGGAAGTGATAGAAAGAGGGGTAGGGATCAGGGTTTTATATGGGGATACCCCACGCAGGGAAGCACACATTCTCTTTCTACAGGACTCCTCTCAAGCAAAGTCTTCTTTCTATCCTTAATGCCCCATTCTAGCTCAATTCAGTGGTTCTCACATTCAGGGAGAAAAAAAATCTCTAAAGCCTTGTATTCAAAGTGTGGCCACTGACCAGTTGCATCATTGCACTTGAGAACTAGTTAGAAATATAGAATCTTGCTTCACCCAAACCTACTGAATCAGCACCTGCATTGTTAAAAGATGCCCACGTGATGCACATAGAGATTACAGTTGAAGAAGCACTGACTTGGCATATTTACCGAAAATATAAAATCCCAGGCATTGCCTCTAAAGATTCTGATTTTTCATATCTAAGGATGGGCTCAGGAATCTACACTTTCACCAAGCACATTTGGCAATTTTTAACCAGGAGGCTCCTGGACCATACTTTGCAAACTACTGGTTTATTTTATTCCAAAACCAAAATTCCCCTCAATACTTGTTAAAACAATTTCTTTTTTAAATTATAGATTCGGGGGTACATGTGCAGGTTTGTTACATGAGTATATTACATAATTCTGGGGTTTGAGCTTCTAGTGAAACTATCACCCAAATAGTGAACACAGTACCCAATAGGTAGTTTTCAACCCATGCTCCCCTCCCTCCCTTAATTAAAGCAATTTCTTATTTTTCTAGAGTCTTTGAGGGAGTAAGGGAAAGAAACACAGGCATAGTTCCATTATTTCATAGGAAGCTAATGGTCAAAGCAAAACAATCATCAACTTCTAATTCTGCATTTCCACCATTGGATATGTTCTCCTTCTGCACTAGAGCCAACGTCGAAATGAGCAGATGGAATGACCAAGAAACAGGGAGCCAGAAGTGGAGGAAAATGGTACAAAGTGGGGCAAACATGTGGAGCAAACAGGGGGAGGCAGAAGTAAAACAAATCAGAGCATTGCCACAGCGTCTCTTTATGTTTGTTGCTGAGAATTCTAATTCAAGCAATATAAGAAGGACTTATCTAAAAGAACCTTAAAACTCTCCTGAAAGACTTAGAAGAAGATTTGAATAAGCAGAAAGCACATATTATTCTTGGATAGGAAGGCAGCATTATAAAGATATCAGTTTCTCCTAAGTTATCCTGGAAATAAATATATTGCTTCAAGTTGGCAAAATGGTACTTAAGTTCATCTGGAAAAATAAATACGTGAGAATAGTCAGAGGAGAACTAAGGGATTATAACTGTACTAGATACGAAAGCATAATATAAAGCTATTGTAATTAAAAAGTTTGCTACTGATGCAAGTATAATCAGATCCTATAAATATAGATATCTGGTATATTATAAGGAAAATCATAAATAATGTATTAAATAAGTATATTTTTGAAAAAATAAATAAATAAATATTGAGGAAGTATTTTATAGTGTTGGACCAATTAAATAATCATTAGCAAAAATAAGTTGCTGCTAATACAGCAATTCATTGCAGATGGAACAAAAATTCAAAGAAAGCACCAAAATACTAAAATAATAGATAGGTGAATACGTTTTCATTATTAGCCAAGAATGGGAAAAGCCTTCCTAAACATGAAAAACAAAATATTAGCCATAAAGAAAGAGGTTGCTAAATTTGAATACTTAAAATCAAAACATTCTTTTTAACAAGTCAAAGTAGAAATTTTTAAATTGGAAAAAAATTGCAACACATGAAACAGAGGAATATCAATATGAAAAAGAGAATAACTCAACAGAAAAATGGGGAAAGAACATAAGCCAGCAATTTATATTAAAACAAATATAAATAGCCTGTAAATATGTGAAAAGATAGTCAATATCACTCATAATAAATGCAAATTAAAACAAAAAAGTATACCATTGTTTACAGATTAGCAATGACTTGAATAATTTCATAATACAGTACCTAATCTTGAATCTTATGCATTGTCAGTGAGACTACAAATTTTAAAAACTCTGGGGCAACTTTGACAATATTAACTCAAGTGAGAAATGCTATGGCCTTTGATTAATGGAGTCAATGTATATGGATTTATCCCAACAAAAATATTTGATTATGGGTGTAAAGGTATCTGTAGAAGGATATTTTGTAATGGTAAAAATCTGAAGACAACCTTCAGCAGGAGTTAGGTAAATGCTTATGGCACATCCATACCATAAACTATTATGCCAGCCACGAGGAAGAACAAGGTGGATCTACATGTACTTTTATTATTATTATTATTATACTTTAAGTTCTGGGGTACATTGCAGAACATTCAGTTTTGTTACATAGGTATACACGTGCCATGGTGGTTTGCTGCACCCATCAACCCGTCATCTACATTAGGTATTTCTCCTAATGCTATCCCTCCCTTAGCCTCCCACCCTCCGATAGGCCCCATGTTCTCACTCATAACTGGGAGCTGAACAATGAGAACGCATGGATCTACATGTACTTCTATGGAAAATGACTAAGAAACATAAATGGGCAGGGATTACGAGCATGACATCTGGAAATGGACATCCCCAGTTTACAAACAGCTCCTCAACTAATAAACTACATGAACTTAGATCCTTACCTTCTCTGTGCCTCAGTTTCAGTTTCCCCATATTTAAAATGGGAATAGTAACAGTATGTACTTCATAGGGTTGTTGTGAGGGCTAAAGAAAGTGGTCTTATAAAGAATTTAGCACAGTGCCCGACTCATAATAGGCACTACACACAGAGATTATCACAGTGCTTCTCTTTGGGAAGTGGAGATGAGTTTGGAGCTTGCATAGGACTTTTATTTCATACTTTTCTACACTGTTTGGTTTTCAACTTAAATATATTACTACTTTTATAATAAAAAATTCTCAGTTTAAACTTAAAGAATCCTATCAGAAACTTATTTTAAAAGACTATTCCATGAGCATTTCAATATTTGACATATTCTTAAAGTTAAATTCCCCTCAAAATAAATGTCTATAGTCTTTCCTCAAAGAATAAAGCTAAATAGCTAAATGGCAGCTCTCCAGCATCCTTAAATCTCACACTACCCATCTAGACAGGAGGGCTGAATTTGCCTGGTGAAGGATAACAGCATTGAGTCGTGAGGCTTTAGTTGACTTATTTGTTGTTATAATAAACCATTATTCATTCATTCTCCAAAGTATATAAGACAGACTGACCTTGGCAGCATTTTTTAGGAGTGAGAAGACTATAAGCCAAATATCTAATCATCAGAATCAAAATCTGATTTCTAGATCATCAGAAAAATCGGCCTCTTCTGCCGCCAAATGATCCTCCTGCTGACCACATTTTCAGTCAATCAGAATATAATCCTATCATGGGCAGTGAGCGAGTGTGAGGATTGCATTTTGTTTCATAGCTGGTCTAAACATGATTACTGCTTTCATCACACAGCCATATCACCAAGTCAATAAGGATTTTCTATACTGACTTTTCATGTTGCACAGACTGTATTGAGGAACTTGAGTAATTCCAATTTGCTGCACAAAACCCAGCTCTGCAAAGAATAGATTGGTACCTGTTCACCTTGGCTTGTTCAGGATAAGCCCATGATACTACTCCCTAGCTCATGAGTACATTTCTTTTATTCCAAATATATATATTTAAAAAAAACTCATAAACTCTAATTCTACTTCTAAAATAAACTTTTAAGACACGTCTATTATTCAAGCCATGGATGCTATGAAAACCACAGTACCCCATTCCATTCTTTGTACATCTTTACATTCCTTTAAATCATACAAGTCTCTGTTTTGAATCCAGAGTCACTAGGCACAGTAACTACTAGCCCACCAGAGTCGTATAGACAGAAACCAGCACATTCAACTATTAAAATATGCTTCCAAATTCAAAATTTAGCTTAGTCCCAGAAAGACATGGAACAATCACTTTCTGCCCAAAGCTTTACAGCCCTAGATTTGGCTATGAAGAGATACTACAACAATGCAGGAAAATATTTCCTTGAAAAGTCTTGTAGTTTGTTATGGAAGGTAGAAAAAGTCTCAAACACTTCCACAACAACAAGAAGAGGTTTATGTCATAGTTATCTTTGCAAAACTAGGTAACCATTTACTTATACAAGGAAAAAATGTCTGGAAAAGAAAAAAAAAAATAAACGGATCAGGTGCCATCTCAGGAACTTTCCTCCTAACACCAATTTTTCCCTTGCTCTAAGAAATAGATAAATATCCCCAGGAAGCGTGAAAATTCTCCATAACGAATAACATAAACAACAATCTCCTCTCGATTCCGTTTCTGTCCAGCTATTGCTCTCATTTCACAGCAAAACGTCTGGAAAGCTATCAATGGTCATCATATCCATTTCCTCACTTCCCAATCTCTCTTCTTCCTACCTTAATCAGATTTCTGTTCCCACCATTGCACAGTGACTGCTCTTTTCAAGGTCACCAGTAAACTCCACATTGCCAAACACGGTGATCATTTTTCTGACCTCATCCAACTCAACTTCTCAACCACCACCTCACTAAAATAAGCTCTTCTTTTGTCATTTATGACACCACATGATATGATTTGGCTCTGTGTCCCTACCCAAATCTCATCTCGAATTGTAATCCCCACGTGTCAAGGGAGGAACTTGGTGAGAGGTGATTGGATCATGGGGGCAGTTTCCCCCATGCTATTCTCATGATAATGAGTCAGTTATCATGATATCTGATGATTTTATAAGGGTCTCTTCCCCTTTCACTCTCTCTCCCTTCTGCTGCCATGTAAGATGTGCCTGCTTCCCCTTCCACCATGATTATAAGTTTCCTGAGGCCTCTCCAACAATTCAGAACTGTGAGTCAATTAAGCCTATTTCCTTTATAAGTTACCCATTCCCGGGCAGTTCTTCATAGTAGTGTGAGAACAGACTAATACACCACAATATCCTGGTTTTCCTACAAACCACAGATGTCTCCTTTTTGATCTCTTTTGCCAGCTCATCATCCTCAGCTTCCCCTCTAAACCCTGGTATGTCCCACACTGGGTCTAAAGACCCCTCCTTTCTATCTTTCCTCACTCGCTTGGGATCTCATCCAGTTTCATGGCTTCAACGCCATCTATAGACTGATGACTTCCAAGGGAGACCTCCAGTACAAATTTCACCCTTAAACCTTAGTTGGCTGTCCAACTGCCTAGTTGGCATTTCTACATGAAGCTCTAATCAAAATCTCAAATACAATGTGTCCAAATAGAGTGCTTAATTTTCTACCTCCTATTCTGCTCCTCTTCCAGTCATCCCCATTTCAGCAATGGCATTATTGTGTACCAAGTTTCTAAACCAAAACCTAAAAGTCATTCTTCACCTCTTTCTCTGATAATCCCCTATAACAAATTATGAGGTCCATCAACTCTAACTCCAGAGAATGTCTCAAATTCATTTATGTCCATCACCACTCCGGCCACTCTAGCTCATGACACATTCATCTATCAACTGATCTTATGCAATAGCCTCCTAATTGTTCCCTTTGGCTGCCAACGAAATATTTTAAAATATTAATCAGATCATGTCCCTTTCCTGTTTAAAACTTCCCAATGGTTCCCCATTTCTCCTTCTGCTGCCTTTAAAACCCTGTATAATTTGACCCCTGACATGTATGAGCTCATTTCTCTGACTTATTAAAATTCAGGCACACTAGCTTTCTTTCTGTTTTCTGAACACACTGAGATTTGTCTCATTTCAAATGTTTGCACTAACTGTGTGTTCTACCTGCAAGGTTCTTCTTCTGGATCGTCCCATGTTTGGTTTCTTCTGATCACAATGGGTCTCAGGTTAAATGTAACCACCTCAGAGTAACTCCTCTGAACTCCTACCTAAAATAGCCCACTAATCCCACCTCCTCTATCACTCTCTCTAACAACCTCCTACTTTAATTCCCTCATAACATTTATAACCATCTGAAATTAGTACTTTTATGTGTTTGTCTATTTCCTGCTCCCTCTTCCTCTTTTAGAATATACATTCCATGAGAACAAGAACCATGGCTATATTGGATGCCTACCACCTAAAACAGGGTCTGGCACACAGCAAAAACCCTATATATAAATTTGTTTAAAAATTAATAAATGAATGAATGACACAAATAATACAAGTGTGAGCTTTGCATCCATTCATTTCATCATTCCAAACATTTGTCAGATGCTTTGTTTTGATGTTCAGTTTGGAAGCAAAAATAGGTAAGTATACCCCTGTCCTTGAGAATGGGCATCCCCAAAACAAAATTTACTAAGAACTGCCAAAGAGAAGCCAAAAGAAGTTGGGCAACTAAAATCAAAGTGTATAGATCTTTGTATTTGTGGCATCAAATAATTATTAAATATCTGTGATTACATAGATAGCTGAAGGTAGGAAGACTTCAAAGAATGATGAGGAGGAAAGTCAAACTGGAATATTCAAGAGGTAAATATTACAGAAAATGAAATCATTGTAGTGATAAAGTAACCCATTTGTTTAGAAACTGAGAAGAGAAGAAATAAGAAGGATAAAGAAGTAATAGAATCAAGAGATATTTCTTTGAGCATAGTAACGGCATAAACTGATAAAGTAACCCATTGGTTTAGACACTGAGAAGAGAAGGAATAAGAAGGATAAAGAAGTAACAGAATCAAGAGATATTTCTTTGAGCATAGTAAGGACATAAACTGTGCATGTGTGAAAGGAGAAGAGGAAAGACAAGAGGGAGAGAGGCAGGGAGAAAGAAAAGGATGAAAAATAAAAAGACGGACAAGAGAAAGAGAGATGATAAGAGTAGCATGGAGAAGACAAAAGAGAAAAAAAAATGAAGCAATACGAATTAATAACCAGAGAGAGAGGACCAGGGCAACCACAAAGGCTGATGGCAGGAAGACCAAAATTAGACCCATGAGTCGGAAGCTCCACTGGACCTGGAGCTTCCTGAAGCCACAGAATATAGCTTACTTTGTGTGCCCAGCATCATACTAGAAATTACTTTGTATTCCCAGTGTAATAGATTGTTAAATTGGAAATTTTGGTTTTGTTTTGTTTTTTACTTTAAGTTCTGGGATACAAGTGCAGAACGTGTAGGTTTGTTACATAGGTATCTGTGTGCCATGGTGGTTTGCTGCACCTATCACGCCATCACCTAGGTCTTAAGCCCTGCATGCATTAGCTATTTGTCGTAATGCTCTCCCTCCCCTTGCCCCCTACCCCCTGACAGGCCCCAGTGTGTGTGTTGTTCCTATCCCTGTGTCCATGTGTTCTCATTGTTCAACTCCCACTTATGAGGGAGAACATGTGGTGTTTGGTTTTCTGTTCCTGTGTTAGTTTGCTGAGAGTGATGGTTTCCAGCTTCATCCATGTCCTTGCAAAGGAGATTATCTCATCCTTTTTTATGGCAGCAAAGTATTCCATGGTGTATATGTGCCACATTTTCTTAATCCAGTCTATCATTGATGGACATTTGGGTTGGTTCCAAGTCTTCGCTATTGTGAATAGTGCCGCAATAAACGTGTGCACAATATGTGTGCATGTGTCTTTATAGTAGCATGATTTATAATCCTTTGGGTATATATCCAGTAATGAGATCGCTGGGTCAAATGGTATTTCTAGTTCTAGATCCTTGAGGAATCACCACACTGTCTTCCACAATGGTTGAACTTGTTTACACTCCCACCAACAGTGTAAAAGCATTCCTATTTCTCCACATCCACTTCAGCACTTGTTTCCTGACTTTTTAAAGATTGCCATTCTAACTGGTGTGAGATGGTAACTCATTGTGGTTTTGATTTGCATTTCTCTAATAATCAGTGATGTTGAGCTTTTTTTCATATGTTTGTGGGCCACACAAATGTCTTCTTTTGAGAAGTGTCTGTTCACAGCCTTTGCCCACTTTTTGATGGGGTTGTTTTTTCTTGTAAATTTGTTTAAGTTCCTTGTAGATTTTTGATATCAGACCTTTGTCAGATGGGTAGATTGCAAAAATTTTCTCCAATTCTGTAGGTTGCCTGTTCACTCTGATGATAGTTTCTTTTGCTGTGCAGAAGCTCTTTAGTTCAATTAAATCACATTTGTCAGTTTTGGCTTTTGCTGCAATTGATCTTGGCATTTTCATCAT
Source organism: Homo sapiens (assembly GCF_000001405.40). Classification (NCBI taxonomy): domain Eukaryota; kingdom Metazoa; phylum Chordata; class Mammalia; order Primates; family Hominidae; genus Homo; species Homo sapiens. The sequence continues at coordinate 95,488,165 of NC_000001.11, read as the reverse complement.
GAAGTCTTTGCCCATGCCTATGTCCTGAATGGTATTGCCTAGGTTTTCTTTTAGGGTATGATTTTCTGATGTACATTCAAGTCTTTAGTTGATGTTGAGTTAATTTTTGTATAAGGTGTAAGGAAGGGGTCCAGTTTCAGTTTTCTGCATATGGCTAGCCAGTTTCTCCAGTATCATTTATGAAATAGGGATTCTTTCCCCTTTGCTTGATTTGGGCCTGTTTGTCAAAGATCAGAAGATTGTAGATGTGTATTGTTATTTCTGAGGTCTCTGTTCTGTTCCATTGGTCTATATGTCTGTTTTGGTACTAGTACCATGCTGTTTTGGTTACTGCGCCTTGTAGTATAGTTTGAAGTCAGGTAGCGTGATGCCTCCAGCTTTGTTCTTTTTGCTTAGAATTGTCTTGGCTATACAGGCTCTTTTTTGGTTCCATATGAAATTTAAAGTAGTTTTTTCTGATTCTGTGAATAATGTCAATGATAGTTTGATGAGAATAGCATTGAATCTATAAATTACTTTGGGCAGTATGGCCATTTTCATGATATTGATTCTTGCTATCCATGAGTATGGACTGTTTCTCCATTCATTTGTGTCCTCTCTTATTTTCTTGAGCAGTGGTTTGTAAGTCTCCTTGAAAAGGTCCTTCACATCCCTTGTTAGCTGTATTCCTCAGTATTTTATTCTCTTTGTAGCAACTGTGAATGGGAGTTCACTCATGATTTGGCTCTCTGCTTGTCTATTGTTGGTGTATACAAATTCGTGTGACTTTTGCCATTGATTTTGTGTCCTGAGACGTTGCTAAAGTTGCTTATCAGCTTAAGGAGATTTGGGCTGAGACGATGGGGTTTCCTAAATATACAATCATGTCATCTGCGAACAGAGACAATTTGAGTTCCTCTCTTCCTATTTGAATACACTTTATTTCTTTCTCTTGCCTGATGGCCCTGGCTAGAACTTCCAATACTATGTTGAATAGGTGTGGAGAGAGAGGGCATCCTTGTCTTGTGCCGGTTTTCATAAGGAATGGTTCCAGGTTTGCCCATTCAATATGATATTGACCGTGGGATTATTATAAATAGCTCCTATTATTTTGAGATATGTTCCTTCAATGCCTAATTTATTGAGAGTTTTTAACATGAAGGGATTGTAAATTTTATCAAAGGCCTTTTCTGCGTCTATTGAGATGATCATGTGATTTTTGTCATTGGTTCTGTTTATGTGATGGATTATGTGTATTGATTGGCCTATGTTGAACCAGTCTTACATCCCAGGGATGAAGCCAACTTGATTGTTGTGGATAAGCTTTTTGATATGCTACGGGATTTGGTTTGCCAGTATTTTTTTGAGGATTTGTGCATCGATGTTCATCAGGGACATTAGCCTACAATTTTCTTTTTTTGTTGTGTCTCTGCCAGGTTTGGGTATCAGTATGATGCTGGCCTCATAAAAAGAGTTAGGGAGGAGTCCCTCATTTTCAATTTTTGGAATAGTTTCAGAAGGAATGGTACCAGCTCCTCTTTGTATCCCTGGTAGAATTCAGCTGTGAATCTGTCTGATCCTGAGCTTTTTTTGGTTGGTAGGCTATTAAATACTTCCTCAATTTCAGAACTTGTTATTGGGCTATTCCAAGATTCGACTTCTTCTTGGTTTAGTTTTGGGAGGGTGTATGTGTCCAGGAATCTATCCATTTCTTCTAGATTTTGTGGTTTATTTATGTAGAGGTGTTTATAGCATTCTCTGATGGTAGCTTGTATTTCTGTGGGGTCAGTGGTGATATCCCCTTTATCATTTTTTATTGCATCTATTTGATTCTTCTCTCTTTTCTTTATTACTCTAGCTAGCAGTCTATTTTGTTAATCTTTTCAAAAACCCTCATCCTGGATTCATTGATTTTTTGAAGGTTTTCTTTTGTGTATGTCTCTATCTCCTTCAGTTCTGCTCTGATCTTATTTCTTGCCTTCTGCTAGCTTTTGGATTTCTTTTCTCTTTCTTCTGTAGCTCTTTTAATTGTGATGTTAGGGTGTCAATTTGAGATCTTTCTAGCTTTCTGATGTGGGTATTTGGTGCTATAAATTTCCCTCTTTGCACTGCTTAGCTGTGTCCCAGAGATTCTGGTACATTGTCTCTCGGTTCTCATTGGTTTCAAAGAACTTCTTGATTTCTGCCTTAATTTCATTATTTCCCCAGGAGTCATTCAGGAGCAGGTTGCAATTTCCATGTAGTTGTGTGGTTTTGAATGAGTTTCTTAATCCTGAGTTTTAATTTTATTGCACTGTGATCTGAGAGACTGTTTGTTATGATTTCAGTTCTTTTACATTTGCTGAGGTATACTTTACTTCAAAATATGTGGTAGATTTTAGAATAAGCATCATGTGGCACTGAGAAGAATGTATATTCTGTTGATTTGTCAGGGAGTCTTCTGTACGTGTCTATTAGGTCCACTTGATCCAGAGCTGAGTTGAAGTCCTGAATATCCTTGCTAATTTTCTGTCTTGTTCATCTGTGCAATGTTGACCGTGGACTGTTAAAGTCTCCCACTATTATTGTGTGGGAATCTAAGTCTCTTTGTAGATCTCTAAGAACTTGTTTTATGAATCTAGGTGCTCCTGCATTGGGTGCATATATATTTAGGATAGTTAGCTCTTCTTGTTGAATGGATTATTTTACCATTACATAATGCCCTTCTTTGTCTTTCTTGATCTTTGTTGGTTTAAAGTCTGTTTTGTCAGAGACTAGGATTGCAACCCCTGCTGTTTTTTGCTTTCCATTTGCTTGGTAAATATTCCTCCATCCCTTTATTTTGAACCTATGTGTGTCTTTGCACGTGAGATGGGTCTCCTGAATACAGCACACCAATGGGTCTTGATCCTTTATCCAATTTGCCCATCTGTGTCTTTTAATTGGGCCATTTAGCCCATTTACATTTAAGGTTAATATTGTTATGTGTGAATTTGATCCTGTCATCATGATGCTATCTAGATACTTTACACACAAGTTGATACAGTTTCTTCATAGTGTCATTGGTCTTTACATTTTGGTGTGTTTTTGCAGTGGCTGGTACCGGTTTTTCTTTTCCACATTTAGTGCTTCCACCAGGAGCTTTTGCAAGGCAGGCCTGAGTTGAAAATTCTTTTCTTTAAGAATATTGAATATTGGCCTCCATTCTCTTCTGGCTTATAGGGTTTCTGCTGAGAGGTCTGCTGTTAGTCTGATGGGCTTCCCTTTGTAGGTGACCCGGACTTTTTCTCTGGCTGCACTTAACATTTTTTCCTTCATTTCAACCTTGGAGAATCTGATGATTATGTGTCTTGTGGTTGATCTTCTCATAGAGTATCTTAGTAGCATTCTCTGTATTTCCTGAATTTGAATGTTTAGGCCTGTGTTTTTAGGTTGGGGAAGTTTTCCTGGATAATATCCTGAAATGTGTTTTCCAACTTGGTTCCATTCCCTCAGTCTCTTTCAGGTACTCCAATCAGTCATAGGTTTGGTCTTTTTACAGAGTCCCATATTTCTCAAGGTTTTGTTTGTTCCTTTTCATTCTTTTTTCTCTAATCTTGTCTGCCTGCCTTATTTCAGCAAGATGGTCTTCAAATTCTGATATCCTTTCTTCCACTTGGTTTATTCGGGTATTGATATTTGTGTATGCTTCATGAAGTTCCCAGGCTATGTTTTTCAGCTCCATCATGTCATTTATGTTCCTCTCTAAACTGGTTATTTTAGTTAGCAGCTCCTGTAACCTTTTATCAAGGTTCTCAGCTTCTTTGCATTGGGTTAGAACATGCTCCTTTAGCTCAGCAGAGTTTGTTATTATCCACTTTCTGAAGCCTACCTCTGTCAGTTCATCCGTCTCATCTTCATCCAGTTCTCTGCCCTTGCTGGAGTGGAACTGCAATCATTTGGAGTAGAAGACACACTCTGGCCTTTGGGGTTTTCAGCATTTTTTCATTGATTATTTCTCATCTTCATGAGTTTGTCGAGTAGTGGTCTTTGAGGCTGCTGACCCTTGAATGGGGTTTTTGTGGGGACTTTTTGTTGTTGTTGTTGTTGTTGATTCTGTTGTTGCTTTCTGTTTGTTGTTTCTCTTGCAATGGTCAGGTCCCTCTTCTGTAAGGCTCCTGTGGTTTTCTGGGGGTTCGCTTCAGGCCCTATTCATCTGGTTCACTCCCACACATGGAGATGTCACTCAAGGAGGCTGGAGAGCAGCAAAGATGGGTGCCTGCTCCTTCCTCTGGGATCTCTGACCTTGAGGGGCATTGATCTGATGCCAGTATAAATGCTCCTATATAGTGTGTCTGACAACCCCTGTTGGAGAGTCTCACCCAGTTGGGTGGCATGGGGAGCAGGACCCATTTAACAAAGCACTTTGGATGTCCCTTAGTGTCCCTTCACTGGGGGAAGCCCATTTGTCTGAGCTGTCTGGATTTCTCAGAACTAGCAGAAGGAAAAACTAAGTCTACTGGTCTGGGGAGACTGTGGCCACACCTCCCCCTAGGGGCTCAGGCCCAAGGAGATCAGAGTTCTGTTCCTGAGAACCTGGCTGGAGTTGTCAGAGTTCCTGTAGGGAGGCCCCACCAGTGAGGAGGGATGTGTCACGGTCAGGCCTGAAAAGGCACTCTGTCCGCCATCTGCCACAGCCAGTGTATTGGGCTGTGGGGGATACCTCTTGGGACGAAGCCATCCAGCATCCCCAGCTCCAGCAGGGAAAAGCATGGTCTGGAGCTACAGAGAGGGCTGCCATCCTTCCTCTACCCTGGAAGCTTAGTGTGTTAGGCAGCTAACAGTCCCAGTGTTGGCTATCACCCTCCCACCCTGCCAAGGGTCTCAAACAGCTTAGACAGCAGGCAGCCACAGCTGTGGTGCTGGTCGCCATTCCCCCCAGGAGCTCAGCAGGCTTAAGCAGATTCTAGCTTAGTGGCTATTGAGAATCTGCACGGCTCTGTGGTTGGGACCCTTGGCCGCAGTGACATGGGCTTGCTAGTGGGATCTTCTGATCTGTGGGTTGCACAGTTCCGTGGAAAAAGCATGTTTTCCCAGGCTGGGTAGCATGCTCACTCACTGCCTCCCTTGGCTGGGGGGTAGGGGCTCCCCTGCCCCGTGTGGTTCTCAAGTGGGCCAACACACCACACTGCTCTTCCTTCTTCTCTATGGGTTACACCAGCTGCCTAGTCAGTTTTGATGACAGAACCTGGATACCTCAGTTGCCAGGGCAAGATTCGTATGCCATTATAGTTCTTTTCGATGGGAGCCTCCAATTGCTGCTGCTTCTAGTCAACCATCTTAGCCCCCTAAATTGGAACTTTTGACTGAGCTTCTATGATACAATGGAAAATTGCAAAGTGAAATACCAGAACACAAAACAGAAATTCCAAAGATGTGCTAACAACCAGTTAGAAGGCTCCAAAACTCTCAAAGCATATGTAAATGCCTTCTCACTCAAAAGAGTGAGGAGGTGGAATTGAAAAGAATACTTGTGAGAAGGTATTCTCTGGGAAAATCTCTGCAATTGATCTCTTGCTTGCTGCCCCAAGGGTAGTAGTGGGGCTGTTTGATTTCTCAGCTCCAGCTTAGCAAAAACTTCAAATGGACCACTGAATGGCCTCTGCCTTGTACATATCCCCTGAATGTCTGAGAGAGGGATCAGAAGACTGGTCTTGATATATGCCTGAAAAATCTGGAAATGAGAAACTGTGCTTATCAGCCTCAGGTGGTGCTAAGGTAAAGTAGACTGCCATGTTTGGGAAGTAACTGTACTCCACCAATATCAAGGTAAAGAATACAGGAGTATTTCCTACCATGGAAGAGATACAGCCTGGAGCCATTTTAAGTATTGCCCAAGAGAACCGCCTAGATGACTGAAGGATGTCAATAGACAGTTTTGCCTATAGTGGATTCCTGGAAAACTAGACCAAAAGAGATACTGGCCACCAGAAAAAAAAGAAGTGCTACTTCTCAAGCTTCTGATTAGCAGGTCCCAGCAGAGAGCCTCCTAAGAATCCATGGAAACCAGTGCATGGGAATTAGCTTTGAACACCTGTTTATCCTAGAAAATCCAAAGCCATCTTATGACAGTATCACTCTAGTAAGAACTTTCTGTTTTCCCTTTTCCACCTACTCCTTTGTGCTTTAAAAGGAAAGGGCCAGAAACTGTGACTAGCATCCTGGCAGGGGGCAGGGAGGGTAGGGGTGAATAAAGGGCAAAAGGAAAGAAAAAAGTGGCCTTTGCCTCTTACCAAGGTAGCTCCTGACCTACCAGAAGCTGGGAAAGAGGAGAATGTTTAATTTGAAATTGAGTTAGGTTTTACACTGGGCTGAGGATTCTAGTCATAGAACTGAGATTAGAAAAGTCATCAAGTCTGCCAGTTCTCATTCTGTTGCAAAAAAATCCCCAATATTCTTATCTAAAAAAAATTAAAGGGGTAGTAGAAGGAAAACAAAGGGGCATACTGATAACATCTTGTAAGTCATGCCTGTTTATGGTCTTGGTTATACTAGCAAAGGCCCTGTTACGTAAGGCATTCAATATGCTTTCAATTAATGTAAATAAAATCATTTAAAATACCAGCTAACTCACATAGTATTCAATATGTGTCACTTTTCATATATTTTTATGCTTCATTTAATGCTTACAACAACTCTGTGATATAGGGACTATTATTATCTCTGTTCAAAAAAATGGAGAAACAGGCACAGAGAAGTGCCTCAGGAATAGGCTCTATGAATTGGATGCTCCACTGACACTGAGTTTCCAGAAGGAACAGAACACAGCTAGTAAAGAGGACAGCTAGGATTCATAGCCAGGCAGCCTGGCCCTCAAGACACACTATTTACCTCCAGGCTATTCTGCCCTCTCAAATTAGCAAACATTTATGGATAACTACTATGTACCTTATGCTGGATATTCAACAGTGGGTAAGTCAGATATTGTCTTTCCATGGAGTAATTTACATTCTAGAAAGGAAAAACAAGTAATAAACAAGTAAATTAATAAATGCAAGATTGAAAGAAATAAACAGGGTATTATGATGAAAAGCATAAGCAAAGACCAGAGGTGACACACAAACAGACCTGAAGTGTGGGAAGGGGTGAACCAGCCAGACCAAGAAGGGGATTTTAGAAATAAAGCATTTAGATATATCACTTATCTTATAAAATGTGACTTAAATGGAAAGACGGTTGACAGGTTAAAATGTGACATGCTTTGTCTCATATGCTTTATTAAATGATGTACATTACTCAGCATTTACTGAAGTAACTGCAAGAATGAACCTCCACATGCACACACCTGTTCCCCAGCCACCAGGCAGAGACTCAGATGCGAGATTACCTGGACCTAAGAATTTAATGAGGCTTTATGAGGCTTTAGCAGGGGCCTTGTACTTCATCTGGCTAGGGGAGCATCCACAAACAAGTATGTGGCTCAGGGGTAGCTCTGTTTTTTATTCCTTTTGGGCCTAAGGAAACACAATTTGAAGATGGGAGTAGAGAAAGAGTGAGATGAGTTAAACTACTGTTATGCTACATAAAAATGTGAGCGGTGCCATTGTGAGAACAGCACCATGCAAAGAACCAGGCTGTTGTAAAAGTGTTTCATGCTATGATTTTCCGCTGGACTGTCTCTAAAAATTGATAGTGGCCTTGGAAAGTCAGTGTGTGCGTGTGTGTGTGTGTGTGTGTGTGTGTGTGTATGTGTGTCCAATTTTTTTTAATTTTTAGAAAAATAAAGAAGCATATTTACATCTCACACTGTGGGACAACCTTTGGTGACCAGAATTGGTGTTCAGGTCTACCCTGGATGACTCTGCAGACTCAGTGTTATTCTGTGGGCTGGGGATGGAAGATGAGGGGAGCTTTCTGGGGAATTTTCATTCAGACTGAGCAACACAGACTTTAAAATTGGGGATGGAGAATAATATCTACCTCTGTGGATAAAGACGCATAGAGAGTCATGTGGTGGAGATTAGAAGAAGGATACATACATTCTTGCTGAAAGGGCTAACTTAGAAGTGGAATGCAGGCCTGGGCACAGTGGCTCATGCCTGTAATCCCAGTACTTTGGGAGGCTGAGGTGGGTGGATCACGAGGTCAGGAGATCGAGACCATCCTGGCTAACATGGTGAAACTCCATCTCTACTAAAAATATAAAAAATTAGCTGAGCATGGTGGTGAGAACCTGTAATCCCAGCTACTCGGGAGGCTGAAGAAGGAGAATGGCATGAACCCAGGAGGTGGAGCTTGCACTGAGCCAAGGTTGCGCCACTGCACTCCAGCCTGGGCGACACTGCGAGACTCCATCTCAAAAAAAAAAAAAAAAGTGGCCTACAAAGTTAACAACTATGGCAATTATGAGAGGACCCCCATTAAAATTTCTCTTTTCAGGTGAGTTTTCCATGGAATGTGGGGAAAGTCATAATTTGAACAACATTAAATATCCCCCCTTTACCCTAAACCTTTTATTCAATAACATACCTGTACACCCCTGTGAGAGGGTACTGGGGAACAAGAGATGGGCAGTCCAGTGTGGGTGAACCACATCCTCAGTCCTCTAATGGCTGCCTGGAGGGAGCTGCAGCCTATGGAGGTATCATGGGGACCATGGGCAGGAATTTCAGGCAGGGTGGGCCTGGGGGCTTGGAAGGCATTGGGAGGAGTGTATGAAGATGGGGTGGACAATTTGGGGACAACTCCTATTCTTTCCTAACTCTTCAGAGGAAGAGAACCCTATAGGAGAAGAAAAAGTGGACATTTGAGTAATACCTGTATTAGTCTGTTTTCATGCTCTGATAAAGACATACCCAAGACTGGGCAATTTACAAAAGAAAAAGGTTTAATGGACTCACAGTTCCACGTGGCTGCAGAAGCCTCATAATGATGGTGGAAGACAAGGAGGAGCAAGTCACTTCTTACATGAATGGCAACAGGCAAAAAGAGAGAATGAGAGCCAAGTGAAATGAGTTTCCCCTTATCAAACCATCAGATCTCATGAGACTTATTCACTGCCATGAGAACAGTATGGGGCAAACTGCCCCCATGATTCAATTATCTCCCACCAGGTTCTTCCCACAACAAGTGGGAATTATTGGAGTACAATTTAAGATGAGATTTAGGTGGAGACATAGAGCCAAACCATATCATTCTGCCCCTGACCCCTCCCAAATCTCATGTCCTCACATTTCAGAACCAATCATGCCTTCCCAGTAGTCCCCCAAAGGCTTAACTTATTTCAATATTAACTGAAAAGTCAACAGTCCAAAGTCTTGTCTGAGACAAGGCAAGTCCCTTCCACCTATAAACCTGTAAAATCAAAAGCAAGTTAATTACTTCCTAGATACAAAGGGGGTATAGGCATTGGGTAAATACAGCCATTCCAAGTGGGAGAAATTGGCCAAAGCAAAGGAGTTACAGGCCCCATGCAAGTCCAAACTCCAGCAGGGCAGTCAAATCTTAAAGCTCCAAAATGATCTCCTTTGACTCCATGTCTCATATCCAGGTCATGCTGATGCAAGAGGTGGGTTCCCATGGTCTTGGGCAGCTCCATCTCTGTAGCTTTGCAGAGTACAGCCACCTTTTCCAGGTGAAGTGTGCAAATTGTCAGTGGATCTACCATTCTGGGGTCTGAAGGACAGTGGCCCTCTTCTCACAGCTTCACTAGGCAGTGCCCCAGTAGGCACTGTGTGTGGGGGCTCTGACCCACATTTCCCTTCTGTGCTAGCAGAGGTTCTCCACAAGCACCCTGCCCCTGCAACAAACTTATGCCTGGGCATCCAGGCGTTTCCATATATCTTCTGAAATCTAGGTGGAGGTTCCCAAACCCCAATTCTTGACTTCTGTGCACCCTCAGGCTCGACATCATGTTGGGGCTGTCAAAGCTTGGGGCTTACACCCTTTGAAGCCATGGCCCAAGCTGTACCTTGACCCCTTTTAGTCATGGCTGGAGCAGCTGGGATGCAGGGCACCAAGTCCCTGGACTGTGCACAGCACGGAGACCCTGGGCCCAGCCCAGGAAACTATATTTTCTTCCTAGGTCTCCACACCTGTGATGGGAGAGGCTGCCAAGAAGACCTCTGACATGCCCTGGAGACATTTTCCCCATTGTCTTGGGGATTAACATTCAGCTCCTCATTAATTATGCAAATTTCTGTAGCCAACTTGAATTTCTCCTCAGAAAATGGGATTTTCTTTTCTATCACATTGTCAGGCTGTAAATTTTACAAACTTTTATGCTCTGCTTCCTTTATAAAACTGAATACCTTTAACATCCCAAGTCTGAATTAACACATCCCAAGTCACCCCTTAGATGTTTTGATGCTTAGAAATTTCTTCCACCAGATACCCTAAATCATCTCTCTCAAGTTCAAAGTTTCCCAGATTTCTAGGGCAGGGGCAAAATGCCACCAGTCTCTTTGCTAAAACACAACAACAACACATATCTTTGCTCCAGTTCCCAACAACTTCCTCATCTCCATCTGAGACCACTTCAGCCTAGACCTTATTGTCCATATTGCTGTCAGGCTTGTGGTCAAAGTCATTCAACAAGTCTCTAGGAAGTTACAAACTTTCCCAAATTTTCTTGTCTTCTTCTGAGCTTTCCAAATTGTTCCAACCTCTGCCTGTTACCCAGTTCCAAAGTCGCCCCCACATTTTCAGGTATCTTTTCAGCAACACCCCACTCTACTGGCACCAATTTACTGTATGAGTCTGTTTTCTAAGATAAAGACATACCTGAGACTGGGCAATGTACAAAAGAAAAAGGTTTAATTAGACTCACAGTTCCAAGCGGCTGAGAAGGCCTCACAATCATAGTAGAAGACAAGGAGGAGCAAGTCATGTCTTACATGGATGGCAGCAGGCAAAAAGAGAGAATGGGAGCCCAGTGAAATGGGTTTCCCCTTATCAAACCATCAGATCTCGTGAGACTTATTCACTACCATGAGAACAGTGTGGGAGAAACTGCCCCCATGATTCCATTATCCCCCACCAGGTTCCTCCCACAACACATGGGAATTATGGGAGTACAATTCAAGATGAGGTTTGGGTGGGGACACAGAGCAAAACCATATCACCACCCCATGCTCATATCTGAAACATAAAACTTTACTTGCTATCTACTTTGGCCCTTTCAGGCCAGTGTGGCTATTCTGTTTGTATATAGGTCTTCTCTAGTAAGAAGCCAAATATTTAAACTCACCTTTTCCCAAGGAGAGAAAAGCATGGGTCAGACCTCCAACATTGGCTGGCAACTACCAGATGGAGGGACCCAGTCAGGGGAAAGGCGGTGAGATGGCCTGGGGGGCTCCAACTGCCCCTTTTCTTTGGAACCAGGCACGAATTAGGCCAATAATTTATTGCTCCCCATTCTGTAGTATCTCTTTGTGCCCGTGTGTGTTCATGTGGGTGCGTGTTTCTTCTGTTGTGTATTCCTCTCCTGTTAAAAATGTAATGAACTCAGTCCAGGTACTTTTGTGGATTGTCATGCTATCCCTGTAGTTGATTCTAATGTCCAAATGTTTCATTATTTGCCAATGGTGCAATAAACACTGCTATGGCTAAAAAGTCTATATTTTCTATGAATGGGCCTATCTCCCACAAAAGTATACTAACAAAGGAAAACTAGACCTATTAGACCTATTATAATAACATAATCTGAATAATCTGGCAGCAGAGCAAACTGAGACTTCTATATATAAGTATTATTCCTTTTTCAACAAAGAATCACACGTCCTGATATCTTGTCAATTTGTTCTCATCCCCTGCCCTTGTTTCATATGGAGCCCTGTCAAATTCTATCTAAAGCCTTACACTCCTCTGCTTTTGGGGCTTCTGTGTCCTCACATGACTCCTACAGTGCCAGGTGCTCTGGTACCAGCAAAAAACATTACAGATTTAACGGTAGTTAGATTTTAATTTCATTACTTTGGACTTTAACCTGCCCTCTAATTAGATGATGAACTAAGGAAAATCTAATTACTTTTTCAATATTCCTTCAGTGGCATTCTTGATTATTGCTGTGTCCCATTTCTACAACTCACAGGGGCTTCCTGAATGTGGATAACAATCACCTCTTTCCCAAGAAAAGCTGAAGTAACTCCCTTTGTTAAAGAGTTGGAAATGGGTTTGTTGGTTTGTTATGTGTCTGCTGTTTTATATTAGAATTGGCTCTGTAAGTTTCACCCCTACCATGAGATTAGTCAAGTTTGGGCACTCAGGTAGCCAGAAGCATTTAAAACATGCTACAATTGGCCTCTGTCTTGAAACAATTCTCTTTTGTTTTGCAAGACAAGCGTATGACCTTTCCTTCAGCCAGGAGCCAGTGGGTAATGGATTACTTGATTGACTGGGTATGACACTGCTGTTGAGAAAAGTACTTTGAACATATTTGGCAAGTTGAAAGTGGCACAGCTCATTAGGATACCATTATGTTAATTTGAAATGCCACTCAGGTAAGGAAGCAGTTCTGCTATAATGGTACATTGTAAAGAACTGCCTGGATCCTTCAGATGGAAATGGCCTTACGGTGGTGAGGCCAGCTAGATGGTGTGGATCCCAGGACAATGTAATAGGCCGTGCTACCTGCCCAACTCCTATGACTGCCTTTATAAGGAAGGCAAGAAAAGAGACTGGAGTATCCTTGTGTTGCCTGATTGACTCCCACTGGCTTCATGGATTCAGGCAAATGAAGGAAACAAGAAAATAATAGGCTATGTCTAAGCTTTTGTCTTTTGCCTCTGACCCCACATTTCTTGGGGGGGGATTAACTCGCCACCAATTAACTTGCCCCGTTCCCCCAGACTCACCACAGTCACCACAACCACTGGAGTGAAAATGAAGGTCCTCGTGCTTCTTTGCATCAGATTCCTGGATGAGATTTCACAAACAGCCAAAGAAAGGGACAGTATCGTTAAAGATTAAAAACAAACACTAGTAACCCCAACCAAGAATTGTAATGGCAACTAGGGGAACAAGAACAACAGCAAAAAAGACAAAATTGCTTACCAAATGTTTACAGACACTTCATAGCCTCTCTACCTCATTTTGATTAAACTATTTAATATGTTGCATTTACTTTCAGTGTATCGGAGATAAGGTCCTGTGAGTTTGAAGTCTGTGATCCACCAACAAACATATTTTGCAGTAAGAGGTTTTCTTGTGGAGAACAGAAAAAATGCTGAGCGAGAGAAGCTATCCTACCCAGCAATTCAAAGATATTTCCCCTTCTCTGCTTTTACTGAGAGGCAAGATGACTCTTCTGCTTCTGGGAGGGTCAAAACACAGAAAGAAAACCAGTCCAGAGGAAGGATTATCTTGGATACAAACCCTTTTCCTGGGATACTAGCTAATCCAAAAATACAAGCTGGTGCAAGACAGCTAAACATCAGTCCAGCTCCTCTTTGTGTCTGTAAATGTAGCTCCATGTAAGTGACTTGGAACAATTAAACCACAAAATCCCAACAAAACAAAGTGCAGACAATTTATAGCCCAGCTACAGCAGCTAGGGAGGAATATCTAATAGTCTTACCTAAGAAGCAATTACAAATGAAAGGGCTTCTCAGTAATGGAGATTTTTTTTTTTTCAGGAGGCACTCTGCCAGAAAATTTTTTCACCAAAAGGCAGAGATCCATAAAACCTCCCTTTTAATAAACTATATCATTAATAGATGTACCAGGCATATTTGCAACATTGGAGGAGAGCATGTCTCTCAGTAGAAAAATGAGTAAATAGCTAGAGCTAAATATATATGGTTAATGAAGTCTGTACTCTTTGAAGGCCTTAACCATGGACAGTCCAGGGAGTACAAAGACTGTTGGTTTCAAAGTCCAATGAGTAAGAATTCAAATGGAGTTCCAACACTTACTAGCCCTAGGATTCAGGCAAGTTTTTAACCTCTCTGAGCCTTGGCTTCCTCAGTTGGATAAAAAGGACAGTAGCATTTGCAACCCGGAATTACTATGGAGCCAGCGCATAACAGTTGCTCAACAAATATTACATCCCTGATCTTTTTTTTGCACAATTATAGAATAAAAATAGGAATAGTATAAATTTCTACCTTTTATACAAGATAGTACATGATGAAAACAAAGGAAAGAATATTTAATGTCATTTAAAAAGAAAATATCCTAAGAGGCAGAAGACCTGAAGTCAACTCCTGGCTCTGTCCATTTCCATATCTATAATTCTGCTCTTCCATCTCTCTGGGCCTCCAACTTCTCATCTGAAAACTGGAGAGATCTGACCAACTTGTTGCTCCCTAGGGTTTCTTCTGGCTTTGAAATTCTTTGATTTCACTAATGACTGTTCTTGTTGATAATGTGTAAGCCACTGAATAGATAAGTACTTAAAGCCCAATCATTTTGTATTAGAAGCAGCAGCATATAATAGTAATGAGAAGCTTCTAAAACTGGACTGCTTTGGAATTTGAATTCCAGATTTGCCACTTACTAACTCAGGGACCTGAGAAATTTAATCTCTCTGTGTATTAGTTATCTTATCTGTAAAATGAGTAAAGTCATAGTTACTTGGGTCATGAAGATTTAGTGAGTTAGCCGTGGAGAGTGCTAAGAACAGCATCTGACACAGAGTAAGCAGTCAATGAATGACAGCAGCTCTTTGTTGTTGTTGTTGCTGTTATTATTGTAGTTGTTAACTATTAAGGGGAGATGCAGTAATCACTACAGTGGTTTGGCCAACTTTGGATTTAAAATATAGTGATTTTGTCTTTGTATAAGTGAGTTTTAATCAATTATCTTTCTATGTGCCCATCATCCATTCAGTCCCCACCTGCTTCATTATAAACACCCAGAGCAATGACTGTCCCTACTTCTGTAGCCCAAGTGGGCACATGCAAGACAGCTCTGAGTTCTCTATATATGGAAAGAAGACCAAGCCCAGAAAAATGTACTGTTAAGCACTGCCATAATTTGTGAAAAGGTCAGACAGTTACACAAGCATTTTGCTGAGACCAGAGAAAAGCAAACAAAGACTAATACAAGTGCAAAAGACTATGATTTCAAAGTAAAAGACACGTTGAAACTTTTTAAAGAGTCACTTTCTGAATATTATGAAACTTGAGAAAAATTTATATCAGCAATTTATAACATGACAGCAATATTACCCAAACAGTTAAAACAAGTGATTGATCCAGAGCAGATTTTTATGCCAACTAATCTAATTTGTGTTGGCAGCAGGTATCTTCTAGAAGTTTTATATTCATTTAATGGCATTTTCATTGTTTAGTGTCTATGACACTTTGATCTCACCAACTATAATCAGCCACAGTACAACTAGGTAGAGTGAACACCAGGGATTGTTACTTCAAAGAACAGACTCTCTGCCCTCAAAGAGCTTACAGTCTAATATGAGCAATTATAACCCAGCACAAGATGTAAAGAGTGACACTGTGTGGTTCAGACATCAAGAAAGCAATAAGGCTTGAGGAGATGGGGATAGTGCTCTTTGATAATGTGTTTCAGATGCCATCTTACTGATAATGTGTCTCATTTTACTTTTACCTAGACCTGGCCTCTAGTTCCACTTTTCGTTTTCTCTACAGATTCTTCCAGCCTTAACTATTTCTAATTCCACTAAAAAAAAGCAGTTTGCTACTGATTCACAGAACATTTCAACCCCCCTCACACATTTTCATTGACTTTCATCACACAGAACTTAATTTTCTCAAGTTCAATCATTGGTAATACTATAGTTTAAAAGAATTTCCTAATGTAGCCCTTCTGAATCTCCTAATAAAATATTGTTGAAGATAAAAGAGCAAATTCAAACAGAAACTCAAGAACATCTAGAAAATAACAATAGTGAAAACACAGTATATAAGACCTTATGGAAATAGTTAAAAGAGAAGTCAGAGGAAAAATAGTATCCTCAAATACTTCTCTGAATACAAAAAGAAATAGGAAAATGTGTAAATTAGGCACCCAAGTTGCAAAATACAAAATAAGGCTAAGAAAAGCAGAAAGGTGAAGTTAATAAAGATAAGGAGAAATGAATGACTTAGAAATGAAGAAAAAAGGTGCTAAACAGTAAAATATAAAATTGATTAAAAACACCAAAAAGTAAACAACTTATTGTCCGCTCTGATAAAGAAAAGAGAGGAAAAGCAAAAAAAAAAAAAATACAAAATACAAAATATAAAATAAAGATCTGAGGGTGAGGCAAGATGGTGGAATAGAAGGCTCCACTGATTGTTCCCCCTACAGGAACGCCAAATTTTAACAACTAACTGCACACAAAGAAGCACCTTCATAGGAACCAAAAATGAGGTAAGTAATCACAGAACCTAGTTTTAACCTCATACTGCTGAAAGAGGCACTGAAGACATAGGAGAGACAGTCTTGATTCACAGATAACACCTCTCCCTCATTCCTCCCAGCAATGGCCGTGCAGCACAGACAGACAATCTGTGCACTTGGGGGAGGGAGAGCACAGTGACTGAGTGACTTTGCATTGAACTCTGTGCTACCCTGTCACAGCAGAAAGTAAAACCATGCTGAACTCAGTCAGTGCCTGCCCACAGAGGGACCATTTGGACCAGCCCTAGCCGGAGGAGAATGGCCCATTCCAGTGCTTAGAATTTGAGTTTCAGCAAGCCTCACCACAACAGGCTGAAGCGTACTAGGGTCCCAAGTGAACCTGAAAGGCAGTCTAGGACATAAAGACTGAAAATCTTAGGCAAGTCCTGGTGCTATGCTGGACTTAGAGCCAATGGAATGGGGCAGCATATGACCTAGGGAGACATCAGGCAGGGTGGCTTAGAAGTGTTTACAACACCCCTCCCCTAACCTCAGACAGGGAAGCTTAGAGCAACAAAAGTGACTCTTTCCATCTGCTTGAGAAGAGGAGAGAGAAGAGTAAAGAGGATGTTGTCTTGCATCTTGGATACCAGATAAGCCACAGTAGGATAGGGCACCTGGCAGAATTATGAGGCCCATATTCCAGGCCCTAGCCCCCAGACAATATTTCTAGACACACATTGGGCCAAAAAGGAACACTATTCCTTGAAGAGAAGGACCCAGTCCTGGCAGGATTCACCACCTGCTGAAAGAATTGTTGGGCCCTGAATAAACAAGAGCAATACCCAGATAGTATGCCATGGACCCTGGATGAGACTCTGAGATGTGCTGGCTTCAGGTACCAGCTCAACCACAGTGAAATAGAACACCAAGCAGGCTCTTGGGTTCCAAGTCCAGGCTTAGGCTCTTGGACAAAATTTTTGGAAGTGCCTTGGGCAAGAGGGGAGCCCACTACCCTAAAGTGTGAGTCCCAGGCCTGGCAGTATTCACCACAGACTGACTGAAGCACCCTTGGACCTTAAGTGAACATCAGCAGTGGCCTGGCAGTGTGATCTGCTTATGGGCTAGAGGTGGTAGTGGCCACAGGGAGAGGCTCTTTTGCCTGTGTAAAGGGGAGGGAAGAGAGAAGGACTTTGCCATATAATCTGAGTGCCAACTTAGCCAGAATAGAAGAGAATACCAGGTAAATTTCTAAGGTTTTTGACTCTGATTCCTGGCTGCCAGACAGCATCTCTGGACCCGCCCAGGGCCTGGGGGAACTCACCAACCTGAAAGGAAGAATGCAAACCTGGCTGGCTTCACTACCTGCTGATTGCAGAGCCCTAAAGCATTAAGTGAACATAGGTGGCAGACAGGTAATGGTTACATCAGGCCTTTGGAAAGACCCAGTGTTGTGCTGGCTTCCAGTCAGAGCCAGGGCAATTCTAGGTGTGATGGCCACAGTGTGCCTGCATCACCCCATCCCTACCTCCAGGTAGTTTAACACAGAGAGAGAGATACCATTTGTTTGAAAGAATGTAAGGAAAGAGAAAGAGTCTCTGTCTGATAATCCAAAGAGTTCATATGGATCTTATTCAAAACCACCAAGGTGATACATCTACAAGTCTGCATGAACCACAACATTACTGGGCTTGGGTCTCACATTTCTTCAAATACCTGAAAAGCCTTCCCAAGAAGGACAGGCACAGATTGAGAAGCCCACGTTGTGAGAACTACAATAAGTACGTAACTTTTCAATGCCCAGACACCAAAGAACATCTACAAGCATCAAGACCAGCCAGGAAAATATGACCTTGTCAAATGAAGTAAACCAAGCACCAGGGACCAATCTTGGAGAAACAGCCATATGTGACCTTTCAGTCAGAGAATTCAGAGTAGCTGTTTTGAGAAAAAAAGAAATTCAAGATATCACAGAGAAGGAATGCAGAATTCTATCAGATAAATATAACAAAGAGATTAAAGTGATTAAAAACAATCAAGCCAAATTCTAGAGTTGAAAAATGCAATTCACATACTGAAGAATGCATCAGAGTCTCCTAGTAGCAGAACTGATCAAGCAGAAGAATTAGGGAGCTTGAAGATAGGCTATTTGAAAAGACACAGCCAGAGGAGACAAAAGAAAAAAAAAAGAATAAAAAACAATAAAGCACACATTCAATATCCAGAAAATAGCCTCACAAGGGCAAATCTAAAAGTTATTGGCCTTAAGAAGGAAATAGAGAAAGTGATAGGGGTAGAAAGTTTATTCAAAGGGATAATATCAGAGAATTTCCCAAACCTAGAGAAAGGTATCAACATTCAAATACAAAAATGTTATAGAACATCAAGAAGATTTAATCTAAAGAGGTATTGAGGTATTAAATACCTCAAGGCATTTAACCCAAAGAGGTTTTGAGGTATTAAATACCTCAAAGCATTTAATAATCAAACTCCCAAAGGTCAAGGATAAAGAAAGGATCTTAAAAGCAGCAAGAAAGAGAAAAAAAAATACACAATTGAGCTCCAATACATCTAGCAGCAGACTTTTCCGCTGAAACCCTACAGGCGAGGAAAAAGTTGCATGACATATTTAAAATGCTGAAGGAAAAAATTTTTACCCCATAAGAGTATATTCAGTGAAAGTATCCTCCTTCAAGCATGAAAGAGAAATAAAGACTGTCCCAAACAAAAGCTGAGGGGTTTCATCAACACCAGACCTGTCCTACAAGAAATGCTAAAGGAAGTTCTTCAGTCTGAAAGAAAAGGACATTAATAAGCAATAAGAAATCATCTGAAGGTACAAAACTCACTGGTAATAGTAACTGCATAGACAAGCACAGAATATTATAATCCTGTAATTGTAAGGTGTAAGTTACTCACATCTTAAGTAGAAAGACTAAATAATGAACCAATCAAAAATAATAACTACAACAACTATTCAGGACATAGACAGTACAATAAGACATAAAGAGAAAGAACAAAAAGTTAAAAAGCAGGGAACAAAGTTAAGACATGGAGTCTTTATTAGTTTTATTTTTGTTTGTTTGGAACAGGGTTAAGTTGTTATCAGATTAAAATAATGGATTATAAGACAGTATTTGCAAGTCTCATGGTAACCTCAAATCAAAAAACATGCAATAGATATACAAAAAAGAAAAAGCAAGAAATTAAAACATATCACCAGAGAAAATCACCTTCACTAAAAGGAAGACAGGAAAGAAGAAAAAAAGGAAGAGATAAACACAAAACAATCAGAAAACAAATAACAAAATGGCATGTGTAAATCCTTACTTATCAATAATAACATTGAATGTAAATGGGCTAAACTCTCCAATAAAAAAGATACAGAGTGGCTGAATGAATGAAAAAGCAAGATCTAATGATCTGTTGCCTGCAAGAAATGCACTTCACCTATAAAGATAAACAGAGGCTGAAAATAAAGAGACAGAAAAAGATATTGCATGTCAATGGAAACCAAAGAAAAGCAGGAGTACCTAAACTTATATCAGACAAAATAGATTTTAAGACAAAAACTATAAGAGGAGACAAAGAAGGTCATTACATAATGATAAAGGGGTCAATTCAGCAACAGGATATAACAATTGTAAATATATATGTACCCAATACTGGAGTACCCAGATACATAAAGCAAATTTTATTAGAGCTAAAGAAAGAGTTAGAATTCAATTCAACAATAGCTACAAATTCCAACACCTCACTTTCAGCATTGGGCAGATCTTCTAAACAGAAAATCAACAAGAAACATTGGATTTAATCTACACTGTAGAGCAAATGGACCTAATAGGTATTTACAGAACATTCCATCCAACAGCTGCAGAATACACATTCTCCTCCTTAGCAAATGGATCATTCTCAAGGATAGACTACACATTAAATTACAAAACAAGTCTTAAAACATTCAAAACAATTGAACTAATATTAAGCATCTTCTCTAACCACAAAGGAATAAAACTAGAAATCAACAAGAGGAGGAATTTTGGACACTATACAAACACATGGAAATTAAGCAATATCCTCCTGAATGACCATAGGTCAATGAAGAATTAAGAAGGAAATTGAGACCAGGCATCATGGCACACATCTGTAATCCTAGCACTTTGGGAGGCCAAAGCAGGAGGATCGCTTGAGGCCAGGAGTTCAAAATCAGCCTGGGCAAGATGGCAAGAACCTGTTTCTATTAAAAATTTTTAAAAAGAAGGAAACTGAAAAATTCCTTCAAACAAATGATAATGAAAACACAATACAGCAAAACCTGTAGGATACAGTGAAAGTGAAAGCAATTCTAAAAGGGAAATATACAGCCATAAGTGCTTACATCAAAAAAGAGAAAAAACTTCAAATAACTTAATGTTGCATCGTAAAGAACGAGAAAAATAAGAGGAAACCAAACCCCAAATTCCTAAAAGAACTAATAAAGATCAGAGCAGAAATAAATGAAATTGAAACAGCAAAAGAAAAGGCCAATGAAACAAAAAGTTGGTTTTTTGAAAGATAAACAAAAGTGACAAACCTTTAGCCAGACTAAGAAAAAAAGAGAATATTCAAGTAAATAAAATCAAAGATGGAAAAGGAGACATTATAACTGATATCACAGACATTCAAAGGATCATTAGTGGCCACTAGGAGGAACTATATGCCAATAAACTGGAAAATCTAGAGGAAATGAATCAATTCCTAGACACATACAACCTACCGAGATTGAAAAACACAATCTTATGAAAAAACCCAAAGCCTAAACAGACCAATAGCAAGTAACAAGATGAAACAGTAATAGTCTCCTAGTAAAGAAAACCCCAGGACCTGATGTCTTCACTGCTGAATTCCACCATTTAAAGAAGAACTAATACCAATTCTACTCAAACAATTCCAATAAATAGAGGAGAAGGGACTACTTCCAAACTCATTCTGCAAAGACAGTATTACCGTCATAGTAAAACCAAAGACACATCAAAAACACAAAGAAAACTACAGGCCAATATCCCTTATTAATATTGATGCAAAAATACTCAATAAAATACTAGCAAACCAAATTCAACAATACATTAAAAAGATTATTCATCATGACCAAGTGGGATTTATTCCAGGGATGCAAGAATGGTTCAACATATGTAAATCATTTACTGTGGTACATCATATCAACAGAATGAAGGAAAAAATTTATATGATCATTTCAATTGATGCTAAAAAAGCATTTAATAAAATTCAATATCCCTTCATGATTTTTAAAAAAGAAAACACAAAAAACTGGGTATAGAAACATACCTCAACATGATAAAAGCCGTGAATGGCAGGCCCATAGCAGATATTATATTGAATGGGGAAAAACTGAAAGCCTTTCCTCTAAGATCTGGAACAAGACAAGGATGCCCACTTTCACCACTGTTATTCAACATAGTACTGAAAGTTCTAACTAGAGCAATCGCATAAGAGAAAAAAATTAATAGCATTCAGATTGAGAAGAAAAAAGTCAAATGATCCTCATTTGCAGATGATATAACGTAGTTGGAAAAACTGTTAGAACTTATAAACTATTAGAACTTATAACTATTAGAACTTACAAACAAACTGCAAAAAAACTATTAGAACTTATAAACAAATTCAGTAAAGTTGCAGGATACAAAATTAACATACAAAAATCAATAGCATTTCTATATGCTAACACTGAACAATCTGAAAAAGGAATTTAAAAAGTAATCCCACTTACAATAGCCACAAATAAAATTAAACAACTAGGAATTAATTTAACTTAACCAAAGAAGTGAAAGATCTCTATAATAAAAACTATAAAACCTATGAAATAAATTGAAGAGGACACACGAAAATGGAAAGATATTCCATGTTCATGGATTGGAAGAATGAATATTGTTAAAATATCCACACTACCCAAAGCAATCTACAGATTCAACATGATTCCTATCAAAATACCAATGACATTTTTCACAGGAATAGAAAACACAATCCTAAAATTTATATGGAACCACAAAAGACCAAGAAGAGCCAAAGCTATCCTGAGCAAAAAGAACAAAACTGAAGAAACTACATTACCTAACTTCAAATTATACTTCAGAGCTATGGTAACCAAAACAGCATGGTACTGGAGTAAAAACAAATGCACAGACCAATGGAATGCAATAGAGAACCCAGAAGCAAATGCACATACCTAGAGAGAACTCATTTTCGACAATGATGCCAAGAACATATATTGGGGAAGACAGTCTCTTCAATAAATGGTGCTGGGAAAACTGGATATCCATATTCTGAAGAATGAAACCAGACCCCTATCTCTCACCATGTACAAAAATCAAATCAAAATAGATTAAAGATGTAAATCTAAGACCTTAAACTATGAAATGTCTATAAGAAAACATTGGGGAAACTCTCCAGGACATTGGTCTGGGCAAAGATTTCTTGAGTAATATCTCACAAGCCCAGGCAATCAAGGCAAAAATGTACAAATGGAATCACATCAAGTTAAAAAGCTTCTGCACAGCAAAGGAAACAATCAAGAAAGTGAAGAGACAACTCACATAAAGGCAGAAAATATTTGCAAACTATCCCTCTGACAAGGGATTAATAACTAGAATATATAAGGAGCTCAAATAACTCCATAGGAAAAAAATCTAATAATCCAATTTTTTAAATGAACAAAAGATCTGAATAGACATTTCTCAAAAGAAGACATACAAATGGCAAGCAGGCATATAAAAAGGTGCTCAACATCACTGATCATCAGAGAAATGCGAATCAAAACTACAGTGAGATATCATCTTACCTCAGTTAAAATGACTTTTACTTAAAAGACAGGCTATAAGAAATGCTGGTGAGGATGTGGAGAAAAGGGAACCCTCGTACACTGTTGGTGAGAATGTAAATTAGTACAACCACTATGTAGAACAGTTTGAATGTTTCTCAAAAAAACAAAAAAAAATAGAACTACCATACAATCCAGCAATCCCACTGCTAGGTACACACCCCAAAATAAGGAAATCAGGATATTGAAGAGATATCTGCCCTCTCGTGTTTATTGCACTATTCACAATAGCCAAGATTTGGAAGCAAACTAAATGTACATCAACAGATGAATGGATAAAAAAAATCTGTTATTAATACACAATAGAGTGCTATTTAACCATAAAAAAATGAGATCCTGTCATTTGCAACAACATGGATAGAACTGGAGGTCATTACAATAAGTGAAATAAGCCAGGCACAGAAAGACAAACCTCACATGTTCCCACTCATTTGTGAGAGCTAAAAATTAAAGCAATTGAACTCATGGAGATAGAGAGGAGAATGATGGTTATCAGAGGCCGGGAAGGATAGTGGGGGCATGGCGGCAGCGGGGTGGGGATGGTTAATGGGTACAAAAATAGTTGGAAAGAATGGATAAGACCTAGTATTTAATAGCACAACAGGGTGACTATAGTCAATAATAATTTAATTGTACATTTTAAAGTAACTAAAAGGCTTTATTGGATTGTTTGTAACACAAAAGAAAAATGCTTGAGAGTATAGATACCCCATTTACCACGATGAGATTATCACATATTGCATGCCTGTATCAAAATATCTCATGTATCCCATAAATATATACACCTACTATGTACCCACAAAAATTACAAATAAAAATAATTTTTAAAAAACAATGAGAAGAATGAAATAAATAACTAACTCAGATTCAAAGAAAAATTGAAGAACATAATGGACTATTTTTTCAATTTCATATAACAGATAATTTTCTAGGAAAAAAATAGCTTGCTAAGGCTTCCTAACAGGGTATCCTTGATAGCCTGAAAGAAATTAAGAAGGCACTTTATTTTTCCCCTACTCGGTACTGTCCTCAAGCTCAGGAATGGAGGTTCTATATCAACACAAAAGTGAAGTCACTGGCTTTCTAAAGCACAGTTGCCACCAATGGATGCCTAGTGACCAGAGCAATTTCTTTTTGCAGAGACTACAGCTCCACGAAAATGATAGAGCAAGCTGAAGGTATTCAAGGGGGGAACAGTGACACTGGTTCACTGCATTCTGCCAAGCAAAGCCTTTTAGATGGTGTGGAGGCAAAAAGAACCCTGACAAAATATTGTTTACATTTTTGTTTTTATACACTCTAACGTTGCAGAGTGTAACAGAACCAGAAAGATCAAGTCCAGAAGGATTCCATACCTCAGCCCTGCAACAACACATTATTGCCAGGGTCAAGGAGTTAGGTTACATGAGATTTCCAACTACCTGCTCATCTGAGAAGTTGCTGTCAGCACTCAGAAAAAGGGTGAACTAGACCAGGGACATTCCAGATATTATATTGGCAAACATCAGGTATGGATGTAAATCTCAGAAAGCCTCTTGGTTCAAAATTCATGGCTTCTGCACAAGAATTAGATCTTGCTGAGCAAGAGAACCCAGAGCAGAGTTTGCTCTTATCTTTAGAAATTTCAAATGTCCATGCTCATATATCTCCTCATTACAACCTTCTAAAATTGCTTTACTGATGAGTTATTAAAATAGAGAAAGTCACATGGAGTTTTTAATTTTGGTATCTGAAAAGATCCCACTCCTACTTCTGTGATTTATTTTACCGGGTAAGTAACTATATTTGTCCAATCTCAGGACTTGGACCTAAAGTCAACAAGTTTCATCCTGCAACACTATCCCTACAGAAGATATCTATGGCATATTAATAAACAGTGGCATTGGATTCACCCAAATCTAGATGGTCCTGCTATAGCCTAAGTATTTGTATCCCTTCCACCAACAAAAAAAAATATGTTAAACCTAGTCCCTAATATAATGTTGTTAGAAGTGGGTCCTTTGGGAGATAATTAGGTCACGAGGTTAGAGTCTATGTAAATGAAATTAGTTTCCTTATAGGAGGCCCAAGGGAGCTCATTAGCCCCTTCCACCATGTGAAGACACAACAGCATGGCATCATCTATCAATCAGGAAACAGGGCCTCACCAGATACAGAATCTGCCAGCATTTTAATCTTGGATATTCCAGCCTTCAGAACTATGAAAGATAAATTGTCATTTATAAGCTACCTGGTCTATGGTATTTTGTTATAGCAGCCCGAATGAACTAAGATAGGCCCCTTAATTCATTTCTGTCCACAGGGCACAGATATCTCCAAAGCAAAAGCAGCTTTAGATGTCGAGCCATCTCAAAATATCTGGCAGCTACAGATAGGCCTCAAACAAGGCAGACTTATTTTGCTGTATATTTTCCATTTTCCCTACCAGATCCCCTGTCTGCCTTTCTTTACTCTGCTCTCTGTCCTGAGAGTCATCTGTATGGAGCACATCAATTGTTTCCCAAGTCCTCTGGCTTTCACTTGGATTGAGCCAATGTGAAGCTGAAGCACTTGTAGTAGTGAAGGGAGGAGAATGGTGGCTCCCTCCCTACAAGGTCACTGAGAGATAACTGTATTCATCCACCAAAAGTCATTGTTCCATTCAAGAAGGCTGACTCTATAAAAACATTCCCACCTTGGTCTTTCTGGGTCTCAGCATGGTAACAGCTCAATCGCTAACAAGACGCTGAATTATTGCACCATCTCCTGTGCATATCATTACAAATAGTTCTTTTGTATACAAACCTTCTCTAATTATTTCATATTGAAGGTGCCATCTGTCTTCCATGAAGGTAGGAAGATAGTCTCAATTGGGGAACTTCTAAAACTATAGACAAGACAAATTTTATCCATCAAAATGGAAGTTTATCACCTGCCTGTTTGAAGTAGAATTGTCAGACAGCATTTACTCCCACATCAAAAGCCAATAAATCTCTAAAGCAATTGTTCACATGGGAATAACAAATGTTGATAGTATGTTTACTGGTGTCCCTGAGAAAAGACCTTCTATCCTGGTATGTGTGGGCCCACAGCCTGTGAACTGATTCCCCCTGGCTCATCATAAAGTAAACACTGATATGCTCTGCTTTGCCCCACCCACCCCACACAGAACTCCCCTTAAAATTCCCATTCAGGGAAGATACCTTAGGGAAAAGAGTCCTACCTCCACAATAGCAGAGTAAATTCATACCAGTATGCAGTCCTGCTTTCTTAGATATGAAGACATAGCCACTGATGACCAGAAACATGAAGAGAACAAACAGTATGAAAGAGAAATAGACAAAATGACTTCAAAATAAGTCAGATAAAAAAGAAAATGATTTTTAAATCCTACAGTAAATAAAAGTATTGCCTTCACAAAACAAAATGAGTGCTATGACAAAGAATTAATTAATAAAAATTGGAAACAAAGATACTAGAAATTTAAAATCATTCCTGAAATAAAATACTTAGAACTAAAAAAAAGTCAAATAAATTTTATAGAAATGAAGCAAAGAAACAAAGTCATGAAAAAAGAAAAGAAATTCAAAGGTTACCAACATCCAGTTAATAAGCTCCGTAAAGAGAAACCTAAAAACAATACAAACAAACAAAAGAAACTAAAAGGGAGAAAATTATCAAAGAAATAATACAAGAAATTTTCCCAGAGCTTAAAAAAGACATGTCTTCTGATTAAAAGTACAAACAAAATGCCTAGCATGATAACTTAAAAAGAAAAAAAGATGCATAGCTAAACACATAATTTTGAAATGTCAAAATTCTGAGCATAACAAAAAGATTTTAAAAGCCTCCAGAAAGAAAAATGAGTTACCTGCAAAGGATGCCTTCTCATCAGCTCAGCAGATATTAGAAGCCAATGGGCCAGTGCTTTTAAAGTTCTCAGGGAAAATAATTTTCAACATAGAGTTCTATACCCAGCCAAATTATCAATTAAATGTGAGAGCAAAGTAAAGATATTTTAGAGATGTAAAAAGTCAAAGAGCTTCTCTTTTTTAATGCAATTTTAATAAAAATGCTAGTTTGAATTTTTATGAGGAAGTTGATAAATACATTATAACATTTACAAGAAAGAATAAATATCAACAAACAGAATCAGCCTTGATAAAAAGAGATGGGGGCGAGGAGGTACGCTCCATATAAGCTTCTAAGGGATACTATAAAACTTCAGAAAAGAAAGCATATAGACATCTATTGGTTCACTGGATGGTGGTAGGAAAAGAATTGTACATCCCTACCTAAAACCTCCAGAAAGTTATGCTCCAGATAAATTAAAGTCTTAAAAATAAAAGAGAAAGCAATAAATAAGCTTAAAAGACAAAAATGTAACAGAATATCTATATATTCCAAAGACTAGAAAGAAATTTGGGAGTTTTATTTAA
This sequence comes from Homo sapiens, assembly GCF_000001405.40. Lineage (NCBI taxonomy): Eukaryota > Metazoa > Chordata > Mammalia > Primates > Hominidae > Homo > Homo sapiens. The sequence goes on along the minus strand of NC_000001.11, from coordinate 95,460,637 downwards.
AACCCCCAAAAGCATAAACTATAGAACTAAAAAGAAATTTATAATTTGATTATATAAAACTTAAGAGTTCAACTTAAGCTCAACTTGTCATCATGTGAAGCCACTGACAAAGTCAACAGACATATAAAAGATTGATATAATACATACCTATGTTTAAGCTAGTCACTACTTAGGATATTTAAGGGATTCCTGCAAACTAGTATAAAAAAAACAACCTCAGTAAAAACAGGGGAAGGGTAAGATAGGCAATTTGCAAAAGAGGGAACCCAAAAGACCAACAAATATGTGAAGTATTTTTTAAATAATTAGTTCACAGAGAAATTCAAAATAAAACATCAAGGAATTACCGCTTTATGTCCATTAAGCTGGCAACAAGTATAAAGTTGTAGAAGTGTAGATACAGACACCCCAGAGAACAATCTGGTGACAAAATGATTACATACATAACCCAGAAATTTCACTGCGGTATCTGTATCCCAAAGTAATTCCCACAGGGGGTCCTTATGGGTACATATATGAGGATGCTTATTGCAGCTCTTTTGTAGAGTAGGGAACTGGAAGCAGTCTAAGTGTCCATAACAAAGGGAGAGGTAATGTTAAATGTGGCAAGGGTACACCATGGAGTACTGTTGTTGGGGTTCAGAAAAAGATACCCCAAAATATGGCACTTTAGCAGGCTGAGTGCTTTGAATTAAAGAAATTGAAAGGCCTCAGAACTAAGCCTCAGAACCAAGGTCTCCCTCTGACCCTCCCCCACCCCTCTGTCTCTCTGATCCTCTTTCATTTTTGAAGCGCAGCAAGGGACTCTCTCTGGAATTTCCTTATCTGACTAGGGAGGCTTCTTTCCAAAAGAAATGTAACTGTCTTAAGACCCCCTCCTTAGGAATCTCATCAAATAATTAGGAAAAATTAACCACAGGAGAAGAGAAGAGACTCCGAGTCCCCACTATACCCAGACAGGCTTTTGTTTTTTTTATCTATAAATGTTTACCATTCAAACTATATTTACTGAGATCCTTCAAAAATAATTCTTAGAAATTTAAATTCGTAATCAACTCACCTACTTTATTACACCTGTGCTTATTTAAAAACAATGCATGGCATCACCTATATAGTTTTATAACTATTTATATCCCCATTATTTTGACTAGGATAGGGTAGCTTACAGCATATAAATGTACCACAATTCTTCATACATTATACACACCTATACACATATTCATATGTAAATGCTCTAGAGAGTTGCTGAGGCAACTAGGACTTAAGGGGCCAACATCCATGAAAAACAAGAATATAGGCAAGTAAGCCAATTTGATTTGAGTACATCTGTAATCTCTGTCTTTTTTTAAATTTTTTTTTATTACACTTTCAGTTCTGGGATACATGTGCAGAATGTGCAGGTTTGTTACATAGGTATACACGTGCCATGTTGGTTTGCTGCACCCATCAACCCGTCATCTACATTAGGTATTTCTCCTAATACTATCACTCCCCTAGCCTCCTACCCACTGACAGGCCCAGGTGTGTGATATTCCCCTCCCTGTGTCCATGTGTTCTCATTGTTCAACTCCCACTTATGAGTGAGAACATGCCGTGTTTGGTTTTCTGTTCTTGTGTTAGTTTGCTGAGAATGATGTTTCCAGCTTCATCCATGCCCCTGCAAAGGACATGAATTCATCTTTTTTACGGCTGCATAGTATTCCACAGTGTATATGTGCCACATTTTCTTTCTCTAGTCTATTATTGATGGGCATTTGGGTTGGTTCCAAGTCTTTGCTATTGTGAACAGTGCTGCAATAAACATACATGTGAATGTGCCTTTATAGTAGTATGATTTATAATCTTTTGGGTATATATACAGTAATGGGATTGCTGGGTCAAATAGTATTTCTGGTTCTAGATCCTTGAGGAATCGCCACACTGTCTTCCACAATGGTTGAACTAATTTACACTCCCACCAACAGTGTAAAAGTGTTCCTATTTCTCCACATCCTCTCCAGCATCTGTTATTTCCTGACTTTTTAATGATCGCCATTCTAACTGGCATGAGATGGTATCTCATTATGCTTTTGATCTGCATTTCTCTAATGACCAGTGAAGATGAGCTTTTTTTTCATATGTTTTTTGGCTGCATAAATGTCTTCTTTTGAGAAGTGTCTGTTCATATCCTTTGCCCACTTTTTGATGGGGTTGTTTTTTTCTTGTAAATTTGTTTAAGTTCTTTGTAGATGCTGGATATTGGCCCTTTGTCAGATGGATAGACTGCAAAAATTTTCTCCAATTCTGTAGGTTGCCTGTTCATTCTGGTGAGAGTTTCTTTTGCTGTGCCGAAGCTCTTTAGTTTAATTAGATCCCATTTGTCAATTTTGGCTTTTGTTGCCATTGCTTTTGGTGTTTTAGTCATGAAGTCTTTGCCCATGCCTGTGTCCTGAATGGTATTGCCTAGGTTTTCTTCTAGGGTTTTTATGGTTTTAGATCTTACATTTAAGTCTTTAATCCACCTTGAATTAATTTTTGTATAAGGTGTAAGGAAGAGGTCCAGTTTCAGTTTTCTGCATATGGCTAGCCAGTTTTCCCAACACCATTTATTAAATAGGGAATCCTTTCCCCATTTCTTGTTTTTGTCAAGTTTGTCAAAGATCAGATGGTTGTAGATGCATGGTGTTATTTCTGAGGCCTCTGTTCTGTTCCATTGGTCTATATCTCTGTTTTGGTACCAGTACCATGCTGTCTTGGTTACTTAGCCTTGTAGTATAGTTTGAAGTCAGGTAGCGTGATGCCTCCAGCTTTGTTCTTTTTGCTTAGGATTGCCTTGGCTATGTGGGCTCTTTTTTGGCTCCATATGAAATTTAAAGTAGTTTTTTCTAATTCTGTGAAGAAAGCCAGTGGTAGCTTAATGGGGATAGCATTGAATCTATAAATTACTTTGGGCAGTATGGCCATTTTTGTGATATTGATTCTTCCTATCCGTGAGCACGGAATGTTCTTCCATTTGTTTGTGTCCTCTCTTATTTCTTTGAACAGTGGTTTGTAGTTCTCCTTTAAGAGGTCCTTCACATCCATTGTAAGTTGGATTCCTGGGTATTTTATTCTCTTTGTAGCAATTGTGAATGGGAGTTCACTCATGATTTGGCTCTCTGTTTTTCTATTATTGGTGCATAGGAATGCTTGTGATTTTTGCACATTGATTTTGTATCCTGAGACTGCTGAAGTTGCTTTTCAGCTTAAGGAGATTTTGGGCTGAGATGATGGGGTTTTCTAAATATACAATCATGTCATCTGCAAACAGAGATAATTTGACTTGCTGTCTTCCTATTTGAATACCCTTTATTTCTTTCTCTTGCCTGATTGCCCTGGCCTGAAATTCCAATACTATGTTGAATAAGAGTGGTGAGAGAGGGCATCCTTGTCTTGTGCTGGTTTTCAAAGGGAATGCTTCCAGTTTTTGCCCATTCAGTATGATATTGGCTGTGGGTTTGTCATAAATAGCTCTTATTATTTGGAGATACGTTCCATCAATACCTATTTTATTGAAAGTCTTTAGCATGAGGGCTGTTGAATTTTGTCAAAGGCCTTTTCTGCATCTATTGAGATAATCATGTGGTTTTTGTCTTTGGTTTTATGTGATGGATTGCGTCTATTGATTTGTGAATGTTGAACCAGCCTTTTATCCCAGGGATGAAGCCAACTTGATCATGGTGGATAAGCTTTTTGATGTGCTGCTGGATTCAGTTTGGCAGTATTTTATTGAGGATTTTCGCATTGATGTTCATCAGGGATATTGGCCTGAAATTTTCTTTTTTTGTTGTGTCTCTGCCAGGTTTTGGTATCAGTATGATGCTGGCCTCATAAAATGAGTTAGGGAGGATTCCCTCTTTTTCTATTGATTGGAATACTTTCAGAAGGAATGGTACCAACTCCTCTTCATACCTCTGGTAGAATTCAGCTGTGAATCCATCTGGTCCTGGACGTTTTTTGGTTGGTAGGCTATTAATTTTTGCCTCAATTTCAGAACTTGTTACTGGTCTATTCAGGGATTTGACTTCTTCCTGGTTTAGATTTTGGAGGGTGTATGTGTCCAAGAATTTATTCATTTCTTCTAGATTTTCTAGTTTATTTGTTTAGAGGTGTTTATAGTATTCTCTGATGGTAGTTTGTATTTCCATGGGATCAGTGGTGATATCCCCTTTATCATTTTATATTGTGTCTATTTGATTCTTCTCTGTTTTCTTCTTTATTAGTCTGGCTAGTGGTCTATGTATTTTATCGATCTTTTCAAAAAACCAGATCCTGGATTCATTTATTTTTTGAAGAGTTTCTTGTGTCTTTATCTCCTTTAGTTCTGCTCTGATCTTAGTTATTTCTTGTCTTCTGCTAGCTTTTGAATTAGTTTGCTCTTGCTGGTCTAGTTCTTTTAATTGTGATGTTAGGGTGTTGATTTTAGATCTTTCCTGCTTCCTCTTGTGGGCATTTAGTGCTATAAATTTCCCTCTAAACATTGCTTTAGCTGTGTCCCAGAGATGCTGGTACATTGTGTCTTTGTTCTCATGGGTTTCAAAGAACTTATTTATTTCTGCCTTAATTTCATTATTTACCCAGTATTCATCTGGGAGCATGTTGTTCAGTTTCCACGTAGTTGTGCGGTTTTGAGTGAGTTTCTTAATCCTAAATTCTAATTTGATCACAATGTGGCCAGACAGACTTTTTATCTGTTCTTCTGAGGACAGCTTGAAGAAATTGCCTGAGAAAGTTTATTTGCATAATAGACAACTTTTGTTCTCAGTAAAGTTCTGCTCCACACCTTCCGACCACCTCCCCAGAGCTCAGAGGAACTGTTCTCAGACCACCATTTTTGGGCTCTTTTACTTCCCTTGAAAATCATTTACTTTTTTACCCCCCATCTCCCCTTCTTCTGTGAAGAAATACCATATATAAGCATCTGGACCTCGTTGGGTTATTAGGTAATCATTCTCCACCATGCTTCTGAATATTAAATAAATTTAGATGCCTTTTCCTCCTATTAATCTGTCTATTGTCAGTGATTTCAGTAAGCCTTCAGGGTGGGTAGAGAAAAAGCTATTTTTCCACCCCTACACTAGAAACAAGGGATTGGATATACACATAGCAGTATGGATTGACCTCACAAATAAAATGCTTAGAGAACATTTTATCTAACAAATCTAACAGATCTAACAAATAGATTTGTATTTATTTGTTACATCTGTTTTATCTAACAGGTTTAACTAATAAAATGCTTAGAGAGGATAAAATGTAAAAGACATGAAAAACGTAGCTGTGTCAGTAAGAATCCTTCCCAGAAAACAGAACTTATGCCAGGTCGTTAAATAGGGGTTATTTAATATAGAAAATTAATTCAACATTCTAGAAGAGCTTCAAAGAGCAAATAAAGGAGTGTAAGGCAGTACAGAAGCCAACAACTGATGCAGTTTCTTCACCTTTATTTCATTGTTTTTCCTCCAAGACTTTTCAGGTATATTTTTTCTAATCATCCCCTACCATGATACGCTGAATATCTATCCGTGCACTGTTAGTATATCTGTGCTTTCTACATAAAAAGCAGGATTCCCCTCCCCCAAGAACAATATTAGCCCCTTTAGTGGCAAGATTCCACCCTTGAAAATGCATGTGCCAGAAGAATAAAGAGAAAAGTAAGGGGACATCACTGGAGCCTGGAATCTAGGCCACCTGGCTGGTGCTAGAAGCACAATGGAGATGTAGCCACCATCAAAGTCACCACCTAGGCAGAAGCTAGGATAGAGGGAATACACCGACATTTTCCTACCTCCTTTATTCTAATCTCAGTGCCTCCTATTTGCCAAAATTAACCAGAAGCCAGGCAAGTCTGAGAAATGCAGTTTTTTTGGGGTCATCCCCTTATGTGTGAAATAGAACAGAGCAAGAAAAATGCGGGAAATTGATCTGAGAAGTTACAGGTAAATGGCCAACACAGTAGTGCATGCCATTTACTTACATTAAAAAAAAAAGTATACAAACAAAAGAATATACACTTTGCAAGAACATATCATGCAAGAAGAGCACATTAAGCACATTGGAAATGGTTGCCTAAGTGAGGGATAAGAGTGGATTGGGAAGAGAGAATAAAGATTAAAGGGAGTTTGAAAAAGAAGAGAAAATTACTTCAGGGAATAGTTTTCTTAAGGAGCTACTCCAGCAAAACAAAGGCATAAACAAAGAAAGAGGCCAATATAGGAACCAAGAGATAGAGGTATAACCTAGGAGAGGAGTAGGAGAAAAGCCAGGATGACAGCTGTACAGCAAACAGAGGGAACAATGAGTCCAGATTAGAGCCAAAGGACAGAAAATTGTAGGAGGAGTAGCAGCAGAAGGGGCTGCCTCTGGGGAGTGAAACCTCATCTAAGTGGGAAGGAACAGAGCTGGGGACTTGTTTTCATGACAGCATAATCTATTGTGGTTCAGTTGTTACCAGTGTTCACTTAACTCTTTCACCAAAAAAATTAAAATTAAAAAGAAATCTTCAGTGCAATTCACTTTTGCTCAATAAAATTTTATTGAGAGTCTACTCTTGACAAACAAAAAGTTTCTTTTGCAGCAAAAAGAACCATACTCTTTAAGTTGGCATAAAGGTTGGCATAAGTTGCCATAAGTTGGCATAAGTTGGCATTGACTCCGGGTAATGAGATTTCATATTCCATCAAAATCCTGAATAGGACAGGGGAGGTCTCATTAGTGGTTTCATGACTGAACAGGTGTAGAGGTCCCATGCGCACAACAGGTAGAAAGAGGCCATTTCAATTCCATGTGTGGACGTATCTAGGAAATTGGAAAGAGGGAAAAAGTGCTCTACCACAACTGCCACTTCAGGGAAATTGTAGCTTTTAGGAGCCCTGCATGATCTGACCCTGAAGAATCTGCCTAACATTATCTCTCTCCTCCAGCCAGTCTAAGTCCTTAGAAGTCTCCAAACCTGAGATTCTGTTTCCTGCCTGCCTATCTTTATACAGGCTGCTTCCTTTACCTTGAGTGGTCTCCTACCTTTGTCTTCCTGGCCACCCTATGATCCCTTTTCCACCCTCTGAGGTCTTCACATCCCAGGCAGGAATGCTCTCACTCTCTCCCACCCACCTGCTATAGGACTTACCACATGGCCTATCATTATTTACTTTATCATTTCTCCTCTTCTAAACATTAAATGTATTCATCCTTGTATTCACAGAAGCAATTATAGTGTTTGACACACATTAGATACTCAATAAATGCTTCTTTAGTGAACATTTTCATCAATGAATGAATAGCAAATGAATGAAAACAATGAAAATGCATTAGACAAATTAATTTGGTGGTATTTTATATTGATTGTGTGTTACATATATTATTAGTTTGGTGCAAAAGTAATTGCGGTTTTTGGTATTAAAAGTAATGGCAAAACTGCAATTAGTTTTGCACCGACCTACTATATTACTATGAATACTCCCCAAACAAAAATGTTATAGTATTATTTATGTATTATATTCATGTGCATTTATTTATACCTTCTCTTTCCAAAAGAATGATTTGAGAAAGACCAAAGTATATAAATATCCTTTACATTCACACCCACTTTAAATCAGGTCAGCAGGAGTTTTTGTTAGCTAGACGTTTTCAGGTTAAGATCTTCCTTATCTTCCTTATCAATAAAACCCCACATTGCTAAGGATTTGACTTGTTTCTGAAACAAATCATCAGAATTTTTTTTAAGTCGGAAACAATGAAGTTTCTTTTGTGTTAATTCTTTTAGGGCAAAGGTCTAAATGGGGGCCAGAATATTGAGAAGCCCGGTAGCTGCCGTCTGGCTGGACAAGGGAGCGCCACCTTCTCTTCTGGACTCTAATTTCTTCTCTGAGTGGCGCATCTTTTTCACAGCACCAAGCAAATGGAATGATGGCTTCAGGAGGGGGATGGGGAACAGATGTCATTCATTGACTCCGGGTAATGAGATTTCATATTCCGTCAAAATCCTGAATAGGACAGGTGAGGTCTCATTAGTGGTTTCATGACTGAACAGGTGTAGAGGTCCCATGCGCACAGCAGGTAGAAAGAGGCCATTTCAATTCCATGTATGGACGTATCTAGGAAATTGGAAAGAGGGAAAAAGTGCTCTACCACAACTGCCACTTCAGGGAAATTGTAGCTTTTAGGAGCCAAAACAATATTAATTCAGACCACTGGTACAGACCTCATCCAGGGGCCAGGAAAATGGCTGAAGGCAGGAGACAGGTGATATTCAGTCCTAATGATACAGTGCAACAGAGGTCATCTCCTTATTTCTTTGGTTCCATATGGCATGTCATAAAATTTTAGCACTCTTTAGCCAACAAAGTAATAACCCTCTTAAGGCCAACAGTCAAAAAAATGAGACTACAGGGCAGAATGAAATTTTGTCTCAAAAACTAATGGCAGAAACCTCTTTAGAAGATGGGCCACATTAGAAGCAGTGTGTGAATAAAATGTTCCAGAGCGTAGATAAGCCTGTCTAGCAATTTGGCAGCTGTCTTCTGGACAAGTATCCTTTACTAGAGTTAACAATTAAGAAACCGACCCCGCTGCCTGTCTGCTGAAAGAAATCCACACTATAGCAAGAACCAGGTGACCCAGACATACAGTCCCAACTGGGACTGCTATTTGGCAGGCCCAAAATAACTAAGATGTAGACAAATAGCTCAGCATGTTTTCATGGGGAATATGTTTCTGAAGCCTTCAATATGTAGCAGTTACTTATGACCCTCTACCTAAACGTTCAAGGTCTTTCTAAATGGCCATCCACCCTGGAATCACAATCACAGTGTCAGACTTACTTGTTAATTCTTCTTCAGTCAACTTCACAGAACTCAACTCCTTAGTAAAATCTCAGTAACGTCATTTAGAATATGTCAAGGGCAGGTTAGTCACAATTATAAATGTATATTTTAAAAATACATTTTATCCCAGCTACTTGGGAGGCTGAGGCAGGAGAATTGCTTGAATCTGGGAGGCGGAGGTTGCAGTGAGTCAAGATTGCGCCCACTCCGGCCTGGGAGACAAGAGTGAGATTCTATCTCCAAAAAAAAAACACATTTTAACACATTTTAAATATATTAAATAATTTTTGTTATGTTTCCTATTGGTTCCCATTTGGCAGCCTTGTCCTCTTTAAAAAGTCTGATTTCTCCAACCTTTTCAAGAAAGTGGTCATATAGTTACTATGAACTCACCATGTGTCAGTCACCCCGTTAGGCACTTGATGTGAGCTGTTCCATCCATCCTCACATCAATATTACCAAGTGCTGAGGCTTTCACAGGCAAAGTCATGTGATCAGCATCACAGGCTAGTAGACAGTGAAGGTACAATGAAAACGCCTGTCTCGAGCACCAAAGCCCAGGCTTTGTTCATGGCATTATACTGCCTCCTGTGGTCACAGAGAAGTGGCTCAAAACATTGAATGAAGGCCAGATCTTGCCAAGGAAAGCTAACAATGACCTGTTTTAATAAATAAGACCCATTTATAATAACTATTAGCATATTTTTGGCTTTTAAGTGGCTGATTCTAAAGTGGCTTGGGAAATACTGAAAAACTATTCACTTCCTTAAACAGGCTAAGAATGGCTTCCATGAACTTAATATGCTCTTCTATACTCCCTTTTATTACTGAAGTGGTATAGAAGGCATATCTCAACCCACTCCATGTCTCCAAGATCTCAAAATCTGTGTTGCTACAGTAGTAAATATGCCTTTTATATGTAGTACTTTCTTCTCATCAGTATATCATTATTCAGAAAAATAATTCTTCAGCCATTTTATGTGATCGAATATCCCAACAGGACTTGGATCTCTGAGAGCATGCACACCATGTCTTCTTTTTCTTTACCCTCTACTCCCTCTTACCCTCACTCACTACACACTTGGGCTGCATGGTGCCCCAAACAAACTAGATGTTCTTTATGTACTGTCAACTAAATTTCAGTTCAGTTTTGGAGAGAGTATATTACAAAAGCAAAAATATATATAACATATTTTAGCAAATGTACCGCTGTGGTGTTGAATGTCGATAGTGGGGAAAGGTGTGCATGTTGTGGACAGGGAGTATATAGGAACTCTTTGCACATTCCACTCAATTTTGCTGTAAACCTAAATGCTCTAAAAATAGATTTTATTAATTTACATATGCATAAATTATATATTTATAATTATATAATAGATATAAATTATACATGATATGTAAAGTATTGTTTATATATAATTATATATAACATGTGTGTATGTATGTGTGTGCATGTGTATGTGTGTGTAAAATATGACTGTAGTAGGAGGATAGACAGAAAAATCAGGGAAGTCTGCATCCACCTCACTTACAGATAATTTCTGAGCAGAGGTTTTCCAGCTCATTACCTCACCAATGATAGATAAAGCCAGAGTCTTAACTCTATTGTAGGAATCAGTCTATGCATCACAAGATAATCATATAAGGACTGGACATTAGGAGAAACAGCCACCTTTGAGGAGACTATCATAAACACTGCCCTATGGGGCTTTTCATTTTCAAATTTGCTTAAACCACCCAATCATAGTGGTGGTCTATGCAAACAAGACAAACAGTTTAAAGACCATCTATGAAAGATGGAGTTAGGAGGTGGGAGGAGGAGGCAGAGCAAGATAGCCAAGTATTGTCCTCCAGTGATTGTCTCCACTGCAAGAACACCAAGTTGAACAACTATGCCCGAAAGAAAGCACCTTCGTAAGAATCAAAAATCATTTGAGTGATTATAGTACCTGATTTTAACATCATAGCCAGGAAAGAGGTGCTGAAGAGGGTAGGAAAGACAGTCTTGAATTGCTGACACCACCCCTCTCCTGTTCCCCAGCAGCAGTCATGTGGCTTGGAGAGAGAATCTGCATGTTTGGGGGAAAGAGAGCACAGTGCTTGTGGGACTTTGCATTGGAAATCAGTGCTGCCCTGTCACAGTGGAAAGCAACATGAGGAAGAATTTAGCTTTCACCCATGGAGGGAGCATTTAGACCAGCCCTAGCCAGTGGGGAATCACCCATCCCCGCAGTGGAAACCTGAGTTCTGGCTAGCCCCACCACCCTGGGTTAAGGCCCTCTAGGGTTCTAAATAAACTTAAAAGGCAGTCTAGGCCAAATGACTGCAATTCCTGGGCAAGTGCTGGTGCTGTGCTGGGCTCAGAACCAGTCAACTCAGGGGGCACACAACTGAGACACCAGCCAGGCAGCCAAGGAAGTGCTTGTGCCACCCTTCCCCAAACCCCAGGCAGCGTAGCTCACAGCTCCAGGAGAGATTTCTTCCTTCCGCTTGAGGAGAGAAGACTGGAGAGTAAAGAAGACTTTGTCTTGCAACTATGATACCAGCTCAGCCACAGTTGAATAGGATACCAGACAGAGTCCTAAGGTCCCCATTCCAGGCCCTAGCTCCCAGATGACATTTCTAGACACATCCTGCAACAGAAGGGAAACTGCTGCCTTGAAGAGAAGAATCCAGTCCTGGCAAGGTTCTTCACCTGTGTACTAGCCCTCAGGCCTTGATGGTACCCAGGCAGTACTCATTGGGGGCCTCGGGTGAGGCCCAGGGCTGTGCCGGCTTCAAGTGTGATCCAGTGCACTCCCAGCTCTGGTGGCCATGGAGAGAAACTCCTTCTGCTTGAGGAATGGAAAGGGAAGAGTAAAGGGTAATTTGTCTTGCGTCTTGGGCACCAGCTGGGCCACAGTAGAGTAGACTATGAATTGGGCTCCCGGGGTCCTTGATTCCAAGCCTTGGCTGCTAGACAACATTTCTGGACCCACCTTGAGCCAGGGAGGAGCCTGCTGCCCTGAAGGGAGGGACCTGGGCCTGGTAGCATTCATCCCAAGCTCAGTGAAGGGCCCATGGGCCTTGAATGAACATCAGCAGTAGTCAGGCAGTGCTTGATGCAGGCCTGGGGTGGTGGTGTCTACAATGAGAGCCTCCTTCTGCATGAGGAAAGGAGAGGAAAGGGTACAAAGAACTTTGTCTTGTGACTTGGGTGCCAGCTCAGCTGCAGTAGAATAGACCACTAAGTAGATTACTAAGATTCCTGACTCCAGCCACTGACTCCTGAGTGGCATTTCTAGACCTTTCCTGGGCTGATGGGGAGGTTGCCACCCTGAAGGGAAGCACACAACCCTGGCTAAATTTGGGTCTTGCTGACTGAAGAGTGCTTGAGCCTTAAGTGACTATCAGTGGTAGCCAGGCAGTAGTCACCATGGGCGTTGGGTGAGACCCAGTGCTGTGCTGGCTTCGGGTCTGACCCAGCACAGTCTCAGTGGTGGTGGCCACAAGAGTGCTTATGCCACCTCTCCCCCAGCTACAAGCAACTCGGCATGGAGAGAGAGACTCCATTTGTTTGGGGGAAAGTGATGGAAGAGGACTGCCTGGTAATCTGGAAAAATTTCCTGGATCTTGCCCAAGACCACCAAGGGGGTACCTCTATGAGTCTGCAAGAGTGACAGTGTTACTGGGCTTGGGGTGTGCTCTAAGAGAAGATGCTGCAGTGACCCAAGATTTAGATCCTAGCACTCAATTCCCTTTGAATACTTGGAAAGACTTCCCAAGAAGGACAGGTACAAACAAGCCCAAACTGCGAAGACTACAATAAATACCTAACTCTTCAATGTTCGGATGTTGATGAACAATCACAAACATCAAGAACATTCAGGAAAACATTACCTCACCAAACAAACTAAATAGGGCACCAGTGACCAACCCTCCAGTGACAGAGATATGTGACCTTTCAGAGAGAGAATTCAAAATAACCATTTTGAGGAAGCTCGACAAAATTCAAGATAACACAGAAAAGGAATCCTATCAGATAAACTTAACAAAGACATTGAAATAGTTTTAAAAATTCAATCAAATTCTGGAGCTGAAAAATGCAATTGACATACTGAAGAATGCATCAGAGTCTCCTGCTAGCATAATTGATCAAGCAGAAGAAAGAATTAGCTTGAAAATACACAGTCAGAGGAGACAAAATAAAAAAGAATGAAGATCTGCAAGATCTATAAAATAGGCTCAAAGGGCCAAATCTAAGAGTTATTGGCTCCATTTATGAGAAGAGAGAAAGAGATAGGGGTAGAAAGTTTTATTCAAGGGGATAATATCAGAGAGCTTCCCAAATCTATAGAAAGATATCAATATTCAAGTACAAGAAGGCTGTAGAACACCAAGCAGATTTAACCCAAGAAAGACTACCTCGAGGCATTTAATGATCAAACTCCCAAAGGTCAAGGACAATGAAAGAATCCTGAAAGCGACAAGAGAAAAGAAACAAATCACATAAAAAGGAGCTCCCTTACATCTGGCAGCAAACTTCTCAGGGGAAATCTTATAGGCCAGAAGAGAGTTGCATGACATATTTAAAGTGCTGAAGGAAAAACACTATCCTAGAAGAGTATTTCCAGCAAAAATATCCTTCAGATGTGAAAGAGAAATAAAGACTTTTGCAGGCAAGCAAAAGCTGAGGGATTTCATCAACACCAGACCTGTCCTACAAGAAATGCTAAAGGGAGTTCTTTAATCTGAAAGAAAATGATGTTAATGAGCAATAAGAAACCATCTGAAGGTACAAAACTCACTGGTAATAGTAAGTACATAGAAAAACACAAAATACTACAGCACTGTATTTGTGGTGGGTAAACTACTCATATTTTAAGTAGAAAGACTTAAAGATGAACCTATCAAAAATAATAATGACAACAATATTTCAAGATACAAACAGTATAAGATATAAATAGAAACAACAGAAAGTTAAAAACCTGAGGAAATGAAATTAAACTGTGGGTTTTTTATTAGTTTTCTTTTTGCTTATTAGTTTGTTTTTGCAGTGTAAAGTTGTTACCAGTTCAAAATAATGGGTTATAAGATGTTATTTGCAAGCCTCATGGTAACCTCAAAAAATATACAACAGATACACAAAAAATAAAAAGCAAGAAATTAAAACATACCACCAGAGAAAAATCACCTTCACAAAAGGTGAAGTGAGGGGTAGTAGGAGGGTGGGGAGTGGGGATGTTTAATGGGTACAAAAATGTAGTTAGATAGAATAAATAGGATCTGGTATTTGATAGCAAAATGGGGTGACTACAGTTAATAATAATTTATTGTACATTTAAAAATAACTAAAAGTATAATTAGAATGTTTGCAATACAAAGAAATGATAAATGCTTAAGGTGATGGATGCCCCATTTACCCTGATGTGATTATTACACATTGTATGCCTGTATCAAAATATCTCATGTACCCCATACATATATGCATCTACCATATATTCATAAACATTTAAAAATTTTTTAAAAGATAGACTTAGTGAGGCAGGTAAGAGTTCAGGCTCTAAGATGCAGAAAAGCATTCAGTCTAGTATATACAAATGCTACAATTTGTGTCCTTAAAAAAGTGGGAGTATATGCTCATATTTATTCATGTGTGCATTAACATTAAAAACTCCATATGCTTATAAAGAAACTAAGAGTACTTAACTGGCTTGGAAGGGTTGGGAGTGGCAGATGAGGTGGAGATAAAAAGATCTTTATATTTAGGTCTTAAAGCCAGTGAATGCCAGTGAATCATTTAAAAATTGACATACACCCAAAACACAAAATAGCTCAGAGTCTGCATTCAATCTACTTGAATTCTAATCCCCACTTAAAAACTGTGTGACCTTAGACAATCATTTGACTTCTTTAAGTCACCATTTCATCTATAAAATGAAGATAATATGTCTATATTACAGAGTCACCTTGAAGATTAAACTTTATAATCTCTGTAACATGCATAGCACATAGTAAGTACTCAATAAATATTAGCTATTAAGATTATCATTATTATTGACATATTATGAGTACTTAAGAAGCTTATTGCACATCACAGCGTCCAGGAAAACTGATACATGAAAGAATTCAAGTTATTGATATATCCTTCCAGTAATCTTTCATTATGGAGGCAGTGAATGTTTATTCTTGTAATTTTCAGGGCCTGACCGGTGCAACAAATACAGCCAAAAGCTCTAATCTTACACAGTCTAGTAGAAATATTAATCTTGCCAATTTTTAAAGAATAATAATCTGCAGAGGTTCAAAGATCTCATCTTAAAACCAGGAAAAAATACCTACTTCATTTTTATTTTTTCCTTAGGTAAAATTTTGGTGAGAAATAACAAAGGGAATAAAATAAAGTACATGGTTTTTGAGAGGTGGGGGTAGCCTGTCAGTTTTACCGAGAGACAGAATTGAAGCAATAGAAAATACCTTTCTGGCACAAAGCTATCTACAAATTCAATGCAATCTCTATCAAAATACAAATGACTTTCTTCACAAAATGGAAAAAAAAACCTTGAAATTCCTGTGAAGCCAAAAAAGATCCAAAATAGCCAAAGCAATCCTGAGCAAAAAGAACAAAGCTTGGGGCATCACACTACCTAAGTTATAGCAACCAAAACAGTATAGTACTAACATAAAAACACATAGACCAATGAAACTAAATAGAAAATCCAGAAATAAGTCCACACATTTATAGCCAATTCATTTCAACAAAGGTGCCAAGAACATACACTGGGGAAAAGACAGTCTCTTCTTGGAAACCTAGATATCCATATGCAGACAAAAGAAACTAGACCCTTATCTCTCACCATATAAAAAAATCAAATCAAAATGAATTAAAGATTTAAATGTAAGACCTGAAACTGAAACTTCTAGAATAAAGCACAAGAGGAAATGCTTCAGGACGTTGGTCTGGGCAAAGATTTCTTGAATAAGATCTCAAAAGCATAGGTAATCAAAACAAAAATTGACAAATGGGATTACATCAAGCTAAAAAGCTTCTGCATAGCAAAGAAACAATCAGCAAAGGGAAGAAAATGAAGAAAGAAAATATTTGCAAACTATCCATCCAATAAGGGATTAAGAATCAGAATATATAAAGAACTGAAACAACTCAACAGCCAAAACCAAATAATCTGATTAAAAAATGGGCAAAAGATCTGAATAAACATTTCTCAAAAGAAGACATACAAATTGGGTGCATCATGAGAAAAGTGCTCCACATCACTCACCATCAAGGAAATGCAAATCAAAACCACCAGGAGATATTATCTCACCCCAGTTAGAATGGCTGTTATCAAAAAGTCAGAAAATAACAAATGCTGACAAGGATGCAGAGAAAAGAGAATGCTCAGGAACTGTTGACAGTAATATAAATTAATACAGTCTCTATGAAAAACAATATGAAGTGTCATCAAAAAACCAAAAATATAAATATAATGTGATGCAAAAATCGCACTGGATCCCTCTATCCAAAAATAGAGGAAATAGTATATTACTGAGATTTCCAAGGGCAAGAAGCAACTGCAATCAACCTAAATGCTGATCAGTGGATGGAGAGAGACAATGGGGTATATATACAAAATGGAATATTATTCAGCCATAAAATACTGAAATCTTGTCATTTGCAACAACATGGATGGAACTGGAAGACATTATGTTAAGTGAAACAAATCAGACAAAGAAAGACAAATATCGCATACTCTTATTCATATGTGGGAGCTAAAAAATTGATCTCACAGAGATAGTGACTAGAATAGTGGTTACTGGAGGCTGGGAAGGGTAGTAGAGAGGGAGGGATAAAGAGGGGTTGGTTAATGGGTACAAAAAAAAGTTAGATAGAAGGAATAAGAACTGGTGTTCAGTAGAGTTAAGAATAACTTATTATATATTTCAAAATAGCTAGAAAAGAAGATTTGGAATGTTCTCAACACAAAGAAATGATAAATGTTTGATGAGATGGATATCCCAATTACCCAGATTTGATCATTATACATTGTATGCTTGTATCAAAATATCACATATATCCTATAAATTTGTACAACTACATATTTACGAGCTGCAGAAGGTCAGCTAAAGGAACCATTAAGAAGGTTTTCACTGGCTCTCAGTTCCCTGAGAACAATCTTAGACTGCCAGCCTTTTCTGGCTGTTTTTCAATTAGTTGATAAAATTAGTCTTATTATTTGATGACAATTTTTTCCAACTACCTGATTGGCACTGCAATAATCTTTTCTTGGAACATAAATTCTATAATTTTTTAATATAAAAAAATTTGTGTATCAGTAAAAAAATTTTTTTAAAGAAAATACCTCTCTGAACTACTTGGATTAATAGGGGCCTTTATTAAGGTAAAAGTTTTGTTATGAGAACCACTAACTGTAAACAAAAAAACCCCACAATACTATAGAGAATAAGGAAAACTGGTTAAGTCTGTGAAATTCCATAAAGACACTGAACACAGCATATTAGATTCAGTACTTAAATATATTATTCAGTAGCTAGAGGTTTCCTCATTATTTTTGTAAAGCTCCATATGGCATTCTTCATTTATTTAATAAGATGTAATGTATATTTAAATGTCCCCAAATTAGTCATATTTTGTGAAAACAGAAGGTAGATTCATGATCATGTCATCTCAGTAGGGGGTTGCCCAGTTACAAGTGACTGAGACAACCAAATCCCACTGCCCAATGCTAGCAGCCCTTTCCCCATTTCTCAGCTGGTCAAGCCAGACTGAGGTGAGACAGGGATTCCTAGGAAATACTTTTAAAACTTCTCTACCATTTCCTCTCAATACCCTCTAAATGAATGGCATCAACTCTAACTCAGAATCTTACATACAGTAACACATTATAGAAGAAAAGAAACGGATGATCTGGTTGCCCAAACACTGGCAGATGTTTGGGTATGACAGAGTAGACTTTAGAAAACCTTTTAGGAATGACCTAGCCTAACTCATCTGATTCTGTTTGCCCAAAAATAAATAAAGGCAAGCACATACAAATAAGCGAATGAAAAATATCACTGAATGAACCAAAACAATGGTGGTTATGCCTACATTTTATTTTATTAAGTATCACAAGTAAATTTTCAATCCATACCAACAATAAATTCATAGCCAGTACTTTATCATAAACATCCGAACTACAAAAGGTCAGCTCAAGGAACCATTAAAAAGGTTTTCACTGGCTCTCAGTTTCCAGAGAACAATCTTAGACTGCCAGGCTTTTCTGGCTGTTTTCCAATTAGTTCATAAGATTAGTCTTATTATTTGATGACAATTTTTTCTAACTACTGATTGGCACTCTAATAATCTTTTCTTGGAACAATCAAATTTTATAATTTTTTAATATAAAAAGATTTAATTCCAGTGGTTCTGATCAAATTAAACACAATCCTAATTAACTAGTAATCAAATTGTACAGCAGGTAATGTTTAAGTTACAGTATGGAATATTAGCAATACTTGTAATAACAGCCTCTCTCTAGGGACTTAGCAAGGCTTGTTGGGATTGTTCAAAGCTCTCAGGACAGGGTCAGAGGTTACTGAAAAGAAACTGAGGTACTTGTGCGCATAAAGAATGTGGACAAGGCCAAAATGTAAATATGATTTCCTTATGTGTATGTAGGGTAAGAATTTTATAGGGAAAAAAAATGTAAAGCTGAGAATTAGGACTATTCAATGAGTCCTGGGCTTGTCCTGGCTTCCCTACTTACATAAAACACCAAAACATAAAATACTTTGTTCTTATGCAAAAGTTAAAATTATTTGGGATCAAGTCTCATTCTCTCTGTAAATCCAACTCCATTGACTTCAACTAACTGCATTGAACACCATGTATTTGTAAGACATGCTAATAACAATAATAATTAATAAATAAGCGATCTTTGGGCATTGATTAATTAAAAAATTATCCAAGGGCACACTTCTCCATCTTCTCTCTCTTATAGCCCCCTCTCAAGCTCTATTTCATTAAGACCTTGCTGTGACACAGCAACCATTGCCCACACCTCACAGTTCAGATTTATGCTATCTCTAGGCTTAAAATGAAGGTTAAACTTTTTAAAGGGTTGATGGAAATTTATGAGAAAATATCTAGTTTCTCAGCGCAGGAAAAATGTTGTAATTCATCTGTACAAATCAAATGAAGTCATTACAAATGACCCTGATCTTCCTCAGATGCTGCCACATTAAACAGTAACCACCACATAAATTTTGACAAATCCAATCTCACAGCTAATCTTTCACCAAAACTGTGACCAATTAAAAATTCATCTGTATTCTCACAATAATGATCAGAACTCGACCTAACTTTGATACCCTAGGCATTCTCTATATGGAATGAAGACATCTGCCCTGGCACACCAACAGAGATCAATCCTCCACTGCTTAACTCTCCCCTCTCTGGGATTAGAGGAGAGCAGTCTACAGCATTTTGAGGGAACTTTCATGAAGCCTTAGACATCCAGAAAGTCTGAGCAAATTTGGCCTCACTTATGAGACTACATTTTATGTGACAACTGCACTCCTCGGTAGCAGTTCAACCCGTGTCATCAAAAAAGAAGAAAAAGAAGGCACACATCTCTTCTTCCAAAGAGTAAACAAAATAAGACACCAAATGATCCTTTATTCCTATGCTCATGGCAGAAAACACAAGAAAAAATAAAACCTCAAACTCAGAGACCCAGAGCTGTAAACCTCCCTGCAACTCTCATCAGGGCAAAGCAACAAATTGTGAAGAACTCAAAAATGAACAACACTTCACAAGAGCATATTGATTTTCAATAAAGCCATTTACACATTTTTGCTTGGACTACAAGTAGCAAGCTGCTTTCTCAAAGCTTCTGCCACTAAATTAAAAAGTGTGGACCATGTCCTCATTTTACTACATAAAGTCATCTTTGGAAATATTCTTGATGAGAAAAAGGTTCTCATCAGAGAGGAAAGGGGAAATAAAAATGGACAAAATGACATTTGGTATTTTTTCCCCGACTGGCTTAATTACTTGGAAAAGAGAAAAGAATACACAGACCTCCAGAACAAAAAGGCGTTTGTTTGAAATATAGCATGGCTCATATTGGCTCTGCACCAGTGAGCCTTCCAACAGACAGAACACAGGAAATTAAGAAGAGACTGCCTTGGGAAAGTATTTAAATCCTAGGTGAATGATGATTTCTCTTTACTGTAGTCCTTCGGAGTAACGCCTCAGCATCCACTGAAAAACAAGAGACATTTTTGATGAAGAAATTAAACTGAAGAAAGAGCCAATGCAATTCACTCTGTTGCTGGCCTACCTCCTATTTTACTGTGGTTTTAGTGCCACAAACAATTGGCCTTTCAATATAAATAATAATAATAATACTAATGACTGGGAAGGAGAAATATATGACAATAAAAATGTAGGAGGAAGAAAGAAGGAAGCTTCTGTGACACTACATGGATCTGCTGGTTTACAGGTTGCTGTGGATCCAGCAGTCCACCATTGGCATGCATTCTGTCCCTCCCTCTGTGTTGGTACTTCCGGTGGAGGGACTGACACGAAGGTCCAGGGATGGGCAAAGAGGATTATAAGCCTTATAAGCCAATCATGGCAAACCCATGTCCCTTGACAGGGATTGGTTTAAAAACCAAGGCCAGTCCATCAACTGATGAAAGGATATTAAATAAAATGTGGTACATCCATACACTGGAATATTATTTGACAATAAAAAAATGAAGTACAGTATGGATACATACAACAACATGGGTGAACCCTGAAGACATGATGCAAAGTGAGAGAAGCTAGTCACTAAAGACCACATATTATATGACTTTATTTATATGAAATACCAGGGGCAGACAAATCTATAGAGGCAGAAAGTAAAGTGGTGGCTGCCTAGGTCTGAGGAAGATGGAAAAGTTGGAGGATAATAGCTAAGGAGTGGGAAGTTTCTCTTGGAGGTAATGAAAATATTCTAAAAGTTATTGTGGTGATGGGTGCATAATTTGTGAATATACCAAAAGCCATTGAGTTGCATACCTCCAAATGGGTGAATTATAGATATATGAATTATATTTCAATAAAACTGTTTGTTAAAAAGGCCAAAGGCAACAGTCCCATGAAATACCCCTGCATGTTCATGTAAATCCAACTCAATTTAGTTCAATTAGCTGCATTAAGCACCATGTATTTGCAAGACAGTGCTAATAATAATAATAATAAATTAGTAAGTGATCCTTGGGCATTGATTGATCTATTCAATCAATAAATATTTATTAGGTGACTTCTAAGTCAAGAACTGTTCTAGGGACTGGAGATACAGCAGGAAACAAAACAGATAAAATCCCTGTACTGCAATATGGATGGAACTGGAGGTGGGAGGGAAGGATGAAGAGAAGTTGGTTAATGGGTACAAACACACAGTTAGATAGAAGAAAAAAAGTTATAATGTTTGATAGCAGACTAGGGTAGCTATACTTAGCAACAATATCTTATATAATTCAAAGTAACTAGAAGAGAGGACTTGAAAAGATAGCAGCACATCGAAATGAGAAAAACTCAAGGTGATGGATACCCAAATACCCTGACTTGATCATTACACATTCTATGCATGTAACAAACACTCTCATGTATGCCATAAATATGTAAAATATTTTGTATCAATAAAACAATCTCCGCACTTAAGAAGATTATGAAAAATAAGCAAACAGAGAAAACGGTAAAGTGCATCATTGCTTAGATGACAGTAAGTGAACTAGAGAGAAACAAAGCTACCAAGCTGGACTTGTGATTTTAGACTCAGTCATCAGGGTAAGCCTTACTGAAATGAAATTTGAATAAGGGCCATAGGGAATTACTGGTTCAGAGATGGGCATGTAACCAACCCAATTTGATTAGAAACAATCAGATTAGAACAAAAGAAAGAAAAGAAAAGGCCTTTTGTTGAGTGGTTGGGGATCTGGTGCTGTCTCTTACTCTTACTCTCACACTCTTGCTCTCTCTCTTACTCTCTTGATCTCTTGCTCGCTCTCTCTCTCACACACACACACCTGACGTGAAAAACAAAGCACATAGCCCCCAAAACTACCTGCTGCAACCACAAGGACATCCTGCCCTGCAGTGAAGCCGGCACAAGACTACAAAGCAGAGATACAGAAAGAATATGGATTTTTATCACATCATCAATTAATGACACTGAAACCACCCCCTTACCTCTCCACTTCCAAGCATGTAGCCCAACAAATTTTCTTCCTGTGTGGACCACATTAAATGTGCACACATATCCTCCACAGGAGATACATCAGGATTCCTTTTCAAGAGATTTCTCACTCTTTCTCTCATCACCCCCTGTGGAGAAATTACTGTAAGGCTGAATACAACGCTGGGAGGAGAGCAAGGGCATTGTGTGTGAACTCCCAGCATCCATTAAACACAAGCAGCTAAAAGGGGAAGAAGTGGTCATAAGCAAGAAAAACATAGTCTTTGAACTTCCACAACTCCTTTCCTTTTCATCAATTAACTGAACCAAAATTTACTGAATATTTCCTGTTGCAAAGCAGTGCACTATATGCCAAGAATACAGTAGCTCACTCACTCATAGAGGGTAGAAGTCCGGAGATGTGGGCAAGCAAATAATTGAAAAAAAACAAAACAAACAAACAAAAAAAAAACTACTAACCGTTACAAGTGGTGTGAAGGAAAGAAACTGGGAGCTGAGAAACAGAACGGTAAGGGAAACTACTTTGCAGAACATGATTAGAAAAGTCCTCTCTAAGGAAGTGGC
This sequence comes from Homo sapiens, assembly GCF_000001405.40. NCBI lineage: Eukaryota > Metazoa > Chordata > Mammalia > Primates > Hominidae > Homo > Homo sapiens. Next base: position 95,438,007 of record NC_000001.11, on the reverse strand, counting down.
ATTAGCAGCTCTATTAGAGTCCCCAGCGGCTCTTATATCAATGTGAGCAAGGATGAACACCAATGAACTGAGAAAAGAGAGAGAGAGAAACAGCGTTGCAATAATATACCTCCAGGCTCTTTTTAAGAAAATATCACAGAGAATCAAATTCTCCTTTTCTGAACGTTTTAACTTAGTTCTAGTCTTGCTGAACAGACAAACCTCCCATTGCAAAAGCAAGGTTAATTTCTCAGAAGACACATTGCCAAACATCCGGGGCCAGAGAGATATAACACTAGAGTAGGGGGCTGGCTTAAGACCACAGGGAATATAAAAACTATGTGGCTCACTTAGAGAAGTAAAAATGCAAATAATAGTTTAAAAATACTCTGGCGGTCTGTGATTAAACTGGCATAAGGAGATTGTGGTGACTTGTCTCCTAACAGTTCACTTCTTAGAAGTGAAACACCTGAGGGCATTTTATACCTTTGGGAAACATTTAAAATAATAAATTACCATTTTCTAAAGTGAAGGACAAAGATGCAGAGCTACACCAACGGAATACTGGGAGAAAAAGCCAGAAGAGTGAAATCACGGTCAGAAGTTGCAAAGAAAAAAATAATAATAATTCAGCATGCCTTTATTGGAAATATTACCTTAACAGGAGGATGGGACAGGACAGCGGAGACAAAGGGAACCAGTATCATCATTGAGACAGGGGGCCCCAGCAGGGGTGGGGATAGTGATGCTTTGCAAGGACTAAGCTGATTCTTGAGGAGGAAGAGTCCAGCAGGTGGCAATGGGCATGACTCATGCCCACCCATCCCCTGTGGAGCACACTGGCTTCTATATTATCTCCCCTGCTGTTCAACATTTAGGAGGTATCGCATGCACAAAGAAAGCAGAACTACATGCAGGAGCTACATGCCCGATTTAGATTGTTACTGTGCTATCAATGTCAGCATTTCTTTTTCTATTTCAATGAAAGATTTTGGAGTTTTAACACAAGAGAAGAATGGGACCGGACTTGGCGTGCAAGATAGGAAATGTCTCATGAGAAATAGAATTCACACAATGTACCCTTAGCCCATTTGTCTTGATGAACCCTGAACCAATAACTAAATAGTCATAGATTATTAAAGCTGCAAGTGACTTAGAGAGCCCAGTTAATGCTTTTGGAGCTCAGTCTGAGTTTGCCTTCCAGAGGAGCAACCTAAGGCTCAAATGATAACAAGTCCAGGGACCCTAGAAATAAAAGAGTCCAGGGACCCTAGGAATAAAGACTAAAGTCATTCACCAAAGCAGCAATTCTTACATTTCACATCAACAGCTATTTCTACAAACCTCCTATTCTTTGATTCTGAGGTATCTAGAAAAAAGAACTCAGAAAAAAGCAAGAGAGGGTGCAAGAGGAGGAAGAGAGTATAAGCACTGTCTCCATTCAAATTGCTGTGACAAAGTACCATAGAACAAGCGGCTTATGAACGTCAGACATTTATTTCTTACAGTCTGGAGGCTGGAAGTCCAAGATCAGGGTGCCAGCATGGTCAGATTCTGGTGAGGACTCTCTTCCCGGTTTCACACTGCCAACTTTTCAGTGGACAGTAGTCCCCTCTTATCCTTAGGGGATATGTTCCAACAACCCCGGGGATGCCTGAAACCGCAATAATACCAAACTCTATATGTGCTGTTTTTTTCCTATACATACATACTTTTGATAAAGTTTAACTTATAAATTTGGCATACTAAGAGATTAACAGTAGTAACTAATCGCAAAATAGAACAATTATAACAATATACTCTTCACAGTTTAACAGATGTGTTCTTACAATAGATCTTAACAGCCTCAGCATGTTTTTTCTTTGCTTATTAAGCTTGAACTTTCACCTTTTCACTTAAAGGAAGCACTTTACAGCTTCTCTTTGGCATCTCTGAATTGCTAGCATTGCTATTCTTGTGCTTTGGGGCCGTTATTAAGTAAAATAAAAGCAAGTTCAACACAAGCACTGCAATACCTCCACAGTGAATCTGATAACAGAGACAGCAACTAAGTGACTAAAGGGTGGATAGGGCATGCAGTGGGGATAGGCTGGACAAAGGGATGATTTCCATCCCAGCGAGATGGAGCAGAACCATGCAAGAGTTCATCACACGGTACTGAGAACAATGCAGTTTACAAGATATGAGTTATTCCTGGAATGTTGCATTTAATATTTTTGTATGGCAATTGACCGCAGGTAACTGAAACTGTGGAAAGTGAAACTGCAGATAAAAGGACACTATTGTACTCTCTCATGAAAGAAAGCTAGCTAGCTCTCTAGCCACTTCTTATTAGGGCACTAATCTTTTTCCTCAGGGCTCCACCCTCATAGCTAATTATCTCCCAAAGGTCCCACCTCCAAATATAATAACACTGGGATAAGGGTTTCAGTATATGAATTTGGAGGGGAAACAAACACTCAGTCTATTGCAAAAACCAAATAAACTTAAAAACATATGACCTGTGCCTTAAAACAAAAAAATAATGTTGAAAAGAATATAAAAGTAAGATGCACGGAACCCTTAAATAAAAACAAACAACAATAAATAAAGAGCCTCGACCTTATTAGAATACCACGCATCATTCTCTTCTTCTGTTTGCCACATGTATCAGAAACGAATAGGCCCCTTCATGAACTGCAGTCAACTTCCAATCATCTGTTCCTGGAACTGAGTGGCAAGGAGTCAAGATTATTGGCATCCCAGCCACTGCATGAAGCAAATGCTCACTGGGAAAGGATGACACCTCTACTGTTTTATATTTATCCTAAACAATGTTCACTACTCAATCTCAAATGCACTAAGGGACATAAGAAGACCAGACAGAGTTAACACAAACCAAGAACAATAGCCAAGAGGAAGAGACATACAGGGGCTCCAGAAAATGGAGTAAACTGTCACAGACTTTAGTTATGCTTAGAATGTTCCAGGAGACAAAAGACAAGTTAGAGAATTTCAGCAGAGATGCTTTGGAGGGCCTAGCCAGTACATTAAGGCAAGAAAAAAAAGATATTAGGATTGGAAAGAAAAAAATAAAATTTATTGTGTTGCAGATGACATGATTGTTGGTGTTGAAAAAAGAATGTATAGGTAAATTATTAGAAATAATAAATGAATTGACCAAGATATCTGGATAAAGCTTAATGTTTAAATATGACTGATTTATATTAGCCACTAAGAGTTTGAAAATGACATATTACAAAGATGTTACTATAATACCATCAAAATATGACAAATATGAATAACTAACCAAAGATCTGTAAGACTTCTGCATAGAAACTATAAAATATTACTTAGAAAAACATAAGAAAACCTAAACAAATGGAACCATTTATCATAATCATGGAAAAATTGAAAACTCAACATTGTGAAGACAATTCCCCTCAAATTCATATATAGATGTAATGCAAACCCAATCAAAATCCAGAAAGATACATTGTGTGGAAATTGACGAGAGAACTCCAACTTTTATATGGAAATGCAATGGATCAAGAATAGCAAGGACACTGTAGAAGAAGAGGAGAAAAAAGGTAAGAGTACTTACTCTTCCAGAATTATTATTTTTATGTATCTTATTTATTTATTTATTTATTTAGAGATAGGGTCATGCTCTGTTACCTAGGCTGGCGTGAAGTGGTGCAATGACAGCTCACTGCAGCCTCAAACTCCCTGGCTCAAGTGATCCTCCCACCTCAGCTTCCTAAATAGCTAGGACCACAGGCACGTGCCACTATGCCCAGCTAATTTTTGTATTTATTTATTTATTTATTCTTGTAGAGACAGGGTCTGGCTATGTTGCCCAGGCTGGTCTCAAACTCCTAACTCCATGCCTCAAGCGATCCTCCTGCAAATTAAATCCACAATGAGATACCAACACACATCAGAATGGCTAAAATTTAAAATACAGGAAAAGGCAAGGATCGAGAAGATGTCAAAATTCAAGGGTGTTCATATATGGATAGTTTTTGTACAACCATCTTGGAAAATATTTTGTCATTATCCACCAAAGTTAAAAAATGCACAAAGATCTAATAAATCATCTTCCATACAGAAATGTATACATGTACATCAAGATACATGTAGAAGAATGTTTATGGCAGCATTATTAGTAATAGTCAAAAATATATACATTAGCGGTAGGATGGCTAAACATGGAATACTGTATAATAGCAGTGTCCAATAAAAATATAAGGTGAATTACATATGTAATTTTAAATTTTGTAGTAGGCACATTAAAAATAAGAAATAAACAAGTAAGATTAGTTTTAATAATATATTTTATTTAACCTAATCCATCCAAAATATAATTTCAACATATAAACCATATTAAAAATTATTAATGAAATATTTTACATTCTTTTTTGTACTAAATATTTGAACTCCAGTATGTACTTTACACTTATAGCACATCTTATTTCAGACTAGTCACATTTCCAGGGCTCAATAGCCTCCTGGGGTTAGTGGCTCTATAGTAAATAGCATATCTTTATCACAATTAAATGAGCAAATCACAGCTACATGCAAAATGGATGAATCTCTCAAACATAATATTAAGCAAAAGAAACCAGATACAAGAGAATGTATATTGTATGATTCCATCTAGCTCAAAAACAAGCAAAACTGCCATTCTGTTAGACGTGAGAATAGTGCCCTGCTCCTCTAGGGAGCAGGGAGAGGGTAGTGATTGGAAGGGGGCAGAGATGAGACTGCTAGGATTGGGGCAATGCTGTATTTCTTGATGTGGAAGTATCGCAGTTGTTCACTTTGTGACCATTTATTGAGCACTTTTCTGTACATGTGTTGCAGTCCTCAACTTTTTTAAGTGGGAGAGAAAAGAAGGAAGGGAAGAAAAGAAAGCTACAACTGATAACCAAGTACATGCTAGAATTTAAGAGAAAGTTAAAATCATAGAAGGGGGTTCAGCAATCACTTAAGCAGAGAACAAGTAGAGAACAGGAAAATTCACACATCCGTGATTGATTTACTTAAGGAAAATATACTATAGGTCAAAGAAAACACCATTCTTAAGGTTCAGAAGAGAATGCCTCTGAATAGAATCAATTATAGGTTCCAGAAGGAAATGTCAAAAAAAATGAGACCCAAATTGTATCAAGTTACACAAAAGTAAGGGATAGAAGTATCCAACTAAAGCCCTGTGGGCTAGATTTGCCCACAGACCTGTTTCATATGGCCTACACACTGTTAAAAAAACTAATACTCTTTGAACCAAGCTTTTAATGCCTAGATTCTCTCCCAGAGAACGGCAGTGGGCTCTCACTGGCCAGCACTTTTCCTTCAGCCTGTGCCACTCATTTACTGTACCTGGGTAGTCACAGTACAAACCAAGATTTCAACTCAGGCCTCTCTGGTTTTAAAGTCCTTTTCCTTTTCAAAACCAGAAAGAGAACATAGGTGCTGGGGCTGAAAACAATGGAACAACTAAAACCTTACTGTTGAGACTTACTATTCCTCCTTTTCTCTAAACTCCAGTATTATTTCTCCAATTGGAGGGAAGAATGACTTTACTTTTTTTTTTCTTTTTTGAGACAGAATCTCGCTCTGTCACCCAGGCTGGAGTGCAGTGGCGTGATCTCGGCTCACTGAAACCTCTGCCTCCCAAGTTCAAGCAATTCTCCTCAGCCTCCCAAGTAGCTGGGACTAGGCACACTCCGCCACGCCCAGCTAATTTTTGTTTTTTTAGTAGAGATGGAGTTTCATCATGTTGGCCAGGATGATCTCCATCTCTTGACCTCATGATCCACCCGCCTCACCTTTTTTTTTTTAGACAGAGTCTCACTGTCACCAGGCTGGAGTGCAGTGGCACAATCTCAGCTCACTGCAACCTCTGCCTCCCAGGTTCAAGTGATTCTCCTGCCTCAACCCACTGAGTAGCTGCGATTACAGGCATGCACCACCATGCCCAGCTAGTTTTTGTACTTTTAGTAGAGACAGGGTTTCTCCATGTTGGCCAGGCTGGTCTTGAACTCCTGACCTCATGCTATCCACCCACCTCGGCCTCCCAAATATCTTTATAGTGATGCCTTCCTCCATCAGTTATTTTTAGAAGTTGCTAATTATTATGTATGATAGAATTGCCTGAAAGCCGCCCTTTCTAGGAACCACTTGAGGGAAGTCTTAGTGACTTATTCAAGAGTGCAAGCCTGTTTCCCAGGTCATTTCATGTCAAAATCCCTGAACAAGAGATTAATTTAATGCATCATTACGGTGACAGAGGAGTTTTCAGAATACCCTACGGTGTGTACACAGTAATGTGGACAGAGATGTTATGTGGGATTCCATAAGGCAATATGTGCAAATGTGCCTTGAAAAGTGTAGCCCGCTGCATTAAATGTAAAAGTGTGTTAATTAAAATAACCTGGAAATTTACTGCTAGAACTGGAACAAGAAGCTGGACACTGTTTCTGAGGTAACATTCAACTGACAGTCAGCAAATCAATATGCTATAGCACAGCATGATTTAGGAGTGATTAAATTTACTTTACTCTGCTTAATGTAAATGAAAGGTTCATACCCCTCATCCCTGTTTGCCCTAGGCCCCAGCGCAAAATATCTTTCTGCTAATGACTAGGCAGTGAGTCAGAGAAAGAGAAAAGAAAATAGGAACCTTCAGGCTGTACTAAAACACAACCCAGACTGTTCTAACAACAAGCAATCGAGCCCTAAGACCACCAACAACTCCAAGTACAGGTTAGAGAACCACCCTGTCTTCCTTGGGTCACTGCTTTTCATTTCTCCCTCTAGGTAAATCCTCCATAAATCTGATGCATTTGTTCACCTATGGAATATTCCAAAGCACCTTTGTTATCCAAAACTTGGAGACTAAAGGGAACTATGAGATTTATAGACACCTAAGTGATTTATCTAGTATACTTAAGAGCAATAAATAAATTTAAAATGGTACCACTTTTACAAAAAAAAAGATCTACTGTTTCCATAATCTATGATATTTGTCACGTGCCTGTTGCATTGATTCTAAAATAATAACACTGATAATGATGAAGCAGTATCAACGTGTAGGTTAGTGTGAAAATTAAGTACCTGGCTTTTAGTTTTGACTGTCCTGAGGTGAATAACATAATTGTTCAGTGCTTCAGTTTATCCCACTGTGAAAGAAGTGATTTTGTTTACCCTCTGTGCTCTTCTCAGAAAAGACTATTGTTGACCAAAGCCTTTAACTATGGAGGGAAATAACACATGTATCAAAAGGTATTGATGCTAGCCATAACATACACAGCTGTGAACAAAGACACCAGCCTGGGAGAACAATTCATGACATCCACACATGACATGTTTCTCCCACAGATTGCCAAGGCTGACTCTCTCACACTGGCCAACTATGTAGGCATCACTTTCCTCTCCTACAATTCCTGGAGCTATAAGGTAGACCCAAGAAGAATTTTCCAAAAGAACAAGAGTGCCTCTCTGTTAAATATTTGAGAATAGCTGTATTTCCCTTCTCCAAGAGAAAAAAACAGTCCACATTACATAACCACTGTGCTTCAAATGTATATTGATAGCTCACACGATAGTGAATTAAAATAAAATCTGGAAGAAGCAAAGATCTCTCTTCCTTTCTTACTAAGAAACAAATTTATGTTTACTCCCTTGACTCCATCCAAGATTCTTACTCCTTCCACTGCCTGACCCACATTCTATCTTCTCTTTAAAAGGAAAAAAAAAAATCCCCGACAAAGAAAAATTAGTTGCAAAAGCTCAATTCCAAAGCATTCTCAGGGTTTAGTAGCCAGACTGATTTGATCCAATGTCTAGGACACCAAGTCAAGGGCTTAACAGCCACAATTTGATAAGTCAGCTGAATCTCGTCCCTCTACCAGAACCAGTGGTGAGACAGGACAGGACTGGCAAAAAAAAGACAAAGGAAGGTGTTCACTAAATGGAGATGTAGACACCCAAGCATGTCCACACATTGACAGTGGCAAAAGTCCCAGTCCCACCCATTTATGTAAGCTATGTTTCGATCTGAGAGAAGAATCAACTTAAGAGTAATAAAACAATAGTAGCCACTGCTTATCGAACATTTAACTCTGTACCATTTACATATGCTATCTCAGTACCTACATGGATATTTGTTTTAGTCTATGTAGGCTGCTATAACAAAATACATTAAACTGAGTAGCTTTTAAGCAACAGAAATTTATTTCTCATGGTTCTGAAGGCTGGAAAGTCCAAGATCGGGGTCCAGCACATTCAGATTCTGGTGACAGCCCTCTCCTGGCTTGCACACTGCTGACTTTTTGCTGTGTCCTCACATAGGGAAAGGAACTCCACAGCTCCCCAGTATCTTTCATAAGGACATTAATGACATTCATTAGGACTCCACCCAAAGGCCTCACCTTCTAATCCATCATCTTGGAGGTTAGAATTTCAACATGAATTTTGAGGAGACACAAATGTTTAAAACATAGCAGTACTAATACTATTATTGTTAACCCCATTTTGTCAAGAGAAAGCCATATTTGTTCTCTATTGCTATTTAACAAATTAATCCCAAAATCTAGCAGCTTAAAACAACAAATGTGCCACCTCACAATTTTCGAGGGTCAGAAATCCAGGAGAAACATAGCCAAGTAATTCGGTCCCAGTGTCTCATGAGGCTGCAGTCAAGATGTTGGCTAGAGACACAGTCCTATGAAGGTTTGATGGGCCTGGAAGATCTGCTCCCAAGTTCACTCATGTGGCTTTTAGCAAGAGACCTCAGATCTTTGCCACATGGGTCTCTCGGGAGGGCTCACAGCACAGCTACTGGCTTCCACCAGAATAAGTGACCTAAAAGTGACAGAGGTACCAAGGTGGAAGTCTCAGTCTTTTATAACCTGATCTCAGAAGTGACACATCATCATTTCTGCATATTTTATTGATCACACAGACTAACTGGTAAACGTGGGAGATGATTACATAAGGGCATCAACATAAGAAGGTGGGGGTCACTGGGTCTATCTTGGAAGCTGGCTACCACAAAAACGGACGCATGAAAAGGTACTAGCTTGCCACGTAGAGTTAGTACTGGATAATCAAGATGTAAACTTGGGGGTGTGATTCTATTCAGAGCCCCCATTCTTTAGAACTATTAAGCTATTACAGAGCCAATAAAGGGAGAACTGAGAAAAACGTTCAACATGCAGATCTACAGGACAACTCTTCCTGTTTGAAAGCCCACCCCAGAAAGGGGTTCAGCCTGAGAGTCCTCAATTCATGTGACTCTGGCATGACTGGAAGTCTCATCAGGACACTGATATACTTCAGTGCAGGACCCTCAGCCTGTTTGCTTATTCTTCTTCCTTCCACCTCTATCACGATGTGAGAAGCTCTGTCCAAATTCAACTTTTTGTCCCAAAACAGACTTGGGCTGGAGCATAGGACACAATTTAGAGGTTGTATCAACTTGGCAGCTTTTAATAACAAAACAGAATATTGTTTTCTTAAGGTCCTTTGTAGTTGCCCTTCCTTGAGCATAAATTCACATGTTCTCTCAGCTAAACACTGGGAAGAAATAAGTTCAGCTAAACAAAGGAAGAAGAAAGTTTTAGTGACTTTTAAAAATATTAGTAGCCATATTTCTTTAACAGACATTCATTTCCTGGATTAGACACTAAGGAACTAACATTATCATTCTATTTTATTTATTCTATGCATCTGTGGATTACAGAGTAGATCATGTTAAGTATAATGCTTTGAAAGGACCCTTCAGAGAAAGAACTAAATGAATTTTCCCATCTATTCTTAATATTCTCCCTACTGAATGCAGACAGCAACAGGAAAATTCAAAGCTATTATTTTTAATGTCAAATGCCTTTACTAGTCCAATAAAAGGGGAAAGATATTAAACTTTTTATACGACAAGAAGCAGATAGCACATATCTTCAAGAAACACATCTTAATCAAATTGAACATAGGAAATTAAAAAGTGGATAGATGAGTGAAGGTATCTATCCTCACTTAATTAAAAAAAAAAAAAGCTCTGGCAATTCTTACGAACAAGAGAGCATGTCTTTTCTCCCCTTTGTTCCTTTCAGGGGAATAGTGTGGATTAATTTTGGTTCAGATGGTTCTGAAAAAAAACACCTGAGAAATTGCCATACTCAGTCTTCAGATGAAAAGGAAATACCCCCTTTCAGGCAAACCCCTTACATTATGAAACAACACCAGTGAGAAAAAGCAGACATGGACCTCAAACCCAACTACACAGCCTTGGCCAAGGTGAGTTCAAATGCTTTCCTGATGACCTTCCAGAGTAGCTGTAAACATCAGATGAGGTAACTCAGTTAGAGACTGCTGGGAAAAATAAAGCCCTGTCCAAGTATAAGGCAGGAAAAGTGGTGTATGTTTGTTAAAGTTATCTACATAAAATACTTCAAAATTAGGCTTGTAAATACATAATTCAGCCAAACCACCATAACCCAAGAACAATCATAACAAATGTTTATCAAGTATTTACTATCAGCCTGACACTCTGCATATATATACATATAAATACTCACAACAAATCTGAACGCTATGTATAGTCCCATTTTACATATTAGCCAACAGGTTTCAAAAAGTTAAACAACTTTCCCAAGGTCATGAAGCCCTGTAGAGTCAGCATCTGGATTTGGATATAAGTATGTCTGATTCCCAGCCACAGAGTTACTCTACCACACTGTCTCTAATTCTGCAGATACTTTTTTGTCCAGAGTGAAGAATTACCCTGCCCAACTTTGGAGCACAAAAGGAACCTCACCATAATAGCACATTCACAAATATACAGACGCAACACACAATCACATACACACTGAGATTTAACATTACACTCTGCAAGTCAGAAATACTCTCTAACACTAAATGTGTTGTAATTACATTGATTATAAAGCTGAGCCAGGTTTGAAAATATCTGGAGGCATACTTCTATTTTTCACTTCACACTTGAGCATCAGTAGAGAAGAATTCAAATAAGGATGTTACTGGTTTTACATGCTAAATGGAGATGGAAAAATGCCACGGATTCCATGATCATGTGCAAGGGGAGAAATGGAACTTCCTGTAGAAGAGTGCATTCTATGGGTGCAAAATGATGCAATATTTTTTAAGTGTTTCCTTAAAGACAGGGACTTAACAGAGAAATGCCCTGACTGCTAAAAATTGAGTTTGTTATTCTAATATCAAGAACCCATTATTGGGCATGTACTATGTGCAATGCATTAAGGCTGTCACAAAGCGTTGGAAGACACCATTTCTGTCTTAAAGGAGTTGCAGTCTTTCAGAGTAGAAGAAATACACACTAAGCAAGACAATCAGCCACATGAGCCTGTGAAAAAGAAACTCCAAATCACCAGCATGGAAACAAGTGATCTATAAACAAACAATAGCTTATTTAAGCAAAAAATAATAAACAGATTTTAGTAAAAGAATTGGGTGCTGACTCAGAGACAGAATTCTGGGTTCACTACTGAGAAAACAGCGACAGGGACTGTGCTGGTCCTGCACACTCTAAGATCCATTCCTTACCCTGCCCCTGCTCTGCACTGCATCGCCAGAGGGCTGGGACAGCCAGGACACTTTGCCCAATCTTTGATAGCTGGCTTCTGCAAGAGACTGGTAGTGGCACTTCAGGGGAAGGGAAAAACCAAGGTGTTTTCTTTCCTCCCTTTCTGCTTCAACTCTGCTGTGTCTTTTCCATGTTTCTGCTCCCATCCAACAGTCCATGTTGTTTTAACCTCCTCTAGCTAAGCCCAGCCCTAGGCTCCTGTCCTTTGTCCCCCAGTTTTGGATGGCAGTAGCTTCCTGTTGTCACTAATCTCTGGGTTGCCTCACTGTCCCCTAATTGATGTCTCAGTTTTTTCTATCATCTGTGTAACTAGATCCCTGCTTTAAAATCCTACTAGTTTAAATTTTCAGTGTTTCTGTTTTCCTGGTTGGACCCTGTCTTAGGTCTTAAGACCCTATCTTAGAAGCAGACTCCGAAACAGTCTTGTGAAAGTGATGTATGGAGGGAGTGCTCTCAGGGGCCAGGGAAGGAAGCCGAGCCAGGACATGCCTCATTTGGAGACCAGCTTCAGGTCCCACGGAGATCTGTAGTCCACTCTCTGCACCAGAGTTGGTCCCCTCTTTAGGACAAGAGGGTCACCAACCACCCCAGTTTTCCTGGGACTGAGGAATGCAGAACTTTCAGCACTGAACTGGGACAGTGCCAGGCACACGAGGATGTTTGGCCATGCTATAAGACAACTGGTATTGGCTCCAATCTCGAGTGAGGAGACCTCAGGGTGAGGTAGAGTGTGCTGCTTCTGAGAAGGAAAGCTGTAAACACTGGAAACCCACACTCTCAGAAGACAGGATCGGGTCTTGGCTGACTGACACGATTTCCTTCCATTCTACATCCAGCCTGTTATATTTGAATATTCATCTAATAGGTTTATAGCTCTAAAGCTCCAGCCAATTTCCCCATTCAAACTAAAAGATTAAATTATCATCATTCATCACTTGTTTTTTTTTTCATGACCTATTTTTGTTCCTTTTTTGTAAGACAAAAAGAAGAGGTTCTGCAATAAGCGAAAGTTAAATTTGATGCTGATATAGTTTGGATATTTGTCCCCTTCAAAAAAAGTTGTTTTTGTTTTTGTTTTTGTTTTTGAGATGGTCTCACTTTGTTGCCCAGGCTGGAGTGCAGTGGTGTGATCTTGGCTCACCGCAACCTCCGCCTCCCAGATTCAAGCAATTCTTGTGCCTCAGCCTCCCGAGTAACTGGGATTACAAGCATGCACCACCACACTCGGCAAATTTTTGTATTTCTAGTAGACATGTGGTTTCACCATGTTGGCTAAGCTGGTCACGAACTCTGACCTCAAGTGATCCACCCGACTTGGCCTCCCAAAGTGCTGGGATTACAGGTGAGCCACTGCACCCGGCCCTCTTCAAATCTTATGTGAAACGTGATCATCAGTATTGGAGATGGGGCCTAGTGGGAGATGTTTGGGGGTAGATCCCTCATGAATGGCTTGATGTCCTTCCCCCAGAAATGAGTTCTTGCTCTATTAGTTCACTAGAGAGCTGGTCATGTAAAAAAAGAGCTTCACACCTCCTCCCCTCTCTCTCTTGCTCCCTCTCTTGTCATGTGAAATACCTACTCCCCCTTCACCTTCTGCCATGACTGGAAGCTTCCTGAGGCCTCAGCAGAAGCAGATATCGGCACCATGCTTCTTTCAGAGCCTGTAAAACCATGAGCCAAAATAAACCTCTTTTCTTTATAAATTACCTAGCCTCAGGTATTCCTACATAGCAATGCAAAATGGATTAATACAAATGCTTTGTCATAGTTCCAAGTTCCTAGGTAGCCTAAACTCTCTGAATAAAACTCTCAATCAACATTTTTCAGCCCCATAGCTGACACCTGTCAGCCAGTGGAGACACAGGCTCTGGGGCCAGGAGATCAGGATTCTTCCTCTGCTGCTTCTTTTCTGAAAATGGTGTCGAAATCCTGGCCTCACAGAATAGCTGGGAGGATTAAACGTATTAATGTTTGTAAAGTCATTGGCACAAAATAAATGTTCCATGAGTGGCAGCTTTTGTGGATAATGGTTGTACATAATCTGAAAGCCTGATTTCTAAACCAATCGGCATTGTAAAGTGTGATGAGAGACCTTCACTAATTACAATCTAGGTAGTGGCCAGAAACAGAGGGCCCCATCTGCAGAAATTAAAGTGGTTCATATTCGTCCTAGATTATACTTGAACTGCTGCCCCAAAAGATTTGTATCTTAGACTTTGGTCAAAATGACTCTAAGATATTAACTAAAGAATTTACTTTAGAGAAAGTCAAAGGGCCGTTAAAAGAAATTAAACCTAAAGCAAATGTTGAATCATGTAACGTGTGTGTGTGTGTGTGTGTGTGTTTAAATAAAGCTATAGTATGTAATTAAATTTGGGAGCAGGAATGAGGGGGATAAAATTATTCCAGCTGCATCTCAACTAGGCTCCTTACATTGCAAGCATGGTTCAGTAACTGTACTTACACATAAATGGATTTATCCTTATAATTCAAATAATCACTTTAATATTTTCAGCATCAACCATGTATGAAATCTCTGTATAAGAGCTGTAGAAATTTCCCAGGGGAAGAAAAGTATCTACAGATTACATATAAACCTGTATACCATCCCCACTTTCTTTGCCACATATAAGGAAAAAAAAATAGGTATGCTGAGTAATATCCATTTCCAAACCTTTGGTAAACTGTAAAGGCCCTTATAAACGTAAGGTTTTACTATCATAAGTACTATGAAATTCAGAATAACATCACACACACACACACACACACACACACACACACACACCCCAGAGCTACAGCCAAATGTGCAAACCATAGGAATGGGAGGGGGAGATTGGTTCTTCTCAGCTTTTTGACAGGAAGGCAAATTTTTTTCCCTAAAATAAACTTAGTTTGAGATAGGATTGAAAAGATTTGGCAAATGCAAATACCCACTGGTAACCAGGAGTGAATTATAAACAATACCTACTCAGGGTTATAAGCATTAATGGGGTTAAGTGGAATTTCACACTTGAGGAATTTCATATGCTCAGTCTTGACCTAACTTCAGAAAATATGTGGCTTTACTGTAAAATGCCCTAGAGACTCAAGAGGCATGCTGTTAGTTTGTGGGCAACACACAGCAGAATTTCAATCAGAATGGAAAATTAAACACATGGCGCTCTCCCCTGGCCTTCTGTTTCTCTCTAGGGGGGAAAGAATCTTACAAGACTCCCCCTTCTTTCTAACCCTCACATCTAATGAGTCTCCTGCCTGATCCAGCCTCAGAGAGTTTCTTATGACCACTCCTTCCTCTCCACCCTACACCACTGCCTCAGTGACTCAACATCTGGACATTCTGCCACACTCCTTTCTTCCACACCTATGTCCTGAAGAATCTCTTCAGCCTATAGTCTCTTCTTAAACCAACCATCTTCTTCTCGGCCACCAGATCAATC
The DNA here is from genome assembly GCF_000001405.40 of Homo sapiens. Taxonomy (NCBI): domain Eukaryota; kingdom Metazoa; phylum Chordata; class Mammalia; order Primates; family Hominidae; genus Homo; species Homo sapiens. Next base: position 95,422,989 of record NC_000001.11, on the reverse strand, counting down.
CTAAAAGAGGAGGTGCAAAAAATAATAGACCTACCAAACATTCCAGGAAAATAAGAGTGGGAAATGCCACTTACCTTACATCCTCTTTGGAGCATCACTTTAGCAAAGTAAAGGTCCTGAGACGTCCTGAAGTAAAGATATCAGCTTAATTTATTTAATCCACATTCTTCAAACTGGATAATTGCAGTGAGCAACCCCTATAAGGTAGGTACCATGATTATTGCCATATTACAGACTACAAAACTGAGGACATGCATGGTTAGATAACTCCTGAAGGTTACACACCTACTGAATGTAGAGTCAAGGTTCAAACCAGGGAGACTGACTCCAAAGCTAAACGTTTTTTGATATCCCGCAGAACCACACATTGAGAAACATTCTCTTGGATCTTAAAGTGTATATTGTATCTCGTGCTTCTGATAAAAGGTTCACAACAAGTCTCACTAAACATGCTTTATAGTCTTTAACTTAGTGGGCCTTGCTACTCAAAGTGAGGCCCAAGGCCCAGCAGCCCTGGCATCATGGGGCAGCTTTCCAGACATGCAGAATCTCAGGCCCCATTCCAGCCCTTCCATGTCAAAATCTGCATTTTAACAATGCAGAATCCCCAGTTTGAGAACCACTGCCCTTAAAGCATTCAAGGCTTTAGAGCATGATCTAGCCTCAGCTCATGCTTTTAGCCTCTTCTCTTATCATTCCTCCACTGTAAATTTGTCTTCAGCAAACCATGTTTCCTGAACTCATCAGCCTGACATTAATATAGAGCAGAATCAGCCCGCAAAGAGTATCTGTCTGAAACAGCCCCGCATCCACTCATTGTTACCCCTCAAATTCCCCCCAGGTGGCACTGAAATTCCCCTGCATGTGTCTCCCATGTGTCCTGGGGTCTGAAATCCACTATTTTCCTCCTCCTTCATTCTGTGGTCATCTCCTTTCTCTGCCAGCCCCAAAGCTGGCAACTATGCCACCAAACCCTACTAGGGGCAGTACCTGCCCCAATGCCTCCAATGCTGGCCCAGGCCCGCCAACACCAGAGGTGCGGGACATGGGAGGGCTGCTCTACCAAAGCCACTCTCCACCCTGCTCCTCGAGGACACAGATCATGAATGATCCCTCCACACAGCCACAGTAAGACATGGACAACAAAGAAGAGAAGGATGGGTAACCAGGCAATTAGGTCAGAAAGACTTTTTCCAAAATGATTTCTTACAATGATTCCTCAAAAATATATATTTCTAAAATAATTTTATCCAGTATTTTCCACACAGCTCACCAGAGAATGACTGTTGCCCACAGTGAGATGCATGCATACACTCTTTTGGATGCAAGTGTGTTCGCTGAGGAGAGAACATAGAGAACAGGCAGGAGAAAAATCTAAAGGCCTGACCCGAAGCAAAGACTCACGTGAGCACTTGGAAGTGACATCTGGGAGATCCACAACTTAAATGGACCAAATTGAGGAAGAGGGGTGCAGACATCTCCTGGACTAAAGAACAGGACTCTGGGGGAGGGAAAGCAGGGTAGGGAAGAAGGAAGGTGAATCTGTCGGGAGACTGGTTATTCAATGCCAAGGAAGCTGACCAGTGATGGCTTCAAATCCCAGGTGAGGAAGCAAAAGATGACATCTCTCTCCTAAGTGCCAAAGTAAGTAAGGAAGACAGCCAGGACAGGAAATTGTCCAGAGAACTCTAAGCCATCCCATTCCTTATGTAGATGCTCCTTAAACAGATGCTCAGCTTATGACGGAGTTACATCCCAATGAACCTATAGTAAGTTAAATTATCTTAAATCAAAAATGCATTTAATACTTCAATAAATCCATCAGACCCACAGTAAGTTGGGGACTGTTTGTACTCCACAAAGAGCTATGTGTATAAGATGTGAGACAATGACACAGATTTTTGCAACAACCATTTGGATCCAAGGACAAGACACTTTACAAGAGCTGGTAGTTGGCCTGACCACTCACCCAACCTTCCAATTAATCACAGGGTCCAGTTGAATTTTGTATATATTTATCTACCTTTTTCCTACCTTCATCTCACCCCTCTTTGCCTATGTTATCTTACACTATATTAGTCAGGGTTCTCCAGAAAAACAGAACCAATAGGAGATACATATATTCCAAGAATATAAATAATTAGATTTATTAAAAGGAATGAGCTCATGCAGTTATGGAGGCTGAGAAGTCCCAAGATTGGCTGACTATGACCTAGACACCCAGGAAAGCCAGTAGTGTAGTTTGAAGGCCTGAGAGCCAGAGAGCAAATGGTATAGATTCTAGTCTGAGTTTGAAGACCCAAGAGCTAGGATGACTGAGGACAGGTCAATATTTGAGCTCAAGTAGTCAGGCGGAGAGTGGATTCACCCTTCTTCCTGAACAGATTAGAAGATGCTCACACAAATTGGCCATCTGCTTTACCCAGTCTGGCAATTCAAATGGTAATCTCCTCTAGAAACACTCTTACAGGACACCCAGAAATAATGTTTAACAAGATATCTAGGTACCCCATATCCCAGTCAGGTTGACACATAAAATTTACTATCACACTCATACTAGCCAACTAAATAACCTCCTTTCTGCTCCCACAGATTTAATCCTGGCCTTTCTCCAACTCACTCTTCACACTGCACCAAGTCCATCTTTGAAACATACCAATCTGGTCCTGTCACTCTTCTCTGTAAAACATTTGTGACTCCCCATTGCTCTTGAGACAGTGCATTAACTCTCCATAGGACCCCAGCAAAGACAGCTGATGTGATCTGCCATCTTTACTACCCCACTCCAACAACTGCTCTGCTCCCCCTGTTCTCTGTTTCTACTTCTTGGATATACCAGTCCTTCTGCCACAGGCTCTGCATATGCCTTTCTTCATCCCCATCCTCTTCCTCACACACATCCTGTTAACCACCAAATTCTCAGCCCTTTTTCTGTCTTCCTTCTCTTTAAAGCTCAGTTTAAATGTTACTTCCTCAGGACTCCCCATGACTACATAGGAGGTTCCCAGTGTATTCCCCCAGCACCCCAAACTCTTCTAATAACATGTATCATAATTCCATTTCACTAATTACTTACATACTTAATATAATTGGTTTCTGAAAGTGCCAGGATGGTATAAATCATATTCATTTTATTTATTACTGCATTACCAGTACATAGTGCATATGCCTAGTATTTAGTAGGTGCTTAGAAAATGTGTCTGGAAGAAAGGAGGGAAGGAAAGAAGGAGGGAAGGAAGGAAGGAAGGAGGGAGGGAGGGAGGGAAGGAAGGAAGGAGGGAGGGAAGGAAGGAAGGAAGGAAGGAAGGAAGGAGAGAAAGTAGGAAAGAAATGAAAAAGGGCTATTTTCCAGGCATTTCAGGCAATCAGGAATAAGTTTTTTTTTAATCAAACCTCTCAAAATAGTACTGTAAGACAACGTAAACCATTAACCAACTTTGTCATCATCCATCCACTTGTAATGATACAAACAGGGAAGCCTTTATGAAAGTCAAGATCAGTGTTTATCACCTAATTCTATAAGCAAAAATATCATTATTTAACTCTTAACTCACACACTAATGCTAATTAGGGAGAAAAGTAGCGTTGAGCAATGATGGTCAAAATTGAAGTCTTCAAGTCTACTTATCCACACAGAGAATGTATGGATCACCTCTCCATTTATTCTCATAAATCACTAACAAAGTAAATTTAGAGAATATAAGTGTTCTCATATATACACACATAACACAAGAAATTTTGCCAAAATAAAACAATATTACTACATCTGTTTAATGTATTATATTTTTCCTTCACAATGTGAATTCGGTGTTCCAGCGGAACATGGTTTTAAGCAGAGGAGCGATGTTTTATCTTGTGTGACTTGCATTTCAGAGCATCTCAGATACATTTAGAGGCTCCTCAAGGCCAACTCACGAACACTCGACACACTGGGGGTTGGAGCAGGGAGACAAAACAAGAAATGACACCTAAACCTCATTTTAACTTCCCTCCACCAGTCCCACTAAGAGCTTCCTATAGAGATTTAATCCATAGCCAAAGATGATCTCCACCTTATCTTGCTCCTCCACCCTGTGGTTAGATACAAATGAACAGAGAAATGTCAAAAGCCACATCACCAGTAGAGCAGAGTTAGAAGCTGAGATAATCCACTCATCAGAAACAGAAATTTTGATAAGTCAGTTGGTCAAATTTGTTAAATTGAAACATAACCTCCTGTCACTGAGGATACATTTCACTGAAGGCTCTCTTTCTGGATTTCTTGTGTAAATTCAGTACCACAAAGGTGTCTTAAAGTCTTTGAATAATGTTTGCTGCTTAATTACATAGATACAGCTGCTTTTCTGCTGTAGTTTCCGGATGTTAATTCATGGTTGCTCACTACTGAAGTTCTGACATACCAAATGTCACATGTTGTTTGGATTGGCTCCAAACATGTGACATACCGAATGTCAAATGTTTCATTTTTTATTTATTTATTTATTTATGTTGAAACAGAGTCTCACTCTGTTGCCCAGACTGGAGTGCAATGGCAGGATCTCTGCTCACTGCAACCTCCGCCTCCCCAACTCAAGCAATTCTCCCGCCTCAGCCTCCCAAGTAGCTGGGATCACAGGTGCCCACCACCATGCCAGGCAAATTTTTGTATTTTTAGTAGAGATGGGGTTTCACCATGTTGGCCAGGCTGGTTTCGAATTCCTGACCTCGAGTGATCTGCCCACCTCGGCCTTCCAAAATGCTGGAATTATAGGCATGAGCCACTGCACCCAACTGCTTTCCATGTTTAGAAGGATGCTACTAGTCTCAGAATAGGATCTTGAGCATGTTAATTTATCTGTTCCTTAATTTCTTCATCTGTAAAATCGGTTCATTCAATACAACCTAACATGGTTTGGCTGTGTCCCCAACCAAATCTCATCTTGAATTGTAGCTCCCATAATCCCCATGTGTTGTGGGAGGACCTGGTGGGAGGTAATTGAATCATGGGGGTGGGTTTTTCCTGTGCTGTTCTCATGATAGTGAATAAGTCTCACAAGATCTGATGGTTTTATAAAGGGCAATTGCCCTGCATATGTTCTCTTGCCTGCCACCATGTAAGAGGTGCCTTTGCGCCTCCTTTGCCTTCTGCCATCATTGTGAGGCCTCTCCAGCCATGTGGAACTGTGAGTCCATTAAACCTCTCTTTCCTTTATAAATTACCCAGTCTCTGGTATGTCTTTATTAGCAGCATGAGAATGGACTAATACACAACCACATTATTTCAAATTGAACTGTAAAATCTATTCCCCAAAGTACAGTTTTGATATGGTTCAAAATACATTCTAGTAAACTGGATTCACAAAAATTGGACAGGTATAGTCCCTAAAGGACGTACTTTAAAGAATAGTTAAGCATGGTTATTCATAAGCAGTATACAACAATTCTTTTAATGTAAATGGATGTTTCATACCTAAAAGCAGTTTCTTATTTTAAGTAGGTTAAATATTCCCCTTGGAATTTTGTGTAGGTGATGTCTTTTCTTTTCTAACACATAGTGTTCTACCAACTGGGCTGCCAATGTTAGCCTAGTCTAAGCAAACACACCTGTAAGGTTTTGAGCACACTTTCCTATTCTTACCCATTCCACACTCTCTGATGCCCAGTATTCATGATTTGCAGGGTGACTGCAGGGCTGGTACCACCTACTGCCAGTAGCTGTGCTCTGCTACTATCACCTCCCACCTCCCCAGCATAATTGGAGCCCCAAACCACCTTCTGCAGCAGACAAATATGTTTACCTCATTATACAGAAATTCTCTTAAGGACAATTTTCCATTACTTTACTAATAACATAGGGAATCCATTTAAATCACCAAACAGAAGTCCTTTTACCTGATGACAGGTTCGTGCTAAAAGGCTATTCCTAAACCCATTTATTTGTAAACACAAAAAGACCCTACTCCTCATTTTTGTAAATGCCTTCCTGAGTCTGCTATAGTCATCTGACTGGCAAAGCTGGGACATCTTTCTATGAGACAAATTTTGTTCTTATTTCTCTGAAAGTTCCTAAAATTCTCTGTTGTTTGTAAGTAGAGAAGTTTCTGAACTCACAGTCCTGTTTTATCAAATGTTCTTGCTTCTCATATTTTAGAAGATGGGATTTCCAATTATTTTCATATGTGTGTTCTGACAAGACTTCTCTCCTAAGGGCTGCTCATTCATTCTCTGTTGCATTTGATGCTTTGCCTCTGCTGTTCTACATCCTCTTCCTTTAGCCAGGATCATCACCCTCAAGCTGACAAAGTGCTGGGAAACAGGGTCTGAATAACCAAAGAGAAATGTGTCCTGAGGAATGCCTGATAGATTTAAGAAGCAAGGTGGGCTGGCTCTGTGTTCAAAGAGGCTCTTCCTGAGTTTTGCTGTAGTATTTTCTATAGAGCTTTAGGAAAGTGTGTGACAGAAAAGTAATCCACAGATATTCTGCACATTAGAATTAAGTTGAGAGTTTTCTTAGAAAATAACATCTGTCCTTTAGATATGAGATGATACAAAGGAAAACAATAACCACTGTTTGTGAGTTTTGTGAGTGCTTGCAGTTTTCCAGGGGGCATTCTAAGTGTTCTTTTTTTTTTTTTTTTGGAGATGGAGTCTTGCTCTGTTGCCCAGGCTGGAGCACAGTGGCGTGATCTCCACTCACTGCAAACTCCACCCCCTGCGTTCACACTATTCTCCTGCCTCAGCCTCCCGAGTAGCTGGGACTACAGGCGCCCGCCACCACGCCTGGCTAATCTTTTGTGTTTTTAGTAGAGATGGAGTTTCCCCATGTTAGCCAGGATGGTCTCGATCTCCTGACCTCGTGATCCACCCGCCTTGGCCTCCCAAATTGCTAGGATTACAGGCGTGAGCCACCACGCCCGGCAGGTGTTCTTCTTATACATCTTATTTAAGCCTCAACATCACCACACAAAGTGGCTATTATAATCTCTGTTTTCAGATAAGGAAACTGAGATTTAAAGTAATGAAGTAAATTGCCCAAAGTCTGAGAGAATTAAGACCATATCTGTCTGATATCTTCACATATGAATAAACACACTGTCTCCCTGGGCTTTTTTTTCACATTTCATTGTCAGTATTCAATATCCCTGGGCTTTTGAAAGGTTATTTTTTAATAATCAATAAATATATTTTACCTACTCTAAGTGCTAATGCATTAGTCTACCACCAGGTCTTGTGACCTCTAAGCTCTCCTCTCTTCAGCCCATTTTCCACCCAGCCATCAGAACAGTGTCTCCCGAAGGATGACTGCCAAAACACCTGCATCAGAATCACCTGGCTGCTTGTTAAGACTGCAGCTCTCAGACCAACCCTGGAGATACGGAATCAGAATCACTGATATATTTAATAAGCACCCCAGTTGATTCTCATGCACACTAAAATTTGCGAACCCCTATATCAGCATATCACCTGCTTACAGTCTTCAAATGATTTACCAGAAACTATGAGATACCATTTATGGCAGGCTAAACAATGCCCCACCCCCCAGGGATGTTCACATCCTAATCTCTGAAACTTATGGATATGTTACTTTACATGGCAAAGGAATTTGCAGATGTATTTAAGTTAAGGCTCTTCAGATGAGATCATCCTGAATTTTCCATGTGGGCCCAATGTAACCACAAGGCTCATTATAACAGGGAAGCAGGAACATCAGACTCACAGAAGGCTGGTGAAATAGCAGAAGCAGACATTGGAATAACAGAGGCCATGAGCCAATTAATGCAGGAGGCCTCTAGAAGCAGGAAAAAACAAGGGAACAGGTTCTCCCCTGGAGCCTCCAGAAGGAATGCAACCCTGCAGACACACTTCAAACCTTTTACCCCTAGATCACACAGGTCCAACCTTTTGGATTCCCTGGGCCACACTGGGAGAAGAAGAATTATCTTGGGCCACACACAAAATACACTAACGATAGCTGATGAGCTGAAAAAAAAAAAAAAAAAAAAAAAAAAAGGTTGGAGGGGGGTGTTCTGTGCATAATTTTCATGATATCCACCACCATGGATAAACAGAAAAGGTCCTTGATTCAAAGACGGGTTGGGTACAGCTGCTCTAGACAGTAAGAGAATGTATCTGTTGCTTTAAGCCACTAAATGTGTGGTAATTTGTTACAGCAGCAATACGAAGCTAATGCACTGCTCAAAGTCCTCAGGAGGCCCTCCATGAGCCAACACCTGCTTGGTTCACACTCCCATCCCTCTCGTTTCTCCCCAATAATGCTGAACCACATCCAATTCCCCAAATATGTCAAACTCCTTAATACCATACTTGGACGTTTTCTTCCCCCAAACTTGTCAGCTTAAAGAGCACCAATTTAAGCCCAGATGTTACTCCTTAACGCCAAAAGATGAAATTAACCATTCCCTCCTGTACAATGTAATTGATGAGATGATGAGGACAATGATATATACGTCATGTATATGTGTATAGATGACATATATATACATAGTTGTCCTCATAATATCATATATATATATAAATGCTGCCTTTAAAGAAAGCATTTAAGAAAATCTTATTTTATAACTTTCCTCAGATCCTACATCACTGCTGGTTTTACACTCATCCTCAGACCTTTATAAAACATTTTAATTTGGTGGGGTAGGGAAGAAAAATACTATATGGACCTACCAGCCAGAAAGGATGATCAAGCTATAAAGCAAAAATGAATCAGAATTACCAAATGGTATGGTTCATAAATGGCTCTGATAACACTATAGGTACAAAAGTTTTGGTATTTTCATCTGCTGAAGTCTAAAAAGAACTTATATTATCCAAGTATACTGTTCAAAAAAAGGCAAAAAACATGATTCATGTGAAATAGAATGAATCCATGTGAAAGAACTTATTGAACTCATAAATTAATGAGGAAAACAGTAAGATAGAAAAACTGATTTGATGAATAGTTGAGGAGCTGAGTATTTACAGGAAATTTAATAATAGAATGTTAAAATAAGATTGTTAAATTAGATATAAAACTGGCCATGTCCCATAAGGCATTAACCTTTGGACTTACCTTATCTCCTGAACAGAAATCATTTCCTTCAAAACTGGATACAAATTCAGAAATTAACAACATATAATTTCATATAGCCTAAGCCTTTAATAAACAACAAATAACATAGTCAATGAATAGTATATTCTCTCAGAAAAGTAAATAAACCCTGAGCAAACGTGGTTATTCTCTTGGTCTGATTTACAGATTATGGACATGTGGGGGCAGAAAGGTGTTACACGTTTTCTCACCAATCATAAAGGTCAGGGACAGTGCTCCTGCAAAAAAAGACAGGTTAACAAGAGAAAAGCATACAGACTTACTTAATCAAAGTTTCACATGACACAGAAACTTTCAGAAATGAAGACCCAAAGACTCAGAGAAAACTGTCTATTTTTTATGCTTTGGTTCAATGAAGAATGGGCTGCCATGTGGAAATATGACCGGACCAAAAGGAAACGATCTAATGCTAATAGACTGAGTAGGGAAACTCAGCAAGGCCTGACTGTTCAGATTCTTCTTGGCCTCTCTGCGTAGCATTCCTGTCTCCTGGGTCTAGGATAGGACCCCACTGCAATGAGGGCCTTATAGCCTACTGTCAGACAAGGTAGGTCAGACAATTTCTTTATGGCCAGCTCCTATACAGAAAGGCAGGGTTAGAGTAATATTTCTAGTTTCTATGATTTGCCTTGGGGGTGAAAGGGGAGCAGGAGACAGAAGGGCAGAAGGGTAGAGACCTTGGCTCTGAGGTCTTCCAATGTGCTTTGGGTCACAGTACTCAGCATTCCAAAGCACCATACTTTGGGGTACCCCAGGTACTTTTTCATAACTGTACATATATATTATTTTTTAATTACAAAGATGGAATCCAACTACTACTATGAAATTTCAGAGGAATATAGATTACTGGGGAAATTTGGAGATTCACATGAAACTGGGCCTTGAAAGAAGAAAAGGATAAGCAGACATTGGTAGACTTTAAGCATTATTTTCCAATATGTTAAAACCAATTTTTCCTCCAAAGAAATGCCTCTCATATTTGTTATGAAATTCAATTGAAAGAAATTTAGAAATTCACTTTTCTCTTTCCAGAACTATATCTATTATTGAAATTAAGGTGCAATTGTAGCTCCTGTTTGCACACTATGAATTCAGAATTTTCTTTGGCCTTAGTACAGCTCTGTTGGGTCTCTGTCACCAGCCCCAGCCCCTGCCTATCTTCCACCCTGTTCTCTCCTATTGCCCCTGCACTCTAACCAGGCTTTTCACTGCCCACACATGCCATGGCCTCTTTTTACCTCTTTAACTTTGTGCAAACTATTATGTGTGTACACCTTGTTTATAAGAAACCCTAAAAGAAATGCTAGTTGAACATTAAAGGAGTGATCAAGTAGACTACAACATTAAAATGAAGTTTTAGGGAGATTAAGATGAACAGAAGAAGTAAAAGAATGATTGAAGTGGTGGGAGGGGGTGAGGGTTCAAAATACTGAAGGGTATAATTCAAATAAATACCTAAAATGTGAATAATCCACAGACTGTAGTCGATGTGAAGGAACACAGGGTAGGAAAAAGGCTTTGCTCATCAGTGAACCTGTATATTGGCCTCACACTCCACATACCTTTTGTCCTGTGTGATCCATCTCTGACTTACCTAATTATGAGAAGACAGTCTTCAATTTTGTTGCCTTTTCAGTAATGACCAAGTCATAGGGATCGCCTTTTGATAGTATTCACTTATAGCTTCTGAAAACCGAGTGCAAATGACTATCCCTTGCCCTCTCCTGGGTTCATTCAGATTGAATTCCTTAAGTATGAACTCTGAAAAAAAGAATGTTAAGTGTGTTTACAATTAAGTAGGTAAATAAAGTACATTAATATTGAATTAAGGACTATTAAGATCTGCTAAAATGGCAGAAATTATATTTTGTTCAACTGGGAATATTACTGCTTTCGGTATTCATGTTTGCCGTCTCACCCACTAGGTTGTAATCTAGTTATATAACATTGAGGATAAGGAGATTTTTTAATTCACTTTTATATTCCCACTGTGGACCATGATGACTGGCACGTAGTAGGAACATGCAACAATTAACAGTGTACTGTTAAATAAATGGGATAAATGGGAGATTCTGGGAAATTCACACCTATATATTATTTTTTTGAGTCACTATGCATATTGATAGGAATATGCTACAGTTGGAAAAGGGCAGGGAGTAAGAAAAGAGGAAACAAAGTTGGTAACAGAAGGAAAAATTCTGTCAATACCAGTCAAGGATGGTGATAGCACATAATAGGCACAACGTCATATGGTGATGTGTGAGAGACCTCACAAAAACCAAATCACAAATATTTAACTAACCAAGATTACAGCAACTTTGATTTCTAATTAAAGTCCAGATACACAGAAGGAAAACAGAACATTTGATTTTCCAAACATTTATTAAGCACATTCTATACATAAAGACATTAGCTGGATGCGGAAGGAGTTATTATGGTGAAAGAAGAACTAACATGAAGCATCTTGGTGTTAGAACTTAGCTGGACAATTTCTTATCTGATAATTTATTTAAAGATAGACAAGACTGCATCTCTGGATTGAAGAGTTAGAGAGTCAGTAGAGGAGACAGACCTGATCACAGGAAGAAGGCAGAAAGAGTGAAATGTAGAATAGGGATGTGGGACTGTAGGGGACCAGAATATGCCACCCCACAATATGCCTTATTGGTATAAGGATTATTTGGGGGCGAAGGTAAGGGAGGAGTCAACCCCTCATATTGTCTTATGCCCAATTTCTGCCTCCAAAGAAAGAAGAAGTAAAAACTAAAAGGCAGAAATGGAATCCATAGGCAGATAGCCCAGCATCACATCCTGGGCCTGGTAGTTAAAAATCAACCCCTGACCTAACTGCTTGTGTTATCTATAGATTTCAGACATTGTATGGAAAAGCATCGTGAAAATCCCTGTCCTGTTCTGTTAAGTTCTGATTACCGGTACATGCAGCCCCCATGTTGCTCGATTGAGCCCCCTGCTTGCTCAATCGATCACGACCCTTTCATGCAGACCCCCTTAGAGTTGTGAGCCCTTAAAAGGGATAGGAATTGCTAACTTTTGGAGACATCAGTTGGCCGATGCTCCCAGCTGAATAAAGCCCTTTCCTTCTACAACTGGGTGTCTGAGGGGTTCTTGTCTGTGGCTCATCCTGCTACAAAGGCAATTGAGAAGAAGCAGATACAGGAAAAGCTCTCTGTCCTCTCCCATTTGTTTAAAAACAGGACATAATTGTACAAAGGCAGAGATATCCTTCCTCACTCCTCTACTGGGAAGAACAAAGGTTGATCACTGAAGATAATTTTAGGTCCTTATCAGCCTGGAGACAGCACTGGCAAACCGTCTAACATGGCAGATTTTACCAGCCAGCCTTTATCTACCATATGTTTGCCTTCCCACAACTGGCCACACCTAGGGACTCAAAATCAATTTCCTTTGTCTTGTTACTTCTCTAAAAATTTACTGTTTCTTTGTTGGAGATGTTATATGAGCCTGAATTCAATGCTACCTTTTTGAGATTTGAGATTTACTCATTTCCTGAGTGTTTTCCATGTTACATAAAATATACATGTTAAACTTGTTTGTTTTTTCTCTTGTTAATCTCTATTTTGTTATATAAGTCTGTCCTAGCTAAGAACTATGAAGGATAGATAGAAAATTATTTTCCCTCCCCTACAGGACCACAGAAAAGAGAAATCAGTTCCAACTTGGAGTATAAGAAAAGACTTCATGGTACATTTTAGCAGAGTTGAAGATAGAACAAGCACAGTGGCCACCTGCCCAAACACAGCCAGGAACGTAGACCTGAGCCACCTGACCCTGGGACAGAGCAGGTACAGCAGGGCAGGAGGAGTGCACAGAGCCTCAGCATGGCCTCGAGGGTCCAGTCCTCCGACTGTTCTCAGAGCCAATCCTGGAAGAATACACACTGGAATCTTGATGATCACCATAAACAGCAGGCTGAGGGATGAACAGCAGCAAATGTTGTTCTTTGATTTTCAAACTTTTCTTGAAAAGTGAAACTGCTTTAAAAATGTATACAAAAATCCCTACACATAGAAGAGATAAAAGTGGAGTGGCTCCAAGGAAACCAGAACAATAATAGTAAGGGCGTAGTCGTCTTCCCATTCTTCTCTACCTTCCACCATCTTGGCTCGGGGAAAAAAAAAAAATCACATTAGAAACATTTTTCTGACAGACCAGGTAGAAAGTGACCGTTAACAAGAAAATTAACTTGAATGCTTTCTCTTGCCTTTTCTTTGTACTCCATAACAACTCTTAACAAAGTAAAGCAAGACTGTATATCATCTCAAATTTTGTTTGCCAGGTCTGTGATCTCTCATGAAAATGTGTCAGAAGTTGTCAATCACTTTGGAAGTGAAAAGTTCAACCAGATAGCATATTGCTGGGCTTTTTTCTTTTTCTTTATTTCTTTCTTTTTTTTAAATTCATTGGAATGCTCAAAAAATCATTCTTCTATTTCACAGGCATCTGTGATGGAGCAAAAGTACTGACTTCTGTCAAGTTCACATGAAACAGAAATTCACAGAAGTCAACACTTCCAATCGATGCAAATGATCCTGATGGAGAAATTGACAAGAATTACTGAGGGCAGCATCTTGATTCATTCTCCTGTCAGGCCACAGGAGGCTGAAGCTCTGCTGTCATTAAACCAATTGGGGGACTCAAGGAGGGGGAAACGGGGCCAGAGCTGGAGCAGACTTTTTTTTAAAGTTTAAGACAGGATAAAAGAGCAATTTAAAAATCATTACTTTTTAACCATGAACACAGCTATTATTCTGAACTCCAAATCAGGGATGTAATAGTCAAAAAGACAAAAGAATAGCAGGGTAAATTGTTGAAACAAATCTCTTTGTAGTCGCTAGTAAAAATCTCATTGCAATTCAAAAGATAAATGGCAATTAAGTAGTTTCTGTTAAGTGTTTATTGTTCACCTTTTATGTGGGTGGCCTTTTAAGTGATTTTCTTTTTACAGGAAAAGAGAAAGTTTGTTCTCTTCAGCATTTGAACTAAACATGATGCAAATGCATGCAACCATCAATTTTAAAATAATAATCGTCTTGATTTTCTAAGCCGATAAACCAACTACTACACACAACTTCCTTTTCAGGCTGTTGTTTGCTTGGCTTATCACAGTTAACTATTGCACTGTGACTCTGCATGAAGACAGTAATGTAATTAAATCCTATTAACACATCAGGAATAAAGCCCTTTAATGGGCACACAGGCTTTGAGAGGCAGCTCGTTCCTGAGCAGATTTAATATCCTTAAATTAAGCAAGTGTGAATGGGAAGATGAATCTTATTAAAAACTTAAATCTGATTATATTTGAAAATTATTGGTTCCTTAATGTAATAAATTATCCAATACAGACTAGAACAAATAATATGTCCTAGCTTCACATAACTCCACTCTATAACAAGTGACAAAAGAAATTATGTGTGACTGTGGGGCAAAAAGAAAGGTCTTTTTATAAAAGTCATTTTGCATAATGAAATACCTAAATCATTTTAATAAACATTTGGGGAGGGGGGAGTGCAAATGACACAGTTGGAGAGGGAATCATTTACCCTATTCAGAAAGGGAATGTGGAAATAGTGATGCTAATGTTTTTTTTTAAATTGCCATTCTGGCCAATTTGTTGTAAATTCTGAAAAGAAAAGCTGCAGCTTATGTTGTTGGTAGCAAATTCCTTCTCCAGAAGGCTAATGCAAATGTAAGCCATCTGCCACGCATTCTGCTGAGAAGGCTGGAGTCGCAAACAATGGGCCAACAGTCTCTGAATACTAACACACACACTCCACAGGCAAGAAAAGTTTGCATTTTCCCCAAAGGTATACTTTACGTTGCTTCCTTTCCCATCCTCACCAGGACCACAAGGCATCCACCCGCTCTCTCCTGATCCAACTGGCACCAGGCGCGCTTCCACATGATTAGTCTGATGATGTTCACGAGGACAACCCCCAGAGAAGCGTTTCTGTTGAAACTGACTGAAACAGGAATGCAAGACCTGTTAAATTATTTAAGCAAGACAAATGCTTTACAGTGTGTGTTTTTTAACTTAATCCTATTTTAGCAAAAACTGGCATCGCCCATTGCACTACACATCAGAACATTGCTTGGGTTTTATCCTTTTATGACTGGACTCTTTCAGAAGGCTTGGGAACACTGTCCTCAGCTCATGTGAAAGCCGACGTCTCCCTAGCAGATGGACGTGTTAAACAGAAAGCACCGGGCAAGCAGACGCTGCAGGGAACCGTCATATCTGAAACCAGGGTCTGCTCACATACCTTCAAGTAATTCTTCCTGCTCCATTCGAGGAAATTCAAATGCTCAGTTATTTGGCAAGTGTGCCCAAATGGCTCATTCAACAACATGATGAAACATTTAAATATTCTTGGTGATTGGTGATGATAGGGCAGAAGAAGAGGCGACCTTCAGTGAACAGCTATCCCTGGAATTCTATCATCATTTCCCCTTACCCCCACCCCAGCAGGTTTGGCCGCTGCCATTTTTCATTCCAATCTCTTCTGGCTCTGATTATCATATTCCCTCTGGCCTCTTACTGGAGGTTCCTCAGACTTGCCAGACTGCATCTTATCTTCTGTCCCACTGCTGGTATACAGCTGCTTTCACTGCCTTGCATGCCTTTTTCAAGACCCCTCTGTTCACACATTATCTTGTTATCTAAGCAAGAGTCTAGTGTATGCTCCAGAGCCTAATTTCCTGGGTTGGAATAGCAGCTTCCTAATTTACTAGTGGTGTGGCTATGGACAAGTTGTTCAACTTCTCCATGTCTCAATGTTCTGAACTGTAAAATGAGCATAGTAATAATATAACCTACACCAAACAGTAAATAGGATGAGGCATGTGAAACACTTAGCACAGTATCTAGTAGAACGTGTGCTCAGTAAGTGCTAGCTATTATTATCATCTCTATTGTGGAAATGCAACAATCCTGTTTGCTGTCCCCTCCATCTTTCACTCCTTAATATTATCCTTTCTCTGTATCACCATGTGCTTCAGCAAAAGTACATGCTTATGCTGTTGCCTTCATCACATACCTGTGTTATCTGCTAGATTATCAGTTCCTTATGAGTTCATCTTTGTACCCATAAGGCTTAATACAATATCAGGCACAATAATAATTGTTTAATGCATATTTATTAACTAAATACAAAAATTAATAAATGAATAAATTTAGTAAGTGCTGGATTAAGCATATAACCAAAATAGGGAGAAGATAAATGTTTCCTACCACAAAGATAATAAAATGGCTTTGGAGGATAGAAAAGGACTACTTTCAAGTGTTGAGAAGGATGTGAAACAATGTTACAGTAGGTAGTCAGGCAGACATGAACAGTGCAGGAGAGAGCTCCCTCCCCTACCAGGAATGTGAGGTGACCATCAGGTGACGGTCAGGCAGTTGTTAAACTGTCTCTCTAGAATAATAATTGGTCTCAGCCAGTGCCAAAGAAAGGCAATCCACCAGTAAAAAGAAACACTTGACATGGTGACTAGCAGCTTCCCAACAAGATCTCAGGAGTTGAGTGAGTGGGCTCAAGCACACACATTAAGAGGCAACATGGTGAAGTTTAACTGGTATATGACCTTTTAGGGACATTTGACTGGTAAAGGAAGAACACCTCAAGTGAGCACATATACAACACCAGTAAACACTGCGCATGCTCCCCTCCCAAGGGCTAGCAGGCCACTGTGCATGCGGACAGCCCATCCCAAGGGAAGAATCAGGGGAATAGTAACACAAGACCCTGGAAGTATGTCAGCATATAAAACCCCAAGTTGAAAGGTCAAACCGTGCACTTGATCTCTCAAGTCACCTGCCTGACCCTCTTCCAAGTACGTTACTTCCTTTCATTCCTGCTCTAAAGCTTTTTAATAAACTTTCACTCCTGCTCTGAAACTTGCCTTGGTCTCTCACTCTGCTTTATGCCCCTCAGTTGAATTCTTTCTTCTGGGAGGCAAGAATTGAGTTTGCTGCAGACCCGTATGGATTCACCACCAGTAACAGCAACAGGAAATTTTAATACACTGCTGAGAATAGTGTAAACTGCCTCAATAATTAGAAAAACTATTTAGGAATCTCTAATAAAGCTACTTATATACCTAGCTAATGGCCCAACAATTCCACAATTTAATATATACCCAATAAGAATGAATGAATATATCCAGAAAAAGACATGTGGAACAATATTCACAGAAACTCAACTCATAATGGCCTCAAACTTGAAACAATACAATTATCCATCAGCAAGGAAAACAGATTTAAAATCTTGTGGCACGTTTAGATAATAAAATACTACCCCAAAATTTAAGAAAATAATACTGATATAAAAAACAATATGGATGTATCCTCAAAATATTATATTGAGCAAGAAAAGTCAGACATATAAAGGTATATATTATACTATTCCATTTACATGAAGTTTAGGAACAAAGCTAATCTATAATGGCAAAAGTCAGAATAGTGGTTGCCTCAATGGGCAACTTTCTGGGGTAACAAAAATGTTCTGTGTCTCAATCTGAATGGTAGTTACACTAGTCTATTCTCAAACTGCTATAAAGAACTACCTGAGGTTGGGTAATTTACAAAGAAAAGAGTTTTAATTGACTCACAGTTCTGCAGGCTATAAAGTATGGCTAGGGAGACCTCAGGAAACTTACATTCATGGCAGAAGGGGAAGGGGAAGCTGGCACTGGATGGCCAGCAGGAGGAAGAGAGAGCAAAAGGAGAAGTGATACATACTTTCAAACAACTAGATCTCATGAGAACTCTATCACAATAACAGCAAGGGGGAAGAGGGGGAAGTCTGCCCCCATGATTCAATCACCTCCCGCCAAGCCCCTCCTCCAACACTGGGAATTACAATTCTACATGAGATTTGGGTGGGGACACAGAGCCAACCGTATCATTCTGTCCCTGGCCCCAACCAAAGATTATGTCTTTCTCACATTTCAAAACACAAGCATGACCTCCCATCAGTCCTCCAAAGTCTTAGCTCATTTCAGCTTAACTCAAAAGTCTAAGTCCAAAGTCTCATGTGAGACAAGGCAAATCCCTTCTACCTATGAGCCTGTAAAATCAAAAACAAGTTGGTTACTTCCAAAATACAATGGTAGTATAGGCCTTGGGTAAATGCTCCTGTTCCAAAAGGGAGAAATTGGCCAATACGAAGGGGCTACAGGCCCCATGCAAGTCCAAAACTTAGCAGGGCAGTCACCAAATCTTAAATCCCCAAAATAATCTCCTTTGGTTCCATGTTTCACCTCCAGGACACACTGATACAAGGAGTGGGCTCCCAAGGCCTTGGGCATCTCTGCCTCTGTGGCTCTGCAGAGTACACCTTCTGTGGCTGCTTTCATGGGCTGGTATTGAGTGCCTGTGGCTTTTCCAGGTGCACAGAGTAAGCTGTTGGCGGATCTAGCATTCTGGGGTAAGGAGGATGGTGGCCTTCTTCTCACAGCTCCACTAGGCATTGCACCAGTGGGGACTCTGTGTGGAGGCTCCAATCTCATATTTCCCCTCTGCACTGTCCTAGTAGAGGTTCTCTATGAGGACTCTAATCCTGAGGCAGACTTCTGCCTGGATATCCAGACATTTCCATACCTCCACTGAAATCTAGGCGGAGGCTCCCAAGCCTCAACTGTTACCCTTTGCACACCTGCAAACCCAACACCACAGAAGCCACCCCAACACATGGAAGCAATCAAGGCTTAGGGTTTTTACCCTCTGGAGCAGCAGCCTGAGCTTTACCTGGGCCTCTTTTAGCAATGGCTGTAGTGATCACAATGTAGGGCACCATGTCCCAATGCTGTACAGAGCAGCAGGGCCCTGGGACTCACCCACAAAAACCATTTTTCTCTGCTAGGCCTCCAGGCCTGTTATGGGAGAGGCTGCTGTGAAAATCTCAGACATGCCCTGGTGGCATTTTCTCCATCGTCTTGGCTATTAACATTCATCTCCTCTTTACTTATGCAAATTTCTGCAGCCAGCTTGAATTTCTCCGCAGAAAATAGGTTCTTCTTTTCTACCACATGGTCAGGCTGCAAATTTTCCAAACTTTTGTGCTCTACTTCCCTTTTAAATAAAGTTCCAATTTCAGACCATCTCTTTGCAAACACATATGAGCTTACACTGTTAGAAGCAGCCAAGTTACATCTTGAATGCTTTGCTGCTTAGAAATTTCTTCCACCAGATCCCTAAATCATCTCTCTCAAGTTCAAAGTTGCACAGATCTCTAGAGCAGGGGCACAATGCTGCCAGTCTCTTTGCTAAAGCATAGAAAGAGTGACATTTACTACAGTTCCCAGTCACTTTCTCATCTCCATCTGAGACCTCATCAGCCTGGCCATCTCTGTCCATTTCCCTATCAGCATTTTGGTCAAAACCATTCAACAAGTCTCTAAGAAGTTCCAAACTTTCCCTCATCTTCCTGTCTTTTGAGCCCTCCAAACAGTTCCAACCTCTGTCCATTACCCAGTTCCAAAACTGCTTCCACATTTTCAGTTATTTTTACAACAATGTTCCACTTTTCTGGTACCAATTTTCTGTATTAGTCCATGCTTGCACAGCTATAAAGAACTACCTGAGTCTGGGTAATTTATAAAGAAGAGGTTTTATTGACTTGCAGTTTTGCAGGCTGTACAGAAAGCATGGCTGGGGAGGCCTCAGGAAACTTACAATCATGGCAGAAGGGGAAAGGGAAGCTGGCACGTCCTACATGACCAGCAGGAGAAAGAAAAAGTGAAGGGGGAGGTGCTACACAGTTCCAAACAACCAGGTCTCATAAGAACTCTATCACAATAACAGCAAGGGAGAAGTCTGCCCCAGTGATTCAGTCACCTCCCACAAGGCCTCTCCTCCAACACTGGGAATTAAAATTTGACACGAGATTTGGGTGGAGACAGAGAGACAAACCATTTCACACTGGTATGTACATTTGCAAAAATTCATTGAGCAGTGTACTTCAGGTTTATGCACTTTACTTTGTATAAATTATTCCTCTAAAAAATTTTTAGTAAGGTTTCTGGCAGGCATGTCCATTGGTACAACCTTTCTGGAGTGTTGTCTGGCAATATATGTCAAAAGAATCCCAAAACCATTGATTCAGAAATCCCCCTTCTAGGAATTAATACAAAGAAAATCAATGAACAAATGCACAAAGATGTATCTGCAAAGATGTCTATCAACCTGATGTTTATAATAGCAAAAACTGAAAACAATACAAGCCCTTATTGGTATGGGGATGATGCACAATAAAACACTATGCAGACATTCAAAAACAAGATATAGAGCCACAATTACTGACATGAGAGAATAACCGTAAAATATCATTGAGTGAAAAAAAGTTACAAAGCAGTAAATTTGGTATGGTTTTATTTTGTTAACACAAATATGCATACACATACACAAATATATCTTTGCCTAGGAAAAGATCTCCAACTATATTTAATGAAGTGCAACAGTGGCTTTCTCTGGATGAGATTTCATATGGTTTGGTTTGTTGTGGTTTTGTCTATTGCTTTTTATCTGTTTATTTTTCTATGGTTATTCATCATTTGTGAAATTTAAATAAATATACATGATAACTAGATACATACAAATGTGTATGTGCACTGTGCATGTGCAGCCACCCATTCAGCAGAAATGAGATAATGTGACCTAAAGTCATATGTGATAAAAGACAGGTGCAGCCTGTAACAGGTTGAACTTCATAAGGCAAGGAGAGTACAGCCCACCATTTACAAGACAAAGGTAAGTCTTGCCTGGCTGACACAAACAGGAACAGTCTCTACTTGGGCCCCCTTTGGTAACATGTTTAAGTAACTCATGACCTGCCAAAAATTAGAGTGTCCACTTAGACATTTACATTTTAAATGGATAATAAGTCAAATCTTCCCAGTTCAAGAATGTGGTTTTACATACAAAGAGGGTTTGTTGGTGGGTTGGGAGGGAGGTTACATCAGATTTTAGAAAGAAACAAAAGGTTGGGAAAGGGAAGACACAGATGGAGATGGGAATGGAGAGAGAGAGGGGTAGGAATGGAGACAGTGAGAAGACAGAGATGTCCTTTCCTAATCATTGCCAGTGAAAAGTAAAACCTTATTTCTGGCATTCCTGTTTGATGATGATTTGTAAGAATTCATTTTTTCTTCATTCTCTTTAATTTTCTATTGATTCTCAATGGTTGGATGCAGAGTCACTAGGAATCTTTCTGCATTTTTCTCAGTGTGTAGTTATTACAATTCAGTGACTTAGAATCTCCCTGGCCCTGTACAACCCATTTAAACAGCCTTGCCCCACCCTGGTACTATGTATCACCTCTTTCCACCTTGTTTTCAGAACCTAGATGACCTATCCAATCCATAGCTTCATATTTTTAGATAATTCTTTTTATTTTGAAAAAAAAAAAACCCTGAAACTTACAGAGAAGTTGCAAGTACAAAAAACTTCTTCCATGAATAACTTAAAGTAAGGTACTGACCTGATGCTCATCACCCCAGGAAATTTTAGTATGTTTCCAACAAACACATTCCCCTGTATAACCACAAAATCAGATTAACATTGATACATAACTATTGTCTATTCCTCAGAACCCCCTTCAAGTTCCACCAATTGTCTCAATAATGTCCCCTACATCAGAAGAGTTCAGCTAAGAATCATGCGTGCCTTTTAATTTTCATGTCCCACTTTCTCCTTCAGTCTAGAAAAACTATTCTTTCCTTGATGCTTATGACCTCAACATTTTTGAAGATAACTGGCAGTTATTTAGTAAAATGTCCCTCAGTTTGGATTTTTCTGGTGTTTCTCATGATATAGGTTAGGCATCTTTGGCAGGAATATCACAGAAGTGATACTGTATTCTCACTGCCTCCTACCAGGTGGGACACAGTCTTGATTTATCTTATTAATGATGTTCACTTTGATTGCTTGATTAAGGTGGTATATGCTAGGCTTCTCCACTGAAGTAACTCTTTCTCACTGTGTAATTAATAAATATTCTGTAGAGAGGTATTTTGAGACTGTATAACTATCCATTTCCTCATCAAATTTTGAATTATTCATTTGTTTATTTATACATATATGAAGCCATGGTTTCTTATTTTATACAATGGGTTATAACCTATTACTACCATAATTTATTTTGATGCTGAAATTGCCCTTGGGTTGGTCATTGAGGGCCCCTACAAGCAGGTGCCTGTGTTTTTGGCAAGTCTCCATCATTCTTTGATCATTTCCTCACTTTCTGGCATAAAATATTCCAGCTCATCTTATATTTTCCCTCCCCAGACCTGGAATGAGTCATTTCCCCAAGGAGCTCTGATTTCTCTTATTAGAGAATGGTATTTAGAAACCAATATTTAGCTGCTAACTGTGCTCACTGATATTAGAAGAGCTGCTGCTCCAAGATCCTTACAATGCACAGAGATAGGGAGTATACAAATGTATGTGTGTTTGCATATGTGTATATGCATGTGTGTATGTAGTACATGTGTACATATAAGTAGCATATGTGTATACACTTGTCACAAATACATTTAATATTTATATTATTTTATATCTGTTATCTGTCTTTAATCATAAGTTCACACTAATATCTCCAAATTAAATACAACACCACAGGGTTCATTTTAGTCTTCTCCCCGCCACATGTATATCTCTTTTCTCCAAAAGTAAGAACTTGGATCCCATTAATGTTAATATATTTATTGTTTTGATCTATCACTCTAGATGTAACCATTCCTCCATCTCTGCTGCCATCATCTCCTCTGCATGAAACACTCTTCACTCAGCTCAGACGTTGACACCCCACATAAGGCGCCTGTCCATGTGCATGCCTCCAACACTGTGTGGACTCTGACACCACACTCTAGGCCTCTCCGATTTGTCGCACCCTCTTCACTCTGCTTGACCTCTAAGATCAAACATCAGGTCCCCTCTCCACATGAACACCTGTTATGCTCTGCCTACCTACTGGCTTTAAGAAACACTTGTTCAGGAATAGATAAGAAAGGAATGAAAGAGAAGGAAGGGAATGGGAGAGGAAGAGGAGTCATGGGTTATAGTTTAACCCATGTATTTTCCTCCTCATTCTTCCATTTCATACTTCAGTTTAAATGCATATTTTAACATTGCCCGCATACAACATAAGTTTATCCCAATTGAAATTCTGCTTTTAGATCTAGAAGCATGTCTCACAAATTGAAATTCCAATTTTTATGAAAATCAAGCAAGCCTGCATGAGGTAGAAAACTAATTTAACTGGAATTCAAGGGTTCAATGATGAATGGTTATGTATATGATTCTGGGCAGCAGGAATCTAGTTAAACACTAAGATTTTTTAGTTATAGACATGGAAGTAGTAGCTGAAATCACGGGAATGAATGAAACTCTCCAGGAAAGATAAGTGTAAAGTTGGAAGAAAAGGAAGCCTAGGGTATACTGGTATTTAAGGACAGTCAAAAGAAGAAAAAAAATTGAAAGCTTAATCAAAAATAATAAGTAGGTGGATTAGAAGAAAATGGTGTCATAAAATCCAATGTAAATAAGAAATTTTAAAATGTTTAAAAATTTGTAAATGAGAAATTGATGATTTAATCAATCATGCAATATGTTGTGAAATGAAAGATCTAAAGAATAGCCATTGGATTTTGCAACTATACAGTCAGTGGTGACATTGGCAAAATACTTTCAGTAGAGAGTTGTAGTAGTTTGAGGAGTAAAAGGGATAGATCAAGGGGACATGTGGTAGAGTGACTTTAGTCTTGTTAATCCAAGTCAAGAGGGAAGATGAGGATACACGGAGTTAGAACAAGGAATAGTGAAACTGTGAGAACGTACGCCTAATAACTTCCATTTTCTCCAGGATGATGTGTCATTTGTTGATGGAAACAAGGCAGGGATGAGGTAGAAGCTTGAGAAGGATGTTCAAGATGACAAAAGCCAACTATAGAGGTTGGTAGAAGGAGCTTCCTAGGAAATTAAGCTGCACGTATGCTCTAGAGTAGATCTTTCTCTTTGGCCATTTGCCCCTAAAGATAAGCGTTTTGTCTCTAAGCCCCCTAAGCAATGTTTCTAAATTAAAATTTTACTTCCAAATCCTGAATTCTCAATATTCTATGTCTTGGACCTCAAATGAAAAGGAGATGGAGGAAAGAATTAAGTCATAACCATAGTTACTGGTGAAGGTGGTGAAAAGAGATGTATATCATGTAGGAGATGATAAAAAAAATATGTCATGGAAGAGATGATTTTTTAAATAGTCCTGTGATATTAAATCAACTTCTAGTTTTAAGGAACACCATGTTTAGCCATATTCTTAGTGGTCACAAATGCCTTTTGGGCCTTGCTGACATCTCTGCTTACTCTTACACTTTTATCCAGACATATACACTGCAGACTCACCTCAGGCCAGTGTTGGCCTCAGATCAATTGCTGAACCAGAAGTCTGAGCTCTCTTCAGGATATCCCACATTGCAGATTTCTGGGCTCTTTTCCCATCTGCTTATCTTTCACCATGGTTCTATGCAAAAAGGGACAGCTTTTAGGCATTGTGCTCCTGGAACGGCAGAATCCTTCTCTATCGTGTTTTCTGTATTCAAACTTTAAATCCTCTTTCTTTTGGTCAGAATTGTCATATTATGTCCATACATGTGAAAAGTTATGCTATTGGTAGCTATAAAAAAAAAACCTTACAATTTAAAAATTCACCGGCACTCTTTCCTGCCATCTATATCTCCATAAATATAGATATAGATATAGAGGATATAGACGTAGATAAGTATGTATGTATGCATGTGTATTTGTGTATATAATACACATATGATATATATATACCAACAAAGTTGATAAGCAGATTATTCGGGAAAAGCACAAATCTATCAGCAAGCTTGGGAAAAATGATCTGAAGCATTATTCACACATATATATGCATGTATATTATGCATATATAATATATACCATATATAATTATGTCTATATTTATATATGTATATATAATTATATATTATATATACATGTATTATATAATGTATATGTGATTATATATTATATATAATTATACACAATTTTATGTGTATAATTATATATAATATTAACATAATTATATATACATATATTAAATCTATGTAATATATACATATATAGTAAATATATTACATATTTAATATACATTTATGTATATATTATATATTTTATATATATTATATATACATAATTATATGTATATATTATACAGATATGCATACATACATTTTCCCAGGCTTGCTGATAGATTTGTGCTGTTCCTGTCATGCTGAATAACCTGGTTACCAACTTTGTATATTCACAAGCAGTTAACAAGCCAGGAATTAGAATAGTATTAACTAGAGCAATTGATGATTAAATATATACAGTCTTAAACTAGTTACTACTGTGCTCTAAACACCTGAGTCCTTGGCCAGAGTGTCTGAACAGATTAGTTACATACATTCAGCCCCATTTAGGCCTAATTCCTTTGTGGCCTTTAAATGGTGCCTGAAAATGCTTATTAAACCTTGTCCTTACATAAATATTTCTATATCCAGTGTCATGGTGGAAACACATTTGCATACATTGGACATCATTGGCCATCCATAGATTCTGGGGCATGGCCATTGCTCTCTCAGCAACTTCATGTTAGCTGTAGATTCTTTATTTTACCCTGTGTGAGCCATAGATCTTTTATTTGTGGCAGAAACTAAAAACCTCTGTAGGACAACAGGCCTGAAAATGAGCTTTAGAGCATAGTAATTTACACATATATCATCAAGGCAGGCTACAAACATAATCTATGGGAACGTTCAGGCCTCCAGCTTTTAATAAGGCAAGCAACAAGTCAAGTTTTATGTGAGAGATACTTAGTTTTAAAATGTTGATAAGAGACACTGTTCTATATAGGAAGCACCCCACAGAAATACTGTGCAAAAGTGCCCACAGATTCCCAGCTGGCAGAAGTGTGTCTATAAGTTTTCTCTTTGCTATGTAGCACTCTGGGAATTAAAGTCCACCAGCCGTAAAGCTTGCTCCTGTCACAGCCAACCACAACTGTCTCTAATTAGTTCTGGTTTGTAGCTTCCAGACACAAGTATCCAAACACACAATCCGTCCAGTTTCCCCATCTGGTTCTGCAAAATGCAATGCATAATGTCCTTCTATGATGATAAGGGAAATAAATCACATATACACACACAAAAATACATACACACACACTTATCTGTTATAACACACATACATAACGCCATTTTCTTGGAAGGAGGGAGATGCATTTTTCCATACTAGTAAAAACTACTGAGTTTTATGACAATCAACCCCTAAGAAAATAGTAGACGAAGCACAAATTCCAGAAGAACAGAAAAAAGCTACTATTCTCATAATGAACACCATGCATTTGATGTTTTGTTCATCTAAATAAGTCTATATCATGATGTCACACTGGACAAATCTAAATAATGAATAACTCCCAATATGTGAGCCTCAACCAGACTCATGCCCTCTAAGGTCACATCTCACCACCAAGGACATACCCTACCTCTGTGTTTCTCATATAGTCCATTCTACCTTGTTGCTCTCACTACTCTATTCAGAGATATCACTTGGAGCTGGCACATTAACATGATTCTTCAGGTCCTGCACTTTGGAGGGATTTAGAACCACAGTAGAAAGAAGCAGAGATAAAGAACTAGTGTCTGGTAGCTAAGATCTCAGCATGCAAAAATAACTTAACCTTTGGCTGTCTTTCCTCCTTAGGAAGACCTATTCCTAACACCTCTGCCAACTACCAAGTGCTTTTCTTGATCCTCTTATATCTGTTGACTGAGAATGTTTTTTGTGTTCATTTTAACCAAATTTTACCTTCAGAAAGATATGAGGGTAAGGGAATATTTGGCTATATCCCAGTCTCCACACCTCCTAAACATGGACATGATCCTCCTCACTATCTCCTTCCCACCTCCCTTTTGTGGGGTTGACAGCCAGGCTCTCTCAAATGTGCCTCCAACACTGTAAGCTCCCAGACCTACCCCCTTGAAGTCTAAAAATCTAAGCATCCAAGGAAAAGAAATCTAAAACAAGAAATCTAAAATCTAAATGTGCCAACTTTAACACATACATTGATAAATGCCCCTTTTTCTCTCTCTTCTTATCAAATATAATTATTTAATTATATGTCTGTACTTAGACTAGACTGAAGGCACAGTTCCTGTTGTATAGACATGAAATAAATGCTATGTGAAAGAAAACATAAAGTAAATGAATAGCTGGTTCCATTAGCCATCATAGTGCATTTGTCAGTGTTGACAGCATCCACTCCTGGGTAGTACATTTCTCTTTGCACTTCGCACCTCATCCCAATGCCTTATCTTTTTCTTTACAAATATCCACCCTCTCTCCACTAACATTTAACAATTATTTTCAAAAATTTTCAAAATCATCAAAATGTTCTTTCTCACTTGTCTGTCTCTTGATTAATATGGCTTAGTCAAGTTGACTTTTCTTTCAGCTCTCTGAGCATACCTGTGCACATATTGCCTATATTTGAACAATTTAAAAATGTTGATAAGAGACACTGTTCAGTTTTTAAATGTTGAGACACCGTTATCTCTTATCTACATTTTAAAACTGAACAGTGTCTCTTATACTTGTACAATTGCATATATTTGAAATGCAATTTCTGCACCCCAATGTCATTTCTTCTAGGCAATCACTATTCACCCTTCAGGTCTCAGCTTAAAATTGCTTTCTTTAGGGATATCCAAAACAAAATTAGGAGCCTCAGTTGCCATAGTACTTCCATAGTACTTATCATAATTATAATTGAATAATTATGATTAGGTTTATTATTGTTTTCTCTCATTGGACAGTAAGCTCTTTGAGGGATTTCCAACAGCAGGGTTGAGTGAGCTGATGTGGACAATCTCCACCAACTATAAACTACAGAATGGCTGGATTAAATTTTAACTATATATTCAAACTCAAAAAAAAAGGGAAATAGAAATCCATGAGCATACAAAGCAATGAGATGTTAAACAGAAAAAAAAATCAGAGCATTAAGCAAGAGTTAACCCCTCCAAGAAGAAGTAAAGTGATGACAACAAAAGCATAAAGCCTTGGAGGAAAGACGTGGACAAAAACGTTGTGCAGTTGTTATTCTATACATGAGTTAGTATAATATCACTTAAAGGTAGACTATGAGTTCCCTAAGTTAAGAACATGTACTACAAATCCTGAAGCAATCACTTAAAAAAAAAAAGTTGCAACTTTAACATGCTTCTTTATGCCAATAAATTGTAAAGTTTAGATAAAATTAACATACTTCTTTTTTTTTTTTTTTTGAGATGGGGTATCATTCTATTGTCCAGGCTGGAGTGCAGCAGTGCAATCTTGGCTGACTGCAGCCTCGACTTCCCAGGCTCAAGCAATCCTCCCACCTCAGCCTCCCAAGTAGCTAGAACTACAGGCACATGCCACCATGGCCAGCTAATGTTTGTATTTTTTGTAGAGATGGGTTTTTGCCATGTTGCCTAGGCTGGTCTCAAACTCCTGGGCTCAAACAATCTGCCTGTCTCGGCCTCCCAAAGTGCTTGGATTACAAGCATGAGTCACCATACTGGGCCAAATGGATATTTCTTGAGAAACACAAGCTACCAAAGCTCATTGAAGAAAAAAAATCGATCATTTGAATAGCCCTATGTTTATGATAGAATGCGAACGTGTTATTTAAAACCTTCCCACAATGAAAACTAGATGCCCCAAATCCTTCACTGGTGAATTATACCATGTATTTAAGGAGAAAATAATAAAAGGTCTACATAAACTCTTCCAGAAAATTAAAGAGGACAGGATACTTTCCAGCTTATTTTATCAGTATTAGCCTGATTACAAAACCCGGCAAAGACACCATGGAGAACATGATTATCCATGTAGAAAATCCAAAAAATGATTTAAAAAGCTATCAAAACTAATAATTGAGCGTTTATAAGGTTATAGGATATAAGATCAGTCTGAAAAATCAATTGCATTTCTACACACTGATGATATAGTAGTTTCTTAAAATATTAAACATACATGCCATATAACTCAGACTTTCCACTTCTGGGTATTACAAATATAATCATATAACTCTACAAAAACTTGAAGGTGTATAGCAGTTTTATTTGTAACAGCCAAATACTGGAAATAATCTAGAGCCTCATCAACAGGTGAATGGGTAAGCAAATTGTGGTACATCCATATAGTGGAATACTACTCAGCAATAAAAAGTAATAAGTGATTGTTACACTCAAAAATGTGAATTTCAAAATCACTTTACTGAAAGAAGCCAGAAGAAAAGAATACACATTGTATTTTTATAATTCTATATATATTGAACTCTAGAAGATGAAAAGTATTCTATAATGACAGAAAGCAGATCAGTAGTTACTTAGGGATCGGGGTGAGGAGAAGTAAGGGAGAGAGAGAGGAATTACAAAGGAGCAGAAGGAAATTTTTGGAATTTGCAATGAATATGTCTACTATCTTGAGGTGATAGTTTAATGGATATATACATTTACCAGTTTTATCAGAATGAATATTTTATATATGTACAGTTTATTATAGGTAAATTAAACTTTAATAAGGCTATAAAAATAATCAAAGGAATGGAAATGACAATTTTTTAAAAGTTAGCAAATTTTAAAATACCTAGATGTGAACAAGTATCAAACAGAATTTTTTTAAATGAAAAACATAGTCATCAAATTTAAAAACTTAATGGATGAGTTATAAAGCAGACCAGCTCCATCAGAAAGCAAATTAATAGGCTGTAAAAAAGATAAAAGTATATTATCCAAGTGGCAGCTCACATAGCTAAATATATGAAAAGTATAAAAGAATCATTAAATGATACGAAGGGGAAATGAGGAGATATGACATATATCTCAAGAATTCAGAAAAGAAGAGATATAATGGGTGAATGATAATATTTGAAATTATAAGGCTGATAATTTTCTAAGATTTGAGAAATAAGTAAATTTAAAATTGATGAATCACACCAATAACAGGAAGTGCAAAGAGAAAATAAATGTCAATCTAGAAAATTCTATAGCTAGCTAGCTAATCATTTAAAAATCAAGACTAATGAAAACCTTTCAGACAAAGATTGAGAGAAAGTCTTTGGTGAAAGAACTACTAAATAGTATCCTTCAATAAGAAGGAAATCAAATATAGAGGAAATGAATGTGTTGCAAGAAGCAATAGTGACCAAAGAAACTGGTAAATGTGTAGGTAATTCTAAACAAGCATTGACTGAAATTGGGAGGAAAAAAGGAAAACAACGACTGATATTAAGACAGTTAAAAACAATTTAAATAGTAGGTAATAATCGCATGAAAATTAGGAGGGCAAAGGCCATCAGTAAACTGTTACAAATTCCATATGCTGTTTTGGAGGAGCACAAACATGTTTATGAATTTTGGGCTTTGTTAAGTGAAGCATTCATATTAATATTTAAAGATAACTGCCCAAAAATAAGCAAGTAAAAGCAAAGTCTGATACAGTTGACACAGAGAAAATTTTTGCTAAGTAGAGTTAAAAATAGGTGAACGGAACTTCAATAAGGCTGCAAAAATCATCAAAGGAATGAAAATGACAATTTTCTTAAGTTAGTAAATTGCTAACGGTTATTTACTTTCAAAGTTAGTAAGTAAATACATTGCTTGTTATTTTCTATATTTCTCAAAGCATACCTTTATTTTCTTAATGTGATATTACTTCTGTTATTGAGCTTCGTAAGCATAAGGATTCCCAGAAACAGAACTACTAGGATATGCAGTTGGATTGCGTGATCTTGGGACCATCCAGTAGAGGTAATGAGGCAGTACAGGGTAATGCCTGTTAGTACAGGCTTAGGAGTTGGAACTCCTGAGAATAAATTCCAGCTCTTTCACTGATTAGTGGAATGGTCTTGAACCAGTTACTTAACCTCTGATTATCATAGGTCCCTTACCTAAAATGCTATTGTCCTTAAGTGTTGCCACTATTTAATGATATAATTCATTGAGAAAGTGTTTAGTAAGGTATCTGGCATATACTAGGCATTCAATTAATGGCAGTTTCTGTTATTTCTGCACCTCTATGTCTTTCCCAGGACATGTTGATGATTTATGAAAACAAGTGTCTGATCACTCGGTGAGAAGGAAGGGCTGACTTGCCCAGGACTGATCCCTTTTATTCATGTCTCCCAGAAAAAGAAGCTAGCTCCTGCAAATTTCATGGATGCTAACTACGGCTTAGGACTTAAGACAATCAATCCAGGCCAACCCAAATCTCCTTTCCCACATACAATGTGTCAAGGGAAGGGCTGGCATCAAGGAAGCTGATGTAAATCTTTCTCCCAGATTGCCCTGACATACAGATTCAACTCCATGGCTCAGAACTCAGCTTTCTGACCACACAGGGGAGAGGCTGGTTCTCCATCTAACACTATCACCAAACTGGCAAGACAGGACTAGAGTTAAGGTTCTGCCATGACACATTATCATGGCATCCACACCACTGAGCTCAACAAAGCAGAGCCCAATGCTTCCCTAACCATGTGGTTTGTCAGCCTCAAAGCCCACAGCCTCACCCCTGGTCCTGCTAGATCCCCATGTGCCTCCCTGGAATGCAATGGACAATGATGAACCTGCACACTGCTACTGCCCTACCCTCAGAAAGTTTTCCCCAATGAACACTGCCCTAACAGGCTGTGTGTGAGTACTGCCTAGCCTTTTGCCCCTGTCTATGTGACAATCCACTAACCAGACCTAAGACACAGATGTTGAATTATATAGATTCTACTCCCACTGGCTCTCACCTACCTTCCCTGAAACACTTCAGGCAATCACAACCCTGGGTATCTCTTCAGGAATCAGCTCTGATGTCTTCTTTGTTCTGCCTTAGGCACAACAAGTCTTTACTCACCTTGCCCGCATCAGTTCTATGGCCGCCTAGTTTGTCCTATATCCTCTACTTCCTTTCCCTGGCTAATTACATTGATAACTTTATACTACAACTAAGGTCTTATATGGTATTGAGCAAGGAAACTAAGGTCTTCCTCATTCATTGGGGAAGTTGGAAATAAGGGATCAGATGGATTGTCTACTGCGTAATCACAATACAGCTATTTGAGGCAACTACCATGAAAAGCAGGAAAAGGTCTATTAACCTCAACCTGCCAGTCTCTAAGTACCCAACATAGCATGATAGTGAACCAATTAATGAGCGATCAATAAGTATAAAGTGGAATTTGAACAAATTATGTAGAAAATAGTCAGAAATGCAAGATTCATGATATTGGTCTGGGCAGTAATTTCTTGGATATAACAGCAAAAGCATAGGCAACAAAAGCAAAAATAGACAAATGAGATTGCATCAAACTAAAAAGCTTCTGCACAGCAAAGGAAGCAATCAACAGAGGAAAGAGACAATCCACAAAACAAGAGAAAATACTTACAAATCATACATCAGATAAGGGATTAATATCCAAAATATACAAGGAACTCAAACTACTCAATAACAAGAAAACCACACTATTTAAAAATGGTCAAAGGACCTGACAGATAGTTCTCAAAAGAAGACACATAAATGGCCAACAGATATATTTCAAAATGCTCAGCATCTCTAATCACCAGAGAAATGCAAATTAAAACTACAATGAGATATCACCTCACACCTGTTAGATTGGCTATCTGTCATAACATAAAAGAAACAAGTGTTGGTGAGAATGTGGGGAAAAGGGACCTCTTGTCCACTGTTGGTGGTATTGTCAATTAGTACAACAATTTTGGAAAATGATACAGAAGTTCCCCCAAAAATCAAAAAATAGAATTTCATATGATCCAGCAATCCCACCCACCTCTGGATATATATCCAAAGGAATTGAAGTCAGTATGCTGAAGAGATGTCTACAGTACCACGTTCGTTGCAGCATTATGCACAATACCCAAGATATGAAAACAACCAAAATGCCCATCAATTGATTAATGGATTTTTTTAATGTGGTATAAATTCACAACAGAATACTATTTGGCCTTTTAAAAGCAGAAAATTTGTGACAACATAGATTAACCTAGAGGACATTATGCTAAGGGAAATAAGCCAGACAGAGAAAAACAAATACCATGTTATCTCATTATATGTTGAATCTAAATAAGTCCAATTCATGGAAGTAGAAAGTAGAATGATGGTTAACAGAGGCTGAGGGAGTGGGATAAGAAAGGGGAGATGCTGGTCAAAGGACACAATGTTTCATTTAGATAGGAGAAATAAGTTCTGGTGATCTATTGCACAGCATGGAGGCTATAGTTAATAATAAAATATTTTATATTTCAAAATAAATAAGAGAATTTTAAATGTTCTTGCCTCAAAGAAATGATAAATATTTGAGGTGATAAATATGTTAATTAGCCTATTTTGATTACTGCACAATGTATATATATACCAAAATATTATATTGTAACCACTAAATGTAAACAATTACTATATGCCAATTAAAAATAAAATAAAACATTTAAAAAAGAAATAGGAATTCTAAAAATGCAAGATTCATGTTTGCAACAACCTGGGTAATTCAAATAACAGGCTAATCAATCATTTATTTAACCCTGGATGGTATAGATTGCTTTCTTTTTAACCAAGAGGTCGAATGCATATAGCAGATTGGGGCCTTTTAAATGCAGGAATATAGAAACATCAGACATCATTACACAGACATGAGTTTAGTTCCTCTGCTTTCTACCTCCATCTTCTATTCATTCAACAAATACATATCATGCACTAGGCTAGGCTAAACGACCCATAAAAATGGAGTGGAAATTCTGGGGTACTTTTTAAATCTTTGATGCTTCCATATAAGAAACACTAAGCAATATCTGTATTACCACAAGAGAAACTCAGTCTGGAAATATTGACTTCAGAGAAGAATTTTGCATAAGTCATGTCCAGTGGGGTTTCATTAGTGATGTAGCAGAACTTGCTCAAGGTGGAGGGGTCTCTCCCTGAGGCAGCTTGGTGCTGCAGACCCCAAAGGCAGAGTTACAGCAGAGCTCTGCTGCAGAACTGTCTGGAAGGTCACTTCTCTGCCCACCCAAACCTGTGTGCAAAGAAACCTGGTGGCTATCTTTTCAGCTTGAACAAACCTTTGACCTGATGGCCAGAGGAGCTCTTTCTGTAAATCTTTACACCCAAACGAAATTCACTTGTTGACTTGCAAGGAAACAAATATTTTTTAAGTGCTTTAAAAAAATTAACTAATTCATATCATGAGAAAACTCTCACCTTAATTCATCTGAGGGCTCACCTATTCAATTCCTCAACCCATTCTATGCTCCTTATTAATTATCAAAAATTATTTATGCACTGGTTATTTAGATAGTCTGCTAAGTTCTTATGAAACAAGAAAACAGATTTTTTTTAAATTTGCCAAAATCTGCTGCTCCTTTTCCCTCAGAAGCACAGAAAGTGAGTTCTTGTGGTTTCTTAGATGGATGACAGATTTCTATCTAATTAATCCAGAGCCCTGTGTATAGAAATGACTGCAAAGCAAACATGTCTATTAACAAAAAAGCAGTGATTACTGGTTGGCACTGGGCCAGCAACTCTACATAAGCAATGAACTGATGCGTACAACTGTCTCCGTGCCATATGGGTTCTGCTGTAGCAGTGAATTTGATCCAATGTAAGGTTAAGAGATGTCAAATTTAACTGGGTTTAATTGATACTGGTAAGAGGTTCTAAATAAAGAAACAGTGTGTGCACCATCAGAAACAGGCAACACGTCAGGCTATATCCTCCCAGTTTGTTGGCAACTCAGTTACTGCCAGACATTCAAATTAGTTTTCAAATTCAACTTTCTCAAATACGATTTTTTGTGGAAGTTGGGTTAACAGGTTTCTCAGCAGCTAATTGGGGCTGAATATTATGTCATAATATAATTACGTCTGTGGTTACTTCTCTCTTTATCACAAAATTCTTGTTTATACAAACCATGTAGAAAACTCAAATTCAGCATGCCCATTATGAACTCACTGTTCTCTCCAAACTCACTCTTCCATCTGTATCTGCTATTCAGATAAGGGCCCCTTGATGACCAAAGAGAAAGATCTTAAAGTCATCTCAACTCCTCTAACTTTCTTATCTTCCACTAACCCCCATAAATTCAACTTCACACATGTCCCTTACATGAGTTCATTTCTCCCCACTACCAACTGCCACACCTTCATCATGTCTCCCCTGAGTTGTAATAGCTTCCTAGTGGAATGCCCACCTATCTAACCATTCCTCCCAACTGCTAGACACTTTCCTGTTTAAAACCCCCAATATTTCTTTTCTGTATCTCCTAAGATAGAAATCAGACTTTAGACAGTCCCTTTTGCTATACCTGCACCTGCCCACTCACTATCAACCTCCAGCATCCCCTTGCTCCAGACGGCTTCTTATCCTACCCTAGGCATGTATGTGCAAGCATTTTTGTGCTGTTGCCTCTGCTTAAAACACCACCGTTAAGTTTTTCTTGAAAATTAAGAGAGGAAAAGCTCAAATCTTACTTTTCTGAGAAGCTTTTTCCACCCCAAGCAGAACTCACCACCCTTTTC
Source organism: Homo sapiens (assembly GCF_000001405.40). Classification (NCBI taxonomy): domain Eukaryota; kingdom Metazoa; phylum Chordata; class Mammalia; order Primates; family Hominidae; genus Homo; species Homo sapiens. Next base: position 95,387,240 of record NC_000001.11, on the reverse strand, counting down.
TGTACTCCCACAGCTCGTTGTTCATAACTTTATTATAGCACTGATGTGACGCATTAGAGCTGCATTTATGTCTAACTATCCATCTCGATTACAAGTCCCTATGACTCCTATCCATCTCAGTTATGGAAAATCATGCCGTTTATCTTGATACAGCTGAGTTCCCCACAGTGCTGGGCCTGACTCTGTGATGGCAGAGTGAGGAATACACAGAAGGGCACATCCAAGCCATGTGGACAGGCTGATTGAACCCACATTAACAACCGTGTCTCACCCACAACATGACAGGAGGAGACACCTCCTCTCATCTAGGGGATGGACTCCATTTCAACCAGGTGCATCTTACCAATTAACAATGACAACCACAAATGTTTATTGAGCACTACATTTTGCTCAGCACTTTACAATCATTTCTTCATTTATTATTCACGAGTGTCCCATAGGGTGAGGATTTCTCTCTGCTTTTTTGTTCTTTTGTCTAGGACCTGGCACATGTAAATATTGTTAATGAAAAAACAAACTATGTAGTACATTATTACCTTCATTTCACTGAGAAAAAAACTGAGATGCAGAGATGTTAAACAACTTACCCAAGTGCTGTGGGCTGAATTGTGTCACCCAAAGATTCACAAGATAAAGCCTTAACCCCCAATGCCACCGTATTTGGAGATAGGGCTTTTAGGAGGAAATTAAGGTTAAATGAGTCCTAGGGCTTGATAAGTTTAGTGATCTTATGAGAGATGAAGAGAGAAACATCTGTCTCCACTTGCATACACCAAGGACAGGTCATGTGAGAACACAGCAATAAAGCAGCAATTGCAAGCCAGGAAGAGCACTGCACCAGAACCTGACCATGCTGGCCTCCTGATCTCAGGTTTTCAGCACCCAGAAGAGCAAGAAAATAAATTTCTGTTGTTTAAGCCACCTAGTCTATGCTATTTTGTATGACAACCCAAGACGATTTAGACACTACTTATTTAGGAAAATTAGGAAATAGAAAACTCAAAATTTTAACCTAGATTAACAGATTTCAGAAGCTTTATCCAGTCACTATGGAGTATTTATCAAAGTATGTGTTGTGACCCACTAGTGGTTCTGAATGCAATCTATTGGACTACAACCAGCAATTTTTCCAGAAATTGAATAGACAGGTATAGAATATAATTGAACAGAATACAAAATATCAGAGTGTGTCACTGTTTAAAGTAATATAAGTAATCCTTAAAACTCATGTCCCTTTTTTTTTGAGATGGAGTCTCACTCTGTCACCCAGGCTGGAATGCAGTAATGCAATCTCAGCTCACTGCAACCTCCGCCCTCCAGGTTCAAGTGATTCTCCTGCCTCAGCCTCCTGAGTAGCTAGGATTATAGGCATGCGCTACCACACCCAGCTAATTTTTGTATTTTTAGTAGAGATGGGGTTTCACCATGTTGGCCAGGCTGGTCTTGAACTCCTGACTTGAGGTGACCTGCCCACCTCAGCCTCCCAAAGTGCTGGGATTACAGGCATGAGCCACCACACCTGGCCCATAAGTCACTTTTTAAAGTAAGACTTAAAAAACATAAGCATTACTTCACAAAACTTTTGTTCCAGAAATGTGGAGGGGAGGTGTAGAGGGGCATATGCACCCCAAAGTGATATGTATCTCTTACTGTTTCAGTCAAAAATATTTTTATAAACACTGTTGTTCTTGCCATTCTGTCTCACAAATAGCCCATCCATCCTATCTCTAGCCAGACCCCTTCTGATATAAAGAAATATCACATACCCATAGGTGAGTCCTGATTTTCATACTGCTTACACAATTTTCCTCTGGGTCATAGCTCATCCCAGCATGACATGGTTTGACATTTAATCTCTACACATCACACATATATGTTTTCTTACTTATTTTGTGCCCATGTTTTTTTCTTGCAACAGTAGAAGCTGAGCACAGCTTGACTGTCCATCCTTACTCCCTGTTTTCTACAATCCTTAACTCAGTCTGTATCCATGCAGCACTCTTCTAAGGGCTTATCCATTACAAATGTACACTAAATGTATGTGCAATAATTCAACTAATTGATCCAATCAAGTAGATTATATCCTTTTGAGAGCTTCTGTTCAGTCCCAAAACAGCCCAGATTCAGTCACAGAGAAATCAAGCAGGCGTTAGCTCTGATTCTGGAAAACTTGGGTTTTTAATCCTAGAATCAAAACATCAGTAGGTTTTTTTAATACTGAGACAATGTAAACATCTATAATTTTCTTTCTGGCTCAGTCTTGATCTCTATATGGTGGTCAGGCCCATTGTGGTGGGGGAGGGTCTGGTATACTCACCCAAGTGATATAGGCACAAGTGAAAGTCACCTCAAGGACCATATCTGGGTATGGGCCATTTGAGTAGCTGTCACCACAAAGACAATCTTGTCTGGGTCCTGAGTAGTGAGACCAGACATTCTGCAGGACAGGCTTATGGGGGTGCCAGTCAGCACCACGGACAGTTCCAAGTGCACCTGACTGACTTCAGAATAGCAGGAATCCCTTTGATGTGTAGTCAGCCCCAGCATACTTGGCTTATTGCCTCTCCAATGTACAGCCCACTCCACACAGGTGCCTCAAACCGCAATGAACTTTTCAGTGTCAGGGACCATGTGGTCCTAGGCCCAGGAGTCCCTTTTTCCAACGTCTGGAGATATTGCTTCTGCCTCTGGGTGTAGATGGGCCCCTCAAATGAGGGAGGGGAAGAAGAGGTGGGTTCAGCTCCCTCACCCCCTGATTTAACATTTTTTCCAATGTCCTATACCTTCTGTGACCCAGATCATAACCTAACACAGGTAGGAGTTAGGGGAGAGATTGTCTGGCCTATCTGTAAAGTATATTTATTGATTTTCTGATTGCCCAGCATCTCTTCCAACTTAATTTAGTAATATATCCCAACTTTTGATGAGCTACTTTTCCCCTCACAGTATGCTATGTCTATTAATCAAGATGGCTCATCATCCCCAGACAGATGATGAGCAGACATGTGACTCATCTTGGACAATCAGATACTTCCTTCCTAGAATTAGAACATAAGAATAATAGTAAAATAGTTAGAATTTCCTTATTACTGGTAAATTCTTGACCCTGACAAGACAGTTGACTAGTTCCTTCTATCAAGACCCTCTGAGGCTTCATGTTTCCTGTCTGTTCCAAATCTGGATCTTTAATCTCATAAGCAACTTCCCTATCTTTCTACAGACATCTCTTTTGCCTAAATTAGCCAGCATTAGTTTCTATTGCTTATAACCAAAAATTCCTAACAGTTTCATCTACTAAGGATAAAGGTTATGCCTGGAGTATTGAGATGGAAGGCAGGGAGGATAATAAATTTATAATTTTCAGTTAAGCCCAACTAAGAGAATATGAGCCAAAACTATATGAAATTTATTTCTAAATCCTTACACTTCTTAGCACATGCTTTATCCATAGTTGGTGTTCAAAATGTACCTATTAAGTTGGGGCATATATAAAAATCTATAAAGTGGGCATGACTAAGAAAGACAGATGGATGTTGGTTAAACATTATTGTGAATAATACATATTTTGGAGGCAAGAAACAGCTCTCAAAGAAGTTACCATTACCTCTTCACCTCTCTCTCTCTCCCTCTTCATATCCCTCTCACTTTTAACAATAAATACAAACTTCAAAGCCTCATCTTAGCCCTCTCATTTGTTAGGGCATCTGTTATACCATGGAGTAAAGCATCAGAGCAAAGTAAAATAAAATTCATGTAAAATAAAGGCTTTTTCAAAGAATTCCTAAATTTTGATCCTTTCTGATATTCCCCTGACTCCAGTTAATAAAAATAGCTACAGTTAATAAAACATTCTATCCACTCCTTTTCAATGCTGCCTATTATTCTTGAATGCTCAAAAGCCCCAGGCTCCCAGCCGGGTCAAAAGGTTTCACAAAACATCCACGAATTATTTCGAAGCAGTGAGACTCCCACAGCATGCCTCCCCGGAAGCTGTAAGGCAAGAAAATCCATCCTCTCATTCTGAACGAAAGTCAGAATTCACTGGAGGAGATATAAAGAAACCACCAGATAAAGGTTTATTCTTATGTTGCACTTTTAGTCTGTAATCCCAGGTACACCCCTCACCTAAGTAGGAGCATTCCCTCCCAGGAGAAGAATCCCAGTGCACTGTCTATGACAATGTATTTTCAATATTTTTTATAACAACCACAAATTCTGTTTTTAAAAAACAATTCCATTCTTCAATATGCTGGAGGGCATTCATAGTTTTCTCTCCCAAACACTGAAGGGAGAAAATTCTCCCACCTTAGCCCTTTGGTCTTTTCTCTTTCAATCAGACTTTAGCAGGTTCAAGTTGAGACTGCTAAAAGGAGCCTCTGTTCACTCCCCTGTCAAACCAAACCTTTCTGCACAGCCCTTTGGTTTTGCTGGATGTTGTTATAAGACCCAGTCCTTACAAGCAACACAGTATTTTCAGCCTGAGCCATCCACAATTTGATTCCTCACCCAAAATGTAGTATACTGTAAGAGACATATCATGGCTATAAGATTAATGATCGCCATAGGGCCCACTCATACATCTCACAGGGCCTACACTATGTGTCACTTAGCAGTATGATGTAACCTGGCCTGGGGAGTTCCAACTCTGGCCCAAAGATTACCCAGTCTCTATGACAACGGATTGCCCTAGAGACAAGGCCACCTCAGTACAGATGCAACTTTCATGAACCTTAAAACAAAGCTTACCCTTGAAAGAACAGTTTAAACTCCCTTTATGAAATAAATACCTGGTAACTGGCCCAGAGAGAATACAGGTATAAGAAAGGGGGAAGGATCCCCCAAACTCTGAGAATGGTATCCAAAGGAAAACCTCCCCTTCAGGGGGTCATCTGACCCCTGACTATATCTGGTCCATGCCACCATAAGAGTGCTCCAGAATAAACTGCCTGAACACCAGATGGTGCCTGACTCTTATCTTTGATGCAAATATGACCAAATAAGGAAAAGTCACCCCCGGGGAAGCTGGTTAACCAGCCCACCTGACAGCCCCAAACACCACATAAAACTGATTCTTTGTGTGTGAATTGCGACTTTAGAGTGATACCCTTAAACCCCAAACTCCTGTATCTGCTAATATACATAATTCCTCCCTGGTTTAGTTCTGACCCACTGGAAGAGTGGGCAATAGATTCCTCACTGACATTGCCAACAGCAAAAAGGCTATGAAACACAAAAGATAACAAGTTACAGGGAAGAACAACAGAGCTGTGCAAACCACTCTGCTGTGATAGTTGCATTTTAAAATCATATCAAGTTATTTAGCAAATAGAATCCACACTCTCCCATGATCTCAAAACACTAAATAACTAATTAATATTTTCATTGCTCTGGCCTTCAACAAGTTTGTGAGAGTTTTGCCAGATCAAGTATTCAGAATCTATTCACTTTATAGATTTTTTAGTGAAATTAGTCTTTATCCTGGTCTGAAGAATCCTAAAAGTTGGGGAAAATGGTGGGATATTTTTCTTCTTTGTTTCTAACACATAATCTTTGTACATAACAATTTTTTAAAAACAATTTTAAGCCAAGTAAATATTATGAGCACACTTCCCAAGTCCAGAACATTTCACATTCATTCATTTACAAGATATTTCTTGAGCACCTGCTTTCTGTCAGGAATGGTACTAGGCTCTATCCTGGAAACTGTAAAATACACATAGGATGAATTTTTAAATTTCTGCCTTTTTGAATGTGTTACTGGCCATCTTTGCCTTGCAAAACCGTCTCTTTTATTAGCATAAAGTCTTTGTAGAGATTGCTTTCCTGTCTTATTTATTTGCAAAATTAGAACTTTGTGAGAGCCTGCACTTCTACTAAGGTTTCTATTAGACTTGGGTTTTTAAGAATTATGATCTTTTATGGCAGCACAATTGAGTCCCAAGGCCTAATTTTTCTACAGCTGTTTCAATTACAACAAAAACTTTAATATAACAAAAAGCATGCCAAAGTCCTGCTGATGGCAGATCTAGAGGCAGTGTTCAGTTGACCTCTAAATGCCTTCCTGCTGGCTGTGACCAGGAGCCACAGGAGCTGGTAGATCTCCATGGCAGGTTTTGCAGCTGTGGTCCCTCCCCCACTGTGATGGTCAATACTGAGTGTCAACTTGATTGGATTGAAGGATTCGAAGTACTGTTCCTGGGTGTGTCTGTGAGGGTGCTGCCAAAGAGATTAACATTTGAGTCAGCGGACTACAAGAAGCAGAGCCACCCTCAATCTGGGTAGACACCATCTAATCAGCTACCAGCAAGGCTAGAATAAAACAGGCAGGAGAAGATGGAAGAGCAGACTTGCTGAGACTTCTGGCCTTCATCTTTCTCCTGTGCTAGGTGCTTCCTGCCCTCGAACATCAGACTCCAAGTTCTTCAGCTTTCAAAATCTTGGACTTATATTGGTAATTTGCCAGAGACCCTTGGGCCTTTGGCCACAGACTGAAGGCTGCACTGTTGGCTTCCCTATTCTTGAGGTTTTGGGACTCGCACTGATCCACCACTGGCTTCCTTGGCTCCTCAACTTGCAGCCGGCCTATCATGGGACTTACCTAGTGATCATGTAAGTCAGTTCTCCTTAATAAATGCCTCTTAATATATACATATATCCTATTCGTTCTGTTCCTCTAGAGGACCCTGACTAATACACCCACCATCACAGCTTGCAGGTTCTCTTCCAGGAGAGATATTTGCTGTGACTACCATCCTCTATAACCTCTCCTCCAGTTTCTTCCTCAGGATGATCCAAGACACCAGAGAGGTGAAAATTAGCTTCCTTTCACCAAAAATAAAGGGAGGTGAATTGTTCTCAATTCTCCAAGTACAGCTCAATCTCCTTCACTGGGAAATCAGAATTTGACTAAAACATGCCCTAACTTTCCCATCTCATTTCCTTCCTGAGGGAATTCTGGTCAACTACTCTGCTTACTACCTCCCAAATGGGCCCTAAGCTTTCTCATCATGATTTCTTCACTTAAAACATCCTTCCCACCTACAACACGCTTCAAAATTCTAACTTGCCTTTAAACCTAACTAAAACTTCATCCCCTTAAAACAGCTTTTCCTTAACTGATTTAGACTGAAATCATCATACTTACCTTTTCACAAATTACAGCAATTTCATGGCTGAAAGATGTTGAGGGTCTGAATTGGGACAGTGGCAACAGGAATGCACATGTGAGAATAGACTCAAAATCCATAATGGTAGTCAAATAAATGGTCAGGGCTTGGTGGATGTTGGTGGATGTTATTATGGATGCCTCTTGCCAGAAAATTGCTTGAGAGTGAGGCTAGCACCATGAAGGGAATATAAGCCTTTTCCCCTGCAATTTCTACTAGGCACAATATTTAGAATGTGAGGCAGAAATGACCAATGGTCAAATTTCTTAAGACTTTATATCTTCCCCAAGGAAGGAGAACGTAAACAAACATTTTCATAGCACAGAGATCTGTTGCCGACTCTAATTACAATAATCTCCCATTCTGAAATTACTTTTTTCCTCACTGGTTCTTTCATCACAGACGCCCAATTTGAAATCAAAGATAACTGACATCACCTCTAAAATTTTCATTACTTGAAGTATGGGAAATGGAATATGTATGGTTCATGCCCCTTGAGCCACACATGTGCATGTCTCAGTCTGTCTTCCCTGAAATAAATTTGCTACAATCACTGTTTTTACAATATGCTAAAGATACATTACCAAAATAAGCTTGCTCCTCCACAGAGTAAGTGAGCCGAAGGCATTGTGTTCCATCTTTACAATGAAATGCAGATTTTTCATTGAAAGACTAATCTTCAGTTTCAAAAGACTGAACAAAAATGGTGCTTAAGAAGAATTATAGCTGGTTAAATATAAACTGCTAAAAACATCCAGGACCAGAATATTCTATGGGTACCAAAGCATTTTCATCTGCTTATGATTGAAACAAATTCCTTTCTGTGGAATATCTTATCCCAGTATTTTCTTCTGAGATCAGCAAACAAAAATCAGGAAGTATACTGACCCAGAGCCTTCTTTACCTAAATGATCTTATTTCTCTACATTTGTATCAGTAAGAGATTGCCTCACATTAGCATGATTGGCCCCCTGTCTGGCCTGAACCTACTCATAGCAGAATGGAAGAGAGTCCCACAGAGCTCCCCATGCTCCTGGTGGGCCACACATGGTCACATTTGCTCAGCATCTCCTCTCAAACCTCTACTCACTGGCAGATACCAGTCCAAGGTCTGCTTAAAACTAGTGACCCGGCTGGGCGCGGTGGCTCACGCCTGTAATCCCACCACTTTGGGAGGACGAGGTGGGTGGATCACGAGGTCAGGAGATCAAGACCATCCTGACCAACATGGTGAAACCCCGTCTCCACTAAAAATACAAAAAATTAGCCAGGCGTGGTGGCGGGCACCTGTAGTCCCAGCTACTTGGGAGGCTGAGGCAAGAGAATGGCGTTAACCCAGGAGGCGGAGCTTGCAATAGCTGAGAATGAGCCACCGTACCGCAGCCTGGGCGACAGCACAAGACTCTGTCTCAAAAAAAAAAAAACAAAAAAAAAACTAGTGACCCATTCCTTCCTTAGAAGACGTAGGGACCAGCTTCAGTGCCTTCATCCCTGTCACCTTCACAGCCCCATATAGTTTTCTCTATCTGCCAATCTAACCCCATGTCCTTTCCCTTCACTGCCCTCCCAACCCTTTTCCGGGTCCTCTGGAAGTCATGGTGTGTTAGGAGTAAAAATACCTAGAGGCTGGGTGCAGTGGCTCATGCCTGTAATCCCAGCAGCTTGGGAGGCCAAGGTGGGTGGATCACCTGAGGTCAGGAGTTCAAGACCAACCTAGCCAACATGGTGAAACCCCATCTCTACTAAAAACACAAAAATTAGCTGGACATGATGATGGGCGCCTGTAATCCCAACTACTCAGGAGGCTGAGGTGGAAGAATTGCTTGAACCCAGGAGGCAGAGGTTGCAGTGAGCCGAGATCCGCCATTGCCCTCCAGCCTGGGCAACACAGCAAAACTCTGTCATAAAAAAAAGAAAGAAAGAAAAAAAAAAACCTAGAAACTCAATTTCTCTGAATATATCATCTTCTCACTCCAATGAAAATCTCCAGTAGATCCCAAAGGAACAGTTTCCCCCAGTCACTACACAGGTTGTGTTTTTCCTCTGATAACATTTGTCCTAAAGGAGCAGGGAGCTCTCCTCATTGCCTCTTTCAGATTAACACTCCTGACTCCATCCTGTAAACCCAGCCATACCATCTGATACTTTGCATTGTTGCAAGAATCTACCTTCCAATCTGTTGATCACTCTCATTAAATGAAAGAATGTGTCTTTGCTCACTGTCTTCCTCTCCACTTCTGTAACAATGGGGAGTGGTTAAATAATCAAAATAATCACATAGATCTCACAGACTTTTGTTCTTTTTGCTGAATTTATCCCATATCCCACCTCAGCCACTTATTTTCCTGGTCATACCCTGTCTCTTCTCATTGTCAATAACTTCACTCCTCCAAAATATTGGTTTTAAGTGTCCCTCTAATTACAACCTCTGAGCTTTCCATCTTGATCATTGTTTTTACCACAATTCCAGTAACCTCAGGATATTCAAATCTTGGACCTACCACCCTTTTGCTGACCATCAGGTTCTCACTTCCCTCTTTCCCCAGTTTAAATTCCATGGTCCATCTCTAACATCACCTCTCATATACAGTCTCAGCTCTCATCTGCTCACCTTGCCCCTTATGTACTCAGAAAACAGAACCGCAATCCTAATTACATTCAGCTTTCTGTCTACTCCATGCCTACACCCAAGCCAATTCTGAAGGCCAGAGAAAAATCCCACAATTGTTTGGATTAATCACACTTTAAAATCACGACCACAAACCTTAACAATGTCCTCAACCTTAACCAAGAATTCTGGCATAATGTCCTTGCCAGTTCATTCTCCTGCCCTCTGAGACAAGTCTCTCACACACTCACTCTTCTTCACTTGAAATTTCAACACATCCTACACATTGGTCTCTGAAGGACATCATATCTTATTTTACTAAGAAAGAAGGAACACCCCAAAGAGAACTTTCTTATCCTGCAGTCAAACCTGGCATCCTCTCTGCTGCTGTGCCTGCACCTTGCCTGTCCTCCTATAATAGGGCTTGAACTGTCTGTCCTCCTTTCTAAAGCCAGCCCCTCCATCTGTGCAATGGATCCTGTCCCCTCTTGCCCACATAAGGATTTTGGCACAGCAATTGTCTTCATTCTCTCCTGGCTTGTTACCTGATCCCACATCTTCCTCCTTTTAGCATTAATTCCACTATCCATTTCTTGGCTTCCATTCACAGTAAAACCATTCAAAACCTTGCCATGCTCTCTGCATCCACTTCCTTGATTCTCATTCTTTCCTGAACTCCTTCCATTCAGGTTACTATCCCCCCATTTCACTAAAACTGTTTTTTCAAGGTCGTTAATGACCTCTGTATTGCCAAACTTAATAGTCTTTTCCTAATTTTTGTCTTATTTGACTTCCCAGTATCATTTGATTATTTAATATCATCATTTGATAACTCCCTCTTTGGGGAATATTTTTTCTTGGACTATAGAACATCATATGTGTCTGGTTTTCTTCTTACCTCACTGTCTGTTACTTTCCAATCTCATTTACTGGATTTCTCACTCCCACTTGAGGCTCAGCCCTCAGCCCTCTTCTCTATCAGCACTCATATCCCTTAAGTCATCTTATCTCTTCCATTGCTTTCCATACCATCTGTGTGCTGATGGTCCCAAATTTCTATCACCATCCCCTGACTTCTCCCATAAACTCCATATATATCCAACTCCCTGCGTGACATCTTCACTTAGATGTCTAATAGGAATCTCTGCAGGTGTACTTCAAAACATACTAAGAATCCCTGCCATGATGACCAAGAACCATGAGAAGGTTCAATATCAATAGTAATCAGACAGTGACAAACAAAAAACACAATGTGATTTTTCCATCAACCCATTATTACCAATTACATTGCTAGGAATATTCACAAACATGTCTTGGGTGCACATTGCACACACTTCTGTTGTTCAACTTGAGATGATGCCAAACTTTTCCAAAATAAATATATATTCTCAGCTGTTTTTGCAATTTTTAATTTTTAACATCACTACTACCAGTCATTTTAAGTTTTGTTATTCTGCTGTGTGTCTGGTGTTATTACATCATCCTTTTAATTTGTATTTTCTTGATTACTGGCAAAGTTGAACACCTTTTTATTATTGACCAAGCAAACTGACCTATGAGATTTAGGATGCAACTTAGGTGCCTAAACTATAAAGAAAGCCATGGAAGTGATTACCATAAAAATCAGGGTAGTAGTTACCCTCCAGGGGCAAGGAAGGTAAAGTCACCAGAAGAGGACATGCAGAGAGCAAGGGGCTTTCTGAGTGCTGAGGAATGTATTTTTTGCTCTGTGTAGTAGTTACACAGATGTTCACTTTGTGATAAAACACTGGGCTGTAAACTCTTGTTTTGTACAATTTTCTACATTTGTTTTATTTCACAGTAAAAAAAATTAAATAGAAGGTTAAGTGAAGCAAACAAATATTATTTGAGTACTTACTACATGCTGGGCCATAAGACAAATACAGGGACCCAAAGATTAATGAGAAAGGTTGTTTCCCTCAAGGTCACCATGAATCACGCGATTAATTGGTGGCAGCCAGAATTGCACCTGGAGCACTGAGAACCCATGAAAGATGTCAAGAAGGAGGGGGATTTGTGGCAGGCCTCGAAATGTGAGTGGTATTGGATAAGCAAAGAAAAGGAGCAGCATGATAGCCATCTTTAGATTTATGACCAGAGCAACTCCCAGTCTACACATACATTGACATTGACACTCAGATGCCCACAGTCACACACACGCTCATGGTGTGCATTTGCTGGAGCTGCTGTAACAAAGTACCACAGACTGGGTGGCTTCCACAACAGAAATGTGCTGTCTCACACAGTTCTGGAGGCCAGAAGTCTGAAATCAAGGTGTCGGCCAGGTTGGTTCCTCGGAGGCTGTGAGGGAAGGATCTGTTCCAGTCCTCTCTACTTGGCTTGTACATGGCTATCTTCTGCCAGTGTCTCTTCACGACCTCTTCCCTCTCTGAGTGGCTCTGTGTCCAAATTTCCCCTTTTACAAAGACAACAGCTAATGGGATTACAGCCCACCCTAATGTCTCCTTTGAACTTGATTATCTATACGAAGACCTCTCTCCAAATAACGTTGAATTCTAAGGTATTAGGGGCTAGGATTTCAACATAAGAATTTTAGGGAGACACAATTTTACACATAACACTCAACATATATACATACTCACAAATGTACACACATACATGTTCTCCCAGTCACACATACACACATACATTCATACACACTCACATACACATGCACACATCTACATAAACACACACACACAATCTCACAATACACATACTCACAGCTCTTTACCCTTTCTCACTCATATCGACGCCCTCACAGGCAGGCAGGCATCTGCAGGGGAGTTGCTCCTTTCCCCCACGCTGCCACCGGCAGCACCCTGTCTCCTTGGGTGGGAATGTGACCCAAGCCAAGGAAAACAGAGTCTCTCACCAAGCATGAGCCAAACTGGAAGTAAGGGAAGACAGCCCCCCACTGCCTGGTGGCAAATTTGGGAAGATAAACAGTTGCTACTGGAAACACTGTCCCACTGTAGTACAGGCCAAGGCCTGTCTGCTGGACAATGAAGGAGAACCACAGGAGAAAAAAAAGTGAATCTCGATGCCCATATCCCCGGGCCCCAGCCATCTATTGGTCAGCTGCACCCTGACAGCTCACAGTATGGTAATTCCCCTTCCCTGCTCAAGTTAGTTTGGTGTGGATTTCCAACACCTGTAATTCCAAGAGGCCAGGGCTTTCCAATGGAAGTCTAGGAGGCCTGAAGAGACCGTGAAGATAGAGGGTGAGAGATCAAAATGAACTTGTCACCACGTCTGATGACAAGCCTTCCCTTTTCTTTTGTTCCATTTTGTTTCATTGTCACATTTGTATATTGTTCTCCAACCACACCACTTTCTTTCAGTACTTTCCCAACCTCTCTACCCACTGCAAACTTTAAAATCCTCCCTGCTCCTTACAGATCTGTTTATATGTTAAGTCTGTCCAAAAAAACATTTCCTGACCACCCTAGGAAACGCAATTTACTCTCATGTTACCTTCTAACTCAGAACTTTAATTGCTTTCTTCAAAGTCCTTTATCACAGTTGGCAATTATTTTATTTGTATGCTATTTACTTGGGTTTATCTCTTCCCCATTCTACTCTAAGCCCCCTAAGGACAGAAACCGGGTGCGTATGTTCCCCATTTTATCCCCTCAAGCCCAGCACCCAGTGTGGCACTGATGGCTGATACAAGAAAGTTAGGAAGGAAAGAGATAGACAACGAGGGAGGCTGATGGATTCTCCAGCCCACAACTTCCCAGCTGTGCTTTCTAAAATCCCAGCATTCTGAGAAGGCTGTTTCACTGGCAATTTCACCCTAGACTTCTGTGCCTCTTGCTCACTGAATGCTGTTTTACCTCCTGGGTGATTCTTCTCTGTTGGTCTCCCAGGCCGCTCACCCACAGGAATGCCCCTGCTGCGTGACCTGCTTGCTTTAACGGTGGGGCATCTGTGCCTCTTATTTTTTGCATGGTCACAGGTGTCTTGTATTACCTTGTTTTGTTTATAGCCAATGAAAAAAACATGTTGAGAATTCTTAAGTGACTGTTACAAATTGTAATACTCCCCCACCTTCATTTTTGTAATTTCTTTGCCCCAAAGGCTTTCCTCAGAAGGTATGCCATAGGCAATGCTGGATTTCTTGGGACAGAGCAGTGAAGAACAGTATCACACTCAAAAACACGCACCGGGACATGCAGGCAACTTTCTGTCTGGAGAGCCCTCTTTGGGGCCAAGGTTACAGGAGTGCTTTATAGTCTCTATTCACAAAATCCTGTTTGAAAAAACAAAAAAAAAACTGTTATTTGTTGCCTTGTTTTTTGTTTTTTGAGTTTTGTTTTTGTTTTTGTTTTTTGAGACAGGGTCTCGCTGTGCCACCCAGGCTACAATGCAGTGGTGCAATCACAGCTCACTGCAGCCTCAACCTCCCAGCTCAAGCGATCCTTCCACCTCAGCCTCCCAAGTATCTGGGATTACAGATGCTGGCCACCACACCTGGCTAATCTTTGTATTTTTCGTAGAAACCAAGTCTCACTATGTTGCCTAGGCTGGTCTCCAACTTCTGGATTCCAGTGATCTGCCCACCTCGGCCTCCCAAAGTGCTGAGATTACAGGTGTGAGCCACCGCACCCAGCCAAAAAACTTTTTCAAAGTAAAACACTTGAAAGAAATGACTACGGTTTATTAACAGAGTCTTAGAAACCAAAGCCTTCATTTACCACAATGACTAGCCCAGGGGAAAAAAATAGTTTACTGTGGTGTTTGTAAGGTGCCTGAAAACCACATTTCCTCCTCCCTTTCCTTTCAGATACTCAATCTCTAGGAAACCCAATTGACAAGTTTCTGGCAATTCAACACCATGTAGTATCGCACGTCAGAAATCGGTATGGAATGTTACACTCACTTTTCCTGTAACTTCTTATAGCCTTTAAATTGCCATCTCTCTAACTACATTTCTTCAAACAATATTGCCATTTGAGTGGTATCAATCAGACAGGATTGCCCTTTGACGTCAAAACTCTCAGTCGGCCCACGTGAATAAATTCTGATTACTTCTGTATTCTGGAAAGAAAATGTATTTTTTCAGATTACCGTCATGAGCTGCGAGTGAACATTTAATAAAAAATAATATTGACTTCTCATCTGTAGGCGTCTGGTGTTAAATTTAGTGTCTTTTGCTAACAGAACCACCCTAGGTCTAGCTTGTTTTTAACCATGGCCTTAACACTCCACTGCTTTGCCTAATTCCCAATTCTAAGCAACTCCCATGGCCTAGTTTGTTTTGTTGATTAAACAATGCGCCAGTTTAAACTTCACATTTCAGGTTTGATCGCTATGGGACAAACTGGCTCATAAATCTTCGCTCGGCTACTAGTAACTAGGGAGAAGTCGCTTTCTTCAGTAAACATCCCCTGCTTCTCAGTAATAGGGTGCCTTCCATCACCCAGAGGTTTTTTTCCTTTTAATTGAGTGTTTGTTGAAGCATGACTCTGAGATAGGAGGCCTATTCAGGAACAGAAATTGCAGCCCAAAGTGCCCATTACTTACCTGAGACAGGGCCTGAGACCAGCTGCACCTTGCAGAGCCCGGACGCCGGGGCGTGTGGATTCGGGCTGCTGGGCCGATTAGCGACATTGCCAAAAATGACAGGGATGCAGGGAGATCAGGAGAGCCTAGGTCTTGGTATTCTCTCCACCACCTGCCAACCTGAGGGATAAAAATAATAATAAAGTAGGCACTCCATCTTTGCTCCCTCCTCCCCACCAAAAAAAAACCTCTCCCCAAAATGGAAAATTCAACTTCCCTGCACACCAGAAACACACATCTGTGTTTCCACGTTGTTGTTTTTTCTATTTTTCTTCTCCAGCAGTCAGAAGTCTGCTTCCAAAGCTTCCCCTACCTTCCCGATTTGAAAGGAGAAGAGAGCTAATATTTTTTCAATCTCCATTTTGAGCCAGACATTATATTAGCTGCTTCAGTATATTATTTCCTTAATTCTTCCAACAGGGCAATTAACTTGGTCCGCGTGTTATGGACAGCTACTGGGAAGACCTTTGCTCTGTCTTAGCTCTCCCAGTCCTGATCTCATGGGCCCCATTTTTCCTAGCCCAGAGTTCTTCTTACACATCAATATGGATGAGGTTTTACTTTGAACTGTTCATTCTTCCGAGAATGACAGATGTCGGATTAAACTGCAAAACTCCCCAACTTTACATTCACTGCATTCACCTCCAATCAATAAACGCGTTCTGGTGCTTCCCAGCAGGAAGACAGTCTTCATTATGGCCCTCCTTGGCAATGTGGGGAACTGCTCCTCCCAGCCCCTCAGAGCTTGCACTATTTTGCACATACCCTTCTCACCCCTGATGGGAAGCACTATAGTGTCTGCAAATGTGATTTATTTGAATTCTAGCAGAAACATTTGTAGTACGTCTGGGTGGTCCTCTGTCTTGAGCTGAACCTCGCAATGCTACAGAAATGGGTTATTACTGATACCCGGGAATAGCTACAGTTTCTTTCTTAGCTGGGATAAATTACAGTATGACCTCTCCGTGGTATCCAGTACGTGGTGAGCCCTTAGCCTTCAGACAAAATGACGCCAAGATCACAAATATTTGTCCTGCAGAAGTACTTGAAGTTTGCTCTCCCCTCTATTCTCTAACATAAACAAGCCTCTGCTTTGATCCTTCTCATTGCCCTGTTCCTGTACACACCCCTTCTCTGTTGCTTGGCTCCCATTACCCTCCCCTAACTGAAAGTCCCTCTGCTTCCTTACTATGAGCTATCTATTCTTCAATAAATAACTTAAAACCTTCCACAGAAGGGGACTGACTGCTGAGCTGGGTTTTCAGAAACGAACAGAGTGAGCTGGAGAACAGAATGTGCAGAGTTACTGAAGGCAGGAGAAATGCGTGCACAGGAACGAAACACATTGTGTTAATATTTGGGAACACTCTGATCAGGGATTGTTTGTCTATGAGAAGCAGACACCAGCTCTAAGAAGCTCAAGTAAAAAGTAAGTTTACTGTTAGTATTGAAGGGAATAGTAAGGAAACCAATTTCAGGTAGTAAGGCCAAGAACTAGCACCACACAACCTCCCATGTCCACTTCAACCTGAACGTCTGCCCCATTCTCCTTTCTGATAATCAATTTCCTCTACCTGCCTATTTTGTTAGCCGTAATTTCACAGCCTTAACACTTCCACCTCTCCTAGTTCAAACTACATAGGGGAAGGTCATGTGATTAGTTCGGCTTGGATCAGGTGATCACTTCTGGCCCAATCAGCTGTGGCCAGAATAGTCCACTGTGAGCATGGCTATTTGGAGCTGTCTCTTCAGCAGCTACTGTGGTTGGAAGGCACCTCCCAACGGAAAAAAGCAGGCTGAGCAGGCAAACTGTGTATGGACAAGACAACTCTCAGCAGCTCAGTATTTCTGAAGCTTAAAGAACAAGGCAAAGAATGGTGGAAATGAAACCTTGTTCTTTACTGGCTGATGAGTGCCTCTAGACGTGGCTCTATAAATTGTTGGTTAGGTCATTTTAAAATATATTTTTATGTGCTTTCAACCTTTTTTAAAAATTAGATTTTCTAACCTTTTTCTCCCATTACTTAAAAACATTGTCAACTGTTGGTATCTTAGATGAGAGAGAAATACCTCAGTCAAGCCTTTCTCCTCAAGCAGTTCCCAATGACTCTACCAAGTCCTCTTTCCCTGTTCAAGATAGTTACTTTCTATGCCAAATACCTAACAATTCCCCTGCAGTCTTTTTTTTTTTTTTTTGTACCATGGATTCTGGCATTGGTTTATATAGTATTTATTTCCCAAACTAGATTATAAGCTTTTGAACAGAAAAACCTGCTGTTTCTATATTCTTGCTTCTATATTTCCTTGACTGTCATATATACTCATTGGAGATGGATTATCTGGATATCTATTATGATGGACTTCAACACTACATTACAATGTAATAAGTCATCTCTTATGACATGTATTGGTCATGACTCTTTTGGTCACAAATTGCAGAAACCAACCTAAACTAGCTTAGGCAACAAATGGGAATATATTGGAAAGTTATTAGGTACTATCACATCTAAACCATGGGAAGGGCAGACAGATAACTGGACAAAAGAGCAAGAAGATTCAGAGACTCAAAAGGAAAATCTGTCTCTCTTCCTGCCCCTACTTCTCTTCCTTCCTGTCTTCCTCCTTCCTTCCCACCTCCTTTTTTCATCCTGTCTCTCACTTTTAGACGGTTCTCTTGGTGGTTTCTAAGTTTAACATCTTACATTTTCCACTGCTAGAGAGAAACTGACGTCTTTCTTGGTTAGAATTTTAAAATTCTATTTGGTTGGCTCAGTTTGGGTCAGTGAGCCACCCCTGAATCAATAAAGTATATGTGGAAATGGGGTTGAGATATGGACTCTAAAAACATGGCTTTGCCTGCTGAATCTACATGAATGGAGAAAAGCAGTTCCCAAAATAAAAGGTGTTTAAGTAAGGGTAATATTAATTACTGCAAATGGATAAACCCCTAGCTCTCTGTGGCTTAGCATAGTCAAAGTTTATTTTTCACTCATGACACAGTCCTGATCAGGTGGCTCCTCTCCACGTGATGCCCAGGAGGAAGAGAAAACAGGTTTTGGTGGACACGTACAGTCTCTGTCACAGAGGCATGCTGTCCCCTAATGAAGAGAATGGAGGAAAGGGAGTTCTTGGTCTCCCAAACATTAGATGTCCATTATGCCAGACATAATACATCAGCTCATAACACAATCACCCCGGAACAATCATGAAAAGAATGCTACAGACAGACAAAAAAGTAGCGGATATAAAAATGTATTTGTATCCATAATGTAAAACAAAGTTGAACATGAAATTATAAAGAACCTCAAAAAACATGCTAATAACTCAAAAACAGGAATCGTGGGGTTTTAAGAAACTGTTTCTTTGCATTTCATTCATTCAGAGGGACCATCCTGAGTGCTGTCCTTGTTTCACGAAATTCTGGTCTAACAAGGTAGTAGGTTCTTGCATCCTCCCCCACTACCCCAGAGAATGATAAAATTGTTTTATTTGGAGGCAAGTTATCTCCAAAGGCTTTTTTATTCAGTGCCAGAGATTACAGTACACTAATACAGTAAAAGCTGGAATCAAGACCTTTGTTCGTTCCAATTCCTTGATCCCAGGCTTAAATACGTCTCCTCATAGGATCTTTGTTTGCCACAAAGAGACTGCAGCTGGTTCCTTCCATTTTCCAGGCCTACTCTCATCATTTCAATTAAACAGACTCTTGGAACAATGCATACTGCTATCATGATCAGTCTCTTTTAGTTATCTCTAGGTAAAATAGATGCCTCAAACTCTCACTTGCAGGTTTCCATGATGCCTTTGTGCCCTGTTCCCATTCATCCTCCTCCTTTCCTTCTCCTTGTGGAAGAGCAAATAGCTGTACCATTTCTTCATGTTACTGGGTGAGAATCCACTCCATACCCCAGCCAGCCAGGTTCCTCTGGCTGCCTTTATCACCTTTGTTATCTTAAACATTATAACAAAGTAATTGTTAGGAGAGTCCTTGCGGGGGAGGGTGAGTAAACAAGGTAATTATAGAGGAAGCTAAAAATTGTAGGACAGAGAGAAAATCTACCTGTGTACAATGACAGGTCCAAGAAAGTTTTCAAGACTGATGAGTAGACACAAACATTTGCAATTTAGAGAAAAATGCACGTCAAACCTTTAAGCTTATGAAAGCATCCCAAGTCACTGCCTCTAAGTCATAGTTCACTGCTAGGACTCTTAAACTCTGAGCTCAACCTGAAATAGGGCACAATAGGTGGTAAGCAGAGTTCCTCCTAGAATCCTCTACATTCTCACAATGCCTTTATAAAAGTACCTGCCAGATATATCATCCACTTGCCTCTGCTTGACTGGAAACATTGAAGCATGGTAAAGGTGGAGTGAACCACCCGCCACATGACAGAGTAGCGGAGAGAGTTCAGGGAATAAAGCTTGGGATTTCATCCCTGGGTGCCTACCTTAGCATACGGCCATTCTGCTGCACATGTTTT
Organism: Homo sapiens; assembly: GCF_000001405.40. Taxonomy (NCBI): domain Eukaryota; kingdom Metazoa; phylum Chordata; class Mammalia; order Primates; family Hominidae; genus Homo; species Homo sapiens. The sequence goes on along the minus strand of NC_000001.11, from coordinate 95,367,396 downwards.
TCATAATGTACCTCCGAGGGTTTGAATTATTGCTGGGTTTTGCTTTTTTAGGTGGATAGGGAGAATTCAGGTGGAGAATACTAGTAAAATGCAAGAAGTTAAAGCATTATTGGTATAACAAATAGAGAATGTTTTGTTCCAGTCGAGAGAGCTCCAAAATTTCATCCCAAAGTCATCTTCTGGGAAAACCGAAATGTAAGGAGGCTGACACATACTGAATAAGATTTAGTAGGCACATTTCCAAGGTATGCACAGAGCCTGAGTTTTGCTGATTTTACACTTCCTCTTTACCTTAGGTCTACCTGCATAAATAGCTACAATGTCTCATGCTAGTGAACTTTCAGGGCAATGTAGTCAATAGATCACAACACTTTTATTATACATTAGTTTCTCTTTTCCGATGCTTATATTCGCAAGGCATACTCCCTGATCACAGTCAACTTTCTCTTTTAAAATCACATTATGCAAAAAACAGTTTCCCAGATAGTTTTCCCATACAAAATAAAACCTGGGGAAAAACACCCAGATATTAATAATGATTGCTACATGAAGGTTATCATTATGAGTGATTCTGAAATCTCTTCTATGAATTCATACTACTTTTTAAATCAGAAATGAAAGATCAAATTAAAACCCTTAACTGTTTTAAAGGTTTAAAGACACACTGTGCAGCTCCACGTGAGTCCGTGTCACCTCTAGAGGGCAAGGCAAAGCCCTTGAGTGAAAGTGCGGAGAAGCTCAACTCTTTCAGCTGCTTTCTGAGGCTGTGATCAAGAGGCAGTGTAGTACAGTGGTCAACCAGAGCACCTGGTTCTCAATCCCACCACAGCTACTCTGTTGTTTGACCTTGAGCTCAATACATCATGCCTTAGTGCTGCAGATGCCTCATTTCTCATCTGTAAACTGGGACAATTAAGCATAATGCCTACTTACAGGGTTATATGAATCATAAGGATGAAATGAGGTAAAATTTAAAAATCCAGAGCACTGTCCAGTACATGCTAATAACTCAATAAACACTAGGTATTGTATCAGCAAAGATCCAGTCAGAAAGAAGATACTACTGTAGATATTTTTTTTTCTTTTTCAACTTTTATTTTAGATTCATGAGGCACATGTGCAATTTGTTAACTGGGTATATTGTATGATGCTGAGGTTTTGGGTGCATATGATCCCTTTACTCAGGTACTGAGCAATGTACTCAACAGTTAGTTTTTCAAGCCTTGCCCCCCTCCCTGCCTGCTCTAGTAGTCTCCCATGTCCACGAGTACCTGATGTTTAGCTCCCACTTATAAGTGAGAACATGCAGTATTTGGCTTTCTGTTCCTGTGTTAATTCACTTAGGATAATGGCCCCCAGCTGCATTCATGTTGCTGCAAAGGACATGATTTCATCCTTGTTTATGGCTGCATAGTATTCCATAGTGCATATGTACATTATTTTCTTTGTCTAATCCACAACTAATGGGCACCTAGATAGATTCCATGCCTTTCTATTGTGAGTAGTGCTGTGATGAACAGGTGAGTGCATGTGTCTTCCAGGTAGAATGATTTGTTTTCTTCTGAATATATACCCAGTAATGGGATTCCTGGGTCAAACAGTAGTTCTGTTTTAAGCTCTTTGAGAAATCTCCAAACTGCTTTACACAGTGGCTGAACTAATTTGCATTCCCACTAACGGGGTATGTGTTTCCTTTTCTCTACAACCTCGCCAACATCTGTTGTTGTGTGTTGTTTTTTTTTTTTTTGACTTTTTGATAATAACCATTCAGACTGGTGGGAGATGGTATCTCATTGTGGTTCTGATTTTCATTTCTGTGATGATTAGTGATGATTTCTTTCATCTTCTTTGGCCATTTGTATGTCTTCTTTTGAAAGTATCTGTTCATGTCTTTTGCCTATTTTTTAATGAGGTTGTTTTTTGCTTATTCAATTATTTAAGTTACTTCTAGATTCTGGAGATCAGACCTTTGTTGGATGCATAGTTTACAAATATTGTCTCCTGTTCTGTAGGCTGTCTGCTTGCTCTGTTGTTAGTTTCTTTTGCTGTGCAGCAGGTCTTTAGTTTAACTGAGTCCCACTTGTCAATTTTTGTTTTTGTTGCAATTACCTTTGAGGAATTAGTCATAAATTCTTTCCCAAGGCCCATGTTCAGAATGATGTTTCCTAGGTTATCTTCTAGGATTCTTATAGTTTGAGGTTTTACATTTAAATCTTTAATCCATCTTGAGTTAATTTTTGTATATGGTGAAAGGTAGGCATCCAGTTTTATTCTGTGTATGGCTAGCCAGTTATCCCAGCACCACTTATTGAATAAGGAGTCCTCTCTTCATTGCTTACTTAATACAGGGAATTGATTATACAGATAATGGAAGAGATTAGGAGTCAACAGAGAAGGGCAGAGAAACAACTCAGAGATTAGCAACAACAGGAAGCTGCCACCACCCCTAAATTGGAGGGACAAAGGGAAGAGGTAGAACCACCTGGCAGAACCTGGAACCATGATGGGTCTGTTGAGTGAGAACTGAAGCCATGGCAGAGACTCAGTTGCTGCCAGGGGAGCTGCCCAAAGAAGAAAGAAAGAGGGGAGTGGCCCCACTCCTCCTGCCCTCTGGTCTTTTGCCAGTGCTGCTCATTAGCCAAACCTCTTTTCAAACTGAGAGAGAAGGGAGCCTGGGAAATGTAGTTCCCTGCAACAGAAAGCAAGGCAGAGAAGAGCAGGGAATGGAGTGGAGAGCAAATGGGCAAATAACTGGCATGAGCATTATCGTTATTTTCCAAGAAATAGCTCTTTAAAGGAACTTTGCATTTGCCTAAAGGCACATTAAGTAGTTTTTCATAATGTCACCCTTTGTAGCTTCCTCCTAAGCAAATTTTGAGAATTTTTGCCGCCCAAGGTTCAAGTCCAGTGACTATCGCCAAGCAAAAGGTGTATCTTCCATCCCCATGTGAGACCCATGCCTCTTATTTCTTTGACATGCTGTAAGTGAAGTGCACTGAGTCTCTCCTGAGTGTTCATCACAAGTTTCTAATTTCTCCATGCCCTCCACAGCATGCATAGCATAGACATTCTTATGCATACTCGAGCTTTCTGTACTTCAGTTTCCATATCTGTGACATGAGATGCTAATACCTACTATACCCTGAAGCCCAACCTTTTTTAAAAGCACCTTATAAACTGTAAAGCACTTTACACAAATGACTTGTCATTACCTTTTGATTTCTGGCCTGATGCTCTTTTTGCTACCCCATGCCAGTCCTCCTCCAGAAACAACTTAATCATTCTGACATGTTAAAAGACATCATGAACCTGTGTACAAAAAAAAGTGACTGCCAAATATAATAGCTTCTGCTAAATTTCAGATGTGGTCCCAAATCAAATCAGCCTTAGAGCATGCTGACATGGAAAATGAACTTGTTCACGTGTTAGAGCTCTTAGCCAGGCTTCCCTACACAACTGCAGTCTTGTTTGGGATCATCTTCTAAAATATAACAACTGATGCATGTAAAAGCATATTTAAGCACATTTACATATCTCAAAAGCATGTTTAGGCACATTTTAAAACACAAGATATTGGGCAAACAGAAAATCTAGCCAATCCTAAAAGAGAACCACAAACAGCTTCCCTCTTATGGGATGGCTGCTTTGTGGCAGGCATTTGCAAGGCACTTTACAGACCTCATCCTGCAAGATCAGTGTTATTAGTCTCATTTAATGGGAAACCGAGGTTGAGAGGTCCAAAGCACCGTTCTTGAGGCCATGCAGCCAGTCATCAGCAGAGTTAAAAGTTGGACAAATAGCATTCTGCCAAACATCTTTCTGCTACATAACACTGCATCCCACAGTAGAATGTCTGTGTCTTCATTTCCCTTTTGGCTGCTCCAAATGCATGCTGTGACCCTGGCAGCTCAATCCCACACCATGTGGCCCACACCTGGCAGGAGCTCCAAGCAGGCTTTTCTTGTCTATAGAAGACACTGGCACGACAGTGCACCCCTCAGATCTCTGCTGGCAAGGTGCAAAATTGAGCAATAGGTCCAGTGTCTGCTCTCTGTAATCTATCACCACATTCACATGGAGGCCTCACTTCCTACCACCTGCTCCCAGTCAACAGCTGACCACAGCAGGAACATTAAGGCAGGGCCATCCCTGGAAGATAGTAGATTCTTCTGACAGGCACTTTCGACTCTCTTTCAGCTTAAGACTCTTCCACCCAGCTTTATTTCCTTCCCTCTCTTATTCACAAGGTTCAGACCTACATCATAGTCTGATGGCTCTCCCCGCTTCCTATGTTCCCTCATAGGCATTCCCTCTAATAAATCTCTTGTCTGTCTAATCCAGCCTGGGCATCTCCTCCTCAGAGCACCCAGACTAAACAGCATCTCCTACCCTGTCCTTGTTCTCTCTCCTCACCTTATATCTCCTGGTCTCAAGTTCCGGTCTCAGGGCCCGGCACCCAGCTGCAGCCTCAGTGGACCTGGCCAATCAATCTGCTCCACCCACACCACTAATACTAGGCTCCAAATCAGAGGTGGGACTAAACTTTTTCCCCATTTTTAACACCTCCCACTTCAATACCTTTTTGCTGCTTGAATGTCCCCTTATTGGGGAAGAAAAAAAATGTTATAAACTTCTTGCCTCTAGGGTGTAATTATTAGTAGTTTAATGTGCTATCTCTCCAGGGAGTCTGCATTTTAAAGAGGTCAAATAAGGAGGACAATCCCTTGACCTAAAGAAATGAATACATTTACAAATCTTTCTTGAGTACCCACATCAGGGAGCTCAAGACAAACTGGATTCAAATTTAAAGAGTAGAGCTCCTGAGTAGGATTTAAACAGTTCTGCCCCTTGTCTGGAGAGATCTTTTCTCAGAGCAACTATGCTGCTCAATAACACTGAAGGCAATCCTGGATAAAGCCTTCCCTACCCCAAACATGCCATTCTTTTTAACAGTGACCTGGAAATGCTCTTCTTCATGTGATGATAGAAGGGTTTCAATTCAGCCCGCTGTGGTCTGGGTGGAGGAGGCCACTCAAAATCCAGCAGGTGGGAGAAGAGTTCCTTGATGATTTTAACCTGGTCTTCTACCACCTTCTCTCAAGTTACAACCTCTTACTGTAATTACAAGCAAGCCAGGAACTCTGTGGTGGCATGTATTATCACAGAGGTTACTCCCTCCTGGGCCTTACAAAACACTGGCCAGATGTTTCTTGCGCTCTGAGTTCCTTGGGCAAGGTGCTTTATTTACATGGGCTTGCTCCCCTATACATAAAAATTAAGTAGTAGCACTTGGGAGATGCTCCTCCATCTTCCTATAAAAGCCAAGAGTGGAGAATAAGGTACTATCTTCAAAGTACTTGATACAGTAGTTCCCCCTTATCTTCCGGGGATACATTCCAAGACCCCTTTTGGATGACTGAAACCTGGATAGTACCAAACCCTATAGAAGTATGTTTTTTCCTATACATAATTATCTATGATAAAGTTTAATTTATGAATTAGGCACAGTAAGAGATTAACAACAATAACTAATAAAATAGAACAATTATAACAATATGCCAGCATCACTACTCTTGCACTTGGAGCCATTATTAAGTAAAATAAGGGTGACTTGAACACAAGCACTGCCATGCCACCTAGACACTCAATCAACCTAATAACCAAGACAGCTACTAAGTGACTAGCAGGTGGGGGCATAGGGTGGAAACCTGAGCAAACGAACGATTCACATTCCAGCCAGGACAGAGAAGGACAGCATGAGATTTCAGAACAGCACACAATTAAAAACTTATAAATTATTTATCTCTGGAATTTTCCATTTAATATATTCAGGCTTCAGTAGACAGCAGTTAACTGAAACCACAGAAAGCAAAACGGCAGATAAAGGGGAACTGCTGCATATGACAAAGTCAATAATTTCTTATTGTCAACTGGAAGGTGTTATGGGTGCCCAAATGTTAAAACAAAATAAAAACCTCAGAGCACTTAATAAAGGGAATAATTAGTCAATCATTCAAATGAGTGTGTAGCTCAGTGTATAGCCTCCAATTCAAGCATATTGCATACACTCAGATCTGTCTTTTTGCACTCAAAAAAACCCTCACACATGTATACACACATGCATACACACAAAAGCAACAAGAAAGTTAACTTTGTGATGCAAAGTTAATGCATCATTACTTTTCTGCATTTGAAGCACAAAAGTCTAAAAATTTGCAGTTACTATAAGCCATGGCCTTTGACTCCATGCCAACTAGCATAGTCTGGCACATAGCACTCCCAAATTATTAATATACAGATCTGTCTGCTTCCACTTTGGTCACTGACTTAATATATGACACTAAGGAAGGCACTTATCCAACCTGTGCCTCCATTTTCCTATATATAGAAGCAAAACAAGGCATTCAAGTAATTTCAGGTTTCCCACTAGCTGCATAGGATGGTCGTAGATACTCATGAATATAGCCCATAACTCTTCCTAACCCTCAGAACAAAATCCCACTGCTAAGCAAAGACATTCCAAAACCATAGGAATGCTGTGACCTCTGAGATAATTCACCCACCGGAGTCAGACTGCTGAAGAACACTGGATGGGTGGAAAAGGAACATCTCAACCAGGAGAGAAGGAACTGAGTCAAGAAAGGGCTGCATCTGGTGAATATGTCCCTCCCAGTGATGGAACCCAGGGCTGCTGCAGCCAAGAGTCTATAACAGTGGTAAGTAGCCTTATTCAAAGGCAGAGAGACTGCACCTTCTTTCCCCCTAGAACTGTTATTCTTCACAGATATACAGAAAGTTCCTCCAGTGGCACAAGGTACAGTTCTATGCCACAGGTGTTTCTTTTGTACATGGAATCACCTCCTCCTGGAGTCATCTCTGATCAGACCTGTCCATCCTCCGGTTCCCCCATTGGGCATTTCTCTCTATGCTTCCATAATATTTTTCCTACTGTGCTAAAATGCTGCTATCTTTGTGTGTCTTCCTAATAGATGATTTCCTTGAGAGGAGAGGGCTATGATATATTTAATAAGGGCCTAGTCAATAATAATGTGTTTAATAAGTGCCTAGTTCCTGGCACATAGTAAGTGTTCGATAAATTTCTAATGAATAAGTGAATGAGTGAGATTACAAAGGATAATCAAGCACAGCTGTGCCCTTAAACAGCTAATAATCCAATGAGGGTTGATAAGACTAGAAACCAAACATTTACGACAAAACAGAATATAAGAAGGTGTGACCAAATTCTGTAGGAATTTAAGTGAGGAAACCATCTCAGAAGTGAAGAAAAAGGACTTTAAACAAGGTCTTAAGTAGAGAATGACATCTAAGAAGAGGCAGGGCCTCTGTAGTCTGTATAATAACCCACAAAGCCCCTCTGACCTTGTTTCCTACCAAATCCCTGGCTCCCTCTCCAGCAGCCACAACAGCCTGTTACTATAACCTCCAACTCACCAGCAAATCTCTACCTCAGGGCCTTTGCACGTGATACTCCCTCTGTCTGGAATGCCTTTCTCCCAGATATTCACATGGTGAAATCCCTCACCATCATCACATCTTTGCTTAAATGTTACCTCCTCAATGAGGCTTATTCTAACCACTCCATGCTAAATTGCCACCCACTAACCCCCACCAATGCTGCCAATTGCTCTTACCCTGCTCTGGGCTCTCTTGTTTGCTTTTTAATAATAGATCTTACCTAACATGCATTAAAGGCATTTTTTAGACCAATTAATTGTAAAGTCCAGTCCAAGTTTTATTTCAAACTTGCCACAAGAAAAAGGGCTCCTGAGAACACCAATTCTGAGGTTTCTCTCTTGTTAGACATGTTTCTAGAAGGAGAGAAAGTGGTTAGATAACATTGTTAGACTAGGTACAATGAAGGAATGTCTGGTTAGAAGTTATTAGGCCTGTCACAAGACAGATGATTAGCTGGGCAGATAAATTTAACTTCCCAAAAGGGAATCTTAATCTCATTCAAGTTCAATGATATAACTAGTGTATTTGACACTCAGAGCAGATCATTTTTTCTCTCTCCTCCTTAAAACAGAATTAGCTTTAGGAATAATCACAAAATTAATAATAATAATGGCCAGAAAAGAATCAGAGACAGTGAAATTTTTCTGTAATTGAATTACATGTTCATAGCATGCTAGTACTAAAATTTAACAATGAACAAAGAAAAAAATAAAATAAATGTTATAGCACAAAAAAGGAAACAAAGCAGTGGATCAATAATTTTCATCACATTCATGGGGGGGAAACTTATATCTACATATTGTTTGCCTCAGAAATGTACAATACTGCCATTTAATGTTAAATATTTAATTATTAAATAATTACATAAGACTTGTTTTAAAACAAATTTCTATTTCAGTGATATTATTCAAATTTAGTAAATATCTTCTGTATGAACTAAAATTTTTACTTTCCAAACAAAAATATGACACTTGGCAATTCTTACTTTCATTTTTTTTAATTGCAAACAAATAAACATACAGAATGATGGCAGTTATGTAGTGGCCACATAGAATGACAGAATTAAGCCAGCCGCTGGTGGCTCACACCTAGCCAGCATTTTGGGAGGCCGAGGCGGGCAAATCACTTGAGGTCAGGAGTTCAAGACCAGCCTGGCCAACATGGTGAAAACCCATCTCTACTAAAAATACAAAAAAATTCACCAGGTGTGGTGATGTGCACCTGTAATGCCAGCTACTCGGGAGCCTGAGACAGGAGAATTGCTTGAACACAGGAGGTGGAGGTTGCAGTGAGCTGAGGTCATGCCACTGCACTCCAGCCTGGGCGACAGAGCGAGACTCCATCTCAAAAAAAAAAGAATGACAGAATTGATATAGCCCAAGTTCAGTTTCTGTGTCTCTACAATCACTCTGCTATTGTTGTTTATGTCAAAACGACTGTTTAAACTCAAGCATATATACTAACCCAGGGATAGGAGACAAGTTCTGTTCCTGAAGCAAGCGCTAGCGATTCTGAATGTGTGTGTGAAGGGCAAGTGTGGAGGGAGGGAATTTATAACTAGGGGTTGTCTGAATTAATTTTCATGTAGAATAGAGTTTTTATTAAAGAATAGATAATAAAAGGTGCTAATTTGAAGTGTATGTGTATATTAAAATGTAACAGTAACCATAATAATTGTTTAAGACTTAGACCAACAAAAGAAATGAATGAATTTCCTTTATCAATGAAGTTGTCACTGGTTCATGGTGACAATAACAAGCAGACCACTTTTTGTTGGTTGTGTTGCTGTTCGGTGACTCCCTGCAGACAGAGCACTCCTCACTGCTTGCACCCGACGGGGTGTCTGCCCATTGTCCCACCCTTGGTAGGCTTCTGCTATAATCTAACAGCATTTTCTTGAAACATTTTTTCAGAAATCTAACAATTCTGGCTTGGGATCATTTTCTTTCTTATATAACACATAGTTAATTATTTCATTGATTGTTTAACTCCTCCTTAAGGGCAGGGGTACATGTCGATTTTACACACTGTGTTATCCCAAACACCTAGAAAGGTGGCACGTAGGAAGTGTTTATTTGATTAAATTGAAAATTTCTCAACTAATTCTCAACTATCATTACTTTATGGAGAGAGTCTCATCTACCTAAATTAACTATAGTTCTCTCCCAAGATCTATGCCAAAGATCCAGCAAACTGCTTTCTCAGTGTTTAGAGTATCAGAACTGAGAATCCCTGCCCCGTCCCCACAAGCCCCATGTCCCCTCCAGACTCATGGGGCTGTGTCAGTTGATTCTCCAAGTCTGTTCTGAGGACCCTAATTCTGAAGAATAATAATAGCTGTCTGGTAAAAGGAGGAAGAGGAGGAAATACCCTGTTATTAAATTATTTTAGAAAATTTTTGGTTAACAAAATTAAGGAAGACTTATTTGGGTTTTTTTTTTTCACTACAACAATTTTCAGGGTTTGTTTTATATTGTCATTCCATATTGTATAATATGCAACATTTCCAATATTTATATGACCATAGTTCTGAGAATTTCTGAGAAACTCTGTACCGCAGTGGAGTAATTTCCTGACCTCCTAGCCCTGCACACTCTTAATCTGAACATGAATATGATGAAAGTGCCTGCTTCATGGGGCTGTCGTGAGGACCAGATACATTAACCCACCGGCAGCACATAGAACAGCCCCTGACACTTGACCAAGTCATTAAATGTTGGCTACTGTTCATAGAATTTTGTATGTGGTTACTTTAATCTGAGAAACTCAGGTTAACTATAGTATTTTTCTCATCCCGCTTTGTAAATGGACAAACCAAGGCACAGATTTTTTAAAAGAGTGAAAAAGAAATGTGAGTCCTGTCTGTAATCCCAGCACTTTAGGAGGCTGAGGTGGTTACTTTGAGCTCAGGAGTTCAAGAAAAGCCTGGGCAACATAGCAAAACCCCATCTCTATGAAAAATACAAAAATTATCCAGGCATGGTGGCTCGTGCCTGTTGTGCCAGCTGTTCAGGAGGCCAAGGAGGTCAAGGCTGCAGTGAGCCAAGATCTCGCCACTGCGTTCCAGCCTGAGCAACCGAGGAAGACCCTGGAAAAAAAATAAAAACACCTAAATCTATTGTCAGGAGGATAACTATAAGAATTACTAAGGCTGTGAAATTATAATTTGTCCACAAATTTAGCATAATACCTTAAAGTACTGTTTATCACCCTATGTTCCCATTAGAGAAAAGTGACAAAATGCCAGAATAACCAAGGTCCGTCTTCTCTGGAAAACCAATTTTGCTTCGAGGTTTTTGTATTAAAAAGTTAAATAATTTAACTAGTAAGTAATTTAAACAACATATGTATATTATTAAATGTAAATATCTCAGATTAGAATGCAAATCCTATAAAATTTGAATAAAAACATGAACATTTAGATAAATATTTTCTTCCTGCAGGAGACGCCTTGAGCAAAGCCCCAGAGCCCTTGAGCTGCCTGTTCCCCTCCTCTGACATGATGGGTAATCTGATGGAAGCGCTGAGAGGCACTGCCTAGAATTAAGCCCTATGTGTAAACGAAGCAAGGAAGAAAGAACATGTGCTATCAAATATGATTCATGATTCAAATATATTTTAATATCTTATTCTTTTCACACTCTGAGAAACTATTCTGATAATGTGATTGTTTTGTAAAGGAGTGTATCTTCGGATAATATACAGATTTTATAGCTATTGCACAGTTTTAATAAGCAAAAGACTTGCTAGGTTGAACTGGGTTCAACCCAAACCACTGTACAATTTAATTCAACACAATATTCCTCTGTTTAAAGTGCATGTAATTGCCAATTTATACAGTCACCAAGACCAAAGGTTTGCTAAATAGAGTTCTGCAAACATAGTATGGCATGTTTTATCCCCAAGTACCATAAACGAAGAAAGAATGAAACTAATCATTAATCAATCATGTATCTAATTCATTTCAAGGGCTTCTTTCAACTGTACAATTATCCAATGAATAAATTCAAATCCACCTGTGTTAGTATTTTTCTAGACTTTATCACCATAAGTTTTTAAAAATCCTTAGAAACTCAAGGAAATGCGTAAAATGAAATTGACATTATCTTAAACAGTATTAGATTGCTATTCCCTCTTCTTTCATAAAGATTTTCTTTATGGAGAGTTATTCTTAAATAGCACTGATATTTCTGAAAGTTTCCCCAAGTGCTCCATTCTTAAAGAAATTTTTATTTAAAGGATGAACAATACATAACACTGCTTAGTGTGTGTGTGTTTCAGTGAAAACCATTATACTGTAAAAACTCATTCTACAACTTTTTTTCTGTCTAAATTGTAATTTTTGAGATGTAGTAAACATATCACTGTGTGTAAATAGATCTAATTCTACTAACTGGAAAAAACGCTCAACACTCATGACAGAGGTTATTTCTAGGGACCTAGGGAGGGGAATGAGGCTTGGAATCCCAGACAAAAGGCATGTGAACTTTATATATAATGTATTATTTATTTTATTAAATATTGAAGTAAATCTGGCAAAATGGCAATAATCATTGGATGTTTTCTTTGTGCTTTTCTGCAATTTTAATTTTTGTCTTAAGTAAATATATTAAGGACTTGAAAATATAGTCTTATTTTCTCACTCAAGTAAACGAAGACAAATTTTCCTTTTATATGTGAAGAACTTCTTACAAAATTCACAAAGAAAGATTTCTGCTGGCTGTTTAATGTCTCCTTTGCTCTTTACCCTGCTTTGAGGGCTCTGGCCCCTCATGCTCATCTGCGCAGCAACAAGGGTCCAGTTAGCTTCCCAGGAACCTGCACTGGACATTGATGCACATCTTGGCAGGCTCTTCAGGCACCACGTTCTGTTCTCTGCATCCTTTCATCCCATGCAGCCCCTCCTTAGTCACCCTGGGAAGAGGATGATCTTTCTGAAACTCATGACTGTGGACAGGCACACTCTGGTATTATCCAGTGCTCTTTGTGGGCCCTTGATCAACAATCGACCTTGAATAAGATCTTTCCCTGTGAGGGATGAAACTCCAAAGTAAAAGCAAGAAATCTATGTTTACAAGATGGCAAAGCCCCTGATTCTATGTGCTTCTTCCCTCCATTCATTCAGTAACTCTTTTTAAGAGGCTGCTTTATGGCAGACACTGTCCTAAATGCTAGGGATACAGTGAAAAGATGAAGATCTGTCCTTGGGGTTTCCACCCTTATTGGGGAGTTGGTAGACAGGCAATGGACAAATTAAGTAAGTAAGTATCTGGTATACAAGAAGGTGGAAAATAATATGGAAAGTAATCACAGATACAGAGCACTTAGGGGTGGGGTGGTGGAGGAAGCCTTCACTGCAAAGGCAGCATGTGAGCATGTTGAAGGAAAAAAAAGTTGTGATACATGTGGATATCTAGGGATAAAAACATTGCAGGCAGAAGAAAAAGCAAGAGCAAAGGCCCTGAGGTAGGAGTATGCATGGAATGCTCAAAAAACAGCATCCCCGTATATGAGGAATGCAGGGGACTGGCTAGAGAGATACCCAATTGCAAAGTTTGCTCTCCTCTCTATGTGAATTCTACTCAAAGTGTAGTTGTCAGAACAGCAGCATTGGTCTCACCTGAGAATCTGTTAGAAATGAAGATTCTTGTGTGTCACCCCAGGCCTACAGAATCAGAATCTCTGGGTTGTTTGTTTGTTTGTTTGTTTGTTTGTTTTGAGACAGAGTTTCACTCTTGTTGCCCAGGCTGGAGTGCAATGGCACAATCTCTGCTCACCGCAACCTCCACCTCCCAGGTTCAAGCGATTCTCCTGCCTCAGCCTCCCAAGTGGCTCAGATTACAGGCATGCGCCACCATGCCTGGCTAATTTTTGTATTTTTAGTAGAGACGGGGTTTCTCCATGTTGGTCACGCTGGTCTCAAACTCCCAACCTCAGGTGATCCACCCACTTCGGCCTCCCAAAGTGCTGGGATTACAGGTGTGAGCCACTGCACCCTGCCCAGAATCTCTGGGGGTATTTTAACTCTCCACCTGATTCTTATTCATGCTAAACTTCTCCAACACTGCTAATAACAAAAAGAAAAAAGCATCAATATTTGGCTTCAAAAATCCTAAGATGAAAATGTAATTCTGTCCCTTACTAATACTCTAACATTGGATTCATTGCACAATTTGTCTAGGCGTCAGCTTCCTTGTATATAAAGCAGACAAATCCATGCCTGCTCATTTTAACCAAGAGAGTTGCTTTAAAAAATTTAAATATCAAATATGATGGCAAATGTTAAAGGAATGAGGTGACTGTAAACCTCTTGACAAATGTGGGTTTTTATTATTGTGAACATAAGCCCCCAAGCCCATCCACTCTCAGGCATTTGTACTTTTCTGTACCCTCTACCCCCACCCCCTCATCCCCTACAACTACCACCAATGCTATTAGGCTGGTAAAGACTTGCCCACGGAGAGCTTACAAGTGAGTCTGATCTGGTTTTGTTCAATTTGGCACAGAGCCTTGGCATTGCAGACTGCAGCTGGTGTAGTGCTGTCATGATATATATGATACCTGTCCTCGCTTTGGCAGGCAAGACTCTTGCCACCAAGCATTTCAGACTAGGATAATGGCACAACAGAGATGCTTGTGACACTTAGCCCAGAACACTTCCATCACTCTTTGTATCCCAAAGTATTTGTTATGTTTTACGCAAACAATACATGTTTGCTTGGTGTATGCAGTGGAGAGGACACTGGATTTGGAGTCAAAAGAAAAGGGTTCCAGCCCCCAAGTTCACTAAATGACCCAGAGAGTTCACATTACCATTCTGAGCTTACCTTTGCTATCTACTTCCTAAGTGGGTGAGAGTTATGGAAAATAACATACATGAAAGCTCTTTGTAAAAAATAAAGCACCACGAAAGAGAATAGAACATTGTTATCATAATCCAGTTCCTCAGTAGGTCAGTCACTCAATAAACAGCTGACAAATATTTACTGAACCCACAAAGTACCTGGCTCTGTGCCAGGCTCTGGGACACAGCAGTAAATGACAGAATAAAACCACACCGCATGTGACACTTATATTCTAACAGAAGAACAGAGAAAACAAACAGCAGCAAAAGTAAAATATGTAGTCTGTCCAATGGTAATAAGTGCTTTAGAGAACAATAAAGAAGAGGAAGCTGGAATGTAGGAGGAAGGGGATTATAAGGTCACAAAGGGTAGCTAGGAAAGGCACTGCTGAGAAGGTGCATTTAACCAAAGACCGAAGGAAGGGATAGAGTCCACCTCAGTGTCCCAAGCTCAAATCATGCTCAGAACATGTTCAGACCAGTTCTAAGTCTGTTTGGCCTTCTGGATCTGTGGTCCAGAATACTTGCAGAATTTTCCTTATTTCTAGCCTTTTGTGCCATATGTGGGATAATTCGCTGAATATCATCCGTGCCATGGATAACTCATACAAAGGCACAAACCCAAGCCATGTGAATGGCCTATTTGAAAACTTTTTTTTTTACTGAGGCAACTGGGACAGTAGCTGTTGAATGAACTCCTCTTCTACCAACGCCAGAATCCAGTGACGTTTCACCAGTATGAAGATGGGAACCACATGCTATACTTATAGACTACAGATAAACTTCATATCCTTCTTATTTTTATTGTTAACATTACTGTTTTGATTCTATCATTCACTCCTATTTGCTGAGCATCTATTATGGGCTTAGTATTTTGCAGCTATAATGAGAAGAGGAATTATTTTTTAAAAAAATGACTATAGCACTCTCACATTGTAGAGGGACAGGATTCATATTTAGATATCTAGGTGAATTTTTCATTTCTGCAAAGATGGACTCCAGAACCTAGTGTGAAATGGGAATATTGAGTATGCTATGTAATCAAGTAAGAGAATGTTTTTATTTTCCAGTGGCAGATGTGGGGGTTGGGGTTCAGGGAACCCGGAAATAGAAGGATCTAAGAGAAGGTGACAGGGACTATGGGGGCAGGTCCCAAGAGATGGAGGGCAGCCAGAGTTGAAAGAGCAGGAGAGTAATGAGAATTTCCTGGCGCCAGAATGGGCAAGAAGTTTAGGAACAGTAAAAACTAACATTTTATTTTAAACGTATTTTCTATTCCATGCTGCAGCTGGTGTAGTGCTGTCATGATATATATGATACCTGTCCTCGCTTTGGCAGGCAAGACTCTTGCCACCAAGCATTTCAGACTAGGATAATGGCACTCTCCTCCATCATCAAAACCCTCAGTAAAATCTGCTGTGTACAACAACTTTCCTATTGTCTTTAGGGAATGAAGGAGAATGGAGCTAGATCTGTAACAGGAGCTACAGAAAACAAGATGGCAAACAAGGTCCCAGCAGAACCCAGAGTCGAAAACAAGAGAACCAGGCGAATGTGAGCACCCACCAGACCCACCCACAGAGAATCCTAGCGACTGAAGTCATTTTATGTTTGCCTTCAACTTGAGATAAGTCCCAGAAAATTGGAGGATGTGGAGACCAGGATGCCTCATTGCACAACTCCAGGAGGCACATTACAGTAGGTGTGCAAGAGGGCATGACACTCAAGTTACAAACACATCATTTCATTTAATCTTCACAACACTCCTGGAAAAAAGGCATTATTATCCTTGTCTTACAGATAAAGAAACTGAGACTCCAAGAATATGTCCTATGTCAGTCATTATGTGTCTAACAATTAGGGGGAATCAGTGTTAAGACTCAGTTCGTTCCAACCTCAAAATCCATTCCAATTTGTATATGACCTATTTCTATGAAGCGGTGAATGCAAGTGGGTGCCCCACAGACAGTGCTTCCCACAATCTCTTCCCTCTTCTCTAAGATCCTCATGGTTCTAGGTTCCCCACAACTCAATCTCCATATCTGCCACTAGAAAATGGAAACATTATTTTATTTTATTTTATTTTATTTTATTTTATTTTATTTTATTTTATTTTATGGCATATTCAATACTTCCATTTCACACTAGGTTCTGGAGTCCACCTTTGCAGAAATAAATGTAGTTCTGCGACTTCAGAACTATACTTCTCCACCTCAATTCAGGCAGCAAGAACCTACAGAAACTTAAAAGGACCCCAAAATCCAGTAATTCTGAAACGCCACATCATAGCTTACCCAAAAACTTTGCCTGTTTTTTATTCAGACCTATGTGCATGCAAATATATACACATAGGTCTGAATAAAAAACAGGCAAAGTTAAGCAGAAGTGTAGAGGAGTTCATAAGTGAAGGGAAATTATGGTGCATGAACTACTCTGCTTGCTTCTTTTGGCCTTAGTCTCAAATCCAAACCCCACTCCATTTTAAATATATAATTCGGTTTCCTAAGACAACTCCAAAAGATCGTTTACTCTCCTGTTTCCCTTTCCCCTATGAAAGCTACAAATGCAATCAATTTAAATTATCACCAAGGCTGTAGACTGACTGTAGCCAATCAACTGTCAGCACCAGAGGAGTCCTGAAAGCAAGTCTTATTTCCCTGGAGCTTTTCCACCTTCTCCATTGTCTTCTTCTCTCCCCAATAACATCCTCAATATCTTCCATTCTGCTCGCAGTCAGTGCATGTGCTCCAGGCATCAAATACTAGCCTTATTGACATTTTAATTTTCATGTTTATATCTTCATTTCCATTCAGTCCTTAGACCCCTCTCTATGTGACTCAACCTTCAATCAGGACAAATGTTTCTTTGCTTCTTTGATGCTGTGAGTCCAGTGGAAATCAAGTGGCTACAAACAAGTGTTCTATGGCTTGTCACTCTGACCAACCAACAAAGAATTTAGGCTTGTGACAAGTTGATTTGTTAAGATAAATCAAATCCCACCATGTGCTGGAGTACTCACTCTGAAGGACTAACTGTCATTGGTTCCAGAGAAGCTTGTCCAGGCTTTAGTCATGATCTAAAAGACTCTTCATCAAGCAAAGACAGAGGATGTTGTTAGTGGAAACTGAGAAGGTGGACACATCCTTCCTCTTGCTAGGCTAGCTCAGTTATTCTTAGGCCACTCAGATAAAAGTACCAGATCTTATATAAGCCGTGATGCCTCTTCTCTGGAGGGAAATCTGTTTTTGATCATTCACGTTTCCCCAATTAAAATTTGCACATAAAAACAAGCAAGTGGAAGGAGGAGAAAAGAACGCTTTTCTTTTCACACAATGCTGTTGACAATCTAGTTATTTCTCTGCTATAATAATCCAAGCCATGATGTATCTCCCACACCATGGTGGCATTACTGCAAGGCCCCTCACCTTGATCACCTGCATAGATCTTTTCTATTTTATTTCAAGTTGACAGGAAAGTCATTATACCACTTCTTTAAAGAAGCTGCATAATGAAAAATACACAAAGCACTTTGGAAGCTGAAAAAGTTTCTGTCTCCAAAATCTACTGGCCCTCTCTTCTGTGGACTGCAAGCATCCCAGAGCTAATCAGAAGTCATGAGGAGTTGATCTGTTAGAAACCAAACTACTTAAGGCAAAAAGGAAATATATTGGTTCATGATAGTGAAAAGCCTAAGGTAGCTCTAGACTGGCAAGACTGGATTCAGGTGTTCCAACACTGCTGTCAGAAAGCTATCTCTCTCCAATTCCATCTCACCACTGCACAGTGAGAAGGCTGCCAAGAGCTCCACATCCATTTTCATCATCTCATAAAGCCTACTGGAAAGACAG
Source organism: Homo sapiens (assembly GCF_000001405.40). Classification (NCBI taxonomy): domain Eukaryota; kingdom Metazoa; phylum Chordata; class Mammalia; order Primates; family Hominidae; genus Homo; species Homo sapiens. The sequence continues at coordinate 95,349,228 of NC_000001.11, read as the reverse complement.
CCTCTTCCCAGAAGTTCCAAAGAGAATCTTAGGATTGTGTGTCATTGCCACAGCTTGAAGAGGTGAAATGGCTAGACTTGCGCTCATTCAGGAGCTGACAGTGAGGTTGTAGACTGAATCACATCAGCTGCAAATCACAGAGAAATGTTCCCAAATGTAATCGAGTTTTTGTTACCAGAAAATGAGTGAACAAGTACTGGGCAAACAAAGACATAAATGAAGGTGGACAACTGGCCAGCCAACAGGCACTGGCTCATTTCCAGTTGACCCTAGAATTCGTCCAGTGTTCCATGCTCGGTGTTTCAGAGGCTCTGCAGAACCAGATTGCTAAAGAGAGGAAGGAAACAGTGTACACTACCAGCTGTGATAGAAAAGAATGGCATCTTTTGTTGAGGAGCAAAATTGCACACCCAGCCCCAAACCCCACCTCCATTCCACTGCCTTTTCTCCTCTTCACTCCCTCTAGTCCACTCTCCAGCTCACCCTCGTTCATCCCAAAGCTGCCAAGTCAGGGCTTTTTTTGTTGCTCTTTTCTTTTTCCTTCCAATTTGTCCTTGAAAATCATCTAAATCTAACATTCTTTTAAAGTAAGTAGCCTCTTATGGATGACTGCTGGTGAGTTCAGCTATTCCGATAACTAACAGAATTTTACATTCCCAAGTATAAAACAATACACATCTGAAACCAGGCATGTCAGAATAAAGTTTTACATGCAGCAACACCAGAGCAAGGATCAAGAATCAATGGGATAAGCCAGATTTCTAACTGTATAAAATTGGAAGAAGCAGGAAAAAAAACGCAACAATTTGCTTCAGATGCTATATCTCCTTAAAGAGGACCCTAGATCTCACACTCCCTGGAGGATGATCCCAGTGGCCTCCTGTGTTGGATACAAAAGAATCAGAATGTTCCTTCCTTCAAGGAAGGCAATCATATACTTGTTGAATTGTTACTAAGAAAGTCCAAACCCTAAATGACAAAAAATAGAGTTGGCTATTATGGTGAAGATTCTAGCTACTACAGCCAGTTAAAGAAGGAAGCTATATCATAGGACTACTCAAAGTTATTCAGGAAGGTCTGTATCACAATATGGGACAAATGTCAGTGTTATTAGTTATATCTGATAGGATTCTTTGAGGACAAACTACTGAAATCCACACTGGTTAACTTAACCATAAAGGGGGTATCAAAAAAGCTACAGTGTGGCCCACAGAATTGAAAGAATAGCTAAAGAATGAATGAACATAACAAGGGCAAGACCTCTCCAGGGATCAAGGCTGCAGCAGAAAATTGATATTCTAGCAGGGTGCAGCTTTTCCATCCAGATATTACTGCTCAAGAGTTTAGTGCCCCAGAAAAGAAACTGATTGGCCCAGACTTGGTCACATGGCACTACCTGGTTGTCAGGGGTGGTAGTATGTGGGGTGTGGAGAGGAAGACACTTAGACACCTTGATTGACTATTCAACCAAGGCTGCACCTGATATGGAGAAGGGATTCCAAATGATACTGGAGTACTATTACTTGAATAAAAGGGCAATGGTGCTCAATAGAGAAGGAAAGAAGAGGGAAGGAAAGACGCGAAGAAGGAAAGAAGGGAGGAAAGAAGGAAGGAAGGAAGGCGGGCAGGCAGGCAGGGAGGGAGGGAGGGAAGGAGGGAGGAGAAATGGGAAAAAGGAAGAAAAAAGAAAAAAAGGAGAGAGGGAGGAAGAGAAGAAGCAGGGAGAGATGACAAGGATGGGAGGAAGGGAAGGAAATTAGTTAACCTCTCTATATTTTAGTTTCTTTTCTATAAAATGGATGTAATTACTGCATCTACTTCCTAGAAGGGTTATGAATACCATGTAAAGCACTTAGCACAGGGTCTGGAACATAGGAAATGCTCAATAATTTTAGGCATTTATCCTAGATGGGAAGCCACAGAAGGGACACTTGTCGAAAAGAAACAAACTACGTGCTGCTCTGAAATAATTGCCAAATTATTTGTTTATTATGAACTTACTGAAAATCATCAAATGATTAATTATCCAAGATATACAGCGGAGCAAAAGAAAGAGATACATAGTGCAGTGTGTCTCTAAACTGGAGAAACTCAAGAGCATCATGGCATATAAGAAACGTAAGTTGATAGAGTTGTCTACCCATGAAAGTGGGGTTGTTATCTGAGTTTTCACCAAGTATTTTAATGCATTGGTGAGTACTTAGTCCAGGGAGAAAGTCCTAGATGACAGACATCCCTGACATATCCAAAGAATAGCTGCACATTTAATCCCTCAGCCTCCTTGCATTACCCATTAACATGCCTGCTCTGCTACACCAGCACAAGGTTCTAAGTCTGTCACACTTGGCTTCTGCTTAAGTCTGTTTGGAGTGATGACAATCAGGGTCCATACTGGCTGGCAATCCCTTCCACACAGCTGCACTAAAGGAAACCTCCAACAGAGTAGGAGTGTTATTAGAGGCGAACCAGCCCTCAGTTTGCTCTTTTGTTAGGTCCCAATTAGGCACAGGCAAGAGTCAATTATGATGGTGTGGGGAAGAGAAATATTTCAGGTAAGAACTCCAAATTACATATAACCTCCACTGAGGCAAGCTGACCTTCTAGGAACAGTGTTGCTGTGCTGGTACCTCAGCCACGCAGACTGTCAACTAGCCAGTCCTTCCTATGCACAAACCTATGCATCTGATGACCATTTCTCAGTAAACAAGTGTACTGATGACCATTTCTCAGTAAACAAGTGTATTATTGAAAATGGAGAACTGGGTTGAGGTGAAATGAGAAAGGGGGAGTCATCCCCATCAGCCTGCTATGTTTCCATCACTGGTATTGGCTGTTCTGTTCCATCCTAAAGGGGAACTGCTCTCTTCTGCATCATCATGTCATTTTTATTATGCCAGCAAATGATAAGGCAAAAACCCATCATCACAGACCAGCCTGTGAAAAACTAACTAACAATATGAAGTTGAAAATGAAGAAGAAAGTCTTGCATTTCCTTTCACCTGTAGGGGAAAAAAATGAAGCCCAAGGCAAGCTCCTCACCATTCAGCAGTCCATCTTACTTTAAAATATACGCATGCAGACTGAACAGGAAGATTTCTGCTATGCACGGCAATTGTTCCATTTTCTATATTTCATAACCTGCAATTTTGAAGCCATGCTTGGTACACACGCTTGTAAAATAGTCATATCAGATAAAAGCAGAGGGATGCTAAACTATTGGAAAATAAATCAAATTCTCAGCAAGCCGTTATATCCATCATGTTGCAGCAAGCGCACGTATAGTTTAAGCTGTGCGCGCACAGTCTATCCATTGTAATGATTTGGGGTCAGGATCCTGCCACAAGCATTTAGCATTCACTAAGAAGTAAACCCAGGAGTGTAGCAGGGAAAAGTGCCGAGCTGTAGCTTTTGGTCCTGGAAGTTGCCCTCGATGTATTTGTTTGAGTATAGCCATTGTATCTAAATAGCAAGGCAGAGAAGAATTAACACATGCATAGAACGTGACTATTTACAAGGAGCTTGCATGAGCATTATCTCACTTGATCCCCAAAAGAAACTCAGAAGATGAATGGAGAAAAGCACTCGCATGTTACAGTAGCACAAAGACATTTGGAAACATCTGTGAAATGTTGAGTAAAAAATCTGAAAACCCATCCACACCCACCCCCATTCAAAACTAGGGTGGGAGTGTTAGAGTGATGTTTCAGCAGTGTCTTGTCCTAGAACCAACATATTCACATTTGACCATAACAAATATTCCATGTCTTTGATTTTTTTTCTCTTAACACAAACATAAGACTAGTTTATTAGACAATTGCACAAGATTTTGTGAAGCCTTATGTAAGCACCAAATATGAAAATTATTCAGAGAGAGAAATCAGAACTTATAAGTATCATTAAGCAAAAGAACTACACATTACACTGTACACTAATATGGATTATTAAAAATATTTCAAAATGTTCAATGTAAAAAAGTAGAAAAATTTAAAAACCACGGATTTTACTTAAAAAAAACATAAAGCTTCAAATTCCATGTCTGAATGTCACAGAAAAGCCAGTTTGTTCACAAGGCTACGTAGTAAGTCTTAACCACATCAATATAGCACTCTCCCAGAAATGAATGTCCAACAATTAGCCTCCAATTCCCTCAAACCTCCACTTCCTTGCAAGATGAATTCTTCCTGATTCTTCTCTTCCCTGCTTGCCAAGACCCCAAATTTGATCATCCAAAGCATTTTCTTTCCCCTGCTTTCCACTCCATAGTATTTGTCCTTCCCCTTTACCATTAATTGAAAACTCAACCCTGGAACCATGCTGTAAACCATGCATTTCACCTCTGGAGAGGATCACAGGATTCCATAATCTGGCCCCTGTATTAATCAGCTTGACTGCTACAACAAAATATCATACACTGGGTAGTTTAAACAGCCGACATGTATTTCTCACAGTTCTAGAGGCTGGAAGTCCAAGATTGAGGTGCCAGCATGACTGGGCTCCTGGCAAGGGCTATCTTTCTGCCTTGCAGATGACTGCCTTCTACCTGTGTCCTCATGGCCACAGAGAGGAAGCTCTGGTGTCTCTTTCTTTTCTTACAAGGGCACTAATCCCATCATGGGGAAATCCACCCTTGTGACCCTATCTAAACCTAATTGTTTCCCCAAGGCCCCATATCCAAACACCATCACACTGTGGGTAGAGCTTCAACATATGAGCCTTGAGAGGACAGAAGTCAGTCCTTAGCAGCCCCATTTCCAATTCCTGATGTCATCCTCTAAATGGCCTTCAATGCTCTGCAGCAGTTCTTCTACTAATTCCTGTCTTATACTCACTCTCCCAAATTTATATATGAAACCAAAGAATTGCCCTGGCCGTAGCTGAGGTTATATAAATACAATGTTACTAATACACTTGTATGAAAGAATAGAACATCAAAACTCAATGTATTGAAGAGCCCACACAACAAACTTTTCATGATTCTGAAAATCCCTTCAGGGGCTCTCCTAAAGTTCCAAAAATTCTCCTATAATTAAAATTGGTTTTCCCCAAACCTAGCATTTAATATAAATAAATATTGACTTCCTTGTCTGTTTTTACAATTTTGTTCTTGTTTGCTATTTTAGCAACTGTTTTTCTGTCTACCTTACAATATAAATGTAAAATATTTCAGGTACATTATGGATGAAAAAAATTGTTTAGAAATATAACCATATTCATAGTATTTCTTTGGATAAGTGCTTTCTGAGTTTCAAACGAGCAAGTTTTGAAATAAACATAAGAAATAAATAATCTGTAAGTTGGGGACTATTCTATAGGAAGCATCATATTTTCCCACATAATATTTAAGATTTGAGGCAATATAATTAAATTTAGAAAATATTTTCAAATTTCATAAGGGGAAGGGAAATATATACAAGGATTAGATGATAACAAATACTAATGTGTAATTACTGATTCTTTATGAAAGTGGAAACTTCGCTGTAATATCAAGCTTCCAAATATGAATTGAAGAATGAACCTGTTCAACTTATTAGAAAAGTTGACACTAGCTCAAAACAACTTTTTAAAAAGTGTGTTATAAGAACAAACTACTAATATTTCTGTAGCATTTTGAACCACGAAAGGCAATCAATCAAAAGGAGAAGTATAACAAACACGCCAGAAAGATCTAGAGATCATGTTCCCTTAAAGCATAGATGTGATCTGGTGGAAAACTTCCAGTTATCAATCTGAAACTGTATGACAATTCCAACAAATTTTACTGTCTTGTAGACCTCCTCTTGCCCAGAGCTAGCCAAGATAAGCCATGGGCTCACCTGTCACATTAACCTTAAGAGACACGTCAGGTCCTGCTGAAGAGGATATTCAAATCAATCCACTATTGATTCCTACACCCTGCTCCTTCCAACCCACTGTCAAGTTCTAAGAAACTACTAGAAGATCCAAAGTCATCTTGGGAGGGAGTGCCCTCAGCACTGGTTAACAAGTGATACCTGATCACCATTCACCTAGTCTTTTATTTCTACAAATTTCAACTCCAGTCCTTAGAAAGAAGCAGAACCAGGGGATGAGCACCATGAACTGAGTTGTTCTGAATCCTGAAAAATTTTCATTATCCATTTTGAAATCATTTTGCCCCAAACCTCAGGTACATATCAAACTAGGAGACTGAACTGAGAAGGAGACAAATTGAAAGAAAAGGTCTGAGACGCATGGCAGGCAAGAGATGTTTGGACCCTTTCAGCTGCTCCATCCCTTGAAAGCTTTGGCCCCACTGGGCTAGCAGCACTCTTACCTTCCTGGAGAAAAGTGCTTCTGATCCATTATTTTAGAGAATAAGAATATCACTTGTCATTTCCCTTTTTAAAAAGTTATTTATAAGTTAGTAAATTAATAAGTAGTTTATATAGCAACTTTAGTCAAATGGGTTTCACATCATATAACAAGTCTTTGAATTTTAGAATTTGAGAATTTTTGAATATGTCTTCTTTGCGATTATTGTAGTCAAATGTAAAATATTTTCCCTACACACTGAAAAATATGTCATGTAAATTATGTTAAATGCTTATGGTAAATATCTGCACTGGAAGGAAAAATCTGTTCTCAAAGAAATTAGGGCCTGAAACTTCATACAGATTCAATAAATACATGCCAAATGAATAAAGTGATAGTGTATATTAATTTGTGCTAAACCTAATGCTACATCTATACATATTTTCTCTTTATGATATGATTTTGCTGTGTCCCCACTCAAAGTGTCATCTTGGATTTTAATCCCCATAATCCCCACGTGTCAAGAGAGAGACCAGGTGGAGGTAATTGAATCATAAAGACGGTTTCCCCCATGTTGTTCTCATGATAGTGAGTAAGTTCTCACGAGTGGTTTTATACGTGTTTGGTAGTTCCTCCTGCTTTCCTTCTCCTTCCTGCTGCCTTGTGAATAAGGGGCTTTGCTTCTCTTTTGCCTTCCGCCATGATTGTAAATTTCCTGAGGCTTCCCCAGCCATGCTGAACTGTGAGTCAGTTAAACCTCTTTCCTTTATAAATTACCCACTCTTGGGCAGCTCTTTATAGCGTATGAAAACGGACTAATACAAATCATTTGGGTGCTGTTCTTATTTTATGAATGAGGAAAGAGTTATTTGTCCAAGGTTACAAAGCTGATCAATGATGTCACAAAAACTCAAGAAGAAACTATATGTAGTTGGGATGTCAACACAAGACCAATGTCCAGGAACATAGGTTCTAGCTCTGGCCAGGCCACCAGTTTTCTATAATCTTGAATATGATTCTTGATTTTTCTTATCCTCACTTTCTTTATCTAAGGTTCTCTTCCAGTTCTAAAATTCTCTAATTCTATAAATTTATGCCATCTTGCACCTGCATTTCAGTTAAAGATCCTTTCAGACAAGTAGCTGGATGAAATCCTCCCAGATGTGGTGTAAAACCACACAGTTCTTCTATCGTGCAACACTCTCGTATTAGTCATGCCTTGAGTGCACTACCTCGATTTTCTAATCCATGCAAGTGCTTAATTTGTTGTATGTAATTTGTTCTCTTTCAAGTTAATATCCCTGTATTATAAAAATCAATAAACACACATTGAAAATAATTACAAAGATATAAACCTCTTACTTTGCAAAAATACGTTGTAATGCACACATTTTTCTACTCAGCAACATTTACTACGTGTTAAAAATGATGCTCTGTGCAATCTTAGGCAGGAGAAAATGTTTCCTAGAGAAATTTCAAACATCTACATGAAAAGAAGAGAATACGCATAATCAACATAACGATCTCAAGAATGGAATCAACAGAAATAAAATCACCTCCTTTAGTTCTTCTGGGAAAATAGGTAGCTAAAGATAAAATCAATGATAGCAAGAGGGGTGGCTTTGTTAGCCAGCATCAACTAACTGCTGTTCAGTGGGTGCATTTGTTTATGGCATTATTACTAAAGCAATGCAGGATCAATAAAATTGTTTGAGGGCCTTGAATTTCTTACTCTATATAACTACTGATGCCAACCCAGGGTGGACTAGTAAGGTGGGCAGTTTGGCAAAACAGGCCCATTTAACTGGAGCTTTTCTCACAGGCTCTGACCACTGCCTCTAAGGAGACCTTAAAGTAAGACCCCAGGGGATTCAGGCATCCACATTACAAATTGTACTTCATGAGACACTCATTGAGGTCAATTAACTGTGAGAAATATTGCATATCTATCCTTTTCTGAATATGTACAAAGCAGATGAGCTTATTAAAGTCTTTAAGAAGTCCTTTGTAAAGATACATGCTTAAATTTGTTTATATCACATTCTCCGAATCCATTGCCCGTAGGACCCCTCTTATCCAATATCTATTAACACCTGACAAAGTATTCCAGGGAACATGTTCTCTTTAGCCACTGCTAGGGCTACTGATTTCATAACATGAAGACTGAACAAGAGAAAGGAGAAAAGGGACTACCATTCATGGATCACTTACAAGGGGCCTCACTTTGCTCTCAGGGTTTTGAATGCACAATTTCATATAATCCTCACAATAATCCTGTGAAATAATATCATATTATCTTCATTTGACAGTTAAGGGAACTGAAAATATATGTGAAATTGACTGGGAAAAAGTACTTACAAAATAAGTGAAAAAAAAAATCAGATTATAAATATGTTTATAAATATATGCATATATCTATTATATATAGTCTAAATATTGTTAACTAGCAGCCTGTAGGGATTTTTAATTAAAAGACATTGGTTTCCCACATTTAAAACTGAGGAAGTTTCCAATATTTTTAAAAACCAGAAGCTTTAGTAATGAGGGGACCCTTCTTTTGGGGAACCTCCCTCTAATGCTAAACAGTAGCTGTCTCTTTAAGTGAGGTTTGAAATCTCCACTTGCCCAAATTCCATCTGGCTCGCTTAACTCACACATGCCAGCTGTCTAGTCCACACAAACATTCAGGTGTCTGGTCTAAATAGAGATATGCCAAAATGCTCTAAGAAAAGCACTGTGGTTTGGTGCTAGGTTACAGCACATCAGAACAGCTCCTACCCTAACAGAGCTCAGACTATAGCAGGAAATACAGACAATTCCGCAAGCAATTTCATAATTGCTTGGAAAGTATTAAGTTGTAAAGTATTGAAAAAATGAAGGAATAACTTAGGAGCTCAGAATGGGAGCACCCAAAGAAAGTGATTTTTGAGCAGAGACTTGAAAAATTAGTAAGAATTGTCTAGGAAAACAAAGCGGGTAAAGAGTATTATAGGAGGTAAAGAGTATTGTCGATGGACCCCACAAATAAACCTTTTTTGAGCACTGTTACACGTATGGAGTAAATGCAACCTTTACAAGCTTGTAATCATTTGGAGAGACAAGACAACAGGCCGTCAGAAAGAGGGCACACAACGTCGTTGATGAGTGTGAGGGTTCATAATTTCAACTTGGGACTTTGGCAAGGAGGTCTGCCACAGCAAAGTCACTCAGATCATCAAGAAAAAGGCTGAGAAAACAATATAATATGATAATAAGAGCAGACTGTCCCAAATGCACAGCAAATTCTGGTTCCCCTCACTCATGGCATTCTCGTGACTGAGGAAGTATGAGTGCCCAAGGCTCATACCCCCCAGGGAGTACAGCCACAAGGTGAGCTTGCGGACGCAGAATGTGTTCAGCGAGCATGAGTGTGGGAAGTCACAGAGCCCACAGCAACGAAGGTCGGCCAGGGAGGTTTGATATGTTAGCGAGTGATGTATCCGTCACACTACAGCTTCTGAGAAGTTGGATCATCTGATCTTTCGGTCATGTCAGGACTTATCTTCCCAACCAAAAAGAAAGTTTGAATCCTTTTGATTTATGACCACTTAAAACGTTGCAAGAAACATGCCTAGCCGTTTATGTTATTGTCTCATTTAATTTAATCACAAAATAGATCATTAGGCAGAAATTAGTATCCCATGTTATAAAAGAAGTAACTGAGGCTCAGTGGTTATACATCTTGCTGAATGTGCCATGGCAGTAGTAAGTGGCAGAACCAGACTGAACTTAGGCATTCCAAACCCAAAGCTCATACCCTTAGTCAGTGTTTTGCAAACTGTAGATAAAGACCCATTACTTAATAATAAAACATCTATTGAGTGGCTTACAATATAAGAATTTGTGAGTGAAAAAGTAAGATAAAACAGATTAAATACTGTGTTTCACATATAATAATACTAAGTTCACTTGACCCTTGAAAAATATGGGTTTGATCCATGTGGGTCCACTTATACACAGACTTTTTTCAATAAATATATTGGAAATTTTGGGGGAGATTTCTCCAGTTTGGAAAAACTTACAGATGAACTATGTAGCCAAGAAATATTTTTTAAATTAAGAAAAAGTTAAGCATGTAACAAGCAAATAAAATATATGTAGATACTAGCCTATTTTATCAAATACTACCATAAAATATACACAAATCTATTATAAAAAGTTAAACATTTGTCAAAATTTACAAGATTTCATGACCAAGAACCCAAAAGCAAATGCACCACAAACAAAGATCAATAGATGGGACTTAATTAAACTAAATGGCTTCTGCCCAGCAAAAGAAACACAGCAAGCACCTAAGTTAAAATCAGATTTATTTCTCAAAATCACTACATGCCCAGTGTTCTAACTCACACTCACTCAGGACACCTGGCTGATGGAGGCTCTGCCTTGAAAAGCACTTTTACAATCAATATGGTACTGAGGAAGACACACAGAGAGTAATACATAGTCTCTTAAAGCTTCCACATTGATATGACACATTTCACTTATATTTTATTAAGCAAAGCAAGCAATGTGGTCACATCTAATTTCAAAAGTATAGCAAGTACCACTGTTCCATGTGTCTGGAAAGCAGAAACATGGAAGTATTGGTCAAACAGCACTGTATTAGTCCATTTTCACATTGTTGATAAAGACATACCTGAGACTGGGTAATTTGTTTTAAAACAAGAGGTTTAATGGACTCACAGTTCCACATAGCTGGGGAGGCACCTCCATCATGGCAGAAAGTGAAATGCACGTCTTACATGGTGACAGGCAAGAGAAGGAATGAGAACCAAGCAATAGGGGTTTCCCCTTATAAAGCCATCAGATCTTGTGAGACTTATTCACTACCACGAGAACAGTATAGGGGAAACCACCCCCATGATTCAATTATCTCCCACCAGGTCCCTCCCACAACATGTGAGAATTATGGGAGCTACAATTCAGGATGAGATTTGGGTGGGGGCACAGCAAACCATATTAAACACTAATGACTATCATAGGAATCACTATCATGTAGGCAATAGTTGAGGCCATGAAGATGAATTAGATCTTATTCTATTCCCAGGGAAGAAAATGCCAACACATGTTTTAAGAATATGGTACCTATACTCATATTTCCAAATGTTCTACTAGTAGTTTAAATACAAAATATCATAAACCAAACTATTTATCCTCCCTACAAAAATGAGTTCCCTGTAGTCATTTGGATATAACTTTGATTAATATCATCTCTATTCACTCAACTGCCCAGGTGAATCACTTTGGATTCATCTTTAACTCCTCCTTGGCCTTCACCGGCAGACCTCATCAATCACAGCTCTGTCCACCCAGTAAACAGCTCATGAATCCATCCTTACTTCTTCATTTCCACTGTCACTACCTTGGTACCAGCCCACATCATCTCAACCAATGCCAACTATCCTAAATAAGGCTGTACTGCTTTTATATAATTAACAAACTTGGAGATATGTCTTATGAAAATTGGCTGTTATTGTGCCATAAATAGTTTCTATAATCTTTTTCTTAGTATCTTCTTGAGATTTGGCAAATATCTGTTCTTGAAAATGCCTCCTATATTGGAAAAAATCCAGGTATAGTGATTGAAGAGGAAGAAAATATTTAGAGAACTCTTGAGAAGAAAAAACAGGAAAAGAGGGGCAAGAAGAGTCAAGGATACTTATATGACTGCCCTGTCTCATGAGAATAGTCACCTTTCAAAGTTCTCTCTGCCGCTAACTTAGAGGGTTTATAGTTTTATTTTAAAGAGAGAAGCTGATTCCCTGTAGAAAATCTTTTATAGTGCTGTAGGAGTTGAAATCACAAGTCTGAATAGAATCTCCAAGGAAGATAATGAAGAAAAAAAAAAACAGAAAGATGAGGAGTAAACTTGGAAGTGTGATGTACTGATGAGGGAGGAATAAGAAGAAAGCAGAGCCAGAGCAGGGCAGGAAAGGAACAGACAGAAAGGTGGGAGAAGCAGGACAGTGAGGTGTGTGTTACAAGAAGGGTAATCGGCAGAGCTAAATGCAGGTGCAGTCCTGAAGAAAGAGCAGCTCTAAAGCTTTTGATTCGGTCATTGGGTGGTTATATCCTTGAAGTCAACATTTACAATTGGAGGATGGGGTGCTGGGATACAGGCAGCAAGGAATAAGTGGATGGTCCCATGGCAGCAAAGGTAGCATACTCCGCCAAAAGTTTGGTAGTGTGTTAGGAAAGAACAACAGCTCTATGAGGCAACAAGCTCTAAAAAAGATGTCTTCAAAGGCAAGGAATACAAGTGGCATATGTTTCATGAAAGGGAAAGAAAGAGAAAGGGGATGAGAATGAAAATGGCAGAGAGAAAGAAAATACTAATGAAAAAAGATTCATTTCCTCTCATCTAGATATTCTCCCCAGCTACAACATAACTTATTGGTATGACAGCAGCTAAGGATGGGTAAAATCATACTTTTATCATTTCATTTTTTTCTGCCATAGCCCTTTAAATGTTTCCATTACTTCACTTAAAATTATTGCATATAATAACTTCAAAAAGAAACCAGTTCACATTAACAAGAAAGATCTATAAGTGAAATTTTGGAAAAGATTCCAAACCTCCTCCTATCCCCCCTCAAAAAGTTCTACTCTTTTATTAAGAGTAGAGTTGTGTACTATTAATGATAATAATAGTATCAGTTTATACTATTAATGATAATAATAGCAGTTAGCATTTATTCTTATTATGTATCAAAACGTCTGCTAATTCTTAACACAAACTTATGAAGCAGGTGTTACTAGATGAGAAATCTGAGACTACCACCCCATGTTTTCTTCTAGTACTTTCATAACTTCCTTTTTTAGCTTAATTCATTGAACCCTTTGGAATGTACTCCAAATAATTGTTGAGAAGAAAATCTAACTATGTTTTTCAAATATCTACACAGGTGGTCCAAAACTAATTCCAAAACTAATTTTTGAATACTCCACTTGTACCACGTACTAAAAGCCCATATGTATTTAGAGCTATTTCTGTGTATACCTGATTGTTTCTAGATTTTTAAATTTTGTTTAATTGATCTGTCTCCATTCATTTACCTACAACACTGTTTTATCTACTTGAGTTTTAAAATATGTTTTGATATATGGTAATGCTTTTCTCATTTCCTTACCATCATTATCAATATTATTCTTGTTCTGAGTTTTGTTAGTCTTTATTTTTCATGTGAACTTTTTTTTTTTTTTTTGAGTCAAGGTCTCACTCTGTCACCCAGGTTGGAGTGCAATGGCATAATCTCGGCTCACTGCAGCCTCTGCTTTCCAGGTTCAAGCAATTCTCCAGCCTCAGCCTTCCAAGTAGCTGGGACTTTAGGTGCGAGCCATTAACATCTGGCTAATTTCTGTATTTTTTGTAGAGACGGGGTTTTGCCATGTTGCCCAGGCTGGTCTCAAACTCCTAGGCTCAAAGGGATCTGCCCACTTTGGCCTCCCAAAGTGCAGGGATTACAGGCGTGAGCCACTGCACCAGGCCTGAACTTTATAATTGAATTGTCTAGTTTCAAAAAACAAATTCTTATTTTTTTGCAATTAACTTAGAAAAAAATTGACATCTTTATTATTATTTCTATCTATCTGCTCAAGGTTTTTCAATATACTTATTGGCATTTCATGGAAGTGTTTTAAAGTTTATTTTGCTAATTTTTAACAGGTCTCTTACATTTCTTCTAGCATGTACTCTTAGGCATTTCAGTATTTTGGGTTGCTACTGTAAATAGCATATCTTCTCTTATTCTATCTATAAGCTATTAATTTATTTGTATTAATTTCTTCTCATTAATTACCAAATTTTTTCATTGTAGTGTTTTTTCAACTAATTCCCTTGGGAATTCCAGGTAAAACCTCACATTATCTACAAATCATATTAATTTTATTCTCTCCTTTTCATGTATCTGCTTTGGCTCATACTTAAATAATGTAAAATAATATAAGTGATAATGGACATCCTTAACATTTTTTTTCCCTTTAAAAGGAATGTCTCTATTGTGTGCCATTAAGCTTGATTCTGGCTTTTCTACTGAGCCCTATCATATTAAGGAAAATTCATCTATTCCTATTTTATTAAATACATAGATACTAATGACTGCTTTTTTAGACTATAATTTAGATCCCTTAGCATTGTGGCAGATCTAAAACATGGTCACAAATTATTTGACAAATTATTTGTCCCCTAGAGAAGTAAGATCTTTGCCACCTCTCCTGAATCTCTGCCAGCCTGTGACTACTTCAACCAATAGAGCACATGTACAGTGATGCTATGTGATTCTGAGGCTAGGTCTGGTCTGAATGTTTTTGTCCCCTTTAAATTTATATGTTAAAATCCTAGCCCCCAAAGTGATGATATTAGGAGATGGGGCCTCTGGAAGATAATTAGGTCATGAGGACAGAGCCCTCAGGAATGGAACTAGTAACCTTTTAAAAGAGGCCCTAGAAAGCTAGCTAGCCCCTTCCACCATATGAGAACACAGTAGGAAAGTGCCATCTCAGAAACAGAAAGTAGGCCCTCATCCAACATCAAATCTGCCAGCACCTTGATCTGGGACTTCCCAGCCTTCAGAACTGTGAGAAGTCAATTTCTGTTGTTTATGGCCAGCCAGTTTACGTATTTTGTTATAGTAACCTGAACATACTAAGACTGAAATTTGGCATTGAGAAAATGGATATGGGGCGCTGCAACAAATAACTAAAATATAGAAGTGGCTTCGGAGGCCATGGAGGGTGTATCACGAGGTCAAGAGATCGAGACCATCCTGGCCAACACTGTGAAACCCCGTCTCTACTGAAAATACAAAAATTAGCCTGGTGTGGTGGCGCATGCCAGTAGTCCCAGCTACTCAGGAGGCTGAGGCAGGAGAATCACTTGAACCCAGGAGGCGGAGGTTGCAGTGAGCCAAGATCATGCCACTGCACTCCAGCCTGGGCAACAGAGTAAGACTGTATCAAAAAAAAAAAAAAAAAAAAAAAAAGAAGTGGCTTTGAAACTGGGTAAAGGGTAGAGGCTGGAAACATTTTGAGGTGCATGCAAGAAAACGCCTCATTGCCATGAACAGACTATTAGTGGCAATTCTATGAGGGCCCAGAAAGCAACGAGGAGAGCTGTAGAGAAAGCCTCAGTCTTCTTAGGGAACACTTAAGTAACCCTGAACAGAATGTTGTTGGAAACATAAACGGTAAGATCCTTCTGATAAGGTCTCAGCTGGAAATGAGGAACATGTTTTTGGACAATGAAGGAAAGGTCACCCTTGTTATAAAGTGGTAAAGAACTTGACTGAATTGTGTTCATGTCCTAGTGTTTTCTGAAGGTAGAACTTGTGAGACTAATCTCCTTATCAGATGATTGTTTGGTCACACCTTTGGTGTTCTCGCTCACCATTCTATCTTATTCTTTACAATATGATAGGCTGAGAATACTTCAAATCTTTAGCTTTTTGCTTCCCTTTTGATTAATGTTAGGATGGCAGTCTTATGTGTAGTCTTTTGACCCCCACTTGGCCACACAAGAATGGGTATGGAAACTGAAACACTTCCTAACCAAGAGGTAAAGTGCTCACACAGCCCTTGTCAGGCTCATCACATTGTGTGGAAACATACTTTCCTGTTTCATACTCAGTAAGTATTCTTTTGTTCTGTTTCAGCATGTGTGTCCATGGTATGCAGGCCTATCCTCAGCTTTCACTATTTCAGGCTCCACAGAGGAGAGGTCTGTCCTCTGTGGCATAAGAGGGTGTGTTTAGGCAAATGGCCCTGCACTGGCTGCCAGAAGAGACTCACTGACCCTGGGGTATCAATGCACACTATTGAAGCTGACCTTGCTCTATATCTTGTCTATGTAAGTAAAGCATTGCTACATCCAGTGCTTGACTGCACTGTGCTTTCCTTAGCAATTCCTATAGCAAGATGCAAGGGGCAGAAGTGTTTACAGTCCTCCTCTAGAATGCACAGTGTTCTAACATGCACAGTGTTCTTCTCCCCTGGAATTGATAACCCGTACACAGTGTTCTGTACAGAGTGTTCTGCCCAGTGATTGACAATTCCATCTTTAAATCATTTCTCTCATCTAAAATTTTACTAGAAACAGTCAAGAAGAACCAGGCTATTCCTTCAGCATTTTGATTAAATATTTTCTCAGCCAAATATTCAATCTTCCAGTGCCTTGATCTTGGACGTCCCAGTCTCTAGAACTATAAGTAATAAGTTTCTTTCTTTTATAAACTACTCCATTTATGGCATTTTGTTATAGCCACACAAATCAACTAAGACTGTGTATTTGTCTGTTTTCACGCTGATAGAAAAAACTGCCCAAGACTGGGTAACTTATGAAGGCAAGAGGTTTAATTGACTCACAGTTTCACATGGCTGGGGAGGCCTCAGGAAACTTATAATCATGGTGGAAGGCACTACTTCACAGGGCATCAGGAGAGAGAATGAGTGCCAGCTGGGGAAATGCCAGATGCTTATAAAACCATCAGATCTTGGCAGGGCACGGTGGCTTATGCCTGCAATCCCAGCGCTTTGGGAGGCTGACGTGGGCAGATCATGAAGTCAGGAGATCAAGACCATCCTGGCCAAAATGGTGAAACCCCATCTCTACAAAAATTAGCCAGGTGTGGTTGCGGGTGCCCATAATCCCAGCTACTCGGGAGGCTGAGGCAGGAGAATTGCTTGAACCCAGGAGGTGGAGATTGCAGTGAGCCAAGATGGTGCCACTGCACTCCAGCCTGGGTGACAGAGAGAGACTTCATCTCAAAAAAAAAAAAAAAGAAAAAATCAGATCTCATGAGACTCACTGACTATCAAGAGAACAGCATGGGGGAAACTGCCCTCATGATCTGATTACCTCCACCTGTCCCTGCCCTTGATAAGTGGGGGTTATGGGGATTAAAATTCAAGATGAGATTTTGGGTGGGGACACAGCCAAACCATATCCAACAATTATAAAAGGCCATGAAGCTTCCTCCTTGTTCCCTGTGGACATTTGCTGTTGGATTGCCAATGTAAGGAGTCTGGCTGGGCACAGCGGCTCACGCCTGTAATCCCAGCACTTTGGGAGGGCAAGGTGGGTGGATCACTTGAGGCCAGGAGTTCAAGACCAGCTTGCCAACATGGCAAAACCCAATCTCTACTAAAAATACAGAAGCTGGCCATGATGGCACATACCTGTAATCCTAGCTACTTAGGTGGCTGAAGCAGAAGAACCGCTTGAGCCCAGGAGGCAGAGGTTGCAGTGAGCCAAGATCCGCGCCACTGCACTCCAACCTGGGTGACAGCGTGAGACTCTGTCTCAAAACATAAAAAAAAAAAAAAAAAAAAAAAAAAAAAAAAAAAGGTCTGACAATCCTGAAGCCAACATGCTGTGAGGAAGCCCAAGCCACATGAAGAAATCACGCTCAGGGGCTCTGGTTGACAGTCCCAGACGAACCAAGGCTTCAGTCTTCCTAGCCTGTGCACCAGCCATGTGAGTGAAGCATCTACAAGATGTTTCTAGTCCTCATCTATTTGTATCTTCCCAAAAGAGGTCTCAGATATTGTGCAGCAGAGACAAGTCATCTCTGCTATACCCTGCCTGAATTCCCACAAAATCTGATAATTTGATAAAATATGGTTGTTATTTGCCACTAAGTTTACAACAGTTAGTTTTGAAGCAATTGAAAATCAGAACCCATGTAATAAAATGCTTTATTTGTCTCATTTAATGATTTTTTACCTGAATTCTACTTTGTCTGATATTTAGATTGCAATCCTTAATTTCTTTTGTTTGAATTTGCCTCGTTTGCCTTTTACAACTTTTCTAAATCTTTTTGTTTTAAGTCTTTCTTTGGAATATGGCTGTTAGGTGTTTGTTTAGAATCTAATCTGAAGGTCTTTCTCATGTAATAGTTGAGTCGGGCTCATTCATAATTTTTAATGTGATGGATATATTTTGTTTCAGTTCACTTGCATTATTTTATATTTTTTCTTAAGTTTAGTTTGGTCAACTTTGAGAAGGAAAAAAAGAGAGGGAGGGATGGTGTGTCTTTTTGTGTGTACAGTCATTCTGCTCTTTGAGGAAGTTTGTATTTTTATTCTATTGGTTGCATTTATAGTTTTAACTTTTTAAAAAATCCTCAGGTTTTTAAAATTTTTAGATGATAACATCTATTGGTTTCTTATTCTCTCTCTCCTCTCTCTCCTCATCATCTCTCTCTTTCCCCTGTACCACTCAATGACATATTATCTTTGTCCTTTGAAATAAGCATTTCACTTTTATTACTTCACTTATCAATAAAATAGTTTGATTGTCAGCTTTGCCAGTGAGGACTCGGCAAACTTAATCTACCTCCCAACTTCTTTGTCTTTTTCTTTTTTTCATTGTAGTTAGTTGTTCATGTAGGAATGTCATTCCTTGTCATTTATATAAGATTTGTATTCTGTTCTGTTACCTTAACTTCCACAGTTGTCTTCGTCTTGGCTGTACTTTCAAATACAGTTAGCTTCATGGTCATAAAAGAATACAGTTGGATTCGTATCTTATATCACATGGAAAAAAATAACTTAAAACAGATCAAAGACCTGAGTGCAAGAGCTGAAACCATAAAACTCTTAGTGAAAAACACGCGGGGAAAGTATCATGACGTTGGCTTGGCAATGATTTTTTGTACGTGACATCAAAAGCACAAACAACAAAAGACAAAATAGATAAATTGGACTACATTAAAATTAAAAATTTCTGTGCATGAAAGAGAACAATCAACAGAGTGAAAAGATAGCCCACAGAATAGGAGAAAATATTTGCAAATCATATATCTGATAAGAGGCTAATATCCAGAATATATAAAGAACTCCTACAACTCAACAACAGCAGAAAAAAAGAAACCCAAATTTAAAATTGGCAAAGGATTTGAATAGACATTTCTTCTAAAAAGATATATAGCCAATACACACATGAAAAGATATTCAGCATCACTAATCATTAGGGAAATGCAAATCAAAACCGCAATGAGATACCCCCTGGCACCCATTAAGATGGCTACTATCAAAAAAAAAAAAAAACAAAATAAAAAACAAAAAATAACAAGGGCTAGCATAGCAAGAATGTAGAGAAATTGGAATCCTTCTGCATTTGTTGGTGGAAATGCAAAGTTTTGCAATTGCTGTGGAAAAAAAAACAGTATAGTGATTCCTAAAAAAATTAAAAATAGAACTACCATATGATCCAGCAATTCCACTTCTGGGTATATGCTTGAGTCTTGAAGAGATATTTGTACATCCATGTTTATAGCAGCATTACTCACAGCAGTTGAAAGGTAGAAGGAACCCAAGTGTCCATCAGTGGATAAATGGATAAGCAAAATTGTGGCATATACATACAATCGAATATCATTCAGCCTTAAAAAGGAAAGACATTCTGACACATGCTACAACATGGATAAATCTTGAGAACATTGTGCTAAGTAAAATAACCAAGTCACAAAATGATTCTACTTATATGATGTACCTAGAGTAGTTAAATGTATAGCAGCTGAAAGTAGAATGGTTGTTTCCAGGGGATAGAGAAAGGGGGATGAGGAATTATTGTTTAATATAATCGAGTTTTAATTTTGAAAGATGAAGAGCCCAAGAGATTGGTTGCACAACTACATAAACATACTTAACACTACTGACCTGTACACTTAAAGATGATTAAGATCATAAATTTTTTGTTATATGTTGCTATGGTTTGACTGTGTCCCACAAAGTTCATATGTTGGGAACTTAATTCCCAGTGCAACAGCATTGAGAAGTGGGATCTTTAAGAGGTGAGTAGGTCATGATGGCTCCACCCTCATGAATAAATCATTGTTCTTATCACCGGAGTGGGTTCATGATCACAGGAGTGTGTTATGAAAGTGAGTTTGGCTTCATCTTAGGGAGAGGAACTCACAAGTGTTCTCTCTCTACGTGATACCTTCTGCCATGTGAAGATGCAGCAAGAAGGCCCTGATCAGGTGCAGCCCCTCAGTCTCGGACTGCCCAGCTTCCAGACAGTGAACCAAATAAATTTCTGTTCATTATCAATTACCCAGTCTGAGGTATTCTGCTATAGCAAAACAAAATAGACTAAAACATGTATATTTTACCACAATTAAAAATAAAATTTAAAAAGAGAGAGAAAAAAACATATACACTAAAAGAGACTCAAAGACGTAATCAGTTCCAATGTATGGCCTTTATTTGTAGATCTATTTAAACAAATTAACTATTTTTTTATTATTTTTAAAAATTATTTTAAAAATTTTTTTAATTGTGAGGCAATCACAGAAATACAACCACTAACTGGCTATTTTATGGTATTAAAGAATTGCTATCATTTATTTTTAGGTGTGATAATGGTATTGGCATTGTGTTTTAAAAAATATTTTTCTGTAATAGAGATACATACTAAAATGGTTATGGAAGAAATAAAATGAGGGATTATTATCCACTGGAGGATGGGGAGAGAATGACGAGATATAGATGAATCAAGATTGGCCATGCAAACTGTTGAAGCTGTATAATGGGTACTTGAGATTTTATTATACTGTTTTCTCTACTTTTGTATATTTTCATTTTTCTCCTGATAAAAATTCCAGTTCCAGAAAGAAAAATAAAAAGCTCACTGCCAGTTCTTTTGCCACAGTTACACTTGATGGCAGAACTTCTCCCTTGAGTTGCTTATTCACAAAAGGACCCTAGCAACAGAGTTCCCTGAAATCTTCTGTGCACATGGGTGGATATAACATCCTTGACTCACACTTTCTTTCTCTGAGAATTTGAAAGGTACCACTTTTCCACCCTCTAGTGTTGAATATGGCCATGGATATGAAGATGAATTCAGCTGATTGTTTTCCCTTTCCAAGTTACTTCATCCTTTTACTGCCCAAAGAATTCTTCCTTCATTTCTTAGAGTTCAATAATTTCGCTAGGGTATTCCTTGTTGATGATGATCTGGGTCACTTTTCCCTGGGACACACAGTGCCTTTGCAGTGTGTAGAGTCACATACTTTATTATCAGAAGTTTTTCCTGAATCATATCTTTAAACATTTGGGTTTTGTTTCATTGATTGTGTTTCTCATCTACAACTTCAATTGCATGTATCTGGGATCTCCTTTTCTTTTCTCTTATGTTCATTATTTCCATCACTGTGTTTTTATCACATCTCTCTTCTTCATGCTTCTTTCAGTTGTGTCATCATTCTGGAATTACATATTTCCTGAATTTCAGCACGTTTCATATTTTTCATCGACTACTCACTTCTCCTCTGTGTTCTTGTGTTTCTGCTTTGGGGTCTTCCTTCAAAAGTAATTGCTCAATTATGACCATTCTTGCAGGAGTAAGATGGTATTGCATTGTGGTTTTGATTTGCATTTCCTCCATCATTAGTGATGCTCAGCATTTTTTATAATAGATGTTGGCATGGATGCAGTGAAAAGGGAACATTTCTACACTGCTGGTGGGAATGTAAAGCAGCACAAGCACTATGGAAAACAGTGTGGAGATTTCTTAAAGAACTAAACAGTAGATCTGCCATTTGATCCAGCAATCCCACTACTGGGTATCTACCCAGAGGAAAATAAGTCATTCTACAAAAAAGATACTTGCACATGTATGTTTATAGCAGCACAGTTTGCAATTGCAAAAATATGGAACCAGCCCAAATGCCATATATATATATATATATATATATATGATGGAATACTACTTAGCCATAAAAAGAAATGAATTAATGACATTCACAGTAACCTGGATGGAACTGGAGACCAGTATTCTAAGTAAAGTAACTGAGGAATGGAAAACCAAGCATCATATGTTCTCACTCATAAATGGGAGCTAAGCTATGAGGATGCAAAGGCAAAAGAATGATACAATGGACTTTGGGGACTTGGGGGAAAGCATAGGAGAGGGTTGAGGGATAAAAGACTACAAATTGGGTTCAGGGTATACTGCACGGGTGATGGGTACACCAAAATCTCACAAGTCACCACTAAAGAACATACTAATGCAACCAAATACCACCTGTTCCCCAAAAACCTATGGAAATAAAAAATTAAAAATAAATAAATAAATAATGATGTCTCTAAAGTCTTATAAAGCACAGCACAGAGTGGATGATTAATAAATGAATACACTTTTTAAAAAGGAATTGCTCAAGGTAATTGCCTCATTGCATATGTTTTTATTTTAATTCATGGCAAATAGTTAGGACACAATTTTCATCCATTTATGAATGTCCTCCATCTGCTGGTGATTTCGCCGCTCTTTTCCACCATTTTTCACATAGGATCTTTTTATCAATGCCCTTTTTTAAAAGCTTTTCACCACTAAATGAGTTACATTTTCCCAAACAAACTATTTTCAAGAAGTTTTTACTGGGGAGGGGCCAGGTGGCCTTTCAGGCTTCATTCCCCTTCCTGTTGCCCCAGAAATAAACTGCTTCCTTCAAATACAGCTCATCTTTGGTTTCTTTGCTCAGCCCTCTCCTGTATTTCTCAGAGCCAAACCAGGATAGGAACACTTTTGCACCGACCCTGCAAACCTCAATTCCAGAACAACTATGTTAACCTTAGCACTTCAGGTGAGTCCTGCCCCTTCAGGATGAGTATTTTTGCTGGCACTTCCTCCAATTGCCACCCCTGGGCTCTCTTGGTGTTGCCTCCTTCTTTTTCCTCCTTGGCGGCCACCGCACAATTTCAGTGTCTCCTGGCAGCCTTTACAGATGTTGCACAGTCTATGGTTTATATTTGCCTTTGAGCTTTTCGTTTTCAGTTTGTTTTTTGGTTTTTCTTTTGCATAATTTCTAGGACAGGAAGGGGGAAATGCTGCTATGCATGGCCTGGTTTATATCAGAAATCTGACAACATTTTTAGCAATATACTCTTGAGAAGCTTTCTGTTTCCCATTTTATCATGGTTGACTTTAGTTTTGTTACTCTGATTTTAATGAATTTACCCTCTGTAAAAATAGTTTGCTTTTTTCTCACATTATGTGTATATAAAACTTGCTTTGTCCATTGGAGGCTTTCTTAGCAAGAGTAAAGCATCTCATCTGGGAAAGCATAAAAATAATGTAAAGGGAATGATAAGCCCAGATGCAATAGAATTCTTCCACTCAGTCAATCCTGAAACGGGGGCAGGATTATTGCAAACCAACTTATGATGCCTTACCAGCTGCTGAATTGGATCTCGCTTTAACTCTGCAAGATAATGGGATGAACTTATTTTCTTTCATGTAATGAAACCAGGATCTTTCATGGTCAGTAAGAGTAGGGAAGCATCTGGATTCATTGACTGCAACAGACCTTAATAGTGTGTAACTCGCTGGGGGAAAATTGTGTGTATCATATTGTCATTTTGCATCTGTTACTCTGATTAGGATCACTGTAATACATTCAAATTCATTAATGGCAGCTACTTTGGATCCCTAAATAATTAATGGCATCATAGGTGTCTCCCTAAGCAACAACCCGATGGCACTGTGTATTAGGCAGCACTGTGAGCTCAGAATAAACAGCTCTGACACAGCGACATCTGTTTTGTCAGGCACCTCCTCTTGCACCAGCTTTCCTTAGCTGAGCTTGGGAAAATGGGCAGAAGCAAGAGTAGAAATCAAAGGAGAGAATCAAGTAGACTCTGTGCAGTGGTTTAATGTGAAATGCAGGATGCCAGGTCCCAACTTATCCCATGAATTAGAATCCCTGGATGGTGGAACCTGGGAATCCGCCTTTTAATAGACACCCCAACGATTCTTATGTGCCCTATAGTCTGAGAAGCTCGGGATAGAGACCTCTCTCCCAAAGGAAAAAAAGACAGCAAGATAGGGAAAATGTTATGTTGTGGATCCTAGCCCACTGGGGTACTATAATATAGTGTGTGAATTTTTCTTACCCTATAAGCTTAGTATGGTTCTAAAGCTTGAAGGAAAGAATTTCTCCTACTTCTGAAATATAAATAAAACATCCCCATGCCCACACAATTTTGTTGATTTCTGCATGTACTCTGAGGATGAGCAGATGTCCCCATGTGAAGCAAAAATGTTAATATTCTGAGACTTCTCCCAGAGTAACTTAAAGAAATAAAAAGCCAATTTATTAGACTATGATTAAAAATGCACACACAATTAACTGTGGAAGTGCTTGTTTCCCAATATCCTGCGGACAACAATTTTTGGCAGATTTTTCAACTTATCTGCATTTCATCAAAGTAGGAGATTATACAAATAAATGGCAGTGGCATATCCTAGGGCACTAAAGAGGTCATGAAAAGATCTATAATCCACACAAATTGCAAGTGTTAATAAAGATAATGTCCTAGTCAGGAACTGTGAAGTTAATGTGTATTTGTAAATATCTAAAGAGTAGATGGAGAGAAGAGAAAGAGAGGGAGAAAAGAAAGCAGAAACTGAAGGTTGTAGAGGGGACCAGGAGAAAAGATGGAAGAACTCTGATGCAATTTACATCCCAGAAATCGCTCTGCTGCGGTTGCAGAAAGCCAGCCCGGGTTGTCTTTCTTCCTGGCTGCTCCACAGAATGCCCTCCAGAAAATAGCCATAAATGAGCTCAGTAGCCTCTCACTACCACAATTAGAAAATCAAACTATCAGCAGCATTTCAAAGTAAATGAAGGGAACCAGAGGATGAGTGCAAATTCCAGGTGTCTAAGTTTGTACTCACACAGTAAAATAATGCCATGGACACAGTGGGGCTAATACAGGGCAAGCAAGAGACATCACTTGCCAATGAAAGTGGGTATTAAAAGAGGAACAAATTTTAGCACAATGTTATTAATAGCCACCATTTGTCAGGGCTTACTAGGTGTCAGCATTTATTTATTTAAATTTAATCCTCACTGCAGTCTTTACAGGTTGCACTCAATTTACTAACGAGAAAACTGCAATTGTAATAAGGATGCTCATCTAGTGAGCAGCGGAGCCAGGATATGACTCCTGCATGTCTAACTCTGACTTCCATGCTTTTAACCACAATTTTACTGTGGAAGATAACATATCTCTTCAGTGATACAGGGTTGCCCTCCTGGTAAGATATGCAGGAGAGTCTGCATCTATGAGTGTACACTCAGTTTGGCTAAATGAGAGATGCCACGACATATAGGACAACTAATCTGGCTTTGGACTTATGGGCAGCACACTCTTTGGATGAGGGCTGAGACCAGAAGTCAAGAATTTCTGGTTCCATTAAACCATAAGTTACATGTAGACAATAAACATTCATTAAATACGTGATTTAATTTTGCTTTTGTCTATGTGTGTTCCCAGTGTTAAACATAATATTGCCTGGTACATAGTAAGTGACCCCAAAAATCCATGATTAATGAGTCAATAAATACATGAACTAGTGAATAAATCAATCAGTGTACAGAGAAATGTGCATTCCCATATTCATCTCTAGGAAATTATTGCACAGAGAGCAATACACCAACCCTAGATCATCAATCTTTTCTTGCCATATGTGGGTCCCAAAATTTTTTCACAAGTAAAGGGAATATGGCATTGTCATAGTTACTTGTATAACAGAATGTGTGCTAACAGCAGTAATGAACAAAGACCGGGCCATGAGCAGTCCCAGGCTGATGACTCATACACCACCAGAGCCTTTTGTCCCCAGCCATTATTTTCCAGCATTTTCTTGCACTGCCCTTTTGCTACAAGAATCAATCTGGATTTAATCATTTGCTCTTTAACCTGAAGCATACAGATTTATAGCACACTTTTTAGGGCTATGGGATCTTTGTTTTGGATTTTCTATAGTTTAAAGATCAATTTTGACTAATCAGAGCTAATTAGAGATCAACAAACCCTTCCAATCTCTATCTAGGGCCTGGGCAAGTGTTAAAAACCTACATGATTTCTAAGTCAAAAGTCATTCCACAGGCAAATATAGGAAGAAACCATGTTTGGCAAATGTAATTTCTAGTTGTGCAGCTTTCAACTGACAAATGCCTTAATGATGGAAAAAACAAAGGACAGAAACTAGACCTCCTAGGTTTCCAAAATGTTGTTATCACTATTAGATGTGTGACCTTAAACAAATCACTAAGCCACACTAAGTCTCAGTTTGCCCAACTGAGTAATGAATTGTTGAACTCTCTGTTAGGTGTATAAACACACACATGTCATTTTATTACAGTCCATCTTATTCCATAAGTTTGCCTTGTTTATCAACAAGCTTGTGAATTACTTGAGGGTGTGTCTTAAATTTTCTTTTTTTGTCTCTTCCATTGCTTCTAGAACGCTGTTAAATACAAAAAGCTGATCAGCAGTGAACTAGATTGAAGTAAATCAAGGTTCCTTGTGTTTGCCTACCAAGAATATGAAAATCTTCCCAAATTTATGTAAAGAAAACTCTTCAGGAATCAGAACAATATGCTGCATTTCTATAGGGTTTTTCTTTTTTGTTTTATTTCTCAGATATGTGTGATCCCTTAAATACTGTGTGTGTGCATGTATTTAAAACAATCTGTGCTTCTTTCACTCTTGGTTAAAAATTTTATTGGTTTTGTACATAAAATTCCCAAAGTAAAATTTTCATTGAAAATGGAAAATACTCAATTTCTGTTTGCACTAAGTGGCTGACAATTAACAAATGAGTCACATGTATTCCCTTCCTGTAACTAATGCACTGCAAGCCGAATTCATCAATTACAGCAAGGACACAATATTCACTTTACCAAACATCCAAGTTTCTTAGCTGTTGATCTTTTTGTGTATGTGTTTGCTTTCTCATTCTCTTTCTATGTGTTCTATTCATAAATTGTGTCCAGCAAATTGTGGCAAAGGTGTCTCCCTTCTCTATTGCCACTTTGCAATCTATACTTAACTGCAGGGTAACAACAATGGAAGCCATCACTAACAGAGCCAACTCTAGCCCTCTAAATCTGCAACTACAGCTTGGGAAAAATCTTGTATCAGGGTGTTACATGCTAGATTTAATGTGAATGTTGTAGTCTGAAATGAAAATTATTTGTACAGCTGGAATATAACATTTGCATAAGTTACAATTAAAAGGGAAAATATAATTACAAATTTTCAACTTAATTTGAATGGTTTTTAAAATGCTCATTTGGCATAGGCAACAGCTTGCAGGCAAACAGAACACACTCTCAGAGTTGCATCCCTTTGTCTGGGTAGCAGTAGTGAGCTCATTTTGAAGTGCTTGCTTTAACCCCTGAATCCCAACAGCAACCAGCATTGAGAACCTAAAGTACAAGGCAATGTTTGTTTTCAAAATAGGATTACAACATACACAGTGATTCATAAATATTTGCATCTTTTAATTGTTTCTAAAAATGAAGTGGCAAGTGGCATCGCACAGGAATGTTATTTCTCCCGTGGAGCGAATGAGCAGTGGAATTTTAACTAGTTTCATTCCCTTTCAGTTCTCAGATCTGAGATCTTCGGTCACATCTCCTGTACAATGTTTTCCTCATATCACAGTCTCTTTAATGGCTCCAGTTTCTGATTTTTTTTTTCCTCCTTAATTACATGTCCTTTTCTTGTAGCTACTTCATGCTGAAGGCATGTCATTCTTCTCAGAGACAGTCTTGGCTAGGTGTCCGTGGACCGAGTCCATTTGTTCATTTGTTTTTAGGATTTCTTTTCTAAGACGCAAAGGAATCCTTTTATTATCCTCAAACACAAAAAGTGAAATTTTCATAAAATACTTTGTACAGCGTACAGCATGTTTACTTGAAACCCTGCTTCCCCAAAGTCATGATATCTGTGATTATTATGTAACATGCATTGTGTTGCATCAATGGGTTTTGCAAAAGAGAGGAAAAAGAGAAAATTATTCCATTCTGTCTTTCCCAGCAAAAAAGCATCCAAAAAGACATATAAATAAAAAAATTACTATGACTGTGAATTACACAATGAACTGTGCCTTTCTATTTTCCCGATCTTTCTTTTCACAGCTATCTCCAAATAATGAGATACCAGAAGATGCTCTTGAAAAAAAAAATAAATTATAAAAACTGATCCTTTGTTCTATTTACCCTGGAATCTGAAAAGGAAACTCCGTGCCAAAGAGAAAAACATAAAGTAATAATACAACCCAATTTTATATTTTTCCTGAGAAACTACAAAGGTACTCAGTTAATCGAGAGTATTATTAAGTAGTGTGATTTTTTTAAATCGCAGAAATCTTTCTTATTTTAGGAAGAACAAATACATAGCAATGAGAAGACCACCACACCACCTTCAGGAAAATGCTCCTTACAATGACTTGCTGAAACCAATGACAAAACCACATCGTGCCCTTGTGGATAATCATCTTTTGGGCAATGGACTTAGAATAACTTCATCACACTTAACTGGGATGTAAATTTAATACATACATATAATAAGTGCATATAAATGTAATTTATCTTGAAAAGAATTCCAAGGTCTTAATAAATATTATGCTGGGTTCTATAGCTTCTTTCCTAGTCCCTCAGCTTTCCCATTTCTTTCCTCTTTGATGCATAGTGGACAATTGTATCAGCCCCTAGGTTTGTATTCAAAGTCATAAGCCAGTAGCAGGCCATTTCCTCGAATGATATTTCCCAAATGGTGAAGATTTGTCACTGGCAAGATCATTTTAGTTGCCCATACCCCAGTATTTATCTGTTTTTTAAAAAATATAACACACTTGTGATTTCACCAGTTTTATCAAATAATAAGAATTTATCCAAGAATAAGGCTAAATTATTCCATTTTAAATTGATAGAAAGAAAATATTGAGAAAAAAAACCAGATGGTATGCAGATAGAACAAAGATCATGAAAGAGGTATGTAGATGACTAAAGTTTAGGAAACTGTCCTAGAAAAATCACTTCTCCATCAAGAGCTGAGCTCTTAAGGGAAAAAAAAAAAAAAGAAAGAAAGGAAAAAAAAGTACTCAAAAAATTTTTGGAAAAAAATTAAAGCCCCAGAAAAGAACCAAATATTTCTCATTTTTACTTTTCCCTTTGATTCATGAAAAACATTTTTCAAAAAGACCAAAAGCACCACAGCACAAGGACTTCCCTTGAATGCAAAGAACAGATCTGGAGAAGGCACTCTAGAGAAGATGTAGACATTTTTTGACAAGGCTCCTCCCAAGAAGCCAAGGTGTCAAGGAACGCCTCAGGTGAGTTGAGATGGCGAGGGTTGCCGCTAGCAGCTCCACAGGTCACACGAGGGCAGGACTGGAGTGCTGCTGAGCACCAGGCGAGGATCGCCCACAAATGAGGGACACAACCAAGGGTGCGGTGGTGCGGGAACAGCCAGCCACTCTATCTCCCAAGCTCCCGCCACTCCACATCTCAGGTTCCCTCTGCCTTCCCTTCCCTTCACTCCCTTCCTTCCTTTCTTTTCTCCTCAACTGTGTTTCACCAACTGAACTGATTATAACTGTGTAAAGTATATTTTTATTATTGAATTTCTTTCTGTAAAGTTCTTTGTTTTCTCTTCTGAGTTTTAAATATATGGGTGACTTCAAAATTTTATATTCCCAGTTCCCCAAAAAGGTTAGAATTCAGCTAAAAATGGTGATACGTTGGCTTTTACTTGTATATGGTTGTGAGATAGATATTTTGTGTGATTTGGTGTCCACTCCCACCCCCACCATTGAAAATAGAGCAAAAATTGGAGCTGAGAAAGGAATCATTTTCCCTATTTGGTGGGAAGAGTATTGCATATGCAATACATTACGAGAGTAATTTTGGGAGTGAAAAAGACAAGGAATATTCTCGAGAAGGATGTTTCTGAGAACCTTTGTGTTTTGGTGTTCTTTCTACTATCCTAAAGAAGTCACACCATTTCCAGGGAAATCTAGAGTTATTCACCATTAAGACAAAATAGGTCATTCTTAAAATGTTCCTTTACATCATTTTTTATACAAGCTGCACCTCCCAGAGTGAATGTCAGAATCAATGGGTTGGGTAGAACAGAAGTTTCCACCCTCATTTCCCCAGAGCCCTACCTTTGATGGGGGGCGGGGGTATTAAAGGATGAGGGAAAGGGGCGCTAGGAGGAATGATACCCAGGCTCCACCACCTCCTTCAACAACCACAGCCCCACTTTTGTCTGTTTAATAGAGCAATCATTGAAAATTTCCTTTGAAAAAAAAGGGTCTCATGTTTTAAAAACTTGGAACATAATGGGAATAGAAAAACTGATGTGCCTGGATTAACCCTGGAAAAACAGGATACAAGTTATAAAAATGATGAATGTTTCTTCAGACTAATTGTTTCTTTCTAATTCCTCACAAGGCTCATGAAACTATATGCTGTTCTCCTGTGGGATCCACTAACCTTGCACCTTGTGAATCACTCTCCACTCCCCTCACTTTCTAGTCCTCAAGCTGGGGTGGTCAAGGGTTAGGGGAGAAGCAGGTGAAGTAGGGAGGGCACATAAAACAGATGGATTGGGCTGCTCTCCCCTACAGTTTTATATATGCTTGCCAAAGAAGTAAGACCTCTGTACTGATAAGAGTAAGATAAGTCTAAATGTTTCTTACAGACAAAGTTGACAAGATTCAAAAGTGGTTTGGGTAAAAGAGACTCAATCCTAGAGGGGCATTTGATTCCAAAAGGGAAGAAGACGTACTTCATCTGGAACATCGTGAAGTCACAGAAGAACTTCACAAGTGTTCCGATCGGAAGGGAGCCCTTTGAGTAAGTGAAATGAAGCGTGAATAACTGCCTAATTAGTGGACATGAAAACTGGACAGTCTCCAAAGTCATCAGAGATGACCACGCTTGCCAGGCAACTTACTAGACTAAGGGTGAGTCCATTTGTAATCATCCCAGCTGGGAGGTGGCTGGGAGGTTTGACCTAGGGCTCAGAAGACTGGCTAACCTGGATAAAGCCATTCAAGACAATCAGGTGTGACATTATCTCCATGGCTGAGGTCTTCTGGAGCAGTAGTTCTAGAACTTCTTGGGGCCACTCCAATATAACAACACTCAGGAATCACCTCCCACTACTGCTGGGGCAGGCGGTGGGAACAGATGTAGAGAGGGTAAACTTTATTACAAGGAATGAGGAAAATGGAACTGATTTTGATAAGGGCCATTGTCAATCATTAGTTCACATGACAGCCATGAAGGTAGAGTCCTGTCCCAATCAATATTATAAGAGGGGAGTCCACAGACCACCCAGAGACCAAGGAGACATCAAGTAGCCTTTGAACCATAGATTCAAAACCTCCACTCAACAAGAATATCAGGGAGCTCTTTGATATCTAGCTTTCACGTGTTAAAGCTGTTACTAGATGCCTCTCCTTCCCACTCCTATTCTTGCCTAGATAATGAAGTCCAAATTCCCTAGCATCAAGGCTCTTCAAATTCCAGCCCATTCTACTTTCTCATCCTTCTCTCTTGCCATGCCTTGGCCTGTTCTCTGTCTTGTAAGGAATATAGGTTGCACTAGCCCCTTGGTCTGGTTATGTCCATTTCTAAAGTCTCTGGCAAAAACACTGTCATCTTTCAGGATGCAGTTCAAATTTCACTTCCTTCCCTACATAGTTCATGACTCCTTTGTGTTAAAGACACAGTTCAAGCGTCTACCTTAGCACCTTACTCGAAGAAGAGTCTGGGGAGAACAGTCCTTGCTTCAGCCTCAGTTCAGATGTAATTACACAGATCTAGCAAGCCAGTGGTGTGCACCCAGGAATCACATGGCACTGAGAGACTTAACTGACTAGGCTTGTTACCCCCAGGGTAACTGTGAAATAGGGCTTTGGAGTGTGGTATCAGTTTCTTGCATCTATCCCAAGCCTAGCCCCATAGACACATGTCTAGGTCCTTGTAGATGGGTGATTAATAGCATGCATCTAAAGCCAGTTGCCTGGATTCAGATCTAAGTTCTGTTGCTTGCTGGTTGCCTTGAGTGAGTCAGTTAACCCCTCTGGCCTCAGTGGAGATGAAAATAATATGGGTCTGTTGTGAGCATTGCACAAGTTAATGTATGTAAATCTCTCCCCACACTGCCAGGCACACAATGAGCCTCACGTAAGCATCAGGTACTACATTTAGGAAGAGAGATGGTGGTAAGTAAAAGTTTAAAATTATTCAATTTGGGAGCACAAGCCACACTAATTCAGAATCACTAATTTGAGAGAAAATTGAAAGAGGGTGATCATCTAACTCCACCATCCACTAGAAGCAGCTTAGCTCATTGAAGTGGTGGCACCGTGGTGGGGCTGGAAGCAAGGGTAGTCCCAGCAGAAGGCTTGGGCACATGACAGAGGCAGTGGTGCTCAGATAGAGGTGGCAGCAGGGGCAATGGCATCACCAGGTGGTCTCTGTGACACCCACAGGTGGTGTCTCAAGACATTCAAGGTGCTCAGTGAGTGCAGACTATGCAGGAGAAGTGACACAGAAGCCTGATGGAGGTGATGATACCCAGTGGCCATGGGACTTTGTCAGCAAAGGCAGTGATAAACAGCATGAGAGGTCAATACTCCGGGACACCATGGGGCAGACGTCAGCCTTATTCACATGCCCATGGGAGAAATTCCCTGGGGTCGACCAGAAGTGCGTGGTGGTGAAGCTTTGCCAGGTCCTCATGAATCCAGTGTGACAAATTCCTCAAATTACCATTGGTGTGAGCTCATTCTTCCAGAAGAGGAATATTGGGAAATCATAGAAAGCACAAGCTTTAGAGTTAGTCAGGCTTGTTCTCCATTCAACTGAACACACTTCCTGAGCACCTTTTTCATGCCATAGGCTCAGCTCTAGTTGGTAGAAACACCACAGTGAGCGAGGCAAAAAGTGTCCTCCTCACAGGATGTTCACCTTACAGAGGGAGACACAGTTGATAAACAAGTAAGCAAATACATTAATGAGAGGTTTCATGTGATAAAGGCTGTGAAGACAATAAAGTAGGTAATAATGCAGGAGATGAGTAGAGCAAACTACTTAAATAGAGGAGCCGGGTTAATCTCTCATTCACAGTGAGGATGCAGTGGCCAGAAGAGGCAGCCCAGGGAAGATCTGAGGTGAACCCTCTGGTTGGAAAGCCTTGGCAAATTGGAGGAATGAAAAGAAAAAAGAGTAAATCTACAACAAGGATCAGCAAACTCCAGTCTACAGGCCAAATCCAGCCTGCTGCCTGTTTATGTCAATAAAGTTTTATTGGAACATAGCCACACTCGTCTGCTTATTTATTATCTATGGGTGCTTTCATGCTAGAATAGCAGGGCTGAGTAGCTGCAAGGGAGACTGCATGGCCTGCAGAGCCTAAAATATTTACCTGGCCCTGTGCTGAGAAGTGTGCTGATCCCGGTCTAAAGCACTGTAAACAAGCTAGGGGGAGAACAGTAGGAGATGAAGTTTAAGGGTTCAGGGAAAGGTGGCAAATTCTGCAGGGCCTTGTAACCCATGGAAAAGGGCTGGGATTCTGTTCTGCATGTAATGGGAAGTCACTGGAAAATTCCAAGCAGGGAGCACGTGATCTGACTTATGTTCTTACAAGGCCACCCTGGGAGCTAAAGAAGAGTAGATTTCCAGTCTTTGGAAGATGGACCATAGGGCCAAGAGGCAGCCAGAAAGTCTATCAGGTGGCTACTGCAGAGCCCAGTGAGAGACAAAGGTGCCAGGGATGGGGACGGTAGCAGTGCCAATGCAACAAGTGGTCAAGGTATATTATTTTAGGTAATATTTTAGGTTTAACAGGCATGAGAACCCTTACTCCACTGTGTAACCTTAGGCAAGTTATTCAAATGCTGTAAGCCCAGTTTCTTGTCAAAAAAACCCTCAGAGCACTATTGTGTGGATTGAATTACAAAATACATCTGAGGTGCCTGTCAAAAAGTTAAGTGTTCAATAAATGTCAACTATGATTACTGTTTGTTGTTGTTGTTGTTGTTGTTGACTGATGAGACCTGTGGAAAGATCAGGTTGCAGCATACAGCTCATTGTGTCAGTTAATGGTGCTCTTCTCTGCCTGATTAAATTTCTGAGTTCCCTGGAGACAGGGAAGCTCCGTTATTCATCTTTATGTCCCCAAAAGTGTGCCTGGCACATGGTAGATGTTTAATAAATGCTTATTGATTAAACTATTATTTTTTAAGAAAGGAGGAGTATTATCTATTCTGCCATTTTTCACCAGAAGTGTTTTGTTTTCAGGATTGATATCCTGTGTCACATTTTTGTGACACAGAACCATTCCAAAGATACAGAGGTAGCTGTCTCTAGGGAAAGCTGGTACCCAGCAAAGGAAAACTCAGATGCTATTCTTTGGAAAACCTCTAACCTGATAAAATATGTCAGTGTTTGCAATAATATATTGAATCTGGGCTAAAAATTCACCATGCACAAGAAATCCAATCTTCACAGATACATATAAAAAATCTCTGCCATAATGTGGATGAGAACAATGAGTCCAAAAATCGTTGCTCTAATGTGTCAAGCTGTTTTCAGACTAATTTCAAAGTGGTTGGATATTCTGATCCCTTGCTCAGCCATATTAAAGGGTCCTCCATTTTGCTTTATTACCTCCTTCCTTTTATTCATTCATTATTCTGCCTTTAAAACTAAAAGGAGTTGGATTAAAATTGAGACTTCAGAATTATTTGTCAACGTTCTTATTCTTTGGCGTTAGCACTTACCAAAAAAGACTGGAAATCTACACTTCTTTAGAAGTTAAATTTTGTCATTATATGATAGTTTCAAATGAAATTAAATATGACACAAATTTTAAAATAAAAAATGACACCTGTAAAATACATACTCCTAGGTGACATTTTTATTTTTAAAAAGTGGTTAAATACCATAGTGGTCATACAATACAAAATTGTAAAATCTTCAAAGGGCCACAAAATAAAATGTTACCAGTTGCATTTACCTGTTGCATTCAGAATAACTAAATGTATTCTTAACACATACATGTTGCTATATCTGAAAGAGGAATTCTAATTTCTTAAAAATTAACAAATTAACACTAGGTGAGAAATCTCTTCGAGGCAGTCACCGAATCATAGCAGTACTACACAAACTTACCAATAGCTAACAAACCCTAAAAGAATGAGAAAATAAAAATAAGGAAAATACTTAAAATAACAGGACACTAAAAAAGAGGATCCCTTATTATAGTAAAGAAAAGGCTGAAATCCTTGAAACACCAGGCAGCAGCCATGAGGAGGGATTTTTTTTTTTTAACACGGAGCCTGGCATCTCACAAATAACGTATGTTCTATGTTATGTGGCAGTTGCTATGGTAACAACCTTTATTTTCTGAAACAGTACACAGATGTGTACAACATACTAACTTACTGGTTATAAATTACAGCTTTTCCCATAGTTCAATAACTTAAGAATTCTACGTTTTTGAAATCTCAGAAGTTCTGTTGTTATTACATTCTTTTATGAGATAATTTTCCTTGTACTTTCAAAATGAGAGTGCTCCCAAACATACCAAAAGAAAGGAGCAATGAGAAAATGGGGTATCTCAGAGAGCAGCAGTGCACTGAGTACTGGCTATAGAGTCTGTAGGAAACCCACTGAAAGAAGGAGAAAATTACTTTAATGAATTAGGTATCATGAACAATAGTCATGAGAAACAAGTTGCCAGCAAAATGATGTCATAAATAAAGTTATGAATTGATTTCCTATTATAAGGTGCCATATTTGCAGTTTTAAAATAAATGAAGATTATTTCTTAGAAGTGTTACAAACATTAATATAATTTTATAAGGTACAATAGTGTGGTTGCATGAATTAACCTGGTTTTTTTACTTCAAATGAAATCTTCTGAGTCTTGAAAAGACCAGAATCTGGGGGAACACTTATATTACTCTATTTAATATGGGATTAGTATCCCTTTGTCAGGTTAAAAAGCAAAAGACAGATTTTTACTGATTGGGATATTTTTATATTCCAACTTTAATCAACAAATACTTGAAAAGTGCCTTCTACATGCAGGGAGCTGGCTGTCCATGCTTAGATGCATATTGACATGCGTGGAAACATAAGTTATAGGGAAGTTCAGTTCTATAGATGATTTTTTTCCTATTCTAAAAATTTATGTTATATTTTCCATGTGGATCTGAATATTTTCTTTAAATAGGTAGTTCACATTGTAGATTTTTTAGAGTTGTCAGAAAAAAATCATCTCTGCAGCATTTATGAGGTGAGAGTTCATTACCTGGGAAACATTTGAAAAATAAGCTTGTATAGCTAGCATTTACAGTTAAAAACCATCTATCTTAAATAAGAAAAAAGATTTCTAATTATAAGAAAATTGTAAGTACCCTTACATAAAAAGTAACAAAGCACCCCTGATTTAGAAAGTCCAGAAACTGCACTGCTAATGGCTTTTCCTAACAAACATAAAACACTGGGAACTGCTATTTCAAGTCACAATACGGTTACATTCAAATTCAAAATTGTCTTATAGCAGCAATGACAATGAGAAACAATTGAATACTGTGCAGATAAGACCAAATCATTTTGAAAAGCCTGCACCATTAAGTGGTGGTTAAAATTTTTGCTAATGATTTCCACACATACTTCTTTCTATATCTTTTAGAGATATATTAAAAACGGGACCATGACTAATCCATTCAAATCCTTATGCTATCAGAGAGAGAGTGAGAGAAAGAGAGAGAGTTAAGTTATCACCTAATGGGGGCTTAGTGGCTAGAACTCAGAACCCAATAGAAAAAGAGTACTTCACTGCTAGGTGCATTTTAAAAGTATTACTTAAATTACATTTAAGTCATCAGATAATTATGAACTTTCTTCTCTTTTATATTTATATGGCATATTTATTGAATTGCACAGTATGCTTTTACAATAAAGTGCTTTTTACGTTGCCGCCTTTGTTCATCCAAAATAAAACTGACAGTTATCCTTTTATAAGCTATTCTGAGAACATTTTCTCTTCTTTGAAGCTGATTGATGCACTACTTTAAATGTTCCTGCAAATATCTTTTCAATTCAAGTTTTTGCATAATGTAATAAGAAGATAAAAGAATTCTATACTTCAACAAGAGACATTACAAAGCAAGTAGAGACATTATCAAGGGCATTAACTTGCTCCTAATAGCAATAAAACCTTTTAACTGTCTGATGTAGAACATGCTCCCACCAAACCACCACATATTATGGTAATTGGCTCCAATTTCTGAATCTTACATTGTAAAGTTACAAAGAGTTAGGCAGAACTGAAAAACAAATCTCTAATACTCATCTTGTTACTGTTCCCATTATAAGATGTTTACTTTTTACCTCTAAGGAGGACTGGTCTGCTCTGTTGTGCTGCTCTTTACTGTGCTATCATATTTTTGCATCCTGTCTCATTTTTATTTCTACTCACTGATATCAAGACACTTTTCTTCCCAAAAAACTCTTTTCTAACTCCAAAACATCACAGTAACACAAATAGCATTTTCCTGAGAATTTCAGTGTAACAAATGGGTTCTCTGTGCATGCCTGTGTCACGTCTCATTCACTTTATGTGTTCTCTCATCACTGGCAGATACGACAGGGAAAAACAGTCCATGAGGACGCTTTGATTTTTCTTTACAACGCGTTACTAAATGACATGAGTAGCCTTTCCATCCTGGCCAAGAGGAAATATAATTTCAAACTAAAGTTGAGTTCAGATTCTGTTAAATTAAATAGCAAAGAAACAGTCACTCTTGGTTTTATTCCTCTTAGACAGGAAGCAGGGCAGTGGGGAATTGACATGAGCCGTTCCTCGGTGATTAACCTGCAGTTTATGTTGTTTCTAGGTGACGTGCCCATCATGCAGGAAGCTTCTCCAAGGCTGGCGAGAGCAACTTGTCTGCTTTGAGAAATGCAGATCTATCAGGATCCAGAATCGGACTCTGAAAAAGCTGTCATTTCATGTCTCTAAAACAGCCTTTGATTTAATGTACAAGATGTCAAGAAGTAAAGGACAATAAAATAAAAACCAAAAAAGGAGAACTATTTCAATTAAGAAGCATTCCTATATCAATTCTTGGAAATCACATAAAATAAAAGCTGTCAGAATCAATCTCTGTTTAAAAGGCTGATTTTTTTGTGGTGCTTACATACAACATGCAAGACCAGAAAAAAATACAAATTACTAGCACAGAGCAGCCAAACTTAAAAAATCCTTTCTCATTAGAGAGATATCTGGTTATTAAATTTTCCTAATGGATCTAGGAAAAGTGTTTTTATGGCTGGGGCTGAGGACTGAGGAGAGAAGGAAAGAAATAAACCCCCATACAGAAAAAAAGTCACAGATGCAATCTCCAATTCTATATGAAGGAGTTTCATGCATTTCCAAAAATTTCATCTTTAATTGACATTAAAAGCCTCATATAACATTCTAGGAATCTACCTTTTATTGCTATGGGTTTTCAATGATGTTTGAATGCCTTTTTCAGAGAAAGATAAATATTTCTTGAAAGATTGCCCTATCACCCTAGTAATCAAATATCCTAAAGGCGAATTGAGAAAAAAATCTTTATAAAATCTGAGGCAACCTTTCAGTTAAGAGTATAATAATATTAAATAAAGATACAAGCATTGCCAAAAACAAATAAATAAAGCTCTTCTAAATGTGACTTCTTATTATGGAAGACATCACTTTCATTTTCATTTAGGTTTTTTTTGTTTTGTTTTGTTTGGGGTTTTTTTCTGAAATTTATTTATTTTTTAAATTGACAGATAAAATTGTATGTATTTACCGCATACAACATGATGTTTTGAAGTCTATATACACACTGTGGAATGGTTAAAGCTAGCTTATTAACATATGTTCATTTGTTCTTAAAATACACTGTTTAAGAAACATGTGTTACACTTCCAACTTTACTCCTGTCCTTAAAATTTTTATTATGCATTTTATTCCACATCTTTTATTGAAAAGGCTAATGGGCAGGGAAAGAAAAGATAAATTCATTTGCTGTCCCCCAAAAGGTTTGTATACATCAGGGGTATACCCCTTTCAGTGGCCTATTTCTGGCACCTTTATTTTTTAAAAATCAAGTTTTTCTGAAGGGGACTATTTAAAGAAGAAAATCCACTCCTTCATCATCAAATCAAGAACTTTTCTTAAAGTAAGCCTTCCACAGGCAGTAAGAGAAACAGCCTAAGAAGTTCCTCCAATCAAAAGAAGAAAAATAACAAAATCAGCTCACCCGTGATTTCCTTAATATACTTAAAAGAGATAAAATCCCACTGATGCCTCTAAAAATAAAAATGAGGAAAGGGCAACTTTATTGATTCCCTGCAAACCAACGAACGTGTAGCTTATTGATAACACTAAACACCATCTAAGCCTTTAGTGATTTTCAACCAAAAGTCTGTCTCTGAATGATGGTTTAAATCATCGTATTAATATATTAGGGTAAAATTACCATGGGAGACACTTGGAAATTAATTAAAAACCCTGCACTCAGTTTGTTTGTGAGAGAAGATAAATATCACACATGGGAAAAGATGCCTGACAACCGCCATAGTTTTCAGATCCAAATTAGACCCTGACAGCTATGTCTTTGTATGACTCTCCTTGGGGTATGATAAGCAGAAATATAGAATATGAAGATTTCTGATAGAAGTATTTATTACTGACACTTCCGAAACATTCCATGTGTGGCATCAGCAAAGCATGCTTCACCTCAGACAGAAATGTCAGGTTTTCTTCCAAGATTTGTTTTTTTCTGTTCCTCTTCCCCCATTCCCATCCCTCCCTCCCCATCCGCCACTACCCCCCTTCTCCTCCAAAAGATGATCTTTTTTTAGAAGTTCAACAGCAGCCCCTGGTGGAACTCAGCAGTTGTTTCAGCCTGAGCACAGTTGTTAAAGCAATTCCATTCATCTTGTCAATAAAAAGAAAAGTCTGTACATGTGTATATTACCC
Organism: Homo sapiens; assembly: GCF_000001405.40. Lineage (NCBI taxonomy): Eukaryota > Metazoa > Chordata > Mammalia > Primates > Hominidae > Homo > Homo sapiens. The sequence goes on along the minus strand of NC_000001.11, from coordinate 95,309,073 downwards.
CCTCAGTGTGCTGTTCCTGCAGGTCAGGGATCAGAATACAACCCTGAATGTACAAAGGCAGTGCTTTATGATGGTAATTTCAGCCAATTTCGGTAGCTGGAGTTTTGAAAAAATATATATATGTAACAAACAATAAACATCTGTCTCCAATGTCACATTCATTTTATGCATGAAGACCGATAATTAACTGCTCGTGAATAACGCTTACCACAGAGTGCGTCAAAGTGAAGAGGCTCCACACATGTGAGGGGGTGATCGCTATTTTGTTTGGCTCATGTTGTGACAGATTCAGCTTTGTCACTTAGCAAAATGAGCTATACAAAGTGACAAAGAAGGGATTCCTCTGGGTCAGAGCTCAGAAAGCACCACAGTATGCTACTGCTCCATCAGAATGGCAAGCTAGGCTTAACAAGAAAGCCCACCAACATGCTCTTCAGAGAGACCATCTCTACTCCTTTAGGGCTTGGTTGGCAGCCCCAGATTACCATGTGGGGCAAGAGGGAGATGTGTGGCTCTTTGTTTGCATTAGGCAGGGTCAGTCTCTGCACTTCACAAAGGTGCCTGGTAGAGGGGCTCAAAGCCAACTCTACTCCCTCTGGAGCCATCTCCCTAGAGAACAGTCACTTTTTTCTTAGCACAAAGGCAATGTCCTATTTCTAAACCCCATGCCTTTGGGGTTGCATCACACCAAAGGAGTTGCCTTCCCAATTCACACAGAGGTGCCATATAGGCTCCTGGTGGCTCAGATGCTAGGCAAGGAGAAGGAGACTTGCATAGTGAAGAGGATGGCTCTCTTGCCAGAGTCTCATGTGCGCCGGGGTTGAGGAACATAGCAGGCATTCACCCTCCAGAAGGCTCATGTTACGACAGAGGTAAAATGAGAAATTTACTCAAAGACTCAAAAGTCTACTTGAGTAAATTTATTCAATGTGTATTTCACTCGTGTATTTTGACTTTTCTCTTCTTAAATGATGAGTTTATTAAGAGGAAAAGCAAACAGTACTTTCAAAGCTTAAAATAGCTTCATGATAAATGCTAGGATCGAAGAAATATTATTTTAAGTGAAAACATGGTTTTTAAATTTTGAAAGTATTGTACTTCATATTAGCCCTTCGCATGACCCTGAAGCCACTTAAATCTCTGGACTGATCTCATGTGAGGCTAAATCAGGGAGCTGATGTTTTGAGACCAGAGAGAATCCCACGATAGGCCACTTACTGAGTGCCTAGTGGATGTCATGCACTGGGGAGGAAGAGGGATAGAAAGAAACAAGGCTTAGTCACTAATGAATTACAATCTAGTAGAAGAGACACATGTACCCAAATAATTTTAATATAGTGTGGGAGCAATGTGCAGAGTCCTAAGAAATACATGGATGCCCTTAGCTCAGCCAAGGGGTCAGCAAAGGCTTTTCACAGGGAAGACACTTGCACTGACTTAAAGAAAGATTAGAAATTAGCTACAGAAAAAAGGGGGAGAAGACATTAGAGGGCAAAATAGAAGAAAAATTACTATGTCCCCAGGAGTGAAGGTGTAAAACTACATGGTATATCCAAAGAACTCCAGGCAGCTTGATATTGCCAGAGCATGAAGTATGGTATGAGAAAGATGGGAGTGAGGCAGGAAAGACTAGGAAAACCTTCTCTGCCCTCCCAGAGAGATGGGATCTGTCCTATGGGTCACGGAGAACAATTAAAAGACTTTATGTAAAGGAATGACCATATAGGGAAGGAAGGAGACTGAAGGTCTGTAGACTGACCAGGAGTTTGTTGTGAAAGAAGATAAGGATCAAGAGAAAGAGGATAAGGACCTGAATTCTGGTGGTGAAGATGGGGCTGGAGACGAAACGGTAAGTATAAGAAATGTTCAAAGGTCAACACTGAAAGAAGATAGTGTTTTATTGGATATGGACCCTGAGGGATGGGTCTTAGATAACTCCTAGGTTTCCAGCATAGGAGACAACATAGATTGTGGTGCCATCAACAGGGTTAGAGACTGCAGGGGTCGGAATAGGTTTGAGGGGAGAAGATGACACTCTAAAGAAGTACTTCTCAAAATACGTCCTCAAAAACCCTCCACTGGCCTCCAGACAGCTCCTTGTAACACTGATTATTAGCACTCCCCTTGAATGTCACAGCTGGAGAGTGACCTAACAGATCATTAAGCCTGGTCACTTTACAGCTGTGTGCCGTCAAGTTGAGGGGTGCTAGGGCAGGTAGGACTCCAGAATGCCTCCCCAGATGCAACCCAGGAGGGTCTACTTTTACCTAGTGTGTATATTATAATTCTTCATAAGACTTAGATCACAAAAAGAAAATCACAGTTTGAAAACCACTGACAACCTCTTCTTTTACAGAGAGGAAACTGAGGCCCATGGAGGTGAAATAATTTGTCCACAGATACAAGTCTATAGCAGAGGCTGAGCTAGATCCGTGACACAGAGTTCATCACATGTCAATTCCAAGTGTCCTCCATGCTGTGGTTTCCTCCATGAAGCCACTGCTTTTGCTGTGTTTTTTGGAGCTAGCTTCAAAAACCTCCTTTTTAAAGAAACTCAGTTATCAGCTTCTTCAGTTGTATTTATTTAATAAATATTCATTGAACATCTTCTGCATGCCAAGCCTTCTTTTTTCAAGAACACCTGAGCATCTCTGTTTGGATTCCCAGTTGTAATTTTTGATTCTTTGGGAGTTCTGACAGGGTCTTCAACTAGTGTTCCACTATAACTGGATGTGGTTATGACCCAAGAGGGGTTTTAGTCCCTAGTAAAGAGGGTTAACATCAAAGACATGGGTTTCCTAATTCACTGGAAGATTACAGCTGATTTACATGTTTAAGGTAATTTTTGAAAATATGTTTTTAAAAATCTATAAATTTCCTAAGGTATTTTAAGATTCTATTCATAATTTTTTAAATAATTACTTTTCAGTGTTACATTAATTTTTTCATATATACATATAAGAACTCGCTGGAAATAATGCCCCAAAACTCAATAAACCTAACTTTACAAAACTGAGAACTGGCATCTGAAATAATTACAGGATAGATTGTTTTCCAAAAAATGAGAATTCACATAAAATAAAATAAATTTGATAACCCCTTCCTCCCCATCATACTAATTCAACAGCTGCTTGTACTGACAGGGTAATTCCTAAAACAAGGGAAAGCAAATCCTTGCTCAATCTAGAAAAATAGAGACAAATGTAGCTAAGGGGTTACAACAACCTGTTGACCTCTTTCCAGTCTTGAGAATCTTGTCTCAGGACTCCCAGAAGGGAGCAGCGGCTTGCTTCGTTGTAAAGCGTGTGAGTCAGGGTAGAAACAGGAGCCAGCCAGAGAAAGTCCTCCTGCTCATGGACTGCCAGAGATGAGATTCGCACAGGCCTTTTCAGGAACATTATATAACATCTCGCTGCAGGAAGGAAAACCACTGCTCAGTCTCTCCTGTTGGGGAATTCATTCTTCATCTTATGAAGCTCTTTAAAATATAGGGCCAAGGAATCAGTCTTTCTTCCACTGCCTCTTTACACTTCACCACCCAGCCCCACCCCGTTTTCTTTCTGTACTCCTCCCATCTGCAAATGGTTTTTAAAATCAGAAATTCTGTGTATATCAACAAGTATAAAACCCAGCTAGCAGGGGTGGGTTGCAAGAACAAAGAAGGGGGGAAAAAAGGAGAAAATCCAAGATTATGGTACAAATCGATTACAAGGCTCACTCATTACAGCCTATTTCTTTTTTTTTTTTTTTTTTTTTTTTTTTTGAGACAGGGTCTCACTCACTCTAATCATGCAGGCTGGAGTGCGGTGGCATAATCATGGCTCACTGCAGCCTTAACTTCCCAGACTTAGCTGATCCTCCCACCTCAGTCTCCTGAGTAGCTGGGATCACAGGTGCGCACCACCACACCTGGCTAATTTTTTAGTAGAGACATGGTTTTACCATGTTGCCCAGGCTGGTCTTGAACTCCTGGGCTCTAGAAATCACCTGCCTCAGCCTCCAAAAGTGCCGAGATCGCAGGTATGAGCCACCACACCCAGCCTAACCCATTTCTTTATAGGTGAGAAATCAAAGTGACTCATCTAAGATTACTCCACCCACTGTTCTCACACAGTGGTATTATTGAGTATAGGAGACAAATAAGCAAACAGGAAAGTTTTAAAGATCAGGCAAAAGCTTTACTGGCTCCACAGGCCTGCATTTCCATCAGTTTCGTTTACATAGAAAAGCATATTAGTGAATGGTCACAGTGAATCTTAGAGGGAGCAAGCATATGGTTAGTGCTTATCCCCATTACCTCTCGAAGTCCAAGGAAATTCAGAGTTAATCTTCTTTTGAGATGATCATGTTTTGGATATTTTGATCTGGTGTCCTGGAAAATCTCATTTAACAGCAGTTTTGTTGATTCACTCAACAAATGTTAACTAGAAGCTTACTTTACACCAGCCCTCCAAAGTCGTGAGCAAGACAGCCCAGGTCTTTTACTCTCTTGCTTATCTGTCTTAACCTTGTCACTGCATGGTCATGGTGCTGGAGCCACATTTCTTTCCCAAACCCAATAAATGGACCTATCAGCTTTTTCTTACAAAGTAGTTGAAAATGGCTTAAAAATCTCTTGAAGCTCATGTTCTGTGTCATAAATAACAATATTGGTTTATCATCTCTGTATGCCTCCTTCGGGTGTTCTGGCTTCCTTCTTTCTGAGAATTCTTCTGCCATGTGGACTGGCCTTGTCTAAATGCAATGACACTGAGTTACACATTAATGGAACTCCACGTAGCACATGAAGCCTCAATGGGAACATTTAACAAAATGAAATGCTTTGGTGAGCTCTTCAAATTCATTAGAGTCCAATGATCAAAGATGTCCTGGAACAGATAACTAAATGTGGATTGGAAATACGAGGTAGATAGGTCACAGAGTCTTCTGGCAAGTCCTTGGAAACATCAGATCAAATGCCAAAGGTCTAAAATGCCAAAGGTCTTTAGTATGACTATGAAATTAGTATAGGCCCACATCCCTAGGAGTGAAAAAACTTACACTGGGTCTAAAACATAGTCGATTGCCTATGAAAAAGCAAATTGTCAAATAAAAAAATGGAAAATGTGACCCAGCTCTGGGAGGCAATGGTCCTAGAGATTAAAAATGTGGCTCATCTGGTCCCAAATTCATAGAGACAGAAAGTAGAATGGGGGTTTCTGGGGCTGGGAGGAAAGGGGACTGGGGAGTTATGGTTTGATGGGTATAGAGATTCTGTTTAGAAAGATGAAAAAGTTTCTGTAAATGGGTGGTGGTGATGGTTGCACAACAATGGGAGTGTATTTAATACCACTGAACTGTAAACTTAAAACATAATTAAAATGGGAAGTTTTATGTTATATATATTTTAACACAATTTAAAAAGTGGAAGCTGGGCAGGAAAGAAGAGTATAATGGATTGTCCATATTAGTTCATTCTGCCTAGTTCCTAAACCAGAATTTACCCACATGAACATTTTGAGCTTTGACTTCTTCATATATAAATGTTAATCATGGTGCCAAATTCACAGTTGCTTGAAAGGATCAAATTAATTTTTGAATGTGAAGGGGTAAAGAAGCATGTGGCCCATCTAAGTATTCAACAAATATTACCTCTTATTACTGTATCTCTTCTGGATATTTCAACTTGCTGTTTATTACTATGAATAAAAATATTATACAATGCCTTCAATAAGTTTGTGAAAATTTCCTTTAATTACCACATTAGATATAACTTTTTTTGCATATAATGCACCATATGGGGAAAAAAAGTGGTTTTGAAATATTGTTCTTGCTTTCTCTACTTTTATTTTATTAAATTTAGTTAGGATAGGGTTAAAAGTCAAAGCAAACATCCTATCAGCTAGCAGTAGTCTACTGACACCAAAAAAGTCCCATTGGTATGAGAAACTGATTGCAAGTAGAATGGTCTAAGGATTCCTTAAAACAAATCTTATAACAACCCATGTCTTTCTCAATTACCAGAATGCTCTGTAATACCTGATAAGTATTTGTCAAGACAATATACATCAGTAAATTTAATTACACATTTATTGAGCTTATATTTTATACAAAATATTGTGCATGGTGCTCTAGGAAAAGTTACGACGTAACATACATGTCCCTGTTCTCAAGGAGCTGCTGTCATGAAGAAAAGTCAATTTCCTCAGCAAGTCTTGATTACATACTTCTCCCAAGACAATTCTGAATAAAGGTAAGAAAAACTGAAAATTTTTTCCAAACTGTAAGAAACCTTTGATTGAATCACTCTGTCTTATACCATAGCTTAGAGGATATATTTTCCTTTATGCATTCCGATATTTGAGAATAATGAATTCAAAAATTACTGGAAAAAGAAGATCTGTAATTGACTGCCTAAGGAAACTATAAAAATCCTTTCAAAATTCCCACCAGGAGTAGAAGCGAAGTGGATTCAGATACAATCTGAAATCTTCCCGAGCTTTCTCCACTGGAATTCTAATCAGTGAGACCCCTTTAAGCAGTTTTAAAGCTGCTTAATTTAAATACAGGAAGTGTTTCCTTAGGCCCCTAATACTTTGGCAGAGCTGATCCTATTTCCTGAGATTAAATAGAAGAAAATTCTTTCCTCAGGAGATTGAACCACACACAATAAGATCATTCATTAGAATGTTCATATAAATTCAAAATATACCAGGGGAAGACCAAATGTCGTCTTCATAAAGGGTAACAGCCTAGAAATGCTAAGTGGAGCCATGACTGGTTTTACTCTTGAGTTTTGGCCTTTGCGGAATATACGTTCCCCGGGAAGAATTATTGAAGTGACAACTCATTTTCACAATGAAACCAAGTACAAGACAGCTAAGATAAATAAATAAATTAATTATTAAATATTTTATTCTAAATAAAAACCATCTGTCAATATTGTTTGTTTTTTAACAATATTTATTCATGAAAATAAAGCTGTACCTTCTATAATGTGATCCTTACTCTACTTTGCACCACTTAAGACTTAGCAATAGGAAAATCTCATAAACTTTAGGAAGTCTGCATTTTGATCTGTCAGGGAAAGGGAAAGCTTAATACCAAAACCTGCTACTCAAATGCCTGATTGGTAAGCGGAGTGCAAAAGGATACCTCTAAAACTTTTGTATTGTTCCATAAAAGAAAGGGGAACACTTTGCCATCTCTTGCCATCCTTCTGTAAATTGACATCACCTCACTAAATTTGACAGCTAAATAGTGTTCTGATGGTTGTTGAGACTTGTGTGTCAGATTTAAAAACGTTATTGTTGAGGCTTACTTTGATGGTAAGATTTTAGAGGCCTACTTCCTTGCTAAACAAATGTATTATAGAGTGATGGATAACAGAGATTCTAAGGATTACAATGAGAGATCAAGGAGTTCACCTGCAATATCTATGCATTGACAGCCGACTTTATTGAAGTTTCACAATATTAACTGCCTCTCTGTGGACTGGCTTAACCAGGTAGGTGATTATCAATTTATCACCAGTCAAAACACAGATTGCTTCATGTACGGTGTCTGTGGCATAATCATGTACCTTGAATCTCATCAAACTCGAATGATCCTACTAGGATGATTCTTATAAGACTGAGAAAGAAACATTAATTGGGAACTTCTCTAATGAAATTGTGTCTAATTCTCAGTTTGATAGAACATCATTCCTGGAGCCTTGATTAAGAATTCACCATTCCAAAAGGGGGTAAAGAAAGCCTGAGAGATAGAATGGAGAGAGAACTAAGGTTTTCACTTCCTCTTCTTGAGCCTTGCTTCTTTTAACAATTCCTCACTCCCACTCCAGGGACAGAAGGCAAGAAATTGAAGAGTCCTCAAAATCCACTCCAGAGGGGAAGAATTGTGCCCTGAAACTCCATCTAGCAGTATACAAACTGACTGAATTGCATATAGGAAATTATCTGGGATAACCATGGACCAGCACCAAGATGCCTGCATGACCTATTTGGCCCTATTTTCAATACTGCAAGAGCTTTTAAGTTTTATAATTCCACTGTATTTTCTGAGTCTATCTTTTAACAAAATCTGACCTTTCTCCACACATTGAATTCCATTAGCTGCTATCCCAATTAATATTTGTTAAAGGCAGGCAATGAGAGAGAAGATTTTGGCCTTAAGTTTTTGTCTGATCAGGGCACAAATAAATAGCTACACTAGGCAGGGAACAGTATAGCCTGTAATCCTAGCACTTTGGGAGGCCGAGGCAAGAGGATCACTTGAGGCTGGCCAGGAGTTTGAGATCAGCCTGAGCAACAAAACAAGACACCATCTCTACAAAAAAATTTAAAAATTAGCCTGTGGTAGCGGCACACCTGTGGTCCCAACTATTTGGGAGGCTAAAGTGGGAGAATCACTTGAGCCCAGGAGGTCGAGGTTGCAGTGAGCTGTGATTGTGCCACTGCACTCCAGCCTGGGCAACAGAGCAAGATCCTGTCTCAAAAAAAAAAAAAAAAACTACACTAGCAAACACTAATTGACCACTATATTGACCAGGCACTATTCTAAGTACTTTTTCTATATTAATTTGTTTAATCTTCTAACCCTATGAGGAAAGTACTATTATTTTTCCTGTGTGATTCTTGAGAAATTTGATGAATAGAAATATTAAGTAACTTGCCCAAGATTACCCAGCCTGCAGATTGAGTGCCGGTGGATGACCCTAGAGCCTTATAAATTCTAAAACCCAATCTCTTTTCAGTCATACACTGATTAGATTGAGATTGAGTCTCTTTGCCCTTATTCTAGCTGCCTACCATTGTATGAAGTAGAACCTCTAGAGGAGTCATCTACAGCTTCTACAGTTTTTCATACAAAATGTCTGGCACTCAATTTTAAAAATGCCAAACGTACCAAGAAACAGGACAAAAAGTAAAAAGACAATAGAAACAGGGCCAGAGATGATGCAAATAATAGAGTTATCAAACTTGGATTCAAATGTTCAAAAAATAGAGGACAAGAAAACTTTGCCAAATGGAATCTTAAAAAAATCAGGTGAAAATGCTAGAACTGAAAAAAATATAATAAAGCTAACAATTCAATAGATGAGTTTAATAGTAGACAAAACACAGGTGAAAAGATTAGTACTGTAAGATATCTCAGAAGAAAATACTCAGACCAGAGCATGAAGAGAAAAAATAAAAATACAGAGAAGAGTACAAGAGATACACAGGAGATGGCAGAATCCTAACATAAGTGTTCTTGAGGCCCCAGAAGAGAATTAGAAAGGAAATGGTGGCAAAACAAATATTTAAAGAGAAAATGTCTGCAAATTTTCCAAAACAGATAAAAGATGTTAAACCTCAACAGGATAAATACATTACTAGTCACTTCACAGTGAAATTGCCAAATGACAAAAACAAATAATAAACCATAAGAACAGCCAGATAAAAAAGCAAATTGCCTTCAAAGGAACTACAATGACAACTAAGTTCTCAACAGAAACCATGGAAGCCAGAAGAAAATAGAATAACATCTTGAAGTGCTGAAAGAAATTGTTGGAAACTCAGCAATCTATATCCAGTGAATACCTTTCCAATTTAATACAAGATTTTGTAGATAATACAGATTTTTGTCAGCAGATCCACACTAAAAGAAATACTGATGGGAGTTCTTTAGACAGAAAGGAAATGATCCCAGCTGGAAAGACAGAATTGCAGAGAGGAATGAGGAGCAACAGAGAGGTAAATATGAGTATAAATATAAATGGCTATTGACTACAAAGTAATAATAATATTTTATGGAGTTTAAAATACATGTATCATTAAAATGTATGACAGCAATAACTCAAACAGACAAGAAATAAATGAAGTTAATATGTTCTTAAATCCTAGCATTGTCTGAGAAGTGATAAAACTATTAATTTATATTAGACTCTATTAAGTAAAGAATGCATGTTGTTATAGCCAATAAATATAATTCCAAATATATCAGTAATTACATTAAATGTAATGGACTAAATGCTTCAATTGAAAGACAAAGTTTATCCAACTCAAAGAAAAAATAAAAATTCAACCATATGTTGCCTAAATAAGCATATCTTAAGTATAAGGACACAGAAAGGTTGACAGTAAAAGAATGGAAGGAGAGATATGTAAACACTACTATCAAAAATAAAAAAGGAGATTTGATAATGGTGTTTACAAATTAATCTACCAGAAAGATAAGATAATTTCAGATTTGTATTCTCCCAAAAAATGTGCAGCAAATATTGACATCTAAAAGTACGAAGAGATAAATCCACAATGATAGTGGATACTTTAACACATTTTTCTCAGTTACTTATTAAATGATCAACTAGAAGGTATCATTAATAAACTTGACTTAGTTATTGTATAAAAAATTATGCATCTAATAAGGGAACATGTGACACTTGTCAGGACTGACCATATGCTGGGCTATAAAACAAGTCCCCAAGTTCAAACAAATTTCAAAATATTGAAACCATTAATGTATTCTCTGACCTCAGTAGAATTAAGCTAGAAACCAGTAACAAAAATGATAACTAGAACATCCCACAATTATTTGGAAATTGGTCAAAGAAGAAATCACAATGGAAATTAGAAAATATTTTGAACTGAATGATAATAACATAACATATCAAAACTTGTGGATATAGGCCACGTTGTCTTAGTGGGAAAAGCCAGTGGCAGTGGTTACTTGGGAAAAGAGGGATGATGACCAGGAGGCAGCATAGGCAGGGCCACTTGGGAGCTGGCAATGTTCTATGTCTTGCAGGAGGAGGTGATTACATGAGTGTTTTACCTTTATGAAAAATTCCCTGAGGAGCCAAGATGGCCGAATAGGAACAGCTCCGGTCTACAGCTCCCAGCGTGAGCGACGCAGAAGACGGGTGATTTCTGCATTTCCATCTGAGGTACCAGGTTCATCTCACTAGAGAGTGCCAGACAGTGGGCGCAGGCCACTGGGTGCGCGCACCATGCGCGAGCCAAAGCAGGGCGAGGCATTGCCTCACTCGGGAAGCGCAAGGGGTCAGGGAGTTCCCTTTCCTAGTCAAAGAAAGGGGTGACGGATGGCACCTGGAAAATCGGGTCACTCCCACCCTAATACTGGGCTTTTCCGACGGGCTTAAAAAATGGTGCACCACGAGATTATATCCCACACCTGGCTCGGAGGGTCCTACGCCCACGGAGTCTCGCTGATTGCTAGCACAGCAGTCTGAGATCAAACTGCAAGGCAGCAGCGAGGCTGGGGGAGGGGCGCCCGCCATTGCCCAGGCTTGCTGAGGTAAACAAAGCAGCCGGGAAGCTCGAACTGGGTGGAGCCCACCACAGCTCAAGGAGGCCTGCCTGCCTCTGTAGGCTCCACCTCTGGGGGCCGGGCACAGACAAACAAAAAGACAGCAGTAACCTCTGCAGACTTAAATGTCCCTGTCTGACAGCTTTGAAGAGAGCAGTGATTCTCCCAGCACACAGCTGGAGATCTGAGAATGGGCAGACTGCCTCCTCAAGTGGGTCCCTGACCCCTGACCCCCGAGCAGCCTAACTGGGAGGCACCCCCCAGCAGGGGCACACGGACACCTCACACAGCAGGGTATTCCAACAGACCTGCAGCTGAGGGTCCTGTCTGTTAGAAGGAAAACTAACAAACAGAAAGGACATCCACACCAAAAACCCATCTGTACATCACCATCATCAAAGACCAAAAGTAGATAAAACCACAAAGATGGGGAAAAAACAGAACAGAAAAACTGGAAACTCTAAAAAGCAGAGTGCCTCTCCTCCTCCAAAGGAACGCAGTTCCTCACCAGCAATGGAACAAAGCTGGATGGAGAACGACTTTGACGAGCTGAGAAAAGAAGGCTTCAGACGATCAAATTACTCTGAGCTACGGGAGGACATTCAAACCAAAGGCAAAGAAGTTGAAAACTTTGAAAAAAAATTTAGAAGAATGTCTAACTAGAATAACCAATACAGAGAAGTGTTTAAAGGAGCTGATGGAGCTGAAAACCAAGGCTCGAGAACTACGTGAAGAATGCAGAAGCCTCAGGAGCCGATGCGATCAACTGGAAGAAAGGGTATCAGCGATGGAAGATGAAATGAATGAAATGAAGCGAGAAGGGAAGTTTAGAGAAAAAAGAATAAAAAGAAATGAGCAAAGCCTCCAAGAAATATGGGACTATGTGAAAAGACCAAATCTACATCTGATTGGTGTACCTGAAAGTGACGGGGAGAATGGAACCAAGTTGGAAAACACTCTGCAGTATATTATCCAGGAGAACTTCCCCAATCTAGCAAGGCAGGCCAACGTTCAGATTCAGGAAATACAGAGAACGCCACAAAGATACTCCTCGAGAACAGCAACTCGAAGACACATAATTGTCAGATTCACCAAAGTTGAAATGAAGGAAAAAATGTTAAGGGCAGCCAGAGAGAAAGGTCGGGTTACCCTCAAAGGGAAGCCCATCAGACTAACAGCGGATCTCTCGGCAGAAACCCTACAAGCCAGAAGAGAGTGGGGGCCAATATTCAACATTCTTAAAGAAAAGAATATTCAACCCAGAATTTCATATCCAGCCAAACTAAGCTTCATAAGTGAAGGAGAAATAAAATACTTTACAGAGAAGCAAATGCTGAGAGATTTTGTCACCACCAGGCCTGCCTTAAAAGAGCTCCTGAAGGAAGCACTAAACATGGAAAGGAACAACCGGTACCAGCCGCTGCAAAATCATGCCAAAATGTAAAGACCATCGAGACTAGGAAGAAACTGCATCAACTAAAGAGCAAAATAACCAGCTAACATCATAATGACAGGATCAAATTCACACATAACCATATTAACTTTAAATGTAAATGGACTAAATGCTCTAATTAAAAGACACAGACTGGCAAATTGGATAAACAGTCAAGACCCATCAGTGTGCTGTATTCAGGAAACCCATCTCACGTGCAGAGACACATAGGCTCAAAATAAAGGGATGGAGGAAGATCTACCATGCAAATGGAAAACAAAAAAAGGCAGGGGTTGCAATCCTAGTCTCTGATAAAACAGACTTTAAACCAATAAAGATCAAAAGAGACAAAGAAGGCCATTACATAATGGTAAGGGATCAATTCAACAAGAAGAGCTAACTATCCTAAATATATATGCACCCAATACAGGAGCACCCAGATTCATAAAGCAAGTCCTGAGTGACCTACAAAGAGACTTAGACTCCCACACATTAATAATGGCAGACTTTAACACCCCACTGTCAACATTAGACAGATCAACAAGACAGAAAGTCAACAAGGATACCCAGGAATTGAACTCAGCTCTGCACCAAGCAGACCTAATAGACATCTACAGAACTCTCCACCCCAAATCAACAGAATATACATTTTTTTCAGCACCACACCACACCTATTGCAAAATTGACCACATACTTGGAAGTAAAGCTCTCCTCAGCAAATGTAAAAGAACAGAAATTATAACAAACTATCTCTCAGACCACAGTGCAATCAAACTAGAACTCAGGATTAAGAATCTCACTCAAAACCGCTCAACTACATGGAAACTGAACAACCTGCTCCTGAATGACTACTGGGTACATAATGAAATGAAGGCAGAAATAAAGATGTTCTTTGAAACCAACGAGAACAAAGACACAACATACCAGAATCTCTGGGACGCATTCAAAGCAGTGTGTAGAGGGAAATTTATAGCACTAAATGCCCACAAGAGAAAGCAGGAAAGATCCAAAATTGACACCCTAACATCACAATTAAAAGAACTAGAAAAGCAAGAGCAAACACATTCAAAAGCTAGCAGAAGGCAAGAAATAACTAAAATCAGAGCAGAACTGAAGGAAATAGAGACACAAAAAACCCTTCAAAAAATTAATGAATCCAGGAGCTGGTTTTTTGAAAGGATCAACAAAATAGATAGACCACTAGCAAGACTAATAAAGAAAAAAAGACAGAAGAATCAAATAGACGCAATAAAAAATGATAAAGGGGATATCACCACCGATCCCGCAGAAATACAACTACCATCAGAGAATACTACAAACACCTCTACACAAATAAACTAGAAAATCTAGAAGAAATGTATAAATTCCTCGACACATACACTCTCCCAAGACTAAACCAGGAAGAAGTAGAATCTCTGAATAGACCAATAACAGGATCTGAAATTGTGGCAATAATCAATAGCTTACCAACCAAAAAGAGTCCAGGACCAGATGGATTCACAGCCGAATTCTACCAGAGGTACAAGGAGGAACTGATACCATTCCTTCTGAAACTATTCCAATCAATAGAAAAAGAGGGAATCCTCCCTAACTCATTTTATGAGGCCAGCATCATTCTGATACCAAAGCCGGGCAGAGACACAACCAAAAAAGAGAATTTTAGACCAATATCCTTGATGAACATTGATGCAAAAATCCTCAATAAAATACTGGCAAAATGAAACCAGCAGTACATCAAAAAGCTTATCCACCATGATCAAGTGGGCTTCATCCCTGGGATGCAAGGCTGGTTCTATATATGCAAATCAATAAATGTAATCCAGCGTATAAACAGAGCCAAAGAGAAAAACCACATGATTATCTCAATAGATGCAGAAAAGGCCTTTGACAAAATTCAATAACCCTTCATGCTAAAAACTCTCAATAAATTAGGTATTGATGGGACGTATTTCAAAATAATAAGAGCTATCTATGACAAACCCACAGCCAATATCATACTGAATGGGCAAAAACTGGAAGCATTCCCTTTGAAAACTGGCACAAGACAGGGATGCCCTCTCTCACCACTCCTATTCAACATAGTGTTGGAAGTTCTGGCCAGGGCAATTAGGCAGGAGAAGGAAATAAAGGGTATTCAATCAGGAAAAGAGGAAGTCAAATTGTCCCTGTTTGCAGACGACATGATTGTATATCTAGAAAACCCCATTGTCTCAGCCCAAAATCTCCTTAAGCTGATAAGCAACTTCAGCAAAGTCTCAGGATACAAAATCAATGTACAAAAATCACAAGCATTCTTATACACCAATAACAGACAAACAGAGAGCCAAATCATGAGTGAACTCCCATTCACAATTGCTTCAAAGAGAATAAAATACCTAGGAATCCAACTTACAAGGGATGTGAAGGACCTCTTCAAGGAGAACTACAAACCACTGCTCAATGAAATAAAAGAGGATACAAACAAATGGAAGAACATTCCATGCTCATGGGTAGGAAGAATCAATATCATGAAAATGGCCATACTGCCCAAGGTAATTTATAGATTCAATGCCATCCCCATCAAGCTACCAATGACTTTCTTCACAGAATTGGAAAAAACTACTTGAAAGTTCATATGGAACCAAAAAAGAGCCCGCATCACCAAGTCAATCCTAAGCCAAAAGAACAAAGCTGGAGGCATCACACTACCTGACTTCAAACTATACTACAAGGCTACAGTAACCAAAACAGCATGGTACTGGTACCAAAACAGAGATATAGATCAATGGAACAGAACAGAGCCCTTAGAAATAATGCCACGTATCTACAACTATCTGATCTTTGACAAACCTGAGAAAAACAAGAAATGGGGAAAGGATTCCCTATTTAATAAATGGTGCTGGGAAAACTGGCTAGCCATATGTAGAAAGCTGAAACTGGATCCCTTCTTTACACCTTATACAAAAATCAATTCAAGATGGATTAAAGACTTAAATGTTAGACCTAAAACCATAAAAACCCTAGAAGAAAACCTAGGCAATACCATTCAGGGCATAGGCATGGGCAAGGACTTCATGTCTAAAACACCAAAAGCAATGGCAACAAAAGACAAAATTGACAAATGGGATCTAATTAAAGAGCTTCTGTACAGCAAAAGAAACTACCGTCAGAGTGAACAGGCAACCTACAAAATGGGAGAAAATTTTTGCAACCTACTCATCTGACAAAGGGCTAATATCCAGAATCTACAATGAACTCAAACAAATTTACAAGAAAAAAACAAACAACCCCATCAAAAAGTGGGCGAAGGACATGAACAGACACTTCTCAAAAGAAGACATTTATGCAGCCAAAAAACACATGAAAAAATGCTCATCATCACTGGCCATCAGAGAAATGCAAATCAAAACCACAATGAGATACCATCTCACACCAGTTAGAATGGCAATCATTAAAAAGTCAGGAAACAACAGGTGCTGGAGAGGATGTGGAGAAATAGGAACACTTTTACACTGTTGGTGGGACTGTAAACTAGTTCAACCATTGTGGAAGTCAGTGTGGCGATTCCTCAGGGATCTAGAACTAGAAATACCATTTGACCCAGCCATCCCATTACTGGGTATATACCCAAGCGACTATAAATCATGCTACTATAAAGACACATGCACACGTATGTTTATTGCAGCACTATTCACAATAGCAAAGACTTGGAACCAACCCAAATGTCCAACAATGATAGACTGGATTAAGAAAATGTGGCACATATACACCATGGAATACTATGCAGCCATAAAAAATGATGAGTTCATGTCCTTTGTAGGGACATGGATGAAATTGGAAATCATCATTCTCAGTAAACTATTGCAAGAACAAAAAACCAAACACCGCATATTCTCACTCATAGGTGGGAATTGAACAATGAGATCACATGGACACAGGAAGGGGAACATCACACTCTGGGGACTGTTGTGGGGTGGGGGGAGGGGGGAGGGATAGCATTGGGAGATATACCTAATGCTAAATGACGAGTTAGTGGGTGCAGCGCACCAGCGTGGCACATGTATACATATGTAACTAACCTGCACAATGTGCACATGTACCCTAAAACTTAAAGTATAATAATAAAAGAAAAAAAAGAAAAAAGAAAAATTCCCCAAGCTACATATTTATGCTTTGGGCATTTTTATGCATGCATGCTATATTTGAAGAAAGAGTTTACTTAAAAACAAACTATAAATTATTCCTGACTCCTGTTTTTCTCACATCCCACATTCAGTTCATCAACATTTCCTGTTGGCTTTAATTCAAAGTACATCCAGAATCTGGCCATTTCTTGCTACCTCCCCAGCTACTAATCTTGTCTGAACCAACAGCATCTCTCTGTCTTCATTTCAATTTCATGACTGCTCTCCCTGCTTCGGCCCTTGTTTCCTATAGGCTTTGGTCAACATAGTGACCAGGTGAACTGTTAATGCTGAATCAGATCCAGATCAAGTCACCAATCTCCATCCACCAAATTGTCCAATTGGATTCTTATTTTGTGCACAATAAAATCCAAAGGATTCTTACGATCTTTGCTCTACATAATTTGAAACACCATCTCCTCTCCTATACCACCTCCTACCACTACCTTGTGTTTGCTCTGCACTAGCTTTACTGCCTCATCACTCTTCCCAGGCAGGCCAGGCACATTCCTGCCCCATGACATTTGCACTCACCATTCCCTCTCCCTGTTTCTTCCCCTAGATTCACAAAGCAGGTTCTCTCCAATATCACCTTCTTCTGTGACCATTATCTATCATTTTAATTCCCTCCACCCCAAACAACCTCCAATCCCTCTTCAGTTTAATTCACCAAATATTAATCCAGCACCCGTATGAGGCAAGTACTGTCCTAGGTGCTCAGGACAAAACAGCAAACCAAACAAGATTCCTGCATTGATGGGGCTTGCAGTCTAGCATGGGGAAACAAACAAATAATAAACATAAATGCATTAATAATTATACAGTGTGTTAGACGTATATAAATGCTATGCATAGAAAACTAGAACAGAGTAAGGGATATTAGTGACACTGTTCAGAGGGGATGAGAAAAGAGTTGTAATTGGAAATAGCACTTTCAGGGCAAGCTTTAGTGAGAATAACATCAGAACAAAATTTTGAAGGTAGTAAGGAAATTAGCCATGCAGATGCAGGGGGAAGAGCTTTCCAAACGGGCAGAAGAAATGCCAAGGCCAAAGGTAGGAGTGAGTGTGTCTGACATGCCTGAGGATCAGTAAAAAGGCATCCATGGCTACAGTGGTTTGTAGGGTGAGCAACTGTCCAAGTTTGCCAGGTACTCAGGGGTGTCCTTAGATGTGTGACTTTCAGTGGTAAGGCAGGAGCATCCATGGCAAACCAAGATAGTTACTTGGTCATCTTAGATCGATATAGTTTTTGGAGGAGAGTCAGAGAAGTAACAGAGGGAGGACGGGGAATAGGGGTTGGAATAAGGATTCTCATGAAGAACCATGATAACTATTTTAAGGACCTTGTCTTTTAGAATGAAAAAAATGGGGACCCACAGGAGAGTTTTAAAGAGAAAAATGGTATGATCTGACTTACATTTTAAAAGACTTGGTCTGATTGCAGTGTTGAAAATGGGATATAAAAGGACAAGAGCAGAAGAAAAGCCACCATCTTGAATACTATTGCAATAACCCAGGCAAGAGATGATGCTGGCTTGGAACAAGGAGCTACCAGCAGAGGTAGTGATGAGTGGTCAGATTCTGGATATATTTTGAAGGTTAAAAAAAATTTCCTAACAGGTTGGATGAGGGATAGAAGAGAAAGAGGAAGGATGACTTCCAGAGTTTTGATCCAAGCAACTGGAAAAATAGAATTGCCATCAGCTGAGATGAGAACAAATGAACATAGAGCAAGTTTGAAGAGAAAAAAAATTAGTTCCATATTATGTCCTTTTTTCTCCTTTATTTTCCTCCATAACTCTTACCAACATTGACATACTATATATTTTACTTACTTATTTATCATCTGTATTCACCCACTAGAATGTAATCTCCAACAAGGCAAAGACTTTTGTTTTCATTCACTGCTATGTCACCAGCATCTAGAATAAATTTATTCATTCCATAAACATTTATGGAGTACTTCCTAGATGATTAGAACTGTGCTAGGCTCCAGGAATACAATAAGCACAATATATGTTTGTAGGATTGCCAGATAAAATATAGAATAACCAGTTAAATTTGAATGGCATAATGAATAATTTTTAGTATAAGTATTTTCTATACTCAAATATTCAAATATGTATGTTCCATATTCAAATATCCAATTATGGGACTACTTATACTAAAAATTATTTGTTGTTTGTCTGGAAAATACATTTAGGAGTCCTGTATTTTTATTTGCTAAATCTAACAACCCTATGTGCTTTCTGCCTTCAAGGAACTTAGAGTATGATAGGATATATAGACAAAGAAACAATCTGTATATAATAACCTAGGAATCCAGGACGCCTTCAGAGCACACAGGACGAATAACAAATAAAGATTCTAAAGGGGCATCCAAGAAGCTTCCTGAAAGAAGTGATATGGCAACCGAGAGTAGCATTATCTACTGGAAAAAGAGAAGAAAGAGCATGCCAGGAAGATGGAACAACATGAGCCAAGCTTGAAGGGAGGAGAGACTATGGGGCACCCAGGAAGCTGAAATTTGACCTGGTATCCTGAATGTACCTAGAGAACATGGCGGTGTGAGATGGGAGTTGAAGGAGTTATATCACCACAAAATATTGCTGCAATACACACTTGGCTGAGCAATTACTTTACCAGATATCTAGACCGAGGCCAGAAAACATAAGCACCTACAGCCAAGAGCAAAAGCAGCAATAGTGACTGTCTTCCCCACCCCACCAGGCAGTTGTGGCAGCAACCACAGAGTGTTCTGAGATTCACTGCCCACCAGCGGCACTTTGTCAGCTTGAACCATCGTGACCAAGGGCAAAATGGAGGACAGCTTTTGTACAGCTCATTCTGAACAGTAATGTTGTGTCCCCAGCTCCCAGGCAGACAGAACAAAGACTGATTTCTTAAAAACAGATAAACACCATGAGGAGTTTAGGGAGGGAGGAAATCCCATGGAAAAGACTAGAATTTACTTAGCAAAATGGGCAAAGTTTGGAGCCCTTTGTGATCCTATTTTGAATCCACAGGACGGGGAAACTCTTGTGACATTTGGGTTCTACTGGAGCACATGTTCTCAACAAGGGTGATCTCACCCAAAGGAGGAGAAATTGGTTCTTGAGGGGAAAAAAATCTTCGATATTATAATGGTTTGTTGCCTTCCAAAAGGTCACAATGCATAAAAAGATATACAAGTCTATCTGCAGTATTAAAATTTCACCAGAGAATGGAGTAAGGGGAAAAGTGAGGAGAATTAAGGTGGAAAAATGTCTAAAAAGGCTATCTGGGGGAAATAATGAGAAAAACTGAGAAACATTAAACTAAAACAAAGTTCTACTTGAGGGCTGGAGACCAGGACAGCTTAAAAGATGTGTTGTCCTGGGAGAAGAGTAGGGGGCAAGGATAGGAAGGAGTGGAATGGATGGCATTCTGAGTGGCAGAAACAGCGTATGCACAGACCTAGAGAAGGTAAACAACATAAAATGCAATAGCATGGTCAAATAAGATAAGGTCTGAGAAAGGTTTATTGGATTTAGCAATTAGGAGGTCACTGGCCATTTAACCTCCTTGTGCTTCAGTTTCAATACTTGTTAAATTAAATTGAAAAATAATCTCTAAGGCAACTTACAGCTCTAAAGACTCTTTCGCCAGGTTGGATCTCTTTACACACAGAGACACACAAACATATCCACACACTTACACGCACTCCCAACACACATGCTCATCTTTCTTCTTAATTTGATTTTCCTAACTCTCTAAAACTATATATGTCTTTGGAGAATTCCAGTTCTCTTCGTTTAATTATAACAATGCTTTGAAAAAAAATCAGTTATGAGAATCTATAGTGTCCTGATAAAGTGAATTGCTGAACAATAAACTGGTGAATATTATTTCCTATAAACATTTCTAATGCCTTGTAAATACCTTTTATAATGTAATAAGCTCTTTAGAATGTGGATACCAAATTTTATTTCATTTACAAAAATGATTTTAAAACTCAGATTTACTCTAACAAGGCAAAAAATACTTTCTCTTAAAGCTATCACTCCTTTATTAAATATTTACGAAGTGCCTAGTATGTGTCAAATAAGATATGAGTTGGGGAAATACCAGTGAGTAAAACAAACAGTTCATAGCTTCCAGAGCTTAGGAGGAGGAAAGTGAGGAGGAGAGTAATTGCAAAGTTGATGATGTTTGCACAACTTAGTCATTGCTATCATGGCCGCATTGGTAACATATCTGAAGCTTGCATGTTCCTGAAAATAGAGCCCTGAGGAACAGGTAAAGTATCACTAAGGGGCAGCACAGACAACAGTCACTCAGAAAAGGGCATTCTTAACCATTTTGGAGCCATAAACCCCTTCTTGGATTCCTGGTTTTGATATCTAAAATAAAATTACAAATGAAACCAATTATATTGAATACAGTCATTTTTTAAAAAATGAACAAGATAGTAAAATATGTACTTCTTTATTACATTAAATAACAAGTCAGGCAGCTGTCCTCATACTTACTATAATTCTGAGGTAGTGACAAGCCCAAATGACATAGTGAGGTACTTGCATCTCTATAACATGTTCTGGAAATATTTGTGATTTCTAGAGATGACAAAGTCACAGATACAGCTAAGAATACTATGGTTGTCACCTACATTCATAATTGAACAATGTTAAATTTCAGTTGGAGATTAATTAAAGATTTTTTTCCTATTGAAATTCACAGATTCCCCTGAATTCCATCCAGAGACCTGTAGATTTGGAGGTCTGCGGCCCCCTGTTCTAGGGCATTAAGCTAAATCAGGATTTTTTTCTTTCAATAATGTAGCTCCATGGTCACTTCTAGAGCTACAGCTCTATCATTGGGACTGCTCAAATGTGTAACTTGTTCATTACTTGGGACACACTGCCATCCCATGGCTCCTCTTGAAGAGTTGAGCATTAATAACCAGCAACAAAGCAGCCTTTTAGGGCATTAGACCAAACCTGCAAATTAATGCACCGGTTCATCACAATTCATTAATCAAACTCAGACTGGGTTTAACAACAGATTATTAAAGACTCAAAATTATATCCACAGAAAAAAAAAAAAAGCAGCTCCCAGAGGGTCAAATGTAATGTGAATGGCTTTGCATAAAACCATAAACCTGCTATTAAATTAAAAACAGAAAAAATTATGTCCACTCCTTATCTCCAGGCATTTTTTTTTTAAAGGAATGCTACACTAATTTATTTCTTCGCTGTTCCTGGTTACACGGTAAAAGACTAAAAGGTTAAAATGCAATGGTTCTTTGATGTTTGGTTGAGCAACTTTCACTAACATGTTCTGATTGAGGTGAAGAAATTAATAAAATTATTTCCATAATTCATTACTAATGGGAAGCTGTCGATGCTTTCAGCTGACAGTTCACACAAATTCTCCTCAGACACTGAGACACCTCATGGTGACTGGCTGCTGGACTCACTCCTTCCAACTGTGTTCAGCAAAGCAGAGCCTGGCTCCCTGGGCCCGCTGTTTCCTGATCTCTCACCTCTGCGTGTTTGTTCTTGACAAACAAGTCTGTTCTCTCTGTGAACAAAAGCAGAAGGGGAAAACAATGATTTTAATTTTTCTTTCCCTTCAGGGAATTTAGGTAGCCCCTCTGGGGAACCTCGATGACTTGTAAACATTCAGAATGCTATAATTTGGCAGATCGCAGTGCTGCAACCAAATGTGCAATGAATTTTCTTAAAAGGTTAATATTTTAGTGCAGTAATCATAGATAAAGAGCATAACAATAATAAGATGTGTGGAACAAACAAATTTCAAGAACTGTATGGTTTTGCAACATCTTTGCTCTTTTCCCATTAGAATTGAATCATTAGTTCTTTCTGGTTTTGCAGAAACAGATGCAAAAATTACTAGCACACATGTTGATTAAGGTAGGTAAGTGACATTTCTGGAAACACAAAAATTTTTATTCAAATTATGTACCTGTTTGATATTTATAGGGTGTTTTTGTCTTAGAACTGCGTGTTTTAAACTCCAAACTCCTAAAGAGCAAAGACTACATCTCTGTTATGTATCTGAAGATAATTAATACCTTCTCTTTGAAGATAAGCTCCTATACATTGGTCATACCAAGACGGCATCAAATAATATTATGGATGAGGCAAAATATACCAGAAATCACATAATATTTGATTAACATATTATTCTATTATATATGTGTGTGTATTTACATAAACATAAAATAGAATAGAAACAACCTAAAATTAACATCTTCAAAGCACTTTATAAAAACAGTGAGATTCTAATACAACATGACTCAGGTTGAGATTTGGGCTATATTGTTGTGGTTACATCATGAACAGCAAATGCAGAGTTCAATTTTGTCACCTCCTCTCCCAACCCCCCGCACTCTTTCCTGCTGGCTCAGAATCATAATCCATTTTAACACAACATAACAGACAGCCTTGCCTAATTGCTTAGTGATCACTTAAAATGAAATGTATTCACTCTATCCAGATACAGAACCTGGAACATAGTAGATACTCCATAAAGATTTATTGAAATGAAAAATGAAACTCCCTCCCCTCTTTCCAAATGAAAACATACTATGTTACCATTATTCTTCCAAAATTAACTTAATCACTACTGATTCCCACAAAGCGTTATCATAGAGATTAACTGCAAGTAAGTTCTTCATTAAAATATTTTGGATTAATGCACTGAGCCCTGAATTTCATGCAGATGTTTATGACTCTATCATGAGGGAGAATGTATATACCAGAAGAGAAAAATTATATTTACTTGAAAACACGACTATAAAACTCATATCATAGAAACTAGGGACATTGCAGGCCACCAAGATATCAAAAATGAAGTAAACCTTAACTTTGGAACGATGGCACTCTGTGCAAAAGAGTACTATTGAGATTCCTTACCTCTCTAAGGTGACATAAGTGGACAAATAATAGTAATAGCTACAGTGTATAAAGCTCTTACTCTGGAACAGAAATCTGCTACATATGTGACATGAAACAGAAGCCCATGATGCAGATGGTGTGGGTATTAGCATGACCCTTCACAGAGCAGGAACTTCAGAGAGCTCAGCAGCTCACCTAAGGTCATACAAGGGAGTTGCAGAGCCAACACGCAGTTACATCTGGCTGACTCCAATTACTCCCTTCTCCTCTCCGATCTTTTCCCATACATGTCCTTCACCAGAGCTACCTCAAATGGAAAAAATAAATACTGAAGGAAAGATCTGGGCCCCATACATATCTTTGTGTCAGTTTTCCTTAGCCTACAAAATGGAAGTGCCAAAATAGCAAAGTGCTCAACAGATTGGGCCATGGCATCAGATTGTCTGGATCAGCTTCCCAGTTCCAGGACTTCCTTGTGCAGATGATTTTCTTATCTTCTTTATGCCTCAGTTTCCTCATAAGTAAAATGGTTATGGTAATAATAGCAACACTGTGGGATTGTAGTGATAATTAAATGAATTAATAAAGAGCAAGTGCTCAGTCCTGGACACACAGAAAGTGCTGAGTAAGTGTTTAAGTGTTGGGTGCTATTTTTAGCTCTTATGGCTATATTAGAAGACAGATTTGGCCACCCACAAGTCAGCTTGTTAGTTGATAAGCTTCCAATCATCAAGTTTTACTGAGCATCTAAAATATTGCAATATAAACAACAAAATAGCCTGAAAGTAGTCCTAATCTAAGATATCGGGTCATAAATTCTTTGACATAACCGACAATTTGGCAATTCCTCACTAAGTAACCAAGAAGGGGTCATTAATGACCTTGGAAAAGAATTTCTTTTAAATATGATTGGGAAAAGAATAGCTTATTACGGGGGTAAGAAAACAGAATGATAAGGAAATTGAAATAGCAGTATAGGTGATTCTTCTTGGCATTTTGGTAGTGAGTGCAAGGAGGGAATTTACTCAAGGGCTTGAAAGTACACAGCAAACAAGAAGGTAACTTCAACATGAGGGATATGTGACAGTTGTAAGAGAGAGTAAGGAGTTGGGGATTATGGCAAAACTTGATGCATTCCCATGACTGAGTGACCCAGATGAGTTGATCTTTGCTACCCATTTTTATTTTTTAATTAATTAGGGTTTTATCCCAAATCAATCATTTTATCTTTCTGGGCTTTAGTTTTTCAACTCTTAAATAATAATGAGGGGTAAGGGTGAGTGAATAGTTAACAAAAACACAACAGGGAAGGAACAGTTGCCATACATTTTGTCCATGAAATCACTAGAGCTTCCCAATTAATATATTATTTGATAGTGTAGGAAAGAAGGAACCAATACTTACCCTTGCAATGTGATTTCCAATGCTCAAATGTAGAAATTAAGGCCCAAGATCACCCAGCCAGGAATCACAATATTGAGATTTGAACCCACAACAGAGTGAGTCTCTTCAGAAGCCTGTTATTTCCACAACTTCAACTTGCCCTTCTAATGATAAGAGAATTCAAATAACATTTTATTACTAATATCTCTTAGATGTAACTAGTTTTTATACATTACAACTATTAGACACTTTTAGCCAATTATATATAAGAATAGTAAATATATTGATAACATTTCTTATTTGTAAACACAGCTTGAAATAACACCTTCTATACTGGCTCCAACATATGATAAAACTAAGTATCTGAATATTTTAGCATTCTTATTAGAACTGATGCAACGCTTAATTAAAAATGACCACATATAGAGCACCCACACCCATATAACCTGAATTAGTTCTTTGAAACATCACTCTCATTGAATGAATATTAAACGTTTGCACTCCCTGCTGTGGGGAATCTTTTAAACTACTACAAGCAAGGGGAGCCAATGAACTCTCTAGATACTGGGGGCAAACACTTTCTAGACCTTTTCCTCTTGGTTGGAAAGGCAAAGGGATTTTGTTAGTTTATGGGAGAAGATAATGAGAAGAAAGAACACACAGAAGTCTAAGGTAAGCCGAACAAGGTATAAATTCCTTCTTTGTAGGAAAGGAATCTTGCCCTTCATACCCTACATAAGTTACTCCCAGGTAAAGATGTCTAAGTGACAGAGGTCTTCACCACAAGTCAAATCTACGTGACCACAGGTAAACACAGCTGTTGAGCCTTATTTCTAAGCTATATTTCATAAAATCATTCTCTCTGGATCAATAAAATGCAAATGCTAAAATTATCCTGTTAACTATCAAAATAAAAAGGACCTTGAGAATAAAGTTGTCATTCTTAATTAAAATGGTCTCTTTAATTCCTTTACTCTAACTAACTAAAGTAGATACTAATACTGTAAACACTTAATTGACTAAAGAAAGAGTCTATCCATACCCCCAGTTAGAGCACACTTAATTTATGTATGATGCAGCTCATAACTATTTAGCAGTATGGTTGAGATAAGTCTCTTTGGCCTACTTTTTAAATGATTAAATACTCTCCATCCAACTGAATGGATGTCTTCCAAGTTGCATTTTGCATGCTAAAACATTCTTTAAATACATAGGCCATCACTCAGATTTAAGAGGAAAAAAACCTTAGTGACAGTACATTCGTTATGTCTTTATTAACACAGGACTTTTCCATTGGGTTATGTGCAGCTGAAAATGAGGTTCAGTTTAATAACAAAGCAAGCATTCCCAGCACTACAGAAATTATAAAATTTTAATGTTTAATGTGTTGCTTAATTGTAGAAAACTCTGAAAAGAATAATATCCTTGAAATTTACTATGCAAATACTCTTACTTTATGACAAATAGCTCCTCAAAACATAAGTATTAAATCTCTATTAGATTTGTTGAGGTAATGTACTAATATGCATCACTAAGGTCTTAAATTTCTAAGTAGCAATGCTGCTTGTTAGATGCAAATAAGGATTACCTTAATTAAAATACACTATCCACAGCCTCTCAGCAGATTTAGCTCAGTCTTTATATAGGACAGGTTCATTATCTACCTCAAGTTAATAAAAGTATGACCTACTGTGGTTATTTCTTTTAAAATTTAATTTTAATTACTATTTTGTTAATGGAAATAAAGCACGAAAGAATTGTATGATCCAAAAGCAATTTTGAAAACTCAATTAAAATACCTCTTGAAAGCTTCAAAAGGAATTTAGCACTTACATGGTTTGATAACTGATGGCCTTACAAATACAGCGTTAGATACCAACTCTCTAAAAAAATGTTGAATGAAGCTTACTTTAGAACTATAGAGCTTCCTTAGTCTGCATCCTGAACTAATGGTCCAGCTAAATAGGTGTAAACATAAAACTTTTAATTCAAAATTTCAACATTAGACAAAGGCTCTTAACAAAGAAATGAAATGAATAACCATTACACAATGTCTTTACAATACATAAACCTTAAGTGCATTCAGAGTTTTTACATAAAACTATAATCGTTTAATCCAGAAAATCGCAGATGTGTTCAGTTTGTCTTCTAGTCCTTCGGGACCTGAATATAAAATTAAAAGACTGGTATATGTTGTATAAAATTCAGTACCAGAGTTTTATTAGGCAGCTTCCACTTCCATCTAAATTTTAAAGGTTTACGCCTATATTATTGATCTTATCTGTGAACATATTAGTTCAGTTAGGAGCCTTTAAACATAACACAATCCATAGATTTTATTGAGATTCACTACTCCTCATGAAAAAGATAAGAATATGAGACGGAGGGTATAACAAAGAGCATGCTCCAGGCAAGAAATACAGTCTTTGTGATATTCAAAATATATTTAGCAGCTCTTATATTACAAACCAAGCAATGTTATGGTTCATACTGCAATGTGTATTTTTGTCTCAGACTGCTTGACTACTTCCAGTAAGCAAAATCCCTGAATTCGTTAGCAATAATAAATTTTTCTTTTTATGATTATTTAATGGAAAAGGCATTTTGCCAGGCACCACTCCCAACCACGTCCAGAAGAAAAACAAATCCAGTATGCCTTTCTATTTAGCATAGAGTCATGAATCGAATCTTTAAAACATCGGAATCCTAACTTCAGAAATAAAAGAAATTGAATTTAAAGTGAAAAATGAGAACATATGACTAAAATAATGAGATATCAATTAAGTTGAGATGCTACTGAATTTCTGTAATTCTGTATATTAAGCTAGAAATGTGATTTAAATTCACATCCACAAATTTGACCGAATCTAACTAAAGAAAGTCTGTAAATATAGAAGAGTATATCTTTTGGTATTTCTTTTTATTCACCACACAGAAAATTGCCAATTTATAAGTGAGTTGTTTTCTCAGAGTTTATTTACATGTCATATTTTTGAAACTTAAGATGAATATTACCCTAGAAGTAATAAATGAAGATGAGGTTTATCCTGAAAAAAAGAATCTATAAAAGCTCAATTTAGGTTTATAGCATATCTGAAATATTTGCAATGAAATACAGCAGGAAGCAAGACTGTTTCATCCTAGTAATTGAAGAAAATGGAAAGTCAAATAGAATAAAAAGAATAATAGTTTATTTTTCTTAAATGCTCTAGGAACAATAGATTTAATTGGATGACAAAACAACATGACATGAGATGTTTGTGAGCATTCTGAAAAGGACTTCTGAGCTTTTTCAAGGTCTTTGGAAGTGGTTACCACCAGTTCTCTATTAGGGCCTAATTTCACATGACTGCATAACAACATGTATTAGCCATACAGTTATGGTAAATTTTAAAACTACTGTCTTTCCCTTCCCTTATTACTGGTGTTCCCTAATATTAATGTTGTTTTCATCAATAATGACATAATGATAAGAATAATTTTTAACTTATAGTTGGGGTGGAAAATGAGCAATAACAGAAAGATTTTTCTGGAGATAATTAGGCATGCATTGGAAGAGAGGAAAGGGGGAAGGAAGAAATAATGGAAAGGAAAAGAAGGGAGAAGGGGATTAAGAAGAAAGTGTGTACATGTGAGAAAATAGTAACTTGAGGTCCATTGGTGTATGGAGTTTTTTGTTTGGCTTTTATGTTTTTGTTTGGGTGTGTGTGTGTGTGTGTGTGTGTGTGTGTGTGCTGTGTGTGTAAAACAGAGAAGAAAAGGAAGGAGCAAGAATAGTATGGTTTCCTAACACTATCCTTATGGTTTCCTAACACTATCCTTCCATTTAAGTTAGTTTTTTCATTTCAATTGTTTCTTTTGAAGGCAAACATGCCAAAATAGTGAATGATCCATCTGATCCCTTAAATACAAAATACAGTGGCTTATGTTTCTAGAGTAAAAAGCATTGAGAAGGGGCATAATAAATAAACCTTAGAATAATTCAGCAGAATTTTTGCATAAAACCACAGTGGTTTAGCTATATTATCGCAAAACATTTTGTTTGTATTTTGGCCCTCCAGGACCCATGCAAATTATTGAGCTGATAATGTACTGCATAAAATTCATTACCAGAGCTATATTAGGCAAGGACAAAAAAAAGTCTCAGAGCCTTTAACATGCTTATGTGCATTGAGACTCCTTAAGAGTGTGAAGTGCTTCTGCACGAGTCTGAACTTCTCTCAAGGGGTTAACTCTCTGTGGTAGTATTCTGTGAAACACATTCTGGGAAGAGCTGAGTTACAGTCAAGAATGAGACAAAGATTCCCACTAGCACCCCTATTGCCCAATGATCCCCACTAACACCCCTACTGCCCAGTGATTCCCACTAACACTCCTATTGCCCAGTGATTCCCACTAACACTCCTATTGCCCAGTGATTCCCATTAACACCACTATTGTCCAACAGTGTTTTGGAGGATCTAGCCAATGCAGTAAAACGAGATAAAGAAATGTGACATAAATTGCACGGAAGAGACAGTATTATCATTCTTTGCAAATGATATTAGAAAATCCAAGAAAATCAACTAAAACTATTAAAACTTATAAAAGAGTTCAGAAAAATACAGAATAACACAAAATCAATAATTTTCACTTATGCTAACAGCAATCAGTTGGAAAACATAATAGAAAAAATATTCCACTCATAATAGGAATTTAAAAGAGAGAGAGATCACCCAAAAGAAAAATGGGCAAAGAATATTAATAAGCAATTAACAAGAATATGCAAATAACCAATTCACATATGAACAGATGTTCAAACTCAATAATAATCAAAAAAATATAAATTAAAACAAGATGCCATTTTCCCCTTATGAGAACTGAAATGATTTAAAACGTGGGTAATACCATATCTTGACATGAAATGTGGAGGGAAAAGATATTCATACGAGTAGTATTACTCAGAGTCCAGACAGGAAACAAAGATCACATTAAAATAGGGTAATTTGAAGAGCGTTTAACAAAAGGATTATTAATATGTGTGTGGGCAGGGTGGAGAGAACCTATAAAGGACCGTGCAGTCCCCAGGGCTACAAGCAGAAGGACAAAGCTGAGCAGACAGGCTCAACTACCAGGAACTGTGACACTGGGTCAAGGGAGGCAGCCACCACTCATCAACCCTGCAGAGAAAGCCAGGAGAAACAACACCTCAGCTTAACTCTCCTCTTTCCTTCCCATCTCCTGCCAGTATCTCTCATTAATCCAGCACTACCATAAAGCAGAAGCCAAGGGACCTTTACTCCCAGGCCAGCCTCCCAGAGCACAAAACAGGCTGGAGCTGGTAAGGATGGAAAGGAGTATGGGGTGCACCTGGAGAGGCAACAGAAGATATACAGTGTGACAGTGTTGGGGCAAGCATAAATTTAAATTAGTGACAAATTTAAATATTCATGTATACCACAATATTTGCATAGTCATTTTAAAAACCAAAAGTCAGTCACGAGGAAAATATCAAACCACTAGCAGTGGTTGTCTCTGAAGAGGAAAGGGAGAGAAGCTCAAGGCTCTAGGGTCAGCCATATATGGGCTTACATCCTGATTCTAGCTGCTCAGTCCATAATCTTGACTGAAAACATACACACACACAGGAAAAACAAAATAAAACCAACCCAAGGAAAAAGTTTTGGTCAAGGCTTGCACCATCAAGCCATAGGGAATCCAGGGGCAGATCTGCCTTCAGAAATGCCTGGATCTGGGGAGTCAAACGTCATCAGGTTTTTTCTCTCTCCCTTCCCAGAGCCTACCAGCACTGCTTCCTCATACTGGCTTCATTCTCCCAGGCCAGCTGTTCCCACAAGTTCAATCCATGGCTTCAGGTAATACTAAACTTATGTTCTCCAAGACTCGTGGCTAAAGAGAAAAGAGGTTCCCTGGTGCTTCAATTAAAATTACTTCAGGAAATGCTGCTGATTGGGCATGCCCGGATCACATGGTCAACTGTGGACAAATAATACAGCAGGCCAGGGCAGCAGGGCATGGGGTTAGACCCTTTCCGACACACATGTCTACCCTGTAGCCACAGGGGGTGAGAATCTGATTGACCCCCCACCACAGCCACATTTGGGATGGAAAAAGCACAATTCCCCCAAGAGAGACATTTTTTCTGGGCAGGAAAAAGTAAATAAACATTATATAAATGGTAAGCTTAGGCAATACCTAACATCTCTGAGACTCAGTCTCCTTATATATGAAATGAAGGAGATGGTCATATCTATATACTAGGGTTGTTATGGGATTAACCCTGTGGGTTAATCTTATTCTTATCATCTTATTATTTTTTTTTTTAACCTCTGCCTCCCGGATTCAAGCGATTCTCCTGCCTCAGCCTCCCGAGTAGCTGGGATTACAGATGCCTGCCACCACACCTGGCTAATTTTGTATTTTTAGTAGAGATGGGTTTTCTCCATGTTGGTCAGGCTGGTCTCGAACTCCTGACCTCAGGTGATCCGCCCGCCTTGGCTTCCCAAAGTGCTGGGATTACAAGCGTGAGCCACCGTGCCTGGCTATCATCTTATTATTCTTATCCTTCTATTTCACATTATTTTTAAAAGAATGTATATTATTTTAAACATGAATAAGAAAGATGTTTCCATTTGAGAAAAAAGAAGTTAACAGCATTAATTAAGGAAGAGTCATCAAGCAAGTTAATCATTTATGATTCAAACTATTGCCCTTATATTTGCTATTTACAAATTACTTACTATTAACAATTACTGCAGTATGTGTTTTACATACATTATCTAATTTAATCCTTACAAATACTTCATACACAAATTCCGATTTTACTGACAAAACTGAAACTCAGAAAAGTAAACTAATGTACCCAAGAACATAAAGCCAATAATTAATGGAGCTGCTATGTAAAGCTAGGTCTGTCTAAAGCAAGGAGGGATCTGCAAACTACAACCCATATGCCAAATGCCACTCACCATTTTTCCACAGCCTGTGAGCTAAGAATGACTTTTACCTTTTTTTTTTTTTTTTTTTTTTGAGACAGCATTTCACTCTGTCACCCAGGCTGAAGTGCAGTGGTGTGATCTCAGCTCACTGCAACTTCTGCCCCCAGGTTCAAGTGAGTCTCCTGCCTCAGCCTCCCAAGTAGCTGTGATTACAGGCGCCCACCACCACACCTGGCTAATTTTTGTTCTTTTAGTGGAGATGGGATTTCACCATGTTGGCCAGGCTGGTCTCCAACCCCTGACCTCTAGTGATCCACCCGCCTCGGCCTCCCGAAGTGCTGGAATTACAGGCGTGGGCCACCGGGCGCCCAGCTGACTGTTACATTTTTTAGTTGTTGAAAAAACTAAAAAAAAAATACTTTGTGACACATGAAAATTATATGAAATTCAAGTTTCAGTGTTCATAAATAGCATTTATTGGAACACAGTCATGCTTAGTTGTTTAAATATTTTTTTATACCTGCTTTAATACTGCAGTCGCAGAGTGAAGTAGTTGTGACAGAGATCATGTGGACCACAGTAACTAAAATATTTACTACCTGGTCTTTTGCAGAAAGTTTGCCAACACCTGGTCTAAATAAAAAACACATCATCTTTCAAATACATCTCACTGTCTCTCCAGGTACTGCCTAAAAATCATACATCAGATGCTACCATTGAGAGATCTCTGGGGGCACTAGCAAGAGTATTTCAGTGCAAAAAAGATAAAAGGGTTGAGCAAATTCAACTTGTAAGAATGAAGAGACTTAGATGATAATGTCTGCTCAGGACAAGGTAGAAGGAAACAGGGTTATTGGTTCTTACATGACATATGGACTGACCATTCAGTTACATGAAATGTTATCAAGTTGAATACCTGAACTCAGTATTACACAACATTCACAAAACTAATGAGTCAGGAAAACTTTTCTAAGAAAAGAAAGTTTAAAAGTAAACCCTACCTTACATTCTAAATTTATTCAATTCAAAAGCAACAAATAAAAGAGATAGAAGTAATGGCTTATGCAAATTCTTATAATGGAAAAAAGAAATTTGAATTGGTTTGTAAATTTTAGAAATAGTCTGCTTTTTCACTACACACAAAAAATATGAACTTCCAGATTCAAAGCAATCCTAGAGGTTTTTTTAATGTATCCCCTGTTTTATTATACCATTACTACCTTAAAACATCCTTGGAAATTATCTACTATTGTCTCAAAAATCTCTTTAAGACTGAACAATCAAATGTGTTCACACAATCTTTTCTTATAACCTTAATACCTAAGCAATGTTTTTGATATAATCAAAACATTAAGAACAATTTTTCATCAGACAGACTAGTAAATTCATGACTTCCTTTTATTTTATTACCGATTTATTGTGTAGCTTAGATGAATATGGATTTTAGTAGGTTTTAATTGACACATAACATATTTATGGGGTACATAGTGATGTTTTGATACATACAATTAGAGTGATCGATTTAGGGTAATTAGTGTATCTATCATCTCAAACATTTATTATTTCTTTGTGTTGGGAACATTCAATATTCTCCTTCTAGCTATTTGAAACTATACATTATTATTAATAATAGTTATTCTACAGTGGTATAGAATACTAGAACTTATTCCTCCTATCTAGCTATAATTTTGAATCCTTTAATACATCTCTCCCTATTCCTCCCTTTCCCCTCCCCTTCCAAACCACTAGTATCTTTCATTCTACTTTTTACTTCTATGAGATCTACTTTTTTTTTAATCTTCTACATATGTGTGAAGGCATGCAGTGTTGAATGTTCTGTTTCTGGCTTATTTCACTTAACAAAATGTCCTCCAGTTCCATCCATGTTTCCATGAATGACAGGATTTTATTTTTTTATGGCTGAATAGTATTTCATTGTGTATATATACCACATTTTCTTTACCCATTCATGGACACCTAGGTTGATTCCATATCTTGGCTATTATAAATAGTGCTGCAATAAACATGGGGGTGCAGATGTCTCTTCAATATACTGATTTCCTTTCCTTTGAATAAATGCCCAGTAGCAGGATTGCTGGATCATATGGTACTTCTGTTTGTGTTTTTTTGAGGAACCCCCATACTGTTCTCCATAGTAGCTTCCCTAGTTTACATTCCCACCAACAGTGTGTAAGAGTTCCCTTTCTCTGTATCCTCACCAGCATTTAATTTTTGTTTTTTTGATAATAGACATCCAAACCATGGTGAGATATCTTACTGTTGTTTTTTATTTGCATGTCTCTGATTATTAGTGATGTTGAGCATCCTTTTATACCTTTGTTGTCTGTTCGTATTTCTTCTTTTGAGAAATGTCTGTTCAGATCCTTTGCCCACTTTTTAATCAGATTTTTTTTGCCTTTTTGCTATTGAGATGTTTGAGTTCCTTGTATATTCTGGATATAAATCTCCTGTCAGATGAACAGTTTGCAAATATTTTCTCCCATTCTGTAGGTTGTCTTTTCACTCTATTGGTTGTTTCCTTTGCTGTGCAAAAGTTTTTTGATTTGACATAATCCCATTTGCTTATTTTTGCTTTTGCTCTCTGTGCTTTTGAGGTCTCATTCATAATAAGTCTGTTCCCAAGCCAATGTCCTGAAGTGTTTCCCCTATGTTTTCTTCTAGTAATTTTATAGTTTTGGGTCTTACATTTAGATCTTTGCCCCTTTTACAGTTGATTTTTGTATAGAATGAGAGGCAGGGGTCTAGTTTCCTTCTTCTGTATATGGATATCCAGTTTCCCTAGCATCATTTATTAAGGAGATTGCTCTTTCCACAATAAGTGTTCTTGGCATCTTTGTCAAAAATCAGTTGACTGTAAATACGTGGATTAGTTTATGGGTTCTCTATTTTGTTCCATTGGTCTATGTGTCTGTTATTGTGCCAGTACCATGCTGTTTTTGTTACTACAGCATTGTATTATATTTCAAAGCCTGGTAATGTGATGTCTTTAGCTTCGTTTTTTTTGCTTAGGATTGTTTTGGCTCTTTGGGATTTTTTTTGTGTGTGTGGTTCTGCACACATTTTAGGTTTTATTTTTCTATGTCTGTGAAGAATGTCATTGGTATTTTGATAGGGATTGCATTGAATCTGCAGATTGCTTTGATTGGTATGGTCTTTTTAACAATATTTTTAATTCTTCTGATACGTGATTATAGGATGTCTTCCATTTGTTTATACCCTCTTCAATTTCTTTCACCCATGTTTTGTAGTTTTCCTTGTAGACGTCTTTCACCTCCTTGGTTAAATTTATTCCTAAGAATTTTATTTCATTTGTAGCTACTGTAAATAGGATTAATTTCTTGGTTTCTTTTTCAGATTTTTCACTCTTGGCATATAGAAATGTTACTAATTTTTGTATGTTGATTTTGTATCTGGCAACTTTACTGAATTTGTTTATTAGTTCAAAATTTGCATGGTAGAATCTTTAGGTTTTTCTATATATAAGATCACATCATCTGCAAATAGGGACAATTTGACTTCCTCTTTTCCAAACTGGATGCCCTTTATTTCTTTCTCTTGCCTAATTGCTCAAGGTAGAACTGCAGTACTATATTGAATAAGAATGGTAGAGCAGGTATCTTTGTCTTATTCCAGTTCTTAGAGAAAAAGCTTTCAGCTTTTTTTCATTCAGTAAGATGTTAGCTGCAGGTTTCTCATACATGGCATTTATTATGTTGAGGTACTTTATACTTAATTTACTGAGAGTTTTAATCATGAAGGGAGGTTTAATTTTCTCAAATGCTTTTTCTTCAACACTTAAGACAATTATATAATTATATGGTCTTTTGACCTTCATTCTACTGTTGTGATCCATGACATTTTGTTGATTTGCCTGTGTTGCACTATCCTTGCATTCCTGGAATAAATTCCACTTGATCATAGTGTGTTATCTTCTTGATGTGTTGTTGGATTTGCTTTGCTAGTATTTTCTTGAGAATTATTGCATCTGTATTCATCAGGGATGTTATTAGCCTGTAGTTCTCTCTCTGTCTCTCTCTCTCTCTCTCTTTCTCTCTCTCTCTCTCTCTCTCTCTCTGTTATGTCCATATATGACTTTTGCATCAGGGTTATGCTGGCCTCACAGAATGAGTTATCAAAAAGAATTCCCTTTGCTTTAATTTTTTTGAATAGTTTGAAAGAATTGTTATTCCTTTTTCTTTAAAGGTTTGATAGAATATAGTAGTGAAGCCATTCAGTCCTGAACTTTTCTTTGTTAGGAGACTTTTTATTATTGATTCACTCTTGTTATATGTTTTTAGTCTGTTCAGGTTTTCTATATCTTGATTCAATCTTTTTAGGTTGTCTGTGTCCAGTAATTTATTTATTTTCTTTGTGTTTTCAAATTTATTGGCATATAGTTGTTCATAGTACTCTCTAGTGATTTTTTACTTATGTGGTATTCATTGTGATGTCTCCTTTTTCATCTATGATTTTATTTGTTTGGGTCTTCTCTCTTGTTTTTCTTAGTCTGTCAATTTTTTATCATTTTCAAAGAAGTATTTTTATTCGTTGATTTTTTGTGTGTATTTTTAGTCTCAATTTCCTTTATTTGTGCTCTAATCTTTATTATTTCTTTCCATCTACTAATTTTGGGTTTAGTTTATTTTTGCTTTTCTAGTTCCTTCAGATGCATCTTTACGGTGTTTTAAATATATCTAGTTTTTATGTAGGCATTTATTACTATAAACTTGCCTCTTAATACTGCTTTTCTAAACTTGTACAAAGTTAATAATTTTTTTAAATACTGCTTTTGCTGTGTCTCAAATGTTTTGGTATGTTATATTTCTATTTTTATTTGTTTCAAGAAATTTTGTAGATTTTATTCTTAATTTCTTTCTTCACTCATTGGTTATTCAAGAGTATGTTGATTAATTGTCATGTATTTGTATATTTTCAAAAGTTCTTCCTATTACTGATGTCTAGTATTATTCTGTCATGGTTCAAATAAGATACTTGACGTGATTTCAATTCTTAAAAAATTTTTGAGACTTGCTTTATGTCCTAACATATGGTCAGTCCTGGAGAATGTCCCACATGCTGATGAAAAAAATGTATATTCTGCATCAGTTGGGTGAAATGTTCTATAAATGTCTGTTAGGTCTATTTGGTCTGTGGCATGATTTAAATCCAAAGTTTCTTTGTTGATTTTCTGTCTAGATGATCTGTCCAATGCTGAGAGTGGGGTGTTGAAGTCCCCAGCTATTATTGTATTTCAGTCTGTCTCTTTCTTTGGATCTAATAATATTTGCTTTATATATCTGAGTGCTCTGATGTTTTGTGCATATACATTTACAGTTGTAATATTCTCTTGCTGAATTAATCAGTTTATTATCATATAATGTCCATCTTTGACTGTATAGCTTTTGACTTGGAGTCTGTTTTGTCTGATATATATATAGCTATTCCTGCTCATTTTTGGTTTCTAATTGCATGGTGTATCTTTTTCCATCCCTTCTCTTTTGGTGTATGTGTGTTTTTGCTGGTGAGATGAGTTTTTTGTAGGCAGCATATAGTTGGGTCTTAGGGGTTTTTTTTTAATCCATTTAGCCAATCTATATATTTTAAATAAGAAATTTAATCCATTTACATTCAAGGTTATGCTTAAGATGTACATAAATTTTATCTAAGCTTTAAGTTATTTATTTATGAATCTAAGATAATATGGAATATTTTAAGATTTTGACTAGAAACTTTATAAATTCCCTTATAGTTTCTGACACACTTCAAGTAAATACAAGGCATTCTCCTCATGATGTCTGCTATGTACTGAATGTTTGTGTCTCTCCCAAATTCATGTTGAAACTTAATCTCCATTGTGTAGTCTAACAGGTGGGGTCTTTTGGGGACTGATTAAAGGTTTTGCCCTTATTAATGGTATTAATACTATTATAAAAGAGGCTTCAGAGAGCTGCCTTTTTTTTTTCAATTCCTTCTACCATGTGAGGATACCGCATTTGTCCCTTCTAGAAAATGCATCAACAAAGCACCATCTGTGAAACAGAAAGCAAGCCCTCACCAGGCACCAAATATGCCAGCCCCTTAATCTTGGGATTCCCAGCCTCCAAAACTGTAAGAAATAAACTTCTATTACTTATAAATTTCCTAGTTAAGATATTTTATTATAACATTAGGAACAAACTAAGATGGTATCACTGACTCTATTTCTCAAAGTTAAAAATATGAGGTCCCCCAAAAGAACTAAGGAGTGAGCCACTGGGCTACAGGAAAAGGTGTATTAGCTTGAAGACAGAATGTTAGCACTAAGCACCACTTGTTAGCTTCATCATCTTGAGCAAGTCACTTAATCTTTTAGCTTCTGCTTTCTCTATTATCTAAGCACTTGTGCATATGTGTATTAAAGCCCTCTGTAGATGGTGAAGTGTTATAAGAGATGTAAGTTTGTATTATTGTCCTCAATAATTTTCCTTAGAGGCTCAAAGGAAACTGATTTAGAAACACAATACATTGCATATATAGAGCCAGATCATTTTTCAGCAAGTTTCCAATAATACCTACAGTTAAAAAATTATAGCATATATGTCACATGCAGCGTTACAAGTAAGAATTAAATAGGAAAATGTTCATGGGTTGAGGGAAATAGAGTACATATTGCTCTAACTCACTAATATTTTCTTTGTCTCATTGGGCTTGATAAAACCACTACTCTTGATTGGAGATTGCATACTACCTGGCAGGTTAACCTTTCCATACTACAGGATTTGAGTTCAAAAGCTGATGACAAAACCATCATGGGTCTAAAAACTCTTCTCAGTTTTACTTGGTAAGGCTGCTGAAGTTGCTATGCCTGTTAATTAACCCCTGAATCCCATCAAGGTAATTGAAGTATAAACTTAAGATGAAGACAGATAAAGTGAAGAATTTCAGAGCGTGCATCTTCCTGCCCTATGCCCTGTTCCTATATTGGTTCAACAAAAAGCAGATTCCATAGCATTAGTCTAGATCAACTAAAAGGAGTAAAGTATGCACTTTGAAATCAAACAAAAACATAACACCTCAGACAATATTGTCAATTATACATTTTACACATGTCTGATCTTACAGAAGTTTCTTGTTCTCCTTGTGTGTATTTTTCATATAGGAAAAGGATAAACAGAATTCACTGTTGTCTTTTCTTATTTAGTTAAATATTGTAGTATTAGACCACTGATAAGATATCAACTACTGTTATTTAGAAATTATTTTAGTTATAGACAATGATCTGTTTGGCTTTGTTGAAAATCAGCTCCAGGATCATCCTTCTTATATTTCCATTAACTATGAAATTAAATAGAGGGGGCAATTTTTAAAAAGAGAAATATTGCTTTTAGCCTGAAACTCTAAGTGTTGAATTTCTGCCTGCAGTGAGTTTTTTCAATTAAATTATAAACCATGGGTAATAGAGATTTATAATAGGAGAGCTGATACAATCTTAACTACAGGGAAACCATCCGACTCGCTCTATGCAGTATATGGATGGATTATTTGCATTAAATTATCTTTAGAAAATGCAAACAAAACAAAGAAATGTAAAGCTTGTCACATTATTAGCATAAAATTAAAGTCCTTGAATGCATAATTGTTCCATACCCAAAGCATTAATGGATTTTATTCTTAGAGTTCAAAGACCTCCTAATTAATATGCAAAATGGCCTCATTTTAAGCGAAAATTTTCTTCTTACTCAGAAAAGAGCCAGTTCTTTGCTGGAGGAAAATACTATGAAGTTTAAAAAACACTAACTAATATTGATATAAAAGCCCACACATCATATTGCCAAAAACAATAACCACTAGAAGCTATTAGAATATTTATAGCTCTTCAGCCTATTATGAGTATAAATTGTATGATTAGCCAAATAATACCTAGCTTAAGAAGATTTAAGTTCACAAACTCTAAAAAGAAAACACAGTCTTTCTCTGGAAATGTTTACTTACTTGAATAATAATTTTTTAAACTATTAAAAGGAAAGTAAATTTAATAGAAAGGGAAATTCTGGACCTACTAGTATAAATTTAAATTACATGACTTCAAATCTAATTTTACAAAGCAATTACCCTCTAATTTACATTGCTCTAGTTGCCAAGATTTGTAACAGGAAAAAAAATTTAAATTGCACGATTTTTTTAAAAGTGTGCAAAAAAATGGATGATTCTCCAGAATTCTAATTTTCTCTTATATTTCTAAATAAATTTTAGAATACTATATCCTTAAAAGTGATTTACTAGGTTTTTCTTAAATTTCTTTCCAATGTAGCTAGTACTAAATGACTGATTTTATTCTGAGTATTTATGTATTTTTAAACAATTTATGCTTTTTAGAGTTTGACACATTACAAATCAAACTACAACCACCACAATATTGTCATGTTTGAGAAAATACAGTAATTTCTTTCAACCAAGAAATAATGTTCCTCCAAAAGAGATATGAGGTCTTAAAATATAGTGCAGTCCCAAAGTGTCTCACTCATTTGAACAATGGCACAGAAATCTATAGGACTCAATCTCCCATTGTAATTACAGGTTCACTGCCAAGACTAGGAATAATATTCCCCTAACATGTAATATTC
This sequence comes from Homo sapiens, assembly GCF_000001405.40. Classification (NCBI taxonomy): domain Eukaryota; kingdom Metazoa; phylum Chordata; class Mammalia; order Primates; family Hominidae; genus Homo; species Homo sapiens. The sequence continues at coordinate 95,268,337 of NC_000001.11, read as the reverse complement.
ATATGGCAAATATGAATATTAAGTAGTTAAGAATCTACTATGTGCCAGGGAGTGTGCTGGGTGCTCATCATTATGATTATCCCATTGGGGCCACATATTTATATTTCACAATTTTATTTATGCACATTCATATTCACATTTGTATTTGCCAACTATAACCTGCTGTTAGAATGTTAGAATCCTTAATCAGAATGTTCGTGTACAAATATATGCCAAACACCTTAGAAAAAAGTTATTCTTTTAAAAAACTTTTCTAGAGTTAATAATGAAAGAAAAAACACCAATTTATTAATTTTTTCAAGTCCTTAACATGTAATCAATACTAAGTAAGCAATTGAGAATGAATGAATGGTTAGATGACAATATTAAACCATATTCAGGTAAGATTCCCATTCCACTCTAAATTAGCTAAAATCAGAGAAGTTTAAATTTACTTTAAAATTGAAGCAATATAGGTTACATATTTAAAACTACTTCAAATGTAAAAGTGGTTCTACTTATTAAAAGGTCTTGTCAATAGAAGATTCTGCTATTACCTCATTAAATAAGTATGTACAGGTAAAAAAAATGACATTTATCATTTGTTTCAAAAAATCATGTCCTAAAAAAGACTATAAAATTTGTTCAACTCAAGAAAGGGCCCAGTAACCCAGAATAACGGCTGAGATTTAAAGTGTTTTTCTACTTTTCCACAGGGAAAAAAAAAAAAAAAACTAGCCCTATGCAGACAACGGTTGAAATCAGCCCTGTGTAAAATGCTATAAAGAATGTGTAAAAAAATTACATTCTTTGATTATTTGTTGTATTTTAAAGTCTTAAGTGGGACATAACAAATTATTTCATTTATAAAGCACTCTACAATTTACCAAGTGTTTTCCTACAAGTCCCTTTCTTTTAAGAGTCTTAGTCTATCTCAAGGATGAGGCTCCCTTGAGAAATTGCTACCCACAGATCACTATCTGTGACTGTTATACTGTATTTCTGGCTAGTTAAACCATGTCTATAACATAGAATTCAATTCTGGATGCCGCATTTTAAGAGGGACATTGACTAATTAGAATGTAATGAAAGGCAAATGTCCAGGTGAGTGGGAGAAGCTATAATTTTTGATAAATTATTCAAGCAACTTGGGAGGTGAAGAATAAGAAAAGGCATAATAACTACTTTCAAATATTTGAAGAGCTGTCATACAGAGAAGAGTATACTAATTCTGTGTTGCTCCAGAGGCCAGAACTAGAATAAAAAGCCATAGGTTAAGAAATGTAGATTTTGATTGAATGCAAGAAATAACTTTTTGTCTACTGTGCTGTCCAGTAACAACAGCTGCTTCATGAGGGTGATACTAATCTCTGGAGTTTTTCAAGCAGGAAGTGGATGGCTATCACAGTTACAATTTTTAACAATTACTGCACTGGTTGGAAAGTTGAACCAGAAATCGCTAAGCTTCTTTCCAGGTTTCAAATTCTATTTGTCTATATAAAATGAAATGCATAAATGTAGCTCCAAAGGAGATTTTTATTATATGCTCATTTATCTGACAGCAAAATATTTAGATTTTTTAAAGTAAATATAAGATTTTGTGACACATGGAATGCTTACTCCCTAACAAAAAATCATCTGGTTATTTGAAACTCCTAATATGTATGAAACAAGAAGTATAGCAAGTTTCAGGCACCAGGTACTATAAGTTGTATTCATACATAAATAATCGCAATGTTAAGAAAATAGCTTTTATTTGTGAAGAAACTCTATGAATTCACTGTGAGTATAAGTGTAAGGATAATTTTACAATTCAAGAATAAAGGAAATTGGCCTGGAGCAGTGGCTCATGCCTGTAATCCCAGCACTTTGGGAGGCTGAGGCAGGTGGATCACTTAAGGTCAGGAGTTCAAGACCATCCTGACCAACATGGTGAAACTCCGTCTCTACTAAAAATACAAAATTAGCTGGGCGTGGTGGCGCATGCTTTTAGTTCCAGCTACTCCAGAGGCTGAGGCATGAGAATCACTTGAACCTAGAAGGTGGAGGTTGCAGTGAGCCAAGATCACACCACAGCACTCCAGCCTGGGTGACAGAGGGAGACTCTGTCCCAAAAAAAAAAAAAAGAATGAAGAAAATCATCTCACCTCTCTAAAGTGCCAGAACAGAATGGAGCAGATATTTTCCCTAAAAGGTTATAACTATTGGACAACAATTGTTCATTGGTTCCTTGAGTTCTCTTTGCATTATACATAGGACTAAAGAGCTAATATAATTATCTCCCAAGTATTGCTATCAGATATATGAGTGGCCTTGGTTAAGTAACTTACCCCAGTAGCCCCACTTTTTCAAAAAAGCAGATTAGATGATCTTTTTAGTTCTTTCTAGTTCTCAGGTCTATGACTTCTACACATACAACACCCCACTTATGCAGTCAAGCACTGTCAACCTTCAGGAGCAAACCATGAACTTAAAACCAATTTCTAAAACCTGTAATTGTACCAAGGGAAATTTGTTGTGATCAGTTGTTGTACTAACTAAAAGAAGATCCACTCTGATTAATGATGATGGCTATAAAACTAACCCCTGCTACCATAAAATAAAACCATAAAATTTGGAAGAAGTGGCAAAAAAGGGAAAGAGAAGACAGCAAAGAAGAAAAAAGACAAAAAAGAGAGAAGAGGAAAGAAATCAGTAAGCAGCCAATCTCTACAATGGCAGAGATTAAAAGAAGCACCAAGAATGGCAAGTAGGGAAAAACAGAGAGAGAAATGAAACAGAGGTAGCAAAAGGAAAAGAGTGTCAAACACCTGCTGGAACTTGAAGGCAATAGGACCATTCAGAAAATGTGGAAGCTGAGGTTCCTCTCCCTCAATAGAACTGGAGAGAGCTTCCTCATATCACAGCAGGATGGAATTGGGGCCGTTAGTGCCAACCCCCAGGTGCATTGCACTTAGTAAATTCAATCTACTCTGCTTATCAGATGACTGCAAAACATGGAAGCTGAGGTTCTTCTACTTCAGTAGAACTGCAGAGAGCTCCTTCATATCACAACAGGGTGTAATCAAAGCTGTTAGTACCAACCCCAGTTGTACCATCCTTAGTATATTCAATCTACTTTGCTTATCAGATGAATGATATGGTTTGGCTCTGTGTCCCCACCCAAATCTCATGTCAAATTGTAATCCAGTATTGGAGTAGGGGCCTGGTGGGAGGTGATTGAATCATGGAGGGCAGACTCACCGCTTGCTGTTCTTGTGATAGTGAATAAATTCTCACGAGATCTGGTTGTTATAAAGAGCATAGAACTTCCTCTCTCTCTGTCTCTCTCTCTCTCTCTCTCTCTCTCTCTCTCTCTCTCTCTCTGTCTCTGTCTCTGTCTCTGTCTCTCATGCTGGCCATGTAAGACATGCCTGCTTCCTCTTCACCTTCCACTATGATTGTAAGTTTCCTGAGGCCTCCCCAGAAGTAGAAGCCTATGTAGCCCACATAACTCAGAGCTGATTAAACCTCTTTTCTCTGTAAATTACCCAGTCTCAGGTAGTTCTTTATAGTAATGTGAGAACAGACTAATACACATGACTAAAACATTTTAAAATATTTCATCTCCAAAATGTTTCCAAAAAGGCCTTGCTAATTAAGGAACTGACCTTTGGATCATGGGGAACCTCATTCATTCAAAGTTAACTGAGATGCTCCCTTGCACGTGGAGTTGGTTTATCAATATAGATACATAGATGATTTATAAATAGATCTAAATAACTTCATACTTGAGGGCCTAGAACAAAGCTCTAACTTTAAAGAAATCAAATGTATTCTGCCCTTCTCTCTATTCTCTTTCTACTTGGATTTCTTGGGAATTCACATTTTTGTGGCCTGATAAGGTAAATCCAGCAGTGGGCCTAATGAAAACCAAGAAGTGACCATAAATTAAATTCACAGCAGATTTTTCTCCTTTTTGCCCCCTTTGTGTGTTATTTTCATAGGAATCTGTGTCTTCAGGAGAAATAAGAGCAAAAAGTTTAGCGCCATTCTGAGTATACTATCTTAACACCATGGAAATTATGAATAATTATTAGTAATAATTCTAGGAAACAGATTATCATAACAAAAAAGCATGCCAAATTGCCTTGTACTTTATTAGTAACATGGGAACATAAACTGAGAATGTGCTAAGGTGATATTTTGCTACAAATAGTCGAAGAAATATTTATTTAATATGATATGGGATGGTATTTTAAAATATTAACTTATCTGTCTTTTCCTCTTGTGTTTTTTTTTGTTTTTTTTTTTTTGTATCTTTTCTTCAGCCCAAACCATAAGGTCCATCTCACCTTCACTGCAACAAAGAAGGGTTGTTAAAGCTGGACACAGGTAAAGAAAAATTAAATTCTTGGATATTATGTTTCAAAAGCTTACTTTAAGAAAATCTAGGTTTCTAAGAACTCTAGACAAAAAGTTTAAGCCATAAATAATAGATTTGGAATGACTCAGAGTCAGTCACATTTTATACTCTGTTACTTGTAATAGGTTCCAAATTTCATATATGTACATCAGGACTAGATTTGATGACATGTGATAGAAAACTTAAAATGTGGCTTAAAGCCGCAAAGTTATATTCTTTCACATAAAAAAACATTCAGAGGGTAATTCCTATTGTCCGCTCCACTTTCACCCTCAAGCTCACCTCATCATCCCAGATGCCTTTGGAATGTCTGGGACTGTGTCCACATGCCGGGGGCGGGGGAAGGGGCAGAGCAAAAGAGACAGCGCCCAGTGAGCCAGCACCTTCAAGAAGCCTTCCTGGAAGTCATGTTCAAGACCCAGAATTTGGTCTTATGGCCCTGCCTAGTTTAAAGGAAATCTAAAAAATATGGATTTTATTCTAAATGGCACTGTGCCTAGGTAGAAATTGGGGCTCATTACTATAAAGGAAGGTTAAAATGGAAACTATGTAAACACCTATTGATCTCTACCACCACTAGCTTTTCTCCCACCAGAGAACATAATTTTCTCTGGGTTGTGGGTTAAGAGCCTTTAGAGGAATTGTTTTGAGAGGGTGAGACAGTAGAGCCTGAAGATAAGGGGAACCAATCTGAAAGGACCAGGCGGACAAAGGCGAGGTGGTATTCATAGACCACCTAGAGTGAGTCTCAGGGAATGATCTATGAAGAAAGTCAGTGCCCTGCCACTACCCAGGTTCCATTCAAGTGAGCACCTTATCTTACTGTGCAGAAGGCCTTTGTCAATCATTCTGACCGCTACTTTCCGGAAAGGGACCCCCAAAAGCACAGTGGCCTGTTACTGCACCAGAAGTATTATAATATGTTCTGCTATGCTCTGAGACTTGGCATGGCCTGCATAGGCAATTCCCCTTACAGTGGCTCTGGACATTCAGAAGACCACTGAAACAGAAATTATGACACCAACCATCAAGATGCATCCTGATTTAAAAAAAAAAAAAAGCACTAGCACACTTCACACCAGCACTGGACTAGCTCAAGATTGCTCAGAACCAAAACTGGTGAACAATATCCTCTTTATAAGATGTAATCCTGCCAGCATTGGTTCCTAAAATATTTTATTCTGAGGTAATTACTTGTTTCAGACCATTTAAGAAAACCTACAGATAACTAAACATAAACCTTGGTGTAATATCCCACCCACTAGAGTGATTAAAATGAAAAAGAATAGCAATACCAATTTTTGGTGAAGGAATGCAGCGCCTGGAACATAGGTAGGTTGATGCAAAAGTAATCGTGGTTTTTGGCTGGGCGCAGTGGCTTATGTCTGTAATCTCAGCACTTTGGGAGGCCGTGGCAGGCAGATCACCTGAGGTCAGGAGCTCGAGACCAGCCTGGCCAACATGGCGAAACCCTGTCTCTACTAAAAATGCAAAAATTAGCCACGCCTGATGGTGGGCGCCTGTAATCCCAGCCACTTGGGAAGCTGAGACAGGAGAATCGTTTGAACCCGAGAGGCAGAGGTTGCAGTAAGCTGAGACCGCGCCATTGCACTCCAGCCTGGGTGACAAGAGCAAAATTCAGTCTCAAAAAAAAAAAAAAAGGAATTGCAGTTTTTGCATTGGAAGTAATGACTAAAACCACAATTACTTTTGCACCAACCTAGTACATTGCAAATGGAAGCGTAAAATGGTGCAACCACTTTGGAAACAATTTGGCTATTTCTTATATAAAGTTAAACAGACATAGAAATTCCACTCCTAGATATTTACCAAAAGATGTGAAAATCTGTATCTATAAAAAGGCTTACACCTAAATATTTATGCAGTTTTATTCATAATATCCATCAAAGGTGAATGGCTAAATAAATTTATATGGTGGACTACTGGCCACCAATAGAAGGGAACAAACCACAATACACAACATAATGTAGATGAAATCACAGACAGTGAAAGAAGCTGGACACAGAAGAGTACACATTATTCAATAACACCTTTATTCTAGAACAGGCAAAGCTAATCTACAGTGATAGAAATCAAAACAGTGATTACCTAAGAAGAGGAGGGGAGGAGACTGCAATGGGGCTGAGGGAACTTTCTGGAGAGGTGGAAAGGTTCTGGGGAGGCGGAAAGGTGGAAAGGTTGTACGTGTAGATTGGTTTTCTCTCCGGCCAAACTCAGCAGCTGGAGTCACCCCAAGAATGGTGGCAGGGGAACTCCTTCAAGGGACCGTCCCAAACCTTCCTGAGATTGGGCCTGCTTGGGTTTCAGAGAAGGAAGCACTAAACTCCAGAGTGACCAATCTGAAGCATTTATTAGGGGAACTTACAAGTTACACAGGAGGAGGCTGCAGCAGGTCCGCCTGAGCGACAGTGAGGGGGAGATGTTCTTCCTGAGTATGTCCGCAATGAGGGGTCAGGTTATGGAGTTTATGTGAGAGCTTAAAGAATTTTTCCGAAGGTGGACGCCTTCTACGTGTATAGTAACATAATCAATCTCTGTGTTTCCAGCAACAACCTAAACAGCTTTATCAGTAGTGGGGAATGTTCAACGCCCTAGCTTGGATTCAAGGATGCAGGAAAAACATGTAGCTGGCCAGGTCACAGAGTAGTCAAGGCATTCTGTTTTCCTTGGTCAGGACACAGGAAGAAAGCAGAGACGATATTGGGGGACCCAACAATTGGAGTAGTGGTTGATGATTACGGATGTGTACTTGAGTCAAAAGTCATCAAATTGTAACCTAAAAATGAATTTTATTTTTACAGTCATATTACTAAAAAAAAAGAACTTCCGTTCATCAAAAGACACAACAAAAAGCAAACCACAGAGTGAGAGAAGCTACTTGCAATACATATATCCAACAAAGGGCTCATATCCAGAATTCATAATGAATTCTACACCCAATAAGAAAACAACAGACTGCCCAGTAGAATAATGAATGAAGGATTTGAAGATACAATTCACAAAAGAGGATGTCCAAATGGCTAACATATATTAGAATGTGCTCAATATTATTAATATCCAGCACCACTAGACACACACTGTAATGACTAAAATTAAAAAGACTGTCAGTACCAAGTATTGCCAGGAGTGTAAATTGCCCCAACCACTTAGGAACACAGTTTAGCATCATCCAGTAAAGTTGAAAATATGCAAACACTAAAACCTTGTAATCACACTGCTAGTTATATACTCAACAATAATGCATATTTACATGTACCAGGAGATATCTACAACAACATTTATTGCACTACCATTTGTGATAGCAAAAAATTTAAATATTTAGACAAATAACAATCTATAGTAGACTCGATAAATAAATTGGGCTATATGAATATTTCATACAACAATGAAAATGAATGCCTCATAGCTATAAACAATAAAATAGATGAATCTCACAAATACAAGACTGAGCAGAAGAGATCAGACTTTATCATAAAGAATTTAAAAACAAATTTAAAAAACTAAATTATACTGTTAGCTTACTTAGGTAGTAAAATTAAAAAAAGAACCAGGAAATGATTGCCATAAACATCCAAATAGTGGTCAATTCAGGGGGTTGAGACTGGGAAGTGTAAAGATGCTAGCAAAGTTCTATTTCTTGAACAGGTGGTATTTATACAGATTTTACTTCATAATAATTTCTTTAGCTGTACAATTATATCTTATTCATTTGTGTATGAGTGTTATATTTCACAACACAATTTTTTAAAGAGGCATGGGAGGCGATGACATAATAACATAATAGATATCAGTTCAATGAACAAAACAAAGTGGGAATCAAAGAGAGGATGCTATTTATAAGAGGAAATATTTGAGCATTTTTATTATTGAAGATTAAAAATGCAAGAGAGAATTAATGTTATGAAATCTCAGAGAAGACAGAGGATGGAATCAAGTATGTATAGGCAAGTGGTCTTGCCTTAAAAAAGACAACCATTCTGTCTCCAGATTAGGAAGGAGAAGGAAATAATAATACAAAGAATATTTGAAACAGAGAAAGTATATGGAAGGTCATATTGGGTGATCTCTGGCAGTTAGAATGTTATTGATGGAGATTTTGAAGACTTATATTTGTCATCATAGGTTTTGTTTTGTTTTGTTTGAAGTTTCAATGTACATTCATACATAGACAAACCAATGTCTTTCCAGAATCCAGAAGAGGAATTTAACTTTCTCTAGTAACACAATTTGTATTCATTTCACATAACTCAATATTTGCTGTGCCTCCAATAAGTAAGGTCCTACCCTCGAAAACTTCCAATCTAGTAATGGGAAGAACAAAGTACATTTAAAATGATAACATAAAGTACAGCATATACTAAGAAAAGGAAAGGAAGGAGGAAGAGAGTAAAAGGGAATAATCAATGTCAATTGAGTTCCTACTACATGTCAGACACCGTGCTAGAGGCATTTGTACATTATTTAGTGTAATGACAAGTCTAAGAGGTAAGAAAGGGGTATTATTCTGATTGATTGTACATATGTCAAAACTGAGGCTTGCTACAAGAATTCAGACCAAGGAACAATTATTGATCCCAAAATAGGGATCAAGCATTTTATACAGGAAACAGCTCTGCAAATATAGAAAAGATGTCAACAGACAGTTTGTAGAAGAATGCACAAGAAAAAAATAACATTTCAAGAAGAAGGACAAATTTGATTATATGCAGAGGAAAGAAAAATAAGCAATATTTATACAGTTTGGCTGAGGCAAAAAGGCTACATAGAGAATGAGTGGAAAATAAACCCAGAAAATAATGATGTGGGGTCAAATTGAGAAGGCATTTGAAGATACCAGATTCAAGAGTTTACAACTAATTCAGTAGGAAACGGGAGTGATACTACTACTTGAGGAAGATTTATCTAGTCCAGGTCTGCCATCCCTAATTCACAATTCCAAAATCCAAAAAGTTCTAAAAAACCAAAAATATTAAGGTTTTTTTCTGAAACCTTAAAAAGCCAGCCTAATCTGAATTCATTTAGCATCCAAGTTTAACCTGAATCAAAGTGAGAACATTTATACTCTTTATTTATCTTAATGTGAATATTCATGTGTTTCACTGAAGAAATAACTGTGTTTGATTACAGAATGTTGCCCCAGCCCCATTGGGTAGATTTTAAAATATATGGTACAACCATATTACCTTTCTAAAAATGCAAAAATTAAAAAGAAAAATCTTCATTCTAAAAACAGATTTAATTCCAACAGTTTTAGATGAGGGATTATCAACTGTAACAATCTATAGAATGGGATAAGTGGAAGAACAGAGGTGAGAAGGCCAGTTTGGTGACCTCCAATAGTCCTGGCCACTTACATACAGTGGTGGCCATGAGAATGGAAAAGATGGGTGAATATAAGAATCACTACAAACTATACTTGGAAGCTAACTGGATGTAAGAGAGTAAGGAAGACGTCAAAGGAAAATCCAAGATTAATCCTGGAAGCCTAATAGTAATTTCAACAGTCAACAATAACAAAAATTAGATCATTAATGGGTTTACTTTAATCATAATGGATTTAAGATGTTGGCAGGACATGTAGGTTGTAATGTGAGGCAGAGAGTTAGAAATGAGTGTTTAGAGGTCAGGTGAGAGGTCAGGACCTGAGATGTAAATTTGAGACTCAACTACATAGAGGGAAATAATGACAGTTATGAAAATGGATGGAATTCTCAAAGAATCAAGAGATTCATGCATGGAATTTTGGTAAATCATTAGCACTTTACAGCATAGCTCTCTTGGTTGCATGAAAGTTCTATTGCTAAAGATTAGCAGAGGCTAACCATGCCTTAGTGATGAAGGAGCAGCATTATCAGAAGCACCAGAAATGCACCAGGTGAAGGATCACACAGATAAAAGTGCAATTCCTGAATTCCTTCCTAATAACTACTTCAGGGTGTCTTGCCAACAGTGAACTGAGCAAACACAAGTTTACAGCTTTGGAGCGATATCCCAAAGCAGATGAGCTCACTTTTTAAAAAAATCAATATATGTCCTTCAGTCAACATTTGTTATGCTCCTAGGCTAGCAGAAATGTAGCTTTTTGTGGAATCTCTTATCATGGTTAGTTGTGACTCAAGAGGAGTCACTCAAGCCAAAAGAAACTACAGTTTGTCAAGTTGTTAACTTATTTTGTAAAAGGTATCTGTCTTACCAATGCTACTACAAATTCATATCAGTATTTAATGTTTTATAGCAATGAAAACATGGTAGGGAAGAGATGGCAATGAGTTAAGCAGATATGAACTGAAAGCCACATTCCTCACCTCTAAAAGCAAAGCAACTGACAGGATATTTCTTGAGAGGTGTGATAGTTAATTTTATGTGGCAACTTGAATGGGCCTGGTTCTTGGTCAAACATTATTCTGGTTGTTTCTGTGAGGGTATTTTGGATGAGATTTACATTTAAATTGGTGGACTCTGAGTAAAACAGATCCACCTCTATAATGTGATCAGGCCTCTTCCAATCAGTGGAAAGCCCAAATCAAATAAAAGGCTGACCCCACCCTCCAACTCCACCCCAAAGTAAAAGGGAATTCTGCCAGCAGACTATCTTCAGACATCAACTGCAACATTAGCTTTTCCCTGGATATCCATCTTCAGAGTCTTCAAACTTGAACTGCAACAGGGCTCTTTCTGAGTCTGCAGCCTATCAGCTCACTCTGTAGATTTTGAACTTGCCAGCCTCCACAAATGCATGAGCCAATTCTTTGAAATAAATCTCTCTCTCTCTCCCTTTCTGTCACACACACACACACACACACACACACACACACACACACACACTGGTTCTGTTTCTCTGGAGAACCCTGACTAATACAAAAGGGATGGAAGGAATAAAGCAACATAACCAAGTGATCTGAAGAAATTGAAACCTACGATCCAGGTTACTTAGAAAAAAGCAATCTTCTCAAAAACAAAATGGTGGAAAGCAAACTGATTGAGATATTAAATTAGTTGAAATAATTAACTTATCAAAAATGAAGATTCCATTCCCCAATTTTTTTCACTTATTGGTAATTTTTACGCATCACTGGCAGTTTTGCAAACTTTAGGTATTTCTGTCTGTTTTTCATAGTATGGAGATTGCTCCTACTTTGAATCTTTTAATTTCAAATTCATTTTCTTGCCCTATGCATTTTATAATAGTGAATACCTTAAAACTTTTTTTTATTGCTCATAGTTAGACTTTTGTGCATCAACTGACAAACAAATTAAGCTACTTTGTGAAGGTTCCAAAATTTCAACAGCATCTTCATCTTACATAGCTGTATTTGTACTGTTATTTGAATGGTATGTGTTCCCTTTTGTATAAAAATAAGTGAAAAACAACAGATTGAAGGGTCAAAAATAGTGCTAACAAGAAAAGTTCTCATAAAGTTGGCATAATTAAGATAAGACGGAGCTCAGCTGTCATGCTAAGAAAGGTGGATGTACAACTTCTATCATACAATCATTAATCTTTACTCACTTGAGTGTTCAATCATGAGACAAAGAACAAAATTTAAAATATGTAAGAATGCTAAAGCAATATGATCAAATATTGTTTGATTGATAGACAAAGGGTAATTATGAATTTTATATATTTTTTGCTTTCTGGGACTGGAATGCCCTTTACAATATGGATGTCTATTGTTCAACTTTTCACATTCAATCTCCTCATATCTGCTTATGAACATATAATTATAGGATAATGCTTCTCAAACTTTAATATGCACACAAACCACCTGAGAATCTTATTAAATTGTAGATTCAAATTTAGTGGGTCTGGGATAGTGCATGGGATTCTGTATTTCTAACAATAGATGATGCTGGTCCATGAGCCACAGCTTGAGTAGCAAGGTTACAGGAGACTCAAAAGTGCAAACATTGCAAAATTACTTAGTCCATGATTTGCCTAAATTACCAGTAGGTAACAGTGACTGATACTCCTCAATTCTACGAGTTGATTTTAAACCAAATTGTCTTCAACTTTGCTCATCTTCCTGTGGTTGGTCCCCTTTCATTCAGGTATTGGTTCAAATGCCATCTCCTTGGAGATTTCTCTAACCACTCTACTTATAATAGCCTACCCTTCAGCATCTACCTTACAATTCTGTCTGTGGCTAAGCCAAATTTTAGGATTGAAATATCATTATTAATTACAAAGATTTAAGAATTATCTTTAATATTTTTATTTACTAAAAATATTGTAATAATTGGCACTTTTAAGCCAAGCTTACTTTTATTGGGGAAGACATACAGAACTATATCTTAAAGTCATTGTATAGCTTAATGAATTATTATAACCAAAATGTCTGATAAACCAGCACCCTGGTCAGGAAACAGGACATAGCCATCTGCCAAAAAATGTCTTTGCATGCCTCTCTCCAGTCACAACCCCTTCCATGTCCCGATTTGTAACTGCCATCCTGACTTTTATTATAACAACTTCCTTGCTCGTCTTTTAGTTTTAGCACTTAAGTATGTGTCCCTCATTATAATTAAGCATCGTTTTACCTATTTTTGAATGTTTGGAATCAGATAGTATATATTCTTTTGTGTTTACTTCACTTGATTCAATGTTGATTTTTAAAGATGGATCCATGTTGCCCTATGAGGCTGTAATTTGCTCATATAGTTTGCTATATAGTATTCCACTGTATGAATATACCACAATTTACTTGTCCATTTTATGCTGATAAATGCTTGGGTTGCTTCATTTGGGCTATTAAAAATGATGTCATGAACATGTTTGTACATGTAACTTCCTACACATATGTACACATTTTTGTAAGGTATGTACCTGGAAGTAGAATTGCTGGGTTTTGGGTATAGAATCTTGAGTTTTTATGGATAATACCCAACTGTTTGTTCAAAGCAGTTGGGTCAATATACTCCCACCAATGGTATATCAGCATTGGCATTGCTCCACTTCTTTGCCAACTCTTGCTATTATCCATCTTTTTAAAAATATATTTTTTTTAATTTTTATTTCTGTACTTCGGTGGATGCAAATATTCATCTTTTAAATTTTAATTGTTCTAGTGGGTGACTAGTGGTGTCTTACTATAGTTTTATCTCTGCATTTCCCCTGATTACTAATGAAGTTGAGCACCTTTACGTATGTTTTTTGGCTATTTGTATATTCTCAGTTGTGAAATACTTGTTCAAAATTCTCGTGCCCATTTTTCTATTAGATTGTCTATTTCTTATTAATGTTCTAAATATTTGAACAATAGCAATTAAATGTGTTCAAATAGCTTCTCCCATTCTGAGTTTTGGTTTTCTATTATCTTTTTTTCTTTTTTTTTTGAGACAGTTTCGCTCTGTTGCCCAGGCTAAAGTGCAGTGGCGCCATCTCGGCTCACTGCAAGCTCCGCCTCTCGGGTTCACGCCATTCTCCTGCCTCAGCCTCCCAAGTAGCTGAGACTACAGGCACCCGCCACCATGCTCGGCTAACTTTTTGTATTTTTAGTACAGATGGGGTTTCATCGTGTTAGCCAGGATGGTCTCGATCTCCTGACCTCGTGATCCACCTGCCTCCGCCTCCCAAAGTTCTGGGATTGCAGGCATGAGCCACCATGCCCGACCTGTTTTTCTATTGTCTTTCATGATATCTTTTGATGAGCAGTTGTTCCTAGTTTTGATGTAGTACAATCTATCAGTCTTTTCTGTAAGGATTATTGCTTTGTGTCCTGTTTAAGACTAGGATCCAAAAGTCAAGAAAATATTCTATGTTCACACAGGCTTGTAATCTATCTGAAATTAACCTAGAGTATATGAGATAGGGGCAAAATTTAATTGTGCCAGGACCATGTGTTGAAAAGACTGTTCTTGCCCAGTGTGATTCCTATAACATCCCCATTTAACTCACCTTTTGGGCTTGTCCAGAATCAAGTTGGTCTTAGAGGTAAGTGCAGATTATCAAATTTAAATAGCTGGTGGCTCTAATTACAGCTGTTCTTCCAAATGTAGTCTTATACTGAAGCAAATCAACATACCTCTGGGTACTTGATATCTAGCTCTTGATTTGGCAAATGCTTTTTACTCTATATTAATTTGCAAAGGCCACTGGAAGCAACCACAGCCACAAACTTCCACTTTAGGACTATATCTTACTTTAGGACTCTATCAACTTTCTGAATCTGTGTCATAAACCAGTATTCAAGGACTTCATTCATTTTAACATCTCACCAAACATGCTGATTGAACCTGGTGAAAATAATGTAGCAAACACCCTAAATGCCTTAGAAGACACTTATCAGAGGGAGGGAGTTAAACTCCAAGAAAATTTAGAAGCCAATTACCTAAGTGAAGTTTTTAGGAATCTAGTGTTTTAAGGTACATCCTGGAATATTCCAATATGAAAGGTTACTTACCGTACCTTGTACTCCTACCATTAAGGTATGATGTTTCCTAGGTATCTTTGGATTTTAGTGGCAATATATCCCATCTTTGAATGTATACTCTGACCTATTTACTGATTAATTCTTGGAGTTGCCTGTTTTGAGTGGGGCCCAGAGCAAAACAATAGGCTACACATCCAGACTGTGATGAAACTGCCCTGCTACTTAGGCTTTATGACCCTTAAGATCCAATGGTGCTCAATATAGTTATGGCCTATAATGATGCTATATTAGAGAACTCACAAGCCCAACAGAGCCTTAAGATTTTAATCAAAGCCATGCCCTCTTCTGCAAATAATTATCCTTTTTTTTTTTTTTTTTTTTTTTTTTTTTTTTTTTTTTTGAGACAGTCTCACTCTGTTGCCCAGGCTGGAGTACAGTGGTGCGATCTCGGCTCACTACAAGCTCCGCCTCTTGGGTTCAAGCCATTCTCCTGGCTCAGCCTCCCGAGTAGCTGGGACTACAGGCACTCACCACCACTCCCGATTAATTTTTTGTATTTTTAGTAGAGACGGGGTTTCACCGTGTTAGCCAGGATGGTCTCGATTTCCTGACCTCGTGATCCACCCGCCTCGGCCTCCCAAAGTGCTGGGATTACAGGCGTGAGCCACGGTGCCCGGCCCCCTCTTTCAAAAAAGAGCTCCTAGCTTGGTACTGGGTCTTAGATAAAATTGAACAATTGACCATGAGACATCAATTGAACATGGAGCTACATATCACGAACTGGGAATTACTTTATTCATGAAATTGTAAAGTTGGGCATGTGTAGATGAAGTAATATATATGAGATCAGGCACAAGTGGGTCCCAAAGGTACAACTAAGCTGCATGCTCAAGTGGCTCAGTTATCTATAGTAACTAGTCCTTCTGCACAGCTTCCTCTTTCTCAGTCCACACTGAGGATCTTGTGGGGAGTTCCGATAACTTGGTAACCACGGAAGAAATATTTCAGGCCTGATTTATGGGTGGTTCTTCACAATATTCTTCACTTTAGCAATTTTGACTCAAATGTGGAGTGTCTCTGAAAGATAGAAATCAAGAGAAATTTACGCAGTGGGTAGAACTTTGAGCAGTAATTCTGATTGTGTACCTTCTCTAGGTAAAGAGATGCCCTGAGGTATAGATTTACAGTATTTCATGAGCAGCAGCTAACAGGTTGACCAGGAGGTCACAGACTTTGAAGAACAAAATAAAAGGACTAATGAAAAGGAGATCTGGGACAGAGGTATAGGAATGGAGTTCTCAGGCTGAGCACAAAATGTGAGGATATTTGTGTCCCATGTGATGTTTTTCAAAGGGCAACCACCGCAGAGAAGGCCTCCATTAATCAAATAGATGAGTTGAATCCTCCAGTGGATGTTAGTCAGCCTCTTTCCCTAGCACCCCAGTGCTTGCTTAGTGGGCTCAGGTACAAAGTAAATACGGCAGCAGGGACGGAGGTTATTCATGGATTCAACAACATGAAATTCCCCTCACCAAGGGTGATCTTGCTAACCTGCTGAGTACCTAACCTGCTAAAAACAAAGACCCATAGTAAGCCACGAAAAAGGCCTCCCCTCCTAAAAAAACACCAGCTACCTGGTGGCTGATTAATTACATTGGACCCCTTCCCTAATGGAAGGGCCAGCAAATTGTCCTTACTAAACTGATACTTCTGGATATGAATCTGAAGTCCCTTCCTATAATACAACCAACTATGATCCTATAGACATGATATCCCTCACAATATAACTTCTGAATCAGAAACTCATTTCACAACAAAATAAATGTAGCAATGGATGAAATTCATAGGACTTTCCATGTACCTAATCATCCAGAAGTGGCTGGCTTGGTAGAATAATATAATGACCTGTTAAGACAGTTATGCTGGGTGTGGTGGCTCACGTCTATAATCACAGCACTTTGGGAGGCTGAGGCAGGCAGATCACTTGAGGTCAGGAGTTCAAGACCAGCCTGAACAACATAGTGAAACCCCATCTCTACTAAAAATACAAAAAAATAGCTGGGTATGGTGACATGCATCTGTAATCCCAGCTACTCAGGAGGCTGAGGCATGAGAATCACTTGAACCCAGGAAGCGGAGGTTGCAGTGAGCTGAGATCGCACCACTGCACTCCAGCCTGGGTGGCAAGCGAGACTGTCTAAAAAAAAAAAAAAAAACTCAGTTATTAGTCCTGGTGGGAGACAAGCCCCTGAGAGACTTCAGTGCTATTATACAAAATGTAGCATATAGTTTGAACCAGTGATCAGCATAGTTGTATTTCTCCCATTGCCAGAATACATGGGTCCAGGAATCAAGGGATAAAAATAGGACTGATTCCTCTCAGTAGTATACTTAATAACCCTCTCACAGAATTTCTAATTCTCATCCCTGTAAACTTGGACTATGCTAGTTTACAGGTCTTAGTTCACAAGGAAAGAATTCTTCTACCAAGGCACATAAAATGGTTCAAATGAATTGAAAATTGAGACTGATGCCTAGATATATTAGGTTTCTTATCACACTAAACTAAAAAACAAAGAAAGAGATCCCTGTATTGGCTGGGGTGACTGAACTAGATTATTATTACGGATATTGGGTTGCTGCTACACAATGAGGTCAAGGACCCCAGGGGAATCTCTGGATTGCCTCTTAAGACTTATTTAATAGTGAAAATTAATAAGCACCCCAACTACTAAAGACTCAGACCCATCCAGAATGAAGATTCAGCTACCCTACTAGGTAAAGAACACTTGCCAGCTGAAGTGCTGGCCAGGAGCAATGAAAAATTAAGTAGAGGAAGAAGTTACAAATATCAACTACAGCTTCATGACCAGTCAGAAACAAGTACCAAAGTAGTTATGTAAATGTGCTTCATTGCTTGTTCTAAATATCTTTGTATATAGTAACTATTTTTTTCCTTCCCCCTCTCAAGCCGTAGGAGTACAAGGAATGCCACTAATACTAATGATAGGGAACTTTACAGTTTAATCTTCAAGCTACAGAATATCTAGGTGGGATTGTGACTAAACTAGAAGAATTAACACCAATAAGAACAGTAGTAACTGGTGGGGCTGTTTCTCCCCTTTCTGAGGGAATGGTGAGTTTCATAAAGAACAGAGTTAAATCTACAAAGACAGAAGCATAAAACTGTTATTGCTGCATAGAAGTTTAAATATGGGTAGAAGGATGTGTGTGTGGATGCTTAATAGCTGAAAATAAGTGTCCTGGTTGGTTATTTTCTGTGGGCACTCAGCCCTCTCCCCATTTCACACACAGTCATCCTTCTATAGTCAGCTCTGTTCTCCTGAGGCTGAAATTCTGCAATCTACTTTCCCCAGACTTCCTTGCCAGCTTGGTTCCTGTTAGGCTTGTCAATAGAAGGCACTTCTGGGAGATCAGAAGGTAGCACAGATAGCACTGTGATCCTTGTTGGCAGTTGGTATAGCAGCAACAGGGGTGGAGTGATTCCAGATTCAAATGGACCAGAGACAGTGCCTATTAGCAATTTTAGCTCTGGTCTAGGCAGCATTTGAGCAGACTCCAATAGTGCAATAGCAGATATAGGCTATTACAACGTCTCCAATAGTGCAATAGCAGATATAGGCTATTACAACGTCTCCAATAGTGCAATAGCAGATATAGGCTATTACAACGTCTCCAATAGTGCAATAGCAAATGTAGGCTCTTAGCAGTTTCTAAACTCTGAGTGTCTCACCCTCCTCCTTTTCTTCTTTTATCCAGCCCCACTCCCTCTCCTTTTAACTCTTACAGCCTTTTTAATTTGTAATCAGTCTGTTTTAAATTTACTGTTTGAAATGCCTAGTTTCTGATTTCCTAACTGGACCTTAACTGATTAACCATCCCTTGAACTCTTACATTTTTCAGTTTCAGAATTTTTCTGAGATAGAGTCTCACTCTGTCACCCAGGCTGGAGTGCAGTGGCACGATCTCAGCTCAGCTCACTGCAACCTCGACCTCCCCAGCTCAAGCAATCCTCCCACCTCAGCCTGCCGAGTAGCTGGGATTACAGGTGCATGCCAGCACGCCCAGCTAATAGTTTATGTATTTTTTGTAGAGACATGTTTCATCACATTACCCAAGCTGTTTTCGAACTCCTGAGCTCAAGCGATCTACGCACCTCAGCCTCCCAAGTTCCTGGGATTACAGATGTGAGCAACCACAACCAGCCGATTTCCATTGAGTTTTTTCTGCTGTTTCTATCTTGTCTCTTCGTGTATCCAGTTACCTCTGATCATTTGCGAGATACTGAATTTTAAAATTATTCACAGATATAATCTGAGGCCTTAGGAGGATGTTAGCTTTCTTCAAAGAAGATTTGGAGGATTTGAGAGTATTAGAATCATCCAAGTTGAAGATTTAAGATTTTCTGGACCCACCAGAATTCTCAAACCTTACCTATAGTCTAGGACAATTGGTTTATGTACAGTTCACCTTTATTAACACAGTGTAGTCCTTTGGGGGTCCTAGCTCTTGGCCCCACCTACTTTATCCTCCAGACCCCAAATTTACTCCCTACATCTTCAAGCTGACAAAAATGAACTCGGCCCTTCAGCTAACTATTGCAGGGTGGCCAATGTACCCATAGGAAAAAATAGCCCTAAGTGCTGGGTTTACTTCTCTCCCCTCCAAGATTTAGCCCAGCAATTTTCACTGTCTTATTTACTTTGATTATTTTAAGAGGATGTGTTTTATATTTTGTTTTTAGTTTTCTTCAGTGAAAAGCTGGTCCACCATCACTGAAGCAGAAGTCTTAATTATCTTTTCATAAGTATCTCAAGCTGAAAAGAAAGCAGCAGAGTTTGAGGCAAAAAATATAAAGGCAAATAATTAAGAGTCTCTTCCTCTAATACTAAAGAAATACCAAAGAGACTCATAGCTTTTTGGTATATAATTTAAAATTTTCTTTTATCCAGAGGTCAAATTACATTTATATAAATCGCTAACTCTGTCAAGTTTTAGTTTTCTATTCTGATGTGTATGTATATGTGAAAGACTTAGATGTAAACATCTAAGAAAGTAATAATAACCAATATTTTTAAAAATAATTTTAGCAGATAAAAATATCATTAATTTGGAAAAAGTCATTACAGCAAACATTCAA
This sequence comes from Homo sapiens, assembly GCF_000001405.40. Classification (NCBI taxonomy): domain Eukaryota; kingdom Metazoa; phylum Chordata; class Mammalia; order Primates; family Hominidae; genus Homo; species Homo sapiens. Next base: position 95,248,401 of record NC_000001.11, on the reverse strand, counting down.
GTTGATCTGATTCAAGCTCTTCTGTAAAGAGTCAGATTTGAAGATGAAAGGCTAAAAGGGCACCAGAAAGCATAAGCAGGAATATATTTTTGCAGAGAAGAGTCAAGGTAAAATATTATTATATCATGATCCCCTCAATCCATCTCAACCATATGGCCAATATTCTCAACTCTATTCTTTTTCATTATTTTAATTTTCACTGAAACTACAGTAAATCAAATGAAGGGGTAATAATGAGCAGTCCCAAATTTTCAAGCCTATTTTCTCAGTTCTGCATACCAGAAGGGTAGCTTCTCCTTGCTATACATGCTGTTGCCATAGAACAATCTAACTACATTTACCAGTTCTCCAAAAAAAAAAAAAAAAAAAAAATCAACACACTAGAATGAGAGTAAACTGAACATCTCCTCATTAAAGAAACCCCATAAAATAATCAACAGATAGGTATAATTAAATTATAAAGGTACCTGAAAATAAGACAATCAGATTGAACTGACATCATCACAGAGCATTACTGTCAGGAAACACTGCTCAGCATGCCACATTCTCCTCACTTCCCTCCCCCATCAGTTATAATTATATAATGATATCACTATACTTCATAGGTGGCAGCCAAAGGGATTCACTTGGCCTTTCTTCCATGACTCAGCCCCTTATTTTAGCAGCCCAAGTGGCTTCATGCGTACAAATATCCTTTCCGAGATACAAATATCTACTTATGTTTTTATTACAGATTTTAATACAAGTTTTATCTTACGGCTTCTCTCATTAGGTCATGATAAGTATGTTTCACCATGTTTTGACCGATTTCATAAGAAATAAAAAATAGTATTTTTATATAATTTCCTCCATCTTGCAAGCCAGGTTCATTCTGTATGAACATTTCTCTTCTTATAAAACAAGAAGTTCAATTTTTCAAATAAGAATTTTAATTGGAATCAAATCTCTAGTCCTAAGGCTAGCAAGTATCATGCTATTCTAGAACACCCTCAAAAAGCAACTATAAATCTTGTTTTATAGAACTTTGCAGTTAAACAATTTATGCAATTCCATTAAAAAAAATCAGTGTTATATTTTTCTTAACATTTATTAAAACATTAGACATAACCTGGATGGGGGAAAATGGCGATCAAATGCTAAAAATATAAACATAAGAAAAGCAAACATGAAAACAAATCTTTTTTAAAAAATCATTTAATTACAAGAAAATTAGCCAGAAAATTACATAGTTTCAAACAAATATTGTCTATAAAAACAAGTGTTCATTTACCATCTTTTTAAATTTATCTTTTAAATAATGTCTCATCTACTGAACCTAGCCTTTCCTGGCAAACATTAGAATATACAAGTTTTCTTCATGTTTAATATTTCATAAAACAGAACTGGCTTTTGTTCCTGAAGTTAGAATGATGCCTATCATTTTGCTTCAGAGAAACTTTAAAATTGACTATTTCAATTAACCACTCCCCAAATCCAATGCAAAAACAACAAAAAACACTGCTATTTTACTAAAAGATTCCTGTCTTCCATTTCATTTTACCAGAGCAAGTACAAATTCGGAGAAAAGCTTCTTAAGTCCTGCAGTTTCAAATTCCTTTTGTAATTCATCCAACGCTGAATACTCTTTGACTTCAAATGCCAGAAACCTGCATTATACAAAAGAAACTCATGAATATGCCTAGATTTGTCAGAGTATAATTATCGATTCAGTTGCTTTTCCATCTGCAATAGTACTAAATTATACCTTTTGTGTTCTGTCTGTACTTTTGTTTCAAACAGTACACTAATCATTTTCTCTTTGCATTTCTTTCCACTTGAGTCCACATCTACTTTGGAGGTTTTCTGAAGAATCAAGTACTCCTAAATAATAAATCAGTACATTAAATACATATCTTACTCTGAGTCTCAAAGTCCCAGTTTTAAAGGAGCTATAAACCTGTAGGCTTATTTTCATGCTTAAATACCCCCTTTTTAAATCAAGCAGTAAGAATTTTTATATACTTGTTTTAACATACTTGGCAGAATAATGTAGTGGTGGATACAGGAGTAAAGAACAATATAATCCAACTCCTCAAGTTTAAATCTGGATTGAACTGCCTACTAGTTCTTACTCTGGGCTGGTTACTTAAATCCTCTGTGGCTCAGTTGCCTTCTCCATAAAATGGAATTAATAGCAGGATCTACCTCATGGGGAAGTTGTACTAATTAAATGAGATAATACATGCAAAGCACTAGAGGAGTATCTAGATATAGCGCCATGGCACACTTGAGAGCACAAGCCACTGTTCTTACTATTACAAGTTCAGCAGCTAAATGACATTACCAGGCACACAGCACTTACCATTCCAAATTGATAGCATCTATAAATATGTACCTATACATCCTCAATCCTAGTATACAATCTTATAAAAATATAAGAGAAATTTATATAAAATGACATTTTAGAGAGAACTGAAAAAAGATCTCCTAAAAAAGTATTCTTTCTCTACATTAGCAGGGTTCTAGTTAAATATGAATAGATACCTGTTAATTAATTGATGTTTCAATCTGAGTAAGAACATCTGCAAAACAGCTGGGTTTAGCCTAATATTCCTGAGCTGGCTTAAAGAGAAATCTGAGTCTTTCAGGTAAAGATGAGCATGAAAATTAATTTGTATTTATTTTTTGTCAGCTACTATTTTACCCAAAAGGATCAAACGTTATAGATATACTACAAATCACTTTAAAACAAGAGGTTCCTCAGTCAGTCCCAATCCAAGATATGCATTAAATCTGAATTACTGTTATATCTATATACTTTAACCCAGCATGAGTCTGGTTAACCAAATGCCAAAGCAGTTTTGTGGTAAGAGCCCATCATGAAAAAACTAAGTCATTATTCTACAAATCTTTAAGATTTGTCTTAAATAAATTCACTGTTCACACTAAATTTGTCTTAAATAAATTCAAATGTAATTATTCATGACCTAACCTATCTGAAAGTATAAAACCTATTGATTTGTAGCTCTTCTAATATTTAAAATATAAAAAACAGTTTTCCTCATCTTGTCCCACCTAAAACAGGTCAGATGAGTTTAGAATAAGAACTTGAAAAATCTGAAGAAGATGATGATTTTGAAAGCAACTGCTGAGACAAGTCAGGTGGAAAGCAAAAGTTAGGTAGGAGGTGACAAGTTGACAGCCCTAATGATTCTACTTCTACTAACATGAAATCTCGGTTATAACAGACAAGCTCCTCTTTCCAGGTATTATAGATACCAAATTAAAGTGTCAGAATGTATTTTTAACAGCCAGAAAGTTACAAATCTTGCAGACTATCCACAAATACACACCTTGCTGTGCCTAACTATGGGAAGAAATATTAATATGCACAAACTTTTAGTGCACATTTATAAAATTCAAGCTCATAGCTAATTACAGAAACAAACACTCATGTGCCACAGAGCTTTTAAATAACCTGTCACTTTATTAAGTGACATGATTTTTAAAATGCAATCTTATTCTTCAAGCTTTGCAAGTTTGTACTTGTAATTAGCAGTCAGACATTCTTTAAAAAGAAAAGGAAGATCCATTAAGATTGTAATAATGAAAGCAGAAACATCTTAATAATTAATCTATCCCATTGTTATAAAACACACTTAAAGACACACCATTTAAAGCAGAAAATAGCCAGATTCATACTCAACATTTAACTTTTTGGCACCTTGAGGTTGTTTCTGTCTCCCTGTAGTAAAATCAGTATTATTTTACCCATGAACATCAGTCTTCCTGTCAGCCTTAAATCTGAAGCCCACTTCTCCACAATTTTGACATATTTAGTCTTTGCTCTCATGTGATCTAAATGCAAAAGAGTTATCCACAATCCATCATCCATGGTCGTGCTTGTTGAAAAAGTACACTTTTCACTGCCACTGCCAGTTTCTGGTTGGCTGAGGATATGCCTGAGATTCTGCTGAATCCAGAGAACCAGCTCATGAACCATAGGCTCCGACAAAAGGCTCTCTGCTTGCTCAAGTAAATTCTCTTTCACAGTCACACACTGGGCCCTGGTCAACTGTTCAGAGTTAATCGAGATACCAGGTAGACATGAAGGATAATTGACTGGCAAATGGAACACCAATTCCAGAGGTATATCCACATCCATAAATCCTTCAGCTTTTGTGTGAATTCTGAACACGGTCCCATCTGTCTCTGGAAGGCATCCAAAAATAATCATTAGCTGTACATTATTCAATTTGAATGGAACACCAGCAAGTTCAAACTTTTGTCTCAAATGTCAATTTATTTTTCATGAGAAAACTCTGAGCTATTTTATGAAGGGACACGTAATACTAGGAAAGCTATGATTTACAAATTATTTCCTTCAACCATACACATGTATTCATGTATTCACACACACCAGCACCCAGGATTTAACTGGCATTTACACTTGCTATCACCCCATTTTTATTAAGTTACCAGAAAGGTTTTTCATCAGATAATTTTTTTTCTAGCCAGATTTAGTTGATAATTCTGAAAATCCCTAATAAACTCATATGAGCTTTCAAAGATACAATACCACATATATACAAAATCAGTAATTAACTTAAAAATTGTACACTAAATCCAACGAAAGTCATTTTATGAGAAGTCCAAGTCAAAGCAAGCAATGGAATCCCCTGTGGTTGTAGGGTTGCAGAGAAACTGATGACTGCATGTGACATAGTAACTGCCTGGAATGTTCTCTTCTTATTTCACATATATTAGTATCAGTATAATATGAAGGTGGCAAGATGAACTGAAATTGAGTGGACATCAATTCTGCCTCTTCCAGCTCCTAAGAAGGAAGGGGAAAGCACACATAGGATATCATATGAAATCCTCTGCTCTCTTTCAGATTTGCTTGGCTTCACCCTCTGATGTGTTCCACACCACTTCATGCCACTTTTCAAAAAGATGATAAAACGTCAGGCTGAGTAGAACAGAACTGGGTGCAAATAAATCTCTCTGAAGCTAACTTGCCTCTCTCTACCCCTACTTCCCTCTGCACGTGCCTTTGCTTTATTCCCCTGCATGAGAGAAGCAGTCAAATCTTTCCCATTTTCATACCTGGATTGCTGCTCAACAGCCTCAACAACTGAGACCTGAATGTATCCCCATTTTAAAGAACCTAACAGAACATTAAAATTGTTTCCTGAGCCTTCTGATTCCACATATATAAAAGCCATTGCTACAGATATTGATTCATACAGGACCAGACACATCTGTTACAGAGTTTTTCTTTCATACACTCTTCAGTACCAGCTGCAAGGAACGACTATTTTAGGACATCATCTGGAAACATAGACAGTTAACCGTTAAGAAGACCATATTAAAATGATACAATTTATATGTGTATTTCATAAGAAGAATTTTCCAAATCTAACTTTGTACATTCCTCCAAAACCCATCATGTTTCTCAAAACCCTTCTTCTTCTATCTAGTTACTTATTCTTTTTTTTTTTGAGACACAATCTCACTCTGTCGCCCAGGCTGGAGTGCAGTGGCATGATCTCGGCTCACTGCAACCTCCGCCTGCCAGGTTCAAGCAATTCTCCTGCCTCAGCCTCCCGAGTAGCTGGGATTACAGTCATATGCCACCATGCCCAGCTAATTTTTGTATTTTTAGTAGAGACAGGGTTTCTCCATGTTAGCCAGGCTGGTCTCAAACTCCTGACCTCGGGTGAACCACCCGCCTTGGCCTCCCAAAGTGCTGGGATTACAGGCATGAGCCACCGCACCCGGCCTAACTACTTACCCTTTTAAAAAAAAATACTTTATTGTTAAAGTAGGCTGCCTATGTTAAAATAGTACATTTCAATATGTAAAACAGACATTACAAATAGAACTGCAGACAACACACAACCATTTAGGCTGAATAAACTTTCTAATAATCATCTAGGGAGTTGACATTCTCTCTTCAAGAAGGAGGAGAACTTTTAAAGATCTTCAATCATTCATCATTGAACAAGCATTCACTGAACACCTACTAAGCTCAAGGCACTGTACTAGTCTCTGAGGGAAAATGACAGGTAAGACACAGATCCCATCATATTGACTCAATCCAGTGTTTCAGAACACGAGAGCAGGGATATATCCCAAGTGATCTTCCTTGACTTCTCTTCTACACCTAAACATTTCTTTATTCATAAATATGCGTACATATACATGTACATATAATTTATATAAACATAAATGTCTGTGTTGGTAGATAATTCTCCAGGGATCTGGTGTGGGAGTTCAGTCAGGGTGGTGGGAAAAACTGCAGAGGAAAAATTGTAAAGATAGTTATAGGAAATAGTCACAAACCTTCTTAGAAGGCTGGGGGGTGGTGGTGCATAGCTTCAGTAAAAGATTTGGCTGAAAGCAGCCGAATCCTCTTTACCTCGAGTTGATAGCAAAAGAGCAAATAACAAGGGAATGTGGGAGAGTTTACCTAAATAGCTTGTTTACTCATGTGGTCCTAAGAGCAACCTTTGATTATCTGTGGGTGCATGACTGCTCTCCCCTGGGGGGGGTGGGGAGGGGTGGCAATGTTAATTACCTTCTAGTGGTGTTTACTCATGACCCTTGTCATTTAATCTGTACTAAATAAATGTGAACTTCACCGGCTTATCATGGCCTACACTGCAGATTCAGGAGCAGAACCCCTTTAGCCACACTGACAAGCAAAATGTCTGTGTCAGTGTACGTCTCTCATCCATCACTAGGTCAGTGTCTGCGGGTCGGATGCCCACAATCTGGCATTTCTGAATGCCTTCTGAGCAAAGGGCATTAATATCTTTGTTCAAGGACTTTTGCATAACCGACAGCCTTGGAAGCTAGAGTTTATCCCTCCAGGTCAGGGGGCAGATTTGTTTCCTAAGCAATATAAGGTAACATATTCCTTCAGGACAAAGATTGAGCAGGATCACTAGCAGCTCCCTCATAATACCGGAGGGTTCCTAAGCTCACTGCCCCTCAGCTATAACAAAGACCCACTGAGTGCATTGTATGCACCTCAGCCTACCTCTACATCACCCCATTGAACTTGGGGGACAAGGAGAATCAATGTGAACATGAAGCTAATGCTGCCTGCTGTGCATTAAGCAGTAACTGTCCAAATCCATCTGGGTTCACTGTCTCCTTACTGGCTGAATCCATGGAAGTGTGTTAGTGACCAAGGAACTGCAGTTGTCATTGCTGCCTAGGAACTGCTGGGCCACTTGATTATACTTTTTTTTTTAATCATCTTGCTCTTTTTCACTGTTTTATCTGAGAAAGAAGTGTCTTCCTCCCTTCCACAGGAAACTCTATCACTGGTCTTGTGCTTGTTTTTTGTTTTTGTTTGCTTTTTGAGATTGAGTCTCACTCTGTCACCCATGCTAGAGTGCAGCAGGGTGATCATGGCTCACTGCAGTGTTCAGGCTGGTCTCAAACTCTTGACCTCAGGTGATCCACCCGCCTCAGCCTCCCAAAGTGCTGGGATTACAGGTGTAAGCCACCACACCTAGCCTAGGCATAAAATCTTAAAGCTGCCTTCAACTTTTTTTTTTCCCTCCTTCTTTCATACTTAGCATTCAACTGCCAAATCCCACAAGTCCTCCAGAATTTCTCTCCCTTCCACCCTCCTAATTCAGGCCTTTCTCTGGCTTCTGCAATAGTGGTCTCCTCGCCGCCTGCCTCTCCCCACACCAAATTATCCCAATACCACTCTCCCAGAATGAAATGAATTACAAATTCCTCCATGCAACGCCTAGGGCCAGCCTACCACTCTGACTTCCTCTCTCCTCACTTTTTGCTTCAACTACCCATTTTATACCATGTCCTCAGTCTTGGGTGTCCCATCTCTGCCTCTTGCTCCCATTATCTCCAAGAAGGCCCTTAACTTTCTGTCTACTAAAATTTTGTCCAGTTCCACAGTTCCTCCCTAAGTCCCACCTAATGACTTCCATGGTATTTCAAACTTATTTTATGGTATTTTCATGTCCAGAATTATTGTGGTTAAACTAAATTAACATTTTTTCCAGCACTGAAATATCTTGATTTTCTTTTTAAACAACAACCAAAATGGGGGGATACAAAAAACTTTTAAATTGTACAGTCATACAGCTCTTGGAATTGTGCTAGTAGCTTGTAATCACGGATCTCACAGGTGCAGAAATCCCTGGTACCTGTGGTAAATAATGGGCCCAAAGATGTGTACATTCTGTTTCCCAGAAGCTGTGAATACGCTCCCTCACATGGCAAGAGAGCCTCTGCAGACATGATTAAGTTAACGATTTCGAGAGGGGAGTATTATCCTGGATTACCCAGGTGAGCCCTGAATGTAATCACAAGGGTCCCTATAAGGAGGAGACAGAGATTTTACTACAAAAGAAGGCAATGTATCCGCACTGAAGCAAGATGCTATGCTGCAAACTTTGAAGAATCCTTTTCTGATCAAAACCCTGAGACCCACAGTGTTCTCCAACCTGTGCCATATAAACACCTACCGGGTCCTCTCTGGTGCAGGGAACCACAGGAAAGAAACATGTTGGTAGTCCAGGGGGAAAGTCTTGAAAAGCTACTGAGCCAGCCATGTCAGTCCTTACCAATTTTCATTTTTCTCTGTGTTATTTTCTGGTCCTAGTCAGCAAACAGAATAGCAATGGGTGAAACTCCTGACTTTCACCTTAGAAAACTGTGACCGTCATACTAGTTATATGTTCGGAAGAAAACTGCCTTAGTTCTTTTAAGAATTGGAAAGGATTAGCATTCTTCCTAATTGGTCTTGGTAAATCCCCCTGCCCACCCACACATACACTGTAGCTGCAAAATAAGATTATACAAAATGATACTGTCATCTCTACAAGAAACTGAAAAGCCCAATAACATACTCCATTCTTCTGGTATTTAATGTGGCAATAAAATTACATACTTTTAAAAACTCATTTTCTCCCAAAAACTCTAGAAGTATGTATTGTACTCTTCCATATCTCATCTGCTTGACATTGTACAAGCAATTAAACTGGCTCCTTTCTGCCTCAGAATTTTTCATATGACACATGCACTGTAAGTCTGATTTTTTGTTTTCTTTTTTTGCCATAATAAAAAAGAAAACAAAGTTGCCCCTATCTGCTTTAAGGTTATTAACAGCTTAGAAACAGTGATTAGCAGAAAAATAATTATGCTCTAAATCTAATACTAATCTCTGCCCCTCCTTAGCCCCCCAGAACCTTAGTTAATAAGCTTAATTCACAAACTGATCATTCTCAACAAACATCTATGCCCTAGAAAACTTAAGGCTTGCCCCAGAAAACTAAAATCTCCATAAGTCCAAGGGTGTTTTCATGTATTCTAAAGACCCTACCAAAAGGGTCTTGCCCTCTTGTTCAAGTTGATACAAATTGACTACTTGTTGTTTCTAACCAAATCATTCTGTCTTATAGTAAGTGTATCATTTTCATACCTAAAACACAAACTGAAACAGGTTTCAAACCTTATGCTTCCTTACAAACATCAGAAAGTAAGCTCCTAAACACATTCCAAACAGAAATTCAAACTAGAGAAACTTAAACTTTTAGAACTCCAAATTCACACTAATGCTATTTTTAAGGTTTCATTCTACTTAATAAAATACAACACACAACAGAAACTCTATAAATGCAGTCAAATAACAGAAGACATTTTTAAAAAAAGGTAAAATTTAAGAGAATGGGTTTTTCAGGATTCACTAAGAGCCCATTAAGAAATTGTTTACATACCATATACATCTGACCTTCCCTACACTTGTGTTTTTTTTCTTTGCAATTGTTATATATCCTCAAGATACAACTTTGAAGAAAACCACCAAGAAACCTTCAGCACCCTCTCATACTTGGTAAGACAAGACTGTCTCCTCTTGCTCCCAGGCAGCTCCCAGGCAAGCATACACCAGTGCTTGTTTTATGCTTCAGTTGGATTTTTACATAAGTTTCAATGTAGCTTCAGAAGAAAAAAAAAAAAACTAAAAATAAATGAAGCTAAAAGTAGCAATCTCATCGGTTTTATAGAAGTCAGCTCAATACTGACAATCAGCATAAAACCGAGCTGAGCAGATTTAGAGGGGTCAATGTGTGACAGTCATGATTCATTTTATAAGAAGGCCCAAACTAATTTGAACATTAGTGTTGCTAAAATACAAAAATTCACTCTGCAGCTTCTGTGAAAACCTATTACATGATATTGGGTTCTCCCATCTTACAACTTTTTTATCTGTAAGATTCTTTCCAGAAGCACAACTCCCACATATAACGAACATTGACTATGGCCACATAATCTGTGTCACTCAATTTCCTCATCAGGAAAATGGTGATACAATACCAATCTCACGCCTCTCATAGATCCACACATACATGCACAAACACTCCCCTTTGGGATTGTTCTGAACATAAGTTGGCTCACACTCATATCTTTTCTCTGGGTGCTCATTATCGCTCTTTCTGCACAAGTATTTCCTTGCTTTCCAAGAACTATTTTCCTGATGCAACAGCCCCATCTCTCTATTAAGGAGCATGATGCAGTGCAAAGGCCCATACACCTGGAGCCTGGTGGTTATTTAACCAGTCTGAGTATCAGTTATCTTCTCTGTGAAGTAAGACCAATAGTACCCCTCATCAAGTAAGATGCATTTCAAGTATCACGTACATGGCAGGTCACCCCATCAAATCTGGCACCTGGACTGACTACAATGCATACAGAAAAACAGAATATCCCTAATGTGGTCTATCCACAGCCCTCCCTTGTAGATGGGAGTGTAGGGACTTACTTAATTTGCACCCCTAAGAGATGGTTATGCCTCTTACTAGAAGCTTACTATAACCATTGTAAAGAGATCAAAAGGCAGATAAAATCCCCTGAAATTCTCAGCATAAAATTAGTCCAGCTAAATGGAATCCAATTATTTAGCTTCTTCAATCTTACGGCCTTAATAGTTGATCCTTGGGTTAGCAGTCTGAGTCTTGCTGGGTTATCTTGTTACCAGGAATGCAATTCCTCTGCAACATTCTCCTGATTCCAGTGGCAAAAGGGAGAACCTTATTTGGGGGAGGCCAGAAAAGAACTAGTGTTTAGAGTGTTCTGGTATCAAGTGTGTATCCTCCAACCCAAACTGACAGTGATGGTGAGTGGTAGCCAGCAGTCTGCTGCATGTTTACTGTGGTCTGTTAAAGAAGTCCTTACTTTGTAAAAAGATGTTACGAAAATCATGGGAAAAAAAAAAAAGGCCTTTACCTTACCCCCTTAATTCCCACTTGTGAACATCAAACATCCCCATTTCAATCACTGAATTATTCTACCTCTCAGCAACAAAATGTCCTAAGTTGTTACACTGAATTCTTTTATAATTCAATTACTTATTGATGCCAGAACATGGAATTAAACTAATTAGGAGGCATGGCTTGAAAGTCATGCTCAATTTAACAGCAGATAAAGGGTTCACAGTGTTCTCAAGATTAAGAAACTGTTTTCTTTCTATGCTTACATTTTTGGGTTTTCTCTGACCCTTCAGCAGTGTTTTATGCTCAGCTGTGTACTAATGACCCAGACCATTACCAGTTCTTTAAGGTGTGATGGGAAATTGCAGGTTCATTTTTCCAGGATATTCCCAACTGAGCCATAATAAAGGAATTTAGGAAAACTGATGATCTCTTCAAATAGCTGCCTCAGGCAGAAGTAATTATCAATAAAGAGAACAGTGGAGACAGAGAGGGAGATGGTGAAGAATTATCCAATCAGAAGAGGGATGACAAGAAAACACTAAAAGTGAGTAAACCCCTTCATATGGATTTTAAACAATTGTTTCAAAAGATACAAGTCAGGCTGGGCACTAAAAAGAAAGCAACTCCATTACACTAATAGGTGCATAGTGCCTGGAACATAACAGTGCCCAATGAGTGGATGTGAGTGGATGAATGCAAGAAGGAATAAATGGAAGTCAACTCCCTGTCCTTCAGTGAATAACACACCCAATGGATATCATGAAGGATCTTAATCTTAAATGGTTTTCTCACAACATCCAGCCCATTTTTAGACTACTTTTTTTTTTTTTTTCTGAGACAGAGTTTCACTCTTGTTACCCAGGCTGCAGTGCAATGAATGGTGAGATCTTGGCTCACTGCAACCTCCGCCTCCCGGGTTCAAGTGATTCTCCTGCCTCAGCCTCCCGAGTAGCAAGGATCACAGGCGTGTGCCACCATGCCCAGCTAATTTTTGTATTTTTAGTAGAGATGGGGTTTCGCCATGTTGGCCAGGCTGGTCTTGAACTCCTGACCTCAGGTGATCTGCCCGCCTCGGCCTCCCAAAGTGCTGGGATTACAGGCATGAGCCACGCGCCAGGCCTAGACTACCTTCTTAAAGGTTAACCAATTTATGGTCAGAAAGCCAATTTTAATGGTAGCTACAATATAACATTAGAACGATAAATCTCATGCCCCAAACATGTACATAATGTATCTGAAAGCTAAGTGAAAACTGAGTCACTTTCTCATACATGGCAGTGTTTTTTCTTTTTTTTTTATTCAATAGAAGCCACATACAGGGACAGTAAGTTTCACCTATCATCAAAAAATAGTCAAAAGAACCTCTCTACACTGTAAGCTCCTAGAGGCCATGGGTAGCGGTGTCTCTGAAACCCTGACAAAGTCTGTAGGCAGCAGGGATTCAATAAATGTGGGCTAAATGACTAATAAAGCCCTCAAGAGCTTGTTTAAAAAAAAGTATCAGAAGGCCAGGCACCTGTGGCTCACGCCTGTAATCCCAGCACCTTGGGAGGCCGAGACGCGCGGATCACGAGGTCAGGAGATTGAGACCAGCCTGGCCAACATGGTGAAACCCCGTCTCTACTAAAAATACAAAAAATTAGCCAGTCATGGTGGCAGGCGCCTGTAGTGCCAGCTACTCGGGAGGCTGAGGCAGGAGAATGGTGTGAACCCAGGAGGTGGAGCTTGCAGTGAGCCGAGATCGCGCCACTGCACTCCAGCCTGGGGGACAGAACAAGACTCTGTCTCAAAAAAAAAAAAAAAAAAAAAAAAAGGCCGGGCGCAGTGGCTCACGCCTGTAATCCCAGCACTTTCGGAGGCCGAGGCGGGCGGACCACGAGGTCCGGAGATCGAGACCATCCTGGCTAACACGGTGAAACCCTGTCTCTACTAAAAAAAAAAATACAAAAAATTAGCCGGGCGTGGTGGTGGGCGCCTGTAGTCCCAGCTACTCGGGAGGCTGAGGCAGGAGAATGGCGTGAACCCGGGAGGCGGAGGTTGCAGTGACCCGAGATCGCGCCACTGCACTCCAGCCTAGGCGACAAAGCAAGACTCCGTCTTAAAAAATAAAAAATAAATAAAATAAAATAAATAAAATTCAGCCAGGCATGGTGGCACGCGCCTGTGATCCCAGCTACTCGGGAGGCGGAGGCTGCAGTGAGTCCAGATGGATCCACTGCACTCCAGCCAGGGCAACAAGAGAGACTCCACCTAAAAAAAAAAAAGTATCAGAAAAGCAATCAACTTGGAAATAGAATGCAGATAAAGTTGAGGTTGAGCACTGGATAAATGAAAAAGTTCAGTCAACAAACATTTACCTACTACCTACCAGGTGCCTGGAGTCATTACCAAACAGACCCTGCCCTCCTGCAACTTAAGACCTACAAATACCCGTGTAGAGTTAGAACCGGGGAGTGCTCTCGGGGGGGCCTAGGGCATAGTGCTTAGGAAGGACACAGAACAACGAGGGGGCGTCAGCACAGGCTTCTTTATAGGGTGAGATCTGAGGGGTGGGAGGCTGGGGGAGGGCCTGGGGGTGCGCACGCAGGGGCCCCCGGCTCCGGGAGCGGGACCGGCGGCAGAGGCCCCAGTGGGCCGCGCCGCTCTCTTAGTGTTTCTGGGGTCGCCTCACACTCCCGCCCGCTGCGACACCACTCCGGCCTCCGGGCGTGTCATTCCATCATTCAACTAACCCGGTCCCCATACGTGGGCCCAGGCGGGGTGCCCAGGCTCCGTGGTGGGGAGGAGACGCAAAGCGAACGCGGGTGGCCCCTGAGGGCGCCCTGTCCCTCCCGCGCGCGGGTAGTCACCTGAGCGGCTCAGCACCTCCCACTCGTGGGGCCTGCAGAAAATCGCGGCCAGGACCGAGAGCTCCTCCTGCACAGGCTCCGCCATGGCTGTGGGCCCCACCGCCTCAGCGCTTCCCCTTCCGCTGCCGCAGCCGCCGCCTCCACCGGCCAGGAGCAGCACTGCCCGCGGCCACCCGGGGGCGCCCCGCGCCTCCGCAACCGGGCGGGACGGGGGCGGGGCGAGACGGAGCTGGGGCGAAGCGAAACGGGACGTGGGCGAGGCGAGTCCGGGCGAGGGTCAGGGCAGACGGGGCGGGCGGGGCCCTTAGAAGTTCCGCCCAGAAGCTCCTGCTCAGTAACTACAGACGCGAAGCTCAGCCTCTCGGTTTGGGAATTTTCTTGGAGGCCGAGGCCCTGCGCCTCTGTCTGCACCCAAGGCGACCGCCCAGCTTACCCCCGGCTCTTCTGAGCACAGGGAGGCCTCCCAGCAAAGCCTGAACCCTCTAAGTTTAGCTGCAGGCTTCGAACCCCGACCGTCCCCGCCGAGCCTTGGGCTGCTGAGGTGGGGATGAACTGGGCGAAAGACACTTGGGAGTTAGGAAGAAACAAACAAGCAGGGAAGTGACCAGGAGACAAGGTGAGACTTTGCCCGGCTCAGGTCTGAACTGAGTGTTGGAGATAACCACAGTTAACAAAATAAACAAAATTATTCGCCCCCGTGGAGCTGTTAGCAACCCTGGTGCCTGGGAAGCCTGGAAGAGGCTCGGGTTAGTAACAACCTCCAGGATGCCCTCCGAACTGGTACTGGCGCCGGGACTCTAGACAAGGTCCAGATTCCCGGGCCCTTCCCCTTACGGGTGCAAAAAGGGAGGGTCAGGACCTGCCAGTCCTGGCTTCAGGATGTTGACTGGACGGACCTGGACTCATGGGAACTGTGCGCCAAAGTCCTGGGAGCAAAGTGTCATAACGCTCCTCGTTTGTCTCTTGCCTTCACAGGAGACAGCCCTGCTGCAAGCGGCCAGTGGGAATCCTTGGCCTTTGGGGGTATGATCCAAGAATGTAAACGCTAGCTTTTCAGTGTTTTCGATTTCGTGATATTCAATGCATACAATACAATGTGACTCTTGAAGCTTAATAATAAAATTATCATTCTTGAGCCCAGCACCTAAATTTTAAAATGTGAGCAATACCAATAGGGTAACAGAATAAGCAATCCATTCTGTTTTGACTATAGTGAACAAGATTACAAGACTTATCTGCAGTTAGGTCTGTCTCTCGGATGTTTGCCTGGTCTTTTTGCTGTTCAAATAACAGTTTAAAATTTGGCAGTCCCCACAAGCAGCTGGTCTTGCTCATGGAGTTCTCACAACTTTTGTTTGTATGAGAAATCACATTTCATGAGATAAATCTGGGAATTTAGGTTGTTAGGCAGTGACTCCAGTCACTGACCTACGGAAGTCAGAACAAAGTTGGCTGATTTTAAAACCCTGCATCCATTCACCATTACCATTCCCGCTGTTGGTAAAAAAGGAATCTGATAAAGGAAAAGATACTGGCTTCCCGGAACAGAAAGGAAACCTAACAAGATGGACTGCAGGGAAAATGCTTTTCAGAAGATGCCATGGGATTTCAGTGACCCCGAGTAATTAGGAGCACATAATTGGGAAGATGAAGGCTTATTTAAATGCAGTTATCTCTGATATGGCCAATTGGCTTGAAGAAAAAAAAAACTCCTTTATTTCCAAAATAACAGACGTTCCAGCAGTTCAGTAGGTTCATAATTAACTGCTAAAGAGATTGAACAAAAGAATACGTTTTTAATTTAAAATATTACTAAGTTATTTTAATTCGAAATCCAGTGTTACTATGAAAAGTCAAACAATTTGGTTTTTGACTTATTTATTGAAAATAATCTATAAAATAGGCTGGGCGCAGTGGCTCATGCCTGTAAGCCCAGCACTTTGGGAGGCCGAGGCGGGTGGATCACCTGAGGTCAGGAGTTCGGGACCAGCCTGACCAACATGGTGAAATGCTGTCTCTACTAAAAATACAAAATTTAGCTGGGCGTGGTGGCAAGCACCTATCATCCCAGCTACTCAGGAGGCTGAGGCAGGAGAATCGCTTGAACCCGGGAGGCGGAGGTTGCAGTGAGCCGAGATCGCACCTTTGCACCACTCCAGCCTAGGCAACCAAGCGAGACTCCGTCTCAAGAGCAAAAAAAAATCTATAAAATATTCAAATAGTTTTTACTTATTTTTAATTTTCCAAATTCACTATAAGTGAGATGAGTGAAATAACATGAAGAGCAAAATTACAGCTGTAGGAAGGATTAGGAGGCAGTTGCTAAAGCCTGCTGTCAGCAATAGGTCCATGAAAATTGATTAAAGAGTACATCAATCTATGATTTAAAATTTTCTTGTCAATAGGTTTCTTCTTTGCTCTTCCTTTCTCAGTTGATTTCTTAATCTGCTTTTCATACCTCATTTAGCATGTTTAAATAAAAAAG
Source organism: Homo sapiens (assembly GCF_000001405.40). Taxonomy (NCBI): domain Eukaryota; kingdom Metazoa; phylum Chordata; class Mammalia; order Primates; family Hominidae; genus Homo; species Homo sapiens. The sequence continues at coordinate 95,231,830 of NC_000001.11, read as the reverse complement.
AAGTCAATGTGAATGTCTTTTAAATTGACACTATCCTAAGGCACTGAAGTCCCATGAATAAGTTTCTGCACTCTGACATTTGGAAATAATCATCTCAGAGACTGCATAATGTCAGCTTGATATTTCTTGCACTGTGAAAATATCAGCTACATGTCAAATCTCTAAAGTCTACCTTAATGTAATAAGTTTCCTCGTATTCACAGGCTACTGAAAATTCAAAATATTTAAATGTAGGATGAATGTCTACAGTTAGAGCATTGTCTACCTCCATCTCTCTCTCTCCCTTCTCACCCTTACACACACAAAGGTGTATGATTTGCTAGAACAATTATTATTTTTACAAGTATTATTTTTACAAGCAAATTTTCTAAATAGTTGCTTCCCCAAGACCATAAGGGGAAAAGGTTTAAAACCTTTCACCTTCAGTTAAAACCAATAACCCAGAAGATAGTTCTTTTCATTTTGGGGGGAAACAGTTCTACTCACTTTCTCATGAGTAGTATGTAGACTTACTCAACTCTGAGTTTGAAATCTTAAGTCAAAACTCACGTGAGCATAGAAATGAGAATGCACAATTTCAAGTGTATTAGGAGAGTTAAGTGTTATGTCAAAAAAAGGTGAGGATCCTAATACTGGAGTGGAGTGTGATAAGAAAAAATATCAAATCAAAACTGAGAAAGGTAAAAGTACTTTCATGAACCACCAAAACAACCAAAAGAGGGCTTAAATGCCAACTTCCTAAATAAATCTGAACTCCAAGAACCTGTGCTACTGGTTCTGTCTAAAGAGTTTCTGCATTCGCATACTCATTTCACAAAATGTTCTTAGACACTCACTGATTGTTGGCCGGGCTCTGCAGGCTGAGTGTGGAGAGGTGGAGAGTTAGAGATGAAAACAAGTCCATGTTTCCAGTGACTACAGCCTTTGGTCTAGACAAGTAAACACAATATGAAACAATTACAAATTCTTTCACCAAGCTGAGCATACAAGAATTATCACATTTCCTTAGCGGTGTAAAGTTCAATATTATGATGTAGGTTAAAGTAACAGAGTAGGAGTAGCATATACCTCCCACAATTTCCGAGGGGAGAAATAATTTGGAAATGCTCAGGAACACAGTAGCCCTCCAAAAGTACACAAAGTCTGGGATGTTAACTAGTCATAGTTGTTTTGTTTTGTTACAGTATACAGATCGTAAATTTATTTTTCATAATGATAAAAGCAAATAAAATCTATGAGAATTTGCCACTGGCTCTGTGATCATACCCTTGTGTGGAAAGATCTGCCTCCATCATGTCCAAGTAATCTGCACTCCCTCCAAAATATCGGCTGCACTCTGCCATGCTTGATTTCTATGCATGAATGGTATCAAGACAGTTCCAGCTTGCTTTATGGGAACCCATCCATATGGCCCAAATCCACCAATATAAAAGCTCAATGCCTTCTCAATGTTATAAAAACAAGTCACTGGTATCATTGGGGTTTTTGAGTTTTTCTAGTTAAAATAGTATCCAATATTTAATTTTGGTGACTATTATAAATGGATTCTTCTTATTCATTATATTTTCCCACTGTATTACTAGTGTAGCCAGTTTTTATTATCTAAAAGAGGGCTGAGGATTGTGTGACTTAAATATCCTTTTCTCCAAACTCATAAAGGGACTATCCATGAGTAAACTCTGCCATTTTAGCAAAAGTGATTGAAAATGGAAAGACAGATGTATATCAAGGAACCACAGGTAAAACTGGGAAAATTAGACTTGGATTTCCTTTTTAAAAATTATAGTGGAAGGAGGGAAGAAGGTAGGAAGGGAAAGAGAAAGAGAAAAAAAAAGAGGTAGGAGGAAGAGGGGAAGGGGGAAAAGGAGGAGAAATAGGGAAAGAAAAGATTGATTTTTATGAGGCAAAAGAAGTCATGAGTTAGGAATTTGTCTTTATGTAAGGAAAAAGTAAAAAAGATTGACTTGCCTGCTTCTTAAATAAAGAAGTCTGAAACTTGATTCAATAACAATATGAGGTCTGAAATTTGATTCAAAATAATATAGGAGGGAGGAAGAGGCTATAGTGTGAGTGGGGCAGAAGCTGATCATAGGTTAATGATTGGTGGGGTGGAGTGATGGGTACATGAAGATTCAGTATTTCATTCCCTCTACATTTGTGTATTTCATATTCTTTTTAATAAATGTTAATTTTTAAAATGTGTTCAGTAGATAATACATCAGGATATTTGAGTTTTGCCTAATGCTCAATTAAGGGAAAAAGGACAAAAATAAAGCAGGAAAATAGGGAAGAAAAAGGAAAACCGGGGCCAAATGGAGTGAATAGAGTTGGTGGATGATATTAAGAGACAGAAGATGACAGGTTCTAAAGTGATGTGTTTAACAGATGTATGATTTACGATTAGTTCAGGTGAAAAAAAGCACAGAGCCTAACAGTGCAGTGGCTTTAACAAGATACAATTGGTTTTCTCTTAAACGTTCAAGTGTGGAGGTAGGCAGAGCTTTGGTGCTCCCCGGTGTCAGGATATAAGTTCCATCTATTTTGTGGCTCTGCTCTGCACAGATTTGATTCCCATGGTCATGCTGTGGTTCAGGGTGGCTTTTGGAGCTCCGATCACGAGTCAGAAGAATGGGATTCAGTCCAATTTCATTGACTAGGACTCAGTCCCCATGACTGCTGCCAGTTAAAAGGGAGCTTGAAAATGTTGGTTTTAATCTGACAGGCCCTGTACTCATTAAGATGAGTTTGGGTCAGATGGATAGCTTGCAAATATTTTTTTTCCCATTCTGTAGGTTGCCTCTTCACTCTGCTGATTGCTTCCTTTGCTGTGCAGAGGCTTTTTAGTTTGATGTAATCCCATTTGTCTATTGTTTATGTTGCCTCTGCTTTTGAGGTCTTACCCAAAAAATCTTTGCCTAGACCAATGTCCTGATCCATTTCCCCTATGTTTGCTTCTAGTAGTTTCATAGTTTCTGGTCTTAAATTTAAGTCTTTAATCTATTTTGAATTGATTTTTGTATATGGTGACAGATAGGGATCTAGTTTGTCTCTACTAGAATTTAAAGTTCCAGTAAGCTTCCAGGGGCCTTATCATGCTTGTTCACCTCTGTATCTTCCATACCTTAAACAGTGCCTGGCAGATTAGGAATTCGATACATATTTATTGATACAAATAAACTCATCATAAAGTTCATAAATTCTTGATAAAATAACTTAGACTTAACAAGCACCTACTATATGCTAGTCATTTTGTAAAATTTCAGGTGTTTTTGTGAGTGAATGAGACATAGTCACTGCCCTCCAGGCACTTGGAATCTAATCCCAGAGGGGCACCAGCATTTCCTGGGATAAAGTGATGAAGGTCCTGCCAAAGAAGTAAAAAACCATTGGAGAAGGCCTAGGATGCCTGGTTTGGCCATTGTGATAGAGGTTCCCCATCATAGGGTAAGCGGGGGAAGAAGAAAGCTTAAGGAAATGTGGCTGGAAAGATAGATCTCTGCCTTTATTCTTCAACAAGCACTTATTGAGCACCTTACTATGTGCCAAGTATTGCACCAGGTCCCAGGGAAACTGGTTTGCAACAGGATCTCTTAGAAGTTGTAGTATAGTGGGAGAGACAGGTCTTAAAAGATCATACATGGCCGGGCGCGATGGCTCACGCCATCGAGTGATTGCTGTAATCCCAGCACTTTGGGAGGCCGAGACGGGAGGATCACGAGGTCAGGAGATCGAGACCATCCTGGCTAACACGGTGAAACCCCGTCTCTACTAAAAAAACAAAAACATTAGCCGGGCGTGGTGGTGGGCGCCTGTAGTCCCAGCTACTTGGGAGGCTGAGGCAGGAGAATGGCGTGAACCCGAGAGGCGGAGCTTGCAGTGTGCCTAGATCGCGCCACTGCACTCCAGCCTGGGGCGACAGAGCGAGACTCCGTCTCAAAAAAAAAAAAAAAAAAAAAATCATACATGTGGTCATCTGCAGCCTGTTGAAATCATGGGAGTAGATGATTGCCGGTCTGAATCTCAAGAATTTCACAATGACGGTGATGTACTTCCTGGCAATGAAACAAAGAAGCACTATTTTGCTCGTGTTTCTAACACAATCTGGATCAAAACAATAACCCCTTTGTGGGAGTGTTTCTGCATTTCCCTGTTGTTTTTCACTTTTTAACATTATTTCCTTCTGTTTTTAGTGGGGAAAAAAAGTCAATAGAAAAAATCTCCCTTGTAGCACAATTGCCACCTGCTAATACCACATTGGCTTTTGTTTCTGTCTGTCTGACTGCCCCTCTCTCTCTCTCTCTCTCTACGTCTCTCTGTGTGTGTTTCTATCTCTCTGCCTTAGTGATATAAAAGCTATCTAAGAATAAAAGGCTAGGCTATAATACTTTGTCATTTGTTGTTTTAGGTAAAATCCTTGTCTATTTACGTGATTCTCATTGCTGTTCAAAACATTAATTAGCCAGACATTTTTTCACTGATAGCTTCATTAGTTTCAAAATGAACATTATACTTCCAGATGAAACACAGCCAGAGCTTCTACTCTTGGGATCATATTACCACATACTTTGTCATTACCTCTTTCCCCTTTTTCCTAAGATAATTCCTTACTTCTCCCTCTGGTGAACTCTTATTCATTCTTCAGGTCTGAATTCCACTCATCCTATACTTCCCCATCACTTATCGTAGGGAACTGTATTTGCTTATATGTCTATAATCCCAGTAGATTATGATTTTCATGAGATGAGGGTGCATTTCTATGTCATCTTTGGTTGTATCTCCAACTTTTAGCACAGGGCCTGGCATATAAAAGGCATTCAATATTTGTGGAATGAGTCAAGAATGAATTAATGCATGGTTATAGTGTATAAGTAAATAGGTTATGGTTCACTTTTCTTATTACCTCCACTCTGATTTCTACCAGATTTTATCATACCTTGAACATGTTGACACACATCAGTGTTAAGCAGGCAGATTAATACTGATGTCTTTACTTGATTCACATTGAGAGTAGTGAAGAAAATACAAATGGGCAAATGCAACAATGGATTAATCCTAACGAAGCCCCACAGCTTCATACGGGGAGCTGAAAAGAGGAGTGCATGTCACCTTTACAGTAACTTTTCACATTTGACTAACAGTTGCTCACAGTTACCACTTCACTTGATTGTATTATGCGCAAATAAAAATGGCTTTTAAAGTAATTTAAAGCTACTATGCAATATAAAGTTTTGACATTACTGGGTTGAGTCTGGAAGTCATGTGGTAGGTAAATCTATATAGTGTTTATGTCCCAAACTGTAATGAGATACCCCATGGTACCTGATCCAGGCTAGCTAGAAATCTATCCTATTTCCACCTGAATAAGTGAGTAGGGTATAATGTTCTGTTACTATACAAGTTACTACTAATTATTTTTAAAATAAGTCACTCAAGGCAAGTGATGTATAACAATATAACCACAGTAATTAAAATTAAGAAGAGGCACTTAGATATCTTAGTCTGTAAGTCATGATCTCTTAAGAAGCTTCTTTTTCTTTTCTTTTTTTATTTTTCTGATGCTTCTCCTTTTATTTTTCTGATACTTCAATATGTTGTTGACCATGGCTTAAATTAACAGATCAGATTATGTTGAAGGGGGCAGGGGATTCACTGGAGAGGGACCCAAGGGAACTTTTTATTGTTGATTAAAATGTTCTGTTTCTTAATTGGGGTAGTAGTTACATGAGTTTAAGCCATTTAACTGTATCTTTAAGAGCTGTGCATTTTATTTTATGTACATCTCAATTTTTAGAAGTATTGGGGGAAAACAGACAGGTAAGCAAGTTCATAATATTTTCATAAGATTCCTGTTTTTTTCTGAATTTGAGCTGAATATGCTCTCAGCTTAAAAATTGAAGGGAATTTATTCTTTTAAAAAACATGTAAGCTTTGCTACTGCTTGATTTTTATGTTATAACAACAAATCTTGGCAAGAAAAAATACAGGTTTCAAGTGTCTTCAAATGGCACCAATCTGTCTCTGTGAATGAAATGCTAATAGAACTGAAGAAAACCAAATCTTCACTTAGGGAAAATTGTTTTTAGCCTAAAAGCTCAGCCTACCATTGTCTGTTAATATTAACCAAAAGAAAAAAAAATGATTGATTCAAATACACCTCATTTTACACAGACTGAGTAGTTACTCAAATTTTTTATTTTTTTTTTTTGAGACCAAGTCTTGCTGTCACCAAGGCTGGAGTGCAGTGGCACAATCTCAGCTCACTGCAACCTCCACCTCCTGGGTTCAAGTGATTCTCTTGCCTTAGCCTCCTGAGTAGCTGGGACTACAGGCATGAGCCACGATGCCTGCCTAATTTTTTTGTATTTTTAGTAGAGACAGGGTTTCACCATGTTGGCCAGGCTGGTCTTGAACTCCTGACCTCAAGTGATCCACTCACATCAGCCTTCCAAAGTGCTAGGATTACAGACAGGAGCCACTGCAGCCAGCAATTATTCAAATAATTTTTAATGCATTAAACAAACTCGCTATTTCAAATAATTTTATAATTATATTTATTTATTTATTTTTTTTTTTTTTTTTGAGACGGAGTCTCGCTCTGTCGCCCAGGCTGGAGTGCAGTGGCGGGATCTCGGCTCACTGCAAGCTCCGCCTCCCGGGTTCACGCCATTCTCCTGCCTCAGCCTCCCGAGTAGCTGGGACTACAGGCGCCCGCCACTACGCCCGGCTAATTTTTTGTATTTTTAGTAGAGACGGGGTTTCACCGTTTTTTAGCCGGGATGGTCTCGATCTCCTGACCTCGTGATCCGCCCGCCTCGGCCTCCCAAAGTGCTGGGATTACAGGCGTGAGCCACCGCGCCCGGCCAATTATATTTATTTTTGACAAAGTGAGGTACCTGTAGTGATATGGGCAGTCTAGTATTCTTTATGTATCACTTTTTATTTTATTATTATTATTTGTAGAAACAGGGTCTTGCTGTGTTGTCCAGGCTGTTCTCAAACTCCTGGCCTCAAATGATCCTTCTGCCTCAGCATCCCAAAGTGCTGGGATTACAGGTGTGAGCTACCATGCCCAGACTGTATATCACTTTTTAGATGCATTTTTTATATATATTTTAACGTCTCTGAAATCAAGAAGCTCCAAAACATCAATGGCATCTCGCCTTGGCATTAGCCAGGCAGCAGACAAGATGGCTTGTACATGCATTATTTTGTCATTTCCTTGATGACTTGATTTCTGAGATCATGAAATCTTATAGAATGGCAGAATGACTATTAACATCTTGGAAAGAAGTCCTGGAGGTACTAGTGGAGTTTTGGGGGGGATTGTTTGTTTGTTTCTTAAGAAATGCAGTTTCACCAATGCTATCAAAGAAACAAAGGATAATACATATGGAAGAATACAGACACCAATGCCTCTGAGTTGAAATGTGGTTCACAGACAGAATGTTAACAAGTTTTGGGAATACTTTAGCCAAGTTTTGACTGATATGTTCCTTTCTATGTATGAATAATAGTGATATTTGATCATATACATCTAACTAAATCTAAAAGAGCTTTTTAAGAAGTATAAAATAAAAATTTCAAATGGTAAATAACCCAGAGTATAATTGGCAGCTATTTTCTTTTGCAGAGCTACATAAAATAGTGGTCCATCTCACAATTGATGGCATCTTAGGTTCTATGAAAACTGATCTTTGTCAGTTGGCTTTGTGTCTGTTGGTTTTTCAGCCAGGGTTATGGTGGAAGAGTAGGGACGAAAGACCTATAATCAAATAATATCTTAAATGTATAACAATAACTACCATTTATTGAGTAGCTACTATAGGCCAACAGTTATGCTAATTGTATTATGTACATTATTGCATGTTATTCTTCTCAAAAACCCTGAAAGGCAGTTATTATTGAACTTTTATTCCTTCAGAGACATTAAATAACATGTCCAAGGTAAAATTGCAAAGCAGAATTTGAACCTAGTTTTGAGTGACCCCCCCCCCCCCGCCAAAAGCTCTCAATTTCTGTACAGTAACTACCCTCACCCCACTCCCAACATCCCTAGGAGTTCAAAGTAAAAGCTTAAAGAAGGTGCTGAGAGCTAGAAAGAGATAGAGAGAATGAGAATCCCAGCAACATTCAGTCACTGTTCAGGTTGTTCTCAAAGCCAGCTTTATCCTTGATTTGGTGGTGCAGCTCTTTCTTCAATTATGCTTTTTATTAGAATCCTAATATCAAAGCATCCTCTTTTTTTGCCTTAGCTAGTTCTATTTGGGATTTTATTCCTTGCAACCAAAAGCATACCATTGTAATCATTCACAGTTTTAATACATTTATACATTTTACTAGTAATAATAAAGTATTACTTTTCACACACCTCTAACAGCCAGATTTGAGCCCTGCTGTCTCACTTCTTTAAAAGTGCAATGAATGAAGCTGGCTGTTTCAGTTACAAGTCTGTGGCTCTGGAAGCACTGATTCTCTGTAGGATTAAACTATGCCCTAATCAGCACTGGGTAAGAAGCAGTAAAATAAGCACAAAGAACTCAGACCATGAGTCAGCTCAGTTTTCCTCAGCAGCTCTGTTTTAGTGCAAGTTGCTTAACTTTGATGGAACTCAGTTTCCTCCACTGTAAAAAGATGCAAATTACACCATGATTTCTGAGAACCTTTCTGGTTTTTGAATTATTTACTCTTGCACAGATTAAAGTCATCCAGACATTGCATGGGTTACATGTGAGTATATCCAGTGGATTTCATGGCCCATTTCACTCCCAGCTTCTTTGATCATATGTATTTTCTTCTTAATAGAATTCAAATTCAGTATTATCAAGTGATATGCTTAACAAAGTTAAGTGAAGACAATATCATTTTGCTCAGTAGTGAGAATTTCTAAGAACTATGAAATACCTATGGGTGAAATAAAAGAATAAACTGATGTTATAAACCTTATCTCCACGAACTACCTCATGGTAGTTTTTATACTATAAGACTTGTGACTGGGGAAAGGAAAAATCACTAAGTTCTGAAACAGTACAGAGAGTTCCATTCTCCCTGCAGTTGAAGTCAGGTCTTCAAAGCTAGACAATGAGAAGGAAACGGAAATGTTCTTGTTTTTCCTTATGGACTATTGATTTTATTTATTTATTTATTTTTTTGAGACAGAGTCTTGTTCTGTTGCCCAGGCTGGAGTGCAGTGGCACAATCTAGGCTCACTGCAACCTTAGACTTCCGGGTTCAAGCGAGTCTCATCTCTCAGCCACCTGAGTAGCTGGGATTACAGGAGTACACCACCATGCCCAACTAATTTTTGTGTTTTTTGTAGAGACAGGGTTTCGCCATGTTGGCCAGGCTGGCCTCGTATTCCTGGCCTCAAGTGATCCACCTGCCTTGGCCTCCCAAAGTGCTGGGATTACAGGTGTGAGCCACGGCACCTAGCTTGATTTTAACTTTTATTACCAAAATCAAATGGGTGATTGCTTTTGTCACCAAAATAATGACCTTTTAAAAGCCCACCTTAATAAGTAACTTGCAATTACAAAAAAAGTTTGTGTACTCAATCTTAGCCAGCTGATACAATTTTACGAATCAAAAACTAAACTCCTTAGCCAAAATATTGACTTGGAAAAACAAAGCATAGGATGCAACTTGGAAATTATTATATTACTGTTTCTCTCAAAAGCACAAATCATTTTTTTCCAATAAAAGTAGAATTGATTCAATAAAGAGCATTAAAGTTATAATGTATTTGAGGGGATGCGACTCAATATATTTTTATATTTAATGGTGTCATATGATTCACTGAAAGAACCATCTCCAAAGTCAGTAATAAATATGGCTTGGAATTTTCGATAGCTTTGTATTGATGCCTAACCTACTTATACTTAAGCAATTATTCAGGAGTATGATTTCCGTCATGTGTTCATTACTTTGGGTAACATTTTAAGAAAGGGAAAGCAAGGAAAGGAACAAAACTATATCCACTGTTTTAATTGTTTGCACCAGCAGATGGGCGTCCACAGAATGAATACAGGAATGTCTGTCTGCCTGTCTGTGTATACTCTGTGAAGGAATATACCAACATTACATGCTGACCCAAGGATAGCCAGTACGCCTTCTGCAAGAGGAAAGTTTGTGTTTCAAAATCCATCAAGGTAAATCTTTGGCTGCCCACACTCGTGTCCCCAGACATCAGGGAATCTTAATCATCCACATGTAGTGAGGCCCAGCTATGGTGCTAGTTCCAACAGTACGTAAATGGCTGTGACTGCCAGGAGGAAGCTGACTCAGTATGGTTCCCCAGTCGCTAGCAGTGGTGATATTCGCAATATTTAACAGCGAATGCAGCTTGAGGCCTGGCCAATCTAACAAACACTAGGTATAAACATCTCTGCTGGCGGGTGCAGTGCACCCTGGCTGAGTGTCAGCCCCAGCAATTGAGTGTCAGCTTGAGCAACCAGTGCAACTTTAGAGTTTACAAATACACTTAAAAGTATATTATCTCATTTAGTCCCCCAAAATTATGTTATGTAGGTATTATTACTTTTCTCAATTTATGGGTGAGAACATTGAGGCTTACAGAGGTCAAGTAATTTTCCCTAGGTCATACAACTAGTAAGTGGTAGAACTTAGGTGAACTATGGCTGACCAGCACAACCAGTTTGCTTTCTTCTGCGGTTTCTCTTCCATTCCCAATGCTAATTATACAGACAAGAAACTCTAATTTTTTACGCTATGCTACCTACTCAGAAGTCAGAAAATAAAAGTGACAATTAGGCCAGGTGCAGTGGCTCATGCCTATAATCCCAGCATTTTGGGAGACTGATGCAGGAGCATCACTTGAGCCCAGGAGTTCAAGACCAGCCTGAGCAACATAGCAAGACCTTGTCTCTACAAAAAAAAAAAAAAATTAAAAATACATATATACCTGTGGTCCCAGCTATTCAAGAGGCTGAGGTGCGAGAATGACTTGAGCCCAGAAGGTCGAGACTACAGTGAACTGTAATCATACCACTGCACTCCAGCTTGGCTGACAGAGCAAGACCCTGTTTCAAAAAATAAATATTAAAAAAATTAAAATAAAATGTTGATCCAGTACTTCAGCATTGTGTTATTCAAATCACTCAGTTACAAGTAGTTTCCACTATATGACTTTTTACTTGGCCTGTGGAAATGTTAATGACTGTGCAAAGAAATATGTGAATAAGACACACTGAATATTATTTTCGTGAGGCTCTTCTTCACTGCTCTCAACTTCTGCTACCATCAGCATGTTAATCTGTATTGAAAAAAATGAACCAAATAGCTAGCTTCCTGGATAAAATTTATCCTGTGAGTTTAATCTTAGTAAGCAAGGCATGAAGTCATTCAGTCTTTTTTTTTTTTTTTTTGAGATGGAGTCTCACTCTGTCACCCAGGCTGGAGTGCAGTGGTGTGATCTTGGCTCACTGCAACCTCTGCCTCCCGGGCTCAAGCGATTCTCCTGCCTCAGCCTCCCAAGTAGCTGGGACTACAGGTGCGCGCCACCATGCCCAGCTAACATTTTGTATTGTTAGTAGAGACAGGGTTTCACTGTGTTCACCAGGATGGTCTCAATCTCCTGACCTCATGATCTGCCCACCTCAGCTTCCCAAAGTGCTGGGGTTACAGGCATGAGCCACCATACCCAGCCATCATTCAGTCTTTTTAAGGATTAAAATCCATTTATCCTGGGGAGATGAGACAAAACTCTGATGCATAAAAATTCCAAATAATTTATGTAGAACCTCACCCTCAAGGAGGTGGAGTACAAATGCCCACTCCTTGAGTACAGGCTTCACATGGTGACTTCCATCAGTGAGGATGGTACAAAAGGAGAGTGGGGAAGGGAGAGTAACTTCACAGTGGAGAAACCTGACAAACACTATGTTGGCCATGTGATCAAGGTCAACATCAACAGCAGTAAGTAATGTCGGCAGTCTGTACCCTTGATGTGAGGGGATTAAAGTGATACTTTACTTCTGTGGTCTTCCTCGCCCAAACCCACAACCCCAGTTTCATAGTGAGAAAAGCGTCAGACAAATTCCAGTTGAGGTACATTCTACAAAGTACCTGACCAGTACTCCAAGCTATCAAGGTCATCAAAAACAGGAAAAATCAGAGAAACTGTCACAGTCAAGATGAGACCATGAAAAGATAAACTTTGGCAAATGAAACTTTTAGAGTTTATCTGAGCAGTCAGCAATTCATGAATCAGGCAGCACCAAACCACGTGTGGTTTGGGCTCCATAGAGGGGATATGAGGGGAACGCTTTTATGAAGTGTTCACAGAAGCAACACAAAGAAAATGTTTGACTGGTTAAAGTGAGACAGTATCCTTAAAGTCTCTAGTTGGCAGTTTCTGATGAGTAAAGTTACTTTGAGTTGGGTTGCAAGGTTTGCTTACGTAGAAACCCAGAACACAGATCCCTCTCAGCCTAATGGCTTCCCAGAGCCCTCTCAGCCTAATGGCTTCCCAGTTACTTTTTTTTTTTAAACATAACTAAATGTTATGTATCCTGGATGGGATCCTGTAATAAGGAAAGGATATTAGGTAAAAACTAAGAAAATCTGAATACAGTATAGATTTTAGTTAATAATAATGTATAAATATTGATTCATTATAACAAATGTATCATATTAATGTTAACAGGAGGAGAAGTTGGGTGCAAGTTGTATTAGAATTGTCTGTACTGACTGCAACTTTTCTGTAAATCTAAAATTGTTTTGACATATGAAGGGTTTATTTTTAAAATAATTCACTTAGCATTTTGGCATTTCAATGGTTGATCATGATATACCAGTCCCTTGGTTAACTTAAAATTCCTAAAGAGACAGATAATAAAAGTGAGGCTGGAAATCCTCAAAGCCACACTTTCTTCTGAGGAAGCCTACCTACAACATCGTCACTCCCCACCCTCCACCCTCCCCCAAAGCTCCCCAACACACACACACACACACACACACAGTATCCCCTCACAGTATCCTTTCATGGCCAAGGTTCCTGCAAGACAAGGACAGCTGTCCCTCCCTATCCCTGGAAGACTGGTTCCAAGACCTTCCTGTGATACCAAACTCCAAGGGTGCTCAAATTCCTGATATAAAATGGCATAGTATTTGCATATAACCCATGCACATCCTCCAATATACTTTAAATCATTCTAGATTACTTATAATGCCTAATACAATGTAAATGCTCTGTAAATAGTTGTTATACTGCATTGGTTAGGGTATAATGAAAGAAAAAAAAGCTATACATGTTCAATATAGGCACATTTTTTAAAATATTTTCAATCTGAGGTTGGTTGAATACATGGATGCACAGTGTATGGATACTGAGGGCCAAGTGCAGCCTCTACTTCACCTCTCACTCACTCTTCAAACCACTGCAGTCATGTGTCTACCCAACAGTGACTCAAAGTCCAAATCCAGTGGATTCTCCTCAGTCTTCATCTTACTTAACCTGAGGAAGATTGAAAGTACTGATCACTCACTACTTTAAAACTTCCAGTTTCCTTACCACAGTCTCCTTGGTTCTCCTTTTATCTCTCCTTCTCGTTTACTAATATAGCAAGATACTCACCTTTCACCATTTTTTATTTTTGCCTTTTAAAAGGTGATAGAACTTGAGCTTCTTGTTCAGAAGGGTTATATGAATAAACTTCTAAGTTATGCAAATGTAGGGTGAGTGGCAGCCAGCATAAGAGGATGTTCCCCATGGAATGCCTTCTTCCTTACTGCCAGAGTAATAGATCCAACTTGTTCAATAACAAGTGTGTTCCTGGTGGTCTTTGGCTAGACAGCATTGGCAATTTTTGTCTTATATATAAGTAAAATACTAAACACATTTATATTATTGCTTATGTGATTCAGTGACTTTAAGTAATGTAAAGAATGGGAGGAAGTCACACATACACACACCTGATAGTTGATCTCTACATTGGCACACAGCCAGTACTTACCAAGTAATTAAACATTGCTTTATGTTGTCTATTATCCTGTCTAATCATTTCAGCATGTTTTTTAATGTTACTTATATGATTACCTATTAAACATTTACACTAAACAAGAGATTTCTCCAGACAGAAGGAAGATTTTGCCTTACTTGTTTTAAAAGAGAGTTCAAATAGGGATCTGATTAGATGTAGCTCAGGTGCTGCTCTCTTGCACACATTTGGGAAGCCTGAGCTTATGGATGGCAATTACAGTGTGTACTGCAGGATGGATACAGCACTGCAGACAGTGAGAAGATCAAGATACTGAGCTAATCTGTGGAAGCAAGAGCCCACAGTTCCTTTCAGAGGGGTTTGCCCTGTTTACATCATCTCTTCCTTTATCTTCGTTTACAACAGTAAGTCTACAAATAGATATAGACAGCATCTCTGTGCAGGTGGTTTTCTGTGAAAATTAGAGAAGGACCAAGTTTTACCTCTGGGTTCTCTCAATAAACTGTGGGAAAGTCTGGATTTTTATAGGCTATCAAACTAGGGTTGTGTTTCTATCCAATTCTGTCTAGATCTTAAAAGAAGGGAGAAACTCCAGCTTGGCATCTGGTTGTACATGTCATCTGAAAAATCAACTGAAACTTTTTGAATTCAAGTGGAGAGTGGAAGTGGCTGCAAGTAGACTATGAACTCTTTGAGGAGGAACTCTTCTGATATGGTTTGGCTCTATGTCCCCACCCAAATCTCATGTGGAATTGTAATCCCCATGTGTCAGGGGAGGCACCTGGTGGAAGGTAATTGGATCACGGGGGCAGATTTCCCCCATGCCGTTCTCATGATAGTAACTTCTCACAATATCTGATGGTTTAAAAGTCTGTGGCAGGAGGACTCTTCCAAGATAGCCGAACAGGAACAGCTCTGGTCTGCAGCTCCCAGTGAGACTGACACAGAAGATGGGTGATTTCTGCATTTCCAACTGAGGTACCTGGTTCATCTCATTGAGACTGGTTGGACAGTGGGTGCAACCCACAGAAGGCAAGCCGAAGCAGGGCTGGGCGCCGCCTCACCCAGGAAGCGCAAGGGGTCAGGGGATTTCCCTTACCTAGCCAAGGGAAGCCGTGAGAGACACTGTAGTGGGAGGAACAGTACACTCCTGCCCAAATACAGCACTTTTCCCACAGTCTTCGCAACCAGCAGACCAGAAGATTCCCTCCAGTGCCTGGCTCAGTGGGCCCCATGCCCACCGAGCCCAGCAAGCAAAGATTCATTGGCTTGAAATTCTCGCTGCTAGTGCAGCAGTCTGAGATCAACCTGGGATGCTGGAGCTTGGCAGGCGGAGGGGCGTCTGCCATGGTGAGGTGTGAGTAGGCAGCTTCTATGCTCACAGTGTAAACAGAGCTGCCAGGAAGCTCGAACTGGGTGGAGCCCACCGCAGTTCAGCAAGGCAGACTGCCTCTTTAGGTTCCACCTCTGTAGGCAGGGCATATCTGAACAAAAGGCAGCTGCCCCACTCAGGGACTTATACGTAAAACCCCCATCCCCCTGGGACAGAGCACCTGGGGGAAGGGGCAGTGGTGGGCACAGCTTCTCCAGACTTAAACGTCCCTGACTGACAGCGCTGAAGACAGCAGTGGTTCTCCCAGCATGGTGTTCAAGCTCTGATAACAGACAGACTGCCTCCTCAAGTGGGTCCCTGACCCCCGGGTAGCCTTACTGGGAGACACCTCCCAGTAGGGGCCGACAGACACCTCATACAATAGAGCTCTGGCTGGCATCTGGTGGGTGCCCCTCTGAGATGAAGCTTCCAGAGGAAGGATCAGGCAGAAACATTTGCCATTCTGCAATATTTGCTGTTCTGCAGCCTCCGCTGGTGATACCCAGGCAAACAGGGTCTGGAGTGGACCTCCAGCAAACTCCAACAGACCTGCAGCTGAGGGGCCTGACTGTTAGAAGGAAAACTAACAAACAGAAGAAGCATCAGCATCAACAAAAAGGACATCCACACCAAAACCCCATCCATAGGTCACCAACATCAAAGACCAAAGGTAGATAAAACCACAAAGATGGGGAGAAACCAGAGCAGAAAGGCTGAAAATTCCAAAAACCAGAATGCCTGTTCTCCTCCAAAGAATCACAACTCCTCGCCAGCAAGGGAACAAAACTGGAGGGAGAATGAGTTTGATGAGGTGAAAGAAGTAGGCTTCAGAAGGTGGATAATAACAAACTTCTCCGAGCTAAAGGAGCATGTTCTAAGCCATTGAAGGAAGATAAAAACCTTGAAAAAAAGATTAGAGGAATGGCTAACTAGAACAACCAGTGTAGAGAAGAACATAAATGACCTGATGGAGCTGAAAAACACAACACGAGAAGTTCATGAAGCATACACAAGCTTCAATAGCCGATTTGATCAAGCGGAGGAAAGGATATCAGTGATTGAAGATCAAATTAATGAAATAAAGCAAGAAGACAAGACTAGAGAAAAAAGAGTGAAAATAAACCAACAAAGTCTCCAAGAAATATGGGACTGTGTGAAAAGACAAGTCTACGTTTGACTGGTATACCTGAAAGTGATGGGGAGAATGGAACCAAGTTAGAAAACACTCTTTGGGATATTATCCAGGAGAACTTTCCCAACCTAGCAAGGCAGGCCAACATTCAAATTTAGGAAATACAGAGAACACCACAAAGATATTCCTTGAGAAGAGCAACCCCAAGACACATAATCATCAGATTCACCGAGGTGGAAATGAAGGAAAAAATGTTAAGGGCAGCCAGAGAGAAAGGTCAGGTTACCCACAAAGGGAAGCCCATCAGACTAACAGCAGATTTCTCAGCAGAAACCCTACAAGCCAGAACAGAGTGGGGGTCAATATTCAATATTCTTAAAGAAAAGAATATTCAACCCAGAATTTCATATCCAGCCAAACTAAGCTTCATAAGTGAAGGAGAAATAAAGTCCTTTACAGACAAGCAAATGCTGAGAGATTCTGTCACCACCACGCCTGCCTTACAAGAGCTCCTGAAGGAAGCACTAAACATGGAAAGGAACAACCAGTACTAACCACTGCAAAAATATGCCAAATTGTAAAGACCATCATTGTTATGAAGAAACTGTATTAATTAGCGGACAAAATAACCAGCTAACATCATAATGGCAGGATCAAATTCACACATAACAATATTAACCTTAAATATACATGTGCTAAATGAGCCAATTAAAAGACACAGACTGGCAAATTGGATAAAGAGTCAAGTCCCATCAGTGTGCTGTATTCAGGAAACCCATCTCACATGCAAAGACACACCTACACTCAAAATAAAGAAAAGGAGGAAGATCTACCAGCAAATGGAAAGCAAAAAAAAGCAGGGGTTGCAATCCTAGTCTCTGATAAAATAGACTTTAAACCAATAAAGATCAAAAGAGACAAAGAAGGACATTACATAATGGTAAAGCAATCAATTCAACAAGAAGAGCTAACTATCCTAAATATATATGCACCCAATACAGGAGCACCCAGATTCATAAAGCAAGTCCTTAGAGACCTACAAAGAGACTTAAGACTCCCACACAATAATAACGGGAGACTTTTAACACCCCACTGTCAACATTAGACAGATCAACGAGACAGAAAGTTAACAAGGATATCCAGGAACTGAACTCAGCTCTACACCAAGCAGACCTAATAGACATCTACAGAACTCTCCACCCCAAATCAACAGAATATACATTCTTCTCAGCACCACATCGCACTGTTCCAAAACTGACCACACAGTTGGAAGTAAAGCACTCCTCAGCAAATGTAAAAGAACAGAAATTATAACAAACTGTCTCTCAGACCACAGTGCAATCAAACTAGAACTCAGGATTAGGAAACTCACACAAAACTGCTCAACTACATGCAAACTGTACAACCTGCTCCTGAATGACTACTAGGTACATAACAAAATGAAGGCAGAAATAAAGATGTTCTTTGAAACCAATGAGAACAAAGACACAACATACCAGAATCTCTGGGACACATTTAAAGCAGGGTGTAGAGGGAAATTTATTGCACTAAATGCCCACAAGAGAAAGCAGGAAAGATCTAAAATTGACACCCTAACATCACAATTAAAAGAACTAGAGAAGCAAGAGCAAACACATTCAAAAGCTAGCAGAAGGCAAGAAATAATTAAGATCAGAGAAGAACTGAAGGAGATAGAGACACAAAAAAACCTTCAAAAATCAATGAATCCAGGAGCTGGTTTTCTGAAAAGATCAACAAAATTCATAGACCGCTAGCAAGACTAATAAAGAAGAAAAGAGAGAAGAATCCAATAGATGCAATAAACAATGATAAAGGGGATATCACTACTGATCCCACAGAAATACAAACTACCATCAGAGAATACTATAAACACCTCTATGCAAATAAACTAGAAAATCTAGAAGAAATGGATAAATTCCTGGACACATACACCCTCCCAAGACTAAACTAGGAAGAAGTCAAATCTCTGAATACACCAATAACAGGTTCTGAAATTAAGGCAATAATTAATAGCCTACCAACCAAAAAAAGTCCAGGACCAGAAAGATTCACAGCCAAATTCTACCAGAGGTACAAAGAGTAGCTGATACCATTCCTTCTGAAACTATTCCAATCAACAGAAAAAGAGGGAATCCTCTCTAACTCATTTTATGAGGCCAGCATCATCCTGATACCAAATCCTGGCAGAGACACAACAAAAAAAGAGAATTTTAGGCCAATATCCCTAATGAACATCGATGTGAAAATCCTCAATAAAATACTGGCAAACCGAATCCAGCAGCACATCAAAAAGCTTATCCACCACAATCAAGTCGGCTTCATCCCTGGGATGCAAGGCTGGTTCAACATATGCAAATCAATAAACGTAATCCATCACATAAACAGAATCAAAGACAAAAACCACATGACTCTCTCAATAGATGCAGAAAAGGCCTTCGACAAAATTCAGCAGCGCTTCATGCTAAAAACTCTCAATAAACTAAGTATTGATGGAATGTATCTCAAAATAATAAGAGCTATTTATGACAAACCCACAGCCAATGTCATACTGAATGGGCAAAAACTGGACGCATTCCCTTTGAAAACTGGCACAAGACAAGGATGCCCTCTCTCACCACTCCTATTCAACATAGTATTGGAAGTTCTGGCCAGGGCAATCAGGCAAGAGAAAGAAATAAAGCATATTCAATTAGGAAAAGAGGAAGTCAAATTGTCCCTATTTGCAGATGACATGATTGTATATTTAGAAAACCCCATCGTCCCAGCCCAAAATCTCCTTAAGCTGATAAGCAACTTCAGCAAAGTCTCAGGATACAAAATCAATGTGCAAAAATCACAAGCATCCCTATACACCAATAACAGACAAACAGAGAGCCAAATCATGAGTGAACTCCATTCACAATTGCTACAAAGAGAATAAAATACCTAGGAATCCAACTTACAAGGGATGTGAAGGACCTCTTCAAGGAGAACTACAAACCACTACTCAATGAAGTAAAAGAGGACACAAACAAATGGAAGAACATTCCATGCTCATGGATAGGAAGAATCAATATTGTGAAAATGCCATACTACCCAAAGTAGTTTATAGATTCAAAGCTATCCCCATCAAGCTACCACTGACTTTCTTCACAGAACTGGAAAAAACTACTTTAAAGTTTATATGGAACCAAAAAAGAGCCTGCATAGCCAAGACAATCCTAAACCAAAAGAACAAAGCTGGAGGCATCACACTACCTGACTTCAAACTATACTACAAGTCTACAGTAACCAAAACAGCATGGTACTGGTACCAAAACAGAGATATAGGCCAATGGAACAGAACAAAGGCCTCAGAAATAACACCACACATCTAAAATCATCTGATCTTTGACAAACCTGACAAAAACAAGCAATGGGGAAAGGATTCCCTATTTTATAAACAGTGCTGGGAAAACTGGCTAGCCACATGTAGAAAGCTGAAAGTGGATCCCTTCCTTACACCTTATACAAAAATTAATTCAAGATGTATTAAAGACTTAAATATAAGACCCAAAATCATAAAAACCCTAGAAGAAAACCTAGGCAATACCATTCAGGACATAGGCATGGGCAAAGACTTCATGACTAAAACACTAAAAGCAATGGCAACAAAAGCCAAAAGAGACAAATGGGATCTAATTAAACTAAAGAGCTTTTGCACAGCAAAAAAAAAACTATCAGCAGAGTGAACAGACAACCTACAGAATGGGATAAAATTTTTGCAATCTACCCATCTGACAAAGGGCTAATATCCAGAATCTACAAAGAACTTAAACAAATTTACAAGAAAAGATCAAACAACCCCATCAAAAAGTGGGCAAAAGATAGGAACAGACACTTCTCAAAAGAAGACATTTGTGCAGCCAACAGACATATGAAAAAATGCTCATCATCACTGGTCATTAGAGAAATGCAAATCAAAACCACAGTGAGATATCATCTCATGCCAGTTAGAATGGAGATCATTAAAAAGTCAGGAAACAACAGGTGCTGGAGAGGATGTGGAGAAATAGGAACACTTTTACACATTGGTGGGAGTGTAAATTAGTTCAACCATTGTGGAAGACAGTGTGGTCATTCCTCAAGGATCTAGAACTAGAAATGCCATTTGACCCAGCAATCCCATTACTGGGTATATATCCAAAGGATTATAAATCATGCTGCTATAAAGACACATGCACACGTATGTTTACTGCGGCACTATTCACAATAGCAAAGACTTGGAACCAACCCAAATGTCCATCAATAATAGACTGGATTAAGAAAATGTGGCACATATACACCATGGAATACTATGCAGCCTAAAAAAAGGATGAGTTCATGTCCTTTGCAGGGACATGGATGAAGCTGGAAACCACCATTCTCAGCGAATTATCACAGGACAGAAAACCAAACACCACATGTTCTCACTCATAAGAGGGAGTTGAACAATGAGAACACATGGACTCAGGGAGGGGAACATCACACATTGGGGCCTGTCAGGGGTGGGGGGCTGGGGGAGGGATAGCATTGGGAGAAATACCTAATGTAAACGACAAGTTGATGGGTGCAGCAAAGCAACATGGCACATGTATACCTATGTAACAAACCTGCACGTTGTGCACATGTACCCCAGAACTTAAAGTATAATTTAAAAAAAAAAAAGTGTGTGGCAGTTCGCCCCTCACTCTCTCTCTCTCCTGATCCTCCATGGTAAGATGTGCCAGCTTCCCCTTTGCCTTCCGCCATGATTGTAAGTCACCTGAGGCCTCCTAGCCATGCTTCCTGTACAGCCTGTGGAACTGTGAGTCAATCAAACCTCTTTTCTTCATAAATTACTTGGTCTCAGGTAGTTCTTTATAGCAGTTTGA
Organism: Homo sapiens; assembly: GCF_000001405.40. Taxonomy (NCBI): domain Eukaryota; kingdom Metazoa; phylum Chordata; class Mammalia; order Primates; family Hominidae; genus Homo; species Homo sapiens. The sequence goes on along the minus strand of NC_000001.11, from coordinate 95,210,479 downwards.
GAATGGACTAATACATCTTATTTCCAATCCTTGCTATTCAAATCCTAGTCCAAGGTCCAACAGCATTGGCATCCCCTGGCAGTGTATTAGAAACACAGATTTCCAGGATCAACCACAGACCTACTGAATGAGAACCTACATTGAATAAAATCCTCAACGCACACTGAGAAGCACTGGAAGTCTGTCACTGCACCTTAATCACTGATGGAGAGAAAGGACAAGTAAGGAGAGAAGAAAGGAGGCAATCTTATTTTTAAAACTCTTACATTACAGTTGTAAATAAGTATTTTAAGTATTATTATTTTAGTAAATACTGATTTTAATAAGCAGTCTAAGACTTCATAAACAAGAAAATATTTTAAAACTAAATTTTAAAAATTTTATGTAGTACATGATATGTTCCTTTTCTGTTCATTTGTTCTTTAATATATCATTGTCCCAAAATTTCTCCCACCCAATTTTGTAACCTAAGTACTAGTATGGATAAAGTAGCATATAAAATTATTCTTTTTTATTACTTTAATTAAGTTGATATAAAAATCCTGTCAGCTTTGACCTAAAGAGCATTCATATTTTCTCTTGACTAGCTACTCAGATAGCACTGCAGTGTTTATATATTATTTTCCTTTTATTTATGTTTTCAGGGTGTTTCTGTTGTTTGTTATCACTGTTGCTGTTTTTAATATTCTCTACCAGAGCTGAGCACTAACTTTAATCCATTTTATTTGGTAGGAAGTTGTCAAAAATCAAACTGTGTCAAGTTAATATCCAACTTCATAATTTGAGCTCCCTTAAAGTTGTAAAAAAACTTTTTAAGAATCCTTCAAAACTTTTTCAGCCTTAGGTAAGCTTAAAGAAAAACTAGAGGTCAGAATTATATGTGATAAGGAACCTTGTGAGGAAATAATCTGGTTGATATAAGTACTTTGGGAATTCTAAGTACTGTGTTGGCCCTTATCCTTCTTAGCAAAGATAAGTTAATGTTTGTAGTGCTCACATGCTTGTGGCCTCAAAAACACAGTAAACAAAGAGCACAAGCCTGGAAGGGTAGAGAACTTACTTAAATTTAATTGAAGTTCTCCTTAATGTTTGCTGAAGAACAAGAATTTCTCCAAGTTATTCAACTATTATCTACACATTTTTACTTTCAGGAAATCAAAAATGATGTGAGGACTGCACAGCTTATAAAATATATTTGTCACAGAAAATTCTATTTTTCATTGAAACTGTTGAATATTTTTATTTAAATACATATTATATAAATCACTTAATCTAGACACTTTTTAATATATAAATTGTTCAGCATTCTATAAATGAATTCATCCGCCTTGTACAAATTATCCTGCCACAATAGTTGGTGTGAAGGGCGTCATTAGTTAGGCTTTGCGCTTAGCTTTCCACTTGAAGCCTGCTTAAAATAAAGAGTGCCCTTAGTAGAGACAATTCCAAACACACCAGAAAGCCTTGTTCTTCCACAGAAACATCACTAGGCAACTGTTATTTATCCTTAACTTGGAAAGACTTCCTTTCCAACCTAGATTACTTACCCACAATTAAATAATATTTTTAAACACCAGCTTGAAAAATAATGTGTCCCAGAGGCAGAGAGGTTAATAAGTCAACACATAAAGCAAGTGTTTCAAATGGATTTCGGACAAAATTGTATATTCAATATTCTAAAGTCACGGAGGATTGTTGGCTCTCCTTTTGGGCAATGGATCCAGGAAGGACCCAGCAGGGGATTCTGCTCATTGCTTTCCTTCTAAAAGTTCATATTCTTTAGGTCAAGCTATTGTTAGAACCACCATTCAGATCAAACACAGTCATACAGTTTTATTCTAAGCCACCTTTTTTATTACCATATAATATGCACAAGTTTGTACAATTAATATGAATTTTCACAAAGTGAACTCACCCATATATCCAGCACAGACCAAGAAATACAACATTGCCAGTGTCCCAAAGGTCTCCATTCTGCCCTCTCCCAGTCCTTACTCAGTCCCACCCCTGTCCAAGGTAACTTTTAACATCGTAGATTAGTTTTGCCTATTTTTATGTATGTAAATGGAACTTTATGTAAATGGAATCATAGGGTATTAACTCTTTTGTATCCAGTTTCTTTCCAGCAACAATGACATGAGTTCAAGCGATTCATCAACATTACTGCATGTAACTGTAGTTCATACATTCTCGTTGCTGTGTAATATTGAAGAAATATATAACAATTTCTTTTTCTACTCTATTATTGATGATATTTGGGCTGTTTCCAGTTTGGGGCTATCATGAATCATGCTGCTACATATATAGTTTCAAAACAAAAGTAATCTAATCAGTTTAAATAAGAAAAAGTTTGGCAGATACTTTTTTCATCATTAATTTCAACTAAAAAAATGAAGCTATTGGATTAGAGCAGAGATGAACCTTTAAATCTAACATTCTGTACTACAATATCTAAATAGCATGTCTTTCTTTTCATAAAAACTAGTCTCTACAGAGCCAGCTCACTAGTTTCCTATTTCTGCTGTAACAAATTACCACAAATTTAGTGGCTTCAAACAACACAAATTTGTTCTCTCATCATTCTGGAGGTCTGAGGTCCAGAATAGGTCTTACAGACCAAAATCAAAGCATTGGCAGGGCTGCATTCCTTCTCGAAGCTCTCGCAGAGAATATGTGTCTTGCCTTTCCCAGGTTGTAGAGGCTGCCCACATTTCTTGTTCCCTGGCCTGGCCTCCAGCCAACAATCCCATCACACTGCCAGCTGCATCTCCAGTCACATCTCTTCTGACTCTCCTGCCTCCCTCTTTCCCTTATAAGGACTCTTGTGATTACACTGGGCCAGCCTCGATAGTCCAAGATCAAGAAGATCCTCAATCACATCTTCAAGGTCCTTTTTGCCATGTAAAGTAACATATCCACGGATTCTAGGGATTAGGACATGGACATCTTTGGGCCATTATTCAGCCCAGCACTCCAACCCTCTGAAATTATTCCGCTCCCATTCCCCAGTACACTCTGTCCTTGACACCTCACCAAAGTAAAACGGTAACTCAATGTCCTTTTATTCTGTGATCTCAACTCCCAGACATTTACAATGTAAGCTCCTTGAGGAGAGGGACTGGCCAGGCTCTGTGCTGTTTCCCCACCACCACCAGCACAATCACTGATCCTCAGTGTGTACCCAGTAAATGTTGGTTGGTTGAGTGGAGAGGTAGCAGTCCCTATATCCTCACATCTTCTCCCTGGTAAATGAGAAGCAGCAGCATATGACATTCAGGGACCTGGGACAGCTGCCTGCAAGTACAGTTTTATTCCATATTCTGATTTTAACCAAAACACTTAAGAGCTCTCTGTGCTTCAGTTTCCTCATCTGAAAAATGAGGTGGCTGGCAAAGGTAATATCTAGAGTATCTGGCCAGCATTAATATTCATTTTAAATGGAAACAATGCTTATGATACATTGTAAAGTGAAAAGGTCAGAATTCAAAATTCTGTAAGCTGTATGATTTAAACTGACTATAATGTTATACACCAAACAAACCTAAGATGTTAACCAAAGGAGAAACTGAGGGTATACGGGGTATACTGGCACTCTGTACTAGCTTCACAGTTTTTCTGTAACTTTAAAACTGCTCTAAAATAAAAAGGTTATCTTTTTAAAGTTGCTTGGCAACAAGTCTAGATTATAAACTCCTTGAGGGCAGGCCTCATGTTCTCCCTCATATTTGTTTACATAGAACCTACAACAATACTTCATACAAAGTGCCCAATAAGCATTGAAATATAAAAAGAAACTGTTGATGTGGGTTTCAGATTGGTACAGACACAGTCTCTAACACTCTTCTCAGAACTGTGAAATAAGCTTCGCTGTATGTAAAGGTAAAGGCCAACTGGGCTTGATGAAATCACTGGTCATCAAGGAATGAGATCATGGAGTAGATTGTAAAAAGATGAATCAGAAGAGGCGTGAAAGGGACCAGAAAGGGGACATGTAGTTTGGACAGGCATATTTCATCATTTTTTATATATTTGAAAAATGAAAAAAAAATGTATTCATGATTCTCAGTGGGGATAAGGATGGATGTTGAAGGAGTGTGATGGTGTTCATATGTACAAGTATGGGCACATATCCAAAACTGGTTGAAAATTTTGATGTTATAATTTGCATGGATTTTTAAAGTTTGAAAAACATTAAATTATTTGGTTCCCCGTTAAAACCACTTTATTATTTAAAAAATTAAGCTACCTATTAAGCATCAATGATTATGAATGTCACTGTCTCCAGATCCACTGATCATCTCTAAACTGCTTGCTATGGTCTGAATGTCAGTGTCCCCAACAAAAATTCCTATGTTGAAATCCTACCCCACAAGGTTGGTAGGATGGGATTAAGAAATAGGGCCTTTGGGAAGTGATGAGAGAGAAGACCTCATGAATAAGATTACTGCTCTTATAAAATGGGCCCAAGGAGGCTCATTCAACCCTTCTGCCATATGAGGATGCAACAAGAAGACATCGTCAATAAACCAGGATGTGAAACCTGGAAGCAGGTCTTCACCAGACAGTGAATCTGCCAGGCCCTAATCTTGGACTTCCCAACCTCCAGAACTGGATAAGTAAATTTCTGTGGTTTATAAACTACTCAGTAGAAGGTATTTTGTTATAGAAGTCCAAACAAACAGACTAGGACAGTGTTTATATGATCCCAGTCCTAATGAATTACCTTTATAAATGCTTAGGTAGTGATTAAAGAATTATGCATAGAAAAGGTTACATTAAGAAGACATTAAACAACTAAGCATTGTCATATTTGTGTGGCAAGACCACGGATCACATTTCTTTCTCTTTTATTTCAGTAGGCAAGTTGTATCTCTTTGATGAAAATACAAATAACATTTAAGATATATTTAAGAGTCTATATAAAAAGATTTTTTTATAGTTGGCTTATAATTTGAGCAATTAATATTACAAATCTGTATGAATAACATATATAATCAGATTTTAAAAAAGTGTTTAGAAAAGATTTCTTGATTTCTCCTCCATCTCTCCTTCAAACCTGCTTCTTCTTTAGTTTTCCCTATCTTAGGACCACCATTCTCCCATTTGTTCAAGCCAAAATCATACAAAATCATTTATCGAGGCTTTTCCCTCACTTTCCTGTAAGCAGTCCATCAACAACTACTGTCAACTCTACCTGTAAAATATATCCTGAATCCATCCATTTCTCTTCATCTCCACTGTCACCACTTCAGTTTGAACCAATGTTTTACAAACTGTAAATTGCCACTCATTGCTGAGTTATCAAATCAGTTTTGTGGGTGACAACCGGCATTTCTTCTTTTACAGTGAAAGAGAACAGAAAAATTCAGAGGGCGTCATTCACGGTAAGGGTATTGTCTCATTAAATTTTGCTTATGTATCTGTGTTTATGTGTGGAGTCACCACACAAAATATGTTTCCTCCTGTGGATTGTGGAACAAAATGTTTGAAACCCTAGATTTAGGTCCACATCATTTCTCACTTGGACTGCTTAAAACCCGGAATGCTTATTCTTGGCACAGTAAGAAGCCAAACACTTTACAATGGCCTAACGACCCAGCATAATCTTATGCCTCCTTCCTCTCCGACCACATCTTCATCTCTCATCCTCCTCCCTCATGCTCCAGTCACACTGCCTCCTTTTCACTGAACACACCAGTCTCCCCACCTCCAGGACTCTGTACTTGCTATTTCCTCTGCACAGATTGTTCTTCACAATACTTGCAGATGCCTCCTGCCTGGTCTTAGCACAAGTGCCATCTCCACAAAGTGACCTGTTTAAACTGTCCCCAATTTCCATTTTCTTCTATTTATTTCATGTTACTTCTTATTATCTGGAATTGTATTATGTTTATTTCTTTTTTCAGACTTCTTTACTGCCCATCTCTCTTTGCTAGAATATTTAAGTTCTAAGAGAGCTAAGTCTTCCTTGTCTGCCTCCTTCACTGATAAATATTCAGAGCCTAAAATAAAGCCTGGTACATAATGCATACTGAATAAATATTTACTTTTTCTTTTTTATTATTGTATCAATTTTTTTTATTGACTTCCTGACTGGTCACTTACTAAATGTGAAACACTATGCCAGACTTAGGAGTTGAAGATGAAAGACACACTCTACACAGAATCACTTGATTTGCTTTCCCTTGTTCCTTATCTCTGTCTTAGTCCGTTTGGGCTGCTATCACAAACTGTCATCAAGTGGGTGCTCATAAATTATAGAAATAAGTAACAGAAATTTTTTGCAGTTCTGGAGGTTGACAAGTCCAACATCAAACCTCCAGCCAATCTGTTGTCTGAGGACTCACTTCCTGGTTCACAGACAGCTGTCTTCTCACTGTAACCTCACAGGGCAGAGGGGTCAGGGATCTCTCTAAGGTCTCTAAGGGCACTAATCCCATTCATGAGCACTCCATCCTCCTGACCTAATCACCTCCCCAAAGCCCTGCCTCTTAATATCATTACCTTGAAGGTTAGAATTTCAATATATGAATTTGGGGGGGATACAAACATTCAGTTAATTGCAACCTCTATTCCCTTCCAGACTCTAAGCTCCCTGTGGGCAAAGACCCTGACAGTTTTGTTCACCGTTTATTCCCTTTCCCTTGCATGGTGCCTAGAGTGTTAATTTTTTTTTTAAGTGAATGAGATCTTGAATTTGTGGTGGCCCCAATACACAGAGTTGAATAATGTTCCAGCAGGTCTCTGTTACCTGGGTTAAGCATAGAAAATGTAAACATTTGGTTTGATCTAGGGTAAGGATATTTAGGAGTTGAAGCTAATGGCTAGAAAGTCATGAAAGGGGTAGACAATAGAATGTAGACTTCTGGCTTTACTTTTTAAATAAACAGCTTAGATTCCTTTTTTAAAAAATAATGGTTCAGCCAGGTGCGGTTGCTCATGCCTGTAATCCCAGCACTTTGGGAGGCCAACGCAGGTGGATCACCTGAGGTCAGGAGTTCAACACCAGCCTGGCCAACATGGTGAAACCCTGTCTCTACCAAAAATACAAAAATTAGTCGAGCATGGTGGTGGACGCCTGTAATCCCAGTTACTCGGGAGGCTGAGGCAGGAGAATCACTTGAAACTGGGAGGCAGAGGCTGCAGGGAGCCAAGATCATGCCACTGTACTCCAGCCTGGGCGACAGAGTAAGACTCCGTTTAAAAAAAAAAGAAAAAGAAAAAGAAAAATAATGGTTCAAAGTCATATGTTTTCATTTAGAGTAGTAATTTTTAAAGAAAAAAATTACAGTACTATTACATCTATTTTCTCACTCCATTCTTTAGAATATAAATCCTAATTAGTATTTAGTTTTGCTTATTACAAAGCTAAGGAATCATCTACATTTTTCCCTACAGCATGCACACGTCTTACTTTCCTTCATGATATGGTGCCTTAGAACAGGGGTTCCCAAACACCAGGCCAAGTTTGTGGCCTGTTAGGAACTGGACCACACAACAGGAGATGAGCGGTGGGCTAATGAGCATTACCGCTTGAGCTCCGCCTCCTGTCAGATCAGCAGGGCATTAGATTCTCATGGGAGCGCCAACCCTACTGTGAACTGCGCATGCGAGGGATCTAGGCTGCATGCTTCTTGTGAGAATCTAACTAATGCCTGATGATCTGAGGTGGAACAGTTTCATCCTGAAACCATCCTCCCTACTACCCTGTCACATGGAAAAATTGTCTTCCATGAAATTGGTCCCTGGTGCCAAAAAAGGTTGGGAACTGCCACCTCAGAGAGTCAATTGTAAAAATCAGGAATGGATCTACTATAGATAATTATCACCAATCAGCTAAAGATCAATAATGTTGCAGGAAACAAGTATACCAGCAAAGTCACAGACAATAAACATTGTCATAATAATGTCCCCATCTGATTTCATCCTGGCCTTGACTCTCCACAAAGCCCATCAAATAATCCCAGCAGTGTACATATAGAGTCACAAAGAACACAGAAATCTTATAGAAAGTCCTGATCTCACAGCAAGTCCTAACACTGAGTCAATCAAGGTAAATGACCCATTAGTGATGGACTGGCTTCTCAAGATAGAGGATTCAGATTGGTTTTGGTGAGAGGGGACTAAATAACTTACCATTTACATTTCTGTTAATCATCTATTTTCCTTTCTGATGATTATATTTAATTGTGGGAAACAAAATGAGTTCTATATTTAGATACTATGATGAAAATGTTTACATCTTTTAAATGTTAACACTAGGAAGAATATGACAAAATTCAACTTGGCTGCAAGTACAGTGGGAAAGTACATCATTAAAACTTTATCTATTTCCCCTAAGAATGTTGAAGCATTCAGCAAATATTTATAGTTAGCCTTTTTGGCTAGGTTCATTGATTGCAACTGATACTGTCTCCTCTTACAAGTGAGGCAGATGGAGTCATAAACAAGTGGCCTCATTCAAGAGCATACAGTCACAATCAAAATTGAAATTTAGACCACCTCCAAAAACTTACACACTTGAAACTAGTATTCTGGAATTGCTGTCTGATAGGAATTTGCTCATACCCTACCATACCCTGGGCTACATGTCCCTAACCTTGATTCTAATTACCGTGTTTTCTTTGTTGTTGTTGTTTTTTGAGATGCAGTCTCACTCTGTTGCCCAGGCTGGAATGCAGTGGTGTGATCTCGGCTCACTGCAACCTCTGCCTCCCGGGTTCAAGCAATTCTCCTGCCTCAGCCTCCCGAATAGCTGGGATTCCAAGTACACACTGCCACACCCGGCTAATTTCTTGTGTTTTAGTAGAGACAGGGTTTCCACCTTGTTGCCCAGGCTGGTCGCAAACTCCTGAGCTCAGGCAATCTGCCCACCTCAGCCTCCCAAAGTGCTGGGATTACAGGCATGAGCCACCGTGCCCAGCCCATAATTACTGAATGATGGAATCTGAAAGAAAAGTGGCCTTTAATTCAACCAGTTCAACTCCTCACTTTCCAGATCAAAAAACAAAAGCCAGTAAGGTGAAAGCACTTGCCTAAAATGCTTACTAGAAGGTATTAGGGCCAGAACTGGAATCCAGGTTTCTGGAGTCCCAGATGAAAAGACTTTCTATGGTGTTATTCAAAATATCAAAGTCTGTTCTAAAGCCTGTAGTGGGCTCTGCACCCACTAGTTGCCCCATTCAATGGGGGTGGGGGGAACTAATTTCTTTGACCTCTCAGCTAAGAGAAAACACAGCAGCTTGGCCGTGGCCCCGCTTATACAGGACAGGAGGTTCTGAGATCCAGCTTGCCAGTCAAGAATGAGTTTATTTATCCTGGTTGTTCCAGGAATTCATGTGACAATTTAACAAGTAAGTACTCAATAAATGTTAAAATAATTTAATGAGGCTTTTTTCTCTCAACTCTTATCTGAACATTTTTGTTTAATTTTTAGTGAAAAAAATAAGAACCAATTCCTTTACTATATGGTCTTGAGGATGAATAGAATGCAGATCAGAAAGAAAGGGCCTCTAGGCCACATCACAGCCAACGTTTAAGTGCCTGGAGCTGGATGAGCATGGGGGCGGCAGTGGCACCCTTCTGGGAGAACTTTCAGGGGTACCATGAGGTTGGATAGGGTAGGGCTATAGCTATCATCGAGAACCTTAGATCTGGCTTAAGGAATTTAGACTTGGGAGTGGAGTACTGGAAGTTTTGAGCAGGACTGTGACAAAAATTTCAGATGTATTCTAAATGATGATTCCATCGGTAGCATGTATGATGGAGGTGACAGTGTGGAGTTGAAGACCAATTAAAAGACTGCATGGGGCCAGGCGCAGTGGCTCACGCCTGTAATCCCAGCATTTTGGGAGGCCAAGGTCAGCAGATCACTTGAGGGCAGGAGTTTGAGACCAGACTGGCCAACATGGCGAAGCCCCATCTCTACTAAAAATAACAAAAATTAGCCGGGTGCGGTGGCACGCACCTGTAGTTCCAGCTACTTGTTGGCTGAGGCAGGAGAATCGCATGAACCCAGGAAGTGGAGATTGCAGTGAGCTGAGACTGCGCCAGTGCACTCCAGCCTGGGAGACGGAGTAAGACCCTGACTCAAAAAACAAAAACAAACAAAAAAATGGCATGGTTGTCCAAGAGAGAATGTTTCAAAGTGCCTCTCCATTTCCCCTCTGAATTCATAAACTGAAACTGGGAGCCTAAGACAGTCCCTGCAGCCTCCACCCCTGCTCCAGGATCCACAGCTGCTTCTGCTCCACCCTTTGAGCTTCTGCCCTTTCTTGCACCATCCAAAGACCACCTCACGCAGGGAACCAATCCCACTGCAAGGCTGGGGTCTCCCCACTCCACAGTAGCCTCTAGCTAGTGGACTTCAGAGAAGGGCCTTATTCTTTAGGCCTCTTACTATCATCTCTAGACCTTTCTCAAGCTCCTTGACTTGACAGGGCTGAGCTGACCCTATGGGGAACAATGAATCATGGGGTCAGCTCATTGGAACCTGAAAGGGTGTTGAGGAAACCATGGGTCAGTGACCAGTCAGGAACCTGAAATATCCAGATACAAGGGGTCAAGGCAAGACATTGTGTCAGAAATCCGAAAAGTCATGAAAACCACAACAGTGTGGTACTTGGACAGAGCTTTTTCTTTCTTCCAGATGCTCTCTGGGAGAAACTCTGCACAACACTGGCATTATGTTAAAAGTCTGTCACAGGCTCCACCACTCTTCCAATTACTATGCCTTCTCTTTTATCATTCATGGCAAATGACTGCAGCTCCCCACATTCTGACATCACAACCCAGTGGCATCTGTCCCCTCTCCATTCCACAGCCTTATTCCTGAGTTTCCTGAGTTAGGTTGTTTTTCTAAATCCCTTTACCTCTCTCTCTGATATTTATCAGGTCAGACCCTTTATTTATCTTCCTTGTCCCATGCCAGCCATCAGACTTAACTACATTGCAGGTCCTTGGCCAGTTTCTCCATCACTAAACCTCTTCTGTACTCTCATTCATCTAATTTGACACTGAGAATCTTCCTTGAATGTCATTTAAATCATATTATTAAGCCTTCAAAGCTACACTTGTTCCTTCCTGATTGCCTCGTTTCAAACTAAAGCTCTTACTAATAGGATGGGAGAGTTGGAAGGAACATCAGAGATTATTTTACAGATAACAAAACTAAGACTCAGATTAAGATGCTTCTTCATGGTTACTGTAGGATTTTAGGCACCTCACTCTTTCCAAATTGCTCTAATTGACAATTCAAACAAAATTCTACCCTCTTGTGCCTCATCCATTCATACATCCTTTCTGTCCACAACAGTGTACTTTATACATGTATATACACCCACCTACATACATATAGAGAAGCATATATAATGAATATGTACGTATTCAACACAGAAAAGTCACAAAACTTTTTTTTTTTTTCCTTAGAGACAGGGTCTTGCTATGTAGCTCAGGCTGAACTGAAACTCCTGGGCTCAAGTTGTCCTCCCACCTCAGCCTCCCCAAGTAACAGGGCTACCATACCTGGTTCTGAGAAAAGTTGTAACTTCTTATACTCTTGATACCATGTATAGGAATTTTACTATATTCATTTTTTCCCTGATAGGTTCCTGTCACCCAAAATGCAATGTATATATACATAACATTTTCTTATTTTTTCTGTTCTCTGAAGTCCCTTCCTCTTTCCTTGGTGTCATTCTTTCCAAATATCCACCTTTCCATCTTTTATCCTCAACAGAAATACAGCCAATCATCCAGCCTATCATCCCTATTGCCTTTCCTTTTCTGTACAAGTCCCTTTCAAAAGTTCTCCACAGGTAATTTCTGCTGGTATAATCCATGATCTGGTAAGATGACAAGACTAGATATGGTAATTGAATTTAGCTGGAGGTAGATGAAAAGAGAAAGGGACTAGGCAGCAATGGCAGGGAGGATCTAGGAGCACTGTGCCAAAAATGACAATGGGCACAGCTACTCAAGCAGAGGGTGGTGTGCACCACCCTTAGATGAAGAGTCCAATTTTTTGGGGGGGAGGCATCTAGGAACGTCTGTCAGAAGACCAGTTACTAGCATAGGGAACAGTTACAAATTTGTCAAATCACTTATTTTATGCATGCTGAAGGACCATCAAAAGGGAACGAAAGCAGTAAGCAGACTTTTAGAAAAAGACTAGATAGAAGAACAAAACATGGATCATGTCTGAAACAGCCTGAGGTGTGGCAGAGACCCCATTTACACTTGCTTCAAGTAGCTCTGAATACTTGTAATATCACCTGTGGCCTATCTCCACTGACAGCTGTGACTGCTATTTTCATTCTGAAATTCAGCTGTTCCTTTGCCAGTCTGGACACAACATTTTAGGCATGTTCTGAAGCATGACTCATGGTACTCTCCATAGGCAAACCTCTTCAGTATTCAATTAGTGCTCTGCTTCCTGACCTACTGGATATTCTCAGACCAAGATGCAGGATTTAAGACCACAGGCAATTTGAGAAGGTAGGAATTCCAGCCAAGACATTCAGCAAAAAGCACTAGAGACCACATAAGAGGCCTAGGGACAAAGGCAAGGAGATTAAAAACACAACTGCCAAAGTTTTACTTAATCTAAAAGAACAAATCGATTAGACAGCACCATTCCTTTCATTAACAAGCATGACTAAAATGGTTGCAACTCCTGCTGGTTTGCTACCAAGCTGTGACCTCAGTGGGGAGAAAGGGAGGGAAGGAAATAAGCAAGCTCTACAAGCATCCTGAGGAATAAAAATTTACCTTTAGGATTAAGGTGCTAGAAGAGATTATTTGATTTGCAGAACATAATTTTATCATTAATCTATTCATTAATTACTATTAAAGTATACACCTTGCAGACAAACTTTTGCACTAAATAATTGTGATTTTATTGTTTTTTTCCACAAAATACAAAGCTTTGCACCACATTGTGGTAGTGTTCTAGCACAAGAAAATCCCAAGGTTTTCATGGAGGGGAGGGGGAGAAGGGTAATTTACAGGGTGTTCATTTTATCATTCTTGAAATGTTAACTAAAAATTTCAGGACAAAATATGTCAACCTTGTATAACATGCAGATTATTGCTTAGAACTTGCATATACTTTAAAATGGCACACATAAAGTATACAAACATTTCAAAATTTTAATGGAAATAACTTAGACATTTATTATCCCTCCAAATAAAACAACCAGGAAACAAAATAAAGAATGCCAAGTTGCTATTTTAAGTACTGATAAGTCCTAGTAACACTGATTCATACATTATCTAGTCTTACATTTTGTAAATAAAAGTTCTTCAGCCTTATGGAAATAAATTAGAAGGTATGTTCTCAAAATGGTATTAAGTATATTTTGAAAGACTTCCAAAAATCTTTGACAATTATATATTATACATTCTCAGAAAAAAGTATATATCTATGTATCTATATATATCACTATAGTTCTATTTACTGCTTTCCAAGTAGCTTTTTCAAATAAAATCTAAAAGTCATTATTATTACAAATTCTAATACCAAAAAATCTCATAACTTATCCTATTTACAAGTTAGTGAGAGTATTATCTACACAAAATTCCTTAAATAAAAAGTAGACATAGTCATACCAGAAACAAACCAAGCAGGAAACAGAAAAACACAGAGCACATTCTATATACAGCTATACCTTTAGGCTTGTTAAGTAGCAAATAACCCTAATGTACACTTAATTACAGAAATAATTACATAAAGATATAAAGAAAAAATATCCAAAGATGTTTAACGAGTTTTCAGCCAGAGGTACTGTACTTATAAATCTTTGAGATTTAGAAATATTTCTGGTTTTGGTCTTATGTATAGGGCCTGATATCAAAATGGTCCACTGCTTAGAGTGAATAAGTGTAAACATTTTCAAAGCAAACAAACCAATCTTTAGGAGCTGCTTTCAATTCTTCACTGCTATCCAAAATATATTCCAATAAAGGTATGAATTATTATCAAAACTAGAGGCTGGCCTAGTCTGGCCTAGAAACGGGTAAGGTTCAAGCCTTGGATGTTGTACTTTGGAAAACACCAAGTAACGCAGTTGCTGGTAAATTTGTTTTCAAAGAAACATTACCATAGCAAAGTTTTCCCTAAAGAGCAGGACTCTAAAATAATTTTGGCACAAGCCAGCATCCACCCTCTCATAACACAGAGTTATCTCAGTTCCTCTGTGCTCCTGTCATGGGGTCTAAAAAGAACATTTAGATAATTTACAAGCCTATAATAAATCTTCAGCTGAAACACATTACAAAGCTCTGACTGTTAAACCAGTTTAAGAAAAACAGAGATGACAGATCTCTTAATAAAACCATAACATTATTAGCTTTGCCTCATGTTGTAAACAGTTATTATTAAATGCTGAATGGCTTCCTGTAGTCTCTTAATAAGTCATGATTTGTCTGAGCTCCACTTTAAACTTTACTACAATGCTTTTTTTCAATGAGAGAACCTATTTGTAAACTTTTAAATTTGCCATAAGAGACTGGGAAGCTTATAGATACATGGGGAGGTCTCAAAAGTTGACAGCGAAAGGTGTTAGCATAAAAGAGGGAGATGCTGATGAAGTCATCTGGTGTACCAGGAGGAAGAGATGGAAGGATTCAAAGAGAATACTTCTAGATCAAGGGAGGACTATCACGGCGTTTAAGGGAAAAGCACTCTCAATGCCTCCTCTAACTCCAGATCCTCTAGCTTTTCATTGTTCCTACACACCTCACATGTGTTTTGCATCAGAACTCACTTTCAGTAGCTTTAATGTATTTCAATGAGCTGTGTTTAAGGTTGGGAAGATATATGTGCATCCAGAGACACATGAAGGGTCTCGCTGTATGCTGGCTCGCACCTGAGAAACACTGTGCTACTCTTGATAAAATTATCTAAGTTCAACTTCTTATGGAATCCAAACACATAAAAATACATAAACCTTTATGAAGTATTATTGATGATGTCAATACATGAACTTTTCCATTTCAGCTAATAGACTAAACCACCTAAAGCTATTCAAATGCACATTTATTTAAATGTTTGGAATTAAGAGCAACCTAGAAACAGAAAACGTGTTCAAATATTTATTTTAACAGCATCTTTTGGAACATGTTTATTTCCCTTAAAAACGACACAGAGGAAACATGTACACTGTAACAACACCTTCCCCTCTGTTTCTCCAGAAGAAAAATGTTTCTGCATGCCTGATAACAGATGGTGCAACCAACAGTAAACCTGGCTCTCTACACCAGTGAAGAACCATTCTCCAAATGCCCAGTGTGCCTCAGAGGAAATATACAATTTAAAAGTTGACCCTGTAGCAAAAATTTTGAGTCAAATTATTAAAATTTAGAAAAGAACTGGATTCAAATACTTACAAACTAGGCAGTTTTTAAAACTAGACCTTTAAGACCGTCCTGGGTCATCCATAATATATCAGAGTCACTCTTAGGGGTGGTAACAACATAAATAGTATTTCACTTAACGTAAGGCTAGTCCATGAAATAATAAAATCAAACAGTTGGGATAAAAATTTAATTCAATTTACTGTAGGGTATCAACACATATTTGAGCAGAAGTCAATTTCTTTGCACTCATATATAACTTCATTTCCAGTTTTACATAAATGCAAATAATCCTTTAAAAGATTTTAGACATAAGAAGGCAAACTTTATAAGTTATAGCTCATAATTTTCAAATTTTCACAAATAAAAATTTAATGCAGGATCTATGATCTTGCATGCTATTAGTTGGTTTTCATTCATTTTTTAAGTTTCACAAGAACTTTTATTTTCTAGGATACTACACATTCAAAAAACATCTTTATAATTACAGGTTATCTTTTTTCTACAAAAATAGAATTGCTCAAAAATTTATATCAATTTGCTTTTATTTTTCTATAAATATTTTAATAGAGTTGTTAAATATCAGAATGCCTGATAGAATCATTTAAATTAATCCGTGTAGTCAAAATACTTAATATTTAAAATGTCTAGCAAACGTTTTTCATTTAATAAATGAAAAATTCATCGTGCAGTAAATGATATGTTCTGTCTTCATTTGTATTTTAGGTAGGTGAATACAATCATAGAACAGCAAAGTGTACCTCCTGCAAAGGTCAGACTTAAAAGTAGCAGGGCAGTTTCTAGTGGCATTTCCATTCCATGTCTGTTGTATGAGGAAATATATAGAACCTACTTCAGGATATTTAATCTGGATGTTGAATTAACTCATGCAGCCAGCATAAGATAAGGATTGCTGAATAAGAGAATCACAAACTTTAGTTCAAAATTTTGATGTTTTAAATATACTTATTTAGTGAGTGGCTATACCAGTGAAGGGTAACATTAATGAAAGTAAGAATGAAGTTTTAAGCATGAAACAGTAACTATAAAAACAAACTGCTACATGGAGACTCACTAATATAGCTTTATATTGTTTTCATTTTGATAGTGGGTTTAAAATCTGTGTTCAGAACTATAGAAATATCCAGAGTCAAAAAATATTTATCTCAAGGTCTCTTTCTAAAAGAATGAATTTCCAAAATAGTTTTATTATATAAATTTTTTTAAAGCCACTTTTCCTGCAAAAAGGTAAGAACAAGATAAAACCGCTTGCTTTCCTACCCCCCTCTAGTTAACCAGTACATATTTAAGCACCTATGATGTGGACAGCACTAAATTTAGCAACAAATTATCAGTGTAATATTAGCTGCTTTAAAAATAACTATTATTTTACATTAATTCTTTCAAAAATAAATGTACCTAGTATAAGCCAATCAATCTCATTTTATCATTTAGTTACTGACTGAGATTTCAATCTTCTTTAAATGTTCTAAAACTTATCAGGCTCTATCTGCATTGAATAATAAAAGCAAATCAAATCAAAAGTCTTGATTATATTCAGCTAGCATGAACAATGAAAGTGAGTCAAACGTTCTCCTTCAAACTGAGAAACTGGATTACATCTTTTGGTATGAGTTCAATTAATTTCAAGTATTCATCACTGGTAGAATTAAATTTCTTCCTTTCTCAGGTAAGAATAATCATTAAACTCAAGTGCTTAAAGAATAAAGGCAATAATAGATAAATATATAATTCTATATTTGGATTGCAAGAATTAAAGTAAAAGCAAAACACATACACACACAACCAGAGTCGCCAGTCATTTATCTTCATATAATCAGACAATAATTTTGATGATAGAATACTTGGATTAAATTACCTTTTTTTTTCTGTGCTTTAAGATAGAAATTCAAAGCACTAAAATGCCAACTAAGTAAGCACGGGTATGAATTGTGAGTAAAATATGAATACTGATATTTTTGTAATAGTTTGGGTCTCATCAAGAAGAGGCCTATTTCAGGAGCATAATAAATACATATTGCATAAGACTTTGGTACTGATGGTGCTGGGTTCAGAACTCAGGGAAGATTTTGCAAACAGAAAATATTTTTCACAGAAAAAGTGCAAGGAAAGCAGATAGGGATAAACAGTGTTAAAACTTTCTTTCTTAATGATTCCTCCGATTAGCCTAAATAGTCCTCTATCAACATGCATTTTTAGAAGAAGAAACTCATCTCTTAAGGAGGTCTATAATCTGTCTTAAGCCTTATTATAAAATAAAAAAGCAATAATTTGATAAAATGCTAAAATAGAAATGACAGTGATATTTGAAAAAATCTTAAAATGTGGGAAGTATTCTCCATGACTAAACTAATTAAATATTCCCAAAGTGGTAAAATATTTCATCATTAATAGGTGATTGCATGTCTGAAATGAAAAATGTTGTTACTTCTGAATAGCCTGAGAAAAAGAACATGCCAACAATTTAGAAATTAAACCCTACACAAGTGTTGACAGCCATAGTAAGAAAAGAGTGCATACAACAAATGTTAAGAGCTATTTACAGATTTAAAAGCAGTTCCCATTCTTGCAGCAAAATTGGTGACATAAAACCATTTGTACCAGATTATCATAGTCATCTTTCACAGAGAAAAAATACCAATGCAGTTAAGAGATTTCTCAAAAGATTCACCATTATATTGATCATTTTTATTTAAACCTTTAAGATTTTTATCCATGCTTGTAAATAAGGCAAAAGAAAGGCAGAAAAGACATCTTGGGATGAAAACTAAATTTTAATTTTAGTTTCTCTCTTTTTTTTTTTTTTGAGACAGAGTCTTGCTCTGTCGCCCAGGCTGGAGTGCAGTGGCACAATATCAGCTCACTGCAACCTCCGTCTCTCGGGTTCAAGCGATTCTCCTGCCTCAGCCTCCCGAGTAGCTGGGATTACAGGCGCCAACCACCACGCCCAGCTACTTTTTTTTGTATTTTTAGTAGAGATGAGGTTTCACCATGTTGGCCAAGCTAGTCTCGAACTCCTGACCTCAGTGATCGACCCACCTTGGCCTCCCAAAGTGCTGGGATTACAGGCATGAGCCACCGTGCCCGGCCTTCTCTTTTCTAAGGTTTAAAAAAAATGACACTGAAATCCTGAATAACAATTATAATTAAGAAAGGTACACAAGAACATGCCAAGAATTCATCCTATCAGCAGATATGCTGGGTAGTAATGAAGTTTGCTTATCGGTAGCACTCTTTTAATCAAGTTTTCCATTCTGAAGACTATTTTTGGCTTTCTCTTGTCTGATGTGAGAGATGACTTTGATGCAACCTTTTGAAATTTTGATCATCCACATGACATTCATCACATCCAAAACAACACAACTAATGACCCAGGATAACTGGATTAAAACTCCAAGCCTTATGTAGGGTTCTGTTCCATACACGGAATACATGAAGCCATAATGAGGAAGCATTGAGGCAATCCGCACGATGAAGAATACTACTGTCATGAGTATTCCATTGATAACGATAGCTTTAGAAAACTTGGGATACTTCAGAGCTTCAAAGAACCACCTGAAAAATGAATTAAAGAAACATCACATTTATAGTGCATCTCTGAGGATTAACCATTTTTATTTTAGTTTTTAAATTTTAAAATTCAGTGAAGGAGGAGCAAAGGGCCTAGAATAGCATACGCAATGCTGAAAAAGAACAAAGTTGGAGGACTCACACTACCCATTTCCAAGACTTAACTATAAAGCGACAGTAATCAAGTCAGCATGGTGTTAGTGAAAGATCAATAAACCAATGGAAGAGAAAAGAGAGCTCAGAAATAGACCCACACAAATATACTCAACTGATTTGTGACAAAAGCATAAAGGTAATTCAGTGGAGAAAAAAAGTCTTTTCAACAAGGTGTGCAAAATTGTATATCAACATCGAGAAAAATGAAGTTAAGCAGAGATCTCACACCTTACACAAAAATTAACTCAAAATGGATCATAGACCTAAATGTAAAATGCAAAACTATAAAACTTCCATAAGAAAAAAGGAAAAAAACCTGTATGATCTTGCATCTGGTGGTGCTATTTTAGATACAACACCAAAAGTGTCATCCATGGAAGAAAAAGTTAGTTAAGTTGGACTTCGTTAAAATTAAAACTTGCTCTGCGAAAGACACTGTTAAAGAAAAGACAACCACACACTAGGAAAAAATATTTAAAATATACATGTATGGTAAAGTACATGTATACAAAGTACACAAAGAATTCTTAAAAGTCAACAATAAGAAAACAACCCAATTAAAACACTGGTAAAAGAGCATAACAAAAACCTCATCAGAAAATATATATAGATGAAAACTAAGCATATAAAAAGATGTTCACTATTGTCATTAGGAAGTGCAAATTGCAGTGGCTCACGCCTGTAATCCCAGCACTTTGGGAGGCTGAGGCAGGTGGATCACCTGAGGTCAGGGGTTTGAAACCAGCCTGGCCAGCCAGGCGCAGTGGCTCACCCCTGTAATCCCAGCACTTTGGGAGGCTGAGGAGCGTGGATCATCAGGTCAGGAGTTCAAGACCAGCCTGGCCAAGATAGTGAAACCCCGTCTCTACTAAAAATACAAAAATTAGCCAGGCATGGCGGCGGGCACCTGTAATCCCAGCTACTCAGAGGCTGAGGCAGAGAATTGCTTGAACCCAGGAGGCAGAGGTTGCAATGAGCCGAGATCACACCACCACACTCCAGCCTGGGCGACAGAGCAAGATTCCATCTCAAAAAAGAAAAGAAAAGAAAAGAAAAGAAACCAATGTGGCCAAAATGGCGAAACCCCATCTCTACTAAAAATACAAAATTATCTGGGTGTGGTGGCGCATTCTTGTAATCCCAGCTACTTGGGAGGCTGAGGCAGGAGAATCTCTTGAACCTGGGAGGCAGAGGTTGCAGTGAGCCGAAATCGTGCTATTGCACTCCAGCCTAGGCAACAAGAGTGAGACTCTGTCTCAAAAAAAAAGAAAAAAAAAAAAAAGAAAGTGCAAATTTTAGCAACAAGATACTATGCACACCTATTAAAATAGCTAAAATCCCAAAAAATGGACAATAACAATTGCTGGCAAGGGTGTGGAACAAGAGGAACACACATTCATTGCTGCTAGGAATGCAAAATGGTACAACCACTTTAGAAGACAGTTTAGCAGGCATAAAACTAAACATATTCATAGCACACAAACCAGCAATCACATTCCTAGGTATTTTTCCAACTGATTAAAAAATGTATGTCCACACAAAAGCTGCATACGTGTTTACACCAGCTTTATTCATAACTGCCAACAACTACAAGCCATCAAGATGGACAAACATTGTAGTACATCCATACATTGGAATACTACTTAGCAATAAAAATAAACTATCAATGTAACAGCAAGAATGAATCTAAAGTGCTAAGTAAATGAAATCAGTCTGAAAATCCTGTACACTGTATGATTCCATTTATAGACATTCTAGAAAAAGCAAAAGTATCAAGACAGAAAACAGAATAGTGGTTACCAGAGTTTCGGAAAGAGTGGAAGGGGATTGAGTAGGTAAAACAAGGGATATTTTAGGGTGGTGAAACTGTTCTGCATAATACTATAGTGGTGGATACATGACATTATGCACTTATCAAAACCCACAGAAGTGCACAAAAAGTGAACCTGATGTATGCAAAATTTTAAACAATCAATTAGGAGGTTGGGGGATACCAGGATGCAATGCAAACAGTGACAAAAGAATCTTAACTGTTACAAATGCATGATATAACATCCCTGAAAGGAGTAAGGTAGAAAGAGGTGCTGACCTAAGTGACTTCAAAGATGGAGACTATAAGACAAAGGCAAAAGAAACTGTATACAGGCAATGTACTCTAGTTCACGCAAAAACAATTAACAATTCTGAAACCATTATACATGTATATCAGGACTGAACAAATAAATGGATTTGTTTGATGAAAAATAGTGGGAACCAGGTTTCTCATTGTTGGATAGAAAGGTTTCAGACAAGCAAGAGGCGGCTAGATTTTTTCCATGAGATACTGGATTAGATTTGGAAACAGTGAACTATTTTAGCTTGATATAGCTATAAATGCATACATACAGAAATAATTATAGATAGGTGTATACACACAGGTCAGCATATTTCCAGGTTCTGTCAGCTAGGAGCCCATAGAAACAATGATGCCTCAGTAACAATGAGCATACATGGCATCCACGTGTTGGCTTCTAATACCACTCTCCAATGAAAGAAACTAGGGTTCCTTGAGAAATACCTGATTTGAGGGCTGGGAACAGAGAATACACAATATACAATATGAACCTGTTAGAGTATCATTTAGGGCCAGAGAGCAAGAAAGTGCTCAAAAAACAAAATGACGTTTCTTTATGTCAAAGGAACACAGAAACCAACCAAATGAGCTCTCCAGGTCCAAAACTCACAATGTGAGCAACAAAATAAATAATGTTGTATTGGATTATAACCTAAAGTATAAAATAAATATCCAGAAATCAATACTGATATAAATGAATGAATGAATGAATAGGGGAGAAGAAACAAATCTGTTCCGAATAACTGCAAATAATTTATGTAGAAATCACACCTTCAACAAGGTAAAGCATAAACCCCTAGTCCTCAAGTGTGGGCTGTGTATAGTGTAATGTATTGAACTGTTTCCCACTAAATTCTTTTTTTTTTTTTTTTTTTTCTGAGACGGAGTCTCGCTCTGTCGCCCAGGCTGGAGTACAGTGGCGCGATCTTGGCTCACTGCAAGCTCCGCCTCCCGGGATCACGCCATTCTCCTGCCTCAGCCTCCCGAGTAGCTGGGACTACAGGCGCCCGCCACCATGCCCGGCTAATTTTTTGTATTTTGTAGTAGAGACGGGGTTTCACCGTGTTAGCCAGGATGGTCTTGATCTCCTGACCTTGTGATCCACCCGCCTCGGCCTCCCAAAGTGCTGGGATTACAGGCGTGAGCTACCGCGCCCGGCTAAATTCTTATGTTGAAGCCCTAAAGCCCCAAAGTGACTGTATTTCAAGATAGGTCCTTTAAGAAGGCAATTAAGGTTAAATAAAGTAACAAGGGTCAGGCTCCAATCCAATAGGACCAGTGCCCTTAAAAGAAAGGAGAGACCAAAGTTCTCCCTCTTCCTCCATGCACACACGGAGAAGAGGCCATGTGAGGACACAGAGAGAAGTTGCCTCCTGCAAGAAGAGGAGAGGCGCCTCACCAAGAACCAACCCTGCAGGCACCTTGGTCTTGGACATCCGGCTTCCAGCACTGTGCAAAAACACATTTCTGTTATTTAAGCCACCCAGACTGTGGCATTTTTTATGGCAGTCCCCAACAAACTAATACACACAGTGACTTCCTTCCAAAGTGTACAGTATGGAAGGGGCAGGGGGAGGGCAGGTGTAAGGAATAACTTTAAAATGGAGAAACCGGACAAACAGTACCTCAGGTGAACAAGCTTAACATCAACAATGATTAAGTCATGTTCACAGCATGCAGTCCTAATATGTGTGATGAGAATGATACTGTCCCTCGGTGGTCTTCCTCCCCAAACCCCATATCCCCAGTGTAATCATGAGAAAAACATCAGACAAACCCAAATTGAGGGACAGTCTACAAAACACCTGATCAGTACTCCTCAAAACCGTCAAGGTCACCAGAGACAGGACATCTGAGAAACGATCACAGCCAACAGTAGCCTAAGCAGACATGAAACTAAATGTAGTGTGGCATTCTGGAAGGGATCCTGAGACAGAAAAGGGGCACTGGGCAAAAACGAAAGAAATCCACACAAAGTATGGACTTTAGTTAACAATAAGATATTAACACTGGCTCGCTAATTGTTAACAACTGCACCCACTGATCTATGACGCTAACAATAGGGGAAGCTGGGTGTGGGGTACACAGGGACCCTCTGTATCAGCCTTCTGATTTTTCTGTAAATGTAAAACTATTCTAAAGATAAAAAGGTTTTTAAAAAGTCAGTGAACATTCGCTCTATTCCACTTTTTCTTCCTTAAAAAAACTGCCTTGCCTAATTTTACATCATTTTAGAGATCAAATTGCAAAGGCAGTAAAACATATCTGTGTATCTTAATATTCAATTTAACTGAATTAGTCATGATTAAGCTAAAATTGTTCAACATAAGAAACTAAAAATTAATAGTTAAAAAGCTTGAAAATATTTTATTGAGTGATTAAAATATCAAATAATTTATATAGGATGAGAGATGTATTACATTTTATAAGTTTATGTAGGATAAAAGGGCTAAATTATCTAAGACAATTAAGAAAGACTATTTAGATAGCAATGGCTAAATTAATGAAATAATACTGCAAATAGGAAAAACATCACTAAAGCAATGACATCCACATTCTAATCCAGGTCTCTGATCCTCAAGCCTTCTCTTCTCCAAAGACTTCCCTTCTCCTTCAGCCATTCATTTCTTTGACTACATGGCAGCCTTGGAATTACTCAAGAAATATTATACCTCAGTGAACCCATTCCTCTCTAATCATAAGCCTTCCATATTTCTCTTTACCCAATCTCACCTAAACTACTTCTTTGACCTTCAAATCCTCAAATCTCTCTCTATCAGCCTCCACGCTTTCACTTCCTTTCCTACCTAATCCAAACTCCAAGTTAACTTCAGAACACACATCAGCACCCTCCGTTCTCTTGCCACTTCATCTATCTCACCCACTCTGCTGATCTCCAGTGTTTCATCAAGCCAGCTTTCCTTAGGCAATACAGAATGACGTGAAGAGTAGCTAGGGTGCTCTGCAGTCAGGCCGCCTGGGTTGAAAGCCTGGTTCTGCCATGGAGCAACTGTGTGGTCTTAGCTCTCTCTGCTATTCACCTCTATGTTTGTTCTATCTCTATAAATGGGGATAAATGATAGTACCTCCTTTGTACTATGAAGCTGCCATGACACAGAGTAACAACTCCCCCATACTGTAAATTCAATAAATATCATTACCCACCAATCTTTATTAAGATAAATGGCACAAATATAATTTTAAAAGATTTGAACTTCAGCAGAATTCTCAAACTGGCTCGACAGTCCTTTCATTTCACTCCATAGTTCCCATATAATTGCTTCCAAACCTGTCCTGCCATTCAAGTCAATTCCCTTCCTCATTCACTTTTGTCTCTCAATCCCATCAGAGCATCTGGTTTCTTACTGATATACAGTTAATTCTTGAGCAACACCAGGGTTAGGGGTGCTGACTCCCCACACAGTTGAAAATTGCTTGACTTCTGACTTGCCCAAACACCTGATTGTTGACCAGAAGCCTTACCAATAACATAAAGTCAATTAACATTATTTTATGTTATTTGCATTATATACTATATTCTTATAATAAAGCTAGAGAAAAACGTTATTTTCTAGAGAAAAGAAAATCATAAAGAAAAGAAAATATATGTACTATTAAGTGAAAGTGGATCTTTGTAAAGGTCTTCATTCTCGTCGTCTTCACGTTAACTAGCCTTGAGTAAGAGAAGGAGTTGGACTTGCTGTCGCAAAGGTGGCAGAGGTGGAAGAGGTGACGAAGTTGGAAGGAAAGGCAGGCACACTTAGTGCAAATTTTATTGAAAAAAATAGATGTGTCAGTGGACTCATACAGTTCAAACCCATGTTGTTCGGGAGTCAACTGCATTAGAGTCCATCAACCATGAATTCCTTCCACTCTGACCCCAAGATCTCAAAACTTCTTCTCAGGCACCTTTACCTTTCAACTCAGAGGAGAGTCCTCATCTTCTAGGATTTATTCAATAAACTACCCTGCCTTCCCTTGTTCTACCAAGTTCCCCTTCTATAAATTGATTCTTCTTTTACCAACGTGCTCAATTCCTGCTAATCCAAAAACCTCCCCTCCACTGCTTCTCTTCTTTGCCAGTTTTTTGAAAGGAGAGTCAGACATATTCACAGACATTCTTACTACACTCCCAAACCCAAGACGATATGACTGCAACTCTACAAAAGAAATTAGTCAGTTACATATGTGCACATGTACCCTAAAACTTAAAGTATAATTTAAAAAAAAAGAAAAAAAAAAAGAAATTGGTCACCCATAGCTTCCTCATAACCATAGTGTTAGCTTCTGCCAATTTTTCCATCTAACCAGTGCCTGGTCTTTAAACCAGTTTCTTTCAAAGGAAAGAACCCAAATATTAACTCAAGGTGAAATAATATTTACATAACTGTCCTCCTTACCTCCCTCTTCCATGGCAGAAAGATCACTTATTTTGTTGGAATCCACCTCTTCTTACCTAATTAGAACATTCTTTCATTCTAGCAAATAAAGACTAACAGTTTGTGAAGGTATGTACTGAATCTGAGAGGAAAGAGGGGAAGGGAGGAAAACATGCATGTGGGAAGGAAGGAAAGAAGAACAGCAACACTTTCTTTTACCCACCATTTACTGTTATTACTAAGACAGGCATAAAAGACAGCAAATTGTATGTATTTATTAATACAATCCTCCCTTCACTCCAGAGAGAAAATCCTAACTTTGGTCATTTAGCAATTATTCCTCCTCCTACCCTTCTAAAGGAACTTGAACCTTCCCATTAAGTTTACTGGGAGTTAATTGTGTAGAGGTATCGTACTCACTAAAAATTGTGTAAAAACTAGAAAAAGTGTAAAAACTAGGAATTATTTGCTCTAATTCACATTTACATTTGGAAAGAGGATGGAGGGCTATTTGCAGGCACAGAAAAAAAAAAAGTGAGAAAAGAGGACAGGGACAAATAATTGATCCTTGATGGCACTGGTTTGTTGAGTTTTAGAGGAGTTGAGAGTCAGAAGTTTGAGAGAGCCTTAGGAAAGCTGTGGGGTCAAGATATTGTGAGTCCAAGAGGAATGAAGAGAATTTTAAGAAGTGCTGTTGTGAGTAACAAACTGGATCTTTGTTGACATCCTTGGAAAAACTCCAATAAGGATTTGGATGCTGTACTGTTTCTGGAACTCTGTGAAGGGACTGGGCTGTAAGCTGACTCTACTTACATCTTAGTTGCAAATGTAATTTCTTCAGGCATGTAAACATTTGTATTTAATAAACATTAACCCTGGAAGGTTAGGAATTTAAGAACTGAATTTTAGACAAGTTTCCCTCCAGCTTCATATTATTTTGGTTCCCCTACTACTCCTAAATTATTCCTTCATTATATCTACTCTTCTTTCTCTGATTCTCCAATCTTGTTTTTTTGTTTTTTTTGTTTTTGTTTTTTATGTTGTTGTTTTTTGAGACAGTCTTGCTCTGTCGCCAGGCTGGAGTGCAGTGGTGCGATCTCGGCTCACTGCAATCTCCGCCTCCCAGATTCAAGCGATTCTCCTGCCTCAGCCTCCTGAGTAGCCGGGACTACGCGCCACCACACCCAGCTAATTCTTTTTTGTACTTTTAGTAGAGACGGGGTTTCACCATGTTGGCCAGAATGGTCTCGATCTCCTCCTGACCTTGTGATCTGCTCGCCTCGGCCTCCCAAAATGCTGGGATTACAGGCGTGAGCCACCACACCTGGCTGATTTTCCAGTCTTAAACATTTAACTCTAATCTTCTAAATATATCTTTTCTCACAGGTTAAAATATCACCTTATTCTGATCATCCCAACATTCCTCTCTCGAGCTCTCACTAAATTTCCACTCAGATGCTCTGTTTGTCCTCTTATCCAATATCTCCGCACTAAATTCGTCACCTTCCCTCTCAGTCTTCCTAATTCTCTGTCACTTTTGATGGGCACATTTCTCTGGGTCCAATATAGGATTTGTCTTAAACTTGTCCGTATTCTCTAATTTTTTATCCGTTCATTGCCAATTTCATTTCATTTCTTCAAAATCTCTATTTTGTCATCTCTCTAGTCCCACAGCTTAATATGGACTCTTATTTACTTTCGGAACTAATAAAATTACACTGTCCATTCACACAACTAAGAACTGGGTAACCTAACCCAAACTTTTGTCTCCAGTGTTACAATCTATCCTACAAATATCAAAAGTTATAACCACTCAGTGCTCTTTCCAGAATGTCTTTCTCCACTATAATCTCACTGTCTACTGGGTCAAGTTCAATCAGCTCTCCCAGACACTCAACATCCTCTACATCTATCCACCCTACCCCTAAGACATACTCTTTGATCCTATACTTTCTCTTTCCCATAGCATGTTTATTTCACTTTTCAAAATCCTATGTTGATTCTTTTCTTCTTGAATGAAGGCCCTTCCCTCTCCATCCACTTCTTAAAAAAAAAAGTCCTAAAACATTTTAAGAGTGTATGCCACGTTCTCTGTGAAGCCTTACGTGACAAGTATCAATCAATGATAGGTCTTAAAATGTGGTTTATGGACCCCTGAGTCCTTTTTGGGAGGTCTTCAAGATATAATTATTTTAATAATAGTATTAAAACATTATTTGCCTTTTTCATTGTGCTGACTTCTATACTGATAGTGTAAAGTGCTAGTAAATAAAACTGTTGGCATCTTAGCACAAATAAAGAAATGGTATTAGTAGCCACTGTATCCTTTCCCACCACATGCTTGCTTGCAGTTAAAAACAAAACCAGAAAAAAGAAAAGTTTCAGTTAGAAATGCCCTTAATGAAGCAGTAAGAATTATTTATTATTTTTATTAGATGACTTCTGAGTATGTGTCTTTTTAATATTCTGTATGATAAAATGGGAAGTACACATAAGGCATTTCTGCTACAAAGTAAAATGGTTTTCTTGAGGAAAAACCCTCAACTGATGGTTTAAATTGTAAGCTAAACTACCAGGTTCTTCCACAGACTGCCATTTTTACTTGAAAAAAAAAACAAAAAACAATAAACTATGATTGCTTGAGCCATCTGGCAGGCACTCTCTCAAAAATAAAAAAAAAAAGTGGGCTTGTCACATAAAGAAAAGCAACTGACAGTTTTGATACCAACAACAAAATCTGAACTTTCAAATGAAAATCAGAATATTGGAAAATTTGTTATCTGCAACTGTGAGCTTGACAGCCTCTCAATACTTAAAGACTTTTCTAATGAGATCTGCGGTGATATTTTAAATGTCATCTAATAAATGTTCAACATTTAGAAGACCTACATAACTCAGTGAGCCAATATTTTCCCAATGACCAAGACATGATGAATCAAAATTATGCATATGTAAAAGATTGAAGGCCTGCCAGGTGCGGTGGCTCACACCTGTAATCCCAGCACTTGGGGAGGCCGAGGCGGGTGGATCACGAGGTCAGGAGTTCAAGACCAGCCTGGCCAACATAGTGAAACCCAGTCTGTACTAAACATACAAAAAATTAGCCGGGCGTGGTGGCATAGTAATCCCAGCTACTCAGGGAGTAGTAGTAATCCCAGCTACTCAGGGAGGCTGAGGCAGGAGAATTGCTTGAACCTGGGAGGTGGAGGTTGCAGTGAGCCAAGATCGCACCACGGCACTCCAGCCCAGGTGACAATGCGAGACTCCATCTCAAAAAAAAAAATAAATAAATAAATAAATAAATAATTAAACAAATTTAAAACAGGTTAAAGCCCAAGAAAGGCCAATGAATTTGAATATAACAGAGTATGAAAAGTTCATTGATATGGTTTCAGATTTCACATTTACTTACCCTTTAAGAAACTACCTCTTGGTATATTTTGATGACATATTAAGGAATATCCACAATTATTAGTATTTGAAAAGGCCACTAAAATACTTTTTTTCTATTGCATAATTAACTCTGAGAGGCTAGATATTTTTCATATGCTTCAAACACTACTTATCACAACAGACTGAAAACAGAAGCCCATCTGAGAATCCAGCTGAATTCTATCATTCCAGATATTAAAGAGATTTGCAAAAATGTAAAACAATGACACTGTTCCTACTGTTTTTTTTTTTGGTTTGTTTTGGCAATGCAGTTATTTTTCATACACACACAAATATTGTGTTAACATGGAACATTACTGTTAATATTCAATGAGGTAATAATTTTTTGTTTTTTTCTGAGACAGAGTCTCACTCTATCACCCAGGCTGGAGTACAGTAGCGTGATCTCGGCTCACTGCAACCTCCACCAACTGGGTTCAAGTAATTCTACTGCCTCAGCATCCCGAGTAGTTGGGACTACAGGCATGTGCCACCACGCCCAGCTAATTTTTGTGTTTTTAGTAGAAAAAAGAAAAAATTGTATTTTATATTTTTAGGTACTATTTTCTCAAACACAGACATGAAGCCAGACGCTATATCTAAAGCTCCTTGAAGTCACAGAATGGGACATTTAGGTACTGAAGAGGTATTTAATAAATATTGAATGAACATATTAAGAAACACAGGTGCAAAGCTTTTACAAGGTATTCAATTTCAATATCAATTCATAAAATATGTCCTCAAAAACAATTAAGAGCATTTAGGCAAGAAAGAAATTAGCACCATTAAATTACTTTATATAAAAGAAACCTGCGTGTGGGCATAACTCAGCAGCAGAAATTTCACTGAAGCCCAGGTGTCTAAACTAATTCAGTATTTTTTCACTCTGTACCCCAGCACATGTATGCCATGTGCCTTCTTATATACAAAGCTCTAAAATGGAGAGAAAATAAAAATATCTCAAACTAAAAAAGAAAACAACTAAACTATGGAAACTCTGACAGAAGCTGTGCTCAATATTGTTACAATCTCCTTACTGCCCAATGATGCCATTTCTTATTCATATTCTAACGCCAGTTCTCATTTTCTTAACAGGAAGGATTCAAAGCTTTTAGATAAAGGTACAGTATAAGTTTTTATTATAAAACTATAAAATTAAACTATCTCTAATTTTATAATTTCTCTAAAAGAGTTTCAAACAAAAACAAATGGAGGTGCCTATTAGTGTCAAAGGTAGCTTTATCCTGCTTCAAAATCTCATAATCAGAATCATATTCAAGAGACAGAATTAGCTAAAGCTTAACTTATCACCTCTTGGGAGTCATTCATTCAAAAAGCAATCAAATGGCTACTACATGCCAGATAATGTGTGGACACTGGACCATGCAAAGTTTAACAAAATTTGGCCCTTGATCTAATGAAATGTAAAGATAAATAGGAAACATAAAAAAGAGAGAACTTTGCAATAAAATACATTAAGTATAGTAATATACACATATGTTGCTATTGTGAAAGGATATGTAAGAGGCACCCAATTCAGCCTGGAAAGAGATGGGTTTTAGTGATGGAAATTATCCCTGGGTTGAGTTCTAAATAACAAGTAAGACAGGAGGCATTGCCAGTAGATGGACAAGCTGGTGTGAGATGAGGGTTTGAGGGGCCATGTGGCAGAAGGAGATAAGACAGCTCTTCTTGCAGAGCTTTCTGTGTCACACTGAAGAGCTCATATTTTATCCTGTAAGCAGCCAGAGCCACTGAGAGGTTTTAACCAAGGAAGCTACATATTTTTTTCTTCTTAAGCTATGTTGTAGGCTCCTACAAAGCCATATATTTCTTTATTGTGAAAGATAATAATATAGAAGAGAGATGAAAGGGGAACAGGATAGGAGACAGGAGATGGTCTATGACAAGGGCTGGAAAACTATTTCCATAAAGAGCCAAATAGTGAACATTAAAGCAGTAGCTGTTGGTGGCCATCTGTTCTCTGTCAGAACTATGCAATTCTGCCATGGTAGAGTTAAAGCAATCATGGCAGAAAAGTGAACATGGCTGTGCTCCAGTATAACTTTGTTTACAAAAACAGGCAGCGGGTCTGGCCCATGAGCCATGCATGGTTTGCCAACCTGGCCTAGAGCCCCACTGACCAAAAGAACTTTCCACAATAATAAAAATGTTCTACTAAAGGTATGTTGCTCACACATAGCTGTAGGTTCCGTGTATGGCCACATGGAGCCATAAAGCACTAGAAATGCCAAAAGTTAGACTAAGGAATTGAATTTTTAATTTTATTTCCTTTAAATGATTTAAATGTAAATATTCATATGTGGCTTGTGGTTACCCTACCAAACAGTACAGAGTTAGAAACTGGTAAGGTAGCCAGCAAGAGATGGTGAACTAGGGCACTGAAGGTAGAGACAGAGAAGAGGTGGTAAAGGTGAGAAATATTAGGAGGTGATATGGTAGAACCTAATGCTGGATCAAATAAAGTGAGGGAGAAATAGTCAAAAACACTTCACCCATGTTGAGCAGCAGTAACCAAGTGGACAGCTGGGCCATGCACTGAGTATAGAGGGAAATATGTTGTGTTACTTTACACATGTTGATTCAACGTGCCACCTAAGAGAACAAAACACTTGACTATAATACAAAGAAATAGGTAATATTAAATATGTTCTTTTCATAGATAAAATGACTATAATACAGGAATATTAAGTAACTTGTCCAAGGTCATTGCAACTTGAGTTTATCCGATTCCAAAACTAAGGCATAGTCCCTTACACCAATATGAGTAAATAGTTAAGAGCTGACACCTTGGGAGGAAAGAAGTCACCCAGAGAGAAGCAGGGAGAATATTAGTGAGACTGTCTCAAAAAAAAAAAAAAAAAAAAAAAGGGCTGGGCATGGTGGCTCACGCCTGTAATCCCAGCATTTTGGGAGGCCGAGGTGGGTGGATCACCTGAGGTCAGGAGTTCGAGACCAGCCTGGCCAACGTGGCCAAACCCCGTCTCTATTAAAAATACAAAAATTAGCCAGGTGAGATGGCAGCGAATGCCTGTAATCCCAGCTACTCAGGAGGCTGAGGCAGGAGAACCGTTTGAACCTGGGAGGTTGGGGTTGCAGTGAGCCAAGATCACACTACCGTACTTCAGCCAGGGTGACAGAGTAAGACTCCATCTCAAAAACAAATAAATAATAAAAATTAAAAAGAGGCCGGGTGCAGTGGCTCACACCTGTAATCCTAGCACTTTGGGAGGCCGAGGTGGGCAGATTGCCTGAGCTCAGGAGTTCAAGACCAGCCTGGGCAACACTGTGAAACTCCATCTCTACTAAAATACAAAAAGCCGGGTGTGGCAGCATGCGCCTGAAGTCCCAGCTACTCGGGAAGCTGAGGCAGGAGAATTGCCTGAACCCGGGAGGTGTAGGTTGCAGTGAGCCAAGATCACGCCACTGCACTCTAGCCTGGACGATGGAGCGAGACTCTATCTCCAAAAAACAAAAAAAAACAAAAAAAAAAAAAAAGAAAAGAAAAAAAGACAGTTGATCCAGGCTAATCACCTGGTAAACACACTAATGCCAAACCTCTTGATAAAGAGACTAATAAAATTTGTAGCAAGAGAGGCTTCATCTATGGGATGCTTTTAGAAGAACATACTTAGTCTAGGATTGCTTATGGTAAGTGACCCAGGAATTAATGGATTTATGAGATCTGACCCCCTTGAGAATGTCATATAAGCTATGTAACTCAAGATTAACTGGAGGTGTTTTATCACCAAGAGAGCTCCTTCTATGTAAATAATATGAACTGCATACATCACTTAGAGACCTCACAGGTTCCCAGGTGGTCTAGCGGTTAAACAAAAATTTTAATAAAAAATAAAATTATTTTTAAAAAGAGACCTCACAAGTAATCTTGTTCCAGAGTATACCCTAGGCACACAGAACTAGGGAGCCCTGTCAATTGTCCTGAACATCTTCCTGCTTTGCTTGTGCCTCCAATGGCCAGTATCTTTGAAATTATTCATGAGGCTTCATTCAGGGTAAGTGCTCTAACTTATGTGTCTCTGATGTGGAATACTCCCAACTTACTGTGTTACCCCTGTACTAAATAACAAGACATATAATCATAGAAGCCTTCCCCGGGTTTTAGATTTTGACTAAGACTTAAAGGATAAGTAAATTTTTCAAAGATGGGGAGAAAACAGAGGATATGAATAAAGGAAGAAATATGAGAAAAACCCAAAGGAACATAAGACAGTAAGGATAGAAAACTGATTCTAATGAATAATTTTAAAAAAGAGGCTGAAGGCATATGGAGCACATCACAGAGAACTTCAGAAGTCAGAGAGAGAAGTGTAAACAGGATGCAGCTTTTAGTGAAAAAATAAGGTAGTGAAAGTGGAATGTAAGAAAGATGATTCTGGTAACACTGTGAGGAAAGGACTGAGAGAAGGTGTATCTGGAATTAGGAAGTCAGTTAGAAGCTACTGTAGAAATTAAACCCTTGCATGTACAGCCAAATGACTTGACAAGGGTACCAAGACTACACAATGGGGAAAAGATAGTCTCTTGAACAAATGTGCTGGAAAAACTACATATCCACATTCTAAGAATGAAGTTGGACCCCTATACCATATATAAAAATTAATTCAAAATGAATTAAAGACCTACACATAAGCCCAAACTATAAAACTCCTAGAAAGAAATATAGGGGGAAGGCTTCAGGATATTAGACTTGGCAATGATTTTTTGGATATGATACCAAAAGCACAGGCAACAAAAACGAAAACTGACAAATGGGACTTCATCAACTTTAAAATCTTCTGCACATCAAAGGAAACAATCAGCAGAGTGAAAAAGCAACCTATGGAATAGATGAAAATATTTCCAAATCATGTATTTGATAAAGTATCAATATTCAGTACCACTACAACAAAATAAATAACCCAATTTAAAAATGGGCAAAGGGCTTGGCTCAGTGGCTCATGCCTGTAATCCCAGTACTTTGGGAGGCCGAGGTGGGAGGATTACTTGAGGTCAAGAGTTCGAGACCAGCCTGGCCAACATGGCAAAACCCCATTTCTACGAAAAATACAAAATTAGCTGGGCATGGTGGTGTATGCCTGTAATTCTAGCTACTCAAGAGACTGAGGCACAAGAATCACTGGAACCCAGGAGGTAGAGGTTGCAGTGAGCCAAGATCACGCCACTGTACTCCAGACTGGGCGACGGAGCAAAACTGCATCAAAAAAAAAAAAAGGAAAAAATTGGCAAAGAACTTGAACAGGCAATTCTTTAAAGATATACAAATGGCCAAGAAATGCATGAAAAGATGCTCCACACCATGAATCAAAGTAAAATGTAGATCAAAACCGCATGACCAGCCAGGCACGGTGGCTCAAACCTGTAATCCCAGAATTTTGGGAGGCCAAAGTGGGAGGATCGCTTGAGCCCAGGAGTTGGAGACCAGCCTGGGCAACATGGTGAAACTCCTTCTCTACAAAAAATACAAAAATTAGCCAGGTGTGGTGGCACATGCCTATAGCCCCAGCTACTTAGAAAGCTGAGGTGGGAGGATCCTTTGAGCCTGAGAGGTCAAGGCTGCAGTGAGCCAAGATCATGCCACTGCACTCCAGCCTGGGAACCAGAGTGAGACCCTGTATCCAAAAAAAAAAAGAAAAGAAAAGAAAAAGAAAAAGAAAAACACATGACATACCACCTCCACCCATTAGAATGGCTACTATCAGAAGAACAGAAAACAGCAAGTGTTGATGAGGATGTGAAGAAATCAGAACCCTTGTGCACTGTTAGTGGGAATGTAAAAAGATGTATGCATTATGGAAAACTGTCTGAAGGTTCATCAAAAAATTAAAAGGACCATCATATGATCCAGCAATCCCACTTCTAGAAATATATCCAAAAGAATTTGAAACAGGGTCTCAAAAATATATTTGTATGCCCATGTCCATTTCAGCATTATTCACAATAGCCAGGGGTGCAAGTAATCTCAATGTCCATGGACGGATGAATGCATAAGGAAAATGTGTTACACATACAACAGGAATATTATGCAGCCTTTAAAAAGAAGAAAATCCTGTCATATGCTACAACATGATGCATTTCAAGGACATTATAGTAAGCAAAATAAGCCAGGCACAAAAGGATAAACACTGTATCATTCCATTCATATGAATTATTTAGTCAAAATCATAGAAACAGAAAGTAGAAAGGTGGTTGTCTAGGACTTGCAGGAGAGCGAAATTAGTGTTTAATGGGCGTAGAGTTTCAATTTTGCAAAATGAAAAAGTTCTAACGGTCTGTTGCACAATAATGTGAATATACTTAACACAACTGAACTGTATTCTTAAAAATGGTTGAGATGGGCCAGGCGCAGTGGCTCATGCCTGTAACCCCAGCACTTCAGGAGGCCAAAGCGGGTGGATCAATTGAGGTCAGGAGTTTGAGACCAGCCTGGCCAACATGGCGAAATCTCGTTTCTACTAAAAATACAAAAATTAGCCAGGCATGGTGGTGGGCACCTGTAATCCCTGCTACTTGGGAGGCTGAGGCAGGAGAATCACCTGAACCTAGGAGGTGGAGGTTGCAGTGAGCAGAGATGGCGCCATTGCACTCTAGCCTGGGCAACAAAGCGAGACTCCATCTCAAAAATAATAATAATTCACTAGTGATGACTATCAATATTACAAATTGTTAGTTTAGTTATTTACATTGTATGTATTTAAAATAAAAGTAGTCTTTTAAAAAAAATAAATTTTTTACAGACAGGGTTTCTCTGTTTTGCCCAGGCTGGATCTCAGCTCACTGGACACACTGCTTAAACTCTTGGACTCATGCAATCCTTCCGCCTTAGCCTCCCAAACAGCTAGAACTACAGGCAAGCACCATCGTGCCCAGCTAATTTTCTTTTTTCTTTTTTTTTTTTTTTTTTTGTAGGGATGGGATCTCACAATGTTACCCAGGCTGGTCTCAAACTCCTGGCCTCAAGCAATCCTCCTGCCTCAACCTCCCAAAGTGCTGGGATTTATAGACGTGAGCCCCTGAGCCCAGCTAAAAGTAGCCTTTTAAATTTAAAAAATAAAAAGATTATGTATTTCAATGAGGCACTAAGATAATGTCAATATAAGAATTTGGGGACAGGAGGAAGTTAGTGTCAGGAATATGAGCTAGACTCAAAATGAGCCACAGTGATATTTGTCCTTTTCCATAAAGAGCCCCACTCAAATCTAAGATTCAGTGAATACCATTCATCTTGCAGTGTACAACGTGGAGGGTGAAAGAATGAGCTGGAAGCAGGCATCATAAAGCACCATCGTACTGCAAAGAGCAGGATTTAAAAGCTAGCACCACCACTTGCTAGCTAGGGAAACTTGGGTAAGTTACTCTAACCTTTCCAAAACTCACTTTCCTCATTTGTATGATGGTGATAACAATTCATATCACAGATCCGTATCTTTTATATAGTAACTTGAGGATCACGGGAAAAGGATTTGCCCAAACTAAAAATAAACAGCATGACTTTAAAATAATCAATGATATCAGTAACATACCGCTGATTCACAAACGGGCTGGAAAGCTCTGCAAGCAGGCGAAAATTCCCAATGTATGCCAGCACTCCATTTTTCTGAATGATAAACATAAAACACAACGTCAAGGATAACATTCTTAACAAAATTCCCAAATACCGTAGAAATATCCAATAGCTTCTCAGCATAATATAACAATCAATACCAAAACAGATCAAGAAGTTTTCTACCTTTTACTGTTAAACTGATTTTCTTCGTGAGAATATAGAAAGATCCTTGGAATTCTACAGTATTTTTAAAAAACAGTAAATTATACACTTATGTTCACTTATGTATACAGTGTCCACTTAATGAAAATAGGCTTCAAGCAGTTGTGTCACGTTAAACAAATGAACTCTAAATAACCATTAGTAATGGCATTTTCAAATTACTGTAGAAAAGAATGATCACGTGGCACGCGCCTGTAGTCCCAGCTACTCGGGAGGCTGAGGCAGGAGAATGGCGTGAACCCGGGAGGCGGAGCTTGCAGTGAGCCGAGGTCGCACCACTGCACTCCAGCCTGGGCGACAGAGCGAGACTCCGTCTCAAAAAAAAAAAAAGAATGATCACAAAGTACTGTGAATTTCAGAAGATGAGGAGTTTTATAACAATTTAACACCTGATAGTAACTCACTTTATATCCATTACTAACTGGAAGCACCTTAAAAATCTCAAAAAAGCACTTATCCTCAATAACAATACATAAGCCTGTGAGTACAGGTATATTTGCCCAGTATGACAACACATGCCACCATGTTTGTTCTGAAAAATATATTTGTGAATCAGAAGATCCTGGAGCTAAATTTAGGATCTTTGAGACCTTTCTAAATTTAAACATAATACCTAGTACATTCTACCAATTAAATAATATGAAAAGTTTAGTAGAGTTAGTAAACATTGGAAGGAAAACCAAAAGTATACATTCTAAAAATTTTACTTAATATACTTTAAAAATTGCTACTAAGTAAATGGAGTCACTCCAGCACTTCCAATTAAATCAGAATTATGATTACATGCCAAAGAAAACAGTCCTCCCTACCCCAATACATTAGATGTAAACAAAAGTTTGGAAACTATTTTTCTACTGGCTATACCATGCTGCCTTCCAAATGAGAACAATATGAAGCATTAAAAAAATAATAGGTGGACTTTTTATTTGATGATTTTTAGTATTTATTCGTGAAAATTATTTTAGGGATTCAAAATTCTAAGCTAGATTATAAGAACTACCTTTAACAAGGTTAATCTAAAACTTTTTATAATCACAAATTCATTATCCTTAGCAATACTGGAATTTGTGATGAGGAAGAAGGAAGGAGGGATGGCCAAAGACACAGCAACAGCAGGCAAGAGGAGCATTGAATGCACAGGGGGTGACCAACTTTTCAGAGAGTCAACTAGGGCACAGCCATACCAGTCCAGAGACATAACAATGGAGGAGAAAGAATTATGCACAGGTTTTATTACTTTAACACACAAATATGAAGAATAGGTATTTATTTGAAATTATTATTCTATACTAGTTTTCTGTTATACTAAATGCTTTTATTTAAACAAGATGGAAGAAGTGCAGATTAATTTAGATGTGCTTGCCTGTCTTATCCCAGACTTGAGAGACACAGTCTCCTTAGGTGCTTACACATCTCCTTCACCAAGCCTGTATTAGTTTGTTAGCGCTGTCATAACAAAGTACCAAAAAGTGGGTGGTTTAAGCAACAGAAATGTATTGTCTCACAGTTACGGAAGCTAGAAGTCCAAGATCAAGGGTTTAACAGGGTCATGAGCTCTCTGCAGGCAACTAGGGAAGAATCTGTTCTAGGACTCTCTGCCAGCTTCCTGCAGTTCCTTGGCTTGTGGCAGCCTAACTCCAGTCTCCACGTGGCATTATCCCTGTGTGCATGTCTGTCCAAATTTCCCCTTTTCACAAGGAGACCAGTCATAGTGGATTAGGGGCCCACCATATTTTAATACAAACTCATCTTAACTAACTACATCTACAATGACCCTATTTCCAACTGAGGTTACATTCTAAGGTACTGGGAGTTATGACTTCAACCTATGAATTTTGGAGGGGACACAATTCAAACTGTAACAATGCCCAATCCCAAATTCTTTCCTGCCTATTGTGCAATATGTTCTGTTTTATCTCCCTAATTAAATTTTATGTGTCTTTCCCTCTGTCTATAACATATCATTATATACTAATATATATAAAATAACATAGATTTCCATATACAATAATAACTTTCCTTCTCAGTGATGTCTGGGACACTCTGGTGTTGATATCATAACTGTTCTCATTTTCATTATCTGAACTCTCAGAAAATACAGTCACAGTATTCACAGTGTGGTAGGTTAAACTAACACTATGTCAATACAAATCAAAACAGTTAATCCAACGGGCAATGTCAATGATAGACTGTTACTGCTCACAATTACAACACACTTAAGTTGCATCAGTGGATGATCCATTATTGTGAACTGCAAATCATAGCTGCCGTGATTTTTTTTGGTATCAGAGGAAGGGGTTTCCCGGGCTGCAGGATTTTCAGTGGTAAAATGGTACGACTAGGATAGCTCTG
Organism: Homo sapiens; assembly: GCF_000001405.40. Lineage (NCBI taxonomy): Eukaryota > Metazoa > Chordata > Mammalia > Primates > Hominidae > Homo > Homo sapiens. The sequence goes on along the minus strand of NC_000001.11, from coordinate 95,171,292 downwards.
AACAGGCCACTCTCATCTTTGTTTTATTATAAATGCATTTAGGCTGGGCATGGTGGCTCACAAAAGTAATCCCAGCACACTGGGAGGCCAAGGCAAGAGGATCACTTGAGCCTAGAGGTTCGAGACCAGCTTGGGCAAACATAGCAAAACCCCATCTCTATACAAAAATTTAAAATAACAAATAAATAATTCATTTTAATACATATTCGAAATCACATTTGCGGCTAAAAAAAAGGGGGGGGATGAGAAAAGCACAAATGTCTGAGCCCTCTAATTTATTCAGCATAAAGAACCACTTTAAAGATAATAAGGAACAAATTGCCATTTGCATTTCAAACTCCTTAGGTATTTTGTGTGCTTTTTTTAATGAAAAAATTTGGTGGCTTGTTCAAAGTTTAGGTGAGTTTTCTCAAAAGACTTGCTTGGAATATTTAAGAAGAAGTTAAAATAACAAGTAAAGTAAAATAAGAGAAATGTTCTGTTTTTTTGCTATCTCTATAGTTAAATTCTGTAGCAAATTAGGGAAAAGGACAACTTTGGAAACAGTATACAACTAAAATATGACTCTTGAGGGGACAAAAAAATGAAAGGAAAAAGTTATTTTAATGAGATTCCTACTTGAGCCAGACACCAGACATAAACATCTTAGAAAGATTTGCATTATGGCTGGGCGCAGTGGCTCACACCTGTAATCCCAATACTTTGGGAGGCCAAAGTGGACGGATCACAAGGTCAGGAGATCGAGACCATCCTGGCTAATACAGTGAAACCCTGTCTCTACTAAAAATACAAAAAATTAGCCAGGCGTGGTGGCGGGTGCCTATAGTCCCAGCTACTCGGGAGACTGAGGCAGGAGAATGGCGTGAACCTGGGAGGCGGAGCTTGCAGTGAGCCGAAATCACGCCACTGCACTCCAGCCTGGGGGACAGAGCGAGACTCTTCTCAAAAAAAAAAAAAAAAAAGAATGATTTGTATTATTATAACCCCTCACTAAGACAGATTCATGTATGTAATAAACATGAAGCATTAAAAAAATTATAGGTGAACTTTTTATTCCTTAAGGATAATTTCTCTCATTCATAACACTGACTTTCTCCTGTCAAAGGTGATTTTTCTTCTGATCTATTTTTCCTAACAATTCTCTTTAGTTGTTCTAAGTCTATGGCATTCTATGTAACTACATTCAATGTTTAGAGAAGATGACAGACCAGACTGCTGCAAAATGTTACGAGTTAATGTGTTCCTAAGGTCAGCCAAAATTCTTGCTAAATTTCTTACTGTATCCTTCAAATAAATAGTTTTTCCAAAGATAAGATCAAATACCAAAATTTATTTTTATACAACTTATAAAGTATTTTAAAGCAGACTCCTCAAAGTCATGTAAAATATCAAAATACTATAGCAGCAACAGCCTAAGCCTTAATTAAATTTTAAAAACCATTTTAGGCTGGGCGCAATGGTGCACACCTGTAGTCTGACTCAGCTACTCAGAAGGCTAAGGCAGGAAGATCATGTGAACCCAGAAGTTTGAGGGTGTGGCTGTGAGCTGTGATCACACTACTGCATACCAGCCTAGGTGACACAGCAAAACCGTTTCTTTAAAAAAATTCTAAAAATTTCTCTCTAGTTAATATTAACTTTAAAAATAAAAAAAAAATCATGAAGTATACTATATTTAAGACCTTTTTTGAGAATTTAAAAGATTACTTTTTCCAACTCCTTTCATACTGGTAAAGAATTAAAAGTATTAACCAAAGTACCAAATTAATATCAGATAAAACCTGACTTCATGATTTTCATTAAGTATTAAAAGAGTCAGTGTAAAAATGGTAAATTTGATGTTATGTTCATCTAAACAACTTTGGCCAAAATGCAAATTTTCCATGCTTTGAGGAAATTGTCTCTTGAATTTGAAAAAAGTTGGGCATAACATCTTGGCTCTTCTAATTCCTCTCTCCTCTTCCCAAAGAGAATGGTTAGTTCTAGTACTTCTAGCCCAATGGTTCTCGTGTAGTTCCCAGATAAGCAGCATCAGCATGACCTGGGAACTTGCTAGATATGCATATTCCAGGGCCCCATCCAAGACATACTGAATGGGAAACCATGAGGGGTGGGAACAGCAGCTGTGTTTTGCAGGCCCTCCAGGTGAGTCCAAGGTACGTTAAAGTGAGAGAAGTGCTTTCCTAGTCTAGAAATAGCCAGCGATCTATAAGCCCCAAGGAGCTAGCTCCCTACTTCTCAGAAACTGCGCTGAGCAAAGGTTTACAAACACCCACCCCAGACTGCACAGCTCTTAAGGTGGACCTGCTACATTCCTCTAGAAAAGTTTTTCCTGACCCCTTAACTCTTAGCTGGGAGAACCCCCAGTCAATTGGCTCCGCAGATCTCTCTGCTTATCTGTGAGAGTACTTAGCTCCTTGCAAATATCTACATTTCCTGTTCCTTATTCACTGTTATATCCATAAAGCCTTACACAGTGCCTGGCCCATGTTTCCTGAGTTGAACCTTGCCTTCTCAGTGCTGTTAAACAAGCACATCACCTCTAAAGTCAAAATCCCAAGAGTCCTTCAGGCCTATTTCTGAGTGGGAGAGAGGATTATCAGAATATTAGCCTTTGGCTGGAGGTGGTGGTTCATGCCTATAATGCCAGCAGAGGCAGGAGGATCATTTGAGCCCAGCCAAGGCAACATTAGTGAGACCCCGTCTCTTAAAAAAAAAAAAAAAAAAAAAAAAAAAAAGCTCACTCACATTTCATTCCAAAAGAAAAGGAGAAAGCCATCCAGATTTTAATCTCATAAAGATATCAGTGGAACAGAATTAGAAGTTATCAAATTTGTTATGAGAAAATAAAAATGTCTGAATCTCCAAACACTGATACATTTAGAGTTAGTGAAGCAAGGCTGGTAAAAGTGGGTAAGCAAGTAGAAGAGGCAGGGGAATGTGGGACCATTGTAACAGAAGTAAAACATCTAGAAGCAGACAGTGAGCACACTTGCAAACTAAGGAGCAATAGGATGTAGTCTAAAAGAAAGACAAACCAGGGTTATAGCTCTGACCTTACTAGCTGTGTAACCTTGTGCCTATTACTGAACTCCTCTGATCCTATTCCAAGAAATCTATAATGAATGGTTAATACTTTTAAACAGGGCTGTTGTTAGGACTATATGGCTGCCATTACTACCATCATTGTCCTCATCACTTTATAAAACATAAAACGAGAGAGTTAAAATTAACGATAGATGGAAGTGTCTAAGAATGCCATTTGATACTGTTGGGGTGATGGTCCCAACACCAGGTCGTGGGGGTGACGAAGTCTGGCGGAGTCAAAGGAATGAAAAAAGACAGTTTACGAGAGAAAGTGGGTCCAGGGGGCCAACACTAAGTATGGAGGCTGCAAAGACCCTGAGCTCTGGAAGCCCAGACTATTTATTGGTGATCAAACAAAGAAACAGGTGGTGAGAATGTGGGGGTCGAAAGGGAGCGTTACATTAAGCACATGATTTACAGCTGTGATGGTTTAGCATATGCTCTGCTACTTGAGATAATGGAGAGCAGGTTCTTTTAACTCAAGATACAATCGATCCTGGGAGAGCAAGGAGCAAGGAGCCAGCAAGTCTAGACACATTCCAGAGCCAGGAGCCTTGGATTCTATCCAAGCCACGAGCGGTTTTATGCCCTGGGCTTAGATTACCGTGCGTCAGGGTAGCCTTCCACCCTTTGGCACAGAGCTTGGTGTTCCAAAGGCCACAAGGGGTTTTAGACCCTGGACCCCGCACATGTTCCAAGACTCTCTTACATTATGTCAGACATGCAAGCCCTGCCTCAGCTTCTCTCCCAACACTCAGCATTTCCCAACAGATACCACCACTATATCCCAATGCTGACAGAATTTCCAGAAATATTTATTGGCAAACTTTTTAAAACTTCCTCTATTTGAGCAAATTATTATTATAATTAAGCAATTACATTTTGGGAGGCAGGGATAGTTAAAAGCAATTAAGTTTTGGGAGGCGGAGACAGTTAATGACAATACGCCTGTGGTATGGAGGGCAGGATTTGAATCCTAGCTCTGGTGGCAACTTGGGGCAAAGCTAATCTAAATTTCGGTTTCTCCTTTTGTAAAATGGGCACAATGCCATCTTTATAGCAAGACTGACATGAGAATAAAATGAGACGCATACTGAGGGCCATCAGGAAAAATACTGATGGCCATCAGTATGCGGCACTCAAAAGAGAAGGCACTCAAAAGAGGAAAAAGAACTAGGTACAGTGGCTCATGCATATAATCCCAACACTTTAGGAGGTTGAGGCAGGAGGATCGCTTGAGATCAGGAATTCTGGGCCAGCCTGGTCAACATAGTAAGACCCCACGTCTACAAAAAAAATTTTTTTTTTAATTAGCCAGGCATGGTGGCGTGTGCCTATAGTCCCAGCTACTCAGGAGGCTGAGGCAGGAGGATCACTTGAGCTCAGGAGTTAAGGCCATAGCAAGCTATGACTGCACCACTGTACTCCAGCGTGGGTGACAGAGTGAGACTTTGTCTCTAAAAAAACAACTGAACAAGGTAAATTTTCTTATTATAAAGACAAGGCCTAAAACGGCCTATTCCTTCCTGCCTAGGTGCAATCATTCACACCTAGTTACTGATGCAAGGGTGACCACACAGGTCTAAGGTTCAGGCCTGGATGATGGGGAGGAATGGATGATTAGACAGATCATTACAGTCAGGAAGGACTGGATGCACTACTAATGAACACTGCTATTTTACTATAAAAGATAACCTTACGTGAACAAATCACCCTCCAAAAGTAGTTGTTACTTTCTACTTGTTGCAGAAAAGCATCCAGGATGAAAAGGAAAATTAATACTTCTAAGGGTAAACTAAACTGTTTTATTGATCCTATGGTTTTTGTCAGCTTTTCATCTCACTTTGCACAACTATAATATATTTCATCCAACCTAAACTTAACTGTGTTCATGATGACTTTATGTTCATCATACCACAGTGTGGCATGGTTGAAATGGCCTCTGAAAATTACCTACTTTCTATTACCCATAGATTTTTAAATCCCACCCACAAAAGCTCTTCCAGTTTGCCCTCAGCTTAGGGTGGACTACCCCATAGTGAGAAGTGTAAGCAGCTCACTGCAACCTGGGACTGCTATTCAAAAGTTCCAAAACTATACTGCTCTCTCAGATTTCCACCTGCCTGTCCTACTTCTGATCCTCACAACCCAAAAAACTTAATTGAATCCAATCTCTTTTTCATATAAACCTTCTGATATTTACAGACAGTATATGTTTATTTTCTTTCCCAGTATCATTTCCACATTGCTCAGGTAAAGACTCTTCTAGCCAACCCTTTTCAGAGTTCCTGATCCCTGTTAACTGCAGTCTTCACAAAACAAAAATAAAACAAACAACAGAAACCAAGCAGCCTCTTGATGAAAAGAACCAGTTACACAATGGTTCTCTGAAGAGAATTTTGGCAGAATGAATCAATATCCTTAAAACATACATATACTAGGCCAGGCGCAGTGGCTCATGCCTGTAATCCCAGCACTCTGGGAGGCCGAGGCGGGTGGATCACCTGAGGTCAGGACTTTGAGACCAGCCTGCCAACATGTTGAAACCCCGTCTCTACTAAAAAATACAAAAATTAGCCGGGCATGGTGGCAGGTGCCGGTAATCCCAACTACTTGGGAGGCTGAGGCAGGGGAATCGCTTGAACCCGGGAAGTGGAGGTTGCAGTGAGCCAAGATCACGCCATTGCACTCCACCCTGGGGGACAAGAGCGAGACTTTGTCTGAAAAAAAAAAAAAAACACACACACACACACATACTATTTGCCCAAGAATTCCACTCAACAAAATTATTCTTTGAAAATAATTATTCATGTGCACAAATGAGAAGATATATGGATATTCACTCAAAGTTACCTATGACACTGAAACACATAACAATAGTCATTGGTTAAATGTTATTACATATCCATATGCCACCAGTAGAGATAATGATACCACCAGATAGTCTGAGAATAAAAACATCTTCAGAACTTTCAACAGACTCAGTTTACCTCCTTCGCTTTCTTAGGTATCATTTGAGGATATGCTGCAGCAAAATGAGTGAATAAACAAGAAAGTCAAAGACATGGGATTGAGGAAACAGTGACTTCAGCCCAAGATTGGAATGACAGGGAGCCCCAGGCCACTGGGCAGCAGCACAGACAGCAATCTGTTCAGACTGCAGCAGAACAGCAAACTCCTGGAGCAGGTATGTGGGAGCTGGGAAAAGACGGTTGCAGAGATGGAGTAGTATCCTTGAGGATATGAAGCTACTCAAATATGTAGTAAAGGCAAATGATGGGGGGAAAAAAGGAAGGCAATTAGAAACTCCAAAAAAATTACACAGAAAATGTAATCTGGGTCCTGCAATCAACTATTTTAATACAATCATAATAAATATTTTACTGATTTTCTATGTGTAGATCAACTGACTACAAAGAAAAACTATGATTACAGAATACAAAGTAGATATTTTTAATTCTCAGCAATACAAAAGTACAAGTGATAAAAACTGAGAAGCAAAGTAGGAGTTAGAGAAGTAGAAGAAAAAATTGGGGCACTAATATCTTCATTTTTAAAAGTATCAAGAGGTGGCGGGGGTTCCAAGATGGCCGAATAGGACCAGCTCCAGTCTACAGCTCCCAGTATGAGCGACACAGAAGACGGGTGACTTCTGCATTTCCAACTGAGGTACCGCATTCATCTCACTGGGGCTTGTCAGACACTGGGTGCAGCCCACAGAGTGTGAGCCGAAGCAGGGCGAGGCATCGCCTCACCTGGGAAGCACAAGGGGTCAGGAATTCCCTTTACTAGCCAAGGGAAGCTGTGGCAGATGGTACCTGGAAAATCGGGACACTCCCACCCTAATATTGCGCTTTTCCAACAGCCTTAACAAACAGCACACCAGGAGATTATATCCCGCGCCTGGCTCAGAGGGTCCCATGCCCACGGAGCCTCGCTCATTGCTAGCACAGCAGTCTGAGATCAAACTGCAAGGCGGCAGTGAGGCTGGGGGAGGGGCATCCGCCATTGCTAAGGCTTGAGTAGGTAAACAAAGCGGCCTGGAAGCTCGAACTGGGTGGAGCCCACCACAGCTCAAGGAGGCCTGCCTGCCTCTGTAGACTCCACCTCTGGGGGCAGGGCATAGCTGAACAAAAGGCAGCAGAAACTTCTGCAGAATTAAACATCCCTGTCTGACAGCTTTGAAGACAGTAGTGGTTCTCCCAGCACAGTTTGAGATCTGAGAACAGACAGACTACCTCCTCAAGTGGACCCCTGACCCCTGAGTAGCCTAACTGGTAGGCACCTCCCAGTAGGGGCCGACTGACACCTCATATGGCTGGGTGCCCCTCTGAGACAAAGCTTCCAGAGGAAGGATCAGGCAGCAACATTGGCCATTCTGCAATATTTGCTGTTCTGCAGCCTCCACTGGTGATACTCAGGCAAACAAGGTCTGGAGTGGACCTACAGCAAACTCCAACAGACCTGTAGCTGAAGGTCCTGTTAGAAGGAAAACTAACAAACAGAAAGGACATCCACACCAAAACCCCATCTGTATGTCACCATCATCAAAGACCAAAGGTAGATAAAACCATAAAGATGGGGAGAAACTAGAGCAGAAAAGCTGAAAATTCTAAAAATCAGAGCACCTATTCTCCTCCAAAGTAACGCAGCTCCTCGCCAGCAGCAGAACAAAGCTGGACAGAGAACAACTTTGACAAGTTGAGAGAAGAAGGCTTCAAACGATCAGTAATAACAAACTTCTCCGAGCTAAAGGAGGATGTTCGAACCCATCGCAAAAAAGCTAAAAACATGCAAAAAAGAGTAGACGAATGGCTAACTACAATAAACAGCATACAGAAGACCTCAGGTACCCAATGGAGCTGAAAACCATGGCACGAGAACTATATGACACATGCACAAGCTTCAGTAGCCGATTTGATCAAGTGGAAGAAAGGGTATCAGTGATTGTAGATCAAATGAATGAAATGAAGTGAGAAGAGTTTAGAGAAAAAAGAGTAAAAAGAAATGAACGAAGCCTCTGAGAAATATGAGACTATGTGAAGAGACCAAATCTACGTTTGACTGGTATACCTGAAAGTGATGGGGAGAATGGAACCAAGTTGGAAAACACTCTTCAGGGTATTATCCAGGAGAACTTCCCCAACCTAGCAAGGCAGGCCAACATTCAAATTCAGGAAATACAGAGAACACCACAAAGATACTCCTCGAGAAGAGCAACTCCAAGACACATAATTGTCAGATTCACCAAAGCTGAAATGAAGGAAAAAATGTTAAGGGCAGCCAGAGAGAAAGGTTGGGTTACCCACAAAGGGAAGCCCAACAGACTAACAGCGGATCTCTCGGCAGAAACTCTACAAGCCAGAACAGAGTGGGGGCCAATGTTCAACATTCTTAAAGTAAAGAACTTTCAATCCAGAATTTCATATCCAGCTAAACTAAGCTTCATAAGTGAAGGAGAAATAAAATCCTTTACAGACAAGCAAATGCTGAGACATTCTGTCACCACCACGCCTGCCTTACAAGAGCTCCTGAAGGAAGCACTAAACATGGAAAGGAACAACCAGTACTAACCACTGCAAAAACATGCCAAATTGTAAAGACCATCGATGCTATGAAGAAACTGTACTGATTAGCGGGCAAAATAACCAGCTAACATCATAATGGCAGGATCAAATTCACACATAACAATATTAACCTTAAATGCACATGTGCTAAATGAGCCAATTAAAAGACACAGACTGGCAAATTGGATAAAGAGTCAAGTCCCATCAGTGTGCTGTATTCAGGAAACCCATCTCACATGCAAAGACACACATACACTCAAAATAAAGAAATGGAGGAAGATCTACCGAGCAAATGGAAAGCAAAAAAAAGCAGGGGTTGCAATCCTAGTCTCTGATAAAATAGACTTTAAACCAATAAAGATCAAAAGAGACAAAGAAGGCCATTACATAATGGTAAAGGAATCAATTCAACAAGAAGAGCTAACTATCCTAAATATATATGCACCCAATACAGGAGCACCCAGATTCATAAAGCAAGTCCTTAGAGACCTACAAAGAGACTTAGACTCCCACACAATAATAATGGGAGACTTTTAACACCCCACTGTCAACATTAGACAGATCAACGAGACAGAAAGTTACCAGGATATCCAGGAATTGAACTCAGCTCTGCATCAAGCAGACCTAATAGACATCTACAGAACTCTCCACCCCAAATCAACAGAATATACATTCTTCTCAGCACCACATCGCACTATTCCAAAATTGACCACACAGTTGGAAGTAAAGCACTCCTCAGCAAATGTAAAAGAACAGAAATTATAACAAACTGTCTCTCAGACCACAGTGCAATCAAACTAGAACTCAGGATTAAGAATCTCACTCAAAACCACTCAACTACATGGAAACTGAACAACCTGCTCCTGAATGACTACTGGGTACATAACGAAATGAAGGCAGAAATAAAGATGTTCTTTGAAACCAATGAGAACACAGACACAACATACCAGAATCTCTGGGACACATTTAAAGCAGGGTGTAGAGGGAAATTTATTGCACTAAATGCCCACAAGAGAAAGCAGGAAAGATCTAAAATTGACACCCTAACATCACAATTAAAAGAACTAGAAAAGCAAGAGCAAACACTTCAAAAGCTAGCAGAAGGCAAGAAATAACTAAGATCAGAGCAGAACTGAAGGAGATAGAGACACAAAAACCCTTCAAAAAATCAATGAATCCAAGAGCTGGTTTCTTGAAAAGATCAACAAAATTGATAGACTGCTAGCAAGACTAATAAAGAAGAAAAGAGAGAAGAATCCAATAGATGCAATAAAAAATGATAAAGGGGATATCACTACTGATCCCACAGACATGCAAACTACCATCAGAGAATCCTATAAACACCTCTACGCAAATAAACTAGAAAATCTAGAAGAAATGGATAAATTCCTGGACACATACACCCTCCCAAGACTAAACCAGGAAGAAGTTGAATCCCTGAATAGACCAATAACAGGCTCTGAAATTGAGGCAATAATTAATAGCCTACCAATCAAAAAAAGTCCAGGAGCAGACGGATCCACAGCCGAATTCTACCAGAGGTACAAAGAGGAGCTGGTACCATTCCTTCTGAAACTATTCCAATCAACAGAAAAAGAGGGAATCCTCTCTAACTTATTTTATGAGGCCAGCATCATCCTGATACCAAAGCCTGGCAGAGACACAACAAAAAAAAGAGAATTTTAGACCAATATCCTTCATGAACATTGATGCAAAAATCCTCAATAAAATACTGGCAAACCAAATCCAGCAGCACATCAAGAAGCTTATCCACCATGATCAAGTTGGCTTCATCAGTGGGATACAAGGCTGGTTCAACATACGTAAACCAATAAACATAATCCATCATATAAACAGAACCAAAGACGAAAACCACATGATTATCTCAATAGATGCAGAAAAGGCCTTCGACAAAATTCAACAGCCTTCATGCGAAAAACTCTCAATAAACTAGGTATTGATGGGATGTATCTCAAAATAATAAAAACTGTGACAAACCCACAGCCAATGTCATACCGAATGGGCAAAAACTGGAAGCATTCCCTTTGAAAACTGGCACAAGACAGGGATGCCCTCTCTCACCACTCCTATTCAACATAGTATTGGAAGTTCTGGCCAGGGCAATCAGGCAGGAGAAAGAAATAAAGCGTATTCAATTAGGAAAAGAAGAAGTCAAACTGTCCCTGTTTGCAGATAACATGACTGTATATTTAGAAAACCCCATCGTCTCAGCCCAAAATCTCCTTAAGCTGATAAGCAACTTCAGCAAAGTCTCAGGATACAAAATCAATGTGCAAAAATCGCAAGCATTCCTATACACCAATAACAGACAAACAGAGAACCAAATCATGAGTGAACTCACATTCACTATTGCTACAAAGATAATAAAATACCTAGGAATCCAACTTACAAGGGATGTGAAGGACCTCTTCAAGGAGAACTACAAACCACTGCTCAAGGAAATAAAAGAGGACACAAACAAATGGAAGAGCATTCCATGCTCATGTGTAGGAAGAATCAATATCGTGAAAATGGCCATGCTGCCCAAGGTAATTTATAGATTCAATGCCATCCCCATCAAGCTACCAATGACTTTCTTCACAGAATTGGAAAAAACTACTTTAAAGTTCATATGGAATGAAAAAAGAGCCCGCATTGCCAAGACAATCCTAAGCCAAAAGAACAATGCTGGAGGCATCATGCTACCTGACTTCAAACTATACTACAAGGCTACAGTAACCAAAACAGCATGGTACTGGTACCAAAACAGAGATGTTGACCAATGGAACAGAGCAGGGGCCTCAGTAATAATACCACACATCTACAACCATCTGATCTTTGAGAAACCTGACAAAAACAAGAAATGGGGAAAGGATTCCCTATTTAATAAATGGTGCTGGGAAAACTGGCTAGCCACATGTAGAAAGCTGAAACTGCATCCCTTCCTTACACCTTAAACAAAAATTAATTCAAGATGGATTAAAGACTTAAATGTTAGACCTAAAACCATAAAAACTCTAGAAGAAAACCTAGGCAATACCATTCAGGACATAGGCATGGGCAAAGACTTCATGACTAAAACACCAAAAGCAATGGCAACAAAAGCCAAAAGTGACAAATGCGATCTAATTAAACTAAAGAGCTTCTGCACAGCAAAAGAAACTCCATCAGTGAACATGCAACCTACAGAATGAGAGAAAATTTTTGCAATCTACCCATCTGACAAAGGGCTAATATCCAGAATCTACAAAGAACTTAAACAAATTTACAAGAAAAAATCAAACAACCCAATCAAAAAGTGGCCAAAGGATATGAACAGATACTTCTCAAAAGAAGACATCTATGCAGCCAACAGACACGTGAAAAAATGCTCATCATCACTGGCCATCAGAGAAATGCAAATCAAAACTACAATGAGATACCATCTCACACCAGTTAGAATGGCGATCATTAAAAAGTCAGGAAACAACAGGTGCTGGAGAGGATGTGGAGAAATAGGTACACTTTTACACCATTGGTGGGAGTGTAAACTAGTTCAACCATTGTGGAAGACAGTGTGGCAATTCCTCAAGGATCTAGAAGTAGAAATACCATTTGACCCAGCCATCCCATTACTGGGTCAAAACCCAAAGGATTATAATTCATGCTGCTATAAAGACACACGCACACGTATGTTTACTGTGGCACTATTCACAATAGCAAAGACTTGGAACCAACCCAAATGTCCGTCAATGATAGACTGGATTAAGAAAATGTGGCACATATACACCATGGAATACTATGCACCATAAAAAAGAATGAGTTCATGTCCTCTGTAGGGACATGGATGAAGCTGGAAACCATCATTCTGAGCAAACTATCGCAAGGACAGAAAACCAAACACTGCATGTTCTCACTCATAGGTGAGAAGTGACCGATAAGAACACTTGGACACAGGATGGGGAACAGCACACACCGGGGCCTGTCATGGGGTGGGGGGAGGGGGGACGGACAGCATTAGGAGATATACCTAATGTAAATGACGAGTTAATGGGTGCAGCACACCAACATGACACATGTATACATATGTAACAAACCTGCATGTTGTGCACATGTACCCTAGAACTTAAAGTATAATAAAAAATAAATAAATAAATAAATAAATGAAGTATCAAGAGGCCAGGGATGGTGAATCATGCCTGTAATCCTAGCACTTTGGGAGGCTGAGGCAGGAGGATCACTTGAGCCCAGCAGTTTGAGACCAGCCTGGGCAACATAGGCTGACCCCATCTCTATAGAAAATTTTTAAAAATTAGCCAGGTAAAGTGGCGAATGTCTCAGCTACTCAGGAGGCTGAGGCAGGCAGATCGCTTGGCCCTGGGAGGTCAAGGCTGCAGTGAGCCCTGACAGTGCCACTGCACTCCAGCCTGGGCAACAGAATGAGACTCTGTCTCAAAAAAAAAAAAAAAAAGAAAAAATTAAGTATCAAGGGGTGCTATAGGACCAGAAATAAGAATACTTAAAGTTTTAAAAGGAACTGAGTGACAACTAGCATTCCCTAACTACATTGGGAGGAAGAAGGGAAGGCAAATAGAGGTATGAACATTAAATTCTTGTCCACCACAGCAAGAAAATACTATCTAACATTATTACCCAACATTGACAAATCAAGATACGGATAGTGTCTGAACAGGGCCACATCAATTCCTTCCCTCCCTGTATGTGCAAAATGTTCCTCGTATCAAGAGGTGGTCTTATTTCCTACCTCTTAAATCTGAACTGCCCTTAGCAACTCACTTGATAAATAGAATATACTGGAATTACCTATGTAGTAAGTCTTCTGAAGCCAGGTCCTAAGAAGTCTTGCGGCTTCCTCCTGGGTCTCTTGGAACAATTACTCTTGAAATGTTGTTCAGAACACAATTATGAGGCTGTGAGAAGCCCAAGCTACACGGAAGGACCACATATAGATACTCTCCCACTGAACTCCTACCAATGAGCCTTTAGATAATTCCAGCCTCAACTGCCATTTAACAGCACCCACATGAGACGTCAAGCAAGACTGCCCAACTGGCTTGCTTTCTCCTTTCATTTTTTAAAAATATAATTAAGAACTTACGAGTCAATGGATTTCAATCAACCATAGTCATTATTCTAATTGATGATCAAAATGTCACATTTTAAGCCAACAGAAGAGCCTTCATATTGGATCTTGTGTCCTTCTGACACAGTCCCATTAGTCTTTGATAGGTTCCTTGCTTTCTGACCCAAGATTGCCAGAACCACTTCAATATGTAAAATGAAAATTTAAATTTTAGTTTTGATCACATTTTTGTAATATACATATTATATATTTATATGAGAAATGCTGTTTTTGACATATGCATAAACCCGTATGTATATAGGAAAAAAGTACATTCCTAAATGTAAATGTTAAGTAAGTAAATAATATAATTATATAGGTTGTGAGATTGGGGCATCATTTTTTCTTTTTGCTTGTCAATGTTTCCTAATCCTCAAATAAAAATGAATTACCTAAAACAGCTTTTTTAAATGGCCTCTGCTAAAACATTATTTATCTCAGCTTTTTATTTACAATATTGCTTTTAGGGAATATTGCTTCCAATATTGCTTTTGGAAACCACTGATTTCCAAATGCATTCTTTTATGGTTCTCTTTCTACCTTCCGAGTTATCCTTTGCCTGATCATTCTTCTTCTGGTCCCTGACCCTGACTGCACTGCCCTTTACACAAACCTTCATTTCTAATGGCATATGGGCCACTTTCCCCTGGGATAGCCATGCATCTCCAAAAACCTCTTAACATCTCACAGTATCTCTCCAAACTGCTTCTCCCATTTCCTTCCATGGTGTCGTCTTCCTCTAGTGCTCTGGATCATTTTGGTCTTTTCTTTCCCTTCCTTCTCTGAAATCCAAATTAGATATTGTGCTCTACTCACTGCAAAATGAGTCAGATTTGTTTCTTCCTCATTAATATAACCACCACTATAACCATCAAAATTAGCTTCTTTGTAATCTGTCACCTATATTACTTCAAGCACCTCCTAAAAGATATCCTCTTCCCCAATCAGATTTTTTTCTGCATATCATCATCAGCTTTATTTTTCTAACATGCCAATTGTATCAAGTTATTTTCTGGCCAAAGATCCTACAACCATTCCGTGAAAAGCAAAAATGCAGGGCTGGTGAGTCTGAATTTTCACTCCACCTATCAGCTGGCCCTATCTTACTCATCCATATGTACAACCATCACCCATGTCTACACAAATCCCATACCCTGACACCCCAAGTCCTCAGTATCACCCATGAAGATCTGACATCTCCTCAGTGACTTTCCTCAAAATGTTTTCTGACCTAGAAAGCCTTCCCTACTTTTTTTTCCAACCTAAATATGCATATTTTTGAAGGCTGGGTTTAAATCCCATCTATCTCAAAAGCTCTCTTAGAAAATTCAAAAAGGCATAAATATACATATGAACATTTATGTAAAACTTATATAAACTGCAAGAATATACATCAAGTACTATCAGTAGTTATCTCTGGAGAATCAGACCTAGAAAACATTATACTTACTAAGCCCAGTATTTCTACAAACTCAATTTTTTTTTTACCAACATCTATATTCAGAAGAAAAATTAACAGAAATTAACACAATGATCTTTCCATTCCTTAAATTACTACAGTATTACTGATTGATCCCTGGATGACACTTTAATTTTTAAATAGTATCTTATATTTAAATCTTACATCCCTAATTGAAACCACTCATTCTATCCTATTGTTATCCCCTATCCCCCACCCTCCTTAGCTCAAAATCTCTGTAATACCTGGTTGATCCTGCCAGTAGGAAAAAAAGAAAAATAAAAAAATCTTAAAAAAAAAAAAAAAACCTCTGTGAGTCACACTGGGGTGCAGAACTATGCTTCAGTAATCTTGAGTCTATATTTTCTGATCCTGTACCCGTCAATATATCAATGACTCTGGGCCCATTTAATCCAATGACAGATAGCATCACATGTGACACATACGTCCATCAGCATAGGTGGCCATTAGATAAGATTCAGGTTATGCATAATTCCTTGTTACTTTATCCTTTTCTCTCCTATTCAAGAAAACCTACTAAAATACAAATGAGATAGATGCTATTAAAGGGATAGGATTAAATCTTTCTATAATATTTTTAAATAATTACAAATTCTGATACTTTATTGTTGGTAAATTATGGCAAAACTCACAAGTTATTTATGGTTAGTGTGGTGTCTCTACTCTGTCATCTACCTTTAAGGAGCTTTGCATAGAGTAAAATCTACATTTGCCATGGCCTCTGCATGACTGTGAGGGGAAACAAAACAGGATTTTTCTGATCCCTTCCGCAGCTTAAAAGAAAATTCTCCTTTTAGCAAGCGATTATGGAAGTCTGGATTTTCTTACTATGGGAAATTTTTCTACCAGCTAAGAGTGGCTAAGACCAGAGGTTTATAAGGTGGGGGGGAAAAGAGAACTAAATTATGCACCTACTACTGCTAGTATGGTACTAAATACTGACTGTTCTACCACCAAAGGCCTGGACAGAAATGGGCACCCTTTCCCTACTATACTACACTACACTGCACTGCACTGCACTACACTACACTACGACTATATGTTGGTAGGAAATAAGTTCTGGGCATCCCAAATTGGAATCCTGTGTAAAAACGTGACCGTGTTCTATAGTGGCAATGATGGGGCATTTTTTAACAGGTAATAGACTGACCCAGAGTCTCAAGCACATTTCAATTGTGCTTGAGACTCTGGGTCAGTCTATTACCTATTAATGGAAACCGTTTCAGGGTACCATCAACCTAGAATTGAGGTTTGGAAACAAAATCTATTACTATGTTTAATAATTATTTGCTTAATTGTAATCATTCAAGGTTTTTGATTATTTGCTTATAAGACAGAGATGAAGGTTTGAGCTAACACACAGGACTGGACTGCCAAATCAGACTCATGTGAAACAGTGTTCCTACCTAGCATTAAGCTCTACTAAATGTTACAAAGATAGAGACCATCAAATAATTCAAATGAAGCAGAGAGAGGTCTGGGACATCAAGGGCCACTGGCAACCCAGTTATTTATTTCCTTGCTGTGTGCCTACATGACCTTCTCCAATGAGCTGTGCCTTATAGATACTGGGTTCTCTTTACTATAGGTAATCCTTACCCAGGGACACACTGCTAAGGGCATTTCAGAGTTAATGTTTCTTCTTCCTAACAAACATCAGTACTCAATTTATCCTAAGTCCTGTTGACAAGGAGATTAGACTGGGCCACGTGCCTTCTTTTTCTCCCCTCCTGTCCCCCAAGGAAGTGAATGGATTGGCAGGCCAGCTGCTTTCACCTCTTCCTCCTAGGGTTACTTAAGAACTTGGTGACATAACTTAGCTTATTGTTAATTCCCCCATTGTCTAGTTCTCTTGCATCAGAACTAAATCAAATCATTTCAACAAAACAGGTGCATCACAGAATCTCAGAATTAGAATAGAACCTTAAAGATTATTTAGTGCAAGCTCCTACCTAAAGCTTCTGCTGATTGTATCTACTTTTATATCTATCTGACTAAAGCTATCTTATGGTAGAATAGCCACTTTAAAAGGCCTTTCCATTGTGATAATCTTCCAATCACTGAGGATGTCTTTCTTCCATAAAATAGAAGTCTCCCCTACCTCTCTTTACCACCCCATTGGTCCTAGTCCCAACATCAGAATCAATCCAGAATAAGTCTACTCCCCCTTCCACTTAGTAGTCCTTTCACATTTCCAGGGACATTTCAAGGCCATCATGTCCTTATAGTTCTTAGCTTTTCTAGGCTGACATCTCCAGGTCCTTCAATTGTTTGTTATAAGACAATAGCTACCTAATCTAATATCTCCTCTCTACAGTTAACTAGCAGCTCTCTTCCAGATACATGCAAGTTTAGGGACTTCAGATGATGATGGTCTTGGATGTGGTCTGACTGGGCAAACTACGTGTGAATTGGATACCAGGCCTCCTCTAATAGAATCTAAATTTGAAAAAGCTTTCTGTTTTAGCAGATGTGATAAATTGGCATAACTGAGATGCAATCATCTACCACCTCCAGGTCATTCTTTATCCTTATGCATCGTTGAACCTAAATGCAAAACTTAACATTTATCACTATTAAGTTCCACCCATTTGTTTCAGTTTATAGTTAGGATGAAGCCTTTCTAAAAATGTAATAACATTGTCCAATATGTTATTAGTTCTCCTTCCTAACTTTGTTTCAGTTATCTCATAAGCTTGCTTTAACATTTTTATTATGGCAAAATATATATGACATAAAATTTACCCTTTTGACAACTTTTAAGTGTACAATTCAGTGGCATTAAGTACATTCATTTTGTTATACAACCATCACCACCATCCATCTCCAGAACTTTCCATATTCCCAAATGGAAACTCTGTACCATTAAACAGTAATTCCCCATTATCCCTTCTGCCCAGCCAGGATCACACCACTGCACTCCAGCCTGGTGACAGAGCAAGACTCCATCTCAAAAAAAAAAGAAAATAAATAATAATAATATGGTGGGCTTGGAAATTGATGCATATTGAATGATTTTCAAGTTTAAATGTTTTCCAAATATATTCTAACTCATTATCTAAAGGCATGGTTTAATTGGAGAAAGAAGTGATTCACAAGGAACACATACACAAAAAGTGAAGGCTATCAATGTAGTCAGAAAGGGTGTACAAAGGATGGTAGTTTGTCCTTAAAAATTGAGGATTAAAGCATAAATGTGTTCATTTCTCTTAGAATAAGAGATCAGCTTGTCAGGTTTATTTGATAATTAGTATCCTGCTCCAGGGGTGAAAGATGAGTATCAGGAAAAAAGGCTGTAGGATTTGTACCTCTCTATATAGACAGAAGAGGATTCATTAAGCTCTAAATTACTTTGCCAGAGAATTTCAAAACGTCAGTAAATATAGTAGAAAGATACAAAAATAGCAATCAAGACATTATATAACCTATAATACCTTAAATTCCAAAGAATCTTACTTTTCAACTATTTCTTCAGTAAGGATACATTTTAAAACTGCAGGGAACTTGCTTCTATTCATCACTTTAAGTTTTACTTTGGTTCTAATAACAAAATCATTTAAGAAAAAAAGCTTACTGCAAACAGCTTAAATGGTTACATAAGTATTAAGTCAAAGTGCTTTCCAAATACAAGTTCTCATTATTGCATAAGTGATAAGAATTTCATGATCATTTACCCCCCCAAAATTATAATTATTATTATTTTTGTTAGCTTTACTTGGAATAACAAAATGCACAAAATGACCTGGGAATTCACTGCATAGAAAAAAACCTTCTTATAGTCAATGAGTAACTACTGTAAGATTGGTAAATAACATAGGATCCTTATAGCATCTGTTAACATTCATCATTTCATCTAACTTTTCCTATTTTGTTTCCCTATGAATAGATTCACTTTAAAAGACAAATTTTAAACTATAACAACAGAACATAGACATATCAAAAAAGCAACCATCTTTATGAAAAAAATTGCAGTTGCAATATCTACCTTGAGCTTGTTGGTATATTTATGTTGAAAAACAATTGATTCTAGAGAAACCTAACAAACATACAAGGAATATAAAGTTGCTAGTTTACATATGTATATGTAGAAATTTTAGATATATAATTTAATATGCTTTACTGCCTGAGATCTGTTGGAAGAATCCTCTATTAACCTTGGTCTTGGAATTCTGAAAAAGTCTGAGCAAGATTTCTCCACTGCTCCAACCTACTTAAATGTAATTATGTATATGTAATTGCACATGGAATTAAACAGAAAAGAAATATTTTCGCTGGCTCATACTCTTTGCTGTTAAATCATAAATGCATCTAGAAATACAGACAAATATCTATAGCTACAACAATCCTGAAGGTTTTAAATGGAAATTCAAAGAATTAGGGTCATTTGTCTGTCTCAAAATCTATGAATACAAACAGACACACCAACACCAACACAGACACACATAAAGGTATTATTTTAGTTAATACAGAAGATAGCATACCACAAAAGCAATCCCTGAATGCATCTGGAGATGGTCTTTAAAAACTAAGAATTGTATGTTTAGATTTATGTTCACCTTTACATCACTATTCCCAATCTTGTCTGCTAGTTAGGCTACAGAAAATCCTGGAACTCACCAGTACAAGGTAGTATGCATACAGGGACGCACAATGATGCATTATAAAAAATTTGTCACCAATCACTTTCCAATACAAAATTATAATGGACAAATCTGTAAGAAAGAAAAGTGAGTAAGGTATTACATAAGAAGAAAGTTGCACTGTTTTTCAAATGTATTGAACTCTTTCTCCTGCCAACTCATCACTGTCCACTCTGAGCCCACAGCACTTTGTTCATCCCTCAGTTAGTCTGATTATCTACTTTACCATAAAATCTCTGCTCCTATATGCCTGTCTCATCCACACTCCTGTGGCTCCTCTAAGACAAGGGCCAGGTTGTGAGCATCTTTAAACCCTCAGAATCTAGCACAAGGCCTGGCATGTAGGTTGGTGCAAAAGTAACTGTGATTTTTGCCATTATTTTTAATCACAAAAACTGCAATTACTTTTGTACCAACCTAATCATATGTAATATAATATTTGTTGAAAGCATAAATGAATAACTTGTTTCCAGAGTTAAAATAAACAAAAAATATTATTGAATAGAAATAATTTTAAATAAGCTTAAGTGACTGATTTTTGTCACTACAATAATTCAAACAGAGATAAGATGGTCATAGGGAAGGTACAAAATGACCAACTCATTTATAAAACAAATCGTACAAAAAATATTTTAAAAATAAAAAAGAATGCAATTAAATACTAATTCAAAATAGTGACGCCACCAAAAACTATAACTATTAAAAAGAAAAACAAAGAAAAAAGCTTACTTCTGCAAATTTTACAAAAACAACACAAAACCATGACTACTGGAACACATTTCAAGAACTCTTGCAAGTGAGGGACCCTAAAAGTTAAATTTCGTTAGTTTCACAGTCATTACACTTAAGAGCCTCATTAGGACAAAGAGGGACCATATCCTTGCTGATAAAAAATGTCCAGGCCTCAGTTGTTTGAGGCATCACTCTGTAACTCTGATCTTCAGTGAGAAACAGAAAACCATTTCATGAAAAGACATTTCATGTTCTACCATCATGGGAGGTATTTTTTTCCTCTGTATGCTTCCTAAATGCTATCTCTCAAATAAACCAAAAGCATAGACTATATATTCTTTGTATAATTCCGTGAGTAGTTTACAAGGAATTAGACAATAAAACAACATCTCACATACCAGAAATGAGGTAGCCTGAGGCAATAGCAATATTCACGTTTGCAAGTGATGGACCACCCCTGAAAAAAAAAAAAGGTTCCTTTTTAAAGTATATAGATTGTAGATGACCGCTACTTCTTTTTTCTATAGAGATTTAAATATAATAAAATTGCTTTCTATAGATTCTCAAATGGTAAGCTGTCATCTTCAAATAAAATTGCAAAACACACAATGACAGTTTAGCCAAACTGTGACGCATCATGTGGTACTGGTGTTAGCAGTAAGGTAACTACTGCTGTTATCTTACATAGTAAGATAGTTACAAAGTGAACTACTAGTGAAAGTAACACTAACTAAAATAGCTGGACTACAAATATTTAATAGAAAGATTTAGCACAAGTTGTGCCTTCTTTACAAATTTTGATCTGTAAATATAACCAGGAAAATTTGACCTGGAGTAAATCATGACATAAAATTCAAATCAAAAATTATGTTAAAGTTCGATAAGGCAAAACTTGAACAATGAATCAAATCTTTGTTATGAAATTTACTTCCCAAAAGAACTGGTTTTATTTTGCTGATGGTCACGTTAGTAAAATGAAAACGAAAATTTTTAAAAAGCTAGAAATTTTGTAGGTAGACTATTTAAAAACCTAGTCATGGAATTAAATTCAATAAATTAATTCTCTTTGAAAAACAGCATCCCAATGAAAATGTATCAATACTGATATTATTCTTCTGGGAATAATTTTATATTTATGAATAGAAAAACGTCCTTGCAGTCAAATGGTGGTGGTCAAAAGAAAAGGCTAAATTGCCCTACATCCCCCGGAGCCCACAACTACCTCATCTCAGTGCAGTGCTTCTTCAAACATGCCTGCTCTCTCAAACTAAGCTGAACTAAGCCTTCTCATATAACACCAGGAAACAGTTTGCAAAATTTCTGCCATTGGAATGACATTTAAATTTTTCTAAAAGGACCATCTTACATGTTATCCTATTACTACTGAACACAGTTATTATTAGTGCATTAGTGCTTCAAATCCTGTGGTACTAAATTCCTATCACATGGCCATCTGTAACTCTCATTTCATCTCTTTGATATCAAATGAGTCAAACATAAATTGGAGACAAAAAAGTCTTAAGTAGATATTATCCAAGTTGACTACCCTATCTCAATAATGATTTATTTTTCTTCAGAACTGTGACTACAATAACTTGGCTTTACTCATTAACACAGTAAAAATGTTTAAATTATCATCATATTCTCCTTGTTTTGGATAACAATTGCTACACTAAGGCAAAATGGCCTTCATTTGTGTTCAAATCTAAAATAAATCATTTAAATGCACTTTGCTAGAATGTCTGAGCACAAGCATTTTAATAAGGCATATACGATCAATATGTTTTCTGTTTTAAAGTAAGTGATGTTCTTATAAATAATTAATATCAAAACATAAATGAAATTGGCAATCTTAGAAAAAGAAACAGCTTACCAAAGTGGATCAGCTTTAGTAGCCTCATCGAATAAGAAAATGTACAGGCCAAAAATACCAACCACCAAAGAATGGCATGTGGATACTACCCTGAAATTAAACAAAATACACACAAAGATTTTAGATTCTTTGCAATAAAATTTAATCCTGACAAGACACAGAACATTCTGAACAAGTTATACCTGGAAGCATTTATATACAGGTGTGAAGTATAACGGAGAGTATAATGCAAAATTGCCATTTCTTGCCATTTAGAAATCCAAAGGCCACAGCTTTACTTTGGAATAAAGAAGGAGGAAGATACCAAGGCCTACAATTTCCTGCTAGAGAACTGGTGAATCACTTATTGGTTAAAAGTTCTAAGACAGATAAATGCATACATGATGATGCAGCTGACAGACTTTTGTGCAGCCAGATGGCAACTGGCAAGGCCACTACCCTTGGCTCCAAGCTCCAGCCCCAACAGCATCAATGCAGGATAAGTTTCCTGCTCCAATCAGCTGGGAATGACTTCCAGATCTACTGGCTTTAACAAACTCCATATCCTTAAAACAATTCGAATGGATCATGATATGAAGATTTATTATCTTGGGAGGCTTCAGTTTTTAAAGTACGTTGACATGCACTATTGCACTTGATTCTTGTAACAAATTTGTAAGAAAACAAGGGTAGCTATTATTAGTCCCTCTTTATCATTATTATGAAAACATTTCTAAATAGAAAAATTGAGGACCATAAATGTATACGGAAAATTTGTTTTTAAAAGAAATACCCAAGTGAAAGCACAATGTTCTCAAGATCCAGGTCAAGTTTTCTTGTATAGAAGGAATAAGTTTAACATAAAAACCATAAGTTTCTATGAATATATCTTGTTAATAAATTTAATGATGTGACTAATTCCCAAGCTCTATGTTACTTAGAGAACTATACTTAGGATACTGTGTATTCATCCATACAATAAAGTTTTTTTACCCAACAATTTCAGATTTCTCACATCTTTATTGAGAAGTTCACAAGTAATGAAACTTCATTAGGATAAAAAATGAGAGGTACAGCAAAGTTTTCTCTCTAAAAATTACTGGTGTGCAATAAATTTTTCTCTACAATATGATCCCAAATCTTTAAAAGTAAAATATATCAACTAATATTAGGTTTGGTATCAGAAAATTTCATTGTAACTTTAGAAACCAATATACTTGACCTAATAGTGTGTTACAAAATAGATGTATCATGCTAAATCAAGCCATATTTTAAATAAGCAAAGATTCTCACCAATTTAAAGGCATTGACCAAGTATCATTTATAATACCTAAGAATCATTTTGAAATGTGAATAATTAATCCAATTTATCTGGTTTACAAGTCTATAATTTTCATGCCAAGCACACCTTGAGCACAGGATAAAAATGTAAATTCCTTGGCCGGGCATGGTGGCTCACACCTGTAATCCCAGCACTTTGGGAGGCCAAGGTGGGCGGGTCACCTGAGGTCAGGAGTTTGAGACCAGCCTGGTCAACATGGTGAAATTCCATCTCTACCAAAAATACAAAAATTAGCTGGGTATGGTGGTACACACCTGTAATCCCAGCTACTCGGGAGGCTGAGGCACAAGAATCACTTGAACCTGGGAGGCAAAGGTTTCAGTGAGTGGAGATTGCACCACTGTACTCCAGCCTGGGCAACAGAGCGACACTCTGTCTCAAAAAAAAAAAAAAATTAAATTCCTTGATATAAAATAAAATACTCCATTTAAATGGTCATACAGCCCACTCTCTATTGCTATTCAAAAATTATATAAAATTTAAAAATATATAATCTCTCTTACAAACTTGTTTTACTGTTTGGTAACCATAGTCAGAAAGCTCCCTTTTGAAAAACCTAACTTTTTATTTCTGACACTCAGGCCTCAGATTCACTTCTCTTTTGAGATGTTATGTGGTAAATGGAAAGCATTCTAAGCCCTCAGCTGATGGAAATGGTGTATGATTCAGTACAGAAAAGTTAAATATTACTTGGTCCAATCAAATATCTCCCTCTGTAATGAGGAGGAAAAACAAATACCCTGCCCTCACTCATACACTATTCTGTATTAAAAGTCTATACTATAGTTTCAGAAACTTCTGTTAATAAAAATTTTATATTTTATTATTTAAAATCAGATTCCTAGCAAAGGAAAATTTAGATTCCTTAGTATCTAAAAAGAAATTCCAAGATATTACCCAAGATAAAATATTTCAATTTTTTTTCAAAGAGGGTGGAAAAGAAATGTTTGTGCATATAAAGGGATAGCACTCTAAGGAAATGATTAATGACTATTTTAGAATAGCAATTTTAAGTTACTAATCACAAGTAGTGTAAATATTGCCAACAGAAATTATATAACTCAGCTAAATTTTAGAGAAACATTTAAAAATTAGTAGTATTTCAACACAATAAGACTTTCAATGTGATAGGTAAGAAAGTGAATATAAGTAATTAAGAAAATTTTTTTACATTATAAGATGTAGCACCTGTAAGTATACACGTTTTCAGAAAAAGTAACAATTCAGTACAACAATTTCTCACTTTTAACTAAACTGTTGTCTCTCAAATGGGCATTTCCAGTGATTTTTTCTCCTCCATTTCTTTTTATACTAGATGGCTCAGACCACTCTCAACTCATGTTTAGAGACTCTTTCCTGATCACTAGAAAGAATTATGTGTGTTTACCTGTATGTTTCAAACTGGAAGCTGAATTTTAAGACATTTATACATATTTTACTCAAAATACAGCCTCCTTGTCCTACTTTGCACTCTCCACCTTACAGCTTAAGTCCTTTGTAAAAAAAGCTGGAGTGAGAAGCAGGAGCAAACTTGAGAAAAAGAGAAAACACCACTGAATACCTAAATGAATTTTATATAATCCCAGACTCCTTTTTCAAATAGAAATTCAGTTTCCCAAATGGTATTTCCTGTGTCATAGAATGGCAGTGATAAGACTAGATAATGCAAAATATTCTTCAATTTCATTTCATTTTCATCTTGGCTTCCATCTCTCTGTACCCTTTCCTATTTCTCTGACTTGCAGCTACCTAACATTCAAATGCCTTTACCTATCCTAACCACAGGAAAGAGGAAATGAAAATAGTTCAACATTTAATCAGAGAACGTATGTACCCCCTTCTCTTTCCTACCATTCCATCTATCTTCATATGTTAGAAAAGATTTTTTAAAGTAATGGTATCTCTAGTATAATGCATTTGAACAATATTTTTGTGCTAGTCTTAAGACAAAATAATCATACTGCTTATTTTTTGAAAATATGTGGAGAAATAATTCTTGCTTTTTGGGTGAAAAGAACTTTGACATGTATGAACCCGATACATCACTGTAAAGTACAAAAAAAAACAACTAGAGTCTTATTAAATTCACAGTCTGAATCATAAAAGTAGATGCCTGCAAAACAATTTGGTTCAAAGGGAATTTCAAATCAAATATGACCATTCTCAAATAAATACTCAGACACTGACAGAATTTCTTGAATTTTAAAAGGAAATTTCAATGAAAGATAATTATAGCAAACTTTAGAGACTTGCTGAATCCATTTTATGGTTAGTATTAACTTCAACTAAATAGCAACAACAAAAAATAAGGCCACGGCTGCTCTGACTCACTGAGGTTTACAAATGCACAGTGATGTTTGGGGACATAAAATGCTCTAAAGCACGTGAAGAAGTCATCAGAGCCATTTTGTGTTTGAAATCTTGTGAGATTAATAAGTTGTACACACACAAAAAAATTGCAACCAACTTTTTAAAACTCTGGCAGGGTGCAGTGGCTCATGCCTGTAATCCCAGCACTTTGGGAGGGCAAGGTGGGTGGATCACCTGAGGTCAGGAGTTCAAGACCAGCCTGGCCAACCTAGTGAAACCCTGTCTCTACTAAAAACACAAAAATTAGCTTGGCATGGTGGCGCATGCCTGTAATCCCAGCTACTCAGGAAGCTGAGGCAGGAGAATCACTGGAACCTGGGAGGCAGAGGTTGCAGCGAGCCAAGATTTCACCACTGCACTCCAGCCTGGGCGACAGAACGGGACTCTGTCTCAAAAAAATAAATAAACAAATAAAATAAAAATAAAAAATAAAACTCCAGCAGATTTCTATATCAATAGATGTCTAATTCTTTCTCCATTTACTTTTCTGTTTAAAAAAAAAAAACTAAAAAGAAATTTTTACTTTAAAATTATATAACAAAATAATAAATGCTGGAGGGCTCTAAATTATAATGCAAAGTTCATTAAAAGATTCATATGCACTGACTGTACACTTTGTTCCCTGATGTGTAGAGTCTAACTGCCCCAGGTCTGGCTAAGTTGGCCAATGCTGTATGGTATAAGCTACTCAAAAGTACAACTAATTTTTTCTTCCATCTTTGTTTCCAAAGAATATGTTTGTTATAAATATTTCAAAGAAGAACACGAAAGTACTAGTATTCATCCACAGTCAGCTGGAGTCTACTTCATCTTCACACACTTCCTCAGAAACTTAAGTAAATTTCTCCTAACATCTTTCAATATATGAATTCTTAAACTTTTTTTTGCATGAGATCATCTACTTGTTTTTCCTTTTATTTCTAAGATCAAATAAAAATTTGGCCTTACATTAGATCCTAAATGAAATACTTTTTTGAAATATTTTAAATAATTTTATCTCATAAACTAGTTTCTTGTCATCAATTACATTTTCATATGCTTTACCTTGAGTTCCATTCAATCTTCTTTTTGAAGCTGAGACTATTGAAACCTGGAGAAACTTTTGCTGAAAACCAGTAACTTACAAAGTAGAAAAGAAGCTGAAAGGTGAAAAAGCTGATACAGGTAACACTGATGAGCAGTTTTGTGTTGATCTCCATATTTCTTCAACCTGTTAAGATAAATGACAGCTATAAATTGTTGTCTCATAATAAACCTAGAGTAATTTTTTTATTTTAAGAAATATGTCTTGTAATTTTAGTAATTTTTAAAATTTAGAACAAATGTTAAGAATATAAACTATAAGAATTTTTGACCTTTTGTATATTTCTTCACCTTTACCATCTATTTGTCATGTATCTTATGTCTGTTTTATCTTAAAGATCTCAATATTAGAGGTGTCATTTATAATTTTAACATCATGATATTCAAAATTATCTAAGTCTTAATATTAACAGAGAATTTCAAGTACTATAAGTAAAAACTATTCTTCTAATAATATTTCAATTAAATTTATGACAAATCGATTTCTTTATCCCTCAATTTCTCATCTATGATATGAAAGAGTTGGTTACATAATTTCTAAGAAACAATCAAGCCAAAAACCATAGAACTAACACTGCCTGTAATAACAAAACAAAAAATAATTCCATAATTAAAAAACTAATTTTGGAGCAGGACAAACAACATTTAAAACAAAATTAAAATCTTAAGAAGAACACAGTCTTAGCAAAGAGCCATTGCACTGTTGAGGCAAGACAATAGGGTCTGGAGGCAGGGAACCTAAGGCCGATTCATACTGACTTCCTAGAACTAAATCAAACAGAAAAGCCCAACTTTACACACCTAACTAACAAAATAACTGGAGGTTACTCGCTTTGAAAACCCCTCCCTCACTTTTCTGAGTGGCAAATGGAAAACTGAAAGTACCTCTGATTGGTTGCTTTCCGCAACCAATCAGACGTTTACATAGGAGTATAACTTTATAACTTCATTTCAGCCTCTGATTGGTTGCTTTCCCCAACCAATCTGACTGACTGCCAGCCAAGTCTTCCTTTGCACAGAAGTGTAACTTCCCCTCCCCTCCGCCACGCCCCCAACCCCGCCTCCAGATGGAGTCTTGCTGTGTCCCCCAGGCTAGAGTGCAGTGGTGCGATAGATCTCAGCTCACTGCAACCTCCGCCTCCCGGATTCAAGCAATTCTGCTGCCTCATCATCGCGAGCGGCTGGGATTACAGGCACGCACCACCACACTCGGTTAATTTTTGTATTTTTAGTAGAGACGGGGTTTCACCATGTTGGCCAGACTGGTCTTGAACTCCTGACCTCGTGATCTGCCCACCTCAGCCTCCTAAAGTGCTGGGATTACAGGCGTGAGGCACCACAACCGGCCTAGATTGTGGGCCACTACTTCATTTGCATGGGGTGTACAACAAGTGGCCAATGGGAAACCTGTAGCAGGTATTTAAGCCCTAGAAAATTCTGTAACCGGGCTCTTGAGCCCCTATGGTAGGACCAACTCCCACCCTGTGGAGTGTACTTTCATTTTTAATAAATCGCTACTTTCATTGCTTCATTCCTTCCTTGCTTTGTGCATTTTGTCTAATTCTTTGTTCAAAATGCCAAGAACCTGAACACCCTCCACCGCTAACACCGTCACTGCACAAATGAGAATTTAACTTTTAAAACATGCTCTTCAATCACACACATTCTTGGAGCAAAAGGCCTGCAGGGCTTTGTATCCCTTATTAAAAAAAAAAAAAAAAAAAAAGATTTTTATAAAAGAGCTTCAGGTCTTAACAATCGAGTTAGCAGAAAGAATAGTACTATGCATATATGCACACTCAAAGTGTGTTTTCTATTTCATTGAGCTGAACTTTATTTGGCTCCTAAAAATCTTAGGAACATTCAGAGCAAAAAAAAAAAAAAAAAGGCACTAAGGCATTTGCTCATATCCAGCAAATACAGCATTTCTATGGCTCCATCTTTGATAAAGCTGATTCTCAAATGAAAAAGAAATAAATCAATACACATTTCCAGCTGCCTAATGCAAAGAAATAAAGTCACCTACTGAAATCAATTCACCAGAGAAAAGCCAAGTCATTGACTGCACTAGCAATAACCCCACTTCATTCCCTTCCAACCAGGATATCGTAATAAGAATCAATCTCCCACAGGGCCCCTTCCATCAGAATTCATATGTCTATAATGAATTCTTTCCTCATTCTTTGTGTGTGTGTGTGTGTGTGTGTGTGTGTGTGTGTGTGTGTACTTGGTAAAAATATTGATATTACAATTCTTCTCTATGAGACTCCATTAACTTTACTGCTCTTTTACTTCTTTTTAATTCAACATATGTTTATTGGGTATTAAAATTTTAATTTGTGGTCTTTTAGCCTAGGTTTAATATTAACCAAACAATACATAAAAGTTTTGTACATAAATTAAGCATTACCATAATTTGCTAAGTGGGATGTAAGGAGAATAATGCTTTTCTAAGATTAAAGCAAATAGGTATCTGGAGGCCAGATGGACACAAAATTGGAAAAAAAATATAATCAGTAATCAGAAGAGAATGGAGAATCTAATCTTAAATGTGAGGAGGTTTCCCCTGAAGACTTTCGTATGCTCTCTGCTGATCCTAGAGCAGAAGGTGGGCACGGGCTGCTCATTTAGTTTGTTAAAATTCAATGTATACAAAGCATTTATTTCATGAATGTTAAAAGGTGTCATAAAACATATCATACCTTATCCATTTTATGAATTGTTCATTTAACTACTGTATTTAAAAGCACTCAAACAATTCACCATTAAAAAATGTATCATCCCACCCTCGCCCAAAAATCGAGTTTTTAAGTCTTTGTTCTAATGGATGAATATTATATTTTGAACAGAATTATTATCAGGTAAGACTTTGGGATATATGTTTAGAGTCTCCCTTTGGAAAAATGTTTCATTTAAAACTAAATAAAGAGCTCCATATATTCAAGCTGTGACTTCCATTAAAAGCTCAACAGATAGAAGCCAATTAAATTGTTCTACTCTCAGCTTTGCCTCTTAGTGAACAGCTGCTTGCTTAATCAGTCATGCCAAATCAAGAACTAATCTAGAGATCTTTACAAATTTCCCCAGAAAACCAAGGCTTCTGGTAGGAAGCAGCTACCCCTGTTCATTCACTTTAATGCATGAATCAGGCAAGAAAAATGGTAAAAAGTGATAAAACCAAAGGATGCTCATTACTAACATATGTTAAGGGCCTGCAAGAGTTTGGTGATTATTAAGTATAGGAATATACAGTAAAACTGGAAAAGCACACCTACTTCATATACCTCTACAGGTAGCTAGTAGCTGGCAGAAAGCTGGGATACTATTTGGCCTAGCGAAGAGCAGCTGAAACAGATAAGGGAAATACTTCTGTAGCAATTTACAAGAGCGTCTAGACATGAACTCTACATTATAATTAGTCCATCTTGATTCACAGGAATTGTGGACATCAAAGAAACTTTTCCAGAGACCTGTTGAATGAAATAATGTTTATACTTTTCATTAAAGATGGTTTACATAAACTTTAATTGACACTGATTTCTTAGTAGGGAAAAACATGAAAAGGTCTGAAGTACAGTCATGCACTGCATAACGATGTTTCAGTCAATGACAGACCACATATACAATGGTGGTCTCATAAGATTATAATGGAGCTGAAAATTCCTATCACCTAGAGACGCTGTAGCCATCATAACACCGCAGCGCAACACATTACTCACGTGTTTGAGGTGATGCTGGTGTAAATAAACCTACTGCACTGACGGTCATATAAAAGTCTAGCACATACAATTATGTGCAGTACATAATAGTTGACAATGATAATAAATGACTATGTTACTGGCTTAAGCATTTACTACACTATACTTTTTATCATGATTTTACAGTGTATTCCTTCTATTTATTAAAAAAAACCACACACACAATTAACTGTAAAACAGCCTCAGGAAAGTCCTTCAGGAGGCAGTCCAGAAGGAGGCATTGTTCTCATAGGAGATGACAGCTCCATGTGTGTTATTATCCCTGAAGACCTTCCAGTGGGACAAGATGTGGAGGTGGACGACAATGATATTGATGGTTCTGACAGACCTAGGCTAATGTGTGTGTCTGAGTCTTCGTTTTTAACAAAAAAGTAATAAAATAATAATAACATAATTGTAAAAATAGAAGAAAGCTTATAAAATAAGGATATAAAGAAAATCTTTTTCTACAGCCATACAATGGGTTTGTTTTCAGATAAGTGTTATTAAAAAGAATCAAAGGCTGGGTGCAGTGGCTCACGCCTGTAATCCCAGCACTTTGGCAGGCCGAGGCTGGTGGATCACCTGAGGTCAAGTGTTCGAGACCAGCCTGGTCAACATGGTGAAACCCCATCTCTACTAAATATGCAAAAAATTAGCCAGGCATGGTGGCACATGCCTGTAGTCTCACCAACTCAGGAGGCTGAGGCAGGAGAATCACTTGAACCTGGGAGACGGAGGCTGGAGTGAGCCAAGATCACGCCACTGCACTCCAGCCTAGGTGACAAGAATGAAACTGTCTCAAAAAAAAAAAAAAAAAAAAAATCAAAGGTTTAAATAAAAAAGTTTATAAAATAAAAAAGAAACTAAGCTAAGGTTAATTTATTGAAAAAAGAAATTTTTAAAATCAATTTAGTGTTGCCTAAGTGTACAGTGTTTATAAAGCCTACAGTAATGTTCAGTAATGTCCTAGCCCTCCACTTTCACTCACCACTCACTCAGTGATTCACCTAGAGCAACTTCTAGTCCTGCAAGCTCCATTCACAGTAATTGCTCCACAGAGGTGGTGTAACATTTTTTATCTTTTTTTTTTTTTTTTTTTTTTTGACACAGGTTCTCACTCTGTCATCCAGGCTGGAGTGCAGTGGCACAATCATAGCTCACTATAACCTCAAACTTCTAGGCTCAAGTGATCCTCCCGCCTCAGCCTCCCACATAGCCACCACACCCAGCTCATTTTTTTTTTTTTTTTTTTTGTAGAGACTGGGTCTCACTATGTTGCCCAGGATGGTCTCAAAGTCCTGGCCTCAAGTGATCCTCCCACCTCAGCCTCCCAAACCACTGGGATTACAGGTATGAGCCACCATGCCTAGTCCAATTTTTAATCTTTTATACTACATTTTTTAACTGTACCTTTTCTATGTTTAGATACACAAATACTTGGCATTGTGTAGCATCTGTCTACACCATGTATTCAGTACAGTAAATACTATACAATGTAGAATTTAGATACACAAATACTTGGCATTGTGTAGCATCTGTCTACACCATGTATTCAGTACAGTAAATACTATACAATGTAGTATTTAGATACACAAATACTTGGCATTGTGTAGCATCTGCCTACACAATGTATTCAGTACAGTACTGTACTGTATTCAGTACAGTAAATGCTGTACAGGTTTGTAGCCTAGGAGCAACAGGTTATGTCATAAAGCCTAGGTGTGTGGTAGGCTATTCCATCTAGGTTTGTGTTAAGTGCACTCTATGATGTTCACACAATGATAAAATTGTGTTAAGGACACATTTCTTAGAATGTATCCCCATTGTTAAGCAATGCATGACTGTACATGTCTTAACTATCAGCTATGAGAGCACTTCCCTTCCAGCAGGAGGACTCCCAGAGATAGGGCCCTGGGAAACAGCACTGCCAGGGCTAATTCAGTCTTCACATCAAAAAACAGTCCATCCATCTGTCTCTGGTCCACCATGAGCCAGGCACTGTGCTGGAATACAAAATAGGGAGACATGCTTATAGCCAGTAGGGATACAAAGAAATTGATCCTCACCACACAAAGTGGTAAGTGTAGGGTGCTAAGAGAATGCTCCCTGCTTTCCAAGGAATAAATACCCAGGAGAGGTAACACATAATAGTGAGGAGGTATCCAAAAGTAAACCAAGAGGACATTTTCTCTTCTATTAAAATCCCAATAAGATGCTTTTAGGCTGGAGCCCAAAAGACTCAGTTCTCAGTCGGGCTCATGCCTGTAATTCCAGCACTTTAGGAGGCCCAGGTAGGAGGACTGCTTCAGGCCAGGAGTTCAAGACCAGCCTGGACAACATTAACAAGACCCCGTCTCTACAAAAAATAGAAAAATTAGCTGGGTGTAGTAGCACATTCCTGTAGTCCCCACTACTCAGGAGGCAGAGATGGGAGGATCACTTGAGCCCAGGAGATGGAGGCTACAGTGAGTTATGATTGTGTACCAGGGCACTCAGGCCTGGGTGACCGTGCAAGACGCTGTTTCAGAAAAAAAGAGAAGGAAGAAAGGGAGGGAGGGAGGGAAAGAGAAAAGAAGAGGAGGAGGAAAGAAGGACAGAGAGGAAGAAGGAAGAGGGGATGAGGGGAAGAAGGGGCAATTTTAAAGGAAATTGACTTTAGAAAAAACAGACTCAGTTCTAGTAGGTGAGGTTAGGATTACCAGCCCCTCCCCACCAAAACACGATCACTCACTCATTTCCCCCATTTGTGATTCCTTTGCAAATACAGGGATTCCTTAGAGAATATATCAAATACCAGTGCCACTTCCATGCACATACATAACCCCTCTCCTTCATTTTCTGATATAATCCCCCAGTGAGAACCACTGCTGGAGTGTTTTGCAGTAAAAATCCCTAAAAAGAAGGGGATGGGTCTGTGTGTTTGTCTTTAAGGGCAGCAAAGAAGGGGGAAGCTGGGAAGAATGCCCCAATTATGCTTAGCATTCCTTTTCCCATCCCTGGCAAGCTCCCTTTCCTATTTCCCACATTGACTCCAAATATTCACCGCTCTCAAATCTCTAGTTCTCCCTCTTAAAATAGATGAGGTTTCTTCCCATTTGACCAAGAAAATGAAGGCGATCAGGCATAAACACCTTTAACTTGGCAATGTTTACTACCTCCCCCCAACCCCCACTACCTGAACCTCTTCTCTGCATACTATAGGTTCTGCCTGGCTATGCGCCCTGCACCTCCAACACTGCTTATACTGTGTGCAACTAGATTTCACCACCCGCCATGTACCAGCCCTGAATGGTCAGCCACCCTCTGGATGGGCTCCATTTGTGCATCCAGAGGCCCCACAGGTTCTACTTCGCCCAAGTTGAACTTAACCCCAACCAGCCCTTCTCTGTGGTGCCATACCTCAATGAATGACATGGACATCCACAATACTGCCCCATCTTCCAACCTGGAACAGCTCAGTCATCCTGGATTCCTTCCTATACCTTACCTCCACAAATAACTGACCAACAAATCCTGGTAGATTGGAGAATACCAAGTGAAGGATACCTTGATCCCAGCAAAGTTCTGAAAGTTTCTCATGATAGCCTTATGAAAAATACCAAAAAAAGTGGCTAGATCAACAAAGTTAGTGAGCCCAAGAGCTAGCTGAAAACTAGAAGCAGCATGTAAATTAATGATCCAAAGTAGAATTGAGAAATATCTCTTGATATTTTATACAATTTTCTCTTTTTTGGTCCTGTTTTAGCAAATATTTTTTGTAAATATTTGTATGTTTACTTAAGCTGCATACAACACAGAGGTGGGAAAGACAGCTAATACATTAAGTTAACAGAATCAGGTTTTGAAATTATCTTGATTAGCTGAAATAATGAATCCAAATCATAAAGGCAAAATATAATAAAATTTTTAAAGGCAATACCAAAGTATAGGACTTGGCATAATAGCCATACACACAAGACCTTAGCATTGTAAGTGACACAAATCAATGAAAGACAACAGTATAACAACAATACTAAACACACACAAAAAAAAACAAATTTCAGGCTCATTTATACTCAGAAAGAGTGGAAGTGCATCTTTTGATCAAGCATCAGTCCCATATACTCCCAATTAATTACATACCAAAGTACCCTTAGAGTGGTGTAAAGATGGTAATCTTATCATGTCATAAAGAGCTAAGAGGCTGAGTAATGTTAGCTTGGGAACAAGATTTCTTAAAAAAAAATAAAAAAAAAAAACTTGAAAACTTGAGAGCAGGCCAGGCTCAGTGGGTCATGCCTGTAATCCCAGCACTTTGGGAGGTCAAGGCCAGCGGATCACCTGAGCCCAAGAGTTCAAGACCAGCCTTTTGCAACATGGTGAAACCCCATCTCTACAAAAAAAATACAAAAATTAACCAGGTGTGGTGGTGCACACCTGTAATCCCAGCTACCAGGAGGCTGAGGTGGGAGAATCACTTGAGCCCAGGAGGCGGAGATCACATTACTGCATTCCAGCCTGGGTGACAGAATGAGACCCTGTCTCAAAAACAAAACAAAACGAACTTGAGAGCATTCCTTGAACATTTAAAGAAGTGTTGTGGCTGGGCATGGTAGCTCACACCTGTAATCTCAGCACTTTCGGAGGCCAAGGCGGGTGGATCACTTGAGGTCAGGAGTTCAAGACCAACCTAGCCAACATGGTGAAATCCCATCTCTACTAAAAATACAAAAATTAGCCGGGCGTGGTGGTATGCGGCTGTTGTCCCAGCTACTTGAGGGGGCTAAGGCACAAGAATCACCTGAACCTGAAAGACGGAGGTTGCAATAAGCTGAGATCATGCCACTGTACTCCAGCCTGGGCGACAGAGGAAGACTCTGTCTCAAAAAAAAAAAAAAAAAAAGTGTACAAAAAAATGAGACCAGGAACTTATTCTGCATTACTCAAAATGACACAAGTGGGCAGTTTAACTTAACCACCCTCTAGCCCTTTAGAAGTGTCCAAGTGTCTATCATGGAAGTGGTAAAAGAAGAGCTGGGAGGGTTGTCTGCAGAAGGCAGGGGCCCTAGTCTAACTTTCAGAGGACTCTGCAAACAAGATTTGGGGTCTAAAATTGAATTTAATTTTGGTATTCAGAAAGACAATTCCTATTACATTAACTTCTCAACAGTCTATCAGATATGTTAAAAATAATAATTTCACAGGGAAGGAAATGTTAAGTATATACACCATCATGGGAGGTACACAGGCACAAAGTCTTGATTTTGAGTCTCAGTTCTACCATTTGCTAGCTGCGTAGCCTTAGAAAAATTACTAAACTTACCTTAACAGAACCTCAGTTTCCTCATCTGTAAGACAGAAATATCAACAGTACTAGCCTGGCATGGTTGTAATAGGAAATAAATGATATAATGTTTCTTGGGCACTTAGAACAGTACTCAGCATATGGTGTGCACCTAGTCTCTGCTTCTACCATCATCCACCTCCAGCAGCACACAGGACATACAATCTCTGGGCCTGTTGTCACTCTAGTCAAGGAAAATAAAACCATCCTACAGCCACCAGGTCTAGACCCCTAACTCATGCCTGTTTTCATCAGGCAACACTTAAAATGTAGGCAGTGCCCACTGCAGAGATCTATCCTCTACCACTTGAGTACCGCTGTTTTGCTTCCAAGTTCCTTCCCAGCCCATCACCCTCTCCACCTCCCACAACCTTCCTCTAGGTCCCTTGGAACTGCTGCTCTACACCCAGAAAGTAGTGTCATATCC
Organism: Homo sapiens; assembly: GCF_000001405.40. Classification (NCBI taxonomy): domain Eukaryota; kingdom Metazoa; phylum Chordata; class Mammalia; order Primates; family Hominidae; genus Homo; species Homo sapiens. The sequence continues at coordinate 95,134,527 of NC_000001.11, read as the reverse complement.
TTGGCCTCTCCTCTGAGCATGCTGAAGACACCCCTCTTCTCCTGCAACCCTCTCAAATAGCAGCTGCCCAGCCTCTCACACTCTGGAGTCAGGAGATGGCCTTGGCACCTCTGCCCCTTCAGGCCTTATTTCTCCATTCCCCTGCCCACTGCAAACACCCATATCCTTTTTAGGGTCCTGCCATTCAGTTACACCACCCTCCTCCTTTCCTCACTGTTATATTCTAATCTCCCAATCACTTTTGCTTACTCAAAGACATTAGCCCTGGCTCACTGATGTCGTCAAGCCCTGCCATATTCCTGCCCATTTGTTGGCTCGCATCTCCTAGACGACTCAGTCCATTATCTTCACCTGGAATGGCATGTCTTCCATGCCACCTTACCCACCCATGAACCTTTATTGTCCCCTATACATCGTTTTCTGCCTCGAAAATAACGCTTCAAGTATTCCCTTTGTTGACCAGGGCCTTCTTTCCTTCAAGCTGTGCAGTATTACAACATTATCAGTCCACTGACCTCTCAGCTTTTTCCCAACCCATTAGCCCTATTCTGCTTGTACATCCCTCTTTAATCAGCTTACATCCCAAAGTCCATCATTTCCACAGCACTCTAACACCCAAATTCCCTTTCCATTGCCAAGAGTTGACAAAATCCTAATCCTGGATATGCCCAACTATTTACTCAGCAATGAGTCCAGAACAATCAGAGCTCTGTTGCAGAATGTCACACATGAGAAGGTTGAAGCCAGTGTGTGAGAATTACAGAGGGATCAGACAGCCCTCAACACTGCCCTCCACTCCAACCATTTGCCACTCCAACCAACCCTCTCAGAGTCCACAATAAAATTCCCAAATTGTCCCTATTCTTTTCAAAACACCATCCATCTACCCCATTCTCAGCAGATGACCCCCATCCTACTTCACAAAAAAGTAGAAGCCAACATATGAAAACGTTCAATATCCCACACTACCAACTATACAAACTACCTCCATCTGTAACTATCTGTCTTCCCACCTAAGGTCAACCTCTCTAACTTGTGCACTTTAGATCCATCCTTTCTGGCCTTCTTGGGAATCTTTTGCTCCACATTATCCTTTACTCTCTCCCTCTCAAATGGCTCTTTCTATTGGCTCTTTTTTTTTTAATTATACTTTAAGTTTTAGGGTACATGTGCACAACGTGCAGGTTTGTTACATATGTATACATGTGCCATGTTGGTGTGCTGCACCCATTAACTCATCATTTAACATTAGGTATATCTGCTAATGCTATCCCTCCTCCGTCCCCCCACCCCACAACACATGGACACAGGAACGGGAACATCACACACCAGGGTCTATTGGCTCTTAAACAGGCTCAAGTTCTCAGCAAAAACAAAAATCAACAGATTTACAACCTCTTCTTCAATCCTCTCTTTCCATAAAGTTTCTCTCTCTTGCTTGAATTTTTACACTTGCGCTCTCTCTCTCTCCACTCCTTTACAGACAAAGTTCTAGAAATATTTGCCTGTATTCTGTCATCATTTCTCATCTGACACTTCACCACACTCCACTGTTGTCCCCATCCACATCACTCTCCTGGAATAGCTGTTGCTAAGGTTAACAATGACTGCTATGTGCAGCTTTCATGTTACCTGACCTCTCCACAACATCAGATCCTGACCATTTTCTCCTTGAAATGCTTTCTTCCTGTACTTCCATAACACCACACTTCCTCTACCCAGCTACTAAATAACAGAGTTCTTTAAGACTCCAGACCATCTTCTATCTACTTGTTTCCTATGTGATTTCACCTACACCTGTGGCTTCAGTTACCACTTAAACGTAGAAAAATCTAAAGTTTAAATATTCATCCTAGATCTCTCCTCTGAGCTAATGTATATAGCCTACTGCTACTTGATATTACTACACAGTGTCTCAAAGGCATCTCAAACCAAGCTCATAACCTGACCCCTACACTTGGTCCTCAGCTAGGTTCTTCATCTCAGTGAATGGTTATCACAAATATCCGAGTCGGTTTTGTGGTGCTGTAACAGAACATCTGAGACTACTTTTTTTTTTTTTTTTTTTTTTGAGTTGGAGTCTCACTCAGTCACCCAGGCTGGAGTGCAATGGTGCAATCTCGGCTCACTGCAACCTCCACCACCTGGGTTCAAGCGATTCTCGTGCCTCAGCCTCCAGCATAGCTGGGATTACAGACGTGTGCCACCACGCCTGGCTAATTTTTTTGTATTTTTAGTAGAAACAGGGTTTCACTATGTTGGTCGGGCTGGTCTCGAACTCCTGGCCTCTAGTGATCCACCCACCTTGGCCTTCCAAAGTGCTGGGATTACAGGTGTGAGCCACCACGCCCATCTGGGACTGTATAATTTATAAAGGAAAAATAGGTTTATTTAGCTCACAATTCTGCAAGTTGAGAAGTTCAAGGGCATGGCCCTGGCTTCTAGCAAAAACTTTTGTACTAAGTCATAACATAGTGGAGAAGGTCAAAGAGGGAAGCAGGTATGTGTAAAGAGACAAAACCTGGGTGGCGTCCCAGCTTTATAATAACCCACTCTCAAAGGAACTAATCCACTCTTGCCAGAATGAGAACTCACTACTATAAGAATGGCACCAAGCCACTCATGAGGGATCTGCCCCCAGGATTCTAACACCTCTCACTAGGCCCCACCTCCCAACATCAATACATTGCGAATCAAATTTCAACATGAGTTTTGATGGGGACAAACCATAGTCAACCTATTGCACCATACATTCAGATCTGACAGCCAGAAACCCAGGAGTCACCCTTGATAACCTGCTTTCTGCACCTTCCAACTCTGCCACCATATTCAATCTACCACCAAGTCCAATGGATTATACTTCTTAAATAACTATCAAAAAGATGCATTTTCTTCTCAAGCTACTATCATCACATTTCTGGACTGTCTCCAAACTGGTCTCCTTAGAGTGAAGAACAAATTGGAGGGCTCCAGGAGAATCTTTTCTAAAAGCCATCTCTGATCATGTCACTTCCTTACCCACCCTCATCTTAAAACCTTCATTTGTTTCTCAATGCTCTTACGAGGACTCCATCTTCTCCAGCCTCAGTTGGCACCTGCCCTCACTTACTGCATTCCAGCTAACATGGCCTTCTTTCTCTTCCTTAAAGATGCCATGTTCCCTTCTTCCACAAGGCCTGTGCACATCCTATTCCCTAACTCCCTTCCATACCCCTCTACTCCCAAGTTCACATCCATGGTTCTTCAGCTGTCTTCTCTGAGCTCTGTCAACAGGTTAATTCCCCCATTACCTGCCCTCATGCTGCATGTCCCTCTCCTTTACAGCTGCGACTTAAACAGACATTTCCTTCTCACAGTGGAATGTATGCCCCATAAGGGTGGGAAATACGGCATTTTTCCCTTCACCATTAAATCTCCATGCACAACACAATGTCTTCCATGTAATTTATGCTCAATAAATATGTTAAATAAAACAGTTATAATAACAGACATACTCTTACATGTGCTTTCCATTCTGCTAGTGTTATAGATTCCTTGTTTTACCAGGGTAATCACAATACTAGAAAAGGAATTTTCTGAACTGACAACCATAGTATTACCGCATGAAAGTATACTGACTTCAGAAGTATTCTCACCTCCAAATATGTCCAACAGCAAAAAGTACCATTATAAATGGAGTATATTTATCTACTGTAAGCTCCTTTTAACATGATATACATTCAAAAGTTTCATGTACAACCTGTAATTGTACTTTAACATTCTTATCAACTGCAGAAGTACTGATTTATTGACTTATTTACCACCACCAGTAGTCCTAACACTCTAGGATGTAAAAGTCTCTATCTGCAAACTCTAAGTCATTTGTAAATAAGCACATCACTGCAGAAGATGAGCTATTTACCAAGCCAAAGAAACAAATAAAAAACCCTGGCCAAAAAAGGCATACCATCCTACACCCATTCTGAGTTTTGTCTGCATTTTCATATAGGTGGTACACTGTAATTATCTATCTCAACATTGACAAAATGTCAAAAAATGACCAAAGACATTGAAATTTTAGTAAAGAATAACTGTCGGGCCGGGCACTGTGGCTCATGCCTGTGATCTCAGCACTTTGGGAGGCCGAGGCCAGTGGATCACAACATCAGGAGTTTGAAACCAGCCTGGCCAATATGGTAAAACCCCGTCTCTACCAAAAATACAAAAAATTAGCTGGGTATGGAGGCACGTGCCTGTAGTCCCAGCTGCTCGGAAGGCTGAGACAGGAGAATCCCTTGAACCTGGGAGGCGGAGGCTGCAGTGAGCCGAGATCGCACCACTGAACTCCAGCCTGGCAACAGAGCAAGATTCTGTCTCAAAAAAAAATAAATTAAATAAAATAAAGAAAAAGAATGTCAACTACTCATTTTCGACTTTTCCATCATGTAAAAATTGTTAAGCATCTAAAAGAATGTATATAAAGCTCTCAGCTAACTGCAGTTATAGTTTTTGCTTTTTGTTGTTTTAATTGTATGTGAAGAGACATATAGGGAAAAAGACTTAGGAGGATAATATGAAGAAAATGTTCCACCTCTTTTTCTTTTCTGAGCATCAAGTTAAAGAACCATTATCGTGAGTGTAAAAGTCTACAGGAAGCCAGCTGCATAAAAGTCAACCCAATTTCTATAAATCCTCTAATATTCATGGTACTGCTTTTTAAATTGAACCAAATGGGAGGAAAAGAAGACCAAGCTAGGAAAGGTGAAGAAGCCCTATGTTCATATAATTAAGTTACACTCCCTTTCTTGACACAGAATCTCACTCTGTTGCCCAGGCTGGAGTGCAATGGCACGATCTCGGTTCACTGCAACCTCTGCCTCCCAGGTTCAAGCTATTCTCGTGTCTCAGCCTCCTGAGTAGCTGGGATTACAGGTGCCCACCACCATACCCGGCTAATTTTTGTATTTTTAGTAGAGGCAGGGTTTCAACATGTTGGTCAGGTTGGTCTCGAACTCTTGACCTCAGATGACCCACTGGCCTTGGCCTCCCAAAGTGCTGGAATTACAGGCGTGAGCTACCGCGCCTGGCCTGTTACACTCCCTTTCAAAGATAAATGATATTACTTAAGGTTTAACAAGGAATTGCTCATGGCTATAGAAAAGATTTCTCTATGGTTCCTCCCTGTCGACTAAAATACTGAACTTTGAAAAAGGGTATCCTTTATATTTTTATTCTCTATTTCCTATTTCTTCAGCCCTTACTCCTCCAAGAGTACATAACAGAGTTCAAGTTAAAGAGAAACTGATCAATTCTGCCTGCTACAGACCCTGGCAACTGACACCTCCTTGAAACAATCTTTTTGGATTACAGATTGTTTTGATTATAACAAAGAACAAAATATTTAAGCTTAACTTTTCACACATTTCTAATAGACCTTTATTTTTCTCATAATTGTATATAATAATTACAACCACAGACATTAGATTAGGAAGGAGGCTAACCCCTGTTCTCTAAACTAAGCTCTGTGTCATCCACTCTCAGCAAAAAAGTATCCATACTCAAAGGCTGGGGGTGGCCCCACCTTGCTACCAAAGCTCAGAAAACCGATCTGACAGTTGAGTCACAACTCTGCTACACATTTCTTTAATCTAAGACTTTTCTTTTCCTGTCATAATCCTATCTTTCCTTGTACATCCTATACTAAATGCCTTCCAGGAATCTTTCTCTGATCCAATTAAGTGCCTTTAAAATGTTCATATCCCAGGCTCCCCTGCCACCCCCACCACACACACACATACAATTCTGCTTAGACTACAAAGTCTTCTCTACTTGTAGGAATTTCTATAGTTTGTTTTGCGGGAGCAAAAGAGTTCTGTTGATATAGATTTTTCAAACAACCGAGAGTCCCTACACCAAGATATTCTGACACAGCAAGGGTAGGAGGCTATCCCACCTCTTTAACCCCTCCCTGAAAATTCCTGCTGTTCCAAGAAATCATTTCTCCCACTGGTATCCACAACACCTAACTAGTTCTCCCTTCCATTATAGGTACAGTAATTTTAACTGGATTTTAACAAAACTTTTATTCCTATTTTCTTAGCTTACATTTACATGTTCTAGCTTTTAATTTAAAAATAAATTAAATCTGACATAATTCATCTATTTTGCATCAACTTTTTATCTTTTGTCTCATTTTAAATGTTTTATTTCATTTACATTTATTCCTTTACTTGGGGTTTGTTTTTATAATGCTTAACAAGCAGAATGAAGCCAAAAAGAAAAAGGCCTTCTCCATCTCTCCCTTCAGCTCCTCTGCTTCTCAACTCCAAACTTATTGAAGAATTCTACCCTTAGGAAATTCAGGTCATTTTCTAGGCCTTATGCCTCAGAGTACACATGTGATTTACGTGACAAATGTTGCTCCCTAGCATCTCACTCCACCGAAAACTTTTTTCGGTGTTACTCTTTCGCCCAGGCTAGAAAGTGGCACCATCTCGGCTCACTACAACCTCCATTTCCCAGGTTCAAGCAATTCTCTTGCCTCAGCCTCCCTAGTATCTGGGACTACAGACTCACTTAAAACTTTTATAAAGAAATCTTTGTTTTTCAACCTATGAGTTACAATTACAGCCATTGGATTTTGGATAAATCAGAATGCCTTCAGCCAGGAGACAATAGTAATTGGGAGGTCAAATTAATATAGTAGCTGGCACAAATAAAAAGTAACGGTTTTGAAGCTTATACAGCTTGAGAGCCCACCTTCAAGGAAATCAACATTTCAAACAAAACACTGGACTCCAGCCTTGGAAGAAGTCTATGCTAGGAAGAGTCCCTGAAGCTGAAGCAGAGACCAGGTGGCTCTCTACTGTCTGGGGAGACTCTTGGGAAAAAAGAGAGAGGTTCTACAGACTGCCTTTTCCACCTGGCATCTAATGTACTTATTTCCATATCACTGCTCTTCCCTTCCTGGAGGGATCACAAAAGGAGCTCTTGGCTTGGAACATCTCATGGCTTTTTGCCAACTCTGTGAACTCAAGGAAAACCTGGACAAAGCATGATTTTCCCCAAATATATTTTGTTCTTTTTTTAAAGGGATCACTCAGTCACCGCCAAGCTACCTAGGAAGTCAGAACCTATGGAGTCAGGGAAGTTCTTCTCACCTCCAAATCATGGATCTCATTAACCCTGGAAAGTCCTTAGGATAAGGGAAGTGGCTAAGGTAGGGCTTTGCCTGCTGCCTTCTTTTTTTCTTCTTGTGGCTGTTCCCCACAGGAAAGGAAGTGGTATTAAATGAGTTAGAGGGGCTGAAGAACAAGTTAGCATATGTCTCCCACTTGTTGGGTTCTTAAGATGAATGCCGCTCAGCTGGAGAGATACCTAGAGTCAAAGCCTAGTTCCAATACTTACCAAGTAGCCTCAGGCAAGAACAACACAACCTCTGTGACCTGCGGGTTCTTTAAAATGGGGATGAGAATGCCTAATGGCAAGATAGTTATGTGGCTTAAGTGAGATAATCTGTTAAATGCACCAAGCACAGTTCCTAGTACATGCAGTCACCTGTGGTAAACCATTTAGTGGCCATAAATTCCTTTGCAACAATGACACTGCCACGCCAGGCCCCCAATCCCGAGGTGGAGTCTATGTCTCTGCCCTGTGAACCTGGGCTGGCCTTGCCAACTGCTGACAAAGAGAATACAACAGAAGAGAGGCTTTGATGGTTCTAGAGCCTAGGTAGGACTTAAAAAACACTATCTTGGAAAATTGCCCTGAGACCATCATGTCAGGAGCCTGTCTAGTCTACCAGAGGATGGTAGATAGAGGCCACAATGAGAAAACTGAGGTTGCCCAGCTGACAGCCAACACTCAGTATCAACTACCAGCCATGCTGGCAAGCCATCTTGGATCCTTCAGCCCAGCTAACCCTTTAGCTGAAGGCACCCACTTGAGTGAACCTGTAACCAACACAGTAACTACCTAGCCAACCCACAGAATCACAGGAAATAATAAATCACTGTTTCAAGCTACTAGGGTCTATGGATGGTTTATTTGGCAACAGATTAAAAGACGACTCAATAAAGAATAGTTCTTGATATTACCAGCCTTTTTTTTTTTTTTTCTCCTGAGACAGAGTCTCGTTCTGTCACCTGGGCTGGAGTGCAGTGGAGTGATCTCGGCTCACTGCAACCTCTGCCTCCTGAGTTCAAGCAACTCTCCTGCCTCAGCCTCCCAAGCAGCTGGAACTACAGGCATGCACCACCATGCCTGGCTAATTTTTGTATTTTTTGGTGGAGATGGGGTTTTGTCATGTTGGCCAGGCTGGTCTTAAACTCCTGACCTCAAGTGATCCACTCACCTCAGCCTCCCAAAGTGCTGGGATTAGAGGCATGAGCCACTGCGCTTGGCCTCTTTTTTTTTTTTTAATAGTGATGGCGTCTCGCTATGTTGTCCAGGCTGGTCTCAAACTACTGAACACAAGTGATCCTCCTGCCTCAGACTCCCAAAGTGCTAGGATTAGAGGCATGAGCCACTGCACCTGGCCTCTTTTCCTTTTTTTTTTTTAATAGAGATGGCGTCTCATTATGTTGTCCAGGCTTGTCTCAAACTACTGAACTCAAGTGACCCTCCTGCCTCAGCCTCCCAAAGTGCTGGGATTGCAGGTCTGAGCCACTATGGCCGGAATACCAGCCCTTTCTTAAGCAAGAAATGTTACACCTATTTAATATTTCTCCAGTCATGCCAAATCATACAGGAATATTATATTCTATATTTGAAGGAATGTGATCATTTCCCTCTTGATTTAACCCTTGGCCTAAGGGCCCTGCAGCTTGTTTATACCTATGATCTGACCGGATAATTTGGTGGCCAAAATGAGAAGACAGCCAAGGAGTTTCTAAATTCTCTAGGTGGCCTTTTGTTACCTAAGGTCCACTCTACCCGAGGGCTAGTCTGAAGGTAGTGAGTTGTCTCCATTGATTGTTCACAGTTACAAATGGAACTCCTTGATCTACTCTTTCCCTCCTCCTCTTGACTAGTCTTAAAAGATAAAAATTCTACTCGAGCTACTTTGACAGTGGTTTCCTTTCTAAGCTCTTCCCATAAGATTGCCATTGCCTAAAACTGGTCCCAACTGCACTGTTTCCCAATAAACATGATACTTATCTACCTGATTCAGGTTTGATACTGCCAGACAGTCAAAAAATCTAGATATGGTGACATGTTTCCTTGAACTACTTCACAGCTTAGTAAGGTGATGTGCAAAACGAATCAGATGTGCCTTCATCACATCACAAACTTCAGGTAGCCTCAACCTCATGTTTAAATTCAGGTGTAGTAAGTCACATAAAAAAAACCTAAGCTTGGCCCACAGACTTGATAATGAAGAACTGTTTTAGGCCAACATTCCCAAGGCAAGAATTTGGTGAATGTGGTCATGGAAGTTCAGATCCAGATAACTCATGGGAAGTGAATTCTTCCTGGCTTTATGAAACAGGGTCAAGCTGACCCACCTGGTAGACCTCTAAGCCCTGATGACATTCTCACACTGTATAACCTATTAACAAGTTTAATCTTGAAGATGCTATCAAGACTTCTTAGAATGGTGGCTCTAATCCTTTCTAACTTACGGGATTGATTAAGTACCATCCTTGTTGTGTGGACCAAGTACAGGGTGGTGGTGTTTGTTGTTTTGTTTTTTTTTTAGAAAAATATTTTGCCCAGCCAGTGCTATAGTTCTATTAAGTTAATGCCATCTAAAACTTCCTCATTTCTGATTTCAAAAGTTACAGGCTTAGTATTCTGTAGGTTTTACTCATAGCAATTCCACTGAAATTGTATATTCTATACTACTTTGTGGAAAAATTATCCAGAAACAAGATCACATTGCTATTTTTCATTGCTCATGTGTCCCTTTAGGTCCTCTTAAAGCTATTTCTGGATTAAACCCATGAACCTACACCTCACCCTACTGACCTTTCACTGAGCAGTGCCATGGCATGATACCCCTGGCTAGCACTGGGCAACATGATATGAGATGGCATCGTAAGGCAAAGTCACTAGGTTTTACTGTAAGATACTGGGAAGGTTGTTCAGGATGTGGCCATTGCAAATATAGTGTTTTCTTAATGAAAACCCAAAGGAGAAAATTTTTCTCGCCTTCTGGAATCAGGAATAGGTGTGCTTCTCTGATTTGGTTTCTCTTCTGGACACCCTGAAGCTTGTTATAGATCATTTGCCTCTTCTCTTTGCTGCTGGAAAGCTTATAGCCAGAACTTTTAGTAAGGAAAGAACAGGACTTCGAAATACACTAACCAGCCTCACTTATACTTCCATCTTCTTTTCCTTCTTTATACTAAATATACTTTATCTTGTCATATCATATGCATCTTTGTAAAAAATCCCAAATCCTGTTTGAAACAAAGGGGAATATAAATAAAACTAAAGATACTATAGTCAATGTGCATGCCTAATCCCCCTATCAGAGAGTGACCTCTTGTAGGTAAGGAGGATGCATTGCCCCACCTTGAAATCCCCATAACATCTAACGCTGCGCTTTCACTGCTGAGTGAATATTTGGGGAATTAAATAGCAGAATATGTAAATGTTGATAACACTGTGTTACCCGAATTATAAAATAAGCAGTATGCCAATGAATTGGTCTTTTACCCTCAAAAATTCACACAAGTTTGAAAAGATATACAGTATTTATAAGAGTGTTTATCAAAACATTATTAGAAGTAACTTCAAGGTCCACCAATAGAAATATGGTTATATGTATACTATCACATGTTATTGACATTTAAATGAAAAAGGTGATAAAAGAAGCAAGCTGCAAAATAATAAATTTTTCAAAACTAAATAACTCTGGGCACATTTTGCCATTTGTAGAGAAAACGTCTGGAGGGCCTTACCCCCAAAACTGATAACTAGGTGTGTTTAGGAGTGAAACTAGCCAGGGTGGGAGCTGGAAGAGGAAGCAGAGGTGAATTTTCATTCTCTTAAATATTGATCATTTATAATTTTTTTGTAATGAGCTAGTTTTACTTTTGCAATTTAAAAAAACACTAAACATTTAGAGGCCTGTGACTATAAAGTGTTCTCAAATCTTCAAAATGCTAAATATGTCTTAAAGGTTTGGTTCTTTCTTCTGGCTCCAGGTGATCAAGCCTTCCTCTTGGCCTCACCCTTTCATCCTTATGTTGCCCTGGATTCCTCCACTTTTCCATAGGGCATGTAAGAAATTGATCTGTTTGGGAGCACTCACACAGGTTTAAAAAATATGAAAAGGGAAGGAAACCTCATTCTAAACAAAGCTGTAGTCTTTATAAGTCCTTACATGTAACAAATTACAAAGCATTTAATTAAATTCCTGTCTCAATATTTTTACATGTAATGGAGCAAAACATGTTAATTGAGCAAGACTAGTTTTAAGAATCATGTCCCGGGTTAGGCGCAGTGGCTCAGGCCTGTAATCCCAGCACTTTGGGATACCAAGGCAGGAGACTCACTTGAGCCCAGGAGTTCAAGACCAGCCTGGGGCAACACAGTGAGACCCTATTTCTCTTTTTAAAAAAAAAAAAATCATGTCCATAAAGTAACACTTTATAAAAAGAACTTGTAAATTTTTCAAACTTTTTCATCAAATGAAAATTCCTTCTTCCTCCCATTCCACTAAATACAGATATAGAGAGAAGTTTAATTTTTCAAAGATTTTTTCAGCCTATTTGGAGAAAACTAATTAAAATTAATTTGACCAAGAAAGTTTCTCCAGGTCCCCAAAATTTTAAAGTTAAATTAATAAATGCATAAACTCATCAATGTGCAGTTTTTCCTAGAGTTTGCCATGGCAGAATTCAATGAATAGTAACATGTCACAAGCCAGGACCCAGAATTGAGCTCCATGGAGTCAGGTGGACACCACAAGGCAGTTGGTGGGGGATAGGGGGAGAGTTGTCAGAGATAACAGAGAAACCAGAGTTGAAAGCATTAGATAAATACCAGACAGCTGAGGAAGGGTGAAGTCAAACACTGAAAACATCAACTAAGGTAAGAAAATCTGATAAGGCAGGGTCAGGTCAAGGGGAGGCTGCAACTAGGTCGGAATATCAATGATAAAAGCAAGCAGTCACTAAGCAACGTGCTGGGGTGAACTCTGATACCCGTGTACTTTTGTTTTGTTTTGTTTGTTTTGTTTTAGACAGAGTCCCACTCTATTGCCCAGGCTGGAGTGCAGTGACACAATCTCGGCTCACTACAACCTCTGCCCCCAGGTTCAAGCGATTCTCTGGCCTCAGCCTCCCGAATAGCTGGGACTACAGGCACATGCCACCATGTGTGGCTAATTTTTGTATTTTTTTCAATAGAGACGGCATTTCACCATGTGGGTGGGCCAGGCTGGTCGCAAACTCTTCACTTAGGTGATCTGCCCACCTCCACGCTGGGATTATAGGCGTGAGCCACCACGCCAGCCACCTGTGTACTTTTCCTCCAGGCTTTTCTTGCTGCTAGGAGTGTTCGGTGTTGTAACCAGATGTTGATAGTCATGAAAAGGAAATCAAAAGCCTACAGATTAACTACAGATTAAGACTCTGCCCTTGATTAACTCCAGGGCAAATACTGGAATTAACTCACAATTGCTGGTTGCCTCATCAGTTTCTCCAAGAAGCTGTTTAGATGACCCCCAAAGGCTACAAATGATGATTGGAATTTGATCACAGATCTATACTTCTAAGGAAGTCCTGACAGGCTAGCCCTTTTATAAAATGTAATAAGAATACTTTTCAGGCTGAGCACGGAGGCTCACGCCTGTAATCCCAACACTTTGGGAGGCTGAGTTGGGCGGATCACTTGAGGCCAGGAGTTGAGACCAGCCTGGCCAACACGGTGAAACCCCGTCTCTACCAAAAATACAAAAATTAGCCCGGGGTGGTGGCGGGTGCCTGTAATCCCAGCTACCTGGGAGGCTGAGGCAGGAGAATCACTTGAAGCCGGGAGGCGGAAGTTGCAGTGAGCCAAGACTGTGCCACTACACGCCAGCCTGGGTGACAAAGCGAGACCCTGTCTCAAAAAGAAAAAAAGAATACTTTTCAAATTCTCTGTGAGGCAAGCAGCCAACTTCCTAATGAGTTTGATCAGCAAATGGGGTTTCAAAACACATTCCATCCGCTGCTTCTGCTCCAACTTCTCAAAATTGTGAGGGGAGGTGTGAGCCTCCTACTCACCCTCCCTGCACTACTAGCCCCTCTGCTCCCTATCCGGCCATGAAAGTGGACATGACCTGAATTCATCAGCCAATTTGTTCTGGGTCCTTTTGTCTCCTCATTAAGCGTACAGACGAAAATCTTACTGCTCTAAAGAAATGTGCTTACATATCCAAGTTCACTCCTTGCACGTTTCCTTTTCCTTAAAGCCAATCATTTTGCTTTGAAGTAAGTAGAACTGGTGGAAAGTCCCCTCTTCTGCATCTGTCCCATCATTTCATCTATGTGAGTTCTGCACCTGTCAGACACAAGATGAGTCTCTACACTGCCTTCTCTCCCACCGACAGGGGTCCAGGTAGTGCTCAATCAATTCTATGCTCCCCACACCTCCTCCAGTATCTCCAATCCCCCTCCGCCCAGCCTGCTCCACTGCAACCTGTTTTTCTACCCATTGGAAAAGTGGTTTCCAAATAGTGGACTGTGATCCACTAACACGTTATGAGTTTTTAAGAACACAGACTAGAAACAGAAATTCAATAGAAATAGAAACTAGTTTCACATACACATATACTTGCTATGCCCTGGGTCTCAGTGTAAAAATGCATTTTGTACTGTTGTAGTCTGAAAATGTTTGAAACACTGCTTTAGACAAGCGTTTGTCCACCTACTCAAACTCCACCCATGATATTGGTCCCGCTGTCTGGGACTCCCTTCCTCCAGTGCTGGCTCAAGCTCTGAACAGCCTTCCACGTGTCTTCTTCGTTGGCTGTTTTCAAAAGCTTTGGCCTTTTACACCAGTTCAGAAGCTCCTTCTTATATATCCATTGCCTTCTCCGTGAACAGACCAATGTTCTGAACAAAGAAACACCTTTTGCTATTCCTGCCTTATCCTGCCTGATCAGGTCTGGGATCTGCTTGCAGCACATCCAACTGTCTCACCAGGAATAACAAGCCTCAGAGCAGTAGGCCTCCATTTCTTTGTGTGCAACCTTTCATCCTCAACAAGAAAAAATACCACTAAAGTCACTCTGGAAATACCTAGACTTTCTTACAAAATTAGCCTTACTTTCCTAATGTAATGTATTCTCTGGTGTAATCCATCCAGCGCCTGATACCAATGCCAGGTGAATACAGCTCATTCCTAATGTTCAGTTAAAGTCTGTTTCCCATCCTTGAGAACAGATGGTGACTCCACCTCCATACTGCTATCTTCTTCTTCTCTCAAGGCAAATGGAAGAAGAAAAAGCACAACAGGGTGACTGCACTAGTTTGGTGGTATCCTTTCCTCTCTCAAGGACGAGGGCACAAGTTGTCCAGCACAACTCCACCCCCAGTCTGGCCCTCCTTTGTCCAAATGCCCATAATTCTCACCCAGACAATTAATTCATTATCTTCCTTAACAGAAAAGCTAGCTTTTCATATCTTAGTGTAGACTGTTCAGTTTACTCTTCTCAGCCAAACTGAGTATCCCAGTTTGAGATATTGAAGCCCAAACAAATCCTTAATCTGTAGGATGTGGGACTAATTTGGAAAGAAGGGTGGGGAGAGACACTGAGGTCTAAAGAGTTTCTTACAAACTAAACTGCCCATTTTCCTCTAATACATGCAAGACCAGCTTTGAGAGAGGAACATGAACGCTGGGCCTCCTTTAGAGCACCAAAGAGGAGAGTAAACAGGTCTGAAAACTGTTAAGACAGCTGTGCTTGACTCTGAGGAGCCAGAAACACTCTCAAAGAGAAAGAGGGAGAAGGGCCCATCAAACCTCAGGTACATTCCCAAACCTGCCTAGAAGCTGTGCCACTTCCCTTTTGAAACCCAGCCCCTTTCCCATTTCTCAATTGGGAATCTAGGGATCCTTTACTTCCTACTAGTTATCTGGTTACAGGGAGGACTCTCCAACACCTACAAAGCCACTACTTCTTTCTCCCCAGTCTTTTGCAGGGAAGGCTCTTAATCAGTCTAACACTCAGATTTCTGATAGCTCCCTGCTCATAAGACTTCCCTTGGCAATCAGATGAATTTACCCAGTGGAGATTTCAGAAAATCAAGGAAAAGACAGGCCAACTCTTGCATCTGTACTCCAGGACCTATTCAGAAGACTCCAGTGAAGACCTAGCTTCCCTGGGGTTTGCATTAGTCTCAGCACCTTGAGCATGCCATTCCTAGTTCACCTCCAAGTATAAAGCATTAGTAGCAAAGACCCATTATTCTTTCCACCAGGGTAAAGAAGGCTTAGAGTGAAATGAATATAAATGGAAATCTAATACTGTAAATAAATAATGACTGATTGGGCAGCTGGGTCAGAGGCATCCAGCCTAAACAGATAAAATTCATCTCAAGGATGAGGACAGTAAAGATTCAAACTCCAGAGGGAGGTAATGGGACAAAAGGAGTTGCAGGCGTAGAAAAAAAAAGAAGCACCCTCAAAATATTCTCTGGGTTATCAGATGGCACAGGAGGGGCGTGGCAAATAAACTAAAATCCATGGTTCTTCACCCATTCTTTCATATTTTCTAACACGGCGGGAATACACTTTTCTAATTTCGTTTCGCCCAATTTAAGGAAAAGATAAGCAAGGATAAAAATTCCTCATATATAGCACAATTAAAAGGGAGCTGGGATTCTCTAACTTATTACCTTAATCGGCTACACAAAGATGAAGCTACATTTCAATCGACACCATGCGCTGGCACGGGAGTAACTCACTTAAAACACCACAATCCAAGGTCAATTTTTCTCAACTCCATTTATGACTGCGTAAAGATTTTATTAAATCTTTTTTCCTATTTCACACATCAATTCCTAGGGTCCACACAAACTCTTCCATCTTCTCCAAACTGGTATTTGGATTAAACATTATCCAAGATCAGTCTTTAAAGTAAATTTCATAATTTCATATAAAAGTGTGCACCACATTAACACTCAAATGTGTGTACAATTAAAAATATACAGACCAGCAACAGCGACTCTTAAATGAATTTAGACTCAAAGTGTTTTCACAGAGGTTTTTCTGCCGTCTTGGAGGGGTAGGAAACTGCTGGCATTACGAATCCCATTTCATGGCTGGGTAAACCGAGGCACTTAGGGGTTACAGAGGTAAAGATGGAAATAGAAACCAATTTCTCCCTCCGACTCTACGCCTGGTCCCTTCCCACTAGACTTTTCAGCACTCAGTGGCTAAAAATGGGACCCACTTGAGAACTGCAAGGGTAAATAAGAGCTACTTGTTTCAGAAGGTGGCGGCGGGGGAGGGGGACTTACCCACTTGATGCGCCCGATTGTGTGTGGGCTCTAACAAGAAAGCTCTCCCTGGATGCCCAAAGGTTTGCACCCACCCGCTTTAAGCTCAGACCCGAGAGGCACCGCCAGGCAGACAGGGCAGCCGGAATCGTGCAGCCCGAGAAACGCGAGAGGAATGCGGGGCGCCCGGGCGGCGCGGGGGCCGCGGGCCCCGGGACACCATTTGCTCCCGGAGCGACGCCGTGGCCCGCCGGGCGGGGACGATGCTGAGCCTTCCGCACACACCTGCCGGAGCCCGCCCGGGAGCCCCGGGCCGCCTCCCGCGCGCCGGACGCCCACCCAGCCTCCAGGCGCAGGAGCTCTCGGCCGCGCTAGGCCAGGGGCGGGAAGCCGCGGCACCCCTCTCCGCGGGCTGCGCTTGGCGGCTGGCGCGGGGGAGCCGCGGGGCGAGGCAAGCCCGCCTTCCTCCCCAACCCCCCCTCCAAACGGCGTCACCTGTGCCGGGTCCCGGGGCGAGTCGCGCGCGGGCGGCGGCTGCGCCGAGCCGGGAGAGGGCGGCGGGTGTCTACAGGAGTCTGCTCATCCGGGCCGGCCCGAGGGCTGGCGCTGGCCAGTGCCGCCCGGTGAGATGCTCACGGGAGCCAGGGAAGCCGCGGGTTCCGGGCCGCTTGGAGGTGCAGTCGCGGAGGCTCCAGCTACCGCGGCGGCCGTCGCGCCCGCCCGGACTGCGGGCTCGGGTTACCGCAGAGCTGCTCCTTAAAGGGGCCGCGGCCGCTCGGGCTCCGGCTCCCGCTCCGGGCGGCTCCGACCCTGGCCAAAGTGGGCGGGGCCCCGAGGCGGGCCGCCGAGCAGACCTTCTTGCCCTGGAACTTGGGTCCCGGAAAGAGCCCAAAAACCCTAACACCCGAAGTCGCAGCGGAGAGATCCTGGAAGCTCACACCTTGCCAAGGGCAGAGGGTGCAATTCCCGGGTTTTCCAAAGCAAGTCACAAAACTTGCCAGCGGGGGAACTGTGTGAGCCCGCCCCCGCAGCGGTCAGTACCTGGGCTAGCCACGTAACAAAAAATCTTCTTAAATTATGAATTTACATTCTGCCTTAAATGCTCAAATACTGGGGACTTCATGGTTAGATCATCAGAAAAGAGATGAAAAGGCAACTGCTGGTTTTTCTTGCCACGTCTGACACGGCCACACTCGAGTCCCGCCAGTTCTTCTTTGGGGCTGCAGGTGCATACCAAACTGGTAGGGGGCGCGTGTAGAAGAAGCGTGTTCTCTCCAGCACCACCTCCAGAATTCCTGAAAAACACCCTCATGGGTGCACCAGCACTACACCTACACCCGGAACCCCTCTGTTGTCGGGGTGTGGAAGTTGGATTTGAATATTTGGTGCTGGCTGAGAATTCCAAGTTGCCTAGTAGATAAAGTTTGACATTAAATAGATGTTCTGACCTGTTATATACAGCCCCAAAAGCCTCCAAGTGATCTGCATCAACCAGAGATAATTGTCTGAAACAAAACAAAATAACAAAGAGGTATACTCATGCATTATAATTCGCAGAGAGCAATCACAAGGCCTTTTCTTGAAAAGAGGTAAGTTCTAAATAAATAATTTGTAAACACTATCATTGATAACAGGATATTTATTTCTAAGAAATGTCAATAGAGCTAACATATTTGATCTACTATATACATGCGCAGAAAGACACACATATCTGCCGCAGATTTAGACCAGAAAATATATACACAAAAGCTCATATAAGCTGTCCATGTTTATTTTCAAGAGAGGGCAATAGAATTTAAATCAGAACCTGGAATTCTGTCAGTTTATTAGAGTTGTGTGCCTTTAGCTAACTGAACCTCACTGAGGCTCAATTTCTTCATCTTTAAAATGGTAATAATAATTCATAGTGACTCTGAAGACCTGGACTGATGTGGAAAAGACAAAATCTATACCACAGAACAGGGAGGGACAGAAACCTGCCCTGCAGTCAAGCAGAGAGAAAGATCTTTCAGGCCCCCAAATGCGTGTTCCCCTTTTTCTCCCCAAGACTCTCAGGATGTACCAGGGCTCCAGTGCTCTTTGAACCACACGGTGTCCCATCATAGTCCCTTCACAATATGTGCAGTACCTGACAACTTTGGTTTGCGCAATAGCTACCTTGTGCACTCACATAGCTATTTCATAACTCTCTGTGGGCAGGATGGTTATATGTGAACATCTGTGAAGTCAGCCCAGAAAATACCAATTTCACAGTGTCCTCTCAAGAGTCTGTATCAACACTACCTCCTACAGAAACTCTCCCATGCTAGTCTCTGGTGGCTGATAGTAGCTCTGTTCTTTCCTGATAAATGCACCATCATTATCTTTGATATGCATAATTCTCTAACACCAACAGCAGTAACCAAAGCCAGGTAAACCCACAGAAATCCACTATACTCTATGTCCCACTATATTCCTTCATATTAGGCCTCTACAAATGCCTCATGAAAACTGCAAGATTGTTTTTGAGATTGTACAGAACATATAAGTTAATATATCAAGGACAAGGCCTGAGCTATGAGAGGAATTCAGTAAATAGTAGTTGAATGTTGCAAGTTTTAAGCTAATTAAAACTCAGTGACCTTAGGAGGTAGAAGAATACATCAACTGTATTTTTTCCTGAAAAATTCAGGGTAGCTTAATCTCTTTAAAAATATCCAGTTCATGGCTGGGTGCAGTGGCTCACGCCTGTAATCCCAGCACTTTGGGAGGCTGAGGCGGGCAGATCACCTGAGGTTGAGAGTTCGAGACCAGCCTGACCAACATGGAGAAACCCTGTCTCTACTAAAAATATAAAAAATTAGCCAGGCATGGTGGTGCTTGCCTATAATCTCAGCTACTCGAGAGGCTGAGGTAGGAAAATCGCTTGAACCTGGGAGGCAGAGGTTGTGTGAGCCGAGCTCACACCATAGCACTCCAGCCTGGGCAATAAGAGCGAAACTCTGTCTCAAAAACAAACATATATATTATATATATATATATATAATGTGTATATATATATATCCAGTTCATTAAATCTGTATTATTAATTGTTTCACCAATATTCCCTTTCCAAGGATACTTTCTCAGAATTCTGTATTTACCATATGAAGTTTTTCTGCATTTTAAATGGGATGTATAAAGACCGAATTGCACTTTTTATATTGTTATTCACTGAAACAGTTCAAGCAAACAGATCAGAGAAATGAAAGTATTTATCCACACTTGAAATGGGCAACAAATACAAAAACTCTTTTTTTTTTTTCTTTGAGACAGAGTCTTGCTCTGTTGCCCAGGCTGGAGTGCAGTGGTGCCATCTCGGATCACTGCAACCTCCGCCTTCCAGTTTCAGATCTCGTGCTTCAGCCTCCCGAATACCTGGGATCACAGGCATGCACCACCATGCTTGGCTAATTTTTGTATTTCTAATAGAGACGGGGTTTCACCATGTTGGCTAGGCCGGTCCCGAACTGCTGACCTCAAGTGATCCACCCACCTCGACTTCCCAAAGTGCTGGGATTACAGGCTACCATGTCCAGCCAAAAACTGTTTTAAATGAAGTAAGTTTTCCTGATGAATTTATTTTCCAAAATTCTTAATCTTCTGAATAGAACCAATTGTTTGAAAAACTAAGACCAAAAGCTGTTTTTTTTCTAAAAATTATAATTAAAGCAAAAATATTTTGAGAAGTTGCCTTAATTCTCCACTCTGCTCTGTTAGTGAAGATACAAACTAAATGACGCCAAACATTTTGATCAGAAAGGCTGAATTACTAAAAAATGAATAACCCCAAGCACTACTTTTTCCTGTGTTGGTAGTTTTAGTGTATTAAGAGTGTTTGTAGTTTTATAAGTGTTTAAAAATACTTTCACCAGGCACACTGGCTTATGTCTGTAATCCCAAGTGCTTTGGGAGACTGAGGCAGGAGGATTGCTTGAGACCAGGAGTTGGAGGCTGCAGTGAGCTGATATTGCACCACTGCACTCCAGCCTGGGTAACAGAGTGAGACCCTGTCTCTAAACAAACAAACAAACAAACCAAAAGGTTTTTTTAAAAGTACTTTCATTTGTTTTCAGATGAAACTATTTCAAGATATTACCAGTGGTTATTTCTGGGTGGGTGAGACTTTTTTTTTTAAGAGATAGGGTCTGCTATGCTGCCCATGCTGGGGTACAGGAGTACAGTGGCCAGTCACAGATACCATATCACATGACAGCCTCTAACTCCCAGGCATCTATGGAGGCAGCCCATAAAATACAGAAACAATCCTCCCCATTTAGCCTCTTAAATAGCTGAGACTACAGGCACACTCAGTTTTCTGGATGGATGAGATTCTGGCCATCTTTTTATGTTCTTTTTGCGCATTTTATTATATGTGATATATTTTCTACAATGTATGTGTATTGTTTTGTTTGCATTTTTATTTTTAGTGAAAGTAACACACATAAGTGAAAAATCAAATAATTCTTAAAGGCTTATAACAAAAAACATCAATGAGTGCCATCAGCCCCCGGCCCTGCTTCTCCCCACCTGTCTTCACCCTACATTCCACACAACCCTACCATGTTCTTCATCTCCTAAATGATAACCTTGTAACAGAATTTCTTGATTTTCAGTTTTACATATTCTTTATTGACATCTTATGGTATTTGAGGATTTAGCTCTTTTACCCACCACCACAACAACTTTGCCCTCATGCTTCCTTGCAACATAACCATATTACAATGTTCACTCAAATCAACAATTAGGGGCCAGGTGTGGTGGTTCATGCCTGTAATCCCAGCACTTTGGGAGGCCTAGACAGGCAGATCACCCGAGGTTAGGAGGTTGAGACCACCAGCCTGGCCAACATGGCGAAACCCCGTATCTACTAAAAATACGAAAAGTAGCTGGGCTTAGTGGCGCACGCCTGTAATCCCAGCTACTCAGGAGGCTGAGACAGGAGAATCGCTTGAACCCAGGAGGCAGAGGTTGCAGTGAGCCGAGATCGCGCCACTGCACTCCAGCCTGGGCGACAGAGCAAGACTCTGTCTCAAAAAAAAAAAAAAAAAGAAAGAAAAGAAAAAGAAATGTAGCTAAGGTTGGATGCAGTGGCTCACAACTGTAATTCCAACACTTTGGGAGGCCAAGGCAGGAGGATTGCTTGAGGTCAGGAGTTTAAGACCAGCCTGGGCAACTTAGTAAGACTATGTCTCTACAAGAATAAATAAATAAATAAAATAAAAATGTATCTAACCTAAATTTTAGATACAAATGCTTCAACATATCTATCAAATGCCCATCAATAATATCTTCCAATGCCCAAACACACAACTTTCAGTTTACTCTTTTATTTTGCCAGATCACAGACTCCAGTAGCTTACTCAGAAGAGGTACTAGAGGGTAAATTTTTAGAGTACTTGCCTGTCTGAAAATGTCTTCATTCTACTCTTATTCCTGACTGATAATTTAGATGGATTGAAAATTATTTTCCCTCAGCATTTTGAAAGCATTTTTCCAGTGTTGCCATTGAAATGTCTAATGCCTTTCTAGTTCCCACTCCTCTGTATCTGACCTATTTTTCTTTCTAGAATCTTCCATTTTCCCTAGTAGTCTGAAATGTCATATTGATGCACCTTACAAATAGGTCTTTTTTCAGTGGTTGTGCTGGATACCAAGCAGTCTTTTTTATCTCATTTGCAAATTTTTTCTTTTATTTATTTGCTGTTTTCCTCCCTTCCATTTTCTCTATTCTTTTTGTGAATTCTTGTTAGTAGGTTATTGGAACATCTATATTATTCTCTAAATGTATTGTCCTTTTATCCTATTGATCATCTCTGTATCTTTCTTATCTATTGTCTGAGATAGAGGTTCTCAAACGGGGCAGAAGGAGGAGAAGGTTGATTCCCCTGCCCCAGGAGACACGTGGCAATGTCTGGAGATATTCTTGGTTGTCGCCACAGGAAAGAGGGGGATGGTCTGGCATCTAGTGAGTAGAAGCCATGGATGCTGCTAACCGTCATACAATACACAGAGCAAACTTCCACACAAAGAATTTCCAGCACCAGATGGCAACTGTGCCAAGATTGAGACATCCTTGACCAAAATAATTCCTTAACCTTATCTTCCACCGAACTTTCTATTTCAAACACATTTGTCATTTCCAAGGGCTCTTTCCCATTCTCTGGTTAGACGTTTTGTTTATGAGAACGCTTCACCAAAGGATAAACTCCTTTCTCCAGAGGAGAAACTTCTAACCTCATAGAGGGATTGCATTGATAGTGGCAATGTTAGGGTGGAGGGCATGAGTGCAGGCTGCCTGAATGAGGTGGAGAAGGGACCCAGGGGTCCAAGAGCCTAGTGAACCATTATACAGCAATCTTCCTTTTTCAGCCTGTGCCCTGCCCCTGCCTTCCACAGTCCACTGCACCATCAAGTGCTAAGTTTCCTCCAAGCACTGAGGTTAGCCTCTCTTCCATTTTGCCAAGCCAGTTATCACTTCTCTGTCCAATTTCTGGCTTTTACAATTTATTGAAATCTCTTATCTGTTGTAGACTTTTCTCCTATTCCCTTTTTCCTTGTGGCTTATATCTTGTAAACATCTTTCTACACTATCATTTTCATGTCATTTTGCAAAGAATACATGATAAACACCTCTGGTCGTTCCATAATTAAACAGGAGAGGCTTATTTTTTCATTTTGAAAATAATTAATAACAGAAAGGGATCCAGAACAAAGAACACAGTTATTATTTTGTAAATGTCTTTCATTTCTTTTCTTTTCTTTTCTTTTTTTTTGTTTTGTTTTGTTTTGTTTTGTTTTAAGAGACACAATCTGTCTGTCTTCCAGGCTGGAGTGCAGTGGTATGAGCATAGCTCACCGTAATCTTGAGCTGCAGGGCTCAAGCAATCCTCCCACCTCAGCCTCCTGAGTAGCTGGGTAGGTGCACACTACCACACCCAGATAATCTTTTTTTTTTTTTATTTTATGTGGAGATAGTCTTGCTCTGTTGCCTAGGCTGGTCTCAAATACCTTGCCTCAAGCAATCCTCCTGCTTTGGCCTCCCAAAGCACTGGGATTACAGGAATGAGCCACCACACCTGGCCAATTTTTCATAAATCTCTAACGTTTTTAAATTATGCTAAAATGTTATGGATATTTTTAGATTTTATAAATTAGTTGAAATTTATGTTATCAATCACCAGTTTATATGCTTATAACTTTTAGATCCTTTTTTTTTTTTTTTTTTACTTTTCTTTTGAGACAGAATCTTGCCGTGTTGCCCAGGCTAGAGTGCATGGGGCAATCTCAGCTCACTGCAACCTCCACCTGTAGGAGGCATGCACTACAGGCATGCGCCACCACACCTGGCTACTTTTTTAAATTTTTTGTAGAGACAGAGTGTTGCCATGTTGTGCAGGTTGGTCTTGAACTCCTGGACTCAAGTAATCTGCCCATCTTGGCCTCCCAAAGTGCTGGGATTACAGGCGTGAGCCACCGCACCTGGCCTAGATCCATTTATTGAATGTCCTCCTCGATATTTTTCCATGCATACTTGCATATACTTTCGGTTTTATTTCAATGACAAAAAGATTACATATTTTGTAAGTGCTCTGTTACATTCAATGAATTTAACATAATGTATTTAACCAATCCCTTATTGTTGGACATTTAGGGATCTTGTTGTTGGATGAAATTTTCCATTTCTCACATAAAGCAAAGTAGTAATGTCTGACTAAAAATTAATTTTAAAATTCAAACCCAGCTTCAAATTTAATAGGGAAATTTGGAGGATTCCTGCTCAGGTCAACAGGACAAAAGGGTTGCTCGTTCTTCCCCTACTAATTAATGTGGGGCTGAAAGTATCAGTCAAAGGAACTAGAGGAAAGACAGAAAGTAAAGATATAATTATTGACAAAAAAAGTGTAAAACTGTCATTTCTATATTATATGATTTTATACCTATAAATCAAGTGAAATATATATATTTTTTAAATATACATTTTTTCAGTTGATTTTTTTGGTATACATATGTATATCCTCACATGTACGTGTATATGTATACCCAAAATATCAACTAAAAAATATATAAACAATAAAAAATTTAAGTGTGGGAGCAGGAAAAAAATTAATTTACCAAAATTGTTTGTGTGTGTGTATATATATATATATATATATATATATATATATATATATATATATATGCATACACACATTATGTGTATGTAGTACAAACAGATAAACAATACTCTTACAAAATAAAAGAAGAAAAAGACATAATCGCAACAAAAAGTGTGTAGGGGTAATTAACAAAAAATATGCAAAACTGGCTGGGCATGGTGACTCACGCTTGTAATACCAACACTTTGGGAGGCTGAGGCAGGTGAATCACTTGAGATCAGGAGTTCAAGACCAGCCTGGCCAACATGGTGAAACCCCGTCTCTACTAAAAATACAAAAAATTAGCCAGGTATGGTTGCACACGCCTGTAGTCCCACCTACTTGGGAGGCTGAGGTGGGAGAATCCCTTGAACCCAGGAGGCGGAGGTTGCAGTAAGCAGAGATCATACCACTGAACTCCAGCCTGGGCAACAGAGCAAGATTCCATCTCAAAAAAAAAAAAAATGCAAAACTTACATGAGAAAAACATTAAAACACTCCTGCAGGACACAAGAGTAGACTTGAACAAATGAAAATCAGACCAGGTTTTGGAGAGAAAAAGTCAATGTATGTAAATGCTCTCTAAGTTTTAATTTTATTTATTTATTTATTTAAAGTCAGGGTCTCACTCTGTCGCCCAGGCTGGAGGGCAGTGGCACAATTTTGGCTCAAATGAGATCTCCCTCCCTGTAGCATCAACCTCCTGGGCCCAAACAGTCTTCCCACCTCAGCCTCCTGGATAGCTGGGACTGTAGGCACACCCACCAGGCCTGGCTAATTTTTGTATTTTTTGCAGAGACGGGGTTTTGCCTTCTTGCCCAGGCTGGTCTCAAACTCCTAAGCTCAAGCTATCTGCCCACCTCAGCCTCTCAAAGTCCTGGGATTACAGGTGTGAGCCACTGCACGTGCCCCTAATTTTTAAATGTATTACAATATCAATGAAAACACTAATTGGCAATTTTCTGGAATAGGACAAAATGATTCCAAAGTCCACATGGGAAAATAAACAAACAAGTTTACCAGAAGAACAATTTTTAAAAGATCAGTGAGGAAGGAATAACCTTCTGTATATTAAAAAATACTATAGAATCTCAATAATTAATACTTTGGGATTTCCAATGGAATAGATAGGCTAATGGAATTAAATAGAAAGCCCAGAAATAGACCCAAATAAGCAGCATCTCAAGTCAGTGGGGTAAGATGGACACTTGAATAAATGGATAGCACCTGGAAAAAATAAAGTTAAATCTATGTCTCATTCTGTATGCTAGTAAATATTCCAAATGGGCCAAAGACTTAAATGCAAAATACGAATATACAAATGTATTACAAAGGCCAGGGATGGTGGCTCACACCTATAATGCCAGCATTTTGGGAGGCCAAGATGGGAGGATTGCTTAAGCCCAGGAGTTTGATACCAGCCTGGGCAACATAGTGAGACCTCCTCTCTAGAAAAAATCAAAAAATGAGGTGGGAGAATGGCTGAGCCCAGAAGGTCAAAACCAGAGTGAGCCATGATTGCACCACGGCACTCCCACCTGGATGACAGAGCAAAACAGAAACAAAAACAAAAAAATGCATTCCATGAAAATATGGATGAATTCTCTCCTTACGTTGGAATTCGTAAAAAGGAATGGGAAGGCCTAACTGTGACTCAAAATCTAAAAGCCATAAAAGATTAATAAATCTAACTAATTAAAAAATCAGAAACTACTACCTGGCAAAAATAACAATAATAGCATAAGCAAGGATGAGACACAAATTACAAACTGGAAAAAATATCTGATATTCAAATCACAGATAAATATATAAGAAGCTTATATATCAAAGAAGAAAAAGACCAGACACTCGAGAGAAAATTAGAAAACATGAACAGATATCACAGAAAAAGAAAAATAAAGGACCTTTACACATTATAAATGGTCTTCATTTGTAAAACTATATGCAAATTAAAACCAACCAACCTCATCCCATAAACATATTGTTATTCTACTTCCTCACTACTCTTTGACTTAGGAGCATTCATCTCTCACGACAGCCTCTTCAGATTGGTCTCCCCACCATCATTTTTGAAAAAGAGGGAAATTTACAAAGCTATATCTTTTTTTGTTTAATTCTAGATCTAAAATGCCTTGTTAACAGACGTTGCTTGGATAATACTAGAGTATCACTGTTTATCAGCATATAAAAATTCCTGCTTACTGTTTTGAAACATGAAGAACCCATACATCAATATGATTAAAATCAGAACTAACATGTTCCCTATCCTGTTCCTATGTACGATTTTTAAAAATAAAGTTGATAAACTATTCATAAGTGGTTTTCATAGACCTTATAGCTAAATACAACTTTAGAGTTTAGAAGTATTCCTTAGTATAAAGAGCCCCTGCTCTACTGCCATCCCCTGCTAAAATATTCAATTCCAAAAGAATCATATTTTTGTAGTGATATAAACCAACCACTTCACAGAGACAAAAAACTACCCTAAAAATAATTAAAAATTAAAAGAGCAAATTTTTTTTGTTTGTTTGTTTAAGACAGAGTCTTGCTCTGTCGCCCAGGCTGAAGTGCAGTGGCGCAATCTCGGCTCACTGCAAGCTTCGCCTCCTGGGTTCACGCCATTCTCCTGCCTCAGCCTCCCGAGTAGGTGGGACTACAGGCGCCCACCACCACGCCCGGCTAATTTTTTGTATTTTTAGTAGAGACAGGGTTTCACCGTGTTAGCCAGGATGGTCTCGATCTCCTGACCTCATGATCCGCATGCCTTGGCCTCCCAAAGTGCTGGGATTACAGGCGTGAGCCACCGCGCCCGGCCTAAAAGAACTATTTTTATGACTGTTGTTAAATATGCAAACATATTATCTCCCTTACAAATTTCTTATCTCCCAATAAAATTTACCTCATGTTATTACAACTATCATTCCTGCAATGGTGTTACTATAAGCAGCTCAACCCATACATATGAATCATGTGTATCACTAACCGAAGTTCCTGTTTTAGACATTCTATATGAGAAGTCAGAAGCATCGAAAATGACAGTTATTATTTTTATGGAAAATGCATATGCTGCATTCAGATCTCCCACTTAATCTTGACCTGCATGCTGTGCATTTTAATTAAAAAGCATTTTTTGTCCTCCAGCAAGTAACGGTTTTGAAAATTACCCATTGCCATCCCTTTTCAAAATATTTTTGTTATACTTTGCAATATATTAATAATTTTTTATTTGGTTTTGTTGTTGTTGTTTTGTCTGTTTGTTTGTTTTGAGATGGGTCACACTCTGTCACTCAGGTTGGAGTGTAGCGGTGCCATCTCGGCTCCCTGCAACTTCCACATCCCACGTTCAAGCAATCCTTCCACCTCAGCCTCCTGAGTAGCTTGGACCACAGGCATGCACTACTACGCCCAGCCAATTTTTGGTAGAGACAGAATTTCACCATGTCGCCCAGGCTGGTCTCGGACTCCTGAGCTCAAGCAATCCACCCGCCTCGGCCTGCCAAAGTGGTAGGATTACAGGCGTGAGCCACCACACCTGGCCCTTTTTTGATTTTAAAAAGAAAACAATCTAGTTTTAGGGGAAAGGATATTTTAAGGGGATTTATTTTCAATAAGGAAAATTATGTTTAAAGTCTCAGATTTTAAAATTCTCTGTGGTAAGTAGAAAATACAAGATAATTTCACAAACATATCAAATTGAAATGAAGTTGAAGTAAATGTCAGGATTTTTTAGCATTGAAATTGTTTCTTTTGTTACAGGTAAGAAACTCACTTTACCTCTTAACATTTATAGATAGAAATTGAGGTCTTCAGAATTTGAGCCTTTCTCAATAACAAGTTCTTAAATGGAATATTATCTACAGTGATTATCTCTCCATATGGCTATGGCTACAGGATCCACTAAGCCATCAGGAAGACCTGGGGGTCATCATTGACTTCCTCCTCGTCCCACAGAAGCATTCAGTGTCTGCATTAGAACAACTGCCTCCAAACTAGTCCTCTTTGCAGTAGTCTTCTTTCTGCACTCGTCCTTTCTTTTTTCTTTTCTTTTTTTTTTTTTTTTTTAAGACGGAGTCTCGCTCTGTCACCCAGGCTGGAGTGCAGTGGTGCAATCTCGGCTCACTGCAAACTCCGCCTCGCGGGTTCACGCCATTCTCTTGTCTCAGCCTCGCGAGTAGCTGGGACTACAGGCACCCGCCACCACGTCTGGCTAATTTTTTGTATTTTTAGTAGAGACAGGGTTTCACCGTGTTAGCCAGGATGGTCTCGATCTCCTGGCCTCGTGATCCGCCCGCCTCGGCCTCCCAAAGTGCTGGGATTACAGGCGTGAGCCACCGCGCCCGGCCATGCACTCATCCTTTCTAATTAGTCTCTATTGCTGCCACCAATAAAAATAAATAAATATTTTCTGAATTTAGAAACAAATGAAGTAATATATTCATCCAAAATCCAGCTTTTCTGGACAAGTGCCTAATTATCAAAACCCACCACCCATGGAGGAGGCAAGATTATGGTACATTAAAGTCCAAAGTACAATTCTAAGTCTCACAACTGTTCTGAGAGTGAAATCACTGAATACACCTGGATTATCAATTACCTGAAGACAATCTAGTTTCAGGGAAAAGGATATTTCAGGGAATTTATTTTCAATAAATCTGTCTTATGCAGATAGTCCCTGACTTAAAATAGTCCAGCTTAACAATTTTTCGACTTTACAATGCAGTGAAATGCATTCCTTCAAGATTCTTCTACTGAATGCGTTTCATTGCATTGTCAAGTTGATCTTTTCCCAGGCTGGTGATATGTGGTACAATTATACTCTCTCCTGATGCTAGGCGAAATCATCTAACACAAAGCCTATTTTATAATAAAGTACTGAATATCTTGTATAATTTATTGAATACTGTACTGAAAGTATTATTTTTTTTTATTGTTATTGAGTCAGAGTCTCACTCTGCCACCCAGGCTGGAGTGCAGTGGTGTGATCAGGGCGCACGGCAGCCTTGACCATCTGGGATCAATCAATCCACGCCTGCCTCAACCTCCCAAGTAGCTAGGACTACACGTGCACCCCACCATGCCCAGCTAATTTTTTGTAGAGATGGGGCTTCGCCATGTTGGCCAGGCTGGTCTTGAACTTCTGAGCTCAAGAAATTCACCCACCTCAGCTTCCCAAAGTGCTGGGATTTCTGGTGTGAGCCATGCTAAAAATGTTCTGAGCATGTTTAAAGTAGGCTGGGCTAAGCTATGATGTTCAGTAGATTAGGCATGTTAAACGCTTTTTTTTTTTTTTTTTGAGACGGAGTCTCGCTGTCCCCCAGGCTGGAGTGCAGTGGCGCGATCTCAGCTCATTGCAGGCTCCGCCCCCCGGAGTTCATGCCACTCGTCTGCCTCAGCCTCCCGAGTAGCTGGGACTACAGGCACCCGCCACCTTGCCCAGCTAATTTTTTTGTATTTTTAGTAGAGATGGGGTTTCATTGTGTTAGCCAGCATGGTCTCGATCTCCTGACCTCCTGATCCGCCCGCCTCGGCCTCCCAAAGTGCTGGGATTACAGGCGTGAGCCACCGTGCCTGGCCCGTTAAACGCATTTTTGACTTAGTGTATTTTCCATTTATGATGGGTTCGTCAGTACACAACACCATCCTAAGTAAAGGAGCATCTGTACACCTTTGCAACTTACATTGCACCCTGCAAGGTGGGTGCTATCTAAGTGTTCCCATTGTTCTCAGCTTGTCAAGGAACTCGCTTAGGAAGCTCAAAGTTCTGTGGCTGAGGGAGAGTCTTACCTGATAATCTACATTCTAGAGAGAATGATGTGTTTCTCCTCCTTCTTTATCCTAAGCAATTACCTAAAGTTAATAAAATACAGCCAAGTGATGTAAAGGGCTGCTTTGCCTCCCCTTTTATGGCTCCTACAAAGCCCTCTGGTTTGTTGATAAAATCCTCTACCAGGTATTTAAAAATCTATCAGCATTTGGCTTTTTAACACTGTTTTAGGCACACAGTGTTCTGTTAGTACAGAAAGAGAAAGTCATCCTCTTAATGTATCAACATAGAGGTGAAATGAACTTGATTTCAGTTCACTTTGTCTTAATCCAAATTATTAATTCGTTTAACAAATAATGCACATTGTAAGAGTATCATGGGAAACTTTGAAAACAATTGTGTAAATTCTGATTGCTAGTCGTACAAGACATTCTTGGGAAATAAAAAACCATAACCAATAGCTAAATACACCACTGTCGAATTTCAACACTTGTCAAATTGATTTGTAGGGGATGGGATGAACAAAAAGAGCTGAAATTCAAAATCATGTCTCCTAAATAATTTAGATGTGGTTTTAATAATTTTAGTCTTCTTTGGCTTGTACCATTACAACAGTAAAGCCCAATCATTCTATAAGAATGTCAATATAAAAATAACTCACTGACATCCTTCTTATTCCTTCATCTCTCTGAACCAGAATTCAGCCCTTCCTCTAGTTTCTACAGGAAATTATCTCTAAACATTTCACGATTCTCCCCAACTTAACATAAGAGTAGGGGGTTCCTGAGAAGTTGAGTAGAACTTCTACGAGCTCTATCTTCCAACCTCTCTTCTTTCCTACATAGGAGTTGAAGAAACATCTTCTGTTGATTAAATCCAATGGAGTTTCACTGCCTACCTAAAGTAGTTCTTCTGGCCAGGTTCAGTGGCTCACGTCTGTAATCCCAGCACTTTGGGTGGCTGAGGCGGGTGCATCACCTGAGGTCAGCAGCTCAAGACCAGCCCAGCCAACGTGGTGAAACCCTGTCTCTACTAAAAATATAAAAATTAGACGGGCATGGTGGCGCATGCCTGTAATCTCAGCTACTCAGGAGGCTGAGGCAGGAGAATCACTTGAACCTGGGAGGCGGAGGTTGCAGTGAGCCAAGATCGTGCCATTGCACTCCAGCCTGGGCAACGAAGCAAGACTCAGTCTCAAAAAAAAAAATTTTTTTTTTAAAAAGTAGTTCTTCCAAACAAATACACTACTCTTGCTAAAGGAAGTTCTGCAAATATATATATATATAGTACTTTATCCACTGCTTTTGCTCTCATTTCTCAATTAGCTCTTGCTGCATTCCCCTAGCCCTTGAGCTTTCCATCTCAAAGTTTTGATAATTCCTTGAACCTGAGAACATAACGGTCTTTTCTGCTTTGATTCTTAGCTCTAAATTTTGCAATTAACCTTTTGCTCAGTTCACTTCTGCCCACTCCAGGTTCTTACCTACCTTGAAATCCA
Organism: Homo sapiens; assembly: GCF_000001405.40. Classification (NCBI taxonomy): domain Eukaryota; kingdom Metazoa; phylum Chordata; class Mammalia; order Primates; family Hominidae; genus Homo; species Homo sapiens. The sequence goes on along the minus strand of NC_000001.11, from coordinate 95,102,694 downwards.
TCTTAGCTTTGGCTTAACCCTGTCCTCCCTGTTCCCCCAATCCACTAAGGTGAATCTGGTATCAATTCCACGTATGCCATCTAAAACTCATTCTTGAGCTTCAGACCTATATTCCCAAGACTCTACTATGTTTTCCCAGGTTCTTCAAATGCAATAAAATATATAACTCATGATCCCTCCTCCTTTCCATACTCTTCTTTCTCTGAGTTCACGAAGTCATCATCCTTCTAATCACCCAATCTAGAGACTTCAATTTTCCTAGACTCCTCCCTCTTGCTCAGCTCTCTCTATCCAAGTACACAGCAAATTCTGTCAGTCAGACTCCCTATGTATTTTTCATTTACTTACTTCCTCTACCCTTACTCTCACTCACCAAATTTAGACCTGTATACCACCCTTTTCCTCTTATGTCTCCCTGGCATCATACCAAGTTAATAATTTCCTTTCCATCTTCTCCCATTGCTCAGTACCACATGTTTCACACAAAATAGACCCTCAATAAATATCCATTGGTTATAGAAGAGTCCTCAAATCCTTGTGATCTCATATCTTTTCTTTTCTTGTCATTCATAAGTTGTCTCTCTCTCTCCGCAACTTCATGCCTCTTCAGAATTCTTCTGACCTGCTGTTGGTTATCTTCTTTTCACCTCAAATCAAAATCGTTCTCTTACTCTTTATTGCCTATTAACTAAATGTGTTAATGTCCACCATTTGAGCTCAAACCTACATTTCCATTTTTACTGTTCATACTCTTTACTCATTCTCACCAAATCCAACTACTAGTCATTCTCCATTTTCCTGCATCTCTACCTTTGCTCATGTTGCCCCCAACACACACACTGTCTTTTCCTCCCATCTTTTCTTGTCAAAACTTTCCTAGTTAAGGCTGAGAATTTCTCTCTCCCTCTTTTCTCATTTGAGAGTTTAAGCAAATGTATATCTTGCTTTGTACAGGTACTTTATTTCTCCTACCAGGAAAGCAGTATCATAGAGTTGTTCAAAGCAGTGTTTTTCACACCACCTGCAACAGAATAACTGGAGTCATGTTAAAAAGACAAAAACAAACAAAAAACCTTGTAAATCAGAGTTTCTTGAGGTAGAACACAGAGCTCTGCACTTTAAAAAGAAGCTCCTGGCTGGGCAATGTGGCTCCCAACACCTTGGGAGGCTCAGGTGGGAGGATCTCTTAAGGTCAGGAGTTTGAGACCAGCCTGAGTGACATAGCAAGACTCCATCTCTACAAAATACACACACACACACACACACACACACACACACACACACTTTAATTAGTCAGGCACAATGGCACGCACCTGTAGTCCCAGCTACTTGGGAGGCTGAGACTGCAGTGAGTTTCAGACTGCAGTGAGCTATGATCACGCCACTGTACTCTAGCGTGGGTGACAGAGCAAGACCCTTTCTCTAAATAAATGAAACAAAAATAAAAAGAAGCTCCCCAGTAAGGTGTACAGTAAAGTTAGAGACCTAGGCCAGGCACGGTGGCTCACGCCTATAATCCTAGCACTTTGGGAGGCTGAGGCGGGTGGATCACGAGGTCAGAAGTTCAAGACCAGCCTGGCCAAGATGGTGAAACCACCATCTCTACTAAAAATACAAAAAGTAGCCGGGCACATTGGCGGGCGCCTGTAATCCCAGCTACTTGGGAGGCTGAGGCAGGAGAATCACTTGAACCCAGGAGGCAGAGGTTGCAGTGAGCTGAGATTGCGCCACTGCACTCTAGCCTGGGCAAAGAGCAAGACTCTGTCTCAAAAAAAAAAAAAAAAGTTGGAGACCTTTGAGTTGCATAAATGGGCCTTGAAGTCAGAATTGGGGTTGCATTCCAGTTATATCTTTCTTAAAAGATAATTTTCAGAAAAAGCTAAAATCATGACTGACACAGATAGAAAAGGAAATAATGTCAAAGATTTTATTTAACTAACTCAGTGAGGGAACCAGGCAGATGTTACAACCTGTTTTTAAGCAAATCTGAAAAAGACATATTTATACTGAGTTGTAAAATGGCTCAAAGACAATTAAAGGCAGGAATCAGATGATCTGGAAGGTGTCCTCTAAACAATGTAGAATTTTCTTTTTCTTTTTTATTATTATTATTATTTTTTGAGACAGAGTCTCACTCTGTTGTCCAGGCTGGTGTGCAGTGGCACAATCTCAGCTCACTGCAACCTCTGCCTCCTGGGTTCAAGTGATTCTCATGCCTTAGCCTCTGGAGTAGCTGGGATTACAGGCATGCACCATCATGCCCAGCTAATTTTTGTATTTTTAGTAGAGACAAGGTTTTACCATGTTGGCCAGGCTAGTCTCAAACTCCTGACCTCAGGTGATTTGCCTGCCTCAGCCTCCCAAAGTGCTGGGATTACAGGCGTGAGCCACCGCACCCAGCCAGCAATGCAGGATTTTCTATTGAAACATAAATTTTTTGTACACCTTTTCATAGCTATATGACTTTGAGTGTGTTACTTAACTTCTCTGAGCCTGTTATTTTATCTGTAAAATAGTGACAATAAGATTTTTTTACGTTTGTGAATTTCTTTATTCTATATGTATATATATGCATATACATATTTTTTTTGAGATGGGGTCTCACTCTGTTGTCCAGGTCTCTACCTCCTAGGCTCAAGCGATCCTCCCACCTCAGCCTCCCAAGTAGTGGGGACCATGGCCTGAGCCACCATGCCCAGCTAATTTTTGTATTTTTTGTGTTTTTAGTAGAGGGGGGGTTTCACCAAGTCGCCCAGGCTGGTCTCGAACTCCTGGACTCAAGTGATTTGCCTGCCTCAGCCTCCCAAAGTGCTGGGATTATAGACGTGAGCCACCGTACCTGACCAAATAGTGATAATAAGATTTTATAATTAAAAAAAAAAAACTTTCATGGGGATAATACCTAATAGAGTTGGTGAGAATTGAATGAGTTAATGAGTACCAAGAGTTTAGGACAGTGTAGAGCAAATTATACTCAATAAACATTACATCATTGTTGTCATCATCATCATTGTTGTAGTAACTATAAGTTCCTTGAGGATCATTCTTGTTTATTAATGAATGTATATATATGCAATCAATTAATCAAAGTATATTAAATACCTACTTATGCTAGGTTTGGATGAATAATAAAATAGTTCCTGTCTTCAAGGAGTCCAGACTAGCAGAGGAAATGAGGACTTAAACAAATAACTACATGTGATATAATAAATAAAAATAGAGTTTTTTAGCACAATTGACAAAATGACTAACCATGTGTAGAGTGTACAGAGTGCATACAGAAAGTCATTGTAAATGTGAATTTGAGCTGAATCTTAAAAGATGAGCAGGTAATCACTAAGGAAGCACAATGTGGTAATAACTATTATCCTAGATCATGTTGTTCTTATTTAGTTTGTGCAAGATCCGTATAATAACGATTCATTTCTGAGTAGAGAGGGGGTTTCACCATGTCGCCCAGGCTGGTCTTGAACTTCTGGACTCAAGTGATTTGCCCGCCTCACCCTCCCAAAGTGCTGGAATTATAGGCGTGAGCCACCGTGCCTGACCAAATAGTGATGATAAGATAATACTTACTATGTGTCAGGCACTATTCTAAAGAAACATCATTACCCTGTTCTTTTTTTTTTTTTTTTTTTTTTGAGACAGAGTTTCACTCTTGTTGCCCAGGCTGGAGTGCAATGGCACGATCTCGGCTCACCACAACCTCCGCTTCAAGTGATTCTCCTGCCTCAGCCTCCCGAGCAGCTGGGATTACAGGCATGCGCCACCACACCCGGCTAATTTTGTATTTAGAGAGACCGGGTTTCTCCATGTTGGTCAGGCTGGTCTTGAACTCCTGACCTCAGGTGATCCACCCACCTCGGCCTCCCAAAGTGCTGGGATTACAGGTGTGAGCCACCGCACCCAGCCTATCCCGTTCTAGAAAAACCCTGAGGCTTACAGAAGCCTAGCAACTTTCCCAAGATGATACAGCCACTGAGACGCAAGACCACAATTCATTACAGATAACCTGTTTCCAAACTGAGGAAAGATCATCTCAATTTTTCTAACAGGAGAATCAAAATCCAGAGAGATTAGGAGATCTCAAAAAAGAGATTTATCAGAACTTGGGTCTCTGGTTTTGAAGCCTAGGCAGATGGGGAGGAAGAATACCACAGAATGAGAGAGAACATGCAAAACCACGGAAGCACAGAGGAGCTGGGCATGTCCCCAGGAACCACAAATGTTTGGAACTCAATATGCGTTTATGGAAACAGCAGGAGAAGCTAAGGCCACTAAAGTGGTCAAGGATTATGAAAAATAAACTATGCCACACCGAATTACATAGACTCTGCCCTGGAGGAAATGAGGAAACAATGAAGGATTTTAAGCAAGAGAATAAGGAGAACAAAGGTTTAGAAATGGGGCAGGGCAACCAGTTATGAGGCAGCGAGGACTAGTGTTATTGAGATCAAGAGTATTGAAGTCAAAAAAACCACCAGTTATTATGACTTTAGGAAAGAGAACCTCTTTGAGCCAGAATCTTCTCATCTCTAAAATGAATATAATAAAGGGCTATTATGAGGCCTAAATGAGAGTACACAGATCATTGTGCTATATAGATCTGATACTGTATATCGGATCTAGTCAGCATTCAATAAATGATGGTGGTAACTGTTTTTTGTTATTAATGTTGTTACGATACAAATATATTGAGAGCTAGTTTCCATCTATTTGAAGGAAGAATATATGAAATACACTTACTGATGCTCTTTTGCTTAGGTTGTTTAGAAATAAAACTAATGCTGCTTGATTTGTTCAGGAGCAGTAAATTGATCTATATCAAAACAGCAAAGCCCCAGGAGCACAAAGAGAACTAGATTTCAGGAATGGCATGAAGTTAAGAGTTCCGTTTATCAACTATTTCTTGTGTCCCTACGGTGTGTCTAATACTCTATTAAGTGGAACATATATAAAAGTTACGACACCATCTCCTTTCAAAAGGGGGCAAGAGTCTACAATACAGTTCCTTTGGTTGATTTCCTCTGTTCCTGATTCCTGGTGTCCTCTCTCATTTACAACCTCACACACACCTCTTAGGTATTTACACTACTCCTGTGGAAGTGATCTGGGTTTCCCTACTTCGTTACTCCCATCTTGGACTACCTCCTTTTCCTGGCTCCTCCAGCTGGATGAGTTGGATTACACATTTTTTGATACAAACCAGTATCTCACTGTGGTCCAAGAAACCCTGATACTAGAGTGAAGTTTAACCATTTCTCTCATAGCTGGCAGTAGAATTCTTCTCAGAGGAAAACATCTTGAGTCATTATATATAGATGGTGTGCCTAGAGAACTTGGGTTAATAAGAGACAGGAATAACAAGAAGGACTGTTCTATATCAGAAATTAATTTGGAATCAGTAGTGTCACTACAGTTTACAATAATCTATTGTATATTCTAAAATAGCTATAAGAGAATAATTTGAATTTTAGCATAAAGGCAAATATTTAAGGTGATGGATATCCTAATTACATTGATTTGATATTTACAAAGTATATAAAGGTATTAAATTATCACATGTACCCTGAAAATATGTACATCTATTATGTATCAAGAAAAAAAACATTTTTAAGGGGAAGAAAAAGAAATTAACTTGGAGATGTGGAAGGAGTTGGGGACAAGACAGAAGAGATGAGAAAGAGTGAAAAGAAAGGGATGGCAGAGTAACTTCATGGTATGCCTAAAATACTTTTTTAAAATGTGTAATATTCTAAGTTACTTGTATTTCTTTAACTCCCCTCATTTCTTCCAAATTTCCAGTAGGCTTTCCACTACCCCTAAATTCTCATACCTCTGCAAGACGCACACATGGTGTGAGGGGAGGTGCTGGTGAGGTAAATGAAGAAACCACAGGATGGGGCCGAGTTGCACTGCTATATCAAAAAGGAGCAGAAAGGAGATAGCACACCTAGAGTCCAGTGAAATAGTCCATAAACTGAACCCATTAGCGGGGGCCAGAGGTAGTGCTGAAATCACGTCTGGAAAATTGGCAGGATACTTCATGAAACACTATATAATGTAAGAGTTGTGTAATAGGGGCTTGAGTCAATATTATCTAGTTTAAAAACAAAACGGATGATCCCAACTGATATCTGGGTCATGATTTCCTCAGAGACATTGACTATTTTGGCACAATCTATAGGTTTGCCTTTCCAAAGTTCTTACTGTCCCTTCCGCAAAGCTATCCACCCTTGTCTTACCCCAGGTTACTGCAACAGTCTCCCTGGGATCAGCAAATAACTTCTTAAAGAATCATACAGTAAATAGGTCAGGCTTTGTGGGCCAGATGGTCATAGTTACTCATCTCTACACCTAAGGCCGGAAAACAGCAACAGCCAATACATAAATGGTTCAATACAAAGGTTATGTTCCAATAAACCTTTATTTACAAAAACAGGCAGTGGACCTTCTGTCCTGCTCTTTCTGTTCTCCAGTTGTTGTCAAGGTACTCTTTCAAAATGTCACTCCTCTACTTAAAATTTGAATGGCTAATTGGTAGAGAATAACCTCAGATTGCTTGAACTGTTACCTACAATCCAAAGCCTGCTGTTAGTGTACCTTCTGCTTTGCAGCTGTAGCTTGCAGAGAGATTGAGGAAACACAACTCCGATACTTTCTGATGCAATGACTAAAGTCTTGAATGGTTTCACATCTGCCTTCCTCTCTAAACTTAATTTGTTTATCTTCCCTTTGGCTCCTGATCGCTTACCTCATATCTTGTTTGCAGTCTTGTATACAGTGTACTTTATATGTTGTAATTTTTCTCTTAAAGCAATTTTGGTTTGCCTTTCTGACCAATACTCACTTTTCAAATATCATGTGGTGTGAATATTCCATGTGGCAAGCCTACATGACTTAATCATTTAGTCCTTACTTAATTCTCACAATAATACTATGAGGGATTTCTTTTTATTATTCTCATTTTACAGTATACATAATTAAGACCTAAAGAGGTGCCGGCGCGGTGGCTCACGCCTGTAATCCCAGCACTTTGGGAGGCTGAGGCGGGTGGATCACAAGGTCAGGAGACTGAAACCATCCTGGCTAACACGGTGAAACCCTGTCTCTACTAAAAATACAAAAGATTAGCTGGGCTTGGTGGCAGGCACCTGTAATCCCAGCTACTTGGGAGGCTGAGGCAGGAGAATCACTTGAACCCAGGAGGTGGAAGTTGCAGTGAGCCGAGATCACGCCACTGCACTCCAGCCTGGGAGACAGAGCAACTCTGTCTCAAAAATAAAAATAAAAATAAAAATAAAAACCCTAAAGAGGTTAAGTAATGTGCCGAGAAACAGAACAAGTGGCAGAGCTGACATATGAAGGTAGAAAGTCTGACTCCAGAGCACAAGTTTGTCACTTTACACTAATTTGTAGTTTCTCTAGGACCATGTCTGTTTTTGACCTCCTTGAAAACTGCTCCTGTGTGACCCCAGCAGTCTTCTGTAGTACTCCTGCAAGTTTCATTCTGAATCTTAGGTACAGTATGATTGGATCCAAGGCAATCATGACATTTATTAAGCATAGCCACCGTGCTAAGTGCTGTTCATTTGTTATGTCATTTAACCTTCACAGATCCTAGTAAGAAAGATAAGGTTATCTTCATTTTACAGATGAAGAAATACAGGCACAAATAATGTGTTCAAGGTCACATTAGAAGAGGAGCTAGAATTTAAACTCGTGTAGTCTGACTCCACAACTCATACTCATGGATGCACAAGTAAGTAGAAAGCCTGAAGAATTCCTCAGGTCTCATACTGTGGGTGAAGTTAAATTATTCAGGCTTTAATTATCCAGGATAGGCGATAAGGGAGTAAGTATGTTTTAGTTATTTATTGCTGCCTAACATATGATCACAAAACTTAGTGGCTTAAAACAACAATCATTTATGGGTTAACAATTCTGTGGGTCAGTATTTGGGCTGGATTTAGCTGGGAAGTTCTTCTGCTGGTTTCACCTGAGCTCATTCATGTGGTGACAGTCACCTGGAAGGTTGGTGGGTTCTTGATGGTCCAGATAAACTCTCTGGTGATCAAGACCAGTTCACAGATGTTTAACCTGTGCAGTGGCATACAGCACTCACTTAGAAGGGTTTATCACTCTGTTGTTGCCGTTTAAAAATTATCAATAATTATGGTACAAGAGATCTCACTGGGCCTTGCAAGTTGGTGCTGGATGTCAGCTGGGCATCTTTCTCCATGTAGACTCTTATCCTCAAAGAGGCTAGCCAGCCAGGCATGGTGTAATCCCAAAACCTTGGGAGGCCAAGGTAGGAGGATCACTTGAGCCCAGAAGTTAAAGACCGGCCTGGGAAACAGTGAGACTCCATCTCTACCAAAAAAAAAAAAAATGCAATTAGCCAGATGTGAGGGCATGCACTTTTAGTCCCAGCTACTTGGGAGGCTGAGGTGGGAGGATTGCTTGAGCCACAGAGGTTGAGGCTGCAGTGAGCCATGATGGCACCAATGCACTCCAACCTGGGTGACAGAGTGAGACCTTGTATCAGAAAAAAGGGAGGTGCTTAGCCCAAGTTTCTTCACATGATGACAGGAACTTTCCAAGAGACTGAGAGCAAGGCTTCTTAAGGTCCAGGCTCAAAATTCCCATATCATTATTTTTTATGCATTTTTTTGGTCAAAACAAGTCATAGGCCAACCCGGACACAATGAAGTAAAGGTCTGGAGTCCATCTCTTAATGAGAAAAACAGAAAAGTCACATTGCACAGGGTCATATATAAAGGGATGGGACAAGATTATGACTATTTATTGCAATCTACCACAGAAGAGATATGTGGTTAAGGTAAAAGGAAATAATTTCAGTTTGGGACATGTTATAGTTGAAGTCTCTCCTGTGGTAAATTCATGCAAAGGTATCCAGTATTTGGATAACATATATGTGTCTAGAACATAGAAGAGAATCCTGGTTGGACATACGAATTTCGGAATTGTCAATATGCAGGTAATAGGTTTCTGAATAAACAGATCAATACTCCCAAAAAGACTGCATTACATGAAGGTGAAGGCTAACAAAGAGATATAGTCAATCCCTTGGGACACCCAAACATCTGAGTGGACTCTTCTTCACATACAGCTCAATCTCCCTCTCTACCTGTGGTCCTATCTACTTTCTGCAGCCAGCTCAAGGTCAGTACCTCTGGGGGAAGTACAGCCTACTCTGATACATCCAGATATGACTGCTTACAGTCCGATGACCCATAACATAAAAGAAAGATACTCAATCCCCACTTTCAACCCAATATGCAAGGTTAGAACAGAAACAGAATTAACCACAATAAAAACTTCCATTTGAAAAATAAAAGAATGGAAACCTGACACAATCAGTAGTCCTTAATTGCTTGTTCGTTTGTTTTCTTTCCAAGCAGAAATCTCTCCACTGGCCATGAAAGAAATTCCTTGATTAGCCTCATCTGGGCCCCTGGGTTCACCCTCTGGGAGGTTCTTCCTTGTGCATTATTCTTCAGGTTAAAAATTGAAGTGGATGTTGGAGAATATGTTTTCCTAGAGACTGCCTTAGGATATGAACAATGACTGGCATTTCCAAGTCAGATTTGTGGTTTCTTTAGCAATAGAATTTCTTCAAAAACTTAGTACAAGGCCAAGTGTGGTGACTCACACCTGTAATCCCAGCACTCTGGGAGGCTGAGGTGGGCAGATCACCTGAGGTCAGGAGTTCAAGACCAGCCTGTCCAACATGGGGAAACCCTGTCTCTACTAAAAATACAAAAAGTAGCTGGGCATGGTGGCACTCACTTGTAATCCCAGCTACTTGGGAGGCTGAGGCACAAGACTCACTTGAACCCAGGAGACAGAAGTTGCCGTGAGCCAAGGTAGTGTGTCTGGAATTGGTGGGTTCTTGGTCTTACTGACTTGAAGAATGAAGCCGCGGACCTTCGCGGTGAGTGTTACAGCTCTTAAGGTGGCGCGTCTGGAGTTTGTTCCTTCTGATGTTCGGATGTGTTCAGAGTTTCTTCCTTCTGGTAGGTTCGTGGTCTTGCTGGCTTCAGGAGTGAAGCTGCAGACCTTCGCGGTGAGTGTTACAGCTCATAAAAGCAGTGTAGACCTAAAGAGTGAGCAGTAGCAAGATTTATTGCAAAGAACGAAAGAACAAAGCTTCCACAGTGTGGAAGGGGACCCGAGCGGGTTGCCACTGCTGGCTCGGGCAGCCTGCTTTTATTCTCTTATCTGGCCTCACCCACATCCTGCTGATTGGTAGAGCCCAGTGGTCTGTTTTGACAAGGCGCTGATTGGTGCGTTTACAATCCCTGAGCTAGACACAAAGGTTCTTTACGTCCTTACTAGATTAGCTAGATACAGAGTGTGGACACAAAGGTTCTCCAAGTCCCCACCAGAGTAGCTAGATACAGAGTGTCGATTGGTGCATTCACAAACCTTGAGCTAGACACAGGGTGCTGATTGGTGTATTTACAATCCCTGAGCTAGACATAAAGGTTCTCCACCTCTCCACTAGATTAACTAGATACAGAGTGTCCACACAAAGGTTCTCCAAGGCCTTACCAGAGTAGCCAGATACAGAGTGTCGATTGGTGCATTCACAAACCCTGAGCTAGACACAAGGTGCTGACTGGTGTGTTTACAAACCTTGAGCTAGATACAGAGTGCCGATTGGTGTATTTACAATCCCTGAGCTAGACATAAACGTTCTCCAAGGCCCCACCAGAGTAGCTAGATACAGAGTGTCCATTGGTGCATTCACAGACCCTGAGCTAGACACAGGGTGCTAATTGGTGTATTTACAATCTCTGAGCTAGACATAAAGGTTCTCCACGTCTCCACTAGACTCAGGAGCCCAGCTGGCTTCACCTAGTAGATCCTGCACCGAGGCTGCAGGTGGAGCTGCCTGCCAGTCCTGTGCCGTGCACCTGCACTCCTCAGCCCTTAGGTGGTCGATAGGACTAGGCGCCGTGGAGCAAGAGGCGGCGCTCATCCGGGAGGCACAGGCCGCACAGGAGCCCACGGAGGAGGTAGGAGGCTCAGGCATGGCGGGCTGCAGGTCCCAAGCCCTGCCCCGCAGGAAGGCAGCTAAGGCCCGGTGAGAAATCGAGCGCAGCGCCGGCGGGCTGGCACTGCTAGGGGACCCAGTACACCCTCCGCAGCCGCTGGCCCAGGTGCTAAGCCCTTCATTGCCCGGGGCCGGCAGGGGTCCGCCAAGCCTACGCCCACCCGGAACTCCAGCTGGCCCGCAAGCGCCCCGCGCAGCCCCGGTTCCCGCTCGCGCCTCTCCCTCCACACCTCCCTGCAAGCTGAAAGAGACGGCTCTGGCCTTGGCCAGCCCAGAAAAAGGGTCCCACAGTGCCGTGGTAGGCTGAAAAGCTCCTCAAGTGCCGCCAAAGTAGGAGCCCAGGCAGACGAGGCGCCGAGAGCGAGCGAGGGCTGTGAGGACTTCCAGCATGCTGTCACCGTTCAGTAGCGCCATTGCAGTCTAGCCTGGGCGACAGTGCAAGACTCCATCTCAAAAACAAACAAACAAAAATGTAGTACAGTAGTCCCCCCTTATTGGCAGAGGATATGTCTCAAGACAATGGATTCCTGAAACCACAATGGTACTGAACCCCATTGCCATCAATCAGAACATGTTTAGATGTCTGCCACCCACAAATTTAATGCCTTTTTCATTATAACAAGACATTAATCACACACTGTGGCTGTAACTTTTGCAATTTGAGGTGCCATAACAAAACTAACATGAATTTTTTTCCTTCTTCACAATCTCATGGACAGAAGATTCGTTCTTACTGTAGATCTTTCTTAATAGTCTCAGCATACAATTTTTTTCTTGCCTTATTAAATTGAGAAATTTTGTCTTTTTATTAAAAGGAAGCACTTTATGGCTTCTCTGTGCTATCTGAATAGCCAGCATCACTAATCTTGTGCTTTGGGGCTATTATTAAGTAAAATAAGTGTTACTTGAACACAAGCACTGCCATACCACAACAGTGGATCATAACTGGGAGGGCTACTAAATGACAAATAGTTGGGTAGCATATACAATATGGACATGCTGTACAAAGGCAGGATTCACCTTCCAGGAGGGATGGCTGGGATAGCATAAGATTTCATCATGCTAGTTATAAGGGTGTACAATTAAAAACTTATGAATTGTCTATTCCTGTAACTTTTCATTTAATATTTTTGGAAATCATGAAAAATGAAACCATGTGGGGACTTGTAGGCTTCTATGCTGTTTGTCACCCATCCATTACATGTGCCAGTGATAGGGACAGGAGGCAGGAAAATTCTGGGCAGAAGAGGGCAGGTCCCCGGTGAGGGTCCCACCTCCAAGCCTGGAACCATGGCCCAAAGAGGGAACGTGCATTCCTGTTTTCCCACTCAAATGTTGCCTTTTCAAAAACTACCCATGGCCTGCCCCACCGTCATCCTGTACCCATAAAAACCCCAGGCTCCACCAGCAGAGAGAAGAGAAAAGGAGAAGGAGCTGGATGTCAGAGAGAAGCAGCTTGACTTCAAAGGGACAGCTTGATGGTGTGGCTTTGGAGAGGAGTCTGACAGGGGATGGCTGGACTCCAGGGGAAGATCACCTTCCCATTCCATCCCTTTTCCAGCTCCCCTTCCCTCTGAGAGCCACTTTCATTGGTAATAAAATTCTCCACATTCACCACCCTTCAATTCGTTCATGAAACCTGATTTTTCCTGCATGCCAAATAAGAGGCATCCCTCCAAAGGCTGTCACACTGACCCTCTGCCCTTGCTGGTGAAGAGCAACTGCCTCATGCAAAACAGCAGAGGGCCCACTGAGCTGTTTAACACTTAAGCCATCCACGGACAGCACAGCTAAAAGCGCACTGTAACACACACTCTCTGGGGTTTTAGGGGTCACAGGTACTCCCCATTAGACACTGCCACGGGGCCTGCACAGAGTTTTGCTCCTGCCGGCACCCAAAAGCACTCACCCCAGCTCCTGCACCTGCTCACCTGCATGCTCCTTCCCATGAGGGGCTGAGCATAATGGGTTCAAGTGAGTGGAGTTTACCCCTGCTAGTGGAGAAATGGCTGGGTAGCCCCAGTGCCCACACTCTGGGTCCTACTCATGAAGCAGTCAGGGAAAATTTCCTGCTTCACCAGGAACTACAATGCAAGTTATTTTTTCAATCTACCTCTTAAATTTGCTTATTCACTAGTTCCTATCATCTACTCATTCATCTTTTCATTGTTTTAATGGTGGCTATTTTAAGATAATCTTAAAAAATAAGTGAGGGCAACTCCCTTAATCTGATCTTTGCTGCAAGGCTAGATCTCTTTCTTTGGCTGAAGAATCTTAATGGGAGGACTTGGAGAAAGTCTCTGAGCAACATTCCAATACCCTGTTTGGACTATAGAAATAATTGAACTTTCCAATACTGGGAGGCCCCAATATTCTGTAAATTCTTCCAAAACCAGACAAGATCAGGCGCATTCAGGGTGGTGTGGCCATAGAGTGTACATTCTTTACTTTCTTCCATCCTGCGTGCAAACCCATCATTTCTTATGTGAGCTCATTGCTTTCTTGAAAAACCTTGCTAAATGCAGCAAAGAGAAACCATTATATATCTATATTCTGGTCTCTTCCAAATGCTTCCCCTAGAATTCAACTACAGAAGGAACATGATCAGCCTTCCAAGTTAAATAGGTAACATTTTTACCAAATGTTTTATCACATCCTAACAAGGATCAACAGTTTCCCAGCCTGAGAGGTCTGTTTCCTCACTGCCAATTTTCTGACTGCTTAGGCAGTACTATGTTTTTGGATTTTAGAAGTTTTCCATTTCCAAGTATCAATTTCTGTATTAGTTAGAGTAAAGGCTAAGAGATCCCAGAATCCAGTGACATAAAGAAAATAGATGTTTCTCTTCCTCTCACCTAACAGCCAGGCCTAGAATAAAAGAGCAGCTCTGTTCTAGGTTTGCCTTTCTAAAATTCAGGTCATAGAGGATCCAGGTTCCTTCCATCTTGTTGTTCCACCCTCTTCTAGGATGTCTTCCCCATCTTCATCATCACAGCTGGTCACAGACATGTCCATGAAAGAGAAAGAAAGCAGTCCAAGGCAAGCCATCTTCCTTTAACAAAGTAAGGCAAAAGTTGTATTCATTGCTCCTAGTTATATTTAATTGGCAAGCACTTACTGACAAAACCACTCCTCACTGCAGAGGAGGATAAGAAATGTAGTTGCCAGCTGAGTGAACACGTGACCAGCAAGAAGGGGAGAACAGTTTTCTGGGGACAACTATTAATCTGCCACAAAAAGTAAAAAGGAAAGATATCCATAGCTAAGAATCCTTAGAAATGCAAAGACCAAAAGGGGATAAATAAGCTTCTTAGACGAAAAGAAAGTGAGAGCCTGAAAAAAACATACAGCAAAATCTAGCTGGTGGGTACCCACGTTTCCGTTTTATGATTTCAAGTACTTTTCTGAATATATTTTATAAATAAAAGTTTTATTTATTTATTTTTTTAAGAGACAGGGTGTGCCTCTGTCACCCAGGCTAGAGTACAGTGGAACCACCATAGCTCACCGCAGCCTTGAACTCCTGGGCTCAAGTGATCCTCCCACCTCAGCCTCCTGAGTAGCTAGGACTACAGGGATGTGCCACCATGCCTAGCTATAATTTTTTTAAAATTTTATTGTAGAGATGGGGTCTCACTATGTTGCCCAGACTGGTCTCAAACTCCTGGCCTTCAGCAATCCTCCTGCCTCTGCCTCCCAAAGTGTTGGGATTACAGGTGTGAGCTACTGTGCTCAGCCAACAGTTTTGTTTTGTTTTTGTAATTTTTAGGAAAGTAGATAGAAAAAGAGAGACCTAAGAAGAATATAAAGATAGAACAATAGTGGTATGAGGAGAATCAAAGAAAATGGTATATTATGTCAATGTCAACATGCTTGTCTAAAAGAAAAGAAAAAAGTCAACAGAAGAAAATAATTTCATAAAAAAGGTTTTTTTCAGTTGGCTAAGAGAAGACAAGAAAGATAAGAAAAGGAAATATTCTTGCTTTCAGATGTCTTATTGTGGAAAGAAAAAAATAATAATATATTTTTTAAAAAGGCAATATTCTTTGGACTTGAAAATACAGATGTTATTAGAGAATAATTATGGTAGAAGTTACATTTCAGTGAATTGGGAAATGAAAATGAACGAGGGAAAATGAGACAGCAAGTATAGCCTGGTCTTTTTTAAGAACACTGGCTTTCACAGAAAGAATCCGACAGTTAAGATGACGACTAGCAATGACTAATTCCATTGGCATGAGTACCACTCTCAGGGGACTGAGCTGGGGTAGCAGTAGTAGGTTGTAAGGTCAAACAGGGAACTCTTCTTTGCCCTCTGAAGGTTTGCTGAAAACTGAACTGACAACAGGCAGATTAATAGGAGAAAAGGGCATACACAGTTTATTTAACCAGCTGGGGGCTGGAGGTGGGGGAAATCACAGGAATGTGGTTACCCGATAACTCAGTGAAGTCCAGATGCTTATATACTCTTCTTCCTAGGGGAAGAGGAGATGGGGAGCAGGGTGTAGGGGAAATGAATGAGGTCAAAAAACAATGGCCTGGAATAAAGTTCCTCTGAACTCTGGAAGAGGTGGCCAGAAGATAAGGGGCAGAACGTCACTGTGAACAAAGGTTGTCTTATACAGAAAAATTCTGCCAGAAAATCTCTTGGAGCTGCCCTCAGAAGAATAAATGAAAAGTCTGTCTGAGCATGGCAAAGATTCCCAGTCTCTTTTTTTATCCGGTGGTAATCTTTCCTGGTTATTTTTTAATTTTTAATTTTTTTTTTTTGAGACGGAGTTTCAGTCTTTGTTGCCCAGGCTGGAGTGCATTGTGCAATC
Source organism: Homo sapiens (assembly GCF_000001405.40). NCBI lineage: Eukaryota > Metazoa > Chordata > Mammalia > Primates > Hominidae > Homo > Homo sapiens. Next base: position 95,086,791 of record NC_000001.11, on the reverse strand, counting down.
TTGGCTCACCAACACCTCCGCCTCCTGGGTTCAAGGGATTCTCCTGCCTCAGCCTCCCAAGTACCTGGGAATACAGGCATGCGCCACCACGCCTGGCTAATTTTGTATTTTTAGTAGGCACGGGGTTTCTCCATGTTGGTCAGGCTGGTCTAGAACTCCCGACCTCAGATGATCCACCTGCCTCAGCCTCCCAAAGTGCTGGGATTACAGGCGTGAGCCACGGCGCCCAGCCTCTTTCCTGGTTATTTGATAAAATTCCTAGGGAGGGGGTCTTAAGACAATTGCATTTCTTTTGTAAAAAAACTTTACTAGTCAGATAAGGAAATTCCAGAGACAGAGTCCCTCCCTGTGCTTCAGAAAGAAAGAGGATCCCAGAGACAAAGGGCAGGGAAAGGTCAGAGAGAGACCTTGGTTCTGAGTCTTATTTCCGAAGCCTTTCAATTTTCTTTAATTCAAGGTACTAGGCATGCCAAAGTACCATATTCCAGGGCATTGTTTTCTAAGCCCCAACAGAGTCCAAAAGACTAGGGTTGTTCACAGTTCTTCTACTGCCCAGGGTTGTCCACAGTTCTTCTTCTACTGCCCAGCATACATATAGTGCACATCTTGGCTGGACACAGTGGCTCATGCCTGTAATCCAGACCTTTGGGAGGCCGAGGTGGGAGGATCTCTTGAGGCCAGGAGTTTGAGACCAGCCTGGGCAACATGGTGAGACCCTGTCTCTACAAAAAAAATTTTTTTAAAGATTAGCCAGGCTGGGCAACATGGTGAGACCATGTCTCTACAAAAAAATAAAATAAAATAAAATAAAATATTAGCGAAGCATGGTGGCATGCACATGTAGTCACAGCTACTCAGAGGGCTGAGGTGGGAGGATCACTTGAGCCCAGGAGTTCAAGGCTGCAGTGAGCTACAATCATGCTACTGCTCTCCAACCTGGGTAAGAGAGAAGAAGAACCGCCTCAAAAAAGAAAAGAAAAGAAAAGAAATGCATCTTGAACAGCCGGAAAAACAGAGTGCTCTGTATCTTAGGTTGGAAAAGTTTTCTCAAAGTTCAGAACTTCTCTTGAATGTGTTGGTTAAAACTTAGAATAACCAGATCTTGGGGCCTCCAGAGATAGTACCCTCTATCTCCACTCTCACAGTCAGTAACTGCCACTGTTGCATGAGATAGATAGCTTGTTCCCTGGAGAGTCAGGGGTCCAAATTGGGTGTAGAGATGAAGAAGGACCAGAAAACACCTTAGCCACAGCTGGAGTTTGGGCAAAGCCCTACCCTTTCAGAACATCAACTGAGGTGGAAGGGGTCAATAAACAAATACATCTGAAGAAGCATATGAATCAGCAACAGTAAATCTTATAAACTTCAGGCACCTTTCTTTGGCAGACTAAACTCGAATATTCAACCGCCCCCTCCCCCACCTTCCATTCTAAACTTCCGTAAGAGACTCAGAGTCAACAAATTCTAAAGTTGGCTCTAATTCTTCAAAGTAGTAGAGAAAGCAGGAATCTCTTGTTCTTATATAATAAAGCCAAAATTCCTTTAAAAAATATTATTTCACAGAGAAAGGATTAGATTTTGTTGTCTCTGAGGAAATTGAATGCTTTTTATTACAACGAGTGCTTACATTCTAAGTGACACAGCTCACTTCTCACATTGGTATGAGAATTCAACCACCATTGGCAGATTCACCGTCAACCTTATTCATGGGGCTTGAGCTCACAGTCCGCTGAAACCCCCAGTTACTGACGTACTCACTCAGATGAAGTCTTAGGCATTGTGATACAGAAGAATAAACCGAGATGAAACGTCTACATTTTTTGGTGGGAAGTGCTTGAATATTTCTGAAGGAGGTAGCCAAGGCCACCAGACTGAGGTCTGGAAGAAAGAAATTCAAGGATGAGAGAAGGCATCAGGGGAGTAAAGAGAATGGTTCTCCTTGTGAGACCTAAGTCTGGAAGATCCCCCCTCTTGAGTGGTCCCTCAACCCTTTTAGAAAGATCAGTGGAGAGCCACCTAGTGGTAGCTGACAGGGAAGGTTGGCCAAGATAAGACAAACCTAATATGCCCCATTTATTTGCAAGCTTTATCAGAGAAAGGATCTGTTCCTGTTAGTTTTCAACCAAGCTCTCAGACACTCTTTGGGTCAGTATATTATAGAGGTACCCAGCATGCACAGGACAGTGTCATTCTAGGGCAAGTCTGTGTCAATATATGACTTCTGAGTCATTGGGAGGGCCATGCTTCCTCCATATGCTGACAGGAACATCCATATAATTCACCAAGAATAGGCTGCCTGACTGCATGTTCAGAATGATCACCTCTCAACATCTGAAATATAACTTTGCTCTGTGCTCAGTAGAAGGCTTCAGTTCCAAGACATAGTCCAACTGCGTAAAAATAGAATGGGAGTGGAAAGGCACTCTGGCGAAGAGATAAAAGGTGTGGTTTAAAGACTGGAGTGCCATTTTAATGTGGCTGGACTGTCTGGCAGTTTAAAGGAGCTTTGCTGAGCCAGACTGATTGAGGAAGGGTTTTATTGATTTTTGCTTTTATTTTTTAATGGGAAAGACTTGAGCTAGTTTTATAGGCTAAGGGTAAAGACACAGTGAGACAGAGTCAGTGGTTCAAGATTCAGGAAAGGATAAATGATGTAAGAAACTGACCATAAAAGAGTTTGTTTAGATTATTAGCATCTTTTCAGAAAGGGAAATTAGAGATTCTTCTACATTTCTAAGTTAAGACACAGTTATTCCACAGTTCCATATGCAAATATTAATCCAGTATTACAAAGTGTGAATACTTTCTCAGGTTCATTTAGGTTATATTTCAACCTATCCCAAACAAATATAATCAGTAAAGAGCCCACTGGAGTGATGGTTTAGAGGAGATGGGAATCTTAGGCTTGCGAAATAGCTAAGTCACTTGAGATTTATATCAAAAAAGTCTGTCAGTAAATTAACAAACCTGTTTTGTTAACAAATTGAGAAGGTATTCATGAAGATTCATCAGCCTAATGTTGATGAAAGATGAACAGGATATTAAATAAGTCATGGAAATGCTGAAAAGAAACCAGGTTAAGAGGCATAGCTAGAGCTGTCTCTCTACTGTTGTAACGTGTTATTGGTTATTTGCACAAAAATTCCAAGAGAAAATAATAATAACCTTTAAGTAGCATATCCGTAATTTTCATTTTGCTGTCTCCTCCTTCTTACTGTAAAACGTGTGTTGTTAAATACATTCCCTTAAGCAACATCACTATATTCCTGAAGTCACTAGATGGCCACGGTACATCCACAGGAAGTTAAGTCAAAGCACCAGCAGTGTTCATTTAACATGGTAAAACCTCCATTTCCTCACCTACAGAATGGGGATAATAATAGTACTTAAGACCATAGGATGGTTGTGAGAGGTGGTTGAGAAAGTACGTACATGCTTACTAAATGGTAGGCAGTGTGTGTTATTATGCATATGATTTTCACAGTAGGTATGCCATGCTTTTTCTTCATATAAAGTTAAGGAATAATGAATACATAAAAAATGAAGAGACACAATTTGTGTGTTTCTATTAAAAACAAAAAGCTCTGTGGCGGCAGACAATAATTCGAGAAAAAAGGGCAATGTACACAATGAAGGAGAAAATAAAAACGTAATGAGGATGCCAGACACAGGCTTTGTGGGGAGGGAGGACTCGGCTGAGGAGAAAATTAATTTAGTAGATTTCAAAGATAAGCAATGTTTAGTGCAGAAACATAATTGCCTTTACTTTACTTATAGGTCAAAAACTGAAAAAATGGTCACTTTGAAAATTAAAGAAGTTGCTATTATTGTGGTTGTCATTAATAAACATTATAATGTGGTATGAATGATGCTTCCCATGCTAGTCCGGGAATGTCCTTTTAAATAATATTTTCATGTTTTGTTAAATTTGGAACTGATGGAGCATTTGGGGTGTACAAGGTTAGGACAAGGGATTTATAAACATGTCTGAAAAGATGTATCTGGGATAAATCAACATAAAGTGAAAAAGAGAAAGAATGCAATTGTTGTGTCTTAGTAATTTCACTAAATTCATCTTAAACAAGGCTTGAGTCAATCTATCTATCTATCTATCTATCTATCTATCTATCTATCTATCTATCTAGAGAGAATCCTTTTTGAATGTACTTGAAGAAAAAGCAAGAAAAAGGAAAAGCAATCCTTGACAGAAATGTTAAAAAAACCACTTAAAAAATCATTGTCCTTCTATTTAACTGTATAAATGAAAAATCAGACATAGTAAATAATATTTCTATCTTGTTTTATTTAATATATAGCACAGTAGCTAGTATAAATATAAATTTTTTTTTCTTTCATTCTTTTATTTTTTTTTTTTTTGAGACGGAGTCTCACTCTGTGGCCCAGGCTGGAGTGCAGTGGCGCAATCTCGGCTCACTGCAACCTCCACCTCCCGGGTTCATGCCACTCTCCTGTCTCAGCCTCCTGAGTAGCTGGAACTGCAGGCACCCGCCACCACGCCCAACTAATTTTTTGTATTTTTAGTAGAGATGAGGTTTCACCATGTTAGCCAGGATGGTCTTGATCTCCTGACCTCGTGATCCACCCACCTCGGCCTCCCAAAGTGCTGGGATTACAGCGGTAAGCCACCACGCCCAGCTGTTTTTTTTTTTTGTTGTTGTTGTTGTTGTTGTTTGTTTTGTTTTGTTTTAAGACAGAGTCTTGCTCTGTCACCCAGGCTGGAGGGCAATGGTGCCATCTCTGATCAGTGCAACCTCTGCCTCCCGGGTTCAAGTGATTCTAATGCCTCAGCCACCCTAGTAGCTGGGACTACAGGCATGCAGTACCACACCCAGCTAATTTTTGTATTTTTAGTAGAGACAGGTTTTCACTATGTTGGCCAGCTGGTCTTGAACTCCTGGCCTCAAGTGATGCCCGCCTTGGCCTCACAAAGTGCTGGGATTACAGACATGAGCCACTGCACCCAGCCTACAATAAATAGTTTTAATGATAATGGAGAAGATACAAGTGTGGGCTATAGAGTCAGACTGACTATGATTAAACCCTGACTCTACCAATTCCTGGCTTTGTAACCCAGAGCAAATGATATGATCTCTCTGTACCTCAGTGTCCTCGTTTGTCAAATGGGTATCAGAAGTGTCTAATTAGCTAATCCATGTTTGGAGTACCTGGCATATAATAAATACACAATGAATGCCCATTATGGTAAGTATTAAATAGTTGCCTTAGCCTTCAAGGGCTAGCATTTGAAGAGTCCTAGGTAGTGGCTTCATCCAGGAAAAGGTTGTGACTCAAATATACATTAGTATATTTAAAAAGGAAAAAAAATCTTGACTATAACTAAGATTATTTGGGTTGTACTAGGACAATTTTTATCACCCATCCTGCCCAATCTTCTAGATGATCTTTAACAGCAAAGTGTGTAACCATCACTCCTGGTGGTCACATGGTCCCAGTTCTGTCTCTGACCCAGACTAAGAAATCCCTTCCAGCTTTATCCTACCTTGTCATGGACAGGCATGATGCTGACCAAAGTGGTGTCCCTGGTTGTTGCATAAAAGCTTCATTCTTTTTTATCTATACTTTTCTACCCTTATTAAGATTGACGATGGTTGAACTCTGCTGGGAAGGGACCTAGCTGCCAGGATCCCTAGCAGCCCACACTCCCAGGCAACCCATAAAAGAACTGGTTGAATGACTTTTCTCCAGGAGGCCCTGTCAAGAGGCATGCAGTTTATACAGTCAGGCTCATTGTTAAGTCACTGCTTGGGTGTTAACTGTTATTACCTTACCACTGTACCCCTCAGTGCCTAGCTTAGTGTGCAGCATTTAATAGATATGAACTGAACTAAAATGAATTGAAAGCCTGCCTACATTCCTATTTACTTAAATCCTCAGACGCCTCTCAGATCATCCATTATCATTCTAATTCCTATCTCTATAGTTCCCCCAATCTGACCCAACCTCTGTTCCACACCACCCTTCAAAGCCTTTCACAGCACCTTTTGGGCATCCTGCTATAACCTGCAAATTTTCCCTCTATCTTAAGCTTCTCTTTGAATGTCTTCTTCACTTCCCTTCTTAAGCTGAAGGCTTGCTCTCTCACACTTCCCCAGTATGTCTCTCAAATAGAAGCCTTTTGTTTCTCACTCCCACAGGAGGCGGGGAGGGCATCCCTCTTTCTCTCTATTGCTGCTTCCACACCATTCTCCTCCTTCTTTCAAACTCCAGTTCCTTTAAAGTACTTGCCATGTAGTTTTATCACCTTGTATCAGTCAGTATCTGTATCCCCAATAGCATACAGGTGGCACACTTGTATCAGGTTAATTTGAGGATGAGTTATAAAGGGGTTATTTACAAAGGTGTGAATGTGGTAGGGAAAGAACAAGGGATGGTGCAGTAACCTAGGGCTAGTAACAGTGGAGCTGGTACCACCCCCTAGATCTGAAGGAACAAAGAAAGGAAATGCGGGGACCCTGAAGAAAATATATGTATAAAAAAGGCCATATCGAAAATAGCAGAAACCTTCAGTTCAGGGACACAGCCTTCCCTCCATCAGATCTTCTGCTGAAGATCATCACTGGCCAAACTCAACAAGAATCAGAGGGCAAGGAAACCGGTTGATTTAGTCCCTAAGTCTCAGCTAACATGGAACTGAGTGAAGTGGGAAAGCATGGAGAATGAATCTGGAGAGACAGATGGAAGATATCCAGCTCATACCCAATGATCTTTTTAATTGCTACCACTCTCCAATTTTTTACTCTTTGAACACATGAGCTCCTAGCTAATTATTTTCCTCTCTACCCCTCAGTGATTTCAGGATGCAGTGATATTTTTCATCCATTCCCAGTGATACTCTAAATACTACTACTGGTAATAACACAACATTCACTTCAAGCATTCCACTCTCTGACCATCTCTTATGTCTACAGTTCACTTACTCTAGTTCTTTCATTGCAATTTTTCAATCTTCTGGGGGCCTCCAATCCACAGATCTTACTACCATGCTACTATTCATCCACTCCCCCACCCCCACCCTCCTGTCTTCATTTTCTACTAGGATTACATGAAATTCCACAGACCTCACTCCCTTGAAGAGCGTCTTCTCTCTCCTTTGTATTCACCCATCAATGCTCCAACTCTAGTCAACTGCCTTGGTATATTTGTGCTACTATAACAGAATACCTGAGACTGGGTAATTTATAATGAACAGAAATTTATTCCTCATGGTTCTGGAGGCTGGGAAGTACAAAATCCAAGGCTGGCAGAAGGCAGAAGGCAGAAGGGCAAAAGAACACAAAGAGAGCAAGAGATGGAACTTGCAGCATCAAGCCCTTTCATAATGGCACTATTCCACTCATAAGGGTGGAGCCCTCGTGAACTAAACACCTCCCATTAGGCCCCACCGCCCAACAAAGTTCCACTGGAGGTTACATTTCAAACACATGCTTTTTGGAGGACACAGTCAAACCATAGCACCAACTATCTGCCTTTTCCACTGGGGGGAAAATATATAAAATTATGCTGACTAGTTTCTCATTATATTTGCTATCAGAAGCCTCAAATGGGCATTATAATCTGCCCAGAAATCCTACACTGGTCCTGGTGAGTGTGCCAATTACTCTTTAAGATGATTATTTCATACCTTGTCTTCCTTCAAGCTTCCCACACTGTACACTCTCCACACTCTCATTGACTCACCACAGATTCTACAAACATCCCTATATCTACATTCATCCCTGTTCTCCATTCTGTTACGACAGAATGAGGGTCGTTCCTCCTATCAAAGTCCAACTTCCCCACTTGTGCTCCAGGTTCCAAACCATTCCATCTTTTGAAGATATTTATTCCTGTGCTCATTCTTTTTCCCTCCCACAGCAATTTTCCTCTACCGCCTCTTTTTAACATCAATATGTCAATTAACTCCCATCTTAAAAAAATAAGGTTCCTCAATTCCAAATGCTCCTCCATCTCCCACCCAATTTATCCATTCCCCTCAAAGAAAAACCTGCGATAACTGGAGACTGTTTTTTTTTTCTTTTTCATGTCCCATTCTTTCTTTTCATTTCCATCTGCCTTCCATCACTACCTTATTTAGATCTCCAGTGACTAACCTGTTCCCAAAATGTCTGATCCCACCTGTCAACAGCATGTGACATAGCTGACTGCACTCTCATTCTTCAATTATTTTCCTTTTTTGGTTTTTGGGGACACCATTCTTTGCTAATTTTCCTCTTATCACCCCTTTTCTTTTCCATCTTCTTTGCTGGCTCAATTTCCTCTACTAGACCTCTGAATGTTAGTGCCTCCAGACTCTTCTCTATCCTGCACTGTCCAATACAGTAGCCACTAGCCACATGTGTCTATTTAAATTTAAAATAATTTAAATGAAATAAAACTCATTTCCTCAATCACACTAGCCATATTTCAATTGCTTAAAAGGTACATGTGGATAGTATACAACATGGATACAGAACACTTATATCATTGTAGAAAGTTCTATTTGACAGGACTGACCTCAACTCTTCTTTGGTGATCTCACCCAATCCGATAGCTTTAAATACCATCTATACGCTAATGAATTCTAAATTTATACCACTAGATCTGACCCAAGCTTCAGGTCTGCACATAAAACTGCCTATCTGACATAACCACTTGGATGCCTAGCAGGTTATTCAAACTAAAGTCAAAAACAGACCACTTCACTTTCATCATCTCCTCCCCTTCCCCTACCCACAAAAGCTTGTTTCTCCTTCAGTCTGTCTATTCTTTGCATATAATACCACCTAACCAGTTTTGAATCAAAAAATCTAGGAGTCATCTGGATTCCTCCTTGTTTTTTAATCCCCAATATCTAATCCCTTAACAAGTTTTATTGACTCTACCCATAAAATGTATATCAAATCTGACCTCTTCTCCCTCCACTGTTATCTCCCTAGTCCAAAGTTTTTGCCTGGACCACTGTCTTATTTATATGACATCCCCTGCACCTAAAACAGTGTCTGGCACATAGCAGATGCTTATTAAATATGTTGAATAAATTAACATGTACAATCCTACAGAAAAGTACAAAATTATCTGAACTTCTAAAATAACTTTAAAAATGTGCATGAGTAATATTTGCTGTAGAAACTTTGGGAAATAGATTTAAGAGGAGAATAAAAATTGTCCAGGTGTGGTGGCTCATGCCTGTAATCCCAGCACTTTGGGAGGCCGAGGCGGGCAGATCATGAGGTCAGGAGTTCGAGCCCAGCCTGGCCAACATAGTGAAACCCCGTCTCTACTAAAAATACGAAAAATTAGCCGGATGTGGTGGCAGGCGCCTATAATCCCAGCTACTAAGGAGGCTGAGCGAGGAGAATGGCTTGAACCCTGGAGACGGAGGTTGCAGTGAGCTGAGATCGCGCCATTGCACTCTAGCCTGGGCGATAGAGTGAGACTCTGTCTCAAAAAAAAAAAAAAAAGAAGAGAATAAAAATCACCTCCCAGGCTGAGCTACGTGGCTCACACCTGTACTCCCAGCACTTTGGGAAGCTGAAGCGGGTGGATTGCCTGAGTTCAGGAGTTTGAGACCAGCCTGGGCAATGTGGTAAAACCCTGACTCTACAAAAAATACAAAAATTAGCCATGCATGGTGGCATACACCTGTAGTCCCAGTTACTTGGGACACTGAGGTGAGAGCATCTCCCGAGCCCAGGGAGGTTGAGGCTGCAGTGAGCTGAGAGCGCATCACTGCATGCCAACCTGGGTGACAGAGTGAGACCCTGTCTCAGAAAAAAAAAAAAAAAAATCACCTCCCAGACATGCTTTACTTATGACTGGTTATAGACCACATATCGTTATTCATTTTGTCAACTATTAACATAGTTTTCATGCTTTTTGCAGCACTATAATTTACTTCCATGAATCTGTTAAATGTACTGTCAGCGCAACTCATCTTCCCAAGAGAAATTTTAATTGTTGCTTCTTCTCACTCAGTCTTAACTTTCCTGATTAATCCACTATAGCTTTTTTTTTTTTTTTTTGAGACAGAGTTTCGATCTTGTTGCCCAGGCTGGAGTGCAATGGCACGATCTCAGCTCACTGCAACCTCCCCCTCCCGGGTTCAAGCAATTCTCCTGCCTCAGCCTCCTGAGTAGCTGGGATTACAGGCATGTGACACCATGCCCTGCTAATTTTGTATTTTTAGTAGAGACGGGGTTTCTCCATGTTGGTCAGGCTGGTCTGAAACTCCCGATCTCAGCTGATCCACCCTCCTCAGCCTCCCAAAGTGCTGAGATTACAGGCATGAGCCACCGCACCTGGCCTTTTTTTTTTTTTTTTTTTTTTTTTTTTTTTTGAGACAGGGTCTCTGTCACCCAGGCTGGAGTGCAGTAGTGCAAATATGGCTCACTGCAGCCTTGATCTCTTGGGTTTAAGCAAACCTCCCACCCCAGCCTCCTGAGTAGCTGGGACTACAGGTACACACCACCATCATGCCTGGTTAATTTTTTACAGAGATAGGGTCTCACTCTGTTGCCTTGGCTGGTCTCAAACTCTGAGGTTCAAGTGATCCTCCTGCCTTGGCCTCCTAGATTGCTGAGATTACAGGCATGAGCCACCATGCCTGGCCCACTACAGCTTCTTGACTTCTTGATTATCTATACATTCTGTGTCTGTCACAGCCCAGGACTTGGCTTACCCAGGTGACATTTTTGGCAGGAATTCTCAGCTATGTTCCTGTCCCTGCCTGCTACCTAGCTGCTCCCTGCAGTTCTCAACTTTCTTGGCAGGAAAACTAAAGAGTTTTATGATCACCTTAATTCAGAATAATTCAACCAATAAGTCCAAACAATGTCTGGTACCCCACCCTCTTTGATTCTCTGCATTTCCTTGCAAGCCCCCAATGTTTGATTGCTTCCATTCATTCCAGCTACATGCCAAGTGTGGTCAAACTAATATTTCCTACAGATATAGGTAATTATAATAGTGAGGGGATGAAGTAATGGGAAATGCAAGGGTGTCCTCCAAGTATTAAATCTACCTTAATATAGAGCTTGGGGCCTGGAGCTAAGTAATTATCATATGCCTGACATTTTCATTGCATGTGTCAGTTTACAAAGCTGTTTCAGACACATCATCATCACAGCAATCTAGATGCTATTGTTTGCCTACCCAACAACCCTCCCTGCAGCTTCCTCCTCACTGAGAGAATGCCTATTTTGTTCAGTACCCACCCTCCATCCAACAGCCATGTATTACAGGTGAGTTGTAGATCATCCTCCTCCCACCTCCACCAGCTTTGAAGTCGCTTTCCTTTTATGCCTGGGAAAGTGATATAAGTATGGCCAAAAGGAGTGAAAGAAAGTCTGCTGTGAGGGGTTCTAGAATAAGTTTCCTTGCCTTTAAAAAAATAAAAAATAAAGCAGGCCGGGCGTCATGGCTCACCCGTATAATCCCAGCACTTTGGGAGGCTGAGGTGGGCGGATCATGAGGTCAGGTTCAAGACCAACCTGACCAACATGGTGAAACCCCGTCTCTACTAAAAATACAAAAATTAGCTGGGTGTGGTGGCGCATACCTGTAGTCCCAGTTACTTGGGAGGCTAAGCCAGGCGAATTGCTTGAATCCCAGAGGTGGAGGTTGCAGTGAGCCGAGACCGTGCCACAGAGCAAGACTGGGGGGGAGGGGCAAAAAAGACCCGACAAGATAACCTCTTTTTTGGCTATGGAGATTGCCCTGTTGGATGTAACCATCCACACATCCCATTCTGGGACCACTAGTGTCTTAAGTATCAGGTAAGACTGTTTCAGGTTGAAGACATTATTAGGAATGGCAGAGTGGGCATATACAAGTAAATGATACTCCTTGTATTATCCTTGAGCTGTTTTTCTTACTACACCAAAGACCCTACCTCTGGACTTCCAACTACGCATTTGTAAGCCCAGAGAATTCTGATTCCATTAAAATTTGAGAGACACTGACTTCTAAGTCCACAACTATGAACTTTCTCCACCCTTACTAGCTAAGTAGACTTAGGCAAATTATTTAACTTTTATGGAATCTACTTCTTTGTCTGTAAAAAGGGAACTAATATCCACTTTAAGGTCTTACTGCGAGAATGTATAGTTAAGAAGATTTGATGGAGCCGGGCGCAGTGGCTCATGCCTGTAATCCCAGCACTTTGGGAGGTAGAGGCGGGCAGATCACCTGAGGTTAGGAGTTCGAGACCAGCCTGGCCAACATGGTGAAACTCTGTCTCTACTAAAAAAAAAAAAAAAAAAAATAGCCAGGCATGGTGGTGCATGCCTGTAGTCCCAGCTACTTGGGAGGCTGAGGCAGGAGAATCGCTTGAACCTGGGAGGTGGGGGTTGCAGTGAGCCAAGATTGTGCCACTGCACTCCAGCCAAGCGACAGAGTGAGACTCTGTCTCAAAAAAAAAAAAAAAGAAAAGAAAAGAAAAGAAAGAAGATTTGATGGAAGACAATTTGGAAAGTGTTGTAAGGTCCACGGACTCTACTCACAAAGTCTCCCAAACTTGCTTGCTGATAGGAATGGACACGCTGGTTACATAAGCTAATCCCAGGTGCCCGATCCCCGGAAATTCTGATTCAGTGTTTCCTAATGGACCCTGGGAGTCTGCACCTTTAATAACACATTCTAGGCTCCAGGTAAGTGTGGTGATCAGGCAAGTTTGAATTTAGCAAAGGAATACAGGATGCAGTACTCCTGTCCAGCAGGACTCAGATTTCTGGTTTCTGATTCTAGATCTGACGCTATTCCACTTGGGCAAGCAGTTGCACCTTTCTGAACCTTTTTACTCATCTGTATACCTGTTCAATATAACCTACAGGTAGGTCTATGGTGGACCGAAGGCAAATTATATTTGGGGTGAAGGGGCTCCTGATCTTAGTATTTTATGTTGTCGTAATGTGGATTAATTAGACATAATTAATTTATTAACAATTAATTAATTAGACATAAGCAAAATTGAGATTGAAGGGGGTGTTGGCAGATCATCATTTTGGCTGAGGACATGAGAAACACACTGGAAATGCTTTGTGATAAAATTAACTGAATATTAATTGTAGGACTGTGCCTTGTCTATCCTGCTACCTAGAGCCACTGAGCTTTGCAATCCTCTTAGGAGTGTGGCTTACCTTTAGGTGGTCACCCTCAACTACTCTGGTCACACTGAGAGCTGTGAAAACCTCGAGAAAAGTTAAAAACATACATGTTGGGAGACAGGGGGTTTGGATGAGGGCCCTAAATTCGATGTTTAAGCCTAGGGTCCTTACTGGCGAACACTTTCAGTAATGTCTGTGTGCAACAGAAACATTTCTCTTGGCATTAAAAAAAAAAAAAGAAAGAAAGAAAGGATGTATTCCCTTAGCTTCAGGTGGCATTCACGAAGTTGACAGAGCCAGAACACCTCCTAACTGGGGAGTTTCGGGACCTTTAGGGCGCAGAGACTGCCTGACCTCGTCGTGGGCGTAAATCAAGCTTCCCCAGCGCTTAACTTTACAATTTTCAGCTTACGCTTGGCTGCAGCTGCGCACAATCCGCGCAGAAGCAGGGGTTCCGCTGACAAACGTGAACGTACAGAACGTAGAAACCTTTTAACGCTAATATGCAGTTTCCCTGTATGGCTGTTGTGCATTATTAATCTAGGTATTGCGTATTTAGTTTAGGAAACACGAATACTACATGATAAATGAGGTAAAATGGATTGTGACTGGGACCTCAGCTTCTCCGTCGCCTCCACTCCTCCCAGCTCAGGAAAGACCAGCCCACCAAGACGTGCGTCCTCCGCGTTTGAGTCGCTTCGGCACCCGTAGTTGTGAACTTTGACAGCGGCTGGTCCCCGGAAGTTGGACGCATGCGCCGTTTCTCTGCATGGTGTGCGTTCTCGTTCTAGCTGCGGCCGCAGGAGCTGTGGCGGTTTTCCTAATCCTGCGAATATGGGTAGTGCTTCGTTCCATGGACGTTACGCCCCGGGAGTCTCTCAGTATCTTGGTAGTGGCTGGGTCCGGTAAGTATCGAGGAGGCGACTGTCGGACTTGGGTTGGTCACTACAAACCCCAGAGTGCACCGCGACGCTCTTCCCTGGTACCCTTAGCACTTCTTGGAGTGTTGCATGCAGAGATTTGTAGTTTCTCTGCCTTGCCGGAACCGGGCAGTCCAGCCAGGGTAGGGGCTGGTTTGCTGACGCGGCCCAGAGGTTTTTTTTATGACAAGTAATTTACACTTGTCTATAATTAAGACTCTCTGTAGCGTATATTTTTCAAACAATTAGTGAACAGAGAACGTAGAAGCCTTTTGATGCAAACATGCAGTTTCCCCGTATGGCTGTTGTGCATTATTAATCTAGGTATTGCGTATTTAGTTTAGGAAACACGAATGCTACATGACAAATGAGGCAAAATGAATTGTCACATTTATAAATATACAAAGTCCAAGAGGATAAAAACAATGATCTACGGGCTGTAGAACAATACACACGCGGTGGCAGAGTGTGAGCAACACACTGACCTGTCAGGTAATACAATCTAAATCCACCAACTCTGTAGGTGCTTACAATTTTAAATACACATATTTGACAGGGACAGACAGACACACACAGACACAATGTAAACATTTGGGTATGGCAGGAGATTGCATCCAGATAGAACATGTATAGTATGAGTAAATGTACTAAGTTTATGTTCAAGTATAACGCATTACTTTATTCACTTAATCTGTTTTGAGCTGTTAGAAAGACCAAACACTAAACTAACCTCTGGAAATAACAAAACTGACTAACATTACTTGCCACGGAGTGCTGACTCCGTGCTAAGTCCTGTGAGAGATGCAAAGATACAGCAGTAAATGAAATAGAGAATACAAAAAAACTAACAGAAAATAAATCAAAATGAGTATTTGCCACAATGAGATAAATGCTATAATCTTGTAATAATTGTGTAAGAAGTACAAATTGCTATGGCAGTCTTCAGGAAGGGCACTACTTTATCAGGTCTTAAAAAACAGACAGCTTCCTGGAAGAAATGATGCTAAACTGAAACTTGAAAGATGACCCAGAATTAGTCAGATGAGGGACAGCCAGGGTTTCGAGGGCTGGGAGGATGTGAAAAGAAGGTGATAACACTTGGAATGACCAGAGTTGAGAGAACACTATCGTGTAGAGTTCAATGTAGGGAGGTAAACTGAGTCCAGATTGTAAAGAGTATTTAAAATCTTGCTTTTTTTCTTTTTTATACAGAGTCTCACGCTGTTGCCCAGGCTGGAGGGCAGTGGCGCAGTCTCAGCTCACTGCAACTCCACCTCCCAAATTCAAGCCATTCTCCTGCCTCAGCCTCCCGAGTAGCTGGGATTACAGGCGCACCACCACACTCAGCTAATTTTTGTATTTTTAGTACAGACAGTGTTTCACCATGTTGACCAAGGCTGGTCTTGAACTTCCGACCTCAAGTGATCCTCCTGCCTCAGCATCCCAAAGTGCTGGGGTTGCAGACGTGAGCCACCCCTGGCCTAAAATCCTGCTTTATAAAGCAATTGCTGCTACTCCACTGTTGATATCATGTAGGGGTTAAGACCACAGGCCTCTAGGTTGTCATAACACCACACATGAATCACATTTCTGCCACTTACTACCTTGGGGATCTCAGGCAATTAGTTAACCTCGCTGAACCTTCTGTTTCTACATGGGTTGAGAGAGGACAGGAGAGATTAAATAGGATCATATTTAAAGTGTTTAGGCCGGGCGTGATGGTTCACACCTGTAATCTCAGCAATTTGGGAGGCCGATACAGGCGGATTGCTTGAGCTTAGGAGTTGGAGACCAGCCTGGGCAACATAGTGAAACCCTGTCTCTACATTAAAATAAATAAATAAATTAGGTGGATGTGGTGGCATGCACCTATAGTCCCAGCTATTTGGGAGGCTGAGGTAGGAGGATCACTTGAGTCTGGGAGGTGGAGGTTGCAGTGAGCTGAGATTGTGCCACTGCACTCCAGCCTGGTTGACAGAGTGAGACCCTGTCTCAAAATGAAATAAAATAAAATGATATAATCAAAAGCTTAAATTAAAAAATAAAGTGTTCAGTAAAGTGCTTGACATATAGTGTCAACCTAAAATAATCAAAGGGCTCAATATCCAGTTAGAAGAGTTTATTCAAGCACAAAGCGTGAGATTGGGTGTCTGGGGAGCAAACCTATACCAAAGAATGTAATCAGTGCTCCCCATGTGGGGAAGAATGAAGGTAGTTTGTATACGCAAGAACAGAGATGCTGAACAAAATTACAATATTTTCCATACAAAGGCCAACATACAGATACAAGATTTGGTTGGCTACTGTAAGGGCCAAGGGGAAACTTCCCTTTTGCCCTCTGAAGTTTCACTGAAAATCACTGATGAGGCAGAAATAATAGGAGAAAAGGCATACAAATTTATGAAGCATATATGAAAGTGTTCTGAATGAAGACCCAGAGATACAAGGGAAATGGTCTGTTTTTATGCTTAGGTTCAGCAAAGTATGGACAGCCATGTAGAATTATGACTGGACAAAAGGGTATAATTTAATGCTAATAGACAGTAGGGAAGCCCAGCAAGGCCTGTCTAGATTTTTCTTGGTCTCTCTGAGCATGCATTCCTTTCCTTCTGGATGTGGGGTAGGGCCCTCTCTGGAATGGGGGTCTTATGACCTACCGTCAAACAAGGTAGATCAGATAATTTTTTTAATTTAATTAATTAATTTTAAAAATAGAGATGGTGTCTTGCTATGTGTGCCAGACTGGTCTTGAACTCCTGGCCTCAAGCAATTCTCCTGCCTTCCAAAGCGCTGGGATTAAAGGTGTGAGCCACCTCGCCCAGCTCCCCAGCTCGGATAATTTCTTTATGGCCAGTTTTTACACAGAAAGGTGGAGTAAAATTAGAGTAGTATTTTTAGGTTTTATGACCAGCTTTTGGGAGAAGGAGTTCTTGGTTTCTGTGACCCGCCCTGGGGAAGAGAGATTCTAGTTTCTATGGCAAGCCTCAGGGGAGTATGGGACTGAGAGACAGAGGACAGGAGAAGGCCAGAGAAAAATTTTTGCTTCTAAGGCCTTCATTTTGGGATATTATTTTCTAAGTCCCAACACTACTATTGATTACACACTAAGGGATTTGTTTAACATTCTGGTATAAGGAGGTAACAATCACAAAGGCCTCTATCTCCAATGTCATTTAGTCTAGGTTTGAATAAAGACTAGGGAATCTGGTTAATGTATAACATCTCAACACAAAGGTCAGGAAGCAACAGACATACACCAAAGAGAAAAAGCCATGTTACATGAGTCAGTTTCCAGGGCTTAGCTTTTCCCCTTGGCATAATAAATTTGGAAGGTCTTGACATTTTCTTTTCTTTTTACATAAGCATTTAATAAATGGTTACTGTTATTAGTCTTGGTGGCAAAAGGAGCTTTTGAAGTTTTGTTTTGGTTTTTGTTTTTAAGACAGACTCTTGTTATGTACCCAGGCTTGCCTCTAAATCCTGGGATCAAGCGATTCTGAGACAGCCTCCCGAGTAGCTGGTACCACAGGCACGTGCCACCGCACATGACTTATCTTTTTCAGTGGAGAGTCACCCACTTCAAGCCTGCATTGTCAAAAGAATGTCTTGACAAAGACCGAAGTAGAGAAACAAATAGGAGCCTTTTGAATATTTCAGATAAGGATGTGAAAAGAAGGTGATAGCACTTGGAATGGCCAGAGTTGAGAGACTGGAGTCTGACTGGAGTGATAGGTGTGGGGCTGGAGAAAAGCAATCGCATTCAGATGAGATTGGAAGATTTTAGGAGTTAAATCCACAACTGTGGATTGAAAGTAGAGGATGTGGGAGGGAAGGACTGAAGGGTGATTTCCAGGTTTCTGACTTGAACAAATGGATGGATGTTAGAACCATTCACTTGATAGTGTTACATTTGGTGGACTAGAAACCAAAATTAAGGTTGATAATTCACCTGGCAAATGGTGCCTTCATTCAGATTATTGAGGGTAGGAAGGTATCAAGGGCCTGAAAGAACCATGCCAATTAAAGGAAGACTTGTAATCAAATAAGCAGTTTAATAGTTCATGCCCAAAATTTTGGAGGAGGCAGAAGGCATTTTCAATATTTACCTTGAAGACCAAGCGACATTTACTCTTTAGATATCATAAAATATTATTAGTAGGCCAGGCACTGTGGCTCACGCTTGTAATCCCAGCAATTTGGGAGGCTGAGGTAGGTGGATCACCTGAGGTCAGGAGTTCAAGACCAGCCTGGCCAACATGGCAAAACCCCATCTCTACTAAAAAATACAAAAAAATTAGCTGGGCATGGTCGCAGGTGCCTGTAATCCCAGCTACTCAGGAGGCTGAGGCAGGAGAATCGCTTGAACCCAGGAGGCAGAGGTTGCCGTGAGCCGAGATCACGCCTGGGCAACAGAGCAAGACTCCATCTCAAAAAAATAAAAAATTATTAGTAGATCACTTCTGTTCAGAGAACATTTGCCAAAACTACTTTTCTTTGAAACATAATACAGCCTTCTTAGGCAAATGTTAGATTTAATATCAAACATTCATTCTTTCATTCAATAGGACAGCCTGCTATTTCTAGGAATAGGAGGTACAGCAGTAACAAACACAAATCCCTGCCCTCATAGTATGGTGCTTGCCTTCTAGTGAGGCATGGATAGAGGGAGATAAAAAGCAAAACAAATAAATAGACTACATAGTAAGTTATGCAGTGATAAACACTACGATTTGGGGAAGGGGCATTGCTTTTTTATGAAGATTGTCAGGGAAAGCCTTCTTGGGGAGATGACAGCCAACAGCAAGGAGGCTAGAGTGATTAGAGTAGACTGAGTAAGCGGGGAGGAACAGGAGATGAGCTCCAAGAGGGAACATAGTTGAGGTCAGAGTATAAGAAGCCTTTTATTTCACATGAGACATGAAGCCACTGGAGGATTTTGAGCAGAAGTAAATAATTTGATCAACTCGAATAGGGTCACACGGGATGTTATGTTGCGATAGACTGAAGGGGAAGTGGGTCAGGGAACAGATCAAGAAACTGTTCATAATCCGTATGAGAGGTGATAGTGGCCTGGAGCAGGGGAGTAGCAAAAGAAATGGTGAGAAATGATTGGATGCTGGATGTATTTTAAGGTAGAACTTAGAGATTCTTATTCTCAAAAAAAATGTATCAATAAAAGAGTAAAATGGAAGACAAAATCCATCATTTTAATGACTTTATTCAGTAACAAGTTTAAATTTTCAGTGAATATACTGTCAAGCTAAATAACAGAGAGAGATTCTCCAAAGATAATAAGTGTATTCAAGAGTAAGCATTGTAGTGTGGAACACACATGCCGAGTAAACTATGGGCACATTCAAAGAGGCAAGGGAAGACAGCAATTTTTAAAGCTAAAATGGGGAGGGTTACATAAGTTGTTTTGAAACAATTATCCTTGCTTACAGGGATCAATAATAAGGGTGGCATCAGTCCAAGGTTAGGCAGGCAACTGCTGGGCAGATGTCCTTGCAGAAGTTTTTTTTTGCATAAGGTTGCAGTGGCCTTTGTACAAGGTTGTGGTTTTGGTATAGTCTTTTGTAACAGTTCTTGTTTTCAGGCGATTGAGCATTAAGAACCCTTCCTTCATGGCCTTTCCCAGCTCCATTTTGTCACAAGTGACTCTATTTTTATCCTGACAACTTTCACAGTATTCAATGAGGGTTTCCTTAAAAAATAAAAATAAAAATAAAAAGTTTAAAAAAGGAAATAAAAGACTATTAAAGCAGGTATAATGAAGTTTTAATTGTAGTGGAAGATGTTGTGGATATTAGGTTTTATCCTTAATTATTCCAGCTGTGAAAACAAATACCTACTTGGAGTACCACCACTTGTTTTTTTTTTCTTTTTTGAGACAGAGTCTCGCTCTGTTGCACAGGCTGGAGTGCAGTCTCAGGTGATTCTCCTGCCTCAGCCTCCTGAATAGCTGGGATTACAGGCATGAGCCACCGCACCTGGCCTAACTTTTTTGTTTTTTTTCGAGGCTAAACCAAAGATACTAAAATGAGTATAAACCAGATGTGTAAATTATATGCCCCAGTCAAGAAGATGGGTGACAGGTTATAAAGCTAATGTATGATTTTAATTCCTGAAATTCACACTAAATCTATGCCAAATTTGTTTCTATATATAATTCCTTCTGGGATCTAGAACGAAATCCTTTCCTTTCTACTATTAAAAAAAAATGTGGGCTTGGCATGGTGGCTCACGCCTGTAATCCCAGTACTTTGGGAGGCCGAGTGGGTGGATCACCTGAGGTCAGGAGTTCAAGACCAGTCTGACTAATGTGGTGAAACTCTGTCTCTACTAAAAATACAAAAATTAGCCGGGCGTGGTGGCACACGCATGTAATTGCAGCTACTCGGGAGGCTGAGGCAGGAGAGTCGCCTGAACCTGGGAGGTGGAGGTTGCAATGAGCCGAGATCACACAATTGTATTCCAGCCTGGGCAACAAGCGTGAAACTCCACCTGGGGGGAGGTGAGGGGGTGGAGGGAATTTGTGTTGGGGGAAAACTCATGTTTAATTTATCTTTGTTTGTGTTCTTGTATCACTATATACTCTTTCTTACAACAATAAGGGAGGTGGGGTGGAGGAAGCCTTGTAGGTAGGGGGAGCAGCATGACCAGAGGCAAGGAGTGAGTAACGAATAAGGTGAATGCAGAGAATGTTGAAGACATCAACCTGACTGAGGCAGAGAGCTTGTGAAACGAGACTGAAATGGGTGTGATAGGGCTCCTTGATAAGGAGTTTGACTGTTGTGCTTAAATCGTTTATAGATAGGTAGATATTCTATTGTTGTTTTCATAAACAATGTTTTCATTGTCTCAATGAACATAGTTGATTTTTAAATTTATGCTTTCAAAATTAATGTATTAAAATTTTGGAGATTATATTATTTCAGAAACTGAACATTACTCATTTGGTGAAGCTGATAAATATTTGAGGACCTGCAGTGTGCTGAGACCTCTCATAGGAGCTGGGGTTACAGTGGTGAACAAAAGATGTTTCTTAGGAAGGCCCAAGCCCTGCTGATCAGCGCTCATGCCCCCTTCACCTTACTTCTCTACATAGAACCTTCAGTGACTGGCTTCCCTTTTCCCATCCTGCTTTCGTGCCTTATTTCACCTGTACCCTTCTTCCCAGTATTGCTATCACTCTTTGAACACATGTTTCAGATCTTGTCATCTCATGCCCTAACAATCCCCATCTCCACCCAGTGGCCTCCCTACTCCTATCTCTCCATTATCTTCACCTTTCAAGTCATCTCAGCCTTTTCCGGGGTTCTTCCTTATTTTTAAGGCATTGATTTTTCATAACCATTTGCTTACCCTTCACATTTTAGTTTTTCTTACTGTCTTGCATCTTCTTTGTCTTCATATATGTGTCTTGCCCCTTTCTCACCAGTCTTCTTGATAGCAAGAGCTATGTCTTATACTGTTTTGTGCCTTCCTTAGTACCTACTGCTAGTGCTGATTTTATTTTTATACATGTATTATCTGCTTTTGATATAAAAGTTGTATTTATACGAGGGCATAGATTTATTGTTTTCAAATGTTCCTTGTGTCTTCTGAGAAATATACAATTACAGTGCCCCCCCACCCCCAACCTGAAACCATGATATTGGTATAACATGGTCAAATGGATATGTCCATTGTGGGTTTCTTAATCTTAGGACTTCTGATATTTTTTCCAGGTGGGCATACCACTGAGATCCTGAGGCTGCTTGGGAGCTTGTCCAATGCCTACTCACCTAGACATTATGTCATTGCTGACACTGATGAAATGAGTGCCAATAAAATAAATTCTTTTGAACTAGATCGAGCTGATAGAGACCCTAGTAACATGGTAAGTGACAATTTCTATTTCTAAGAAAATTACAAGTTGCACATTGAGTTTAATTGTCTCTAGTAATAATCTCATGGCACTTCAGTGCCCTACCCACAATGGGCAGTCAAATGTTTGCTGGTGATGAAATACATTTCCTTTGCTACCAAAAGATATGAATTTCTATAAAATAAATCTTCAAATTAAAAAATGGTTGCTTAGCACATCAAAAAGTTTATCCACCATGATCAAGTTGGCTTCATACCCGGGATGCAAGGTTGATTCAACATACGCAAATCAATAAATGTAATTCATCACATAAACAGAACTAAAGACAAAAACGACGTAATTATCTCAATAGACACAGAAAAGGCCTTTGATAAAATTCAACATCCTTTCGTGTTAAAAACTGTCAATAATCTAGGTATTGAAGGAACATACCTCAAAATAATAAGAGCCATATATGACAAACCCAGAGCCAATATCATACTGAATGGACAAAAGCTGGAAGCATTCCCCTTGAAAATTAGCACGAGACAAAGATGCCCTCTCTCACCACTCCTATTCAACATAGTATTGGAAGTTCTGGCCAGGGCAATCAGGAAAGAGAAAGAAATGAAGTGTATTCAGATAGGGAGAGAGGAAGTCAAATTATCCTTGCTTGCAGATGACATGATCCTATATCTAGAAAATCCCATTGTCTCAGCCCAAAAACTTCTTAAGCTGATAAGCAACTTTAGCCAAGTCTCAGGAAACAAAATCAATGTGCAGAATCACTAGCATTCCTATACACCAACAACAGGCAAGCCGAAACCCAAATCATGAATGAACTCCCATTCACAATCACTGCAAAAAGAATAAAATACCTAGGAATATAGCTAACAAGGGAAGTGAAGGACCTCTTCAAGGAGAGCTACAAACCACTGCTCAGTGAAATCAGAGAGGACACAAACAAATGGAAATACATTCCATGCTCATGGATAGGAAGAATCAATATTGTGAAATGGCTATACTGCCCAAAGTAATTTATAGATTCAATGCTATTCCCATTAAACCACCATTTACATTCTTCACAGAATTATAAGAAACTATTTTAAAATTCATATGGAACCAAAAAGGAGCCCAAATAGCCAAGACAATCCTAAGCAAAAAGAACAAAGCTGGAGGCATCATGCTACCTGACTTCAAACTATACTACAAGGCTACAGTAACCAAAACAGCGTGATACTTGTACAAAAACAGATACAGACCAATGGAACAGAATAGAGAACTCAGAAATAAGACCACACATTTACAACCATCTGATCTACAAACCTGACAAAAACGAACAATGGGGAAAGAATTTTCTATTTTGCAAGGAGTTGAACTGGCTAGCCATATGCAGAAAATTGAAGCTGGATTCCTTCCTTACACTTTATACAGAAACTAACTCAAGGTGGATTAAAGACATAAATGTAAAACCCAAAATTATAAAAACCCTAGAAGAAAATCTAAGCAGTAGTATTCAGGACACCAGCATGGGCAAAGATTTTATGATGAAAATGCCAAAAGCAATTGCAACAAAAGTAAAAATTGAAAAATGTGATCTAATTAAACTAAAGAGCTTGTGCACAGCAAAAGAAACTCATCAGAGTGAACAGACAACCTACAGGATTGGAGAAAATTTTTGCAATATGTCCATCTGACAAAGGTCTAATATACAGAGTCTACAAGGAACTTAAACAAATTTACAAGAAAAAAACTGTTATTAAAAAGTGGGCAAAGGACATGAACAGACACTTCTCAAAAGAAGACATTCATGCAGCCAACAAACATATGAAAGAAAGCTCAACATCACTGATCATTAGAGAAACGCAAATCAAAACCACAATGAGATACCATCTCACACCACTCAGAATGGCGATTATTAAAAAGTCCAGAAACAACAGATGTTGGTGAGGTTGTGGAGAAAAAGGAATGCTTTTACAGTATTGGTGGGAATGTAAATTAGTTCAACCATTGTGGAAGATAGTGTGGCGATTCCTCAGAAATCTAGAGGCAGAAATACCACTTGACCTAGCAATCCCATTGCTGGGTATATACCCAAAGGAATGTAAATCATTCTGTTGTAAAGATACATGCACACATATGTTCACTGCAGCACTATTCACAATAGCAAAGACATGGAATCAACCCAAATGCCCATCAATGATAGAATGGATAAAGAAAATGTGGTACATATACACTATGAAATACTATGCAGCAATAAAAAGGAACAAGATCATGTCCTTTGCAGGGATATGGATGGAGCCAGAAGCCGTTATCCTCAGCAAACTAATGCAGGAACAGAAAACTAAATACTACACGTTTTCACTTATAAGTAGGAGCTGAACAATGAGAATACATGGGTACATATGGGGGAACAACACACATTGGGGCCTGTTGAAGGGAGGGGTTGGGGGAGGTAGAGCATCAGGAAGAATAGTTAGTGGATGCTGGACTTAATACCTAGGTAATGGATTAATTTGTGCAGCAAACCACCATGGCACACGTTTACCTGTGTAATAAACCTGCACATCCTGCACACATACCCTGGAACTTAAAAGTTGAAGGAAAAAAAATGGTTGCTTAATTTTTTGCATATTTTTTATTCTTTTAAATAGAGAAAGCAGTTTTTCGTTGAATTCCAATAGTGAAAATTATTTTATTTTTACTTACATACACGAAGCATCCTGTTCATGTGCTTATTGGCTCTTCATTAAAGCTCTCTATCAATGTGTTACGTTTATTGATAATTTGATTTATCTATGACTGCTGTTTCTTCTCCAAATCATACTTGTGTCTGCCTTTGAAATTATTAGTACTTCTTTACCCCTGGTTGCTCACTTCATTATAGCATTTTAGTCAGTGTTTAGAGATTTTTTTTTTTAAGTGAAACTACTTCTTAATTAAGGAAGGAAACTAGAGCTGTTCCTTATGTAGAGTGAGTGCCTTTATCCATCCCTCTCTCTGGGAACGGCCCAGCTGCAGGGCTGCTCTGGATAGTTCAGGGGTGGACAGCTGGCCTAACTCAGACCAATCGAAGTCTTTCTCTGAGCTTTCTGGGCTTGGAGACCTAGAGAATGGAATCAGTCTGTCTTCAGGCAAGCTCTGTAAATGATAAAGCTTGAAAGCTGCTGACAGTCATGTTTTCACTTAGAAGATAAAGGTAGTCTATAGATAGAAGAATGAAGATAATGTACAGGAAGAGAGGAGAAGCCAGTGTCTGGTGCTGCCTTCAGTGGCTCAAGAGGCCCTGCTATAGCTGTGTTGGTCCTGGATTGGTGGTTCTTTTCTTGGGAAATCAGGACCCACTCCTAGAACCCTACCCCACTCCCTTTGTTCCCACCTTTGTGACATACGCACACTCTCTCTCTCTCTCTCTCTCAAGGCTGTTTGTGTTAACTTTTGGTCATTTGTAAACCTTATCCCCAACTAACATACTACTAAAATGTATTCTCAAAAAATCCACGTCAAACAAGATTGGTATATAAATCTGCTTGCTATCATTCAGCTATAGCAAAATGTGTGGTACTTTTTTTCCTCTGTGGAAAATAAGCCAAAGTGATTTCGTTTTTGTTTTAGGAATCAATACTGTATTAGTTTCTTAGGGTTGCTGTAACAAAACTGGGTTTTTGCCACCCATAAACTGGGTGGCTTAAAATAACAGAAATGTATTTTCTCATAGCTCTGAAGGGTAGAAGTCTGAAATCAAGGTGTCATGGGGCCATACTCCCTCCGGAGGTTCTGAAGAAGAATCCCTCCTTGCTTCCTCCTGGCTTCTAGTGGTGGCCAGCAATGCTTGGCCTTCCTTAGCTTGCAGCTACGTCACTCTAATCTCGGCTTCCACCATCATATGACCTTTTCTGTATCTCTGTCTTCACATGCCTTTTTTATGAGGATACCGGTTGGATTTAGGGCCCACTCTAATTCAGAAGGACCTCATCTTAACTTGATCATATCTGCAGTGCTCTTATTTCTAAATAAGGTCACATTCATAGATTCCAGGTGGACATGAATTTTAGGGGGACAGTAGTTATATACTGTGCATCACAACACTTAGAACCAAGTAAGTTGGGTTTGCTTCACATTAATAGTCTTAACTATAAAAATATTTTGGATTTTTATTTTTATTTATTTGTTGTTTTTTTTTTAAACAGAGTCTCACTTTGTCACCCAGGCTGGAGTGCAGTCGTGTGATCTCAGCTCACTGTAGTCTCCACCTCCCAGGTTCAAGCGATTCTCCTGCCTCAGCCTCCTGAGTAGCTGGGAGTACAGGTGCCTACTATCATGTCTGGCTATTTTTTTTTTTTTTTAATAGAGACAGGGTTTCACCATGTTGGCCAGGATGGTCTCGATCTCCTGACCTCGTGATCTGCCCACCTCAGCCTTCCAAAGTGCTGGGATTACAGGCGTGAGCCACTGTGCCCAGCCAGATTTTGGATTTTTATAGTGCCATTATTTTGTATTTTCGAAGTGCAATGTAGGACTAAGCATCTCTGTTCAACTTCCTTTTACTAACAGTCGCCTACTGGGGCAATGCAGCCACTGTTAGAGAGAAAATTCTGCTCCATTCCTAAAAGAGCCTCTACTCATGAATCTGAAGCTGGGAAGAGCTCTGCAGAGATGCAAATGAGCTGTTGAGGGAGATAGCGTGAACATTTCTGCTGGCCACCACTGGGTACCACCACGTGTGTGTGTGTGTGTGTGTGTGTGTGTGTGTGTGTGTGTGTGTGTGTTTGTGTGTGTATGTATAGGAGGGTGGTGAAGGACAGAAAGACAAAGAGGCAGAGACAGACACCTTCCTGCCAAGCCTTACTAAGGTTGGGGGGGTTTCCCTACTGATCTTTTTCTACGCTTCAGCTCAGCCATCTTTTGTACCTTCCATGGAGCTCACCAGACTAGGAAAAGGTGGGGTCTTGCTGAAGAAATCAATAGTGATCAATACATTTGCTGGAAGAACCCATATTAGCCAAGTATAATTAACAATCTAGACCTGCACTGTCCAGTATAGTAGCCACTAGCCATATGTGGCTACGTGTATTTCAATTTAAATTAATTAAAACTAAGTAAAATTTAAAATTTGGTCCCTCGGTTGCACTAGCCTCATTTCTAATGCTTAGTAGCCACATGTGGCTAGTAGCTACCATTTTGGATCATATAGAATAGAACATTTTTATCATTGCAGAAAGTTCTATCAGATGACACTAATCTAGACTTTCATTTATAATAAGCTGAAAATGAAATATGATTAGATATTGTGAAGATAATTAACGGATTCAAAACAAAGGGCCCCTCCCAAAAGTTAACATAGAAACAAAATAACTTTTTAGCTCCTGGGTGATCACAAGAAACTTAAAAAGAGGAAGAAAAAAAGAAAATAACTTTTTAAATTTCATATTATCATTGAAATTCAAGGAGATATTCCAAATAAACAAGAATAATATGTTTTTTTTTTTTTTTTTTTTTTTGAGACAGAGTCTCACCCTGTCACCCAGGCTAGAGTGCAATGATGTGATCTCAGCTCACTGCAACCTCCAACGCCCAGGGTTCAAATGATTCTCCTGCCTCAGCCCCCCTAGTAGTTTGGATTACAGGTGCCCGCCACCACGCCCAACTAATTTTTGTATTTTTAGTAGAGACGGGGTTTCCCCATGTTAGCCAGGCTGGTCTCGAACTCCTGACCTCGTCATCCGCTTGCCTCAGCCTCTTAAAGCGCTGAGATTACAGGCGTCAGCCACTGTGCCCAGCCAAGAATAATCTCTTTAATAAGGGAAGCAATGTTAAAACAAGAAAGATTCCTTGGAAATTAAAACAAAGTGCTTATCAAAATTAAAAGTTCTGAGTCAGTAATTATCAGGCTAAATATAGCCAAAAACCTTATTTGTGAATTGAAAGTCAGGCTAAAGGAATTCTCCAGGCAATAAGGCAAATATGAGGGAAAAGAATCATGAAATGTCAAGAATGAGAGGAAAAAAAATAAAATTTTAAAAACTGTAGAGTAGATTTTCATTAGCTTTCTCCTAGCTCAAGTATCACTTTTTAATTAAATCTCATCATAACATCAACAGTTATATACTCTTAACTCACCGCTGTTTCTTGTATACCATGTCTTCTTCTGATTTCATTTTGTTTTCTATTTGGCTCAAGTGTTTCCTTCAGTATTTTTTTTTTTTTGAGAAAGGTTATATGGACGGTATATTTCCAGAGTCTTTTCAGCTCTGAAAGTATCTTTTTTTTTTTTTTTTTTTTAAGAATGAATCTCACTCTGTTGTCCAGGCTGGAGTGCAGTGGTGCTATCTCGGCTCACTACAACCTCCACTTCCTGGGTTCAAGTGAGTCTCCTGACTCAGCCTCCCAAGTAGTCGGGATTACAGGCATGTGCCACGGCGCCCAGCTAATTTTTTTGGTATTATTAGTAAAGATGGGGTTTTGCCATGTTGGCCAGGCTGGTCTCAAACTTCTGACCTCAAGTGATCCCACCTCCTCAGCCTCCCAAAATGCTGGGATTACAAGCATGAGCCACTACGCCCGGCTATCATCTCTGAAAATATCTTTTTTTTTTTTTTTTTTTTTTTTTTTTTCAGATGGAGTCTCGCTTTGTTGCCAGGCTAGAGTGCAGTGGCGTGATCTTGGCTCATGGCAACTTCCGATTCCCTGGTTCAAGCAATTCTCCTGCCTCAGCCTCCCAAGTAGCTGGGATTACAGGCATGTGCCACCATGCCCAGCTAATTTTTGTATTTTTAGTAGAGGCGGGTTTTCACCATGTTGGCCAGGATGGTCTCGATCTCCTGACCTCATGATCCGCCCACCTCAGCCTCCCAAAGTGCTGGGATTACAGGGGTGATCCCACCATGCCCGGCCTGAAGATACCTTTGTTGTGACATAATATCCCTACAGTTGTTTGGCTTGATGTACAATACTAATTGTAATGCCATAATTTTTTCCTCTCAGAGTGTGTAAATACTATTCCATTCTCTTCCAGCAGTCAGAGTTCCAGAAAAGATGTTTGATCCTAGTTTGATTCTCTTTCCTTAGAATTCTGAAATTTAATCAGTCCATGTCTACATGTCTGTTTTCTTATTAATTCTTTCTTGAATTCAGTGGACTCTTACGATCTTTCTTCAATTTAGGACCATTTTCTTCTCTTTTTTCTACTTGTCTATTCTGTAAACTAATCCTTTTTCATATTATATATAGGTCATATGTATATATCTACATACACACACACACACACACACACACAGATGGTCATCTAAGGAGAAATGACCATCTGTGTGTGTGTGCGCGTGTGCATGTATTTTCACGACCTTGCACGGATGCCAAAATCCGCAGATGCTCAAGTCCCTTTTATAAGATGACGTAGTATTTGCACATTGCTCATCCTCCCATATACTTTAAATAACCTTCAGATTATTTATAATACCTAATACAGTGTAAATACTATGTAAATAGTTGTTATACTGTATTATTTAGGAAATAATGACAAGGGGAAAAAGGCCTGTACATGTCCAGTACAGATACAGTTATCCATTTTTTTCCCCAAATATTTTCGATCCATGGTTGATTGAATCCACAGATGCAGAACCCATAGATCTGGAGGACTAACTGTGTGTGCATGTGCATATATATATTTCTTGGAAGGTTACATTGACAATATATTTCCATATCCATATAACAGAGTTGTGTGTGTGTATGTGTATGTATATATATATTTATTTATATATATATAAAACGGTATACATTTTCTTCCTGCTTATCCTTTCACTGTTTTATATGAAGAGAAGTTTTAGATTTTTTTTTTTTTTTTTTTGAGCCAGAATCTCGCTCTGTTGCCCAGGCTGGAGTGCAGTGGCCTGATCTCAGCTCACTGCAACCTCCACCTCCTGGGTTCAAGCAATTCTCCAGCCTTAGCCTCCTAGTAGCTGGGACTACAGGTGTGCACCACCATGCCCAGCTAATTTTTGTATTTTTAGTAGAGACAGGGTTTCACTATGTTGGCCAGGCTGGTCTCGAACTCCTGACCACGTGATCCGCCCGCCTTGGCCTCCCAAAGTGCTGGGATTACAGGCGTGAGCCACCACGCCCAGCCAGAAGTTTTAGATTTTAATGTTTATATTTTCCTTTAGGAATCCAAATTTATATTTTCCCTTAGGACTTAAAGGTCATAGAGTTATACTCAAGTGTTATTTTCTAGAAGTTTTAATATTTTTCTTTTCTTTTTTTGAGACAGTGTCTCACTCTCACCCAGGCTGGAGTGCAGTGGCGTGATCACAGCTCACTGCAGCCTCGATCTTCCCAGCTGAGGCAATCCTCCCACCTCAGCCTTCCAAGTCACTGGGACTATGGGAGCGCACCACCACACCTGGCTAATTTTTGTATTTTTTGTAGAGACAGAATTTCTCCATGTTGCCCAGGCTGGTCTCGAACTCCTGGACTCAAGCAGTCTGCCCACCTTGGCCTCCCAAAGTGCTAGAATTATAAACATGAGCCACCGTGCCTGGCCACATTTTGCTTTTCACACTTGTCTTTAATTCATCTGGAATTGATTTCTTTCTGTATAATGTTTGAAAGAGATCTAATTTCCATATGGCAAAATAGGGGCCCAGCCCAGCACCATTTATTCAGCAGTCCATTTCTGCAGTGCCACCACTGATACGTGAAGTTTTTGTGTATGTATAGGTCTGTATCTTAGCTCTCTATTCTTTTTTTTTCTGCTTCTAATATATAGCTGTTCAGCCTAGCTCTCTATTCTGTTAACTGGTTTGTTTGTCTATCCCTCACCCAGTACCAAACTCCCTTAGCTTTATCCTTCAGAAGTTTTTTTTTGTTTTTGTTTTTGTTTTGTTTTTTTTTTTTTGAGACAGAGTCTCACTCTGTAGCCCAGGCTGGAGTGCAGTGGTGCATCTCCGCTCACTGCAAGCTCTGCCTCCTGGGTTCATGCCATTCTCCTGCCTCAGCCTCCCAAGTAGCTGGGACTACAGGCACCCGCCACCACGCCTGGCTAATTTTTTTTTTTTTTTTTTTTTTTTTTTTTTTTAGTAGAGACGGGATTTCACCATGTTAACCAGGATGGTCTCAATCTGCTGACCTCGTGATCCGCCCGCCTGGGCCTCCCACAGTGCTGGGATTACAGGTGTGAGCCACCACACCCGGCCGAGGTGTTTTAATTTTTCTTTCTTTCTTACATAGGTTTTTAAATTAGTTTTGACAAGTTCACAAAAGAATCTTGTTGATATCTTTATTTGCATTAAATTGAATATATCAGTTTGGGGAGAACTTATATCTATATGATGATGTCTTCCTATCCAGAAACTTCATCTCTCTCTCTCTTCATTGTTTAGATCTCCTTAATGCTTTTCAGTAACATTTCTAATTGTCTTTATAAGAGTCTTGCATATCTTTGGTGTGTTTATTTCTAAGTGTCTTGTATTGTTTTTTTACTCTTGGAAGTAATATATCTTTTAGTGACATTTTCCGTGTTGGTGGTATGTAGAGATACACTTGATTTTTGTATAGTAATCTTAGAAGATCTACTTACTAGATTCTAATTAAAGCTGATAATTTACTATGAATCTTTGTTATCTGTGAAGATAATCTAATCATCTGCAAATAGTGGTAGTTCTAATTCTTTCTAATCCTTACACCTTTTGTTTTTCTCATTTTATTTTGTCAGAACTTCCAGAACAGCAACAAATAGAGAATAATGTAGTGGACATCCTTGTATTCTTTCTGATTTTAAAAATGTGCCAAGAGTTTTACCTTAAATCATACTTGGTTGTTGATTTTTATCAAATGTCTTTTCTGCATGTGAGATAATATGGTTGTTCCCATTTTATTTGTTTATATGGCCAAGTACGTGGTATGAACTATTCTTGAATTCCTGGAATAAACTCAGTTTGTTTATGGTGTGTTATATTTTAATACATTGCTAGATTTGGTTTGCAAACATATTGTTTTGGATTTTTAAATGTATGTTCATGTGTGAGATTGTACTTTTCCTTTCTCATGCTTTTCTTTGGTATTGGTATCAAGGTTACAGTACTCTCATCAAATGAGCTGTGGAGTATAGACAACTTTTTATTCTCAGGAGGAATTTGTGTAAGCACGGAATTGGTTATTTTTAAGTTTTGCAGAACTTGTCTAAGACAAAACCACCTGGGCCTGATGTGTTCTTTTTGTAATGGTTATAGGACTCTTCAAGATTTGTGTTTCTTTTTAAATCAGTGTTGTTAGGACATTTTTCTAGGAATGTGTCCATTTTATGTAAATTTGCTAATGTATTGACATAAATATTTTCATAATTGTATTAGTCATTTTTGCATTGCTATAAAGAAATACCCAAGACCGGGTAATTTAAAAAGAAGAGAGGTTTAATTGGCTCACAGTTCTGCAAGCTATACAAGAAGCATAGCAGCTTTTGCTTCTGGGGAGGCCTCAGGAAGCTTACAATCATGGCAGAAGGCAAAGGAGGAGCCAGCACTTCACATGGGCAGAGCAGGAGGAAGGGGTGGAGGGAAGTGCTACATACTTTTAAACAAACAGATCCCGTGAGAACTCACTCACTATACTGTACCAAGGAGATCATGACCAACCATTCATGAGAACTCTACCCCCATGATCCAGTCATCTCCCACCAGGCCCCTCCTTCAACACTGAGGATTACAATTCGACATGAGATTTGGTGGGGACACAGATCTAAACCCTATCAATAATATTCTCTTGTTAATATTGTAATTTGTGCTGTAGCTGTAGTTTGTGCCCTCTTCCAGTCCTAATTTTGCTTGTTTGAAGCCAGACATTTGTCAATTTTAATATTCATTTTTTTGTTGTTTGAGGCAAGGTTGGATGTGTTGTCTGTAAGTAACATGTAGCTGGACTTTTTGTAAAACTCTAATCTGACATTGTGAGCAGAGAATGTGTTCTTGTAAAAGAAGTTCCTTGGTATTTGTTGAGACTTACTTTGTAGCCTAGTATGTTTGAGTTTGAGTACATTTTCTGTGCTTAAAAAGAAATTATATTCCCCATTGTTTGTTGCAGAGTTCTGTGTATGTCCATAATGTTTACTGCATTGTTCAAGTCATCTTCTATATCTTTATAAATTGTTTTGACTTCTTGATCTATTCAGTAAGAGAGAGGCATGGGCTGAGTGCTGTGGCTCATACCTATAATCCTAACGCTGTGGGAGGCCAAGGCAGGAGGATTGCTTGAACCCAGGAGTTTGAGGTTACAGTGAGCTATGATCATGCCACTGCACTCAAGCCTGGGTGACAGAGTGAGACTCCATCTCTAAAAACAAACAAACAAAAAAAACAAAAATCCCAAAAAACAGAGACAGGTATGTAAAAATTGTGATTGTGAATTGGTCTTTTTTCTTTGTATTTGTTAGCTTTCTGTACATATTTTTGCATTCTAGTTCAAATTTGATTCTACGTAGTGAATTATTTTTAATCATTATGAAGCTCAAATTTGATTCTACATAGTGAATTATTTTTAATCATTATGAAGCTCAAATTTGATTCTATGTAGTGAATTATTTTTAATCATTTATGAAGTGACCCATTTTATCCCTAATAATGCTTTTTTTAAAAAAAAATCTATTTTATCTAACATTAACATAGAAATACCAGCTTCCTTTTGGTTAGTGTTTGCATGGTATGTATTTTCCCACCTCTTTATTTTCACTTTTTTGTGTGTGTTATTGCATTTTTTATGTGTCTTTTATAAATGACATATAGCAGAATTTTAAAAATTCAGAACTGGGAATTGTCTTCTAACTAGCATGTTTGGTACATATACATTTGTTGTGATTACTGATGCGTTAGATTTCTTTCTCCTATTTTATTTTGTCCTTTTTACTTAGACCTTTTTCTTGGAATCTTTTTGTTTTTCCTCCTTGGGCTGCTTTCTGTTTGTGTTAATGAAGATGTCTTTATTCCCCGCTTCTCCTTTCATTTGGAAATGGAAATTATACTATTCTCTTAGACATTACTCTTTTTTTTTTTTTTTTTCGAGATGCAGTCTTGCTCTGGTGCCCAAGCAGGAGTGCAGTGGTGCGATCTTGTCTCAGTACAACCTGTGTCTCCCGGGTTCAGCTGATTCTCCTGCTTCAGCCTCTGAGTAGCTGAGATTACAGGCACGTGCCACCACACCTGAGTCATTTTTGTATATTTAGTAGAGACAGGGTCTCAACATGTTGCCCAGGCTGGTCTCGAACTCCTGACCTCAAATGATCCACCTGCCTCGGCCTCCCAAAGTGGTGGGATTACAGGTGTGAGCCACTGCGCCTGGCCCCTTACACATTATTCGTAAATTGTTAACATGAGTAACTAGTTAAAGGAAAAAATATAATATCTCCATCCTCCTCCTGAAAAACAAACCTTTTATTTTTATTTTATTTTTTTCTCATTCTTGCTGTCATCTTAAACAAGGTGTTGAGAATGTTTTAACTGTGAGCACTCCTTCTCCTCTTACATATTATTGTGTAGTATTTTGGTTCTAATTTGTGTTTATACCACCTAAATTAGTTATCATTATTATTGCTTTATACAGTTGTGCTTATTTAGATGTATATTTATATGGCATTTTCTTTCTTACCCTTGCTTCTTGTATCCTACTTGTTTTTTTGGATTCAGTGTGTTTCTTTCAGAGGTATGTATTTCATTCGTTCCTTCATGGAAGTTCTGCAAGTGATGACTTTTCATGTTTTTGTTTGTTTACCTGAAAATATGTCTTGGTTTTGTCCTTCCTTTGATTAGAATTCTAGTTTTCCTTCATGACAAAGTTTAGCATTCACAAACTTATTTAACAAATATTTATTGAATACCTACTAAGTGTTAGGAATACAGTAGTAAATAAAACAGAAAAATCTCTGCCCTTATGGAGGCTACATTCTAGTGGCGGGATAATAAACCAGATAATTAGGTAAAATTTATAATGCGTTAGTGAAAACTTGTTAAGAAGAGGAATAAAGCAAGGCAAGGGAATAGGAAGATTCAGAGGGTTAAAGGGGGGTTGTAATTTTAGGTAGTGACCAGGAAAGGTGTGTTTAGATGAAGACCTGAAGGAGGTGAGATGTTAAGCCATCTGGGGAAAGAGAATTCTGGGAGAGGAAGCAGTAACTGCAAAGAAGGCCCTGAGGTGGGGCCGTGCCTGGCATGTTTGTAAAATAGCGAGAGTCCATGTAGCCAAAGCGAAGGAAGCAGGCGAGTAGGATCTGAGGTCATAGAGGTTAAGGTAAGGATGTTAGGCTTAGGTCTTTTAAGACCTTGTTGTTCATTTGTTGGCTTGGATGGCTTTTTCCAGTGAGTGAAATGGGGAGCCATTGGGAGGCTTTAGGTAGAGGAGGGACATGATCTGACAGAATCACTTTAGTCGCTGACTAAACTGAAGGGGAGAAGGGCAAAAGCAGGGAGAGGGGTTTAGAGGCTATTGCAGTGCTCCAAATGAGAGATCAGCATGGCTTAGACTGGGAGTGGATGCGGGAGAAGGAAGTCAGATTCTCAATATATTTTGAAGTCAGAGCTGATAGGATTTACTGGCAGATAAGATGTAGGGTGTGAGAGAATGAGGAGGAGTGGAAGATGGCACCCAGGTTTTTGGCCTGAGCCACTGGAAGAATGGAGTTGCCACTTAACACAGAGAAGGTTAGAGGGGTCATCAGGAGGGGTAATTGTGGGTTATCTGTAAACATACGAGAGAAGATGTAGATAATACAATGGGATCTATGAGTCTGAGGTTCAGAAGGGAAGTCTGGTCTATAATATAGATTTTGGAGTCTTCTGTGTATAGGTGATGGTAGGTAAAACAAGAAACTAGATAAGATTACCCAGGGAGTAGGCCAGGCACAGTGGCTGATGCCTGTAATCTCAACTACTAAGGAGGCTGAGGCAGGAGAATTGCTTGAACCCAGGAGGCGGAGGTTGCAGGAAGTGGAGATCACACCACTGCACTTCAGCCTGG
The DNA here is from genome assembly GCF_000001405.40 of Homo sapiens. Lineage (NCBI taxonomy): Eukaryota > Metazoa > Chordata > Mammalia > Primates > Hominidae > Homo > Homo sapiens. The sequence goes on along the minus strand of NC_000001.11, from coordinate 95,050,906 downwards.
GTGACACAGTGAGACCCCGTCTCCAAAAAAAAAAAAAAAAAAAATTACCCAGGGATTGATTGATAGAAAATAGAAGAAGACTAACAACTGGGCCTTAGGGCCTTCTATTAATAAATTTCAGATATAGGGGAGCTGTTATTGTCTTGGAAATATCAGCTATCAATTTGTTTTTTGTAGGCTTTTCTCCTCCCCATCCTTTAGAGGCCCTGAAATCCCAGCCCTTAGGTGTCTGGAATAATTATGTCATCCTCCTCAAACCTTCATGTCACAGGCTGCCTGTTCCCTTTTCATTTTCTTCTTGTTTGTGGCAATTAGGGACTTCCGTTTCCTTCTTCCTGGTTCAGATTAAATTGTATTTTTGTTATATTTCTGACAGCATTTAAAACTGTTTATAGAAGGAGGGTTATAAAGCTAGTTTATATTGCTATTCTATCAGAACCAAAGTCAAATTCATTTTCTAATGAAAGTCAGAGTTTTGAGGTACTCTTGGTGTGGATGCCTATTCTGCACCATTTGTGTAAATAGCACCCCTCTCTCCCCCAATTTTCCTCACTTTTTAAATAATGCACTATAATTGTGTAAGTTGCAATTTCCTGGCTATAGAAAACACTCCTGTGGTTACAGGCCTTGAACTATCTCTCTATAATTTAATTTTTTTCGGACTTCTTAAGTGAACCAGAAAATCTGGATCATTTTAAAGCATTAATAGTAACTGCACTTTGTGCTTTGGCAGAAGATCTCATCCATATCGCTCGGAACGCTTCAGGAATAAAAGGGCATCGATTCACACTTGGTTCTGGTGAGAAGCCAAAATCCACATTTTCAACACAGGCTTGCTCCTCCAAAAACACAGAGAGCTTCCCAGAAATCAGAAGATACAAATTAGAAATGTTAATCACTTATAGTTATATAAGTAACAGGAAATTTCTGTCATTTGGTTAATAACTTATTCTGATATGGAATTATCCAATAAATTTCTAAATGTTTTTGCTAGTTTGTAGAAAAAAATTTTATTTTTATTTTATTTTATTTTTTTGGGACGGGATCTCTCTTTGTCACCCAGGCTGGAGTGCAGTGGCTCAATCATGGCTCACTGCAGCCTCCACCTCCTGGGTTCAAGTGATCCTCCTGTCTCAGCCCCCCAAGTAGCTGGGACTATAGACGTGCACCACCACACTGGGCTAATTTTTGATATTTTGTAGTAACAGGGTCTCATTATGTTGCCCAGGCTGGTCTCAAACTCTTGAGCTCAAATGATCTGCCTGCTTCAGCTTCCCAAAAGTGCTGGAATTACAGGCATGAGCCTGTATTTTTTACCTTGCCCTTATTTTTTGCCTGGCCCTTATTTTTTATTTTTTAATAATTTTTTTTTGAGGCAGGGTCTCACTCTGTCACCCAGATTGGAGTGCAGTGGTGCGATCTCGACTCACTGCAACCTCTGGCTCCTAAGCTCAAGCAATTCTCCCACCTCAGTCTCCTGAGTAGCTGGGACTACAGGTGCACACCACTCACACCAGGCTAATTTCTTGTATTTTTGGTAGAGACGGGGTTTTGCCATGTGGCCCAGACTGGTCGCGAACTCCTGAACTCAAGCAATCTGCCCATTTTCACCTCCCAACGTGCTGGGATTACAGGTGTGAGCCACTGTGCTTGCCCCCATATTTTTTAAATGTTTATTTATTTATCTTTTTGTAATTATAACCTTTCATAGCCCTCATGCAAGAAAAAAATTAATGTTGGTATTTACCTATTTATGCTAGATATTAATATACAGCAGATTTTAAGCTAAATTTTAAACTAGTATAATTTTATTAATTGAATGTTAGAGGTGGCCTGCATTTCTTGCACAAATTCTTCATTCAAATTTCTTCTGATTCTTCTGAATCAGTGTATATTTTAATGGTGTATAATATTTTAGGTGCCTAATTCACCTTATTTATAATTACACAAGAGTAAAGGCAAATAATACTCCTGGTTTAATAACTTTTTAACTCTACTCTTCAGCCTGTCTTTCTCTGAGTAGTTTAAGTAGCTTTTTAATAAGAAACAGGCTTCCTTGACTAACAACTGAAATTAGAAAGGCAAAGAGTGGAGAGCTAAGAAAAAAAAAAAGGATATTTGACTGTGAAATTACTTATATGAAAAAAAAATACCTTGAAAAGCCTACCAAAGAAAAAGTAATTTCCACTGGGATTAGTTCTAAAGTAAAGAGTAGTAAAGTAATACCTTCCAGCAAAAATTGGAGAGTAACCTTTCCAAATAGAGCCAATTACCAGAGCCCTATGAAGGTAAATGAAAACTCAAATCAGAACGTTCTTCCTGGAGAGCAATAGGCCATGTTTCAGCAGGGACATCCACCCCTCCAAGGCGTGGAAGGAAATGAGGCTCAGGGCATTGCAGTGTGGATTTTGGTTCATTCTTTTATTTGCTTCTGAATCTGAGCCTTGTTTCTTAACTGCCTCCCTTGGCAACCAACTATTACTCCTTGTAACTTCTGTTACAGCATGAGTTGGCCCCTTTTCACATTACTGAAGAAAAAAGCTCGGTGACATATGAATAAAACATTTTTTAACCTGCATTTAAAAAAATATAGAGTTTTTCATATATAAAACAACAATAGAAGTTGCTGAAAACTGATTTGAAGGGTTAAAAGTCAGAGCCAACTTTCAGGCCACTTAATTAGATTTCCCACTACTCTGTAAGTAGGCTTATGTTTTCCCAATAAACATTATTTATTTGCTAATTCAATCAAAAAATACAAAATGAGTGCTGATTCTATACAAGACACTGTGTTTAGTGGAAATTTCAGCAAATCTTTATTGAATATGCCCCATAATTAACTGTGGCAGGACTATGAGTGGTTATTTTTCTGTTGCTTTGCTCTTTTCTGTTCATTCCAAATTTTATTTATTGTTTATGTTTTCTCTTAAAGAGTCAGGATCTTGCTGTGTTGCCCAGGCAGGAATATAGTGGTATGATCATAGCTCACTGCAACCTCGAACTCCTGGGCTCAAGTGATTCTCCTGCCTCAGCTTCCCAAGTAGCTAGAACTATAGGAATGCACCACCACACCTGGCTTTTTTATTTTTTGTAGAGATGGGGTCTTGCTATGTTGCCCAGGCTGGTCTTGAACTCCTGGTCTCAAGCAATTCTCCTACCTGAGCTTCCCGAAGCTCTGGGATTACAGGCGTGACTCACCATGCCTGGCCTGTTGGTTTCTTAATTTTAAAACTTTGGACAATACAGAAATATGCAAAAAAACAGGCCAGGCACTGTGGCTCACACCTGTAATCCCAGCACTTTGGGAGGCCAAGGCGGGCAGATCAGCTGAGGTCAGGAGTTCAAAACCAGCCTGGCCAACATGGTGAAACCCCGTGTCTACCAAAAATACAAAAATTAGCTGGGCGTGGTGGTGGGCGCCTGTAATCCCAGTTACTTGGGAGGCTGAGGCCAGGAGAATCACTTGAACCAGGAGGCAGAGGTTGCAGTGAGCCGAGATCACGCCACTGCACTCCAACCTGGGTGACAAGAGCGAAACTCCATCTAAAAAAAAATAAATAAATATACAAAGTAAACAGTGAAAGTTTCCTGTCACTATCCCAGTTCCACTCTCTAGAAGTAACCACTGTACCAGTTTGAGTTATATCCTGCCAGTGCTTTTTTTCCCCTTCTGTTACATGTATACATATAACAAAGTATGAATTATATATACACACATACATATAACCCTAGAGACAGTGTTGGGTGTTTTTTGGAAGGAGCAGGTTATGGCTAGTTTATAAATCACATCCTATATATTGTCTGCAACTTTTAAAAAAAATTTAATTCTGTACCTTGATAACTTTCCATGTTGGTTCATACAGGCATGTCGTTATGTTATGTTATGTTATGTTATGTTATGTTATGTTATGTTATGTTATGTTATGTTATGTTTTTTTGTGAGACAGGGTTTCACTCTGTCGCCCAGGCTGGAGTGCAGTGCAGCAATCTCAGGTTGCCCAGGCTGGTCTCGAACTTCTGGGCTCAAGCTATCCACCCACCTCAGCCTCCCAAAGTGTTGAGATTACAGGCGTAAGCCACTGCGCCTAGACTGCTTTTTACTTTAAAATGATTGTAAACTATAGTATTGTTATACCATTTCCTATCATTTTCAGTTTTTCACTAAATGCTGTAGTATTATTTTATTCTGTAAGTTATTTTAAAAAGTACATTTTATACACATTCTGCAAGCACTTTTATAACTTTCCAATTTTACTGCAATAAATATGGGAAATAAAGAAGCCCAAATTAAATAACTTGCTGACATTAAAGGGCTTGTCAACCCTTGCCCACTCTAGCATTCTGCTAGATCAGCAGTCCTCAACCTTTTTGGCACCAGGGACCAGGTTCATGGAAGACGGTTTTTCCACAGATGGTGGAGGATGGTTTCAGGATGAAACTGTTTCACCTCAGATCATCAGGCGTTAGTTAGATTCTCTTAAGGAGTGCACAGCCTAGATCCCTTGCATGCACAGTTCACAATAGGGTTCGCACTTCTAAGAGAATCTGATGCTGCTGCTGATCTGATAGGAGGCAGAGCTCAGGTGGTAATGCTGGCTCACCTGCCACTCACCTGCTGCCGTGCAGCCCGGTTCCTAACAGGCCACAGACTGCTACTGATTCACAGCCTGATGGTTGGAGACTCCTGTGCTAGATTGTTGATTGAATTCCTATTCTGAAGTACACCTAGAAGTTAGGAGTATAAATATATGGTGTAGAAACCAGTGTAATAGATATTCCAAACTATTTTTGTTGTGGCCACTATGCCCTCTATTCATATTTTTCAATAATTTACTCAAGCCAGCAATACTGAGTATACTGAGTATATACTAATAGAATTAGTATAATAATATAATACTAATTAGTATAATAATATAATACTAATTCTATTAGTATACTATTCTATTAGTATACTAATTATTAGTATACTATTCTATTAGTATACTAATTATTAGTATACCATTCTATTAGTATATTAATTCTATTACTATGCCATTCTATTAGTATACTAATTCTATTAGTATGCCATTCTATTAGTATATTAATTCTATTAGTATGCCATTCTATTAGTATACTAATTCTATTAGTATGCCATTCTATTAGTATATAGTATGCTAATTCTATTAGTATATAGTATGCTAATTCTATTAGTATATAGTATGCTAATTCTATTAGTATATAGTATGCTAATTCTATTAGTATACCATTCTGTTAGTATACTATTATACTAATTCTATTAATATACTAATACAGTATGCTAATACTATACAATTAGTATACTAATACAATGTATACATTGCAGTACATTTGCAATGTATATGCAAACTCTACACATACTACTGATTTGGACTCTAGTCTTCTTTAAATCACATTGATATCCCTGGCTGTCCACATTTAGCTTCCTAAAACACTGCTTTGCACAAATAACCTATTATTCCAACATTGTCAATGGTTTCCTTAAAATGAAAAAGTATACTTGGAGCCAAAAGCCAATGTCCATTACATTCTTTCTCTCTAAAATCAGAACCAAAAGAAGAGTATCTGCCATTAGTCATACTGTGTTTTGTTTTGGCCCTCCACCTAAGTCGAAATAAGAGGTATAAACATTGAAAAAGAAGAAATAAAGTAATATATGCTATAAATAATTATATCTAGAAACAAAATCAACAAAAGACTATCAAGTAATACAAGTTCAGAAAAGTATCAGATTCAAGCCAAATATGCAAAACTCAATCACTTCCTTATATGCTAGCTTTAACTGTTAGAAAAATAATGAAGAAAGAGACCTAAAATATTAAACACTGGGAAAGGAGCTTGAATAAAAGGAAATGATCAATATGGGCCCAATAGTGAAATCTTATTGAGACATTAAATATGGTAAAAATAAATACAGAAGCATGTTCCTGATGTTTAAAAACTTAACAAAGATTTTCAGTTTTCCCAAATTTATAATGCAGTAGGTGTCAGAATCCTAATGCTTTTTTTAAAAAAAAAATACTTTGTTTATTCAGCAATAAATATTTGCTTTCCATTTGCCAGGCAATATTATAGATAGTTGGGATACACAAGTGAACAAAAAACACAAAAAAATGTCTGCCATCATGGAGCTCACTCCACTTGACCTGGATGAGAAGACAGTAATACCAGACATAGTGAAGAAGAAAATAGTAAAGTCTGTTAGAAGGTGATCAGTGCTGTGGGGGCAGATTGCACAGGGATGGGGAACTGGGAATTTTGATGGGGTGGAAAAGTTGTGATTGCTCTTAGGACCTTGAAGGCGATGGGGACTCCTGAGAGAAGAGTGTTTCAAGCAGAGGGAAAAGTCTCTGGAAAAGCCATAGAGAGGAATATTCCTGGATGTTGGTGCAATAGCAGGTAATCCTGGTCCCTGGAGGAGAGTGAGTGGAAGGAGAGACACTGAAGAGGAGATGGGAGGAGTGGGCAAAGACCAGATAATTTAGGACCTTGTAAGCCCTTTTAAAAACTTCCTCTCTTAATCTGAGGAAAATAGAGACCTGTTGGAAAGTTTTGCTTGGAGGAGTGACACAATCATACTGTTTTACACAGGTCACTCGTGTGGCTGTGTTACAAATACACCAAAAGCAAAACCAAGGAAATCAGTTAGGAGGTTGTTGCAGAAATCCCAGCAAGAGATAATGTGGCTTGCATCAGGAGGGCCAGGAGTAAGGGAAAATAGTTGGATTCTGGATGTTTTTGAAAGTGGAGTTAACAGAATTTCATGGCAGAAAACAGAGGAATCAAACATGACTACAAAGCTGTTCTGAGCAATTGTAAGAATGGGATTGCCATCACCAACCCTGGGATGTCTGAAAGGGGAGCATCCCGATCTCCAAGGGTCTTTAAAGTGTTGCCTAGAGGAACCTGGAAACTCCCTGGGATTTAGAGGGACTTCCCAGAACCACTTTGCACAGATTCAAAACCGTTTCCTAAACTCTACACACTTGTGCACTCTCTCTCCCTCCTTCCCTGTCTCCCTTCCTCCCTCATTCCCTTCTCCCTCTCCCCTCCTTCTCTCTCTTCTTCCTCTCCTCTCTCTTCAACCCTCTCTTTCTCTCTCCTCTCTCCCCCTCCTCGCTCCTTCTCCTTTCCTTCTACTTCTTTTCCTTCTCCTCTCTACCTTCCTCTTTCCTCTCCTTCCCCTAAAAGGTCCTTGAAGCTTCAGAAATGGACCAGGCGGGCCCCTCCAAGTGTTGAAGGACTTATATTTTCTTTCCTCTGCAATGTCACTCCCTCATCCTGCCACCAGGTGGCAGTGCACTGCTGATCATTTAGCCGCTGACCTGCACTAGTTCTCAGTAGAGGCGGTAGAGAGCTGAACATAGAGCCTGCAGTCGGCCTTTTAATGCCTCATTCTTTAATGTGAAGTAGGGCTTCTCATCCTCGTCACTATTGACATTTTGGGACAGACAAATCTTCATTGTAGGGGAATGTCCTGTGTGTTACAGGATGTTAGCAGCATCCCTGGCCTTTATCCACCAGATGCCAAGAGTGCTCCCCCAACCCCCACCACCAGTTATGGCAACCCAAAATGTCTCCAGACCTTATAACGTGTGTATGGGGGGCCTCCCCTCCCATCGCCCTTGAGAATCAGTAGTTGAATCAACATCTACAGAATATCAGACATTTGAGGAAAGCCTCTAAAGAGAAAACTAACGAAAGGAACTAGAGAAAAGGGCATTTCAGTGGCAGTGGGGAGTTTAAACGAAAACAATTATGTTCGAAGAAATGAGAGGGCATTATTTCATTAAAACAAGAATGAGACCTATTTTTTAAAAAACTAAGAACAAAAAAAACCCCTTGGCTATTAAAATTTTGATTTCAGCAATAAAAATTCAATGAAAGATTGGAAGATCACATTGAAGAACTCAAGAAAAAGATTAAAAGCATAAGGAAAACGTAAAAAACAGTAGAGAAAGGCAAGAAAATTAGACAACCAAACTGGATGTTGCAAGTCCATTATTCAGAAGGAACAAGGAAATGGGAAAAGTTCAAAATGAAACAAAATTATGACCCAGGGAAATTTCCAAAACAGAAGGACCCGACTTTTAAAATAAAAGGACTATCCTGAGTCCAGTGAAAGTGTAGTCACAAGACACGTCATGTACAGTTTCAGAACTAACGATGAAGAGAAGATACTAAAAACTTCCAGAAAGAACAAGAAAAGGAATCACATTTGAGGTTTCAGAAGTACAGTGGAGCAGTGTCTCAAATGGATTCCTCATGTACCCTCCCACAGAGGGTGTGCCCCACCAAAACAAGGGGCACCCAAAAGGGAGACTCAGTTCCAGGGATCTGGGCCTCAGTCCAGGAGAGAAGGGAAGGGAATTCTCAGGACAGCAGTGAAGGGAGTTCCAGTGTGAAGACTTCATAGGTGGTCCTAGAGAACAAACAGTTGGGAACAGAGCAAAGTGACAGAGAACTCCAGAAGACATGGTGCCAAGAAAGTAACAGGAATGATAAATAACGCGAAGAGTCTGACGAAACTGAGAAGACCAGAAGAACTTTCAAACTGTGTGTATGTGTGTGTGTGTGTGTGTGTGTATGTTTAAATCAAAGATAAGCAAAGGACAATGAGTGCTTTGAATGCAGAGGAGGGAGAGATCTCTGTGAGATAGAGTGTTGGGGTGGGGGCTTCTTCAAAAGAGTAGGGAGATATTGGTTGATTTTTGGTTTTGTCTTTGAATATTTTTCTGTATTTTCTAAAGTTACAATTAGAAAACAGCTATTTTTTAGAAACAAAACTAAGAAGAGATACAAGCCCCAGTGGGAGTAAAAACCTACTAATATGAAATATTTATTTTTTTATAAATATCTAAATAAATATTTTCTACAGAAATAATCCAAACACATACCACAAGCACCAATATTTTGAGGCTCATATCCTTTTATTTTGGAAGTACAAAAGTTTTGCTGCTAGTGTAATAAATAGGGATTCTTTTGGTTTGCATTCTTTTTTTGGTTTTGCATTTTCTGTTTATATAAGAATCAGTGGCAGTTTGGTGGTTGCAGGATTTATCAACCAGCTCTTCTAAAATTAACATGACATTCTTCCACTGAACACCACCTACTGTTTTCCACAAGGTGGGGTGCTAACTTCGCACAGTGGACTGAGACTGTGTACAGCTTGCTGAGATGTCTACATTGAGTGTATTTGTTGTTACTTTCCACAGTTCCTAAGCAGTTCTTTTTTCCCTTTCTTTTTTTTTCTTTCTTTCTTTTTTTTTTTTTTTAAAGAGACGGGGTCTCACTGTCTGCCCAGGCTGGGGTGCAGTGGTGCAATCATAGCTCACTGCATCTTTGAATTCCTGGGCTCAAGCAGTCCTGCCTCAGCCTCCCAAGTAACTGGAACTACAGGTAAGGCCCATCACACCCAGCTAATTTTTTAATTTTTGTTTTTGTAAAGATGGGGTCTTGCTGTGTTGCCTACGCTAGTCTCCTTCTGCCTTGGCCTCCCAATCAGTTCTGAAAGAAATGTTTGTAACTGTATAGTTTAAACTGTGGGGTTTTATTTAAGTTTGTCAACTGTAATGTATATTACAACTGGTGGCTTAACATAGTTATGGTTTTGAGTGTGTATAATGTATATGTGCACTTTTCCTCATTCATATGGACCTTAACTTACTGAATTATAGGTAAAGGTAAAAAAAAATCTCTAATTTGAAAGGAGGCCGGTCTAAATGAGCAAAATATTTGAATAAGAAAATATTTGTAATTTACTGCAAATAGAGATTCTGATGTGGCCATTTCAGTGAATAGATTCTTATTTTTGAAATAGTATATCAGGTAGATATATACATGCTTTTAAAGTATTTTAAACAGCTTAATCTCTTAAATTCCTCCCCAAATCTCAATTATTCCTTCCTCTATCTCTAGACCTAAAGCCAGTCAGGTTAAACTTTCTTTAAATCATGTTCTGAACAGATGAAATTAAAATAGCTGTGAATAACATAGTGCCGTTATTTCAACCTTGTGGTAATTTAACCAATTTCCCAGTGCCAGTTAAATTTGTATTGTATGGGATTCTTACAACATGAAGAGCAGTAACATTTTATAATATAGTACTGTTGTTTCTCCATTTCAAAGCAAATTTATGGCATTCTAATCACCAATGTTTGGTTTTAAAAACATAAATAGCACAATTAAAAAAAAAATCTATACCTTTGAGTACAAACATACAATTTATTTTGTGCTGTTATAAAATCAGGACATGGCCTGTTTTGGAATTCCCTACGTCCTTCCTTTTGTACAAATGGAGGCTGTTAGATCCTTCCAGCCTTTAGGCCCAAGGAAATAATTCTGGTAGTTGCAGTCACACCACGGACAGCATAATTCTAAGCTCTGCATGTGGCCAGGCTGTGACTAGAGATGTACTTACAGTTTTAGTCAGGTTTGACCAAGCAGGTGAGCATGGCAAGGAAGTAAAAGGGAAACAATGGGTGCCGAGGGATACTCCCTTGTCCTTCAAATACCTGGTAGATGCTCACTTTATGGTGCTTATGAAATGTCATGAAGCAACATATGAGTAAGGGAGCTGTGGGTCCTGCTAATAACCAGCTCTGTCACCTTGTGTGAATCAACCCCTCTGGGCCTTAGTCTTCTACTGTGAAATAAGGAGGCCTGGCTGAGATTAGGAATCTTATTTATTTATTTATTTATTTATTTATTTATTTATTTTGAGACAGGGTCTCACTCTGTCACCCAGGCTGGAGTGCAGTGGTTCAATCTTGGCTCACTACAACCTCTTCCTCCCAGGCTTAAGCTATCCACCCACCTCAACCTCCCCAGTAGTTGGGACCACAGGTGCGAGCCACCACACCTGGCTAATATTGTATTTTTTGTAGAGATAGGGTTTTGCCGTGTTGCCCAGCCTGGTCTTGAACTCCTGAGGTCAAGTGATCCGCCCACCTCGGCCTCCCAAAGTGTTGAGATTACAGGCGTGAGTCACTGCACCCGGCAGAGATCTCACACCTGGCTTTCAAGTCTGACTTGTCAACGTCAAGCGAGGCTTCTGCTCCAGGCTGTGTTTCTCCAGGGCCTGTCAGCATCAGTCCAGCATCCAGATTCCTGAATATTATCTTCCTAGATTCCCAGTTGTCTTCCTCCGTCCACTTGCCTGCTAGGTCTACCCATTGCTTCAGTTATAGTACAAACTCCTGTCTGTCCCATTTCAACCTAAAATACCTGTGTATGTTTTCTAATATTGATATATTTTATACTTAAAGAGTATTTTACCAACTCAAAATTATGCTCCAAACAAGACCACAGTGAATCATGATGTGCTGTCAGCCTGTTTCCGCTCTTGCTATTTGCTCCCCAGGTCATGACAGTACCGTTCACCCTAGGTAAAAACCTGAGAGTTATCCCAAACTCTCCAGCGTCCTAAATCTCCCTTCTCACTGCTTGTCATCTCCATTCCTCTACCTTAGTGCTGCTGCTGGCCGTCAGGCCTTCAGCATCATTCTTCTGATGTATTTCAGTGATCTCCCCAATGATTGCCCTTCTCTGGTCGTGCCCTCTCCCCTTCTGTCCATTCTCTTCATAATTACTAGACTGGTATTTCTTGAATGCATTTCTGCTCCCATTATTCCGCTCCAACTCCATTTTCTGTTGTTCCCTATGTTGCTTCTTACGTACCAAAATACAGTTCCCCAGATATTCCATGCTATTTCATGTCTCTCAGCTCTGAACACGCTGCTTCCTCTGGCAAGAAGACCCTTCACCAACCACACCCACACTATTATACTTAGAAAATTTTATATCCTGCACAAGTTAGATCAGGAATCTCTTCATGAAGCCTGATTTACCTTATCAAAGAATAATGTATTGGCTGGGCGTGGTGGCTCACGCCTGTAATCCCAACAATTTGGGAGGCCAAGGTGGGAAGATCATTTGAACCCAGGAATTCCAGACCAGCCTGGGCAACATAGGAAGACCCCGTCTTTAGAAAAAGTTTTTTTAAAATCAGCAAGATGTGATGGGGCATGCCTGTAGTCCTGGCTACCCAGAAGGCCAAGGTGGGAGAATCGCTTGAGCCCAGGAGGTCAAGGATGCAGTGAGTCATGATCATGCCGCTGCTCTCCAGCCTGGGCAAGAGAGGGAGACCCTGTCTCAAAAAAAAAAAAAAAAAAAACCTTATAGTTTATCACTTTGTTTTTTTTTTTTTTTGAGGTGAAGTTTTGTTCTTGTTGCCCAGGCTGGAGTGCAGTGGTGCAATCTTGGCTCACTGCAACCTCCACCTCCCAGATTTAAACAATTATTTTGCCTCAGCCTCCCAGGTAGCTGGGATTACAAGTGCCCATGACCACACCTGGCTAATTTGTTTTTTGGGGTTTTTGTTTGTTTGTTTGTTTGTTGTTTTTGAGATGGAGTCTCACTCTGTCACCAGACTAGAGTGCAGTGTCACGATCTTGGCTCACTGCAACTTCCTCCTCCTGGGTTTAAGCAATTCTCCTGCCTCAGCCTCCCAAGTAGCTGGGACTACAGGCACGTGCTACCATACCCAGCTAATTTTTGTATTTTTAGTAGAGACAAGGTTTTACTATGTTGGCCAGGATGGTCTCAAAACTCCTGACCTCAGGTGATCCAAACACCTCGGCCTCCCAAAGTGCTGGGATTACAGGCATTACAGGCGTAAGCCACCGCGCGTGGCCAATTTTTTGTATTTTTAGTAGAGACAGGGTTTCACCATGTTGGCCAAGCAGGTTTCAAACTCTTGACCTTCAGGCAATCCACGTATCTTGGCCTCCCAAAGTGCTGGGATTACAGGTGTGAACCACCGCACCTGGTCCAGTTTATTACTTCTTACTTGGTGCTAACATTATATTTAATAATTGTCTCATATTATAGTTATCCCTTTGACTGCAATTATCACTTTTCCTGTGCTGTCCTGATAGACTGCAGTGAGTTCCTTGTGAATGTCTTATTCACCTCTGTTTCCCTAGCCCAGTTCCTGTCACCTGGCAGGTGCTTGTTGAAAGTTTAATGAAGAAACAAGTGAATGAATCCATGCTTAGAGAGTACAGCTCTGAAATTCAATGTCGTAAACAATTGTTTCATACATGATTTTAATATATATATTTTATTTTAAGAAAAGGAATGCAATTTTCTTACCATTTTAAGGACAAAGGAAGGGTGCTTCAACTTCAAGTGACATAAACCTACGCTTAAAATTGGCTTGAACAATAAAGGGAATTTGTCAACTTACAAAACAGGAAAAATTCAGTCTTATTTCTGGCGAGGCTTGGTCCGGTTGCCCAGGCATATCCCTATAGCAAGAGTTGTCTCTCTGCTCTGTCTTCTGCAGTGGCAGCTCCACCGGGCTTCCCACAGTGCTGCCTCCAGCAGCTCCAAGCTCTCTCATTAGGGTAACAAAAACCTGTAGCACCTCCTGGCCTCATGTCTCTTCCTCTTCATGAGGAAGAAGAGGATCTCTTACAGCATATGGGAGAGAGAGCCCCAGCAAACATCTCCTGCCTCATGGTACTCCAGTGGGGTTATACTCCCATCTTTCAGCTAATCATTGTAGCCAGGAATGATTCCTCCATGTTGCTTCAGCCATTCCAGGCCTACTCTTAGAGGCAGGGTTAGGGGTGAAGGGGACAGGAGGCAAATACCACCAAACCGTCCGGCTGAGAATATGAGAGGAATGAGTTACCCAAAGGAAAATTGCGATATTGTCAAAAGAAGGAGTCAATAAAGGCTGAGAGAGAATAAATGTGCATTTATAAAAGGCTTTAAAAATCTTTTGAGCCAGAATCCCATAATTTTTTCAGAAACAAACTACTTTGTTTTTCCCTGAAGTCTCAGACCACCAGGCAAGGAGAAGCTTCTGGAGGTAAAGTGAGGGGTGGTTTCAGGCCCTGGGGCAGAGCTGGAGTGCAGCCTCATTTCTCTTTGACAAGCCAGTCTTGAGCCAGCTGTGGGATCATGGTGGCTAGTTAAGGATCCCTGATCTCAGCTAGCCCTCCTTGCTTCACAGTGGGACACTGAGGTCCAGAGAGCTTGATTCATGCAAAGTAAGTGGTTATCAGCAGGACCCATCATGGGACTGTATTAGTCTGTTCTCATGCTGCTATAAAGAACTGCCCGAGACTGGGTAATTTATAAAGAAAAGAAGCTTGGGCCAGGCGCGGTGGCTCACGCCCTTAATCCCAGCACTTTGGGAGGTCGAGGTGGGCGGATCACCTGAAATCAGGAGTTTGAGACCATCCTGGCCAACATGGTGAAACCCCGTCTCTACTAAAACTACAAAAATTAGCCGGGTATGGTGGCGCATACCTGTAATCCCAACTACTTGAGAGGCTGAGGCTGGAGAATTGCTTGAATTTGGGTTGTGGAGGTTGCAGTGAGCCGAGATCGCACCACTGCACCCCAACCTGGGCAACAGAGTGAGACTCCATCTCAAAAAAAAAAAAAAAAAAAAAAAAAGAGGTTTAATTGACTCACAGTTCCACATGGCTGGGGAGGCCTCAGGAAACTTGGAATCATGGTGGAAGGCACCTCTTCACAGGGTGACAGGAGGGAGAATAAGTGCCCAGCAAAGGGGGAAGCCCCTTATAAAACCATCAGAACTCATGAGAACTAACGCACTATCACAGGGGAACTGCCCCCATGATTCAATTATCTCCACTTGGTCCTTCCCATGGGGGTTATGGGAACTACAATTCAAGATGAGACTTGGGTGGGGACACAACCAAACTATATCAGGGGCCCACAGCACCCTCACTTATATGACACTTCATGGCATTTCATCAGCACCATAAAGTATCTACCAAGTACTTGAAGGACATATAAAAAAAAATTTTGTGGTAAATTATGGTCATCTTGATTTCATAATGATTAGTTGAACCATCCAACATACATTTAAAAATATACATTGCATTATTTTTAAATAGTTATGAAAGAAAGCTGAAACCATTTTTGGTTGAATGAAATTTTACCATTTTAACTTTGTCTTGTTTCCAGGACT
Source organism: Homo sapiens (assembly GCF_000001405.40). NCBI lineage: Eukaryota > Metazoa > Chordata > Mammalia > Primates > Hominidae > Homo > Homo sapiens. The sequence goes on along the minus strand of NC_000001.11, from coordinate 95,035,878 downwards.
TTTCAGTCGTGTGGCATTCACTAAATAATAAAGGTATTGTATGTTTCAGTGTGTGGTAACAGCAAAGAATGACTTCATCAACCACTTGATCTCCTCTGTTGTGGTTTATGATGCCATCTGGATTCTTTGGTGGAATTATTTCCATCTAAATCACTATAAACTCCTATTTAGTTTTCACAAATCTAAAGCCAGATATGTTTGTGGTTTTTAACAGTGATGTAATTCTGGAACATACTTTGAAAGTTACAAGTTGTCATATACTGTTAGTATTTAACTCAGTGTTTCATATACTATCAGACACTAGAAGCCTGAACAAAATCCATTTCTCTGTTTTTTCACTCTTCAGCATCCTACTTTTCTTGTCTCTCTTGCCACCATATATTTGATTATACATCAGTCAAGTTCATATAGGGAGCGTTGGGAGGCCTTGTGGGCATACAGAGTACTATGGGACATGGCCCTGTTCTACAGGAATTAGGAAGCTGAGATGGAAAGGTTGTTTCACTGTTTCACTAAAATATGTTTTCTTCTATACGATAGAGAATAAGAAAGAGTCTTACTTCTTTGGCCAATAGTGTGAAAGAGACTGGATTATATTGAAGACAGGTAAATTTTGCAGGATATACACATTGAACTACAAAGAAAGAAAGAAGAGAGAAAGAGACAGAGAAGAAAGAGAGAAAACAAAACAAAACAAAACAAAAACATCCTTTCTAGGAACATATAACCCAGCTGACTGCCAGGTAGGAGCAATAGCAGGACAGCAGAACTTGCCATAAGGGCCTTGAGGCCTAAAGTTCAACAGAAAAGTCTCAAAATTTCTGAGGTCCTGTTGTGTTCTTATTTTGATTTTTCCCCTAAAAGGCTTAGGGAATGTGTCGGGGTAGGTGGCGGGCGGTCACTGGTAACAGTGGTAGGTGGGTTTGGTAACCCAAGCCTACAGTGCAAAACAGGGCACAGAGGGCAAAGAGAGAGGAGGAGGCAGGGAGCTTAGTTCCTGTAGAGGCAGGGAAAGAGACAACAAACTCTATGGGTTTGAGAGTGGGTGATTTGAAAAATCAAGGAAGAAAAAGGAAATGGATCAGGATGAGTAGTTGGCTATACATAAGAGTAGCAGGAGGCAGGGAGTAAACTTCGTGGTTCAGCTCCTTATATGTTGGGGAAAGCAGCTCCTCAGCAGTGAGACACAGAGATCCAAGCAAGATCTAGAGAAGGAGGTGAGTCAGCAGCATATTTCAGAACACATGGAAGACCTGGGTTCAGGTCCTGGTGCTGTCACTTTAGGGAAGTCCAGATTCCTCATCTGCAAAGTGAGAAAGTTGGAATAGTATGTCCCTTAAAACCCTGAGATGTCATGAGGTTAAGAGCCAGCATCTTCCCCATCACCATCCAGCATGGACTAGACTTCTAGAAATTATAATGATAGTCATTTGTCTGTTCAGCAAGTTATTTACTGAGTACCCATGATGTGCAAAACATCAGGCAGTGGGATCGTAGCAGTGAGCAAGATGAAATCCTTTTCTCTCATGGAGCTTGCATCCCTGGAAGAGGGGCAGACTACATACAATCACATATACACATAAATGAACAAGTTAATTGGAGGTAATGGTGATTGCTATGAAGATGGTAAAACAAGACAGTGTGGTGGAGAGACCACATATTTGGAGAAGAACTGTCTCCCCTCTGAGTGGGTAATGTTTAGACAAGATCTGATGTACAGGAAGGAGCTAGCTGTGAGACAGTCTGGGAGCAAATCAAACTTGTTAGAATGAGCAGACAAGGCCCTCAGGAAGGAGTGAGTCTGACACATTCAAAGAACAGACAGAAGACCAGTGTGGCTCAAGTGAATGAACAAGGAGGAATTAGAGATGTGAGCCAGCACCAGATTACATGGGACCTTGGGAGCAACTGTAAGGCATTTGGACTTGGTGCAGTGGAAAGCCTTTGTGGGATTTTAAGCAGGAGAATGAAAGGATCTGCTTTACATTATAAACAGATGGGTCTGGCAATTCTATAAAGAATAGATTGTAGGGGAGCAAGAGGAGAAGCAAAGAGACTAGTTAAGAGGCTGTTGAAGTAGTCAAGGTGAGAGATGGTAATGACTTGAATTGTGGGAGTAGCCGAGACATGTGGAATAAGTGGTTAGCTATGGAATGTGTATAAAAGTTTTGGGAGAAGGAAACATGGGGGCAGCCTCCTCTCTCCTTTCGGTCCCTGGCAACCTCATAGATCTTCATATCTAGAAGGAAATCTATGATAGATTTTACTGTTGATTTGTTGATTTCTACCTTGGGAATACAGAAGGAGTAGCCCATTGTGGTGGAAAATATAATAGTTTTAAGTCACTGTAGAAAGGCCTAGTGGATAGAGGAATACAAATATATATATATATTTGTGTATATATATATGTGTGTGTGTGTGTATATATATGTATGTGTGTGTGTGTGTGTGTGTGTGTATATATATATATATATATGTATGTATGTATGTATGTATGTATTTCTCAGCCCCCGTAGGATGGATTGAGATCCAGTTTAGCAGCCTACAGTGTCCCTCAAAGGAAGAACTACTTTCCTTGGTCTATAGGAATCCAGGAAAAGACTGGCCCTGCTAGGGTTATGTGGCCACTCCTGAACCAAATGGTAGTTCTGGGAGTGGGAGGTAGGGGTGGTAAAATGATGGAGCAGGCATCTTTTATGTCTTGCATCCCATTATAGGACATGAAGCTGGGTCAGGAACAGTTCCCTTAGAGCAAAGGTACAGACTAACAAAAACAACGTCTATAAAGATGCCTTCATTTGGATTTCTCCAGATATCAGAACCCCTAGGTAATTCCTGGCCAAAGGTCATAGCAGGCCTGAATTGTAGCTGTCTGAACCTCTGTCTCATTCCCTTGTCTTCAAAGGAAACTTTAAGACCAGAATATAAGCCTTGTATTGATTATTTTTCATTGACTTCTTTATATAGTTGATTTTATTTCCTAAAACTATGTAAAATAATAAAAACTCTCTTAAGATTTTGCCACAGCCTGGCTCTCAGTGTTTCCTTTAAATGACACAGGACATCAAGTAACCCAGTACCCAATTTCTGTGTCAAGTATAGGTAATCTGAGGGCACTGTCCCTGTCAGGATGGCCCGGGTTCCCATCTACTTGACTGCCTGGCAGCATAGCAGGTATCATAGAAAAACAGTGGGGCAGAGAGTTTTTGAAGCATTGTTAGATGCAGAAGGGGATGCCCTGCTGCTCTAATTGGCAGGCTCCTTTCCCCTTTGTGTGCATACCTCAAAGCCTCAGCACACTCCTCTCTCATGGTCCTATTTTTTGGAAAGAGGACCCACAGAGGCTTTTCACCTAGAACATGTTAGGGAAGGGGGACATTTGTCTTTGATTCCTTTGTGTCCCTCCTTCCTGTTTCCCCAACCTTTGGGGTTTGGTGCCTTCTAGCTTTGGCTGTTTATAAATCCACAATTCCCTGCACTACCCCAGCCTCTCTCCTCTAGCTTCATGAATTCCATTCAGTTCAACCCATTTAAAGAGTGGCCCTTGCAAATAAGGCTTTAAGTATACACTCTCAAATTACCCCCCTTGTGTCCTTTCTATATTCTAAATATATCTCAGCTAGGTGATAGGAAGATGGAATTGATTTATATTACTGTGTAATGACATATTGAATTATTTATTCAATAAAATTTTTTTTTTTTTTACTACAAACTATAACCAAGTACTCTTACAAGCACTGAGATTGCAGTGATTAAAGTTCCTGGCCCAGGGCCAGGCGCAGTGGATCACGCCTGTAATCCCAGCACTTTGGGAGGCCGAGGTGGGCAGATCACCTGAGGTCCGGAGTTGGAGACCAGCCTGACCAACATGGTGAAACCCTGTCTCTACTAAAAATGCAAAAATTAGGTGGGTGTGGTGGTGCGTGCCTGTAGTCCCAGCTACTTGGGAGGCTGAGGCAGGAGAGTCTCTTGAACTGAGAAGATGGAGGTTGCAGTGAGCTGAGATCGTGCCACTGCACTCCAGCCTGGATGACAAGAGCTAAACTCCGTCTAAAAAGTAAGTTCCTGGCCTCCTTGTGTAAGTTATGTTCTAATGGAGGAGACAGCAATACATAAATAAATAAGTATATAATATGCCAGTATAGTAGATGTTATTTTAAAGCACACAGAAAGTTTGGTGATGGAGGAGGGAAGAATATGTGTACGTGGGGATGGGGAGAGGGGAGGATGGGGATATTTTAGAAAGGCTAGTCAGGAAAGATATCTCTGAGGAGAACGGATATGCTACAATGGTGGGGGGATGTGTAGGTGGAGACTTGGATTTATAGAGCAGTCTTTTTAGTAGGATTTTCAGTTACCTGAACTTACTGTCAAAAAATAATGTGAGAAAGATCGGATAGGATTTGGAAGTGGAGCTTCTCTAGTTTAGAGCTGTAAGCCAGAGAGTGGCACCAGATGGACTCTCCTGTCCCGTGCCAGTCATTGTTAATGTCACGGTTAGGGCTTCCACCTTGGCTTTCTTTCCAGCCACCACTTCAACTTTCATCCCTGACTTTGATGCAGATTCTCCCACCATATTGACTCTTCAGGCTGTGCTGAACAAGTATCCTGCCCTCTGACTTGGAAGAGGCTCCTCATTGCCCTACCCTGTGGATAACCATGTGCTTTATTATTTAAATTGATACTTCTGAGAGCATGGGGCACTATCAATAATTATGCTGAGACAACAAGTGTAGGCTGAGATCCACCTCTGCAGTCTAGATGATTGGTCACTGTAGGCATGTGGTCATTGGCTGAGCTAGCTCCAGCACACAAATGGAACCAAGACTCCCCTCCCAGCTAAACTTCTGGTCTGGAGACTGGGAGGTTGGCTCCTTGTATGGTACATCCACAAGTAAAAAGAGAGGTCATCAAACTTTAGTTACTGGTCTTGTTGCCTTACCCTCAGGCCTGATTTTCTATTTTATATATTGGAGGTCCCTCAGTTCCCACCCCAGAACATGCTTGCACTAGTTTCTATTCTTCTGAAAATGGACTGAGACTTCCTAAACCCATTTTCTTAGCTGCTCCAGGCTGCTGCCAGGGATGAGATGTAGACTTTCTTCCACGTCCAGGTCTAGGAAAGCTATCTCCAGCCCCAGACGCTCTTGCATAGGCTTTACCAGGCTTGGATGTTTATGTCCTTGGAGCCAAGGTGTAATCAGGGGAGCCAGAATCAAACTGATCATCCTTCCAGTCCTGGTGACACTGTCTGGATATAATCCAGAAATGTTGTTCATTGCTGCTGCTTCGTAAAGTTGTATGCTCACAGCCTTAACAAAATTAAAGGAACATGATAAACACCCATGCTTTTTTAAATAAAATATTATAGGTATTGAGATTAGGCCACACAATTTGGTGGAAGTAACAGCCAAAAAAACTTCTATGATGGAATTCTACTGAATTATTTTTATCACAATAATAACAATGACATGACATCTTACTGGATTCAAATGTAGTTTGTAGTATAGGTCCACAGTCCCTTAGTCTGAAATCCTAAAGAGCTCTGAAAACTGGAAAAAAAAAAAATCCAGTTTGTCACAAGCTTATTTAACGGCAAAACCTGATTTGAATCAGCATGAAGCTTATAGTCTTTATTTATCCTGTTTAGTGTGAATATTCATGTATTGTTGCAGAGATATTAATATGTTTTATTTCTTTCCCAAACTTCAAAAAAGGATATTATATAATATGTGGTATATAAACCATATTACCTGTCCAAACACTTCTGACCCAAAAGGTTTCTGAGAAGGGATTTTGACTCTACAGTACTGCTTGGCCTATTACTTGTTTTTCAATTAGTAATCTCCACAACTTAGATGAGCATAAACCTCAAACAATTTGCTATTGCTTCTGAGTGGTTTATAGTTTGGGAACTACTCAGTATTAGTTTCTAGTTCAATATTTAGTACCTTAGCTTCTGGAAGGAAAAACATTGATTTGATAAAAGATTGATAAATAAATAAAAATAGTGGATACATATTGAGCCCAGGTCTCCCATTCTACACTGGTATACCATGGAGAGATGAGAAAATATTCTTTGCCATCATATGAAGAAGCAGAGTGGTCACACATTTCCATTTTCACTTTTTGCTGAGTCTGTAAGAACTGCACTCATGTTCTCTTGGAGCATAATAGAAGCCTCCAAACACAATTTCACACCTTTTTCTGAGTGCAAGAATGTAGTTATATGCTTTTCACTGGTTTAGAAAAAGGCTTCTCTATCTTCTTTTCTCAAGGAACATATTGTTTCTCAAGGCCAAGGGGAAAGGAAGAATGTATTAATTATTCTGTTCTTTTCTTTCTGACTTAACTGTGTGGTAGCCAGGCTCCAAGAAAGCCCTCAATGATTCTCACTTCCTGGTGTTCACATTCCAGTGTAGCCCCTTCCATATCAAATAGGGTTGATCTGTGTAACTAATATCAAAATATCAGAAATATCAAAATGTGACTTCTGAGGTCAGGTCATAAAAGACGTGACAATTTCTGCCTTGCCTCTTCTTGGAGCACTTACTTTTAAGAGGCTAGCTGTTGCATAATGAGAACACTTAATTAAGGAGCCCTATGGAAAGATCCATTTGGCAAGGAACTAAGGACACCAACCAGCAATCAGCACTAAATGGCCAGCCATTGAGTGAGCCACCTTGGAAGTGGATTCTCCTGCCCCAGTCAAACCTTCAGATGACTACAACCCCAGCCACCCACTTGATTTCAAGTTCATGAGTCACTGCAAGCCACTAAGCCACTCTTGGTTCCTGACCCACAGAAACTGTGAAAAACAGAATATACTTATTGTTTTAAGCTGGTAAATTTGGAGATAATTTGTTACACAGAAATAGGTAACCAATATATCTGGAATTTTGATTCAAGGAAAATATGTTGGTTTCTCTTGATTATGAAAATATCACTTTCTTGTTGCAAATTTTAAACATATTCAAAGTTATTCTGACCTGAAAAATGAAAATATCCTGTAATATCATCTTCTCTGTAATTTCTGGCATGTAGTTCCAGCTCCAGATTTTTTTTCTTTTTCTTTTTTTTGAGGCAGACTCTTGCTCTATCACCCAAGCTGGAGTGCAGTGGCATGATCTCTGATCATTGCAAACTCTGCCTCCAAGGTTCAAGCAATTCTCCTACCTCAGCCTCCCAAATAGCTGAGACTACAGCTATTTTTTGTATTTTTTGTAGAGAATGGGGTTTCACCATGTTGGCCAGGCTGGTCTCAAACTCCTGACCTCAGAAGATCCACCTGCCTGGGTCTCCCAGAGTGCTCGCATTACAGGTGTGAGCCACTGTGCCCAGCCCAGTTCCAGATTTTTTTTAATGAAAATACTAATGCATGGCCGAGTATAGTGACTCAACCCTGTAATTCTAGCACTTTGGGAGGCCAAGGTGGGTAGATCACTTGAGCCCAGAAGTTCAGGACCAGACTGGGCAACATGGCGAGAACCTGTCTATACAAAAAAATTAGGTGGACATGGTGGCCCACACCTGTGGTCCCAGCTACTGGAGGCTGAGGTGGGAAGATCTGGGTATGGTGGCATGTGCCTGTGGTTCCAGCTACTTGGGAGTCTAAGGTGGGAGGATCACCTGAGCCCAGGGAGGTCAAGGCTGCAGTGAGCTGTGATTGCACCATGCACTCCAGCCTGAGCAACAGAGTGAGACCTTGTCTCAAAAAAAAACCAAACTAACAAATACTGATGTGTGTATGTATGCATGTGAGTATTTTGTTAATTGATGCTGGATTATATTAAACATGCTGTCTTCCAACTTGCATGATTCACTTAACGTGTCTTGGGATATCTTCCATACGAGTTCATATAGTTCTATGTCATTTGTTAATATATCTCCATATATTTTACTGTATGCACTTCTCCATTCCCTACTGGAGAATATTTGGTCTAATTTCAGTTTCCACAAATACAAACAATGATACAGTGGGGTAATCTGTGGGATATATTTCCAGAAGCAGAAATGCTGGATCAAAGGAAGACACATTTAAAGTTCTGATAGATATTTCCAGATTGCCCTCCCAAAAAGTTGTACCCATGTATTTACCCAGTGAATGTAAATGTCTATTTCCCCATACTCTCAACAACACTGGTTATCCACTGTCGTTGCCAATCAGGTAGGCGAAAATGACTTGTTTTCTGTTGTGCTTGTTAGCCATCTTTTTACATGTTTATCATTATTTGTATTTCTTCCATTTGGAGTTATCTGTCTGTCTTTGCCCATCTTGATACTAGGTTACTTGTCTTACATATTGACTGGTAAGAATTCTTTGTATATCAGCAGGTTAAATTCTTTGCCTGAAACATAGTTTATAGAAACTTCCCCCAACTTATTGTTCAAACTGGCTTTAACATTTTTTGAATCATAGGAACTTTTTTGTCATATGTGATCCCATCTGATGTGTTATATAAAGCATGAGATAGGCATTACAACTCTAATTTAAAAGTGGTTAGAATGAAAATTTAAATTAAAGAAAGCATTTCTGTTTCTACAGCTGTTAATTGTTACTATGTTTAACTTTGATATCAGTGACTCAGTTGATTTGGATTCCATCTGTTTCCTTCTAGTATACCAAATACTACATTCACCGAATTCCAAGAAGCCGGGAGGTTCAGCAGTCCTGGCCCTCCACCGTTTTCACCACCTTGCACTCCATGTGGCTCTCCTTTCCCCTAATTCACAGGGTGAAGCCAGATTTGGTAAGTAAGACCATCACTAAGGAGAGAGAAAGTAACTCCCTGTAGATCTTTCGTTAGTAACAGGACATACTGTTTTCTTAAACAGCTACCATTTATTAGTGTGCCAGGTAGTATGCAAGACCCTGAACTGGCTGGTGCCTTGATCTTGGACTTCCCAGGCTCCAGAACTGTAAGAAATAAATATCAGTTCTTTATAAGCCACCCAGTTTATCGTATCTCATTATAGCACCTGAAATAGACTAAGATATCATCCTTGGATTTTTGTGACTTTTATCACAAAGCACTCTTTCTCCTGCCTCAGCCTCCTGAGTAGCTGGGACTACAAGTGCATGCCACCAAGCCTTGCTAATATTTGTATTTTTAAGAGAGATGGGGTTTCACCATGTTTTCCAGGCTGGTCTTGAACTCCTGACCTCAAGTAATCTGCCCGCCTCGGCCTCCCAAAGTGCTGGGATTACAGGCATGAGCCACTGCGCCTGGCCTGTGACCAGTAATCTTTGATGTTATTGTTGTAATTGTTTGGGGACAGTGTGAATCGTGCTTACATAAGACAGTGAACTTAATAAATGTATGTGTTCTGACTGCTCCAACAGCCTGCTGTCCTCTCTCTGTCTCACACACACATACACACACACACACACACACACACACACACACACACACACATTCCTTGGGCTTCCCTGTCTATGAGACACAACAATATTGAAATTAGGCCAATTAATAACCCTGCAGTGGCCTCTCAGTGTTCAAGTGAAAGGTAGTATTTCTTATGTTTCACATTTTAAATCACAAGCTAGAAATGATTAAGCTTAGTGAGGAAGGCATTTGCAATAGGCAGTTAGTCAAGTTGTGAATGCAAAGGAAAAGTTCTTGAAGGAAATTAAAAGTGCTACTCCAGGCTGGGTGCGGTGGCTCACACCTGTAATCCCAGCCCTTTGGGAGGCCGAGGCAGGCGGATCACAAGGTTAGGAGATCAAGGCCATCCTGGCTAACACAATGAAACCCTGTCTCTACTAAAAATACAAAAGATTTGCCGGCCGTGGTGGTGGGCGCCTGTAGTCCCAGCTACTCGGAAGGCTGAGGCAGGAGAATGGTGTGAACCCCGGAGGCAGAGCTTGCAGTGAGCCGAGATCGCACCACTGCACTCCAGCCTGGGCGACAGAGCGAGACTCCATCTCAAAAAAAAAAAGTGCTACTCCTGTGAACACACTGGTTTCACGATAAGTACATGACATAGCCTCATTGCTGATATGGAGAAAGTTTGAGTGGTCTGGATAGACTATCAAACCAGTCACATTCCCTTAAGCCAAACCTAATTCAGGACAAGGTCCTAATTCTCTTTAATTCTGTAAAGACTGAGAGAGGTCAGGAAGCTGCAGAAGAAAAGTTTGAAGGTAGCAAAGGTTGGTTGAGACTTAAGGAGAGAAGCCATCTGCATAGCATAAAAGTGCAAGGTGAAGCAGCAGGTACTGATGTAGAAGCTGCAGCAATTTATCCAGAAAATCTAGTTAAGATAATTGATTAAGGTGGCTACACTAATCAACATGTTTTCCATATAAACAAAACTGCCTTATATTCGACGATGTCATTCAGGACTCTCGTGGCTAAAGAGAAGTCAATAGCTGGCTTCAAAGCTTCAAGGGACAGGCTGATTCTGTGTAGCTGTTGACTTTAAGTTGAAGCCAGTGCTCATTTACCATTCTGAAAATCCTCAGGCCCTTAAGAATTATGCTAAATCTATTCTGCCTGTGCTCTGTAAGTGGAACAACAAAGCCTAGATGACAGCACATCTGTTTACAGGATGGTTTGCTGAATATTTTAAACCCACTGTTGAGACCTACTACTCAAGAGACAAAGCTTCCTTTCAAAATATTACTGCTCTTGATATATTGGGCTGGATGTTTTTATTTAAAAAAATACAAAATATACTGCTCATTGACAATGCACCTAATTACCCAAGAGCTCTGATGGAGATATACAAGGAGATTAATATCTTTATGCCTGCTAACACAGCATCTATTCTGCAGCCCATAAATCAAGGCATAATTTTGACTTGCAAGTTTTATTATTTAAGAAAACATTTGTAAGGCTGTAGCTGCCATAGATAGTGATTCCTCTGATGGATCTGGACAAAGTCAATTGAAAACCTTCTGGAAAAGATTCACCATTCTAGATGCCATTAAGAACATTCTTGATTTATGGGAAGATGTCCATAAACAGGAGTTTGGGAGAAGTATATTCCAGCCCTCCTGCATGACTTTGAGAGGTTCAAGACTCAAGTGGAAGAAGTAATTGCAGAGGTGATGGAAGTAGCAACAGAGCTAGAATTAGAAGTAGAGCCTGAAGATGTGACTGAATTCCTAAAATCTCATGATGAAACTTGACTAGGACCCTATTCTGTGATAGGATTTATACTGTGCACTCGAGGTATAAAAGTAAACACAGCTCTACCCCTGAGTGGACTGAGGTGATCTGTGAAAATGGCTCGCTATTCACTTGACCCAGAAAAATCCCACAAAAGTCATGCAAACCAAGTTGTTCAAGTCTTCATGTTCACTTTAAGAACATCCACGAAATTGCCCATGCCAGAGAGACCTAAGTAACCAAGATGTTATGTAACTCCAATTTTCTTTAGACATGTATTAGATTCTGCTAATATTAGCTAACTTGCTCAATTGAAAAGTTATCCAGTATTTTAAAAAATATCTTTAATGCAGCAGGTACTAAAAGGGATGAATAAAACAGCTCTTCAGGAAGCTTATACTTTGGCTTCAGGGAAAATGGAGTAAAGAAACAACAGGTAGACTTGAAATACAGATTAATTCAGTTGAAAATAGAGACCCTATTTAAAAGGCCGGGCGCGGTCGCTCATGCCTATAATCCCAGCACTTTGGGAGGCTGAGGTGGGCGGATCACGAGGTCAGGAGATCGAGACCATCCTGGCTAACACAGTGAAATCCCATCTCTACTAAAAATACAAAAAAATTAGCCGGATCGAATGAGTAGGCTGATCTCATATTCTCTTGAAAATATACTCCTAAAGAGGAATTTGTTTCAAGGAGAAGAATAGAAAAGTTAATTTGTGAGATTGCTGATTATTAAAGTAAGAGGACTGCTTATGTTGGGGGAAAAAGATCTATAAAGTTCTTGAGGGTAAAGGCCAAGTATTTTTGCGTTTTCCATGGTCCTTTCTAGAAAAGCTTCCACATATTTGAGGAATGACTTAAAAATAAATGAATGAATACTGGATTAAGTGAGTCATCACAAAAACAAAGACACCCACTCCCTACACTGGTGCTCTTCTCAGGCTTTATTAAGAGTCTGAAAAACCAGGAGGGTTTCCAAAGTCTGCAGTGTTTGATTACTGGCTTCATTCCACCCTGGCCATTACCAAATGAAATACTCAAGGAAAGAGCTCTGCATACAAAAATGAAACCTAATTTAATTTTTAATCAAGTAAAAAATAAATTTCAGATTCTCCATATTAACAAATTGAAAGGAAATGGACCATTTCAACCTAATACTCTGCCTCTTTGCCTGAAGCTGGTTTAATTCACCATGACAAATTTAGATGTACTTATTACATCTACACTCACTCACGCTTTGTATGAAAGAAGTCCATTATTTTATTTAGTCATTTTTTTCCATGTTTCATACCCAGTTTGAGCTGTGAAATGTCTAAGTTCATAGCAGTAGAAAGTTGATGGCTGGGTGCGGAGGCTCATGCCTGTAATTCCAGCACTTTGGGAGGCCAAAGCGGGCGGATCACTTGAAGTCAGGAGTTCGAGACCAGGCTGGCCAACATGGTGAAACCCTGTCTCTACTAAAAATACAAAAATTAGCCAAGCATGATGGTGGGTGCCTGTAATCCCAGCTACTCAGGAGGCTGAGGCAGGAGAATTGCTTGATCCCAGGAGGCAGAGTTTACAGTGAGCTGAGATCATTGCACCCCAGCCTGGGGGATAGAGTAAGACTCCGTCTCAAAAAAAAAAGTTGATGACATGGATGGTGGGTTATTATCTATAAGTAGGATACTGTGATTTTTTTTTTGATTAGGTGTTTTCTGTGGTGAGCCACAAACTAGGTGGCACCAAGATTATCACTGTTTGTATAGTATATAAAATTTTTATTGGCCTACTAATTAACATGTGTTTGAAATATTAAGAAGAGGCAATTAACTCTTGTTAATTGTTGACATGCCAGAACCCTTACAGGAACTTTTTCTCCTTAACTGTTGTTAATTTGATTCTCTTTGTATAATGACTTTCATCTGGTATTATATTTGGTGGTGATCAAAAAACTTTATAACATGTTCAAAGGAAACTTGGCTAGACAAAGAAAAGGTCAGCTGTCCCAAGATGTTTATCTGTCAATGGAATTAAGTGAGAGTAAGGTTTTCCAAGCCAAGTCAGATGAGAAACAATTAGACCACACTTGTCTTACTGCTTCATGTTTTCCAAGATTAATGAAATCATAATTGGGAGCCATTTGTTTAGGTTTCCTCAGTTCCTGCTCCTCTGTTGCCCAGTCCTCTATAATGTGTTAAAATAATGCCAGTGTTACCCCTTCCCACTGTGTGTTTCCTCTCCATATATGCGCTGTAAATTTGGCAGCCTCCTTAAAGATACAGAAGGACTGGCCCTGCACTGTACGTGCATTTAGCAAGTCTGATGATGGTCAGAGTCCACTGCGAGAAGTGGTTTGATGTGAAAATCCCCCCAAATATCTGGTTTCTTGTGACTGACAAACTGCTTTTCCCAGTTGCATGGTGAAATTACCAGCTGTGCCACTGACACATTGGCTGAGTGACAACCTGTAGCTGCTTCCATCCATAAATGAGGTATTTAGTTTAAATGTTATAGCTTCTGTTTCACATTGAGTGAGTTCCGAACAACATCTGTGTCAAAATTAGGCTGCATATTAGCAGTTAGATTGCTTTGAGTTGTTTTGATTCGTCTCCATTTTGGGGGACTCTCAGCAGCTTGAAAATGATTTTTCTTTCTAAGTCGATGCTTTTTCCACTTGGCAAACATTACATTTTTCCTGTCTGCAGAAGCCAGCGTGGCTTTGCCTGTGATTTTTGCTCTCTTGTTTTGCTTTGCCTGCATCACTCTTGAGTTGTCACTGTTCCAGCCCATCACAGGCTCATTTTGGATCTGAGGCTGGTGGGGACTCTTCCTTTCAAGGTGAAAGCCAATGTGTTTTCCCAAGGATAGCTGTGAGGTCACAGTTAAAACAAAAATGAAAGTTGAATGAAAAGGAATTCAGTTGTGAGAGGATAAGAAAAAGGAAAACATGAGGTAAACAAAACTGTTTTTGAAGAAGGGACTGATGTGGTCACAGGCAGTGAGCTCCAGAGACCTGGCCTTATAGATGAGGGTAATGGGAGATGCTGGTGACGAGGTGAGAACAGAGGGTGGGGTGAAGAGAAGGGAAGCCTTTGAAATGACCTTAGATGCATGAATAATTCCTAGAACCAGTCCCAGCTTCACAGACTTTCAGTGCTTATTTTAAAGGATCATGTGAAGCAGGAGCTCTATTTGTATAGCACTTGAAAATCAAGAAAGTGATGTTTCTGTTTAGAATCTTTAAAATCGCTCTTTGACCTGAGGAAAAAATAAAAGAAGGGGGCACAGACAGCACCGATAATTGAATATGTAATGGAGAGCCTCAGAAGGGTGCTGCTCTCCAAGTTAAGTGGGATCATTAAAGTTTTAGAGTTTGTGTAACTAGAGTCAGTAGGGAAGCGTCATGGGAAGTTTTAAAAATTTGAATACAGACTGTGAACTCCTTGAGGAACGGTGAGGTGTATTACTCATCTTGGCAGTGCTAGCACCTATTCTAGAGCGTGGGGCATGTAGGAGTTCAATAAATTTTGAAAGAGTAAATCTGGGTAGGAGAGAGATTAGGAAAGGAGAAGTCAGAGAAGCTATTAAAACCTGATGATGACCATTTACAGCCTTTAGGTGGGCTGGAAAAAGTAGAATAGGAAAAAAACATTGCATAACTGCTCCTTGGTTAACTTTTGCTCCCTCTGAATTAATCGCTGAATTCGTCTAAGGATTTTTTTGATAACATGTTTCTAAAGTGTTAAATATTCTCTTTATCAAAGCACCATAAGAAAATGGCGAAAGTTTCTCATTCACCTTAACCAGAGTACACTTGCTTTATTTCTTTAATTGAAGTGAAATTCACATAACATAAAATTAGCCATTTTACAGTGTACAATTCAGTGGCATTTTAGTACATTCACTATGCTGTGCAACCACCACACACCTTTACAGCATCGAGTTCCAAAACATTTTCATCAATAGTTGCTTTACTTTAATTTCTTGGTGTTGTAGAACCACTTAGAGTTTTGTGGGGTTTTTTGTTTTGTTTTTTTTTTTTGAGACGGAGTTTTGCTCTTGTTGCCCAGGCTGGAGTGCAATGGTGTGATCTTGGCTCACCGTGACCTCTGGATCCTGGGTTCAAGCAATTCTCCTGCCTCAGCCTCCCAAGTAGCTGGGATTACAGGCGTGCACAACCATGCTTGGCTAATTTTGTATCTTTAGTAGAGACAGGGTTTCTCCATGTTGGTCAGGCTGGTCTCAAACTCCTGACCTCAGGCGATCTGCCCGCCTCGGCCTCCCAAAGTGCTGGGATTACAGGAGTGAGCCACTGCGCCTGGCCACCACTTAGCATTTTTTACTTCATTTGGGGGAGAAAAAAAAAAGATTAAAACACAGATAGTGTTTTCTAACAGCCTCTGGAGATCAAAGGCCCTCTCCTTCATGGTCTTTCTAATTCCTTGTTTACCCTGCCCAGAAGTCATTGAGTAGATGTATCTTTTTCAGTTAGCGCTTACTCTTTGATACTTTGCAATTTGATGACTTATTTTTCTCCTTGTATAATTTTTTATCTTTTTTTTTTGAGACTCAGTCTCACTCTGTTGCCCAGGCTGGAGTGCAGTGATATGATCTCGGCTCACTGCAACCTCCGCCTCCCGAGTTCAAGCGATTCTCCTGCCTCAGCCTCCTGAGTAGCGGGATTATAGACGCATGACACCACACCCAGCTAACTTTTGTATTTTTAGTAGAGATGGGGTTTTACCATGTTGGCCAGGCTGGTCTTGAACTCCTGACCTCAGGTGATCCACCCGCCTCGGTCTCAAAAAATGCTAGGATTATAGGCATGAGCCACCACACCCGGCCATGTATCATGGATTTCTTTTTCTAGTGTAAAACATACATGAAGTTAAATCAGCTGTAGAAAGCTTATTGCTGGGATTACAGGCATGCACCACTATGCCCGGCTAATTTTGTATTTTTAGTAGAGACAGGGTTTCTCCATGTTGGTCAGGCTGGTCTCAAACTCCCGACATCAGGTGATCCACCCACCTTGGCCTCCCAAAGTCCTGGGATTACAAGCGTGAGCCACTGTGCCCGGCCAGGTTATCGCTTCTTTACCTGTTAGCATGCAATTTGAAATTCCACTCATACCAGGACAGCATTTTACAGCAGATATAAGCCAAGCGGCTTCTCAACTTCAGTGGTGCCTTTTCCACATAGTCAAAAGGGTTAACTGATTTTCCCTAAGATACATGGGCAAATAATTATTAAAATGTTCTTCAAAAGGACCTTACAATCAAGAATGAGGATAAGTGGAATGAGTAAACACCTTACAAATTTCAAATACTATTATGGCTTACTGCAAAAGCTGTGTTAGCATTATTGGGTGAGGAATGTAAAAGATCCAATCAGAAACAGGTTAGAGAGCTTGAACTGGTATTATACATGCTTAAAAATAGCAAGAAGGTCCCTGCTGATAAGACCTTCAAATTACAGAAAGAACATATTGTGACTGATAATTCTTTTAAGAAATGTGAATACCAGATTTATAAGTTTCACGTGTTTGCAATGTCAAAACTTCCATATTCTGCCATAAAAAGTGAAATCCTGCAGTGGAATCAGCTGTAGAATTGCAAAGGGCAGCAAATTCCATTTGTTAGCAAAATACCATTTTGCATTCTTGGTCTTCCTGAATTCACATTTAAGCCACTTATACAAATCTTTGACACAAGCAATTTTTAAAATATGTTTATGGCTGACAGTTTGTGAAAACAGGTTTGCTTTTGTGGGCTAATCACTTTTCTCTAAAGACAGGTGTCACATGCTTAAATCAGTTGTGTCTACATCTTAAAGTTCCAGATGTTATTTTTCACAAGATTTACTTACACAGTACAGTATTTTGTAGATAAACCTTGTTAGTGGAGGCAGTGCCTGGATTCAGGGAACTTGGTCTGTTGCTGTTTAATTATTCCTAAGCCAATTTGCCTGTTGCAGTTTTTCAAGGAGCCATGATTCATCTCTGTGAAGTCACACAGGGAGAGAAAAATTCCCCACTGGTCACTTCTATTAAAGAACAGAATTGGGAGGGGCTGGAGGTTGGGAGAAGGTAGGGGGTGAATTTCCTGCTCTCTGTGGAAACCAGGTGCAGCTTATATAAGGCAAACTTTCATTCTTAAGGTCATAAAAGAATTCCCCATATTTACCCTTCCTTCCTTCCTTCCGTCCCTTTTTTCTTTTTTCTTTTGTCTTTTTTTCTACTAATTGAGACAGAATCTTGCTCTGTCACCCAGGCTGGAGTGCATTGACATGAGCTCGGCTTACTGCAACATCTGCCTCCTGGGTTCAAGCTATTCTCCTGCCTCAACCTCCCGAGTAGCAGGGATTACAGGAGTGTGCCACCACACCCAGCTAATTTTTTTATTTTCAGTAGAGGCGGGGTTTCACCATGTTGGCCAGGCTGGTCTGAAACTCCTGACCTCAAGTGATCTGCCCTCCTCAGCCTCCCAAAGTGCTGGGATTACAGACCTGAACCACCGCGCCTGGCCACCTCATATTTTCTTTATAGGTTTCATTGAGAATTCATCCTGAATATTTGCTTCCCATTTGATTTCCTATAATTTCCAATCTACTTTTTTTTCTGGTTTGCATCCATTTTACCTCAGTTGTGATACACAAGAAAAAATACCATCCTACAAATCAGGAGGTTTTGGCTTTACTCTCATCTTTGTCAGTAGTTAGGTGTGGTGACTCAAAGCTAATCAGTTAGCTTCTCTGACTTAGCTTCTCCTTCCTATCAAATAGGAGTAATGAGAAGCTCCAAGAGAAGGATCACAGTTGGCAGATGCACTTGCTTTTAACCAAGCCACTCCCTCTGCTGGGAAAGTGATTCCCTGCCATTCAAAACCACTTACTTCTGCTCACCTCCTGCCAGGACATATGATCCTTGGAGCTCCAGTGCCTCATTGGATTTTAGATATTGTAGATCTCAAAAATATATATATGTGCTTGAATTATGATGTCGATGTGGCTATTAGAGTCATTCTGGGGTTCCCCAGGGTTTCCTTAGGGAGCACCTGTCACCCATACACATCCCAAGGGGCCTTCGAGAAGGTGGTTGCCCTTCTATGGCCCTCCCTGATACATGCTCGTGGCCCTCCTCTCTCTTCTGTCTCTTTCCATGCTTTAACTGTTCTTTCTCTTTCTTCCTCTCATCTACACCTCTCCCCTCCATTGGGATCATGTTGAAGCCCCTGTTTCATCTTATCCTTGACATTCTCTCCCACCTGTTTTTGTCACAAAGACCCTAGAGGTTGGCCTGTTTACCTGCACTCCTTTCCAACTGCCCCGATCAGATTATACCGCAGGAATTCTTCTCCTAGGTCTCCCTTAGGTCTACTGGGAAATGAACTTTAATTTTCACCAGTTTTGCCATTTTTTTTTCCTAGCACAGTGACTCTTTGTTTTAAGGCTTTTCCTGCAGTTGACTGTAGGAAGCAGATAGGTGTTAAAAACAGTTAAGCATTGCAGGAGTTAGATGTGTAGGAACTTAGGGATTACTGATGGACTTTATTCAGATGTGAATTGGACAAGGTCTTTCTCAATGCCTTTTGTCTGCTTCAATTATCCCCTTTTTATTTCTAAGACCAGCACTCATCAGGGCCTCCTGCCTTGTCTTTTTTATCAGCCAGTTCTGCAGCAAACTGATGATCCTTGGGCGATAGCAGACACACACATCTTGTCTGATTCACATAGTTGGTCAGTATTGGGACCACATATTTGGTCAAGGTATTTCACACCACACTACACACACACACACACACACACACACACACACACACACACACACACACACACACCCCTTTTGCAAAATTGCAAGGGCTGGTGACTGCAGGATGGATGTTAAGCAGCCCTAAATAGTGACTACCTGTCTAGGCTATCCTCTCTGTGGTCTCTTACCTCTGGTGGTTTCATTTTTGTAGGTTCCCTGACTGGATTGTATTTGTGTGCAGCCTTCAAGCCTTTTTCTGAGGATTTGAGTGGGCAGTAGCAGTGCTGAGGGGTGGCTTGGAGGCCTAATAGATGTTCTTGGGGACTAAATGCATGCCATATAAATGAAGGCAGTGGGCTTATTGCAAACAGTTGTGAGATAAACCTGCTGTCACTGAACCTTCTTCTTTAAAGTCCTGGAGCTGCCATTGCTGTTGTGGCAGAACAGTTCATATTTATCAGATTTAGATCTTGGCAGATTTCTAAATTTATATTTATATCTTGGTGGGTTTCTAAATATAAAAATCAGCATGTGTCTGCATATTCCCTTTCCTCTTTTTATTAGAGCAGTCATATTATTCAATGGTCATTCTCTGATGGAGAAGGCATTTGTACACTTAGAATTACAAACTTACACAGATGATACCTTACCAACAATTTAATTATATACCCTATTTTTAAAGTTTAGATAATAGAACCAAAAGAAGGGAGTGCCTTGTCCAAAGTCTTAGAACTAATAGGAAAGCATGAATAAAAAAAAAACAGTTCTTGTCACTCCCAGCTCCAGGTTCAGCTCTCTGACCACACAACAAATGAGACATCATAGACTCTTCTCTCGAAGGGTATCAGGTGCTGTCTACATGGATAGAGAAAATGGGCTTGGGCAACATGCATACCAGGGTTTAAAATCTAGGTCTGCCACTCTACCATTTGGACAAATTTAGGTGAGCTGTTTATTCTCCATAAACTTCCTTTTCCTCATCTGTAGAACAGGGACCATGATATCTACTTCATAGTCTTGTGTGAACATTCATGCATAAGAAGCCCCCATGGTAGGTTGCTGGATCTTTCTCCTCTTTTGTCATTAAGTTAAATATTCTCTTCCAGAAATCAAGAGGCTAATAAGGAGTTAATAAATGTTTTAAAACTTAGACCACGGAATGTCTACACAATGCCCAGTTTGGATGCTATGGTATTCTGACTGTTTTCATGTTGATTTTCATGCCACAGTGAGCCTCTTCAGGCATGGAAACAACCAAGGATTATTTGCTTCTGTCTTCTTTGTTTTCCAGCCCTCTTATATTTTCATCACAGACTCCATCGCTTCCAAAAACAGTGTGTCAGGATTTACTAATGAATTTCAGCTCTGTCCTGCTGGACCACCATTCAAGGACATCCGTCCAAACCCGCCCCTCTCAAGAAGGGCTTATCCACATGCACCTGATTTACAAACAACCTTAGTTCCCCAGTTTGGTTCCTCATTTTCTTGAGGCTTCTTCTGAGGCTTTTTGTCTTGCACCTTTACTCCATCCAGATCTTGCCCTCCTGTGAACTCCTCTTGAACTTAGAGCTTAGCATTTAATTGTTCTCTAGTCATTTAACTTCTGCTGAATTTTCTCCCTCCCCAAATTAGATTGTGAGTACTTTAAGAGTCAAAAACCAAGCTTTCTGGCTTTATTATCCCTGTGGAGCTTAGCAGTGTGTCAGGTGCTTGGAGAGGTCTTTGATTAATAACTGAATAGTAAGGAACTGGAACACGCTAGTTCTACCAGATGGAAATTAGCAGCACCCAGTCCCAGCTCCCTGCAGATCTCCATCTCTCTCGGTTAAATATCTCGTCCTCAGCTAACACCCTCTGATCCCTCCTGGATCCCACTGAGAGGTGAATGGCATTCACAAGCCCCTTGAACTGCTTCTTGGCTCACCTTTATTACCCTGACTTGCTCCCAACCCACTATCAGGTGTGTTCTGCCCTCTTTGTTATCAAAGAAGGGGGACTTAGGCCTCCCCTATTCTGAGTGCCGTGGCAAGTTTAAAACTGTATAGCGCTCTCTTCAGATTGCAAAGGGTTAGGAATCATAATGAAGCCTTAGGAACTCGAGTCTTTTTCTGCTGCCATTCCATCAACATGCTCACTTAATTCTTAAACAAAATGCTATTCATTGAATTACTTTTTATTTCTTAAGATAGCCTGAAACTATTAATATGGTGCAAGACTTTCTGATGTCATTGCTCTGGGATCATAAAACCTACTTGTCAAAGCTATTCTTTGAAGTTATTTAGCCATAATTTTGTTATAAGCTTTTTATTTACAAATAAAAATTATTTATAAATCAATTTGTAAATAATTGTAATTATAAGTTTACATGTAATTTTAACTATTTGTAGATAATTCAAAAAATTATTTACAAATTTGTTTTTATTTTGTATTGAGTAACTGCTGTGAGCTGAGACTAGAGCTAGGCACCATGGGAAATGGAGATGGCAATTTGTGCTCAGAAGAGTTTGTAATCTAGAATCCAGCCATGGCCCCAAGTCTGAGGCTAAGAAGGAAGGATGATCTGGACTGGGAACAGAATTGACCTGCCTCAGGGTTCCAGACTGAAGCATCAGTGTGATTTTTTAGAGGTGTTTTAAATCACAGGCCCTATTTTGGGGGTGAGAACAGGTTAATTAGCCACTATTCCATTATTCCAGGCTGCACAAACTACATAGTAAAGATTATGGCCTAAGGCTTCAGGATGTCCAACAGAATAGTTCTGAAAGTCAGGGGAAGCAAACGCTCTTCAAAGCGCCCAGAACAAATAGCCCTTTAGGTCAGTTCTTAAATCAATAACAGATCAGTCACCAGAGGAGGAAGTCTGTTTCACAGCCAAACAGTGAACAATGCTGTACTGAAACCCTAAGCTCCCATGGTCTCTGGGGAGTAATTAGAACTTGTTCAGTAATCAGCTAATTTGTATTTCTGGGAATGATTCTAAATAAAAAATGATAAAAGTTGGATAAAGGGTAAACTATAGACCATTGCTTCATAATGGAATTGCATAATTCAAGTGGGGAATCATAAATTTGGAAATGCTGGAAGGGTTTTTTTTTTTTTTTAAGAAAAAAGTGATTTAAAGGCAATGCTAATAAAATAAAAATAACCCATGACTAAAAATATATGCTGAAGCATTTTATCTCACTGGAACCTGAGAACAGTAAAATATCCAAGCTGGAGTCTAGTCTACTAGACTAGTCTAGTTTTCTCACTAGGCCTATAAATTAATTTTGAGACTCTGAAGTAATTGTTTGACCTCTTTTGTCTGCAGAGTCAGTACAGATTTGGGGTGTTGTTTGTTTTAGTTGTTGGCAAAACATTGTAGATATCCAGATCCTGGTTGCTGTATTTTTATTAAAAAGAACAGGAAACTGGCCAGGCACGTTGGCTCACGCCTGTAATCCCAACACTTTGGGAGGCTGAGGAGGGTGGGTCACAAGGTCAGGAGTTTGAGACCAGCCTGGCCAATATGGTGAAACCCCATCTCTACTAAAAATACAAAAAATTAGCTGGGCGTGGTGGTTGGCACCTGTAGTCCCAGCTACTCAGGAGGCTGAGGCAGGAGAATCAGAGGTTGCAGTGAGCCGAGATTGCACCACTGCACTCCAGCCTGGGCGACGGAGCAAGACTCTTGTCTCAAAAAAAAAAAATAAATAAATCAAAACAAGAGCAGGAAACTTATTTCCATCAAAAGAGATGGAGGGCTAGGATAAGTGAATAAACAATAGCTTATGGTTAATTTCAAATACAGCTTGTTACCCTGCACTAGAAAAATGAGACAATTCTATATTTAATTATATATAGCAACTCTAACATTTGTGATGAGAGGAAAAGATTCTTCTGGGTTTTTTTTTATTGTTTCTTTTTTTTTTTTTTAATTGAGACAGTGTCACTGTGGCACAATCTCGGCTCACTGCAACCTCTGCCTCACAGGTTCAAGCAATTCTCCTGCCTCGGCCTCCTGAGTAGCTGGGATTATAGGTGCCTGCCACCACACCCAGCTAACTTTTTTTGTATTATTAGTAGAGAAGGGGTTTCACCTTGTTGGCTAGGCTGGTCTTGAACTCCCAACCTCAGGTGATTCGCCCTCATCGGCCTCCCAAAGTGCTGTGATTACAGGCACGAGCCACCGTGCCTGACCTGTTTTTCATTGTTTCAACAGGACAAATACAAGAAAGACTTGACTGGTATCTCATCAGATTATACTTTTCCTGTGATATCAGTTTTGAACTTATAATTTCTTTCCAGCTCCAAGAGTCTCTGATTCACTGATTCTAACATGACATACTAGGAAATTCTATCAAAGCAGGGGCTCCTGGAACAGGTCCCGTTGACCATGGACCACAGATGTTCTCAAGGAGAAACCCACATATGGTGATAGGGTATATGACTAAACTGCCTGTTTGAGATACACAGCTTTCATGACTACCAAATCTGGCATTTGTGTTTCTCAGTAGCAGATGTGAAGAATGAGTTATTACTTAATGAGCAGCAAAATCTTATTGGACTCCACTGCAGTGCACAGTAGCTCACTCTAATAAGACGAAACAACTGTAAAATAGTTTGTGTGAGTTCAGTTCCGAGTCTACTTCTGACCCAGTTGGATGGTATTATTTCCCCAACCTAGAGATTTCAGGTTACTGTGACATCCACGAAAAGATCCAAATGATATTTAGTAGAAGTTCATATGATGAAATGAGAATTAAACTAAATTTGGTTAAATGTTTTGAGTTTTACTTTTGTATTAGTCCATTTTCATGCTGCCAATAAGGACATATCTGAGACTGCGTAATTTATAAAGAAAAAGAGGTTTAATGGACTCACAGTTCCATGTAGCTGGGGAGGCCTCTCAATCATGGTAGAAGGCAAAAGGCACGTTTTACATGGCAGCAGACAAGAGAGAATGAGAGTCAAGCCAAAGGGGAAACCCCTTATAAAATCATCAGATCTTGTGAGACTTACTACCACGAGAACAATATGGGGGAAACCACCCCCTTGATTCAGTTATCTCCCACTGGGTCCCTCCCACAACACATGGGAATTATAGGAGCTACAATTCAAGATGAGATTTGGGTGGGGACATAGCCAAGCCATATCAACTTTTCATCACTTTAAGTCATTAAAAATACAAATTAAAACACTTAGTCACATATAGTTTTTAGATTCTAATAATAAAGAATAATGAATCTTAATCCTGTTCTATATGGAAGTCTCTGCAGGCTGCTATAACACAGTATCATAAACTGGGTGCTTATTAACAATAGAAATTTATTTTTCGGCTGGGCACGGCGGCTCACACCTGTAATCCCAGCACTTTGGGAGGCCGAGGTGGGCAGATCACAAGGTCAGGAGATCGAGGCCACGGTGAAACCCCATCTCTACTAAAAATACAAGAAAAATTAGCCAGGTGCTGTGGCGGGCGCCTGTAGTCCCAGCTACTCAGGAGGCTGAGGCAGGAGAATGGCGTGAACCCAGGAGGTGGAGCTTGCAGTGAGCTGAGATCACACCACTATACTCCAGCCTGGGCGACAGAGTGAGACTCTGTCTCAAAAAAAAAAAAAGAAAGAAAGAAATTTATTTCTCACAGTCCTGGAGTCTGGGAAGTCCACAGTTAAGGCGTCATCCCATTTGATGTCTGGTGAGAGTCCACTCTCTGGTTCATAGACAGTGGTCTTCTCACTGTACTCTTAAATGGTAGAAGGGATGAGGGAACATTCTAGGGTCTCTTTTATAAGGCACTACTCCTATTCCATGAGGGTCCCACCCTTATGACCTAATCATCTCCCAAAAGCCCATCTGCTAATATCATCACCGTGGAGGTGAGGATTTCAAGGATGAATTTTGGAAGGTCACAGATATTCAGTCCATAGCAGGAAGTAATTGGGATCTTCAGGTTTCTAGGCTAATCTAGATGCCTTCCTATTTATCATTCTTTTCTTGAGTTGACTTTCTGATTATAGTGAGGCCAGGTCAACACACAGTATTCTAAATATATGGTCAGGATGGTTTCTTCTGACTTTATTCAATATCTTTATTTGTATAATGAAGAACTTTGGTTGTTCTTATTTCTGCTATGCTCTGTTAGAATTGGAATTTTATCTTCCAAATCTTTAGAACTTTTTACTAAATATGGAATGATATTCTGGCTTTTTTTTCCTCTTCTAGTCAAGAACTATCTTTTCTTTGTAGAATTTAGGAATGGCAAAAGGAACTAATTCATTTTTGTGGTATTTTCTAAATCCGTAATACACAAATGAGTAGGCACATGGCTGATAGAAATATCAGTATACAATAGCTTATAGCTTCTTTCTTTTTTAATACAAAATATAAAGGGCATTTTCACCATCAAAAATTTCCTGAATTCACCTATAACCAATTTCTACAATCTCTTTTGCCATTTAAGCCAAAGTGAGGTTTTATCTTTATCATTGATAGACAACTTGATTGTGTCTATATCAATGATAAAGATGGCTGAATTTCAGCTTTATACTTTAGTGAGTGTAATATATTGGATTTTATACTACAAAACAGACTAAGATACTTGGGAGCAGAGAATGGAGGTGGTTGAGGACAAATCTAGGCTGAGTCCTATGTTTCTAACTTGGGCAAATGAGTCAAACTTCAGCTGCATTTGGAAGTAGGGATGTCCATTGGATGTACTGTCAGAACTCAGAGAGCAATCTGAGCTATAAACATTGATTTGGCAATAGTTGAAGAGGAAAATTATTTGAGAAGCTATAAATGTTAGGAGGAGCTTTCTTATGTAAAGTTTGTTCCAGAAGATAAAGTTGAAAGGTTTGGGAGGATGGATCTAGGAGGAAGAAACACAGGACCAGTATGACAATGAGGGGACATGAGAGAATTGTTTATTAGAGGCACTAACTATAAAAAGTCTAATATTTTTTCCTCTGTGAATGTTGGAGGCTCATTCATGGATCATAGTTAAAACCCCAAATTTATCATTGCTATCTGTAATTATTTGGGTTAATAATTTCAAATGCCTGTTAAAGTCTAGAAACTATAATTCCTCTTAGCTTTTAATTTTGAAATCATGTTAAACTTACACAAAAGTTGCAAAAATAGTAGAGAATTCTTATGTGCTTTTTACTCAGCTCCCACTAATGTTAACATATTATATAATCATAGGTACAGTTATCAAAGCCAAGATATTAATGCTGGTATAATACTATTAACTAAATTACAGACTTTATTACCAGTCTTTCCACCATTGTTCTTTTTCTGTTCCACATCCAATCCAGAATCCACATTATATTTAGTTGTTAGATCTCCTTAGTCTCCTCCAACCTGTGATAGTTCCTCAGTCTTGCCTTATCTTTCATGACTGTTACATGTTTGATGAATACTGATCAATTATTTTGCATACAGAGAATACAATTGTATGATCAAATAATGGGATTTATTCTTTCTCTATTTCTGAATGGAACTTTGGGTTTTATAAGAGTGTATTTTGTGTTTGTCAAAACCCTGGTGACTGGTCAAAATCCATTTCAGCACAACACAATTATTGTGACTTCTTTGTGTTGCTTGGAAATTCCTCCTTCCTTCACTACAAGGAAATGATATATTCTCTGCTCTACTTACTATAGTAATCACTCCATCTTTAATAATGATAAGTGAAATAGTGAAGAGTAAAAATTTTCACAATGTATGGTTCCTAAATTAATAAATTTTTGTCTTGTAAGTCATTTTAAAAAACCTTTTGCAAATTCCTCAAAAAATAAAACATGATTATAAATAAAATATATAATATTTTATAAATATAAAAATAAAAAAATTACCATATGATCCAGCAAATTTACTCCTAGGCATATACTCAAAAGAACTGAAAGCAGAGACTCAAACAGATACTTGTACACCAGTATTCATAGCAGCATTATTCACAAGTCAAAAGGTAGAAACAAGTGTCCATCAACAGATGTGGAGAAACAAAATGTAGTATATATACACAATGGAATATTAATCAGCCATAAAAAATGCAATTCTGATACATGCCACAACATGGATGAACCCTGAAAACATCATGGTAATAAGCCAGCACAAAAGGACTAATACTGTCTGAGTCCACTTCTTTGGGGTAGCCAGAATAGACAAATTCACAGAGACAGAAAGCAGAATAGACATTACCAGGGGCTGAAGAAGGGGGGAAATGGGAAATTATTGGTTAAGGGATACACGGTATCTGTTTGTAATCACAAAAATGTTCTAGAAATGGATAGCACAATTACAACCTTGTAAATGTGCTTACCATCACTGAATTGTACATGTAGAAAGTGGTTAAGAGGGTAAATTTTATATATATTTTACCACAATTTTTAAAAATCCTTATACAACCATAGCTCTCCTGCTACCCACTTACTGGATCATTTAAATCCAATATATAGGGTTTTTTTATTCTACAGATTACATTTTTTCTGAAAAACCTATTTTTCTAAATAGTATTATCATACTAAAGCTAACCTTATAAAAATTGTATTTCATCTAACAGAAATTTGAAAAAGTTTCATCTTAAATTTATTTGAATAATTTAATTTCTGATATTTGTATTTGATTAGTTATGAAAGTCAGTAATAGAAACATAAGCTTATCTCACTAGAGGTTTATTTTACCCTGTTGGCTTGGATTTTGTGATAAGTGTTCACATAAAATTTAGCCTCTGAATAAATCTACCTGCAGCATGTACCACCCACATTCATCACTGTTCCTGATTGTATGCCTCAAATTCTCTAGAAGTAGGAAGCACTACAGATACCTGCTTACTGTGGGGAATCTAGGAGTTAGGGACTTGTATTTCCGTGAGCCCCTAGACTCATGACACCATTTGTTAGCTTGTTCTGTTTCATGGCTGACAGCTCCACCAGAATAACATGGAATGGGAAAGAAGCGATTCTCAGAAGAAAGAAATACTGAGAAAAACAAAAATAGATGTCTAGCATACCAGATCATTTTATTAGTTAATTCCACTAAGGTTTGTTGAGCACCTCTCATGTGCTTGGCACTATTCTAAGGGTGAGGGATACATCAGCTAACAAAACAGACAAATATGCCTGCTCTCATTTAGTTTACCTTGGAACTGGTCTGTTCAGCTGTAAAGGCATGTTGAAACTTGGGCAGCTGGCAGATATAACATAAAGTGCTTAGACTTCCATGGCTAACCTGTCTCCCACTTCTTGAAGTCATTGCATTCAAGGAGGATAGCAAGCTAGTATTCATGTCAGATTGGCTTCCTTATGCAGAGGTCTGCTATAGTTTCCATAAGTTCAAACCAGTGGGTGGTATTGCTGTGGTTTATGGGGCCCCTAGCATCTAGAATGAGATAAACTGGTACTGTTTTAGCTTGTGTAGACAACATGTTGGCAATAGCCAGTCAAGTTGCTGCAGGATTTCAGTCTCAGACCAAAATGGGATGAAAAATCAGGGGCCTTGATGGAACTTTGCATTTTGGGGCTAAAGCCGAGGTTCACTAGACGTGCAGGAATGCAGAGGTTTTCCAGATACATACCAGATTCAAGCTTAAGGCAGCAATACTAATTCCATTTATAGACCAAGCCCCTGGAAAGGGTGGTGTTCCCGCCAGTCTTGGTTAGATGACTTGGGACATGGGCAGGGCACAGTCTGTTAAGGGAAAAATGTCTTCAGACGGGAAATGACCATAGGATGCTGGTAGATGGATGCTATCAGCAAATAAAAATAATTGTTAGTATTTGTTAGCCAGACCTACATTTTTTCATTTATACCTCACAACAAAAACGAACAAAGGGGGAAAACCCCTCTTTGAGATCAGAAGTCTACTTGCAAGTATTAAAAATTCATATAGAACTTGCTCAAACAAAAAAGGAAATTTTTCAATACTGGCAGTACGGTGATTGTTAAGACAGACCATCCCCACCCCCCTCCTCTGTCCTGATCTCACTGCCTGTGCAGAGGGATAACATTTTTGCCTTTTGGAAATATTAGGAAATACAGTTATATATTTCAGCTCTGGAAGCCACATTCGGTTCTAGGCATCACACTTTTAAAGGGCCATTGACAAATTGCAGCATGTTCAGAGGAAAATGATCCAGATGGTGAGGAAATATGAAACCGAGTTATATAAGAAACAGTTGGAGGAAGTGGGGAGATTTAGCCTAAAGAAGAGGAGATTAACCAGAAAGTATTACAGAGACCACAGTTTTCAGATTCCAGAAGAGACACCACAGAGGTTAGGGATTCATCATGCTCTGCCCATTGGAGCCTTCCAGAACAAAGACCTTTGTCGGGAAGATACGGGTAAAGCATGGAAAAGAAATTGATAACAAAGCCATGCCAGAATGACTGGGCCTCACTGGAGGCAGGTTCTAAGGTGGGTACTAAGCCCCACATTTCTGGAGTTATTCTAACGGAGGATATCAGTCAGCACCTGCTCATTTCATACTTCCTCCATGAGTCTTCCCAGATCTCCTATGGCCAATAATCTCTCTTCCTGGTTCTCCCTTTTACTTTTTACCTCTCTGAAGTGTTTCCATGGATTCCTTTGTATTCAATTCAATTTATATATGTCCATCTCTCACTAGTGATTCTCAAACCTATTGTAATCCTTTTTATATCATGCCTTTTCCTATCCTAAAATGAAAGTCATAGTTAATGGAACCTACCTATATATAATTCCAAAAGTGTAATAAAATGCTCTAATTTTAATAAAAAGGAAAAAATAAAAGGAAAGGAATTTGTAATCAAATTACGTGTTTTGCAATATGTACATACCCAGGCATGACAAACCAGGAGGCATAATCAAGTGCATAGATTCTGAATATAGAATTACCATGAGTAGGACAGCTACAATTCAGACCAGTCCGGGTTCATCGTATTGATAACTCAAAACCTGTGAGCAGCTTTGTTGCCCATGATGTAATTTTTTAAAATGGTGAACAGCTTTTGTAAAGTTCCAAACAAACCAAGTACAGTCTTCCCTCAGTTTCCATGGAGGTTCTATTTAGGACAATTCAGTATAAAACCTGCAAAAAAAATTTTGCCTTTCTATATGAAACAGAGTTAGGTTTTAGGCTCAAACAGTTCTAAACAGATTTTCACTACGTAGATGTCCAATGGGACATTTGAAAGTCAAGAGGGATGTAAGACAGTCCCAAGTATTGCAGAATGTCCATATCCCTGGCACCTGTCCAATAAGTGCAACTAGCACCCCTTAGTCACCATAACAAACACAAATCCCCCTGTAAGCTCCCCTTATCTACTGCTCCATGAAGAACCAGACTATACAGTGAACTCTAGGAGGACGGGGTCCAGTTTTGTTCCTCTTTTAATTTTCTTTTTACTTGATACAAGAGATACTCAATGTTTCTTCAAGTAAAGAATGCAGTAAAGAGGATGCTTAACTGCTTCCCAAGTATCTCAAACTCAGTTTTTCCAAATTGAACTAAGATACCATCTTTCTGATCCCTGTCCCCACTCCCAATCTGTCTTACTTCCTTAATTTTGAGGCCTAAATGATATAACATTATACAAATCCAGCAACTATGGATTCTTCTCTCTCACTGCCTGTGACCAGTAGGTCATAGACCATTTCGTTTCTGGCTTAGAAACATGTCCTGACTCTGGCCTCCTTCATTACCTTGCTCCTGCCTCCCTTTTCATGTTCACCTGGCTGTTGTAACTGCCTGTGTCTCTGCTTCCAGGCTCCCCATCTTCAAATACACACTGAACTCTGAACATTCCATGGATGTGTCAAGCCCTCTAAATTTTGGTACATGCAGTTCCTTATTTCTAGAGTAACGATTGCCTTTTTCGCCTGAAAGACTTATCCTCATGCATCAAGACCTGGCTTCAATGTCTTTTCCTCTGTGAGGTCTTCCAAGATCAGAATTACTCTGTGTGTCTCTCTCTTCATATTCTTCTTGTGGCATTGCTTGAGTTAAACTGTATTTGTTCACATCTCTGTGGTCACTGCTAGATGGAGAGTTCCTGCCAACATGGTGAAACCCAGTCTCCACTAAAATTACAAAAATTAGCCAGGCATGGTGGCATGCACCTGTAATCCCAGCTACTCAGGAGGCTGAGGCAGGAGAATTGCTTGAACACATGAGGTGGAGGTTGCAGTGAGTTGAGATCATGCTACTGCACTCCAGCCTGGGCAACAGAGCGAGATTCTGTCTCAAAAAATAAAAATAAAAAGGCGGGGGCGGGGGCAGGCGCGGTGGCTCATGCCTGTAATCCCAGCACGTTGGGAGGCAGGTAGATCACGAGGTCAGGAGATGGAGACCATCCTGGCTAATGCGGTGAAACCCCATCTCTACTAAAAATACAGAAAAAATTAGCCAGGCGTGGTGGCTGGCGCTTGTAGTCCCAGCTACTCGGGAGGCTGAGGCAGGAGAATGGCATGAACCCAGGAGGCAGAGCTTTCAGTGAGCCGAGATTGCACCACTGCACTGTAGCCTGGGCAATAGAGCGAGACTCTGGGCCAGGCACAGTGGCTCACACCTGTAATCCCAGCATTTTGGGAGACCAAGGCCGGCAGATCACCTGAGGTCAGGAGTTCGAGACCATCCTGGCCAAAATGGCAAAACTTTGTCTCTGCTAAAAATACGAAAATTAGCCAGGTATGGTGGCAGGCACCTGTACTCCCAGCTACTGAGGAGGCTGAGTCATGAGAATCACGTGAAGCCAGGAGGCAGAGGTTGCAGTGAGCCAAGATCGTGTCACTGCACTCCATCCTGGGTGATAGAGCGAGACGCTGTCTCAAAAAAAAAAAAAAAAAAAAAAAAGTTAATTACCCATGCTTTGGAGTCAGCGGCTGGAGTTTCAGTTCTACATAATTTAGTAGTCCTCTGGTCTTGGGCAAAGTCCTTAATCTTTCAAAGCCCCAGGTTTCTTATCTGTAAAATGAGGATAATCGTGGCCACCTCATAAAGATATTGGGAATTGAATACAATGCTTACAAGATGTTTAAAACAAAGTTTGAAATATCCATTATCACTGGCTTTGTATCTATCCAACACCTCATAGTAAGCATAATAGAAAAGATACTTACTAGCTGACTTTGAATGAAAGGACTGCTGATATCAAATTCTGAGGTTTTGTGATTGAATCAAAAAATGGATGTTATATTTAGAAATTATAGCTAATTTTGTCATAAATTTATCCATGGAAAATAATCTTAAAAGAAAACAAAAGTGCTATATTTTCCTCTCTAACTTTTTTGGTGCATTAAAAGGCATTCAGGTTGGGCATGGTGGCTCATCCCTATAATCCCAACACTTTGAGGGGCCGAGGCAGGAGGATTGTTTGAGGCCAAGAGTTCAAGACCACCCTAGGCAACATAGCAAGACCTCATCTCTACAAAATATTTAAAAATTTTTAAAAAATTAGCCAGGCATGATGACACACACTGTAGTCTCAGCTACTCAGGAGGTGGAGGCAGGAGGCTCACTTGACCCCAGGAGGTCAAGGCTGTGGTGAGTCATTATGGTGCCACCGTACTCCAGCCCGGGCAGTAAAGCAAGACCCTGTCTCAAAAAAAAAAAAAAAAAGAATGAGGGCATTCGTTCTAGAACAATAATATAACAACTCTTGAACTTTTAAAGTCCACAACCACTGTGGAATATTATGTGCCTGCAAACCCCTGTGTTTTGGACTTTGACTTGTATCTTCCAAAACATGAAGTGTGAGGAATGTCACCCTTCTCTTATTAATCTGGGATGGTGAAGGACAGTGAGCACCTCTGGTATTGTTGCACTGAGCTCAGTAACTGCCCTGCAGTTCATTCACTTTCAATTGAAAATAAATATGTTTATTCAGCCTATGGACCACTTGTTTCCTTGCTTTAAGTGCTGTTTGCAATATAAAACCGAATCCTAAACTTTAAAACTTCCATAGTTAATACTCTGCTAAATGTTTAAAGCCTGACATTTAATCTCCGTGAACTGGAACGCTCTGATTTCACTGTTTTCAGCTAGTAAATGTCACTCTCAACATTGTTGCTTTCACTCACACTTAAGTGCTTTCATCTGCAGTGGGTGCAGTGTGTCAGAGAATTCTTTGTTTGCCACTTTAGTAAGGGGAAAAAAGACTAAGCTGGGCCTTGAAACAGGGTGAAAAACACTTCGTGGAAGGCAAAGATGACCCTGTTTTTATATGGAGTTTGTGAACACACAATCTTGAGTTCTACCGGATACTCTTAAAAAGCAATTACAGAGTCCTGCTGAGCTCACATGTGCTTGCCAGCCAAACAGTGGGAGTGGGGAAGGAGCAGTAGATACTATCGTTGCTTTAATTCACTTTTGCCTGCAGGAGGAATCTTGTCATCTACTGGCTCCCCAAACTATTTTCAAATGGGATATTTTATTTCTGAGTTTCTGAAGGCTACTGGCACACAGGCCAGCTCTCACTTTTCATCATTTTGACATGAAATGGAAAATCCGTTTGTGGCTGTTTTCGTAGCATGTGATTTACTCCTGTTCTTTTATCTGTCTCCCCTTTATATTTTTTGTTTGGACATATTTTTCTCTTCAGGCTTTTGCTGTCCTGGCGTTTTTATGTTCATCCTCCTTCCCCTGCCTTCTCCCCATCCCCAACCCGCTCAGCCTCCTTCCCCTGGTCCTCAGTCCCTTGCCCCACCCCTCTTGTGCTCATCCAACTTAAGGCGAGGCTGCCTGTCTTTCTCCTCCCTGATCTGTTCCATGCTGCTGCTGGGGCCGCTTGCGCTACTTCTCCCCACCTTCCAGGTTCCCCCCCCCAGGTACTTACAGGGCTTTATCAATATTGGCCCATGAGATAGCTGACAACAAGCAGTCATTGCTGAACTCATCCCTCATCACTGTTGTAGAAAAATAGATTATCAGCAACATTCTTAGGCATACCTCTGTCTTTAAGGTACTTTGTGCCTGCAACAACCAGTGTTTCCAGTTTCCTGGCAACCATATTGAAGCATGAATTTAAGCCTGGAAATAGAACATCATATGAGAAGCACCAAAGTGGAAGTTTAGAAAATCATGCCTTTCTGTCAGACACAGATTCAGGTCTCTACTCTATAGTTTATTAGCTATGTGGCCTTGGACAAATTCATTCATTCATTTAATTGAATGCCTATATTTATGCCTTGTATTTGGCTTTTAGGAAGCTAGTTAATAGCCCTCTGTCTTCTCCACTTATATTCATAACCAGTTGAGAAATAAGACATAGAAACGGCTGGGTTTGGTGGCTCACACCTATAATCCCAGCACTTTGGGAGGCCAAGGCGGGTGGATCACTTGAGGTCAGGAGTTCGAGATCAGCCAAGCCAACATGGTGGAACCCCATCTCTACTAAAAATACAAAAATTAGCCAGACATGGTGGTGCACACCTGTAATCCCAGCTACTCGGGAGGCTGAGACACGAGAATTGCTCGAGCCCGGGAGGCGGAGGTTGCAGTGAGCAGAGATGGCACCACTGCACTCCAGCCTGGACTACAGAGTGAGACTCTGTCTTTAAAATTAAAAATTAAAAAAAGAAGCCATAGAAATCAAATTATTCACTTTATCAACAATAAAAGCCATGTTGGAAGATGCTTATATATGCAGCCACCCTAGGTTTACTAATACTTCTCTCCTAAATTAGACAGCAGGCCTGCCTCTGTTTTTCCCTATCCAGCACACCAGTCGGGGTGTAGAGCATGGTCACATGTTGACAACCGACAAGCTGAAAAGAATTTAAAAAGTGAAAAAACCCATGGGGGCTGGCTGAGCATCCTCAATCTGTCCTCCTAAACTCACTGATCAGGCAAGCTGCTCTTTCTCCTTAGGGAAGGATAGACTGAGAAGGCTGAAAAGAAGAGACTGTACTCTTCCCACCTGGGGCTTGGAAATTCCCTTCCCTCCACGGAAACAGGAGGGTTGAGTATTACCCCCTAACCTTAAGCATTGTATTTAACCAGTGATTACCATGGTAAGCAAAATAAATATTGCAAGCCTGTTTTCTCACCTTAAAATATGGATAATCATAGCTACCTCCTATTGTGGCTGTGGAGACTAAAATGAAATTACAAATTCTTTACAAAGAATATGAGTGTGTGTTAACTGCCATTTTTTGATCAGGCGCAGCCTGAGGTGGAATTGGTCATTCGGTAGGTATGTGTCTTTGTGCCCTCTCTTCTTCTTCTCTTTCTGAACCTTCAATTTGGTGATTTTCTCTTTCTTCATTCCTTTTTTTTTTTTTTTTTTTTTTTAGTGTGGCATATTGGTCCTAAAGCTTTTGATTTCCAGTAAGCATAGGTTGAATTAACTCACACTGGCCAAATCTTTGCTAATCCTGGTTTATGTATTACAGAACTGATTAATTTGAACAAAGAAAGCATTTGGAACAATTAAGTCTGCTTTAGAAGTGCACAACTGGTTGTACCTAAATGATCACCAAATGCATGGCTACCAACAGGAAATATATTTCTTTTTTTTTTTTTTTTTTTTTTTTAGGACAGGGTCTTGCTCTGTTACGCAGGCTGGAGTATAGTGCCATGAACACAGCTCACTGCAACTTCTGCCTCTCAGGCCCAAGTAATCCTCCTGCCTCAGCCTCCTGAGTGTAGCTGAGACCACAGGTGCATGCCACCCAGCTAATTTTTTTTTTATTTTTTATGGAGACAAGATCTCACCCTGTTGCCCAGGCTGATCTTGAACTCCTGGGCTCAAGTGATCTTCCCACCTTGCCCTCCCAAAGTGCTGGTATTACAAGCATGAGCCACTGCGCCTGGCCAGAAATATATTTCTTGATTCCTCACATTTATTGTTGTTTTAGTAACTGGAACAATATTATGCAGCTTCTCTATTACCGTAGAAAATAATTCAGGTGAGCCTTCAAACCACAATAATGAAGAATAACAGTATAGGCAGTGAGTTTAGGAAGGAACTTTTAATCCAGGATATTTGGACTTTATTTTGAAGGCAGGAAGAAGCCATTGACGATAAGTGATGACATAAACTAGATTTGCATTTTAGGAAAAAGGCATGTAGCAGCACTGTAAAGAGTGAAATGGAGCAGGAGGGGTTGGGGCTGGGAATGTGGGTGGGAGGGTTGTGGGAACCAGGTGGGAGGAGAGATGGCCTGCGCCAGGCAGGGATGGTGGAGATCAAGAGCAAGGCCCAGATTTGAGAGGCTTTCTGAGTAAAATTAGCAGGATTTGGGCGAGAAAAGGAAAAGAGAGAAATGTATCATAGTAGGAGAGCTGTTTCCTAAAGTTAAAATAATAAGATTGTAAATGGCAGTGCTGCCAGAGGTCCTTTCCCAGCAGGATAAGAAGGTTTCCATGAGGAATCCAGCGTGGGAAAGACAGCTGGAGCCAAAGGAGAGATGGACTTGGCCAGTAAGAGAACTGGACCAGTCCCTCAGGAGGGAGCTGGAGAGGGAATCCCCTGGCAGGTTAAAATTGCAAGGAATGGGATAACACAGAGATTTGCCTTTCACTGACTGAAGACAGAGTGAGAGAGGAGGGAAAAGGAAGAGTGGAAAAGGAGTAAGTTGGTGTGTTGGGGACATTTGGGGGCTGCATGCTTTCAAGAATGCCAGGATGTTATAGATACTCCTGCCTCATAATTACGTCTAACCATTCAGATAAGCACTTGAAGCCTCATTTCAGGTTTTCCAAAAAAAAAAAAAAAAAAAAAAATGGGTCTACTGAAAATATTTAATTGGATACTTAGCTAGAGGACTTTTTTTTTTTTTTTTAACTTTGTGGACTATGTCTTTTTTGGTGGGGGTGGAGGGATTTAAATTGCATTTTTCTTTTGCCTTAAATTGCCTGAATGGAGGGAATTTGACCTCTGGGACAAGCTCTCTCTTTGTAGTCTGCTTTTTATAAGGATGTTTCATAGTTTTTAAAGACTCTCAGGACTGGAGCATGGAGTTTTTAACTAATGACATGTTTCAAAAGTTTTGTTCATATTTGTACAGGTATTATATAAAACCTGTGTTTGTTCTGAGAGATTTTGTGATATTAAACTTGCCAGCACCTCTAGACACCTAACAATGTATGAGTAATTTCTGCAGGCTTCCCATGAGATTTTTTTGTGTGTACCTGCTTTGTACAAAGCATGCGATAGGGGCTGAATACAATACCATTTCTTGATTGTAAGCTCTCTGATGGCTTACTCATCTTCCCAAGCCCAACTGCCAGGTAAAATGCCAGTACCACTATAATACCTTATACGTATTTAATCCTCACAGTAACCCTATGAGTTAGTTACCTGCCATGTCTATCCTCATTTTGTGAATAAGAAAACTGAGGCATTAGAAAGAAAATTGGCTTACCCAAAGTCTGAAGGCCAAGTGGCAGACAGGATTCAAACCCAGACAGCCTGAGACTACAGCATCTGTACTTTATTGTTATACTGTGCTGCCCTTCTGCTCAGGTTGTAACTATTTAATTCATAAATATATTTTTTAATAAAGTCATATAGATGAGACAACACACAGTGATAAGCTGGTGGTAGTTATTAGAATTTTAACATGGATTTTAGCACACTTGCTTATAATTAACATCACATTTAAAGTTAGTGTCCCTCTATCCAGTTTTCTTTCATATCTTCCCATTGCCAGCACTTCCCCCAACCAAAGGGAGCCTGGTTTTGTTTTCAGACCCAGCTCTCTGTTTCAAAGACTTACACCATAGTGGGCCAGCAGGGAAGGCTGAATGGGGTTAGACAGCCAGTGGAGGTGGGAGTCAGGAACAACAATGGACAACTGGCATAGAAGGCTACATGGCACTTACTCTCCCTGGAAACGCTCCGTCAGACTCAGGAAGTGCGGTTTAATCCTGGTTAAGATAATTCCATTTTTATGCCCTAGAATAGACTGTCTACATTCTCCAACAGAATTTTATTTTAAATGTTACCCTGAGAAGCCCTACCAGTAAATAACTTGGTGTGCATTACTTTCCCTGTTAGCTGAACTGCACAAAATAGGGGTTTATTCTGCCACCACCACCTCTTTTCCCCTTAAAAGGCTCTTCAATGAGAACCTGAGAACCTGTTGCCCCAACAGGAGATGCCTGGACTGTGGCCCAGCCATACCCTCAGTGGGATTTGGAGGAGGAGAGAAGACTGTAATGCAGTCAAAAGAGCCACTGTCGATCTTGAAAGAACATCAATCATACAGATGCCACAAAGATTCTCCTCCCCGCTTCAGTTACAAGACACACCTTTTGGTATTTATTGTGAGGCAGCCCTGTACGGAGAAACTAAAAATAAAAAAAGCAGCAAATATAAGACGTGCTAGGATCTAAGTTCTTTGCAGATCTTACTTCACTTAATCCTCGCTAAAACCCCATAAGGGAAGCACTACTCAAATCCACATATTACAGATGAGGCAACTGAAGTACAGAGAGGTGAAATGATTCCCCCACGGTCACACAGGCAGGAAGTGGTAGAGCCAGGATGCAATCCCAGGCAGTCAGGCTCCAGAGCCCATGCTTTCACAGCTATCCCTTCCCTGGACCATCAGTGCCTCAAATACCCCATCTTGTTTGCAATTAGGCAGAAACTGTTTCAATAAACAGGGGCTTCATATTTGAATTAGAAAACTCAGAGGTTTAATATTATCACCATAGTGGTTGAGAATCTCTTCCTTAACAAGATTCGGCTTTTAGTCAGGCAAGTTGTCTCCCAGATCAACTGCTGGATTAAAACTTGCTGCCCCTGCCTTTAAGACTACTCTGGGAGAGGGTCCACTCTGGTGCTACTGACAGACTGAGCCCCACCAATGAGGCCCTACTTATTGTGCCCTCACCTCCCCAAAGACCCAGGTTGTAATGTGAAGCACCTGCAGCAAACCATTTCTCACATGCCCTTTTAGCAGGGATGGAATGGGACACCTTGGCAGGCAAGATGACCTTAAGTGGCAGGGGATATGGTGCTTTGCCACCCGCCACCTCCCTATTAATGTCTTTCTGTTTTTCCACTTTTGGGTGTCTTCCTTATATCCTGTCCATATTCTCTGGATGCTCTCAACTACCCTTTTTTAAAATGTTAACAGCTGGGTGCGGTGGCTTACACCTATAATACCAGCACTTTGGGATGCCAAGGCGGGTGGATCACCTGAGGTCAGGAATTCGATACCAGCCTGGCCAACAACGGTGAAACCCTGTCTCTACTAAAAATACAAAAATGAGCTGGGCATGGTGGTGGGCACCTGTAATCCCAGCTACTCAAGAGGCTGAGGCAGGAGAATCGCTTGAACATGGGAGGCGGAGGTTGCAGTGAGCCGAGATTGTGCCACTGCATTCCAGCCTGGGTGACAAGAGTAAAACTCCATCTCAAAAAAATAAAAATAAAAATAAAGTGTTAACAGATTATTAGGGAACTAACTTCTAGTCCTTTGGATAGAACTCCACCCAGGGATACTTGCCTTCTAAGAGATGACTCCGAACACCTAACCATCACATGGAAGGGCATTCTGGCTGAGTTCTCCAATATCTGGCAGTTCTCTCTGCTATGGGAAACCTCAGGCTCACTGAAAAGCCCCTCCCAGATGGGTTCAGCAGGGCTGCTTGCCCCTAAAGTGGTATTGAGCAGGATGAGAGAGATTGGCCTTTGATGGATCACCAGTGCCCACATCTCCTTCTTCCCACTGCTTTTCCTCTTTAACACACACAGACCCCTTCTGCCAGGTTGACTGAAAGTAGGGGTACCATGCTTGGACATAGCCAGCCCTGTTCCTATAGTGTAGAGCAGAGGTCCCCAATCTCCAGTGTGCACCAGAATCACCTGAGAGCTTGTTTAAAATGTATATTCCTGGTGCCTAGACCCAGGGATTCTGATTTAGAAAGAATCTACATTTCTGTTAAGTACCCCTGATGAATGTGACGTGAAAGTGTGAGAAACACTAGCATAGAGTCACTCCTCTACTTGCTTTCAGTGGGATCCTCTCTGAATAGAACTGGGATAAACTCATTGCTTTCCTGAAGTCCTACCAATGCTCTTGTCTTTTGCATGTGCAGTAGGAAAGCGTCATTAGTGCAGTCAAGCAGTCTTAATGTAACGCAGCTAAACTTGAAGTCAGTTTTTAAAACCCTCCAAAAACCTCCTAATTTCAACAAAGCAGTGTCATTCAGCTTCTGTAAGTTACTGATGGGTGAGATGCATCACTGCTAGGATTTTGGGAAATGTGTGATGGACAATTAAAGGAAACAACCTTTGAAAGCCTGAATGCACTGACAGTGAAGGACGTTTTTATTGGCAGACCTTGACTGCTTAGTCAATGTGTGGAATCCAAACTTGGCTCCAAAATATATACATTTTTTGAGACAGAATCTCATTCTGTCACCCAGGCTGGAGTGCAATGGCACGATCTCAGCTCACTGCATCCTCTGCCCCGCCAGGTCCAAGCAGTTGTCTTGCCTCAGCCTCCTGAGTAGCTGGGATTACAGGCACGTGCCACCACGCTCAGCTAATTTTTGTATTTTTAGTAGAGACGGAGTTTTACCATGTTGGCCAGGCTGGTCTCAAACCCCTGACCTCAAGTGATCTGCCTGCCTCGGCCTCCCGAAGTGCTGGGATTACAGGCCTGAGCCACTGCGCCTTGCCCAAAATACCACGTTCTTTAAGCACACCAAGAGTACAGCAACTTTAGGATCTCAACTTGTCATATTCTACCTCCTTGCCTCTGTTTCATTATCTTTGAATATATGAATGTGTCTGTCTCTTTCTGTATATCTGTATCTCTCTCTCACACATAAACACACACACATGCACAGAATCTCATAGAGAAGTGTTCTTACATATCCTTTGACTCAGAATTAATGAATCAGATCATCTTCTATAAAAATTCTTAAGCTTATTTTTTATACTGCAAAAATAGTCTGCACATAAAATAAAGAACACTGTTGACCAGTTTTCAGTTCAGCAAGATAGAAATTTAATACATAGGTACGTGTACAAAAATTAAGGAAGTGTCACAGGAAAAATATCACTTACCTACTTAAGAGAGTGCCATGATTGAAGTCAGGAGTTATATAATCACTTTGAATTCAAGCCAGTTCTTCCTGTTTAGGACGAATACTCCCTTTTCTTGTGAAAATGTTAACCATTTCACCATTTTCTCTGCTGAAAACCTTTCCTAATCCATATTACTGTAATAATAGCATGTTATAGTCTGCTACTGATATCTCTATTAAAGCTATATAAAATGTTAATAACAAATGCCAGAATTTAACCTTTAATTAAATTCCCTGTGTCATAACCTTTCTTAGAACCCTCTTGCCTTAAGCCCACTTCTAACAAAAGCTGGACCTAGTTGGCAGGCCTCAGCCAGGCCAGTATGGTAGAGAGGAGAACCCTGGCCTAATCTTCAAAAAGCTTGGGTTTGAGTCTCAGCTATGTCACTAGCTAACTGTATGATCTCACATAGACCAGTTAATTTCTCTGTACCATAGCTTCCTTGTCTAAAACAGGAAGACAGAACATCTACCTCTCAGAGCTATTCTAAGGTTTAAATGAGGTAATTTTGCAAAATGCCACATGTAGACTCTATACCTCGCAAGTGGCAGTTTCCCAGAAAATGTCAGTGTGTTTCCCTTACTCCTCAAGCTGAAGGAAAGGGATTGACCTAAATTATTCCCTGAGGCTTCATCTAGCTCTAGCTGTCTGTGCTTTTGAGAAGCCACTTACTTCAGGGTGTGGAGAAAACAAAAGGAAAAAATACTGGGTTAGTAGGGTTTAAAACCCTCTGTGAAAACATTTCAGAGTTGAAAACACAATGAAAACAAAAAAAGATCAAGAAGCCAGGAAATCATCACCTTGGTCCAGAGAACAGGAAAACTAAAAGATTCGGTTTCCTCAACTGAAAGTAGGAGCAGCCAGGAAGGTTGGGAAAACAATGTTTGGTTAGCCTGATAAAGATCTGTAGTGACGATGCTAAGCAGGCATGGCCTGACCATTCCAACCAAAAAAATGTTTAGGTCTTTATTTATGTATTTGTTTTTCGTGATGGAACATCAGGGCAAGAAAATGAAATACCAACCTAGTGTGGCATTGACAACCTCTGAGCTCTTTTGTCTTCCCTGCAGTTACAGTCAGGGAAGCAGCCATGAAC
Source organism: Homo sapiens (assembly GCF_000001405.40). Classification (NCBI taxonomy): domain Eukaryota; kingdom Metazoa; phylum Chordata; class Mammalia; order Primates; family Hominidae; genus Homo; species Homo sapiens. The sequence goes on along the minus strand of NC_000001.11, from coordinate 94,993,923 downwards.
ATGCATGGAACGTGCAGACTGTGTAGCACGTTGGGTCTGTAGGATGCTACTGACATGCACTGAAACCAAAGCTGTGCATCCCTAAGTTGTAGAGGGGATTTTGGAGCCTGATGTCTGGATGTCTGCACTGCTTATAGCTTAGCCCAAACCCCAAAAATCAGCATGCTCGCAAGTAGGCTGGGAAGTCTAGTACGAGGGCAAAATTGACAACTCTTGTTTTGAAATGGACAAGCTCAGGCTTATTCATCGTGTCATCAGACTTGTTCACCATGTTATGGCTACAGACCTTCAAGGCCATTTGGCCATGGTCTGAGAAGTATACTACAGGGTCACTGCAGATCCTGAGTAGGGGAAGCTCAGGAATCCTTTAGGCATCCACCGTTGGTGGAAGTCCAGAAAATACTGCCCTTGGTAATCAGGCTTCTTCTATCTTTATACATGTATAAATATATATAAATTACAAATATCTTTATATATTATATAAATGTATATAAATATGTAAAGATATAAAAATATATAATTATATTTAATATTTTTAAATATTTAAATATAAATACTTAAATATCTATATATAAATATAAATAAGATTTAAAATATATATTTATATAAAGATAGAAGGAGCCTGATATATATAAATATATAAATATATTATAATATATATATTTATATAAAAAGATAGAAGAAGCCTGATTACCAAGAGCACTATTTTCTGTGACCCTTCCTCAATTTTTGCCCTGCCCAGTCTACTCCAAGTGATATATAAGACTGGAAGACAAAGAGACCAAAGTGGATGGCTGGGTTATTGTTATCTGGTATGCCCTGAAGGGTAGGCTAAGTCATGCCAGGTCAATGCTATGCCTGTGACAGAGTAACAGGACTTGAGGACAAGATTAGCATAGCCCACATAGTCTATGTGTTTCATAAGGCTCTGGCCTTTGTTCCACACAGTACCCTTAAAGTTTGAAAAATGCCACAAGTATACTACTTTATTCTTTGATGGATAATAATAGCTACCATTTATTGACACATTACCGTGGAGCAAGCACTGTGTTAAATGCTTTCATGTGTTATCTTATTTAATCTCCCCAGCAGATAGCATTTCCCCTGTGTTACATTTGCTTCTGGTTTGGTTAGCATTCCCCATCCCTAACATTCTCCACTTCACCGCTACCAATTCCCAAGAAGAGAATATGTTAGAACTGACTCTCCACCTCCCACTAAGAACTGGCAGGACCAATTCTGTCTTGCCCTGCATCTTTGTTTAGGTTATTCACTACAAGAAGTTCAGAACCCTGAGATACAGTTTCACCCTGGTATAACATTTCTATTTAGCTATAATCTGTCTCAAGCTCCCCCTCCTCTTCAACCCTCCTCTTCCATTGGTCCTCAGTAACTTCGAGTCAGTCCACAAAATCTTCATTCGTCATCCTCTTTACTGCCTCTTGCTCTTATCAGTATCTGATTCTGCCCAGAATACCCTACCAATTCATCAGATACTTGCTTGTAAGTAAGTCACCTCCTCAGGAAAGTCTTTGTCTTCTATATCACCCCATTTCCTTATCCTGCTTTTCAGTCAATGACAGACAAACAATAGTGATCCCGTAAGATTATAATAGAGCTGAAAAATTCCGATCACCTGGTGACATCATAGATGTCCTAATGTAGCACGGGTAAACAAGCCTACTGCACTGCCAGTCATGTAAAAGTATAGCACATATAATTATGTACAGTGCATAATACTTGATAATAAATAACTATATTACTGGCTTATTTACTATACTATACTTTGTATCATTATTTTATAGTGTACTCTTTCTACTTATTTAAAAAAAAAAGATTAACTGTAAAACAACTTCAGGCAGGTCCTTCAGGAGGTATTCCAGAAGAAGGCATTGTTCTCATAGGAGATGACAGCTCCATGCGTGTTAGTGGCCCTGAAGACCTTTCAGTGGGACAAGATGTGGAGGTGGAAGACAGTGATATTGATGATTCTGATGCTGTGTAGGCCTAGGGTAATGTGTGCGTCTGTGTCTTAGTTTTTAACAAAAAGGCTTAAAAGTTAAAAAAAAAGATATAAAAAATCTTTTTGTTCACCTGTACAATGTGTGTTTTAAACTAAATATTTCTACAAAAATCAAAGTTTTTTCAAAAATTTAAAAGTTTATAAAGTAAAAAAAGTTACAGTAAGCTAAAGTTAATTTATTATTGAAGAAAGAACAAAAATGTTTTCATAAACTTAGTGTGGGCTAAGTGTACAGTGTTCATAAATTCTACCATAGTGTACAGGAATGTCCTGGGCCTTCACACTCACTCACCACTCACTGACTCACCTAGAGCAACTTCCATTCCTACAAGCTCCATTCATGATAAGTCCCCTATACAGGTGTCCCATTTTCTGTCTTTCATACAGTATTTTTACTCTACTTTCTCTATGTTTAGATGTGTTTAGATCTACAAATATTTAACCATGTGTTATAGTTGCCTACAGTATTCAGTATAGTAGCATGCTGTGCAGGTTTGTGGTCTAGGAGAAGTAGTAGGCTATACAATTTAGCGTAGGTGTAACATCCAGATTTTTATAAGTATACCGTGTGATGTGCACACACAGTGAAATCACCTAATAATGCATTTCTCAGAAAGTATCCCCATTGTTAAGCAACACATGACTACATATCTATTATTTTCTGCCTACTCACTGGAATGTAAACCTTACAAGGGCAAGGACTTTTGTTCACTAATAAATCCCTAATGCTCAGAACAATACCTGTCATATTATCTTTGCTCAATAAAATATTTGTTGAACGAATGAATTCATGACAGGGGAAACTGAGACATAGCATGGGTAAGTAAACTGTCCCAGGTCACATTGCTGTTAAGCAGCCAACCAGGGTCTGCATGATTGCAAAGCCTTGGTGCATAAGCACCATGTTATTCAGCCTCTTGATGAATTATGTCAATGCACAACAAGCAGGAATATTCTGACCAGACCAGAATAATCGATAGAGCAAGTTAGAGGGAACTTATCAACTGGGCAAGATCCTACAGAACCGAAGTTTACTGTTCTTCTCAGTTATTTTTTTGATTAAATTGGAAAGTTTTTTTGAGTTGTCACCAAGCAAAATGCAAGTAACTAATATTTGAGGATGAGCCAATAAATTCAGTATCCTTAAAACATTAGTGCATTAGCCTAAATGAAAACAATTTATAACTTGCTTACCTTTTTGGTATGGTTTAAAAGAAGATGAAAGCTATTCTGGGTAAAGAGAAATCGGCAAGTGGCTAGATGACTGTAGTACGTTCACGCAGTGGCACAATTGTGCCTATGTAGAAACATGGAATGGATGTAGTTGTATACGTGGAAAAGTAGACCCCAAAATGCTGTATACACAATGATGACATCTCTGAAAATTCTGTTACCAATAGAATTGTAAGAGACCTTGGGTTCATAGATAGTCAGGGATTCGAGGGTTTAGAATTTATTTGGTGATTTAATGTTGTTCTTGATATTTTGATGTTTCTGTTTAACTGTTACTCCTCAGATGATTAAATAAACATAAAAAAGAAGAAATACAATGTACCATCATGTGAGCCAAGCAAATACGTCATCCCCATCTGCTGCACATCCTTTTCCTTCCTGCTGTCCACCTCCACTGATCGCTGACATTCAGCAACTGCCTTTCCCAGGCTTCAGCCCGGCCTTCCTGTCCCCTGACTGTAACCTCTGCATGTTATATACCACCTGACTCTAACTGCATTTTCTTCTTTACTCCCTTGATTACTCTCAGATTCTTCTCTTTCTAGTTGCCTGAGGCTTTTGTCCCACTGCTTTTGCCCTCCTGTCTTAGATAAGTCCTTTTGCTTATCCTTTCCGTACCCTGGAGCACTCTCCCAGCCTCTTTTTGCTGTGCAGTCGCCATCCATGTTTTGCCCTGTCTGACTCCTATGCCCATGGTCCAGTGCTTTTAGCCCTGTCTGAGGAAATCCTGTGACTGCTCTGATGTGATCTGGCCCCCTCTGTCTCTACATTTGCTGCTCTCAAATCTTTGTTCCTCCCATCTAGTTAGGGTTCTTGATAGCAAACTATAGAAATCTACTCTGGCTGATTGAAACAGAAAAAGGATTTAGTGAAGGCTATTGAGAACTCTTGGAATTACCAGCAATGTCAATTAAGTAGGCTTAGAAAATATAGAGGGACAAAGTGGGAACTGAGCAGCCAGAACCATGAATGAAATTCTATGGCCACAGAGCTGGTTTCAGGAGATGCTGCTGCTACTGTTGCTGGACAGTGAACGCTGCAGCTGGCACCACTGGCACTGGATGCTGGACCCCTGCCAGCAGTACCTTTGCTACCAGAACAGAGTCTCCTCCAGCCCTGCCCCTCTGTAGCACTAGCTCCTGGTCAGATCTAGGCAGAAATAGCTGGGCAAGTCACTGGCCCATCTACTAGCTGTAAGGAGGCCTAGAAAGGAGTATCTCACTTCTGCTGTGAGAAAGGGGCTTTGCCTGCAACCACAGCTCATACTCTGGGAAATTGCTTAAACAAATTCTAGACAGGAACAAAACAAAGAAAAAAAAAGACCACATGGTCCATTCCTGATCCATAATAATTGTTGTATTAAACTTTCCACAACTTCCTTAAATCCTGAAAGCTACTTCTTCCAACCTCTCACTCAGCAAGAACTCTGGTATATAGTTTAACGCAAAATTAAACTTTAGGGATCACAGATTTATACACAAAGATGTTCATAACAATATGATTTAGAATAACAAAAAAGGAGTCAGCCTAAATTTCCAACAATAACCATTTCCATTAACAAGAGAATGGTTAATGAGTTATGAGATCTCCATAGGATTAAATATATGCAGTCATTAAAAACCGTGAGTTTTTAAAAAGTATTTTAAAAACAAATATAACTAACTTTACTAATATTATGTATAAGCTCTCACAATTGCAAATATGCATATATGAACATATATTAGAGTATAAATATATACAAAGACGTAAGTTAGAAGAGAATACACCAAAATGTTAAGATTGGTGAGATTAAAAGGATTGTGTTCTTTTTTGTGCTTCTCTGTATTTTTCACACTGAGATGAAAAGTTAATATTTAAAAGAGGGGCAAACTTTCTATGCCACTATTTTTATCTTTTATCATATTCTCAGTACAACTTTTCCCAAACCAACCTCATGAACCAAATACTCTGAATACTTACTATTTTCTCCTGGTATTGAAAGAACTTACCCTTTTCTATGTGGTCATTTCCTCCTTCACTATCAGTTTGTTCTCACTGATGTTTATGTTCACATGTAGATCATTCATTCCATTCTGTAAACCCTTTCCCCAGCCCTGCTTGGCCCATCCAGCTGACACCTGAGCTCCCCTCTCCCACAGCATGCTTACTTTTCCCCTGCCCTGTATTTTGGTCCAATGACTCACTGAAATAGCCATCTCTGAGGTTTCCATTACTCTTCTCTTGACCAAATCTGAAGATCTTTTCTCTGTCTCTATCTTTGTAGCTCTGCTACCTGCAAGAAATGGTATTGATCATTTCATCATCTTTGACACACTTTTAGGGATAGGCAAGGGACCTTGTGGTTTTCTTCTTCTTTGTCTAACCATTCTTAAAGCATTTTCCTGACTTTGCTTCCTGTTCAGCTTTACAGCCAAGCTTCTTCTCTTTCTTTCTTTATTGACAATTCCTACATGTCAGTGTTTTCTCCCTTCCTCATTTCCCCATTTACCTGTCTACGTAATGGAGCCAATACCCTATAAACAGAAGCATTGATTTTGACAGAACCCTTGACCTCCAGGTAGGCTACCTACCCGAGCCAGCCCAGCTTTGACAGTGGGCTCCAGTTCTCTACCTTCATCCATGGCCCCAGGAGCTCAATAAAGCTTTCCCTGCAGCTGTGTTCCTACAGTTCATGACCTCTCTCCAGCCTTCACCTCCATCAGCAAGAGGCTATCAGAAAGTCTGTGTTTGGGCCAGTGCCTTAGAGTTGGACTCTGCTTCTCTGTCCAGTCTCTTAAAATTGAAGCCTTAATTGGACTCTTCAGCTGCCTTTCAGTCTTACCTTCATATGCTCTCTCGGGTCACCCTCAACTCCGTGATCTCTGACCTACAAACCAACCCAGGATGCCAAAGTTCTTAGCCCATATTTGGCGGGGGTGTTTTACTGGATCAGGAGTCAAATTCAGACTACTCAAGTTAAATACATCTTTTCTATGCATTTACTTATTTTTCTTATCCATGAGTTTCCTGAAAATATGTCTTTTCATACATGCAGAATGTTATGTTTCAGCCAATGGGACTTGACCTGTGGTGACCCAAATCTACAGAACAACAATCCTGTTGAAACTGCTCTTGATCCTTGATCTGGCTCATCTATGCTCATGACCTTGTATTTATATCAGTCCTGTCCTCTTTCCGTTTTCTAAACCCATAACATATTATTTTTAGTATCTTAGACTTCCTGCTTTTAGAGAAGTTTATTTATTGATTTGTTAATCATCCAACAGACACATATTGAACCCCTACTGGTTGGTGCTGCACATGGTCAGAGGCTAGTCAGGGAGTTGAACAAAACAAAGGGCTGTGTCACTTAGTATGCTTCTATTGCCAGTGACAGAAATCCTGATTCAAATGATTTAAGCAGAAATAGAATGTATTCCCTCACCTACCTGGCAAGTCTAGGGACAGGTCTGGTTTCCTTCAGGCACAACTGGATTCATGGATCGTAATGCTGCCTTTGGGACCTGGCCTGTCTTCATCTCTCGGCTCTGCTCTGCTTTGTGATGGCTTCATTCTCAAGCTCTCTACATGGTGGCAAAATGGATGTCAATAGCACCAAGGCCACATCCTCCTCAGTTCCAGAACAGTAGAAAATGTGCGGCTTTCTCAGCAGCTCCAGCAAGTGTTCTGCTAAGTCTTGTGGTTTCTGACTGGACTGTGTGCTCTTCCCTGAACCAGTGACTTTCACCAGGGGAATTCGATGCTCTGATTGGTCAGACTGGAGTCATACATCCTCTCCTTACAGCTGGGTGTGGAGTCAGGTCTACACAAGCACTTAAATTGAGAGCGAAGGATACAGTGGTTCGTTCCCGAGGAAAAGGTGATGGATGTGGGATGGTTAAAAAAAAAAAAAAAAAGGGCCAGGCGCAGTGACTGATGCCTGCAATCCCAGCACTTTGGGAGGCCAAGACAGGAGGATCATGAGGTCAAGAGATCGAGACCATCCTGGCCAACATGGTGAAACCCCGTCTCTACTAAAAATACAAAAATTAGCTGGGTGTGGTGATGCATACCTGTAATCCCAGCTACTCGGGAGGCTGAGGCAGGAGAATCACGTGAACCAGGGAGTCAGAGGTTGCAGTGAGCCGAGATTGTGCTACTGCACTATAGCCTGGTGACAGAGCAAGACTGTGTCTCAAAAAAAGAAAAAAAGAAAAAAAAAGCTGTCAGTCAACCACATAAGTGTATGGTTAGAATTACAGATGGTCAAGTTTGGCAAAGGAAACATTTGAGTCAATATAGGGTAAGCAAAGACCCACTCCTTCTATACTCCCTTGCTTCTTCCTTTCTTTCTTCCTTTCAGCAAAATTTAGTGAATGGCTGCTTTGTTCTAGGTGCAGAGTATACACTGTTCTAGAAGCGGACTCTGCCCATAAGGAGCTTACAGAGTAGTGAGGAAGAGAGATGGCCCGGGTGGTGGTGTGAGACACATTCACTGATAATTTATATTTTGAGAAATGGAAGTATGAAGAGTATTTCTGTGTTTTTTAAAATTAAAAAGACAGTTCCAATCATTATATCATTTAACATCTTTACTTAGACTGTCTCAGTGAGTTCTGCTTTGTTCAATGCTTGGAATAAGTCTCTCTGGTATGCTTCTTTGAATAATGAAGACTCCATAATCCACTTTTATTTTTTTGCCTAGGCTGCTGCAAAAAGAGGTAAAACCTTTGTGTAATTAAAAGTAGCTTTCCTTAGATTAGGTTTCCTTTGAGATTAGTTTGCTTTTTTTTTTTCAGTCCTTGATTTATGGGTTTGTGGTTTTATTGTACCAGGGACTTTTGTAGTAAGGTGCTTCCAAATATACGGATGCAAGAGAGATAAACAAAATACCTTTAATTTACACTTTTATCTTAACAGTCTCTACTTCTGACCTGTGGCAGGTTGTTAATGCATCTCCCAGCAATGCCAGTCATTTCCCTTCCCATATACAGACATCTCTAGCTGTGTATACATAGTTTGTGTATAGAGAGTTGACTAGATGTTGAAATGAACACATGGATTTGTGCATTTTTTTAAAGAGGAACAAATGTGAAATTCTTTCTGTGACATTCAAGATCCAGCAATCCTTGCATTATTTTTTAGCTGTAGTTTTTATTTTGTTCTGTATTATTGAAACAAAGACTAAGAAAAGAACACAAATAATCCAAGGATTAGGGAGTGCATTAATAGAGTGGTTGTCAACTGGAGACATTTGGCAGTGATTGGAGTCATTCTTGGTTGTCTTGATTACTGGAATCTTGTGGGTAGAGGCCAGGGATGCTGCGAAGCACGCTAAGTAAGATGCACAAGACAGGCCCCCATAACTAAAATATCCAGTCCAAAATATTAGTAGTGCCTGGCAATAATTGGATTTTTGGAATTCTAAACATTGAAAAGATTCAGAGCAAGTTTGTAATTTAGGTTTAAGACAAAGAGGAAAATTGTAGAGTTATAGAACCCTGAAAGACATTTAGTCCAGCCTACCCATTTTCTAGTAAGGTAACTGCTAGAAATAAAAAAAAAGTGACCTGAAGCAACGTAACTCCTTCACCTCCTAAACATGTGATCAAGCAACTTGCCCAACTTCTGTGTGCCTGCCTTTTCTCCTCTGCAAAAAGGGATGATACAACTTGCTTGTGCTCACTTTGGCAGCACATATACTAAAATTGGAATGATACAGAGTTATTAAAAACAAAAAAAAGAAAAAAAAGAGAACTTGTCTCAAATTATGATTGCTGTGACGATTAATTAAAATGTAATACACGTAAAATGTTTAGTGCAGTACTTGGCCATAGTGCGTTGTGAATAAATAGCAGTGGTGAGGGCCGAGGTGGTGATTGTTCTTTATGCTGTTGCCCAGAATCACAGAGCTGGTTTGCAGTTTGTTTAACCTTGTTCCCCTGACTCTCAGTTCCATTTTCTATTACACTGCCTTGGGGGACTATGAAGAAGGGTTATAGGGGCAACTTAATGGAGATTAAAGACCAGTCTGGACAGCAGCTTAGTAGCTGGTAATTCAAGGGAAAGTCTGAAGACAAATTCTCCATAAAAGACAGAAAGGGGATTTGTAGATGGTAGGTAGAGAGCTTTGAGGAAGACATAAGGAAGATTGGTCTCATCTAAAACAGACTCTTTTCCCAAAGCTCTGTGAATGGTGTTTCAGGTGGTCACACCTCCTGGTGGAGCCTAGACCAGGTGACCTTTTTCAAACCCTACAGCCCTGACCATGTTCACATGGAGGCAAGATGGCTCTCTTTCTGTCGGGGAGAGTCCTTGAAATGCTGGGGTGGTATAAACAATATAGACAGTATATATGGGAACCTTTCCAACTCTAAGATTCTCTGGTGCTAAGTTTTGTGGACCTTAGGCTGGTAAGATCATGTGACATAGAGCATGCCCAATAGATATGTGTAGACAATCACAAACCTCTTGTTTTATGGTTTGTGGAATAAAGTGCTTTATTAGATTTTACTAATTCAGTCAACATGAGCATATAATTAAGATGTTGTGTAAAATGCTTTTTCCTCTGAAAACAGTAATATCTTACCAACAATTCTCTGAAACAGGTTTTCTCTTATTTTCTTCAATGGCTTATAAAAATTCAGCTGGGCTCGGTGGCTCATGCCTGTAATCCCAGCACTTTGGGAGGCTGAAGTGGGCAGATCATGAGGTCAGGAGATCGAGACCATCCTGGCTAACATGGTGAAACCCCATCTCTACTAAAAATACAAAAAAAAATTAGCCGGGTGTGGTGGCGGGCGCCTGTAGTCCCAGCTACTCAGGAGGCTGAGGCAGGAGAATCGCTTGAACCCGGGAGGCAGAGGTTGCAGTGAGCCGAGATCACGCCACTGCACTCCAGCCTGGACAACAGAGCGAGACTCCATCTCAAAAAAAAAAAAATCTTCATAGTCAATTAAAGATATTTTCTCCCAAATCAAGAATAAGTTGGTACATTAAAGAAAACAGTGAATCTCAGTTGATTTTGTTTTCTGTATTTTTATGTGACATTCAAGGTCCACAGAGCAGTCAGAGAAGAGCAACACATGCCTGTCCGATGAGTGCTGACTGAGCACCAGGAACTGTGCTAGAAGTTAGAAGTTAAGTGATTTGCCCTGAGTCACACAGTTGGTAAGCAAGAGAGCCAAGACAACACAGCTCTGCCTGGCTCCAAAGTGCATGGGCTTAAACATGCGCTGTTTGCTGCATCCTGGTTCTTGACAGAGAAGGACTTATTAGAATCATAAGCAGATCCCCTCTGAAATCAGGCTGTTCTTAATGCAAAATGCCTCCCTTAGATTATTATTCTGTATTTTCATTTGACCTTCAACTTTTTCTTTCAGGTGTTGTGTAACGGACCAGGAACATGTGTTCCTATCTGTGTATCTGCCCTTCTCCTTGGGATACTAGGAATAAAGAAAGTGATCATTGTCTACGTTGAAAGCATCTGCCGTGTAGAAACGTTATCCATGTCCGGAAAGATTCTGTTTCATCTCTCAGATTACTTCATTGTTCAGTGGCCGGCTCTGAAAGAAAAGTATCCCAAATCGGTGTACCTTGGGCGAATTGTTTGACAAATGGCAACTGACTTCTTTAGAATTTTGCAGTTAACAGTAGTATGTACTCAAATTGGGGGGAAAAAAACCCTACATGTTTCTTGTAAAGGCGTCTGACAGTCCTGAGAATTATTGATGGTAAGGAATAAAAAATGTACAGATGACTCAGTGAAGAAACTGAGGCTTCTCTTATGAAACAAACATTGATAAACGTAACTACTAAATGTTTATGCCTCTGTAAACCAAATTTCTTTTCTAGATAAAAATATGTATTACTACCTGCAAATTTTCTTCTGGCTGTTTTAGTAGTATTTTTTTTACAGAACTAAATATAGAGTTTGTATGATTAGTAATATTTCCTGTCCTACAGCTTTTTTTTTTTTTTTTTTTTTTTGTAAAGTATTCTGCATTGTAAAAGAAGAGAGAAAAAAAGTATTTCTGAGTTTTGGTTCAGATACAAAAGGCTTTATTTCCTGTATGGAAACAGTGATGTCCCCAGTGAATCCTTTCAGCATAAAGGAAGCAGTTATATTAAATTGGCTTCATGACAATTTGCACTCCACAAGCCTCCAGAACCTTGAGCATAAACCAGTATCATTTTTTGTACTTCAGTCTTGCTTTTTGAGTAGTTGGCCTTAATACAGAGTATCTTTTAAAATCTCTTGTTTAGGCCGGCATGACGGCTCACACCTGTAATCCCAGCACCTTGGGAGGCTAAGGCGGGTGGATCACTGGAGGTCAGGAGTTTGACACCAGCCTGACCAACATGGTGAAACCTTGTCTCTACTAAAAATACAAAAATTAGTCAGGCGTGGTGGCACATGCCTGTAATCCCAGCTACTCGGGAGGCTGAGGCAGGAGAATCGCTTGAACCCGGGAGGCAGAGGCTGCAGTGAGCCGAGATTGCACCATTGCACTCCATCCAGCCTGGGTGACAAGAGTGAAACTTCGTCTCAAAAAAAAAAAAAAAAAACAAAACTCAATGATGTAGGGACTGTTATTATTCCCATTTTACAGATGACTTGTCCAAGATCACATGAGTAGTAAGTAGCAAAGCCAGAATTCAAGTTCAGGTAAACCTGACTTCTTAGTGGGGCCAGTTTCACGGGTGTGTGGCCTGTGCAGTCACACAGAGTTCTGCACTGAAGAGGGCCTCCACTTGGTTTAATGTTCTGCTGTGACTCTCTTGAACTTCTGAATATTTTTTTAAACAATGAACTTATATTTTAGACCCTCTGAATTCTTTCGCTGGTCCTGCTTGAGACTGTGTTTCTAGTGGTGCCATGTCTACTGGAATAGAAGTACAATAGTTAGTGCAGTGCCTGGCCCAGGAGCTCCTCAAAAACAGGAATTCCATTTCCTTCCCTCTAACCTCTGCTTCTTTAACAAAGCAGCCAAAAAAAAAAAAAACAAAACAAAATAAAAAACAGAAAAGAGAAGATTCTCTCCTGTAGTATATATAGGTTTTTTCCTCTTAAATCTTTTGCTTTATAAGTATGATATAAATCTAATAAATAGTGATTAGTGAAGTGATTGAATTTTTGTGAAAAGAGACATGATTATCCACGATCATGTAAGATTAAAATCCTGAGGCTGATCCAGCCTTTTTTCTTTTTTTTTTTTTTAAAAAAAAAAAGCAAAAAAAACAAAAAAACTGTCTTCTCTGAATCATGTAACAGGCGCATCTGTCAGCCGGACATCTTCCTAGGTTTTTGGCTGGAGAAATGTGTAGCCGAAGGTGTCTCAGAATGGTGAGAACACTTTGCTGTCTGGATTTAGTGGGCCTGGGGCAGCCAAATGATAGTTCATTGTGCTTTGATTTTAATCCTCAAATCTCAGTCACTGGTTGCTTCCCTGGAGTATCAGAGCGTATTAGTATCATACAACCAGGGGCTGAGGTGAAATAAGCCTTGACTGTTCTAGAAAGAAAGTGATTTTTTCAGGGACAACAGCATCTGCATTTTATTGCTGTTTAAGGCTTTCTCTGCTCTGTACTTTGTTCCCTGAGTGGCACTAGGTAAATGAATGGTAAGGGAAAGTGAACTGCGTTTAGTGAATGCCTCTCTGTGCTGTGGGGCAGCTTCCCTGGGCCCCCACAGGTAATCCTGCTGCAGAGGCTTCTGTCAGGTCAGAGCTTAACAAAGATCAGACCAGAGAGAATTGTAGAAAAGATGCTATAATTTTTTCCAGAAACATATGTCCCAGATGTTTTGCAGAGCCTTAACTTAAGACAGTGGTTAGCCTGGAATGTCAGAGAAAGAATGTGTATGTGTTATATCACCAAAAGTTTAGAAATGTTATATCTTTCATAGGTTCAGGCTGCTGTGTACTCATTCAGAGCCAGGCTGAGACATGTGTTATTGCATCTTCCTGATCATTCAGATTACTCTGGTAAACAAGTGCATGCTCTGCTGTGTGTTACTGTTATGGCTAATTTGAGTCCTCAAGGTCCCATTAGCAGAGGGGGCTGGTGGCACAATTTCCCTGCTGTGCATTTCTGTGACATTCAGAAAGATAGTGCGCCAGTCCCAACTCAAACTGAAGAAGATGAGTAGCTAGCTTGTCCCTTCCAGTTTCTCTTAGAACACTCTGAATGCAACTTTTACTGTAGGAGACTGTTCATGAAAAAATTAATTGAATCAGTCTTCAAATGAGAGGCAGGGAAACCACACATCCTGCCCACACCTACTTCCCTGGAAGATTTCTATCTACAGTCCAGCTATCCTAAAAGGTCTCAGTAGCTTGCCAGGTCAGAATGTCTAACTGTTTCAAAAAGGATGCCCAAAAATCATGACAGGAAACTTTAGCCTGGAACGAAGAGTGCTATGAAACCGTGTCAACAAGAGGAGTGGTGACAATTGTGAGTTGAATAGCAAGATGTCCTTGCTAGGAAGGAGATGACCCAAGCTTCCCCTTATAAAAGCAACTTGGAACACATCATTCTACCTTTCAAAGATACATGGTAAGTTAAAATTGAGAAACGTACCCCTTTACTATACAGTTCCTTGGGTTGAATGAGTGCTTTTTTTTTTTTCTGAAAAGCCCCATCCCCCAAAAGGCATTTGATAGCAATGTATTAAGCACCTTTTACCAACAATAAGAACATCATTGTAAGTGTTAAAGAAAATTGTCCTTCTCCCTACAGGTCAGCGTTTGAGCCTCACGGGGTTTCTTCCCATGACTTCAGCCCTGGCGCACAATGAGCAGACACCCAAATCTTGTCCGCCTTCAACATTCTTTTGTTAGGGCCCATCCCTCTAGCACTCTAAAAACAAATCATCTACAACTGTGTTCCTGCTGCCCACTCATTTTAAACATGAATTTGACATAGCTCCTCCTTTTCGCACTGGAGTAGTTAACTAATGCTAGCCCACTAGCTTCTATCATGTCCCTCAAGCAACAAACTTTGGGATCATTTTTGCTTTTTCACTCTTTCTTTACCCAATTATAATTGGTTGCCTTTTTTGTTTCATTATCCCCAGAATTTTCTCGTCTTCCTCTTCTCTCCTTGAAATTACTTTTACTGTTCCTCTCCTTTGTCATCACCTATTGATTCTGCCTTTGACTTAGTTCATATCTACCCTTTCCTTTTCAGTCCCATAGTTACAACCTAAGCCAGCTCTTCAACAAAAATTTCTTGCTTGATGAGCAAGTTTTATTGAGGAACTGAGGAAACACCTGTGGAAGGAACAAATGAATGATTTTGTTAATTACTTATGTTTGTCTTCAGAGACTTCCCCTCATGCTAGTTCTGTATACTTGTTTCACTTTTTTCTTTCTTTTTTTTTTTTTTTTTTTTTTTTCGAGACAGTCTCGCTCCATCGCCCAGGCTGGAGTGCAGTGGTGCAATCTCACCTTACTGGCTCACTGTAACCTCTGCCTCCTGGCTTCAAGCGATTCTTGTGCCTCAGCCTCCCGAGTAGCTGGGATTACAGGCATGCACCACCACACCTGGCTAATTTTTGTATTTTTAGTAGAGACAGGGTTTTACCATGTTGGCCAGGCTGATCTTGAACTCCCAACCTCAGGTGATCCACCCATCTTGGCCTCCCAAAGTGCTGGAATTACAGGTGTAAGCCACACGTCCGGCCCTTGTTCCACTTTTTATAATATTTACACCACAGAGAGGTTAAGTAATTTATTAAAGATTATAGAACTAGAAAGTGACAAAGCTCAGATTTGAACCAAGGCATTCTAGCTCCAGCCAGGCTTACCTTAATAGCTACGTTAGGTGTTTTTTTTTTTTTTTAAAGAAAAAAGAAAAAATGTCCTCAAAAGGAAATAAATGGGGTAACAGGGTACTATGACGGAGTAGAAGGTAGTTGGTGTTCTAGATAGGGAAATCAGGAAAGGCCTTTCTAAGAAAGTGGTATTTTACCTGAGTTCCAAAGGATAATGCCTTAAATATTTGTCCTCCTTCTACTTCACTCCCAACTTAGATTTTGCCCCACCCACAAAGTCTTTGTCTTCATTTAGCTTGAGCAAATTCTCTAAATAACTCTGTGACATAGCCACCCATACCAAAGGTTAGTGCTGAGTTATATACCATCGAATTGCAGTCCTTGTTCTTAGAAACACCTGTGGAAGGAATAATGAATGCTATTGCTGATTATTTATGTTTGTCTTCAGGGACTGTACCTCATTCTAGTTTTGTATCCTTGTTCCACTTTTGATAGTATTTACACCACAGCTCTGTACAAAACATAGGCACTAATTAAATACATAAATTATTTGGCCAGGCATGGTGGCTCACGCCTGTAATCCCAGCACTTTGGGAGGCCAAGGTGGGTGTATCACAAGGTCAGGAGTTCAAGACCAGCCTGGCCAAGATGGTGAAACCCCATCTCTACTAAAAATACAAAAAATTTGCCGGCGTGGTGGCGGGCGCCTGTAATTCCAGCTACTTGGGAGGCTGAGGCAAATAATTGCTTGAACCAGGGAGGTGGAGGTTGCAGTGAACTGAGATGGCACCACTGCACTCCAGCCTGGGGGACAGAGCGAGACTCCACCTCAAAAAAAAAAAAAGAAAAAAATTATAGCTTCAGACTTGTCTAGGCTCACTTCAGTTATATTTTATCTAGACCAGTGCTTCACAAACGTTTTGATCTCAGGACCTCATTATACTAAAAAATTATTGAAAACTGGCTGGGCACAGTGTTTCACACTTGTAATCCCAGCACTTTGGGAGGCCGAGGTGGATGGATCACCTGAGCCCAGGAGTTTGAGATCAGCCTGGGCAACACAGTAAAACCCCATCTCTACAAAAAAAATACAAAAATTAGCCAGGCATGGTGATGCACACCTATAGTTCCAGCTACTTGGGAGGCTGAGGTGGTAGGATCACTTGAGCCTGGGAGGTGGAGGTTGCAGTGAGCCGAGATCATGGCACTGCACTCCAGCCTGGGTGACAGAGTGAGACCCTGCCTCAGAAAAAAAAAAAATATATCCCAATGAGCTTTTGTTTGTGTGAGCTATATTTGTCAATATTTACCATTGTAGAAACTAGACAAAAATTTTAAACGCAAGAATATAAAAGGACATATTCCACTGGCTGTCAGAACAATATCATCACACATCTTGTAGCATCTGGAAAACTATACCATCATAAGAATGACAAGGAAAAGGCAAATAACATCTTAATATTACTATGAAAATAGTTTTGACCTCATAAACCCCTAAAAACGTCTTGAAGACTCCCCAGGACCTTGGACCACATTTTAAGAACTGCTGCTTTACATAATGTCACATCAGCGAATTCATCTCTTCTTTTTTTAAAATAAGAGGCAGGGTTTCACTATGTTGTCCAGACTGGTCTCAAACTCCTGGTCTCAAGGAATCCTCCTATCTTGGCCTTCCAAAGTGCTGGAATCACAGGCATGCGGCACTGCGCCCGGCCTATCTCCTCTTTAGTCAGTCAGTGATCTGTGTATTAGTTTTATCGCTGTGTAAAAAATTGCCACACATATATTGGCTTAAAACAATACATTATCTCTGTAGGTTAGAAATCCAGGCAAAGAAGGTTTTCTGCTCAAGATCTCAAAAGGCTGAAATCAAGATGATGGCCAAGGCTGAGTTCTGATCTGCAACTCTGAATCCTTTTCAGATACCTTCAGATGGTTGTTGGCAGAATTCAGTTCCTTGCAGTTGTAGGATTTGTGGTGGCCTGCTTCCTATCTTTTAAGGACTCACATGACTGAGTCAGTGTAATCTCCCTTTTGATTAATTCAAGGTCAACTGATTAGGATCATAATTACGTCCCTTTTGCCATGTTAATGTAACATAATCAGAGGAATGACATGTCATGATATTCACAGATCCCACCCATACTAACGGATAGTAGATTATCCAGGGCATGTAAATCAGGGGGTGGAATATTAGGGGACATCTTTTTTTTTTTTCTTTAAGACGGAGTCTCACTCTGTCACCCAGGCTGGAGTGCTGTGGTGCAATCTCAACTCACTGCAACCTCTACCTCCCTGGTTCAAGCGATTCTCGTGCCTCAGCCGCCTGACTAGCTGGGATTTCAGGAGTGCACCACCAGCCCGGCTAACTTTTGTATTTTTAGCAGAGATGGGGTTTCACCATGTTGGCCGGGCTGGTCTCGAACTCCTGGGCTCAAGTGATCCGCCCACCTCGGCTTCCCAAAGTGCTGGAATTACAGGCGTCAGCCACCATGCCCGTTCTGGGGGCCATCTGAGACTTCTGCCAACCACAATCAGCTAGATGTTTTTTGTTTTGTTTTGAAAAAATAATAATAATAACCTTTCACTTGGGCCACCAAACTCCTACCTTAGTATCCAAGTTCTCTAATTTTTTTTTAATATGGGAAATCCACATCTCCCAAACTCTATCCCTTTTCTGGCAAGTTACTTGACCTTTCTGTAAAATAAGCATAATGTACCTGCGTTAGAGTTGTAGGGAGCACTAAACATTCAGATGATGTATGTACAGTGTTTAGCACAGAGCCTGCTAAATAGTAAGCCCTCAAGCCCTCAGTCACATTTGTCTCCATCAGTGGTAGCTCCCCTGGTGTGTTAAGGAGGCTCTTCTTTCTTTTTTTTTTTTTTTTTTTTTTTTGAGACAGAGTCTCGCTCTGTTGCCCAGGCTGAAGTGCAGTGGCGCGATCTCGGCTCACTGCAAGCTCCGCCTCCTGGGTTCACGCCATTGTCCTGCCTCAGCCTCCCGAGTAGCTGGGATTACAGGCGCCTGTCACCACGCCCGGCTAATTTTTTTTTTGTTTGTTTTTTTTGTATTTTTAGTAGAGACAGGGTTTCACTGTGTTAGCCAGGATGGTCTCCATCTCCTCACCTCGTGATCTGCCCGCCTCGGCCTCCCAAAGTGCTGGGATTACAGGCGTGAGCCACTGCGCCCGGCCAGGAGGCTCTTTTTAAACTAAGGGCAGCAACCCCCTAGGGTGGCTATAGTCCAAGAAAACCCAGAAAATACATGCTGCCAAGGATTTGGAGAAATTGGAGCCCTCCTACATTGCTGGTAGGAATGTAGAATGGTGCAGCAGCTGTGGAAAACAGTTCAGCAGTTTCACAAAAATCAAACATAGGGTTATCATATGACCCAGAAATTCTACCCATAGGTGTATACCCTGGAGAATTAAAAACATGTATTTACACAAAAACTTATATGTTCGCAGCAGCGTTATTCATAATAACCCGAAAGTAGAAACAACCCAAATGCTCTACTAATGAACAGATAAACAAAATGTGGTATATCCATATAGTGGAATATTACTCGATCACACAAAGGAATGAAGTACTAATACATGCTACAGTGTGGATGAACCTTGTAAACAGTAGGCTAAGTTACAGAAGCCAGCCACAAAAGACAACAAATGCATGATTCTATTCATATGAAATGTCCAGAGTAGGCAAGTCCATAGACAGAAAGTAGCTTAGTGGTTTCCAGGGGCAGTGAGAAGGGGAAATGGAGGGCAACTCCTAATGGGTATGAGGCTTCTTTTGGAGGTGATGAAAATGTTCTGGAATTCGACAGTGGTGATGGTTGTACATCTCTGTGAATATACTAAAAGCCACTGAATTGTATACTGGGTGAATTTTATGGTATCTGTAGACATTCCAATTGACAGTCACATCTTAGTATAGACTTTGAGTCATCTCACTGGAGGCACTAGACATGCAAGAGGAGAAGTCTCCAGATTATTCCAGCCCTGCCATTTGAGTCACTCCAGGCTTTCTGGTCTTCCCAGCTGAGGCTCAGACACCTTGGAAGAGAGAAAAGCTCTCCCTTCTGTGCCCTGTGATTTGCTGATCCACAGAGTTCATAGGCATGATTAAATGGTAGTAGTTTTCCACCACGAAGTTTTGGAATAATTTGTCACAAAGCAATAGGTAATTAGAAAAATAACCTTTCAGAAGGAGACAGTTTCTCCAAAGCTTGGGTACTTTCGCTTAATATTAAAAGAGGAAGAAATTTTTTGCCTGCCAGGCAAAAGGCAGAAGATGTATTTCTACACCATGGATAGGAAAATGATTTTTTTTCCTCCTTTCTCCTTGGCCTGCATGCAGCAGTGAAAAAGAAACCAATGGATTCTTTTAAATCTTTAACCATATGCAGATGAATAAGCACATGGTTGGACTTGATTCCTAATCTCTTTTCCTTTCCTGTATAACTGAGATTTTTTTCCACTCTAATAAACTTGAGCATTTAAACAGAAGTCATGTGTTACATATATGACGATTAGCAGCAAGAATGTAGAAAAGGAGATAGTGGCTGAGCATGAAGCTTTAATTAATACCCAAGCCATTCAACTGAAAATGAGAACAATGTTTCTGGCAAGGAGATGTAAAAAAAAAAATTCTGTCCAATTTGAAATCATTTTTTTCCTCTCTCAATCTTTTTAGGATAATGATTTAAAATTCAATGACTGTAAAGAGAACTTTTTTTTTTTTTTTTTTTGAGATGGAGTCTTGCTCTGTCACCCAGGCCGGAGTGCAGTGGCACGATCTCAGCTCACTGCAACCTCTTCCTCCTCCTGGGTTCAAGTGAATCTCCTGCCTCAGCCTCCTGAGTAGCTGGGATTACAGGTACCCGCCACTGCGCCCGGCTAATTTTTGTATTTTTAGTAGAGACGGGATTTCACCATCTTGGCCACGCTGGTCTCGAACTCCTGACTTCATGATCCACCCACCTCGGCCTCCCAAAGTGCTGGGATGACAGGCGTGAGCCACCGCACCCAGCCCAAGAGAACTTTTTTAAGTTTTCAGTTGAGCTCCAGTGACTGAAGTGCAGTAATCTTTGTATGACATCAAGAAGGCCCACCATCCCCATGTCTGGGTCCCCACTGGACTGCCAACCCCCAGAACGTACACACTCAGAGTAGGAAGGGAATACAGCCCAAGGAAAGCCAAGCAGCCGCAGGAGGAATGGACTCTGGGGACAGTCTCTTCCCGCCTCTCAGAAAAAGGGAAAAGAAGTTTCATTCTTCAAAGAAAAGGGAGAAAAACAAGACTTTTATGGAAATACCATATACAGAGTTGGCAGAAATTCAGCAAGGAATAAAAAGTATCCAAAATGTTCCCTTATTCAGTTCCAGTCTGGCAGACAAATTAAAAGAGGTTCAATTTTCAAACCGATTTGCCCTGAATTATCTGGACCTAAAACCATGCAAGGCATCTAAAAAGACTCGTGGTTTGGTCCATTGACAGCCCAGTTGAACAAGCGGAGTCTAAAGCAGCCAGATGGAAAAAGCTTAAAATGTTTTCATCAAAATCTTATAAAAAACAAAGTATTTGTGGATGAAATGATAAGAGGCCTGAGATTTGATTGAAAATCCATTGCCAGAGTGGGGCAGGAAGGAGAGTTTATAGATAAAACAGGATTAGCCATGCGTGTGGAAGCTAACTGGGCAGTGGGTACATGGAGATTCACAAATAAGCCCATTATATTCCCTCTATTTCATATACGTTTCAGCATTTCCATAATTAAAAGCTCTAGAAATATATATCATGTAAGAAATTTTCAGATGCTAAAAAGCCAAAGAATGTATTGATTATAGATAAATGAAACAAACTAGGTTTTTAAATGAGAACAAGAAAGGACACTTAAAAATTACTTTTATTTCATGCTTAACTCATGAAAAAAAAAAAAGTGGGCCGGGCACGGTGGCTCATGCCTGTAATCCCAGCACTTTGGGAGGCCGAGGTGGGTGGATCACGAGGTCAAGAGATCAAGACCATCCTGGCCAACAAGGTGAAACCCCGTCTCTACTAAAAATACAAAAATTAGATGGGTGTGGTGGCACGCGCCTGTAGTCTGAGCTACTCGGGAGGCTGAGACAGGAGAATCGCTTGAACCTGGGAGGCAGAGGTTGAAGTGAGCCGAGATTGTGCCACTGCACTCCAGACTGGCGACAGAGTATCAAATATTTTGAGACTCCATCTCAAACAAAAGAAGAGAAAAGGATCAGTCTGCAAATCTGAACCTGAAGAGGTTTCTCTGACTTGAAATAGTCTATGTTGGGCCTTTCAATACACTGTTATCGAGTTTGAAATGTCACCATAATCTTTATCCACCTAAGGACTGTGCTCCTCATTGTTTGGTAAATATTTGAGGTGTTCCAACATCAATTTGACAAGACCTTTACAGGAGACTTAAGGGCACTGACTCCTATTGAAGGATCCCTTTCTCCAAGGGCACACTCCCCGCTCGATGTCAGAAGTGCTGTGTGTGCACTGACTCATTTAATTCTCAGACCCAAGCAACTGAGGCCCACACTTTAAAGACACATATTTGCCACTTTCCTCCCTATGGGGTTGGAAGGGCCACACTTTTCTAGACCAAACTCTGGCTGCCCAGGCCCCAAAATTCCCTGCCTCAGTGGCCCGAGCCTGCTTCTAGGATTTGCCTGGGCCCCTTGCCCCATGGAATGCAAGTGAACTGTGCCCCTGGGCTGAGAGATGGCATGGGTGGTTTTCAGTGGGGAATGGTGTGGCAGGAGTTAGGACCTGCAAGCTGAGGTGTGGAGGGCAGGATGGAGCCAGATGGAAAGAGAAGGGAGGGGGGCTGTGGCAGAGGTTTTTGTGTACACTCTTGCCAGGGGTCCTGGAAATGTTAGGGGTGGACCTAATGAGTTAAGTATTATCATTACCACCTTTTCTGGAGAAAATAAAACTGAGAAAGCTTGAGTATCTGCTTAGGGTTGCACAGCTGGCTAGTGGCAGAGCCAGGGCTTAGCCTGTCATTCTTGTGATTCCATGACTCTTCCCTTTCATGCTCCACACAACAAAATCCACAGAATCTGCAGGTACCCGTGTCTCTCATGAGACACAGAGACAGTCCTGAAAAGCTCTTCCATCAGATAAGTTGCTTTTCTACTCCGTACTACATTATCGGTGCCAACTCAGAAGGTGGCAGACACAAGTGGTGGCAAAGCCTCATCCAGAAAAAATTACCATGGGAAGTTGAATCAACAGAAAAATATTTGATACAAGAGTATGACAGTTAATCCTAGGATTTCACTTTTTGTTCTGAACTTCTGACCTACAGCTGCTAGTCCAACCACGGAACATCTAAAAGATACTTTAATTAGATTTTAACCCTGTCGAGCGAGCATTTGGCCAATCAAATAAGTAGGTCTTTGTTTATTTCCTTTAAACTCTAAAGCCAGGAAATTACTTTTGATATGTTAAGACCCCTGCCTTCCCTCCAAGGACATCCTGAGACATAGAAATAAAATCTAGCCAAACATATTTTCAATTACTATTCATAAGGAAACACCCATCACATTATAGGTAATTTGAAAAAGCAAATTTATGGAAAAAACTGTTAAAATATTACAATATTTTTTAGAAGGCATAATTTGATGTACTTAAAACCAAGTAGTCACTTTTTGATATGTTTTGGATACTAACCGCAAGTATCTAAAGTTAACAGTAATAATAGTAGTGAGTGCACAATGCTGAGTCTTTTACATGTATTAATTCACTAAATCCTCACAGCAGCCCTAGAGAGTAGTTAGTATTAGGTTGGTGCAAAAGTAATTGTGGTTTTTGCCATACTTTTAGTGGCAACCTTTCTGGGCCCTGTTTGTTCCTCTGGATACAATACAGATGTAATCAGGCTTCCTGGGCCCCATGTCTGCCCTGGAGGTCAGTTGCCTGCATTGTCACATGCTAAAATCCCCTAAGTATGATTCCAAAGGCTTTGAATAACAGTGTTGGTTTTTACTGAAGATTCGGAGGGTGTGGGGGAGGTTGGGTTGTATCATATATCACCAGCAAAACATCCTTAAAGATTTCTTGAAATACTTTACCCCCGCAAATACCCTTTTCCTCTACCAGCTGCCCAAATTCTCTTTCTCTCTTCCTTTCCCCTTTACAAAGGTATTTTTTTCCCTTTCCTTTCTCCAGTCACACTCAAGATTTCTCCCTATTCCAAGTCTATTTTCATTCAACAAATATATATGTACATATGTATATATATATATGTTAACGTGTGTGTGTATATGTGTATATATATATACACACACATATATATACACATATATATATATTTGTTATCTAGCCTGGGTGACAGGAAACCCTGTCAAAAATATTTGTATATTTAGATATATATATATTTGAATATTATATTAACATATTTAATATATGAGAGATATATATTGAATATATATATATATATATATTCAAATATTTGTTGAATGAAGCCACTGCACCTGGCTTCATTCAACAAATATTTTTGGCCGGGGCATGGCAGTGGTAGCTCATACCTGTAATCTCAACACTTTGGGAGGCCAAGGCTGGAGGATCACTTGAATCCAGAAGTTTGAGACCAGCCTGGGCAACACAGCAAGACCCTATCTCTAAAAAAAAAAATTTTTTAATCTAAAAAGATAAAAAATTAATTTTAAAAAACCAAATATTTTTAATGTATCTACCATTTCCCAGGAATATTCTTGGTGCTGGCAGATACAACAATCAATGGACTTTACAATCCATCCCTTTCTTATATAGAGGAATCGAACTTTGTCTCATGTCTTAAATTTGCATGCAGCCAAAGGCAGGCTGTGGGGGAAATGCAGGGGATTTAAATTACTAATAAATTTTTTTTAGTGTTATATAGAGAGAGATGAGTACTTTTTTGCTCTCAAAGGGCCTCTCAGCTCTATTTTTAAAAATAATTGTATGATTTTATAAAGTTTAATTCATAGCAATGTCTCCTTCCAAGACACTGATAATCATTATAATAAGCATTTATTGGATACTCACAGTGCCTCTTAGCATTGTATTAATTGCCTTACATTTAATCCTCACAATCCAGTAAACTATAGGTACTATTTCCCTTTTCTCTATAAAACTGACATTTAGAGATGCTCTGTGACTTGCCTCAAGTCAAACAGCTGCCAGGTGGCAGATCCAACATTGAGACCTAGTCCTGCCTGACTTTGGATGCTGTGCTTTTTAGCCCCTGTGCTCACTGCACCGCCCCGTCCCTCCTGTCGGCCCTTACCCAAAAGTGTCGTATCTCTGGGCTGGGAATATTAACAAAGCATTAGAATAGATTTTCCTGTACCATTTTTGCCATATCTTCTGAAGATTTTTGCCCTCTGCTGAAGTACAATTGGAATCAGTTTTTGAACAAATCATGTTTCCACCAACCAACATCTATGGTGCACTTGGCACTATAACAATGCTGTTGATTCATTATGAACCTTAAGAAATTATCTGTGGCCGGGGACCGTGGCTCACGCCTGTAATCTCAGCACTTTGGGAGTCGGAGGCAGAGGATCACTTGAGGCCAGGAGTTCAAGACCAGCCTGGGCAACATAGCAAGACCCCATCTCTACAAGAAAATTTTTAAAAATTAGCTGAGTGTAGTGGGATGCGCCTATAGTCCCACCTACACAGGGCAGGCTGAGGCAGGAGCATCCCTTTAGCCCAGGAGGTCGAGGTTACAGTGAGCTATGATTGCACCACTGCACTCCAGCTTGGGTGACAGAGTGAGGTTCTGTCCCAAAAAAGGAAAGAAAAGAAAAAAGAAATTAACTTAAAATTTTTAAGGTTGAGATAATAGAAACCCAACTTAAATTAAAAAATAATTTTGATTCAGATAAACAAAGTCTAGGTCTCAACCCAATTTCAAAGCCTGATAGATTCAAGAGCTCAAATAATAACTGTCAGGGCCCTATTTTGGCCTCCTCTTTTTTCCTGGCCCTGCTCTTCTCTTCCTGTCTTCATTCTGTATGCAGGCATTCTCTAGTTGGCAAGCAAAACAATCACCAAAAGCCTCAGGTTCACATCTCCCAACTCAGCAACCCCAAAGAACAGAGAATGAATGCCTCTCTCGATACTCATTTATCAATAGCAGGGAAGCCTTTGATTAGCTCTGCCCAAGTCCCCATGGACCAATCATTATGACCAGGGAGGTCTGGGACTGTGATTGATAGCCCCATCAATGCCATATGGGGTAGGGGAGAAATTACCCAAAGAACCCAAAAGAGAAGAATAGGAAAGTGTGTGGGAGAAGCCAAATGAATAGATGCAACCATCTACCACCTGGTCTCTGCCATCAAAGAACTTTCAATTTAGTTGAGGACATGGATACATGAACCAAAAGATAATGTGAAGAAGCATACACTTGCCCAATGGTTGGCACCCTGTAATGCAGAAGACCCGACCTTCACTACTCAGCAGAAGCCTTCTGAAGATCGCCCCCAGTGTAGGCCTTCTAGTTCCCTGCAGTTCTTGTTTGGCTTCCTTCTCATCCCCACGCCACCACTGGCACCAGTTTCCTGTGAGCGTTTCTTAGTGTCAACCCCAGTAATGGTGGCAGGAACAGGAGAGAGGCCCAGCAGACAAAATGGTAAAGCTGGGAGATTCCCACTCGCATGGCAGCAAATGATCTTTTCATCAGAGCAAGCAGAGTAAACAGGAGCTGGCCATTTGGTGAAACACGTAGCGTAAGACCCAAGAAAGGAATAAGGAAAGAGCCAAGAGGAAAGTAGAAAAAATGTAATTTCTACTATTGAAAAAATTAATTCTGAAATGAAACTAGTTTTTGCTGGACATGTAGAGTAATAGTACAGCCTTTCTTTAATGGAAAAACTCCATTCATTATGCTTAGAGAAGTCACTTGTCTGCCTCTCAACATGCTTTAAAGTCATGGGCTTAATAAAGCCACTCCAGACTCCTAATAGGAGTCTCCTTTCTTTTGCTTTAGTTTTCTTTTTATGTATTTCATGTATGTATTTCATGTTTCAAATTGTTACTACAGCCTCCTGTCAGTTATAATTTTTTTTAAACAAAGTTTTCTTAAAAGACTGCCTTTGTCCGTAAACCAGTGAGAACTCCTAGAAGGATTTATAAACCACCAGGAAAAGTTTTCTGTTTCTGTCCTAAAAACACTGGAGTAAGTGGCAACAGGTCTTTGGGGAGCTGCCCATACATTCTTCATATCAACGTTGGCTAGAGTGATCTGATTTGAGCAACAGAAGTCATTGAATTCTTAGAAGCATCAGTGATTTTTGTGGAGGCTCTAACTTGGTATCAATCTTGACAATTGTGATTTAGAATGTCACGGTTTTTATGAATTTGTTGTTCCCTCTATTGTCTAGTCACATAATTAAAGTATCCAAGGGCTACCACATGAATCCTTGTTTTCTTAGGGACTTTTCTATTGCAAACAAAGAAAGAAAGAAAGAGTCGTGACTTATATAAGAATGCTGAATGTATAGATTTAAGTATAAGGCAATGCATGTTAAAAGGTATATTCCAGTTCTGAAAAGGAAACGAGTCAGTAACAATGGAAGGATTTCCTTACATTTTTCTGCTACTGTTCTGGAGAGCGGCACAGTGGTCTCAAACCCAGATTTGTTTAACCAAACCTGTTAACATGATATTTTTCATAAATTTACTGGATTGTAAATAGGAGTTAATTTACTCCCTATCCAAATTATATATTAAATATTTTGGAATACTAAGGCTCTGGCTTATACCATTGTTTGCTGTATAATATAGTCAGTAATCATATGTCCAACATTTTTGGATCTTGTTTTCCCCAACTTCTAAGCCAGGGATTCTTAAACTGGAGTCCATGGAAATGGCTATGACTTTGGGGATTTACGTGTATCTATGTATTTTCTGGAAGACAGCTATAGATTTCATTAGATTCTCTGTATACCTTCCCCTCTCCCCCTGCAGAAAGATACTAAAAGATTCTGAGGCTTTTTAGAGAGGGGCTCTTCCAAAAATGAAGAGTATAAAACTGTCTCTGGTGGCCGGGTGCGGTGGCTCATGCCTGTAATCCCAGCACTTTGGGAGGCCGAGGCAGGCAGATCACAAGGTCAGGAAACTGAGACCATCCTGGCTAACACAGTGAAACCCCGTCTCTACTAAAAATACAAAAAAAAAAAAAAATTAGCGGAGTGTGGTGGCACGCACTTGTAGTCCCAGCTACTCAGGAGGCTGAGGCAGGAGAATAGCTTGAACCCGGGAGGCAGAGGTTGCAGTGAGCTGAGATCACTCCACTGCACTCCAGCCTGGGTGACAGAGCGAGACTCCGTCTCAAAAATAAAAAAACAAAACAAAAAACAAAAACCTGTCTCTGTGGACAGCGGAATGCCAGAAAAAAAGATAGAAAACAAGATAGTAGATTTTTTTTTTAAGAAAATGGTTTTTTTTTTTTTTAACAGAAATCTGCCTTGAATTTTTTTCTCTCCTGAGCCTCTTGGCCATTGTTAATTGTTATTTAGTATTCTTCACTGTGAATTACTTTGTGGGTGACTGTAAATTACTAGATTCTATTTTAACTAAAGGAGCCAACACAGCAAATTTATGTTCTGTTATAAATTAAGTAACGTGATGACATATGCTTAGTGGTTAGACTGACATGCAAAATAAATCAGATGTAATCATGTGAATATAAGTTTGAGATACAAAATAGCCATTATGGGGTTGAAACAAAAGACAGAACCATAGGAGTAGTAGTTTGCCAAAGCACAAATAAGCTAATTCTGCTTGCAGTCAGCAAAAGAAAAATAAATTAGATATTTTTCTTCTTCTTTGAGTACCACCAACAGAAGTTACTAACTCAGATGTGAGGCCAGGTGCGGTGGCTCACACCTGTAATCCCAGCACTTTGGGAAGCCGAGGGGGGCAGATCACCTGAGGCCAGGAGTTCGAAACCAGCCTAGCCAACACGGTAGAACCCCATCTCTACTAAAAATACAAAAATTAGCCGGGTGTGGTGGTGTGTGCCTGTGATCCCAGCTACTCAGGAGGCTGAGGCAGGAGAATCGCTTGAACCCAGGAGGTGGAGGTTGCAGTGAGACGAGATCATGCCACTGCACTCCAGCCTGGGCAACAGGCCAGGCCATCTCAAAACAACAACAACAACAACAAAAAAAAAAAAACCTCGGATGTGAAAACACAGAATTTAGAGATAGAAGGTCTATAACTGGACACCTCACTTATATTTTTAGCAGGTGAGGACACAGGACCAAAGATACTCCAAGACACAGGTGGCTGGTCACAAAAGCCCTAACTAAAACTAAGGCATTCTAGCTCCTAGGCCGACTTTCCACTCCACTGCATTTTACCCAAAGCACTAAAGAGAGAACAATTGACTTTTGAATTATCATGCAGATCTATTAAAGAATACACAGGCCGAGCATGGTAGCATCTGAAATCCCAGCACTTTGAGAGGCTGAAGTGCGAGGATCACTTGAGGCCAGGAATTCAAAACCACCCTGGACGACATAGTGAGACCCTATCTCTACAAAAAATTTTAAAAAATAGCCAGGAGTGGTGGTGTGCACCTGTAGTTTCAGCTACCCTGGAACCTGAGGAAGGAAGATAGCCTGAGCCCAGGAGTTCAAGGCTGCAGTGAGCTATGATCATGCCACTGCACTCCAGCCTGGGCAATAGAATGAGACCCTGTCTCTAAAAAAAAAAAAAACAAAAAAAAAAAACTACACAATTAAAGCACATTTATAGTACCTGAAACTCAGATAACAGCTTGACTACCATGAGAGCTAAAGAGATACCGCCTATCAATGAATAAATGACAACAAGAACACAAACTAAGGCTAAATTTTGTCATTCTGGTTTTCAGAGCAGAAGCTAATTTTTTAAATTGACTTTATTAAAATCATTTTCTTCACTTAAATTTATACTTACCCCGTGGAGGAGATAAAATTAAGGAAATGAAGAACTCTAACTTTTTTGAACATGGGTTTCTATACATTTGAATTTTCTCCCTGATCAGGTTATTATCTGTTATTTTTTTCTTTTTTCTTTTTTCTTTGAGACGGAGTCTCCCTCTGTTGCCCAGGCTGGAGTGCAATGGCACGGTCTCAGCTCACTGCAACCTCCACCTCCTGGGTTCAAGTGATTCTCCTGCCTCAGCCTCTCAAGTAGTTGAGATTACAGGTGTGCACCACCACGCCTGGCTAATTTTTGTATTTTTAGTAGAGACTGGGTTTCACCATGTTGGTCAGGCTGGTCTCAAACTCCCGACCTCATGATCTGCCCGGCCTCAGCCTCCCAAAGTGCTGGGATTACAGGCGTTAGCCACCACGTCCAGCCTCATGTGTTATTTGCATAATTTTGATTAAAAAAAAAAAGACTCTTACACCTTGAGGTTTTTGTTTGATGTGCTGTGCTTCTCATCTACAAGTTTGACACTAGCAGTGGACTATTTTCTACACTTAGCTTATCAATGGAATTCAAAAGAAAAGAAAAATGACATAATTTTATTTTTGGGGAAACTCAGTCTTATTTCCTTTCTTGTGTGATTCTCCAAGGAAAAATGGAGACCAGAAATTTGGTTAAAATATAACTTATAACTGGAATAAATTTTGGCATCTTTGGGGCCAACCCACAACTCAGAGGGAAGCCCACTCTGGAGGCTAAGAAACTCCCAGGGTTAATTGCAGCTAGTAAACATGGATGGCAGGGCTTAAATCCCTGCCTCCATTCTCGTATTTATCCTCCCATTACCCACGGTGATTGCATTCCTGCAGTCAAGGGCATAAGTCATCCAATTTTACTTCCCATTGGTTTTCTATAGCTCCCATTGGGCTGTCCCATCGGAAGTCATTTGTTATGAGACAGAGTCTTGCTCTGTCACCTAGGCTGGAGTGCCTAGGCGTAATCACCGCTCACTGCGGCCTCTGCCTCCAGGGCTCCAAGGCTAAAAACTTTTCTAAATGTTATTTTTGGCTGGGCGCAGTGGCTCACGCCTGTAATCCCAGCACTTTGGGAGGCCGAGGCAGGTGGATCACCTGAGGTCAGGAGTTCGAGACCAGCTTGGCCAACATGGTGAAACCCTGTCTTTACTAAAAATACAAAAATTAGCTGGGCGTGGTGGCGCATGCCGGTAATCACAGCTACTCGGGAGGCTGAGGCAGGAGAATTGCTTGAACCTGGGAGGCGGAGGTTTCAGTGAGCCTAGATCGCACCATTGCACTCCAGCCTGGTGACAGAGCAAGACTCCATCTCAAATAAATAAATAAAATAAAATAAATGTTATTTTCCATACTTCAGGTATGTTTTGTTCTACTCTTAAGGGGAAAAAAACAACCTATGTAAACTAAAATTCAGTAACCCAGTAATTCATCAAGTTTCTCTGTTATCTTAGAGGCACTATAGCAGAATGGTTTAATACCTGGACCCTGGGGTCAGGCTGCCTGGGTTCAAATTCTGTCTTGCTTTTTACCTGGGCAGGCCACTGCACTTCACTGTGCCTCAGTTGTTTCATTTGTAAGGTTAGGATTATAGTTGTAACATCTTTATAGGGTTGTTTTGAAGATGAAATGAGTTAATAGATGTAAAGCACATAGTAACACTCAGTAAACACTCAATAAAAAGCTTTATTAACCTTAATATGTTTCTTCATAGCCCTTGTAAAACCCTAGCCACTCTTTTGCAATAAAGCATTTTCAAAAAGTACCATCGATCCGGGGTTATCTCTGTGTTCTTTTCCTGGAGGATCCTGAGTGCGGGCTGTGTCGACATCACGTCATTAATGTCTTCTGCTCCCTGCACTGTGGTCAAAGGCTTTTCAACGTAGCCTTGGATCCCCTGGGTTTGCTGCAGTTCAGTGCACCTCAAAGCACGATAACAGGAACTGAAATGGCAGAAACTGAAAGCAAAATAAAATTCAGCCAGGAAACACTTAGCTGTTTTTCCCTTTGCTCTGCATGGGGAAAAAAAAAAAAAAAGAGGAGGAGATAAATCGAAAACCTGTAAAATCCAGCATGTACTTCAGGGTTGTTTTAATTTTCTAAATATAAGTACAGTCTTCATTCCTCCCTCCAGCAAATATCTATTGAGTGTTTACTGTGGTGTGCCCTGATTCCCCATAGACATCTGGTGGCTATCTATCCTGGATTTTCTAGAACAATCCTAACTTTAAATGTCTTTGGTGTCTTTTCATGAAAATACATTTAAAAGGCAGTGGAAAAAAGCCTTTCTCAGGCCCCATGGCCAGAGTTTTGTTCCATATTTACTTTCAGCTGTGTTTCTGTTTTCCCCAAGGTCAGGAGCCGCCCAGTAAA
This sequence comes from Homo sapiens, assembly GCF_000001405.40. Lineage (NCBI taxonomy): Eukaryota > Metazoa > Chordata > Mammalia > Primates > Hominidae > Homo > Homo sapiens. Next base: position 94,962,563 of record NC_000001.11, on the reverse strand, counting down.
AAAAAAAAAAAAAAAAAAAAAAAAAAATCTCCAAGTCCTGAAGGTACTGCAGGAGCCAGGATAGGGAAATTACTAGATGGTATTCTCTGTTTCTCCTCTGGAGAAAGAGTTTTAAGGGTTAAAATTTTCATCTATAACCGTGGTTGTTTCTTTGGGGCTGGCAATACTGAAAACTAACTTTTTGTATTATACATTCTTATAATGTTTGGTTTTTTTACACTTTTTAATGAGATGTATTACTGCGATAAGCAGAAAAGAAAATAAAAGTTTTTTAAACTACTGACTTACTTCCACAAATAAAATAGACATTCTCTTTTTTAGCAACCCAATAACAAGGGGTAGTGAAAAATGATATGCTCCCTGAAGACAGGGACCGTCTGCTTTTCTCATCTTAGCATTCCCACAGAGGAGCACTGAATAAATATCCATCAAAGGAATGAACAAAGGCCTCCTTCATATTCCTTAAATCATCTTTACTTTCCGGAAAGGAACATGGTAGCTCACCTTAACCATGCCAAAAAACATATACTTTATATAAGTCCAGATTTACACACAAAGGATTATTTACTTGATGAAGGGATTTACCAGATTCCTTTCTACAGCAAAATCTCCTCAGTCGATTTAAAGTGTGACTTGATTTGCTTCATTTTTCTTATGAGATAGTGGAATAAATGAGAACTTCGGTAAACCAAGAGCCGGGAGTGTGAACCCTGCCTTAGCCTCTAGAGTAGCTGAGATCACAGGCGTGCGCCACCACGCCCAGCTAATTTTTTTTTTTTAACCTCTGACCTGTCGTGTGTCCTTGGGCAGGTTTTTTTGTTTGCTTATTTTTTTCACCTCCCTGTGTCTTAGTTATCTCTACTCTAAAATGAGAATAATTGGAAGGGTTATAGGTACCATATTAAAGCCCCTGGGACAGTGCTAGAAGCATAAATATAAATGGCAGCTGATATTCTTATTGTTTATTAAACCTTTTCAAAGTATCCAATGCATGAATTGAAGTGTAATTGCAGTGATAACCACAGGCCCCAAAATGTATCATGGAGGCTAAAACCTAATTGGTTTAAAAAAAAAAAAATCAAGCTTTTTATGCTTCATCCCAGATAAGTGATTTAAATGCTTAGACTCACATCGTTTCATGCTTGGAGTTCTGAGAGCACAAGGGGCCCCCTTTACTTCCTTGTTTATGTGACAACAGGGGAAATCTCATCATCCTCCCCTCGCCAGGCTAACTTTTTGAGGTTCAGCTTGAAAAAAAAAAGAGAAAAGTAGCAGTTATATTTGGGAGCAAGGACTGGTGAGCTTGGTTACTGGGATTGAACCCTAGCCTAGAGGAATTACTGAAGGTTGAACCCAACAAAAGTACCTAAACCTCAGTCTAAAGTTTTCAATCCAGGCCAGGCGTGGTGGCTCACTCCTGTGAACCAGCACTTTGTGAAGCCAAGGAAGGCAGATGGCTTGAGCCCAGGAGTTTGAGACCATATGGCCAAGATGGTGAAATCCTGTCTCCCCTAAAAAAAAAAAAAAAAAAAAAAAAAAAAAAAAAAAAAAGAAAAATTAGCCAGGCGTGGTGGCACAGGCCTGTGATCCCAGTTACTCTGGAGGCTGAGGCAGGAGAATTGCTTGAGCCCGGGAGGCGGAGGTTGCAGTGAGCCAAGACGGCGCCACTGCACTTCAGCCTGGGTGACAGAGTGAGACTCTGTCTGAAATAAATAAACAAACAAACAAACAAACATTTCAATGTGATAAATAAATCAAGAGCTGCACTATATAGTGAGAGTAGGAAGTCTCTTCCTGACCCCATCTCTCCTCTTTAAGGTATGAGAGAGGCCTGAGGGGCTTGCAGGCCACAGAGCTGAAGGCTAGGATATCACTCCAACACGGTCAAACAGGAAGAATCCAACTCCCACTAGCTTCAAGAACAAGTGATGGGGAAAAAAGGGAGAAGCAGGAAGCCGGCAACAGACAACTGTATTTTTTCTAGTTACACATGCAGCAACCAAGCTATGTCCACATGGTGGGCTTCCCCGTGTCCGGGTGCATTCACTCTGGCACCTTGCTAAGATTCTTTGCAAGTCAACAAGTCAACAGGCTTCCTCCTCATGCCATGTCTGCCCTGTCCTCCTTCTAGAATCAGGGAGGGACTCTCAGGAAGTAGACCAGACCCACAGGCCCCTGGGCTGCCGGACACTCCCACTCTCCCCCACAAATGAGAAGATCTCCCTATCCCCTCTTGTCCCTGTCCCAGATCCCCTCAGTAGTGATTATGTAATTCCATTACAATTCAGAGGAAAAAGGGATTTTTAAAAAGAGATCAGAGAGGCAGATTGGCCTTCAAGGTAGAGGATCTATAAAACCAGCCCATTCTACCGGCCATAGACAGTGTTCAGATATCCTAGACAAGGAAAGTCCAAGAGGAACACAGAGGGTTAAAGTTCCTCCTGGACTTGGGCAGGTGCAGTGGCTCACACCTGTAATCCCAGCACTGAGGTGGGAGGATTGCTTGAGCCCAGGAGTTTGAGACCAGCCTGAACAACATAGAGAGACACCATGGATACAAATAATTTAAAAAATTAGCTGGATGTGGTGGTGTGTGCCTGTGGTCCCAGCTACTCAGGAGGCAGAAGCAGGAGGATCACCTAGCCCAGGAGGTCCAGGCTGCAGTGAGTGGTGACTGCACCACTGCACTCCAACTTGGGCAACACAGTGACTCAAAAAATTAAAAAAATAAATAAAAGCAGAATAGCATTATCCTTTAAGCATCACACTCTCACACACACAAAGTTAGTGTACGTGGATATTATATCTTGAGTTTATTGAGATGTATGAGAGCACAACTTGTGCTTTTTCGAGTTCTTTACAATTCTTGATGTAATGCTATATAGCACTATATAGTAGATGCTCAACTGATATTTGTGAATAAATGCCTGTGAAATAGAGTCCTGGCCGGGCATGGTAGCTCAAGCCTGTAATCCCAACACTTTGGGGACTGAGGAGGCTGGATCACCTGAGGTCAGGAGTTCGAGACCAGCCTGACCAACATGGTGAAACCCTGTCTGTACTAAAAATACAAAAATTAGCCGGGCGTGGTAGCAGGTGCCTGTAATCCCAGCTACTCAGGAGGCTGAGGCAGGAGAATCACTTGAACCTGGGAGGCGGAGGTTGCAGTGAGCTGAAATTGTGCCATTGCACTCTAGCCTGGGTGACAGAGCAAGACTCCATCTCAAAAAAGAAAAGAAAAGAAAAGAAATAAAGAGTTCTAGAGTGGTAAGGGTAGGCTTCATAAAGAGGGTAGTAAGTTACCTAGATTATTACAGGGCATTGATCAGAATGCTGGTTGTAGTAAACTTTTTAGTTTTATTGTTAGAGCCAAGAAATAATACTAATTCCCCTCCACTTCTTATAAAACATGGCAAGGGGCAGGGGAGATGCTTAGCTTTTGAGTGCCCATTTTTGCTGCCAAAGGTAAGGAAGCTAATTTTACTAGTTGTTCCCTAAGGTACTGGTTTATATCTATCCTCTTTTCAGTCCTGTTGTTCTACCCTGCTTATAAACTTCATCATAAGAATCAAGACATGAGAGGCACAACAGTGAACACAACAGAAGTCAGGCGACCTCACTCTAAAGGGCACTCAACTACAAGAATAACCCATCATTTATTTCTGTTGAAAATGGAAACGTGGGGCAGGCTCCTTGGTGGTAATCTTCGCTGTGCCTGATTCTGATTCTAGGCAGAGACAGAAATTGTTTAATAAAACCCAGGTGACCATATCCTTTCCTATGCAGACATAATGGATTGCAATGTCATGATTATGCTCTGTTCTCCAGGGCTTTTGCAAACAAGTCATTATATCGTGGTGGAAAGTTTGAGGTATTCACTATACCTTGAAAATAATGTGCCTTTCTTTACCAGGGTAGGAACAGCCTCTAAGTGAAGACAGAGGAGTGAGAAATATGACATTTCTGCATGAGTTGGCTACTAGTCGCAACACATCTTGGTGCAAATAAAGGAAGTGTTAGCTGCTTGGGGTGGTTAATTGGCTGGGCCACGGTGCCCAGATAGTGGTGAAACATTATTCTGGATGTTTTTGTGATGGTGCTTTTGAATTAGATTAGAATTTAAATCTGTCAACTTTGAGTAAAGTAGATTGCCTGCCATGGTGTGGGTGGGTCTCATCTAATCAGTGGAAGGGGTGAATAGAACAAAGGTCTCACCTCCCCTAGCAAGAGGAAATTCTACTAGCACATGGTCTTTGGACTTGAACTGTATATCAGCCCTCCCTGGGTCTTCAGCCTGCTGGCCTACCTTGCAAATTTTTGTTTGTTTGTTTGATTGTTGAGACAGAATCTCACTCTGTCATCCAGGCTGAAGTCCAGTGGCATGATCACAGCTGCCTTGACCTCCTGGGATCAAGTGATCCTCCTGCCGCAGCCTCTCAAGTAGCTGGGACTACAGGCACATGCCACTATGCCTGGCTAATTACCTTGCAGATTTTGAACTTGCCAGCCTTCATAATTGTATGAGCCAATCCCTTACAATAAATCTCAACGAATCTCTTTCTATACGTATACATAACCAATTGGTCCTATCTGTCTGGAGAACCCTGACTAATACACTGCTGTAACAAATAATCCTCCCACATTTCAGTGGCTGAACACAATGAATTTATGTCTCTCTCAAAGAGCAGCCCAAAGCCAGAGTTCCCTGTTGGGGGGAGTTTTTCCACCATGCAGTAATTCAGACACCCAAACTTCTTTCACCCATGATCCATTATCCTCCAGGCCCTCTGCATCCTCTATGTCCAGCTGGCAGAAAGGAAAGTGAGAATAGAGAAGACAAATCTGCGTTTTAACCATGGTGGCCCAGATGTGGCCTCCACTATTCCCACTCACTTTCCTTTGCTGAGAATGAATCACATGACTCCATGGAGAGGAATGGTGGGGCTGGGGAAGATGGCCCTTGACTGCAGAGCCACTTCCCAACAACAACTTTCTGCTACGGAAAAGGGAGCAAGCATTTGGTAGCCACCAGTCTTCTTGGTGAACACTTGCTGTCTTACGTGTGTTTTTAAGAATTATTCCACTGCAACTCTAATCTCTTTGGTGTTTTCTCTGACAAGAGTCCCCATCCAATTTGTTTCCTTCTAATACGGCACAGAGCTTATTCTGTGCATTTCCTGAGTGGCCTCACATCATTAGACCTTTCACAGATCTAAAATCTAGCAAGAAAAATAAGGTTAACAAAAATAAAAAGGTTAAATAATAATAGAAGGCCAGCACAGTGGCTCATGTCTCTACTCACAGCAATTTAGGAGGCCAAGGTGGGAGGATTGCTTGAGCTCAGGGGTTCAAGACAAGACTGGGCAACAAAGCGAGACCCTGTCTCTACAAAACATTAGCCAGGTGTGGTGGAGCACATCTGGAACCCAAGCTACTCAGGTGGCTGAGAAAAGAGGATGGCCTGAGCCAGGAGGTTGAGGCTACAGTGAGCCAAGGGTTGCGCCACTGCACTCCAGCCTGAGCAACAGAGAGAGACTCTGTCTCAAAAAAACAAAACAAAACAGTAGAAGGCAGTATGTTATTACATGTGCAGAGAACAGGACAGATGGTAAGTATAATGTGTGTTCAGAAGAGGGAAAGTGGCCGGGTGCTGTGGCTCACTCCTATAATCCCAGCACTTTGGGAGGCCAAGGTGGGCAGATCACTTGAGGTCAGGAGTTCGAGACCAGCCTGGCCAACATGTTGAAACCCTGTCTCTACTAAAAATACAAAAATTAGCCAAGCACGGTTGTGCATGCCTGTAGTCCCAGCTACTCAGGAGGCTGAGGCACAAGAATCACTTGAACCCAGGAGGCAGAGGTTGCAGTGAGCTGAGATCGTGCCACTGCACTCCAGCCTGGGCAGCAAAGCAAGACTGCTTCTCAAAAAAATAAAAAAACGAGAAAGAGAGGTTCTGTAATCAGATGAAGTAAACGTGTAGTTCACTAGAATCTTTTTTTGTTGTTGTTAGGTTTTCCTTTTTTCCAAAAAAGATTTTAAGTTCCTCATTAACCAAATATTTGAGTATCTATTTGTTGGCTGGCTCTTACTAATATCTTACTCACATCTCCCTATATCACCTATGCTGGTACAGAGCATATAGTAAACACTGGCCTCTCTCTAATTCTACTTCAGAAATATCTCATGTCCATTTCTCCATATGCACTCCCCATCCCTAGCCTATGAACAATGCCCTCTTCCTTCTTGCCTAGCCTACTGAAATGTACTCCCTGCTGGGCTTCCTATTTCTAATCTCTGACCTTTTTAACTCATATCCACAAATCACCAGAGTTATCATCCTAAAACACAGGTCAGATTGGGACAGACCTTGACAGAGAACAAATTCCACAGGCCTTCATATGTTAGTGTGCTAGTTTGTTTTATGCTCATAAATTCCTCCCATCCCAGTTTGTATGCTCCTTTGCAGTGTGACCTTGCTGCTTCTCCCTTGGAGGAGTGGAGTTCGTTTTTCCACCCTCTTGGATCTGGGCTGGACTTGTGACTTGTTTTGACAAATACAATGCAGCAGACATGACCTAAGCGTCCTGAAGCTTAGGCCTAACAGGCCTGGCAGCTTCTGCCTTTGTTCATTTGGAAAGCTGCCCTGAGACTCCAATGCAAGGAAGGCAGTCTGGCCTAGTGGAAGATGAGAGGCCACATGGAGAAGAACTGAGGCTCTCTAGCCAGCAACCATTCCCCAACGTCAACTGTCAGACGTGTGAGGGAGGCCCTCTTAAGCCTTCCAGCCCAGCTGTCACTAACTTACGCAGACACATGAAGGAGCCCAGGGGAAACCAACAGAGGAATACCCAGGCAACCCATGGCATCATGAGAAATAATAAATCGTTCTAAGCCACTAAGTTTTAGGGTAGTTTTTTATTTGTATTTGTATTTATTTATTTATTTATTTGAGACAGGGTCTCACTCTGTTGCCCAGACTAGCGTGCAGTGGCATGATCTTGGCTCACTACAACCTTCGCCTCCCAGGCTCAAGCGAATTTCCTGCCTCAGCCTCCTGAGTAGTTGGGATTACAGGTGTGTGCCACTACCGCCCAGCTACTTTTCATATTTTTAGTAGAGATGTGGTTTCACCATGTTGGCCAGGCTGGTTTTGAACTCCTGACCTCAAATGATCCACCCACCTTGGCCTCCCAAAGTGTTGGGATTACAGGTGTGAGCCACCGCGCCTGGCCTAGGGTAGTTTTTTATACAGCAATGGATAACTGAAACAGGTAGACTCAATAGGATGGGTCTGAAGATGAGGGAGAAGATGTCTAGAATGTCTCCTGTAAGCTGAGGTTTAAGGAAATAGGCAATAAGCGTCGATCAGAATGTAAGCATTGAGAACATATGGGATATTCCATTAGAGATGTCCAGTAGGTAAGTGAATACATGGCTCTGGGGCTGTCTGGCTTGGGCCATCAGTTTCAGTAATAGGGAGTGGATTAAATCACCCAGGACCACCCAGTAAGTGAGAGGAGGCAGAAGTCAAAGGTCAAAAGACAAAACCTTGGGGAGCGCTAACATTTAAGACTGGGCAAAGGAAGGAAAGCCAGCAGCACAGGAGACTGTTTTGCAACACAAGTAAAAGTGGATAGTCTATGTTTATGAGCTTTACTTTTGTTCTTTACTTTTCTCTGGCCAGTCAAAAAAGGAAAAAGAAAAAAAAAAGGCAGTGGAAGAAGCAAAGAAGATACCTGGGATAGGAATGTAAGGAAGTCCCAAGGACCTAATTAGTCATTTTCCGGATGCAAACAAGTCCTGGAAATGCAGGGGTCAGTGCTTTCCAAGGCCCGGGGGAATGCTTAGCCAAGAAACATAGCAATCTATGCAGAAAAGGCAACTAACCAAACTTGCTATGCATACTCCTCTTTCACCAGGATAGAGATCTGAGGGGGACCCAAACAAATTCAGAGAAAACTAGACAAACTACCCACTCTAGTCAACAGCAGAAGAGACGGAGATATGTGCAGAGGCAGCCATAGAAAGGCGCAAGTCAAAATATGCCAGAACACAGACAACACAGTGAGGACAGAAATAAAGATACACGGCGAGGCATGCCTCTTGACTGTCCTATCTCTTCTTCACCTTCATATCTCTCTCAGACACATCAGTGTAGCTTTATGGACTCCTGTCCTGTGGGAAACTAGATGATTACATTTATATTTCAGGATATAAGTGTATAATTACACACTTATGCCAGAGTCAGAAACTCCCCATCCAAAAACTGTTAACAGTTTAAATGAACAGAGCTGCTGATGCTGTTTACAATATGTAGGGAGAAAGAAAGAGAGAGAGTGGGGGAGAGAGAGAGAGACAGTGTGTGTGTGTGTGTGTGTGTGTGTGTGTGTGTGTGTGTGTGTGGTGATCACTGCATATCCCCAAAAGAAACTCAGCTATCTTGGATCTAGTTCCCTAATTTTATAAGTTTTTGGATATTTTTTGACACTAAGACTGCAGCATTGTTTACAACTCTCTGTCTCTTAACTGAGGATTCAATTTAACAGACATACTGAGCAGCCACGTGGTGCAAGGGCTCTACAAGGCACACACAGATGTAGGCAGTAGTGTTCCGGTAAACCAGCATTCCACAGAAAGAGACTTGATTTACAGCATTTGCTTATGTTTTTGTGGTAAAAGTATTCCCACCATGGCTGATTTCAAGCTACCAGTGGTTTAATAACCGAGGCTCATTAAAATCTTGAATATTTAGCATCCCTGGGTCTAACATTTAAGAATGAGGAAATCCGGCCAGGCGTGGTGGCTCACGCCTATAATCCCAGCACTTTGGGAGGTCAAGGTGCACAGATCTCAAGGTCAGGAGATCAAGACCATCCTGGCTAACATGGTGAAACCCTGTCTCTATTAAAAATACAAAAGATTAGTCGGGCTTGGTGGCAGGCGCCTGTAGTCCCAGCTACTTGGGAGGCTGAGGCAGGAGAATGGTGTGAACCCAGGAGGCGGAGCTTGCAGTGAGCCGAGATTGCACCACTGCACTTCATTCTGGGCGATACAGCGAGATTCCATCTCAAAAAAAAAAAAAAAAAAAAAAAAAAAAAGAGGAAATCTGAGGTATCCAAGACAACAGCCAGCACCAACTGTCAGCTCTGTGCATGAAACCATGTTAGTCCTTCTAGCCCAGCTGGCCCTCAGCCAAAGTATGTCCAGGGAAGACCAGCACCATAATCTCCCAGCCAAACCAAGGAATCATGAGAAATGGTGGTGGTTGTTTTAAACTACTACATTTTGGGATGATTTGTTACACAGCAATAGTTAACTGATACACACATAGTAGAGACTGCCTGAGGGAGGGTCAGTTTCTAGAGAAGCAGGAGCCTTTTTTGGCCTTCTTCTCTGTTAAGTTCCCAGGCCTAGTCAGAAGCTATCTGAGAAATTTCCATCCTTCTGTTTGTTACATCAAGACTTCCTAGACACCTGGTACTAAATACAACCACTGGCAGCTCTTATGTTCTTGCCCCTTTGAATGTGCTGCCAGTCCAACTTTTAATCAGCCTGGGGGCTGAACAAAGGAAAGATAATATTTACAGGCAGTTGTTTTAGGAAATTTTGTTTTCTTGAAAATTAGGCTTGATGATTTCGTCAAATGAAAGGAATAGGAAACACTGTAAGCGAGACTACCTAAGGCAGATGGAACATTTAGCAAAGTCCTCCTCATCTGTTTCATTATCTCCTCTGGATACTGACATTTCTTATCTGTCCCGCCATCAGAATTAGACTCTGAATGTCTCTAACTGATTTGTTAAATATTGACTTGATATAGTAGCAAGGAGCCAGGGTCCATTTTTTTCCCACGACACCCCAGTCCTAAAGTTAGTATTTTGTGCAGGTGATACCGTCTCTTTATGAACACTTTTGCAGAGCAAGCCCCAGTTGGACTCCTCTAGGGGATTTTCCTACTAAAGATTTCAAAAGATAAGATCTACTTCTTTGGCCTGTGTACCTTTATCATGTGTGAAATACTGGTGATTTCAAAGTATCAGGGACCAGGGAAACGACAACAAAAAAACTCTTCAAAACATCCATTTCCTAGAGAAAAGCTAGAAAATAATTATTACAAAAGCCAAGACAGTGTTTTCTCCTGGGAGGAGAGAGAGGGCTAATGGGGGTGAGGTGCCATGAGGGAGAAGCCTTCAGGTCATGTTCAAATTCTTACCCAGGTAGTAGGTCATACGGTATATGGACTATAATAATATTTTTAAGCATCTGTGCAATTTTATGCTTTTTGTGAATGAAGGCTTTATTTCAGAATAAGAACAAATAACCAATTTAAAAGTAATGCATTCTGCATTCTGATTTCTTATTGTATGAGCTGGGAGCTTGTTAGAAATGAAGACTCTTGAGCCCACCCCAGGCCTACTGAACCTGCTGATCCTGAAGTGGTTTGTCTGGACATTGAAGACTGAGCAGCACTGACCAAGATTAAAAGACAAGTCACTAGTTCCAAGATATTGGAAAAGTCACATTATCCTTATGCCTATGTCACATCTGCAAAATGGGCGTAATAATGCAGATCTGGCCTCCTTTCCAGGCTGCTGTGAAGAGGATGTGAGATCATACATGTGACAGCCCTTTGAAAAAAACCAGTAAAGCATCGTATACATTAGGTCTTATTATTACCTTGGGATAGCATCCTGAAAGAATCAATTGCAAAGAAGAAATCAGTTATCATTATCATCTTACTTTATGCTGCCTCTGCTTTCCTGGCAGCTTCATGCTTCTCAATTCTGCTCTGTCAAAACTTGCTTTCCTCCCTGCCTTGAGGGTATTACCAGTTTCACAACAGATGCAAGGTCAGCCATGCCCTTTGCAAGGTCTCTGGAGCAGATTACGTCTTTCAAAAGGCACTAGAGTCCCCAATTTAACTTTCTGACAAATCAAATCCACATGTTTGGCTAAGCCTGTTGTATGACAACAGCGTCTGGTCTCACCTGGGCTGAAGCTGAGCTCCAGCAGGAACCGGGAACACCAGGCAGGCATCAGATGCTTTCAATTGTTTATGGCTCTTGGCTTTTATTTTAATTTTTTTGAAGTTTAAAAAAATTTTATTTTATGTGCAGAGAGCTAGCAGTGGTTTCTTTCATTGAGCGCTGTCTTGGATAATCCATTCAGGGAAGACCACTTAGTCCAACTTGATGAGGGCTATAATCCCTTCCATTCTGATGGAAACACAGGTGGCACATATTGAAGTTATAGTCCCAGATCAAACCTGCTGGTTTGACCAGACACAGCAAGAGCAAGAACCGTGGCCAAATTTTCTAGGGTAGTTCCAGCAGAGCTGCTGATGACACATCTCTGAAAAAAGGGCAGTAATTCTGTGCACTGCACATTTTAAGGACTCAAAAAACTTGTTGGTGATGAATATGTGCATTATTTCAAATGTGACATTCAATCTTCTCAACTTCAAAAGATAAAAAACAAAACAAAACAAAACAAAACAAAAAACAGGTCCAAATGGACAGGTAACTAAAGCACTTATTGGTGAGGCTTGTCTAGGTTTTCTTTCATTAGGGTCCTTCTACTGAGTTTCAGGAGTTGACATGATGTTGATATTTTAAGGATGCGGTACTTAAATGCTAGACATTCAGATGTTGTGCTTCATTATTCATTCATCTCAACACATATTGGAAGGCCAGTCTGCACCAGGTTATATACCTGGTTGTATTTGTGTTCTGTCCATACAGTATGGGGAGATATAGGTGTGTGCGTGTGTGTGTGTGTGTGTGTGTGTGTGTGAATGTGTAATTATTTTTGATGACCATATTAAAAAAAGAAAAAAGAAACGAAAGAAAAGAAAGGGAAGGTGTGTGGTGAAACTGTTGAGAACTTCCCCAGTGCCTATTCCAGAGTTAGGCCCTCCTGGTCCAATCCCAGCACTACAAATATTAGTTGTGAGACTTTGGGCAAGTCTAATGATATGTTCTAAATGATATGATCTAAATGTTCTCATCTGTACAACTGTGACAAAAACAGGACCCATTTACTGTAAATATTAAAAGATTTAAACCATGTGCCTGGCATGTGATAAGGGCTCCATAAATGTTAATTTCATGATAAAGAAAGGGACTAGACATCAGCTTTGGGGGCAAAAAGAACCCCATCAAACTTGTAAATGTCACTATCATGATTATTGACACTCTGTTGATGATATTGTGCAGAAAATAATTAACATAACAGGCCCGAACTACTGCCTGTGAAAAGGCAGGCTTGCAAGGTTGGCCCTTGGCTGGTATGTGGGAGAGAACTGAGATTTTGCAAGGGTTCCCACCATTAACTGATAAGAGTGGTTCATTGTGCCAGACTGTTTGTGCAAACAATGTGGTTTGTGCTGAACACCTGCTTTCTTCTGGGAAGCCAGTATTTCCATATGTGCCAGGTTGGGGCTGCCTACATGACCAGGCTCCAGTAAAAACGTGGGGCACCGAGTCTCTAATGAGCTCCCTTGGTTGGCAACATTTCACACCTGTTTTCACATACAGAACTTGCTGCTGGGGGGTTAATTTATCCTTTGTGATTTTACTGACAGAGGAGCCTTAGAAGCTTGTGCCTGGTTTTCCCCAGACTTCACCCCAGATGCCTTTTCTCTTTGCTGATTCTGCTTGTTATCTTTTTGCTGAAATAAATCATAGCCATTAGTGTTACATGATAGTAGGCTGAGTCCTATGAGTCCTCTTAGTGACTCATTGAACCCGGGGATGGGCTGAACTAGTTATCTCTAAAGGAAACACATTTATTTGGGAAAGAGTGGTATCACAGCATCATCTAATTTAATGTAGGTAAACAAACATATCATTTTAAAAAAATGACTCAGAAACATACAATTTGAAAAAGTGTTCTTAAATGAATAAGGGATAAAAACGCTCCAAGCAGCATTGTGTCTTCAGTGACCCTTCTTTAAAATTATAAAAATGTTAAGAGTCTTTAGTGCTGTAAAAATTATACACTGTAGGCCAGGCACGGTGGCTCACACTTGTAATCCCAACACTTTGGGAGGCCAAGGCGGGCGGATCACCTAAGGTTGAGAGTTCGAGACCAGCCTGACCAACATGGAGAAACCCTGTCTCTACTAAAAATACAAAATTAGTTGGGCATGGTGGCACATGCCTGTAATCCCAGCTACTCGGGAGGCTGAGGCAGGAGAATCGCTTGACCCCAGGAGGCGGATGTTGCAGTGAGCTGAGATTGCACCATTGCACTCCAGCCTGGGCAACAAGAGTGAAACTCATCTCAAAAAAATAAATAAATAAAATAAAATAAAATAAAATTATACACTGTAATGTATAGAGCAGGGGTGTCCAATCTTTTTGGCTTCCTTTGGCCACATTGGAAGAAGAATTGTCTCGGGCCACACATAAAATACACTAACACTAATGACATAAGATGAGAAAAAAAAAAAGGCCCAAGCATAAATCTCATAATGTTTTATGAAACTTTACAAATATGTGTGGGGCCACATTCAAAGCCATCCTAGGCTGCATGCAGCCCGCAGGCTGCGGGTTGGACAAACTTGGTATAAAGCAGAAGGCAGCAATGCGGTAATTTACAATTTTTCGGTCATTGTACACTAAAAGCTCCCTGGGTCCCACTCCTACTCCACACACCTCCCTTTCTACCCCGTTCCCTCCCCAATAGTCTTGATTTCCTTCCCAGTGTCTGTGAAGCTAATTTTGGTATTCACTAACGAATTCTGTATGGTTTGAGAGTCAAATGTGAATGTATCACATATAGATGTTTCTAGACTATTCTTTCAGCAACAGTTTGAAATATACTTATTCAGCAAGAACTAACTGAATACCTTCTACATGCCAGGCTGACATGTAAAATTATTTGGTTTAACATGAACCCTGCAGTTTTTATTATGATACCACAGAATGCAGCTTAAAAGCCCTTGTTAGGCAAACCTCTCAAAACCCCGTGCTTTATTTTCTGTCAAAGATGATCAACAAAAGCATGTATTTGGGTAGTGTTGTGCTGGCCTTTGTATCAAATGAACTAGTCGAGCATTATTTTTTATCCCTTTGATAGAATGCAGATTTCCCATTAAAAAAGCAAATCTTTCAGGCTGGGCTTGGTGGCTCACGCCTGTAATCCCTGCACTTTGGGAGGCCGAGGTGGGCGGATCATGAGGTCAGAAGATCGAGACCATCCTGGCTAACATGGTAAAACCCCGTCTCTACTAAAAATACAAAAAATAAGTCGGGTGTGGTGGCGGGCACCTGTAGTCCCAGCTACTTGGGAGGCTGAGGCAGGAGAATGGCATGAACCTGAGAGGCAGAGCTTGCAGTGAGCCGAGATCGTGCCACTGCACTCCAGCATGGGCAACAGAGCGAGCCTCCGTCTAGAAAAAAAAAAAAAAAGCAAATCTTTCATTTTATAAAGATTTTTTTTTTTTTGAGACAGAGTCTTGCTCTGTCACCCAGGCACAGTGGCGCAATCTTAGCTCACTGCAACCCCTGACTCCTGGTTTCAAGCAATTCTCCCTGCCTCAGTCTCCTGAGTAGCTGGGATTACAGGTGCACACCACCACGCCTGGCTAATTTTTGTATTTTTGGTAGAGACGGGGTTTTGCCATGTTGGCCAGCCTGGTCTTGAACTCCTGAGTTCAGGTGATCTGCCTGCCTTGGCCTCCCAAAGTGCTGGGATTACAGGCGTGAGCCACCATGCCCGGCCAAAAAGATTTAATAAAATGATACTTCTTTCCAGCTGGTTAAATTTAAAACACTGGAAAAAAAAGTTTCATGCAAGACTGTTCTCCAAGTCTGGGCCAGAGCAGTTTCATTTGAGAGTGAGCTGATTGCGTTGGTATTTAACTCACAGCCACAAGCATTTGTCCACACAGGGGAGAGAAGCAGGCCCTTGTAGCCCTCCTGATTTGCCTGACAGTGCCATGAAGACTGCTGCTGTATTATTGCTGCTGGCCCTTCCCTTAGTGCTGACAGATTTCAGGGAAGAGCTGTGCCAAAACTGTTAGTATTTTCCTCTTCAGTTCTCAAATTAAGACATTTCTTGATCTCCTCATGACTCCACCTTCTCTGTTTTTTTGAGGGAATTTGGAGGCCTACATTCTATAACTGGCAAAAAATGATGGAGACAGATAGCAAATGCATCCAGCTGCAGAAGGAGGCAATACATTAAGTCAAATCAGTATTTATTTACTGAGCATTGGTACTACCTAAACCCTGGGTCGGGAATAAAAAAGTAAAATGTGACCCTTGCCCTCCAGGAGCATATAATGAGTTTGTATTAGACAAGACGTTTTGGTATCAGGGAACAGAAGGCCACTTGGGCTGGCTTATGCAAAGCCAGGAATTTATTATACACAAGGGAAGGAAAGCTTCTGCGTCTCAATGAGGGATAAAACCCAAGAACTGGATGCTAACAGGAACCAGTGTTGCTCTCCTTGTCTCTTGGAGGCCCCAAGTCTCTCACAGCTGCTTTTATTCTGAGCCTCAACTTCGTGCTCACTTCCTGGAGATCAGTTTTATCTGTGGAGATGAGCAGAGGCTGCTTGTTGTACCTATGATGTCACTGTTCCCCTTTTTCTCTGAAAAGAGAGTTTTAGCTGAACACTTGGCCACTCAGCTGACAGATGCACTTCCAAGCTTCCCTTGCTGTTAATTGTAGGCATTTACTAGGCTTTAGCCAATGTGATATGGGCAGAAATGATATGTACAACTTCCAGGTTACACTCTTAAATAGAAAGGAATGGGCGCCTCCTTTCCTCTTTTTCCCTCCTTGCTGCCTGGGTGTGAATAAGATGGCAGGAGTTGAAGTAATTGTCTTTAACCTAGCAATAGAATTACAGGTGGAGAATGGCAGAGCAACAAGGTGAAAGGAGCCTGGGTCCCCAACTCCATGGAGCTAATGTGATTATTAGCCCTGACCCAACTGCTTAGCCTCAGACTCTTATATAAGAGGGAAACATAGATCTCATTTGAGCTAGTATTATATTGGGATTTTATTGAGGAAGCCAGAACCTGCAACCTAACTTTTAAACCTGCTTTCTCTGTTTTTCTACGTATAAGATTGCTCTAAATTTATAAGACCTCAGTTTAAGTGACCAAACAAGAAATTCAACTTCAAATACCCAGGTAAGAGGATCGATTGGGGCATCTTCAGACTTCTAATCAGCTAAACTTAGAGGGGAGGGTAAAAGAATACAAGCCTAGCTACGGGGGCTACTGTGGGTGGGGGTAAAGTTGGGGGGTCATTTTCAGCGGGGGGTCATTTTCAGCGGAGGGTCATCTACTTTATTGACCATGCTTCTATATTGAGACCCACCATTCTTAGAGGTATTTGTGTAATTATTTTAGAAGGAAATTATGTATAATGTGTAAAAGCCAAGCCTATGCATTAAATGGAATAGTGAGTGAAAAGGAAATTTCAGAAATTGGAAGAGAAACTGACATCTCTCTGTCAATTAATAAAGTCTCCTGTGAGTGTGAAGATAGACTGGCTGGCTAGGTGGTGACCTTGTTTTCCCACACAGATCTTCCAAAGCTGCTTGGTCTGTCAGAGAAGATGACAGTCACAAATAAAGAAGAAAGGCTCTTTAGTATTCGGAGCTGTGTTTTCCTGCTAGATCCGCAAAACAGACATAATTAGTGTGTTTATATGAGATCTGTTTAGTAGCTAGGAGAGAGTTTGAGAAAAAAGGAAGGTGTCTTCGTCACCTTCCTGTTTTAACAAAATAACATAGACTGGGTGCTTATAAGCAACAGAAATTTATTTCTCACAGTTCTAGAGGCTGAAAGTTCAAGCTTAGGATGGTTGGGTTCTGGTGAGGACCCTCTTTCTGGCTCGCAGACTGATGACTTATTTTTGTATCCTCACATGGAGTAGAGAGAGCAAGCTAGCTCTCTGATCTCTTCTTATAAGGGCACTAATCCCATTCATTAATGAGGGCTCCATACTCATGACCTAATAAGGTCCCACCTCCAAATACCACCATACTGGGGATTAGATTTCAACATATGAATTTCTGGAGGACACAAAAATTTAGTCTGTCACATTCTGCTCATGGTCCTGAAAACTTATGTCCTTCTCAAATGCAAAATACACTTGGTCATTCCATTCCAACAGCTCCCCAGCCTCACCACCAATTTTTAACTCATTCTGGCATCAACTCCAAAATCTAAAGTCTGAAGTCTCATTGAAGTATTATCTAAATCAGATATGGGTAAGACTCCACATATAATTCATACTGAGGCAAATTTCCTCTCCAGCTGTGAACTTATAAAACCAAACAAGTTATGTACTTCCAAAATACAATGGTGGAACAAGCATAGGGTAGATATTCCTATTCCAAAAGATAAAAATAGGGAAGAAGGAAGGTGTGACGGGTCCCAAATAAGCCCAAATCTAGCAAGGCAAACTCCATGGGTTCCTAAGTCTCCTAGCTCTGCACTCTGCCCTCCAGGCCTGCTGGAGAAACGGTCCTGCCTTTGGGACCCGCTGTGTGGCAGTCTCACCTTCCACACCCACTGAGGCTGCAGTCCCTATCCTGTGGCTCTGACAGGCAGGGGTCCTGCCCCCAAAGGTCTTGCTAGGTTGGAGTCAAGCCTGCACAGCTTTGAGTGAGGATCATCTGACCTGTTGAAAACAAGGCGACAGCTCCTCATTTCAAAACTAAGGAGGCAGCCCTGATGATCTGTGAATCGCTTTCATGGTCATTCTTCCCTTGTCTTGGAGAATAGTGCACATTTGCAGCCAAATAGCTCTAAGGTACTGTCCTGCAAAATCCAAGACTTCTGACATCCTTCCTTCATTCCTTCCCTCTCCTTCCCCTTCAAGTTAAACTGTCAGTTTATCTGTGGGGAGCTGAGTAAATTCATGGTTCACACCTAATCTCCTTATTGAATGGTTTCTTGGCCACACACCCTGAGTGTCCTCTTCCAAACGTGCTTTTCATATTTTTTTTGCAATACAGATAGGTTGAGAATTTTTCAGATAATTATGTTCCAGTTCCTTTTGCTTAAAAATTCCATCTTTAAGTCATTCTCTCTTCTCACATTTCACTGTTAGCAGTTAGGAGGAACCAAGCCACTTCTTCAACACTTTACTTAGATGCCTCTTCAGCTAAATATCCATTTTACCACTCACAAATTCTACCTTCCACAAAACACTAGAACATGAACACAACTCAACCAAATTCTTTGCCATTTTATAATAAGGATCACCTTTTGGCCATTGTCTGATAATGTGCTCCTCATTTCTATCTGAAACCTCATCAAAATGGCCTTTATCATTCTTATTTCTACCAACATTCTGTCCATGATTACTTATATATTATCTAAGAATATAAAAGCTTCCTCTAGAGCTCTTCTCTTACTATTTTGAGCCTTCACCAGAATTGACTTTAAACATCCCATCATGACAATCTCAGCTTCTTCTAGCATGCACTTTGAAACTTCTAATTCCAAAGCTGCTTTGACATTTTTAGGTATTTGTTAAAGGAGCACTCTACTTCTCAGTACCAATTTCTGTCTTAGTTAGCATGGACATCACTAACAAATTACCATAGACTGAGAAGCTCATACAACAAACATCTACTTCTCATAGTTCTGGAGGCTGCGCAGTCCAAGATCGAGGACTGGCAGATCCTGTGTCTGATGAAGGTTTTTTTTCCCTTGTTGCAGACTGCCAACTTTTTCTCGTATCCTCTTACGGAGTAAAGAGGGCAGGCTAGCTCTCTTACCTCTTCTTATAAGGCACTAATCCCATTCACAGGGCACCATCTGCGTGACCTAATCACCCCCCAAAGACCCCTCTTCCCAATATCATCACCTTCGGTATTAAATTTCAATGAGAATTTTGAGGGGACACAAACATTCAGACCATAACAGAAGGAATGTTAGACTGAAGACCGGCACTTCTGGGGTATTGGCAGGATAATTCCCAGTAAATGAAATGAGAGTGGCGAAGGACGCTTTTCTTGATGGAAGCAGGGGGTTCTTTGAGCTCATCCTTGTCTCTCTTCCCCTATTCTCCCTTGCAGCCAGCAACTAGAGTGTAATAGTTAAGTGAATGGACCCTGGAACCCCTCTGACTAACCTGGGCAGGTCACCCTCTCTGGGCCACAGTTTATTCATTTTTATCTATGGAAGGGATATAACATTACTCACCTCACAGGGTTATGTTAGGTTATAGGGAAATTTGTAAAAAGTGCTGAAAACAGTGCCTGCACAGAGTCATGCTATCATAATTAATCAAGCCTCTAATAATGATTACTATTCTTTCATTAAGCAAATGATTAGTGCCAGGGTCAAGAGACCCAACTGAGATAAGTAACGTGCTCAAAGCTTCACAACTAATAATTGGTGTTGCTGGGTTTGACACAAATGGATCTGACTCTAAAAAATGGGCTCTGGAGAGAATTCTTATCAATGTCACCACACACCCTCCCTTTCTTCTTACTTTTTTTCTTTTATTACAGTCATCACAGTAATAAAAGAATTAGTCTTTAAATCTAAGGAGCATACACAGTCAATTGTAATACAGGGCATTAAATTCTATTATATAGATTAAAAACTAAAAGTCATGGGAACCCAGAAGTGTGTATTTACCCAGACGGAGTAGCAGGACAAAGGAGGCTTCCTGGAGAAGATGACTGATCAGCTCGGTGAGAGGGAGCCAGGTAAGACAGTAAGACAGAAAGAGGACCATAGAAAAAAAGGTTTTCTGGATACAGCTGCTTTACTGAATTACTAAAAGCAGGCCACTGACTAGAACATGGAATTTGAGAGCCCTTTTTGCCAACCTAGTTGTCAGTGAGACATTCTATGTGAAGAAGACTTTGTACAGTTAGATGTTTGGAGTTTATTCTGGAAGCACAGGTATGTTCCGTAATAGAAAGGCAAGGCTGATTGTGCAGCTGTCCTTGGGCCCGTGTGGTTCTGGTTAAGTAAAAGACCTAAGAACAATCGTTTTGACTTTTTCTGAATTAGTTCAGATGATAAAACTCAAGCAGAGAAAATCATGACTTTCAAGGCATGGACTTTGTCTGTCTCGCTGCTGTCTCTTCAGAGTCTAGGACAGAACCTGGTACACAGTAGACACTCAACAGATATTTGTTGAATGACTAAATTGGATAAAAAGATGTGTGCATTTTAAGAGCAGCACTTGCCAACCTTTGTTCATCCTTTGTGGGCTGACGCAGACTAGAACTGTATTTTTGGCTTACATCTGAAGGAGCCAGCAACTTTTTAAGTTACGTATTAACCAGTCTTTTGGATGGTTGTATAAATGACTCAGCAGTCCTCAGGAGGTAACATTGTAATCTTAACTTATAAATAATAAATGGACACCTGCTTTGTATTCAGAACTCAGTTAGGAACAAGTAAGGAACAGATATAAGATATAATCCCTATCCCATGGATTTAAGATACTATGCAGCCAGGTGTGGTGGCTCATGCCTGTAATCCCAGCACTTTGGGAGGCCGAGGCAAAATGATCACTTGAGACCAGGAGTTAGAGAACATCCTGGGTAACATAGCAAGACCCTGTCTCTACAAAAATATAGAGACCTAATCTTTATAAAAATATAAAAATTAGTCGGGCATGGTGGTACACACCAGTAGTCCCAGCTACTCAGGAGGCTGAGGCAGGAGAATCGCTTGAACCTGGGAGGTGGAGGTGGCAGTGAGCTGAGATCGCACCACTGCTCTCCAGCCTGGGTGACAGAGTAAGACTCTGTCTCAAAAAAAAAAAAAAGAAAAAAGAAAAAAAGAAATTAGCTGGGCATGGTGGTACATGCCTGTAGTCCCAGCTACTCAAGAGGCTGAGAAAGGAGGATTGCTAGAGCCCAGAAGTTTGAGGTTACAGTGAGCTCTGATTGAGTCACTGCACCCCAGCCTGAGTAACAGAGCAAGACCCTGTCTCTGAAAAAGAAGAAGAACAAAAGGTGTAAGGCCAGATGCAGTGGCTCATGCCTGTAATCCCAGCACACTGGGAGGCCAAGGCAGGTGGATTGCCTGAACTCAGGAGTTTGAGACCAGCCTGGGCAACATGGTGAAACCTCATCTCTACCAAAAATACAAAAAATTAGCCAGGTGTGGTGGCACACACCTGTGGTCCCAGCTACTTGGGAGGCTGAGGTGGGAGAATCACTTGAGCCTGGGAGGCAGAGGTTATAGTGAGCTGAGACTGTGCCAAAGCACTCCAACCTGAGTGACAGAGTGAGACCCCGTCTCAAAAAAAAAAAAAAGAAAAGAAGATTTAAAGATGGGAATAGCACCCATGAAAAAAGAGCGGTTATTACCAAAGTTAATCATGTGATAATAACTAACGGTGGTTTAACTCATACATGCCAAGATAAGAATACACAAATAACTGGGGTATAAGATAAATAACTGAGAGTTAGTGTTAGTGCTATGGTTTGAATGTGTCCCCCAAATTTCATGTTGGGAACTTAATTCCCCAATGTATATGTTGATGAAGGTAGGGGCCTTTGGGAGGTAATTTGGATTAAAGTTATCAGGGTGTGGCCTCTATGATGGGACTAGTGGTTTTACAAGAAGAGGAAGAGAGATGTGAGCTGACATGCATGTTCTTGCTCTCTTGCCATGTGATGCCCTCTGCCATGTTATGACACAGCAAAAAGATTCTCACCAGATGCCAGCACCATCCTCTTGGACTTCTCAGCTTCTAGAACCATGAGCTAACTAAAATTAGTCTTTTTCTTTTTTTGGAGACAGTGTCTCACGTCATCACCCAGGCTGGAGAGTGCAATGACACGATCTTGCCTCACTGCAACCTCCGCCTCCTGGGTTCAAGAGATTCTCATGCCTCAGCCTCCCGAGTAGCTGGGGTTCTAGGTGTGTGCCACCACACCTGGCTACTTTTTTTTTTGTATTGTTAATGGAGACAGGGTTTCACCCTGTTGGCCAGACTGATCTTGAACTCCTGATCTCAAGTGATCCGCCTGCCTCGCCCTCCCAAAGTTTGGGGATTACAGGCATGAGCCACTGCTCCCGGCAGTAAACTTCATCTTTCTGTTGCTATAACAGAATACTACAGACTGGATAAAATATGAAGAAAATACGTGTAGTTAGCTCACAGTTTTTTTTAAAGCAAGTTTAATTTCACCTTGGGAAGATATATTTAGAAATAATAACATATTATCATTTAAATCCCACACAACCTTATTTTACAAATGAAACAGCTGAAGCTTACAAAGATCATGTAAATAATCTACCTAAGGTCCACAGCAGACAAACTCAAGGCTGTTTTCTTAACTTCTACCCTGTACTGCCTACTGTATTTCAAAACTTTCATTAAGAATATGTTCCAGAGAACACGATGTCAGAGGGAAATAAATCATATGTACAATTGATCCATGAACAACATGGGGATTTGGAGTGTGAACCCCCTGTGCAGTTGAAAATCCATGCATCACTTTGGACTCCCCAAAACCTTAACTACTAATAGCCTAGTGTTGACCTGAAGTTCTTACCAACAATGTAGTCAATTAATATATATTCTGTATGCGATGTACATTATATACTATATTCTTATAATAAAGAAAGCTAAATAACAGAAAATGTCCTTAAGAAAATTATAAGGAAGAGAAAATATATTTACCATTTATTAAGTGGATGTGGATCATGACAAAGGTCTTCATCTTCATCATCTTCACATTGAGTAGGTTGGGAAGGTGGAAGAAGGGGAGTTGGTCTTGCTGTCTCAAGAGTGGCAGAGGCAGAAGAAAATCCACATGTGTAAGTGGATGCATGCAGTTAAAAAACCCATGTTGTTCAAGAATCAACTGTATATATAAAACCATTATACTTTCTGAAAATAATTAAGTAGCTAAGTTTCTTGAAGTTTTTTTTTTCCTGTTTCTTTTTTTCCTTGTTTTAGTCCATTTATGCTACAATAACAAAATATCTGAGACTGGGTAATTTATAAACAATAGGAATTTATTTCTCACAGTTCTGGAGGCTGGGACTCCAAGATCAAGTTGCCGGGGGGCTCAGTATATATCTGGTGAAGGCTGTTCTCTGCTTCCAAGATGGCAGCTTGTTGCTGTGTTCTTACATGACAGAAAAGCAGAAGAGCAAAAGGGGCTGAACTCTGTGTGAAGCCACTTTTATAAGGGCCTCAATCCTATTCATGAGAGAGAAGCCTTCATGGCCTAATCACCTCCTAAAGACCCCCAGCTCTTAATACTATTGCATTGGAGATTAAGTTTCAACATGAATTTTGGAAGACACAGTCAGACCACAGCATTTCTGGTAAGACAACAGTAAAACCAGGCAATTCAAAGGAAAATTTTAACAGCTGAAAATGATTTTTTTTTTTTGGCATTTGGAATAATGCCTATAAATCACACCCATATCCTCTTCAAGCTGAGAACTGAAAGCAAAAATTGCTCAAATCAGTTTACAAAGCAGTTTCTCTAAAAATATTTTTGAAAGAAAAAAACTTTTAGGTGAGGCTAAAATATATATATATATATATATATATATATATATATATATATATATATATTTATTTTAATTTGTGATCATGATCCAAACTATTTAGAATGCAAAGTTGGAGAAAGAAATGGAAACTAGTATAGTGGCCAATTCTAAATACACAAAAAAGAATGGAAAAATTCTTTCCTATTATGTTGACCACATTCCTTCTCTGAATCATAAAGCTCTCAGTTGAGCAAGTATTATAATCAGTGCTTATTTATCTAAAATGGCTGGAAAATGTGCCCACCTACCTAATTTTATTTTTCAGGTGAGTTATTAGATGCACCATTCAAGAATTTCTATTTCTAAATCACCTCAATACTTAACTAATCTGGTCTTATTTTAACCTTTAATTCAGAAAATAAAGACAGATGGGTTTTTCAGGATCACAGATCCTCATTGTTCCTCCTTTCAGGCCAAAATCCTCATAGCCTTCAAAACCCTGCTTCATCTGATCTCTGCCTACCCTTCCCACTTCATCCTTCTCCCACTTGCTCAATGCCCCCAGCCACTTCTGTTTCTTTCTGTTTCAAGCTGATTCTCTCAATACACTTGCCCTGACGACACCCTCTGCCAGCAATGCATTTCTCCCTTATCCTCTCAACATTCACATCTCTGCTTGAACATCACCTCCTCCCCAGACACCCTCTCTCAAGCAGCACACACACTCCCCGGCATAGTATCCATTCACTATCTTCACAGTGCTCTTGACTCCCTGAAATAATCTTCCTTATGCTATTGCTTGACTATGGCCTGTAACCCATCCCCTACTAGACCAAAAGCTCCTAAGGAAGGATCTTAACCCTCTCATTTACGATTGTATTCCCAGGGCCTGGAAGAGCCCTATGCAGGACTGGCTCTCAACAAACAGTTAATGAGTCAATTTCATGAAATAAAGTTCACCAAATGATATACCTCTGAAGATGCTTTAGAGCATGATATGATATTGTTATCAACTTGTTATTTTATATTCATTGATTAGATTGTTAAAAGATATACTTAGGCACATGAAAATGTTACAGAGTTTATTTGGGGAGAGAGCAATTCATGAATTGGGCAGTACCAGGCGGCAAGGGGTTTAGCATTCCACCCAGGGAGCATGAGGTGAAACATTTATAAGGTGTTTGTGAAAGCAAGGCCAAAAAAAAAAAAAAAATTAGGTTAAGGTGAAAAGTCCCTTTGGCCTCATCTAGAAGTTAGTTGGTCATTTCTAACTGGTTAAGTTTGTTTCATTTTAGTGCTTACATTGAGTTGGGTTTTAGTTTGCTTGTGTTGGAACCTGAGGCACTGGTACAGTCTCAGCAGAATGCTTCCCAATTAATTATTTTAACAAGATAAACATTTATTGAATGATTACTATGTATAAAGTGTGGGGAATACAATGTCGAACAGAATGGTTCCTGCCCTCCTGAAGTGAGTCATCTAATGGGAACTTAACAAAAAAATTATGTTACTTGAGTTTTCTGCTTACTATATTAGTGTATTTATTTATTTATTTATAGAGACAGAGTCTTGTTCTATTGCCCAGGCTGGAGTGAAATGGCATGATCATAGCTCACTGTAACTGTGTGGCTAATTTTTAAATTTTTTGTAGAGATGGGGTCTTGCTATGTTGCCCAGATTGGTCTTGAATTCCTGACCACAAGTGATCCTCCCCCTGGGAACCATTACAGTTGGCCAATGCTTTTAATACTATGGAAATAAATGCCTATTTTCCAAGCGTCTTCACTACCAAAAAGTAAACACATTTATTTTAAGAAACAGGTGCTAAGCAACTTTCAGCATAATCTGCAAATAATTTTCTTTGTCAGAACAGTGCTACGTGATGAAATTTAGACCATTAATACACTTTATTCCCACTGCCTCAACTAGTGAAAGGAATTGCATTTCAATAGGGACGTTTCAGAGTGAACACTGTTTACAAAGGAATTAAACTGCATTAGTATTTTGATACCATCTTAAATTATCTAAGGTTTTTGATAAGCAACAAAGACTGGAATGTGACACTGGAATGTGAGTCATTCTGCATTTCAAAAGATTGCTGAGTTGAGATTCTTGATGTTAACCCTACTTCTTACGAATAAAAGCTTTTAAGCTGTATCCTTATCGAAATCAAGAACACAAATTATCATAAAGAAGCTAAAACTGAGCACCTGTATTTGATAGAGGTATTATAAAAGGCAGTGGGGCCTGGAACCTTTCTGATCCTCCTTCCCTTTGACAATAAATAAATGTAGTAGAATCCTATTCCCTAAAAATGTAGGTGAGTACATACACACACAAAAATAATTGCATAAAAGTCTTGTGAAGGTTATGAACTCCAGAAAAAGACAACCCTGACTGAGGCCTCTCCTCTCTTCCAGAATTCCCTTTTGGGACTGCCAAGTCCTGTGGCTGCTGTCAAAACACTGTGTTTTATTGTTAACACCAAATTTAGAGAATCAGCAATGTCTTTGAACCTGAACGACAATAGATAAAATTAGTGAGGTATTCCCAATTGTTTCAAGCAGGAATAAGGCAAGGAGAGAGAAGAAACAACGTACACACACACACACAGAGAAAGAGAGAGAGAGTGAGAATAAATGAATATGGGAATGAGGAGAGGAAGGACAGCTATCATGAGAAAGAGAAAGTGGCAGGAGGAGTTTCAAAGGGAGAGGTGGTCTGTCTTCCTTCCTCATGTCCAGAATGAGCACTTCACTCCCTCAGCTCCTGCCAGCCCCTTCCACCCCCAGAACTCTCACCTCTTCAGCTTTCCTGGCCCCTGCCTTTAGAAACCCTATAAATTCGCTTTTGCTTCTCTCAACCCAGCTATCTACTTGTTAAGGACTGCCCCCTTCTCAGCTTCCTTCCACTGGTTTCTTTCTTTCTAGTTTTTTGAGACAGGATCTCACTCCATCGCCCAGGCTGGAGTGCAGTGGCAGGATCACTGCTCAATCAGCCTTGACATCTTTGGCTCAAGCAATCCTCGGGACTACAGGCACACATCACCATGCCTGGCTAATTTTTGTATTTTTAGTAGAGATGGGGTTTCACCATGTTGCCCAGGTGGGTCTCAAACTCCTGGGCTCAAGTGATCCACCTGCCTTGGCTTCCCGAAATGCTGGGATTTCAGAGATGAGCCACTGCCACCTGGCCTTAAACACGGTTTTCTAAATCTGCTCCCTCCATTTCTTCACTGACTCTTCCCTTCCTTACCCCAGAATGTGATTTCTACTGGAGCTGTGGCTTGAGGCTTCTCCATGAGAAGGACCATACTGAAAAAATAAAAGGCTCTTTTCCTTTCTGCATTTACGTTGTATGTTTGTTCAGCTTTTTCCTTAAAACTTTCTTCTTCCTTGTTTGCTGAGTTCATTTTAGTATTCTTTGTACTTGTTTGTGATTTTACTTGCTTTTTCTTTTTCTCCAAATTTCTGAGCCACCCCAGAATTTAATTCTTGCTTTTCTGTGTTCTTTACACTTCCTGTCTGAGGAAACTATAGATTATAATGACTTAATGTGCCAAGAAAAACATAGGTTTCAGAAGCAGAAAAAAAAAACCTAAGCTCTAGTTCTGATCTTAGTGCTTTGTGACCTTAAACAAGTCACTAACCTCTCTAAGCCTCGGTTTCTTCCTCTAAAAAAAAAAATGAGGACAATAATATTTCCTTCTAATTGTAATTTTGAATATTAAATGGGATAAGATTTGTAAAAATGACTAAGTGCTCATCATATTATTCATCAGGCAAGCAATTGTTGACCATCTACTTTATGCCAGATTCAATATAAGATCCTAGGGAATGATGCAGTGAAGAAGACATAGTTTCCTGCCCTAAATCTACTCTCAGTCTAGAAAGGGGCATGTAAACAAATAAATTACATGACACTGTGTCAGCAGCAACAATAGGAACATTTACAAAATAGAAAGGACAAATAGAAAAGGGGCTGAATAAATCTCACGGAGGTTTGTGAGACAAGGAAGCCTTCTGGGAAAGGTGATATCTGAATCCAATTTTGAAGGATAAATGTTAACAAATAGAAGCAGAGAAAACAACGTATTCAAAGATACCTAAGTGTGAAACAGCGTGGCCAATTCAGGGCTGTTTCTAGAATTAAAGCACAAGGTTGGAAGTGACAGAAGACAAGATTGGAGAGGCAGGGAGAGGCCAGATAATAGTCTTAGTAATAAGCATGCTAATAACACCCAATGATTGAGAAATTACCCTGTGTCAGGCACTGGGGCATAATTAAGTGCTTTGCATACATGATTTTTAAAAATTATCATTATAGCGACTCTGTAAGTCAAAGAGCTTGGGCTTGGCCCGTGGCCAAATGAAGAGCCACTAGACTTTTAAGTAAGGTAGTTATGATCCCATGCATATTTAGAAAAGCTATTGAGGCATCAGATTTTTAAAAAGTGTGGTGAAATACACATAAAAATTATTATCTTAACCATTTTTCAGTGAACAGTTCAGTGGCATTAAGTATATTCACACTGTTGTGCTACCATCACCACCATAGAACTTTTTTCATCTTGCAAAACTGAAGCTCTGTAGCTATTAAATGGTAACTCCCCACTACCTGGTCTCTTCATCCTCTAGCTGAATCATGCAGTATTCGGAATACCATATAGTATAGTAGAATGGAATCACACCGTATTTATCCTGTTGTGACTGGTTTATTTCAGTTAGCATAATGTTCTCAGCGTTCATCTTTGTTACAGTATATGTCAGAATTTTTTCCTTTTTAAGGAAATAATATTCCATTGCATGTATATACCACTTCTAGTTTTCTCATTCACCCACTGATGGACACAGGTTGCTTCCACATCTTGGTGGACAA
The DNA here is from genome assembly GCF_000001405.40 of Homo sapiens. Classification (NCBI taxonomy): domain Eukaryota; kingdom Metazoa; phylum Chordata; class Mammalia; order Primates; family Hominidae; genus Homo; species Homo sapiens. The sequence continues at coordinate 94,934,223 of NC_000001.11, read as the reverse complement.
AGGTATACAAGCATTTCTTTCAGACCCTGCTTTCAGTTAGGTTGGGTATATTCCTAGAGGTCTATGGTAATAGTGTTTTTAATTTTTAAAGGAACTGCCCTGCTGTAAGGCTTTGGAGATGAATCAGGAGAAAAAGGCTAGGGGCAGGATGCCATTTTGTGGCAATAAGAACCTCAGTTTCAAGCTGTTGGGAGTGGACGAAAGGCAATGTAGTTGAGCAACTGACAACACTTGGTTCCTAAATTGAGAAGAGGGAGGTAGATATTCTGGGTGACTCTCTTGTAGGATACCTTCAGATTTTGAGGGATCTGAAGCTTTTACAAGTTTAGGAACCCTCGAGATAAAAAAAATAAAATAAAAAACAACGGATAAAAAATCAAGTGTGGGACTCTAAAGAGGCCATGGAAGTGAGCGGCCTTGCAATACAGACTGGAGAGAGAAGAGCTTGTGCAGTGGGCATCATCTTTATTTGCCTCGCCAGCATCTCTTCCCCCATTTTCCTTTGGGGTTGTGCGTCTTCCCTCTCTCAGCTCCTGTGGTGCTGGCCGAGCTGCCAACTTACCTCCACACCTACTTTAGGCACATACCCAGGCCTGCCAGCAGTGCCTTCCTCCTGGTAGCTGCAGTGATTAGCATGGAAATATGTAGGTGACAGTGAGGCTCAATTCTGGGACTTTTGTTAGAACCATTGGGAAGTTTTTCACTTAGAAGATTAGGATGTAAACCTGGACCTTTCAGTGGTAAATTTCTCCCCTGGTGGGTAGGGCTGAGGGAGTTAGCAGAAGAGAAAAGGTATGTGGAGACACCCTGGTTTGTCATGCCTTTGACTGAGTCCTTGACTCTAGCCATGCCCAATGCTACATCTCCTTGACTTGTATGTCACATGAACCACTAAAGTCCACTTTTTGTCTAAGTCGGTTTGACTTCGTTTTCAGCTTCCATATCTGTTTATCATAAAGAACTCCGGTGGACCTTGTTTGGGTCATGTGCCTCCTTGAGCCCAGTACTTGGCCTAGTGGGGGATAAGGTAATCCCTTTGAAACGTCCGCCACATGCTTGCCTCTGGTGGAAAAGGTGGCACACGATGGATGTACTAATAGTATCACCTGGAGTAACTGGTGAGCACTCTCCAAAGGGAGGGGAAAAAGGAGCAAATGTACCTTACAAGAGCAATTTCAGGGAGCTTCCAGGTAGCTGAACCCATGAAGGTTCCTGAAGTGGGGCGTGACAGAGAGGCCGTGGCAGTTCTGCTCCCCTTCTCCCATACCTCATCCTATGCATCTCTTCTATTCGGCTGCTCACATGTGTTTTGGAAAAACTGATTTCAAATGAAGATGGGCAACAACAAAGGATCACTGCCAAATCCAATACAAAGTTGTTATTATAAAGAAAAAGATGTAAAGGATAGGAGCTTTTTTTTTTAAGACAGAGTCTCACTCTGCTGGAGTGCAGTCTCCCAGTCTGGAGTGCAGTGGTGCAATCTTGGCTCACTGCAATCTGCACCTCTGGGTTCAAGCAATTCTCTCGCCTCAGCCTCCTGAGTAGCTATGACTACAGGTGTGTGCCACCCTGCCGGCTAATTTTTGTATTTTTAGTAGAGACGGGGTTTCACCATGTTGCCCAGGCTGGTCTCGAAGTCCTGGCCTCATGTGATCCGCTTGCCTCCCAAAGAGCTGGGATTACAGGTGTGAGCCACTGCACCAGGCCAGGGGCATTTTTATAATAAATTCCATAAAGCATCCCCCCTTGCCCCCCTCAAAAAAGGGTGACTTCAGATTCTTCAGGAGTCTGGGAAGTTGGTTTTTGAGCAATCATTCTAAACCAGGCCTGGTTTCAAATCCCAACTCTGCTCTCTGTTAACTGTTTGATATTGACCGAGTTGTGTACCATACTAAACCTTAGTTTTTGATTATAAAGTAGGAATAGATAATATTGATTATTATAGGGTTATTGCAAGTGATGCCTATAAGTGGGGTGACTGTGATTTAGCATCTCAACGGGACACTTTTGAGGGTGAAATGAGCACACTATGAAGGGGCTTTATCAGGACTGCCTGAAACAAAAAAATATTAATAGTGCCCTTTCACTCTCAAAAATGCCCCTATTTGGGTGATGAATTTTGATCTCACTGCCTGTTATGTGCCTCTAATAGTGCTTAGCACATAGCAGGTGCTTAAAAGTCCCTTAGCCTCTGAGCCTTTTAGGGTCCCTTCTGCCTTTACCATAACTGATCCATACCTTTGTGGTTCTCTTTAATTCTCTGGCATTGTGGACTTGTTACAGGAACAGGGTCCCGATCCAACCCCAAGAGAGGGCTCTTGGATTTCACACAAGAAAGAATTCAGGGCGAGTCTGTAAAGTGAAAGCAAGTTTATTAGGAGGAATAAAAAAATGGCTACTCCAGACTGAGCAGCCCCTTGGGCTGCCGGTTGCCCTTATTTATAGTTATTTCTTGATGATACGCTAAACAAGGGGTGGCTTATTCATGCCTCCTTTTTTTAGATCATATAGGGCAACTTCCTGATGTTGCCATGGCATTTGCAAACTGTCATGGCGCTGGTGGGAGTGTAGCAGTGAGGACGACCAGAGGTCATTCTTGCCGCCATTTTGGTTTTGGTGGGTTTTGGCTGGCTTCTTTACTGAAACCTGTTTTATCAGCAAAGTCTTTATGACCTGTACCTTGTGCTGACCTCCTAACTCATTCTGTGACTTAGAATGCCTTAACCGTCTGGGAATGCAGCCTAGCAGGTCTCAGCCTTATTTTACCTAGCCCCTATTCAAGATGGAGTTGCTTTGGTTCACATGCCTCTGACAGATTTACAGGGTGAATTCTTCAAAACACTTTATGTTATTATTTTCGTGGCAAGATGTATGGCAATATGACCCACAAATTTGCCTCTGTGAAAAAATACTTTTCTACAACTCTCCAACAACTGCTTTTAATTAATAAAAATTTGGAAAGGTTGAGTTGACCTCCTTAACAGCATTTATTTCAATTGAAAGTGTTCTGCATATTACAGAAACTTCCAGGGAAAGTACTTAAGATTGCTGGGCCACACCCTGGTAGTTAGTTTGCAATGTGACATTTTACTTAAACTGAGCATTTACTGACACATTCTACTGTTAGAACTTGGTCAGGATTTTTGAAATGTATCCTAACAGTGACAAGTTAAATACCATAATAAGAAAACACACAATCCAATAAAAATAGGCAAAAGATCTGAACAAACATTTCATGAAAAAGATACACAGATGGCAAATAAATACATGAAAAGAAGCCCAACATCATTACGTATTAAGGGAATTCAAATTAAAACCATAATGAGATACCATACTCCACATCTATAAGAATGACTAAATTTAAAAAAACTGACCTACCAACTGTTGGTGAGGAAGCAGAGGAACTGGAACTCTCATACGCACTGGTGGGAATGTAAAATGGTACAATCATTTTGGAAAAAGTTTGCAGTTTCTTAAAAAGTGAAATATACATCTTTCACTTGATCCAGCCATTCCATTTATAGGTATTTATGGGAGAGAAATTAAAGCATATGTCCATACAAAGACTTGTACATGAATGTTCATAGCAGCTTTATTTGCAATAGCCAAAATCTAGAAACAACCAAAATGTTCATCAATAAGGGAATGGGTAAAATCACTGGTGTATCCCTACAGTTGAATACTACTCAGTAATAAAAGGAATGAACTAATGATACATGCTACAACGTCAGTGAATCTCGTAATAATTTTGCTGAGTGAAAGAAGCCAGATAAAACAGAATATACAATGTGTGATTCCAATTATATAAAATTCTAGGAAATACAAATTAATGTATAGTTACATAAAGCATATCAGGGGTTGCCTGGTGGGGTGGAGAGGTAAGGAAGACTGGGAGGGAGGGGCTACATGAGGAAACTTTTGGGTATGATGAATATGTCCTTTGTCTGTTGTGGTGATGGGTTTTTAAATAGGTGTATCTATGTGTATATGTGTGTATCAAACTGAACACTTTAAATATACTTTGTTATATCAATATACTTCAATAAAGCTGTTAAAATTGTCCCAAATTTTAAGTTTTTCTCATTTGATTCTATAGTGCCACAGTAGGTAGTCAGACACAAGCAGAGCAGGAGAGGGCTCCCCGCTCCCACCAGGAATGTCACGCAACCATCAGGTGGTCAGGCAGTTGTTAAACTGTCTCTCTAAAATAATAACTGGTCACAGCCGGCACCAGGGAAAGGCAGTCTCCCAATGGCTAGAAAATACCTACAACTGGTGATCAGCAGCTTCTGGATAGGATCTTAGGAGTTGGCTGAGTGGGCTCACAGGTGTGAACTAAGAGGCAAAATGGTGGCATTTAACTGGTACTCATATATGACCTTCTTCTAGGAACACTTGACTAGTAAGCGAAGAATGCCTCAAGTGAGCATGCGTACAACCTCAGTTAACACACTGAGCATGTGGTCCCTCCCAAGTGCTGGCAGGCCACTGCACATGCAGACAGCCCACCTCAAGGGAAGAATCAGGGGAAAAGGGACACAACCCCCTGGAAGCATGCCAATGTATAAAACCCCAAGTCAAAGGTCAAGCAGCGCACTTGAATCTCTCAAGTTGCCCGCCTGGCCCTCTTCCAAGTGTACATTACTTCGTTTCATTCTTGCTCTAACTTTCACTCCTGCTCTAAAACGTGCCTTGGCCTCTCCCTCTGCCTTATGCCTCTCGGTAGAATTCTTTCTTTGGAGGAGGCAAGAATTGAGGTTGCTGCAGACCCATACAGATTTGCTGCTGCTAACACACTTTGGTGCATGAGACTCAGATACATTCCCTAGTGCTAACAACAGCATTACGTATTCTTACACAATGAGTTAAATTAGAAACGAAGGAAGTCTCTGGAGTACTGATGGAATCCAAGAGGACCAACAATATTTAAATAGTAAGTTCCAGTGGCAATGTCAGAAAGAACTTCAAGTACCTTAGGGAGGATAACAGTTGATCAAACAAACAAATGTAGAAAATTTCATGTTTACTTTAAAGTCACGTAAGTGTACAATGGCATTAAGTACATTTACAATGTTGTGTGACCACTGTCACTACCCATCTTCAAAACTTTTTCATCATCCAAAACTGAAATCCTGCACTCCTTAAAAAATAACTCCCCCTAAACAATAAAATTCATGGTTTTCAAGACAAAATACAATTCTTGAACATTTTACAATAAGCTAAAGTAGATTAAAATGACTTTGAGCATACAACAGGAGCAGTCAGGCTTAGATTGCTGCAAAAAGGCTTTGCAGGCTGGACACCATGATTTGTACCTCAAATCTGGCTGCTATTTCCCACACTCCTAGGTCCCAAAGAAATGTGGGTGAGGTCCTGCGGTTGACACACCGTCACTGTCATACTACTGGAAAAACAGCCCAAACTGTTAGCCTCAATGATATTGGGTCAATTGTGTCATCTTCGTGTGGGAAGAATGCCCTAATTATCATTACTCCCTTTGGACAAAATTAGCAAGTCATTTATAAATCATTTCACTTTCCTCCCTATTTGCCTCCTCCCGCTTCCTTCAGGTTCCATCCCTCAAAGTCATTGGGAAAAGCCTTGCAAACTGGATAGCAGTTTTGTGCATTTCCGGTTCAAGCTGCCTTACTCACTTTTTTTTTTTAATTTAAAAAAACTTTGGATTTTTTGTAGAGACAGGATCTTGCTATGTTGCCCAGGATGTTCCTGAACTCCAGGCCTCAAGCAATCCTCCCACCTCGGTCTCCCAAAGTGCTAGGATTACAGGCATGAGCCACCACACCTGGTTCACCTTACTCACTTCTATTCCAGGACGGTTCAACTATGATGTTTTGGCTCCTCTTCTCAAGCAGCTTTCCACACCTGGTTCCATGATCTCTTCTGGCACAGTAGCTGGTATTTGGCAAACATAGGTTTCATCCTGGGATCTCAGGGATTGAAATCTGTCCTAGGTGTGCACCAGAAAGTGGTGGCAAGAGATGAAGCTTCGGAGGAGGCTGACCTCGGCCAGGATTCTTAAGTCTCAAAGTTTCAGCTTTCTCACCCCTCAACGGACATGAAATCTACCTATTTGTAACTCCAGGGAAGTAAATGAGATAATGTTTGGAAGATATCTAGTCTACCAGCTGCTCAGGCGGGGGGCGAAGGTTCTGTTCCCTGTCCCTTCTCTATCAAATGGCTTTAAAATCAGAAGAAAGTATTACGGGTAGGAAATGGGACTGCGAAAAAAATGGAGGCTGATTCTGGCCTAAAGGATACTTATCTCTATACAAAGGGCTTCTGATTCAAAGAGGCCCCGGGATTCAAAAACACAAGCAGAGCTACACCACGTGGGGTTTGGGACGAGCTGAATTCCGGATAAAGATGCCTGTAAAGAGGAGTTGATGCGAATCCAGAAAAGCACTTGAAATGCCCAGGCTTTGCATGGCACATTCCCCAGGATTTTTTCGCACCGCATTTAGAGGTTTAGACGGAGTGAGCTCGAATCAGGCCAAAAGCCTTAGGTTACTCCTGGGCGGCAGCGGGGCAGAGGTCAGATCAACAGGTGTGGAAGGCTGCGAGGTGAGGGAAGAAGCAGGTGTCGGTGGAGGCCCCAGTTCCTCCGGCCCAGAGGCTCCAACGCTGCTATTGGTGTTCCAGCAGCGGGCGGAGGGGTCCTGCCCGGCATCTGGGCGCGCTGGGCCCAGAGCCCGGGAGGAGGCAGACGGAGGCGGCGGGTCAGCGGCGGGCCAGCCCCGGTGGGCTTCCGCTCCCCTCCGCCGGCCCGGTCCGGCCCGCCGCGGAGGATGCCTGGAGGTTGACGTGAATGGCCTGTGGCTGGGAAGCCCCCAGGCGCCCTGCCTAGCCCGGGGGCGGGGCCGCCTAGCCGCCGGCCCCGGTGGCGTGAGGGCTGGGGCGGGGGCCGGGGACCTCGCGGGGAGGGAGCGGGAGGGAAAGCGGCCCCCGCGGCCCTTCAATTGGCCGCACCGCCCCTCGGCGCAGAGGCGGGAGGAGGCGGCCCTCCATTGGTCGGGCCCGGCGGCCAATCCTCGAAGGCCCAGGCGGAGGCGGGGGCGGCCTGTGGGGAACCGAGGTGCGGGCGGCGAGCGAGGCAGCCGGGTGCTTCGCAGCGGAGCTCGAGGCTCTGTAGCACCCAGTTGGACCCAGTCGCCCAGGCACCGCCCGCGCCCCGCGGCCGTCTCCTGCGCCTCCCAGAGGAGGGAGTTCGAGCATCCCCCGCGGCGGCCACTCCTCGGGGCCAGGAGCGGGGAAGCGAAGTGCGAGAGACCCCGGACCCCAGCGCTGTCTCTTCCCGCCGCCCGAACCACCATGACCCACTTCAACAAGGGCCCTTCCTATGGGCTCTCGGCCGAAGTCAAGAACAAGGTACGCCTGGCTCGGGCGGGCGCGGGGGCCCCCGGGGCACCCTTGGGCTGGCCTGGCGCTGGGCCGTGCTTCGTTTGCTCTTCGCGCTGTGGCTCACCGTTTTCCTGGAGAGGGGCCGTCGAGGCGGCGCGAGCGTCTCTGCCTGTCCCGGTCGCGTCCAGTCCCCGGGCTTGCGGGGCCGGCTCCCGGGCACCCGCCTGGCTTTGTTCCCGCGCCGTGGGACAGGACTAGTGGCTGGCGGTGGGTTCCCGGGCGCCTGGAGTCCCGCGGCGCCAGCCTTTCCGGCTGCGGGGGTCTCGGGGGCCGTTTGGTGACTGCAGAACGCGCCCTCCGGGAAGGGGGCGCTCCTGCGTGGCCACTCGCCCTTAGGCGGAGCCCGTCTGCGCGGCCAGGGACCCGGCGAGCCGCTGCCGCAGCCCCCGCCATCTGCCCGGGCCCCGGGTGCTGGCGGACTCCGCGCCTCCCCACGGGGAGAGAGACCGCCTAATGTCCCGCCGACCCCAGGGGCCCCGAGGAACGGAAGCCGGTCCGGGACCCATCACAGTCTCCGATCTCGGTGCCTGGGAGGCATTTGGAGGCAGATTGCTGCTGCTGCTTCTGCTGTTGCTTTTGCGGGAAATGGAGACAAAGCCTGAGCGCGCCACTGTGCGAGTGATATCTGCTTAGGCTTGAGACTTTTTATGAAACACTGAGAAGTTTGAAGTACATTAGACTTTCACGACATAAAGGATTATTTTTGTGGGTTGCTTTTGTTTGGGGCTTGTTTGCTGAGGCGGCTTATAGTTTGGAGCGATTGGGATTTGGTGACGCTCAGCTTTGCCACTGAGCCCAAGAATGCGTTAGGTTTATCTTTAGGACTTTTGGCCTGGGAAAGAGATGAGAGGCGTCCCCCTCCCCAAATCCTCTCCTTCCTTCCTCCCTCCCTGCATTCCAAGCCCATGACATCAGGGGTTTCTGGGGGGAGAGACCAGCCAATCGGCGCGGAACTGTGCACAGAACGCTCATTGTCTCCTTTCTGCTGTTCTGGCCAAAGCGCCACAAAGGAGGGCTGCCTGTGGTTTAATTCCCATTAACCTCCCGGGAGCCCAAGCATGTCAGGATTGCCACCGCACCGTCCGACCGCTGGTGGAAGGCACTGGCATTGTCAGAGCTGGAACATCCCGGGGCTGCGGGGGTAGGCGGTGTGAAGCGAATTATGTAAAGAGGTAATGAAGCGCACCGTTGTCAAACCCCAAGGGAGAGTTGTGGCTCTTGTCTCCCGCTGTTAGTCTGCACATCATACTGTCTTTGAAGCAAGGAGTTGATTTTAGTCTATGTATCTAAAGTTGAAATGTTTAGGTCCTTTACCTTTTCAAACGTGTTGCCCGTATTAGACAACAGTTTGCTAACAATTTTTTTAGAGAGCAGAAAGGTGAATGGTTTGTGTATGATTGAGTGCAAACCTCACCAACTGAAAAGTTTGTAACAAGTTACTGTTTCCTTCCTTCCAGGATTTACAAACCGAACTTTAGGAAACTTCAGAGGAATGGGCATGTCCAAAATGTTGGATGTGATGTGATACTTTGGCCTGGTTGTGCACATTCATTGTAATTCCCCCCAGTGATTCTTGGCTGGCAGCAGTTGAGTCTCTACTACCTTTTGCATTGTAAATGAGGTACTGATAACGTTGGCAGCCCTTCAAGTGACTTACTTTTCTTGGATGTTAATAATATCCATGCTAATTTCTTTTTTGCTGACTAATGTAGCAGCTTTTGCCCTTTTCCTGCTTAATACTGAGCAGATCCAAGGAAATGCATACACAGGCTAGATCACTGTAATTATTGTAAATATTTAAAAACGGTAAAACCTCAGTTTTTAGAACCTTTGGAAAGTTAGTTATGAAAGCTGTGGATTTATCCCTTTAAGCACCAAACCCATTTTTTAATAACCCGTTTCATTTTTGTAGTCCTTTCAGACAGTATTCTTTCATAGGAAGTCTTTTGATCTTAACAGCAGAGCAGTCCTGTAAGGTGAGGAGGATTGCTGGGATTATCCAACATCATTTACAGATCAGTACACTGAAGCTCAGAAAGATTTGCTCAAGGTCACAGAAGTTGGACTATTCTAAGAATTTTAACTCTAAAAGCGATGTCTTAGTTGAGTGAAGTACTTAGGGATGTTCTACACAAACTCTGCTGTCTGTCGCCTTCCCCCCATTTTTTTTTCTTTCTTTTTTGAGACGGAGTCTTGCTCTGTCGCCCAGGCTGGAGTGCAGTGGCGCGATCTCAGCTCACTGCAACCTTCGCCTCCCAGGTTCAAGTGATTCTCCTGCCTCAGCGCCCCGAGTAGCTGGGATTACAGGTGCCTGCCACCATGCCCGGCTAATGTTTGTATTATTTAGTAGAGACAGGGTTTTGCCATGTTGGCCAGGCTGGTCTCCAACTCCTGACCTCAGGTGATTCCCCCTGCCTTGGCCTTCCAAAATGCTGGGATTACAGGCGTGAGCCATGGCGCCCAGCCCTTCCTCCCATTTTTGCTACCCACCTGTCACTTCTTGACATTGTGATTATTTATGTCATACTGTTTCTGATCTGTTCTGGGCCTGGGAATCAAATAGCCATGTTTGCTAGGCCTTTGTATGAGATGCTGCATTTTGACTGAGGCCTCAGGACTCCCGGGTGAAAGGTGGGTATATACAAAAGTGACATTGCGTGGTTTGACACCTTTTGATTCCTTCCTGCTTTTTCTTTATTGCATAATTGATACATTGCTTGAATGCTAGATTCCCCCCATCTACCCCCACATCTCATTTAACAAAGAAGTATAGAAACATCCTGGGGAGACAGTGTGGAGTGGACCTGGGAGTCTAGCATATGTGAGTTCTAGTCCCCGTTCTGCCACTTCCTGCCTTCTGTGATGCTGGGCTAGCTACTTGACATCTCTCTCCTAGCTTCTGTTCTGTAGAATGGGGGAAAACAATAGTTGCCACCCCCAGACACCATGTTGTGGAGATGTGTCTGGCTTATACTCAACTCAGTGACTGTATTGTAGCTATTAGCTCTTAGTAACAGAAAATTAGTTTTTAGTATTATATTTCTAAGATTTGTATGTCCCTGCCTCTTTAAGTATTTGGTTTGTATTAATACCTTTTGGTCTTGTTATATAATATTCTAGCTGTAAAAGCATTTCATCAATGAATTGAGGAAGTCTCTGATTTTAAATACTTTAATCAGTAAAATTTCAGAGAAAAATCTTTAAGACATTTGATTGGTAAGATGATAATACATGGCAGAACACACAAGCTTACTTTTTTTAATAGGCAAGAAGATGTGTGAAAACAGCCTTAAAAAAAAAAAGCCTAAGAATTCCAGTCTTTCAGCCTGGAATATGAACAAAGTTTCTTTAATAACAAAGAAAAAAATGACACCAAATGATCAATAACTTAGAGTTTACAAAAACTATCAGAGAGTAAAAGGGCCAGGGAAAATGCAGACACTGGTAGGGATGGTTCGGTGGAGGATGGAAACACTCATAAAATAATGGGCCCTACAGGTATTCTACAGGTTGAACCAGGCCCTTGAATGCATCTTGGGAACCAAAATGAAAAGTGAAACAACTCTGTGCCTCGTAAACCATGAAAAAACATAACAGGTACTCAAGGGAAGCACAGTATTTCCTGGCAAAATGTTGGAGTTGGGGGTAGTTTCCCGTAAAGTTGGATGGGAAGAGAGGACGCAGTGAAGCATGTCTTCATCAGGTTTAGAGCAAATGCCGCAGGAACCTTTCTTACAGGTCTCAGGGAAAGTGGAAAAAATAAATTGACAAATGGGGAGCTGAAATAATCTTACCTCGGTATGTTTTTTTGGGAGGAAGCTAACTGGAATATTAAGAAGCATGGAATTGGAATGCACATTCTTCCAGTCTTCTGCCCCCTTGGAATGTCTGATTTGAGCAAAGCAGCTTCCCACGGGATCTTCTTGATTACAAAATGGTATTTCTCAACACCTAAAAACCTTCTTGAAAGGCTTATTACCAAAATCTTTGGTTGTTGAAGTTAAACAATCATACAGTAATAATTAGATAGGACCAGTGTCCGCGAAGTCCTCCTAGCTTGTTTGCCGGGTGCGCTTTAGACGCACAGCTGCTCTGAGGGTACTTCTGATCAGAGTAACCCAGGGTGACCCAGCTATAAATTACACTCGAGGGTGGTTTGCCTTGTCTTGCTGGTAGAGCACCAGAATCTTGGTAAAAATGTGTTGGTGGGCTTAGCTTTTTTCTTTTTAAACTTGGAAGTTCAGAAATTGGTTTTTAATTAAAATCTTTTTTTGTTTGCTTATTATCTGTCTCTTCCCACCAGAGATAAAGCTCTCTTATTCGCGGGTGTGTCTCAAGATCGATATTTTACAATATAGTTTAGCACATAGCATATGCTCAATAAATATTTGAATATTTGTTGATTTAATGAATTTATTCATCGGGAATAGATTTTGCTATCTCTAGACATAAGAAGTTAGAAATTAACTCTGTAGTCTAAATAAGATAATTCTGTAGTGCAAGTGTGATGATTTTGAAGGATGTGGTTAAAAAGAAAATATTCTAAAAAATATTTTATTTTTTGATCTCGCTATGTTGCCCAGGTTGGTCTTGAACTTCTGGCCTCAAGTGATCCTACTGCCTTGGCCTGTTAAAGCACTGGGATTACAGGTGTGAGCCACCATTCCTAGCCTTGTTTTTCTTAAGTAGTTAAATAGTTAATATTATGTTGAAATTTTTCATCTTTGCTGCTGATTTTGGGATTATTTCTTAAGATAGATATTTTGACTGGGCTCTTTCTTAGACTTCCAAGTTAGGAATGGTAGAGGTGTCCTCTGCAAGGATTTGTCCAGTGCCTGCATTTTCCTGAATACTGCTGGAGAAGGGGCCATTCAGCCAGGGACTTTGCTCCTGGTAGGAACCAGCTATTGCTGTTGGTCTGCTTTAGTTTTTGTTTTCCTGTCTTGACCAAAACAGATAAATAAGATACACTTTGCTGAAGTGACAAGAGATACCATGCTTCCTCTTTAAAATTCTCATCCTTATTTACTCTGGAGTTTTAACGAGGATTATCGTCAGGCTCACTGATTTTTTACAGTCTAACATTTGTGGAAATTGTTCTGTCTCTAGACAGTCCTTTAGATTTCAGAAACAATCTTGACAATGATGACATCGCTAATACCCACCATCAACAGAGGTATAGGCTTTTTTTTTCCCCAGTGCCTGTTTCCCTTCCAGGTTGGGACATGAGGGTTAGTGTTTCCTGCCTCCTTTCCCTCTTTAACAGTGTATCCTTAAAGTCATAATGAATCTGATCTGCGGCATAAAAAAAGTAAGCACAATTGGATCGTTTTGGTTTTTCACCCATCATTAGCATTGTATTCAGGAGAGTGAGGAAATGCATTTTCTTCTCTCTCTTTTTTATTTTTTTGAGATGGAGTCTCCCTCTGTTGCCCAGGCTGGAGTGAGGTCGTACGATCTCGGCTCACTGCAACCTCCACCTCCCAGGTTCAAGCAATTCTCCTGGCTTAGCCTCCCGAGTAGCTGGAATTACAGGCACCTGCCACCACATCTGACTAATTTTTGTATTCTTAGTAGAGTTGGAGTTTCACCATGTTGGCCAGGCTGGTCTCAAACGCCTGACCTCAAGTGATAACACCTGCCTTGGCCTCCCAAAGAGCTGGGATTACAGGTGTGAGCAACTGTGCCCAGCCCTGCATTTTCTTTCTCAGTGAAACTAGGTGGTGGTTGGAGAAAGCTTGTCCTTAGAATTTGTTGGCAAGTTCCATTTAAATCTAGGCATTACCCTCCTGTAGCATATACCATGTGCATTGGCTCTCCTTAACTCTGAACTTATTTTATAGCCCAAATGGGCTCTTAACTTATTTATGTGTACTTGTACCCTCAGATTTTTGTTAAGGATTCTTGGAACTCATAGGTAGATCCAGGTTGTTTGTGGGGACGAAGTTTATACAATTTGGGGGTCCTCATTATGAAAAATATATAAATATCTTTTAAGTTTTACAAAAACCTATGGCCATGTGAACCCTTTTGAACTTGAAGACTTCTCCATACCTGTCATACAAGGTTCTTGTCAGGGAAAGTAGAGCTTAGTGGTTAAGAACATGGACTGTGGGAACTGGGTTGGATTCCTGGTTCTGCATCTTACTGTGAACTTTGGCAAGTGACTTAACCTGCCTGTCTTGTATGTAAAATGAGGATATCATAACACTCATCTTTATAGGGTTGTTGGGAGAAATCAGATAGATAATCCATGTAAAGTGTTTAGAATAATGCCTGGAATCAAAAGCCCACATTATATAAATTTTAGCCATGGTTTCATTTTGCTGACTGGTTCTCTGCTAATTAGGCTCAGTCTTGTGTTCTGAGCTGCTTTTTCTCTTCTGGATGTTGATATTATCTCTAGAACTTTAATATTCATTCACGAATCTGTTTGTATCTGCCTGAGATTTCTGGTGGATAGGGGACATGACACCAAGCAGTACTACTGTGTTTCATTTCTGTGTCAGGAATGTGATCTGCCCCAGAGTCCTTATCCAGGACTCCACCACCAGGCAGCGTGTGAGGCATTTCCACAGTGAAAGCACCAGGTCTGTAGATCTGCACCATTCTGTCCACATTGCCCTTAGGGCTGAGGACTTCTCTGTAGAGCTAGAGGTCTTGCTTACCGGGCTTGGTTGTATTCTGCTTTTTCTAACAGGTTGATTCCTTTTAAATAAGATATATCTTTCCTTTCTTGGTTTCAGATAGGGCTTGTATTCCTCCACAGCTAGCTGGTTAACATATTTTCCTTCAAGTGTTTGAATTTGGCTTGCTTGAATCTGGAGGCTTTGAGTTTATGTGTTCTTATGAAGTCTCTACCTAGACCTGTGTGAAGCAAGTCCTTGAGTGGAGAAGACTAATGCTTAGTTTTCCCCCACAAGGTAGGGAGGGACCAGGAAGCTTCAGGGTGTGGGCGTGACTGTTGAGTGCTGTGTCTGCGGTGGGAAGGCCAGGGAATTGGAGGCATGAATGCAGAGAAAAGAGGAGGCCTTTTGTGCTTGGAAGGACTCTTCTGGGTCAGTTGTAACCTAAGCATTTATGGTTATTTCCCCTCTGCTGGATAATTTTCCAGGGAACTCTAGCTGTGGAGTGGCCACACTGGGCGGGCTATGGCTTCATTGCTTCTTCCCGCCTCCACTCCCAAATGTTTGGACACTGATCTTTCTCCATTATCTGCAGCTTCTCACCCTTAATGTTACCCAGGCTCTGTGAATGGATAGAGTGTGCTTCATTAGTGCACAATTTCCTGGTCTCCTTTTGTTTCTTGTGGGAGGAAATAGGAGAGAAAACAATCAATACCATGTGTAGCAAGTCTCTGTCCTGCTGTTGGTTAATTCAAACATGTGATTCCACTTTGAATGCAAAAATAGCAACAGCAATCATATTCTGCTTCTAATTGAGTGTAGAAATTATATGTACATTAGGCATCATCTTGTGAGCTTGCTGTGGTCTTTGGGCCTTAGCAGCTGAGCTGGAACCCTAGGGCTGCTCTTTAGAGTCCACCTATGGCTAGATGCCTTCCCCTGAATGGTTCCATTCTCTACTCTGAATACTGGGGTGGATTTTCCTTATCTTTCTTCAAAGAATTGGATGTTGTATTTTTTAAAAACCCCATCCCTACCTCTCCTTGCTTACATACAGACGCATTATTTGCCAGCCAGATTTTCATTTCAAGGTTTATTCATCTCTGAGCTTCCCCCCCTTCTTTTTCTTCTTTAGTGACACCCTTTCCTGCAGTTGGTCTTACATCACCTTCAAAAAACATGCATGTGGCAGGAGGTTGGTCTTCATATGGGCCAGTGGGAGAGTTAAAGTGTTTTTAGTCTGAAACAGCTCTGCCAAATATCTTATGAACTTTTTTTTTTTTTTTTTGAGACAGTCTTGCTCTGTCACCTGGGCTGGAGTACAGTGGCACGATCTTGGCTCACTGCAACTCTACCTCCTGGGTTCAAGCAATTCTCACACCTCAGCCTCCTGAGAAGCTGGGATTACAGTCGCGCACCACCATGCCCAGCTAATTTTTGTATTTTTTGTAGAGATGGGGTTTTACCATGTTGGCCAGGATGGTTTTGAACTCCTGACCTTAAGTGATCCACCCGTCTCAGCTTCCCAAAGTGTTGGGATTACAGGTGTGAGCCACCGCACCCAGCCTTATGAACTTTTGAACTGTGCTGGCAATGCGCTTTGGAACTAAGGATTCCTATGGGCTTGTTTAAATCAATTCCTCCCACCCCTTGCCGACTTTTTTTTTTTTTATTTTATTTTTTTTGGGAGACAGTCTCACTTTGTCGCCCAGGCTGGAATACCGTGGTGTGATCTCGGCTCGTTGTAACCTCTGCCTCTCGGGTTCGAGTGATTCTCCTGCCTCAGCCTCCTGAATAGCTGGGACTACAGGCCTATGCCACCATGTCTGGCTAATTTTTTGTATTTTTAGTACAGTCGGGGTTTCACTATGTTGGCCAGGCTGGTCTTGAACTTCTGACCTCAGGTGATCTGTCTGCCTCAGCCTCCCAAAATGCTGGGATTACAGGCATGAGCCACTGTGCCCGGCCCAATTAGTCCTTTCTACAACTGGGCAATATATTCATGTGCATTAGTCTGATACGATGATATTGGTGGTGGGTACATTTGGATATATTGTCACATCTCCATGAGTTAAAAGGACTTTATGTTAAGCCAGAGTCTAAGCATCTTCAGGCAGATAGCATAGTTGCCTGTGCTAAGACTGTGTATAGTACAGAGAGTTCCTGTCTCTCAGCTTTGTTGTAGAGTAGGGATAGGGGAGCATCCAATGATGGAAAAGACTTAGACTTGGAGTCAGATCTGGGTCCGAATCCCTGCTGAGCCCACAACCTTTGGACAAGTCATCTCTGCATGAAGACAGTACATCTACCTCAGGGTGCCATCTTCCTTGCTTATGAGAACCACTTCTCTTTATGCCAACAGTTCCAAAATAGAAAAGTAAATAAGTGAAAGTATCCTGTATACCTTACTCCTACCCTAAGTGCTTGTACTGCTTTGAATATTGTTCAACCATTTTGAAAACTGAATTATAGTCTGTTGTATGGATTTCCACTGATTATTCACTGCTTCCCTGCTGGTGGATATTTCCTTTAAAAGTACTTGTGTAGAAAAGTGTGTAACTTTTGACATAACATTTAAATGTATTTTGATATTGCCAAATTGCTCTCCAAAAAAATTAGTTCCTACCAATGGTAAGAAAGAGGAGGAGGATCTTTTGATGTTAAAAAAAGAAAAAAGTAACTTGTTTTAGTTTCTTTATTACCAAGTCATGAGTCATTGACATCTGTAATCCCTACTCCATCCCTCGTCCCCAGCAGACTCAGGTGGGAATTGACAGTGGGCTGGGATGAGGGCGTTTTTTCCACAAATTATTTGATAATAGTTTTTTAAACAGGAAGCTTGGCCAGGCACAGTGGCTCACGCCTGTAATCCTAACACTTTTTGGGATGCTGAGGTGGGCGGATCAACTGAGGTCGGGAGTTCGAGACCAGCCTGACCAACATGGAGAAAACCCATCTCTACTAAAAATACAAAATTAGCCAGGCATGGTGGCGCATGCCTGTAATCCCAGCTCCTCAGGAGACTGAGGCAGGAGAATCACTTGAACCTGGGAGGCAGAGGCTGCGGTGAGCCAAGATCGCGCCATTGCAATCCAGCCTGTGCAACAAGAGCGAAATTCCATCTCAAAAACAAACAAACAAACAAAAAATCCAGGAAGCTTTAGGTAGCTTTAAAATGATATCTTATCAAAATGGCTATCAAATCATGTCAAGTAAGTGGTTTTTAATGATATATTGAATTCAAAGGAAGAAATCTTTCCAGTATCTTGATTGGAATGGCCAGCAAAGCATAGATGGAAGGATAAGTGTTGACATTTATTGAGTTCTTACAACTTATGTGAATTAACTCATTGATTCTTCCCAGTAACCTTCTGATGTAAGTGCTGTTAATGATCTCTGGTTGGCAGGGAAGAAAACTGAAGCAGAGGAAACTTTGTGCATGGTGGAAATGGGCTTCTAATTCAAGCATTCAGTTTCCAGAGCCCTTGCTCCTAACCATTTTAATCTGAGGCCAGAGCTCAGGGAGAATTGACATCTTTCAAGACGAGAGGGTACTGAGTCCAGAGAGGGCAGACCAGAGCAAGAAATCCCAGGATAAAGTCCTTTAACAAGAAGCTGGAGGAGGAGAGATTAGAGGGCCCTCCTGGAAAATACTAGGTGCTACAGAGAGGCCCAGAGGATGACTGGAGACAGGCCACTGGATTTGGCTACTGAGAAGTCACTGATGACCTGTTTTGTTTGAGACAGGATCGTCCTCTGTTCCCCACTCCCTGCAATCCCCCTCCCCTGTTTCCCCCCAGGCTGGAGTGCAGTGGCATGATCTTGGCTCACTGCAGCCTTGACCTCCTGGGCTCAAGCAATCCTCCTGCCTCAGCCTCCCGAGTAGCTGGGACTACAGGTGTGCACCACCATGCCTGGCTAATTTTTTGTATTTTTCGTAGAGACAGGGTTTTACCGTGTTGCCCAGGCTGCACTGGTGACCTTTTGAGAGATCGTCGGTAGAGCAAATTTCCAGGGGTTAGGAGAGAGTACTAAGGGAGGAAATGGGCAGGCTTGGCATGAAATAAATGACAAACAGGACAGTGTATGAGGCTGGCAGCAGGTTCAATTAAAAATTTGCCATTTCAGGGAAGACAGGGTAGCCTGTGCCCATTGATGGACCAAGTAAAGGCAACAGCCCAAAACAGATGGTGTGTGGGGGCAAAGCAGAAGGGCAGGAGGGTCAGTGGGAAGAGAAGGGGCCCAGCTCAGAAGGGGAAGGGAAGAGGACCATGAAAACGCAGCACTGATGTGGAGAAGTCCTCTTTTCATCTGAAATAGGGGTGTCACTTTGCTCCTGACCTTATTATGCTAGAGCCACTGATGTCCGATGGGGAAGAGAGCAGGAATAGGAAGAGATGGCCCAGGCTAAGCCCTCCCTGTGAGCGCACTGCTGATTGGGCTGCCCCTTTGGAGCTTGGGCACTGGTTCACTCTCCTCTTTCCATTGGCCCTTGATCTGGAAGGGATGGGAAGTTGGGTTTATTTTGTTAGAGCCTGGTTGTCTGTAGCAAGCCTTTACTGTATTATCTCCAAGAGACCTTTGTGTTGGGGCATAGCACTCTGATGGAAGATGTAATGCTTTCAGGGTAACTTATTTTCTCCCTCATCCATGCTCTCAGATTGCATTACAATTATGTAAAATATGGAGTTCACCTTTACTGTCGATGTGGAGGGTCCCCTGTGACTTCATCATAAGATCCTTGCAGACTTCGGGACTGGAAAGGGGAAACCATGTTCAGGCTGACTTTCTTTTAGAGGAACTCTGAATCTTGTAGTTGATTATGTCCCTCTTTGTCTTGGTGTTTAAGAAGCTTGGACTTCAGTTTGCATCCAGCCTATCTTTGGGTGGCATTTGTGTAGGATTTGGTGGCATGCAGGTGTTTGAGCCTTGCCTCTGACTTCATCTTTTTTTCACACATCCTCATTAAAAGCAAAATGAACCTAATGGCTTTTTACTTAGGGTCTCAGAAAGTACAAAATACCTTTGTATGGTATTTCATAAGGCACAGTATGAATATTTTTAAAAGGAGGAAATGGGACCAGCCTAGGCAACACAGGGAGACCCCATCTCTACAAAACATTTTTAAAAAGGTAGCTGTAGTGGCACATGCCTATAGTCCTAGCTACTCAGGAGGCTGAGGTGGGAGGATCGCTTGAGCCTGGGAGGTTGAGGCTTCAGTGAGCTATGATCATGCCACTGCACTCCAGCCTGGGTGACAGAGCAAGACTGTCTTGAAAAAAAAAAGAGAGAAAATGGGAAATTCTATCCTACTTTGTAATGGAAATGTCATATTTTCTCATTTTCATTGGGGAAAAAATGGTGCTCTTTTGCACAGTTAACATATCTGTAAGATTCCATCAGCATCTATCCCATGTTTAAAATTCGATTTCCTCTCTGTTCATAGCTGGTTGTGTAAAGCCACCTTTCTCAAATGGACAGACTCCATTGTAGTAAGCAAAAAAGCATTTGCAATCTGAGATCTAGACCTGGATCTAGACTCCAAGAGGAGTTCCAGATTTACTAAGGCTGACCCAAAGGGCTGAGATCCCATTTCTCCTTGGCCCACTTTCATGCCTTGTCCCAATAATAACCTTCAGTAAAGGAGCCGCGTGGTGTTTCGACTCAGTTTTGGGGTTGGCAGATGGGAGCATGGGGATGCGGGTGGTCAGTGATCTGTGAGATGAGGGTTCCCCAGGCTGGTTGAGACAAGTTCCTTCAGAACAATACAGCGAACTTTTGGGACAATGACGTTGAGGTGGATTTCATGCCTTCCTTGAGTCACAGTAGACTGAGGCTTGTCCTATGGAGCGGGCTTGCTGAAGAGTTGATGAGGAGTGAGTGTACATTCTGAAACTACAGAAAAGTTGCAAACAGGTCATGTGCCTTGTCGTTATGGAAAGATAAATGACAGTTCTTCAGTGTTACCCATGCTCCTGACTCAAGGGTTATTTTGGAGGCACCTAGAGGTCCTGCTGAAGAGACAGTGCTTGACAATCTGGAGAGTGGCAAAGAGCTGATACCTACAAATGCGGGAATGAGTTTGTTAGACTCTTAAATATTCTAGTGGTGAGACAAAGAAAACAAAAACTTGAGGAACATCTCTATTTTCACCTCTTTTTACCTGTGGGGCTTCAGCTAAGATCTCCTTTCAGCAAAATCTCTACAGATCTCTAAAATTCAAGACCCGGCTGGCCTTCTTCCCAGTGAGAGAATGTTCTCCAACAAGCTTTCTTGGAGGTCATCTCTTCCTGCCTGTGCTTCATTGGCACTCAAAACATGATATTTTTCCATGCCTGTTTGCTTCTAGTCCATCTCTCAGGAATTTCTCCATATATTTCCCTGGCCTGTCCTCTGTGTGTCACTCAGAATAAATCAACTCTCTCTTCTATATGACTTCCATCTAAATATTTAGATGGGAGCTAACCTGCCTCTCCTAAACTTCCAGGTCATATGTAGCCACTCCTGGCTAGCCAGTTTCTCATAATAGGCTATATATGGTTTTTCTAATCCCTTCCCCACCTAGTTTACTCCTTCTAGAAACTGATGTCAGCTTATCAGTGTCCCTTCAGAATGCATCACTCAGAATTGATCATAGTATTGCCACAGATGTGGTTTAACCTACCAGAGTACACTGGGATTGGTAACTGACTTCCTTTGATTACAAAGCTTTAGCTCCTCCTGTTTTAACCAACAGAATCACTTGGCCAGGTAGACAAGGTAACTCTGTGTAGAAGAAGGATTCTAATCCTTGCTTTGTCAAATTGACTTCTCCAGTCTATAAAGTATGGTGATGATCACTCTGGGAGGTTTTATGGCTCACATGAACTCCATGCGCACCCGTTTCTTATAAATAATGCTTTCCTTGGTTACCTCATGGGGCTGTTTTGATTTAAACAAATAAGCAATACTATTTTATGAAGAATTGTATAACTATGCAGACCAAGATAGTGTTGGCTTTTTAACTTACTCAACTCACTGAGTAAGTGTTACTAGTTCTAAAACTTTGGGGCAGGATTTGACATATATTTTGAATAAACTGTGTATTAACGTAAGAAAGATCCTTCTGATTCCCAGTTTCCTTAATAAGTATGCCAAGTAGTTTCCAAGTCATTAATGACCAAAACAGAAGAGAACACATCTAAATCCAAACATTGAGGTACACATCACCACGAGTTTCCTCTGCCATGACATAATCAGCACAGTGGGCATGGTGTTCCTTCTGACTGTACCCTCCTTCTAGGGTTACTAAACTGGACTTCAGGAGTGCGCTAGACATAAGGAACTTTTATGAGAAAGTAATGCAATTATATCCCTAGTGGGCCATCTAAGATTACCAGATTGGCAGATCAAGGAGATGTGACGCCCATAAAAGGCAGTGACATTCAAATGCAGATGCCTTTCCGAAACAAGATAGATCTTTAAATCTGAGGCATTTCCCTAGGCTGGTAATCCTGTCAGTGGGTGAAAAATCATGGATTGAGTGCCCACTATGTATCAGGCATGGGCATGAGGATTACTAAGATGAACAGGAGCCTGACCTCCCCTCAAGGAGGGGACATGGGCAGGTGTTCTTGGACATGCCTTGTGTGTCCATGCAGCCTTGGTGATGGCTGCCCTTCTCCCTGAGTGCTTGCTTGCACACTCTCTCCCCAAGAGTCCACTCTAGGAGGGCGCCTGCCGGGCTCTTCAGCCAGTAATAGATCCTTGCCCTCTGGGTGGGGATGGAGTGGGAGCAGGCTTCTCTCTAGGTTCTAGTTACTACCGTTTGCCAAGGCTTCTCTCACAGTGAGCTGCTTGATACCCACTTTTTTGTTACTTGTTATTTCTGAGTCTAGATTCTTCTGGGAATCCAGTGTCTATACTTGTTCGCTCCTTGTTTAGATTTGAACTTTCAAAAATCCACTATAAACTATATGTGTTCTAAGCTTTGCAGTCTAAAGGTCATTTTCTAGACAGAGAAGACAAAATTGACATTCTGTTAGCTCTGCATCTTTCTACCGTTTGTTATACTCTTTGCTTTAGGCACTGGACCAGCTCCTCTTTAATCATATATATAAAATTTTTTTTTTTGAGATGGAATTTCACTCTTGTTGCCCAAGCTGGAGTGCAATGGCATGATCTTGGCTCACTGCAACCTCCGCCTCCCAGGCTCAAGCGATTCTCCTGCCTCAGTAGCTGGGATTACAGGCGCTACAGATGTGTGCCACCACGCCCAGCTAATTTTTTTGTAGTAGAAACAGGGTTTCACCATGTTAGCGAAGTTGAGCTCAAACTCCTGACCTCAGGTGATCCATCTGCCTCGGCCTCCCAAAGTGCTGGGATTACTACAGGCATGAGCCACTGTGCCTGGCTTATTTATATTTTTTTTGAGACAGGGTCTCCCTCTGTTACTCAGGCTGGAGTGTAGTAGCACAGTCTCTGCTCACTGCAGCCTTGACCTCCCAGGCTCAAGTGATCCTCCCACCTCAGCCTCCCAAGTTGCTGGAACCACAGGTGTGTGCCATCATGCCCAGCTAATTTTTGTGGGTTTTGTAGAGACAGGGTCTCACTATGTTGCCCAGGCTAGTCTCAAAGGACTCAAGTGATCCTCCAGTGTTGGCCTCCCAAATTGCTGGTGTGAGCCACTGCACCCGTCCTAGTAATTTTTGAAGCTTTAATTTCTTGTCAGTCTCACAATATTTGTATATTGAGTCATAATGTTTTTGTATTTACCTGATTATAGACATTTGGAGGGGAAAAATTTGTGCTGGTTGGTGCCATATGCTGATACCTTGATCTGAAGACACAGTTGTACCTCTGAGAGGAGGACCTGGCTTTAAAATGCTCCTGGACTTTACTTCTGTTTACCTGAGGCGAGCATGATTTTCCACAGCTTTTAAATGTCTAGTTCCTCCGCATCAAATCTTTAGCACGTTCGTGCCATGGAATGAGTCTTAGATTCTGTGGTGACCTCAAGAAAAGCATGCATTCTATCTTGACATCACTGTCCCAAATGTAAAATGTTTTTCTCTAGAATTCCCACTCCCACCCCCCATAAGATACATGCCTGATTTTGTAAAATAGTTCCTTTGTCCTTTTTGTCAGCAACAATCTGAAAAAGAATAAGAATTCGGGATGCAAACACATTCTAAGCAGAGAGAAGAGCTTTAGCAAAGACAGAGAGGCAGGAACCAGCCTCAGGAAGAGTGGTAAAGGGAGTGGACAGTGGTGAAGGCTGGCATCCCAGGTGAGCCTGTCTGCAGTGGGGTTTTCTTTGCTATTGCAAACAATGGATTGAACAAGTTGCAGTGGGGTTTGGTTAATAGAATGCTCTGTACCTGGAGCTGATAAAATTGGAGGGCGTGCATGCTGTTGTGTGTCAGGTATTGCGGTGGGTTCCATTCCTATTGAACAGGCTTCATCCTCACAGTGGCCCTGGAAGGAAGGAGTCTACCCACAAGAAATGGGGTGACCTGGGTTCAGTTACTTGCCAAGGTCACACTGGAACTTGGGAACACAGGGTTTTGAAGTTTGACTTGAAAGCGTGTGATCTTCAGTAAATGTTTATAGGATTCATTGCGGAGAGACAGGGTAGATGAAAATGTTGAAACCTGTTCATTGTCCTTGCATGAGATACCAAGAATAGCAAGTGATAGTGAGAAGGAAGGAGAGGAGGAATCTTGATACTTGAGATGGAAATCTATTTGGTTCCTATTTTGGGACCATGTTAGCCCCCATTGTTCTCTCTTTATTTTAAACACCCTATTTTATATATATTTTTGTGAACTCTTTAATACACCGTATTTAATATTTGTCTCTTTCTGCTAGAATGTAAGCTTTTAGGACAGAGACTTTGCCTTTGAACTGTGCCTGATATGAACTAGCCATTTAGATGAAGGACAGAAAGAAGGATTAATGGAGAAAGAAGATGAAAGAAGAATCTAAGGAACACACGGAACACTTGAAAAACAGAAGCTAATGTTGAATACGAGTTTACTTAGAGAGTTTGGAGTAATGCAGGATTATCCTGGTGGCTCAAAACGGGGAGCCACAGCTGAAATTAGGGAGACTGTTGTAATCACTGGGGACAATAACCAGGAATTGTCTGCTTCCAGGTTTGAACAAGCTCTGTGATGATAATACATTGTGAGAAGGAATCCATGTGAAAAACAAGCAGTCTTCATTCTTCAGTAGATTCTGGAATGTCCTGGGTGTAATGGGGGCATCAGACAGTTCTTGTACATGAATGTCATCACTCTACCTCATGGCAGATGTGCCCCCATCTTTTTTTCAAATGGTACTTGAGCTGAATGCTCTCGGCGTACACCGAGAAGTACCATTCAACAGCGCAGGAATCGAGCTTTTGGGTCAGCTGTGGAGGTGCTTTTTGAAGCTAGGTCTCCCTTTACTCTTTCTCCCTTTCTGAGGGTTCTTAGGGGGAAGCTTCTCAAATTTCAGAGCCAGGGAGGGGCATGGCTGTTTCCCAGCAGCTGGTAGGCTTGTATCTGCTCTAGTGTCTGCCTTCACTGTTAGGACACATAGGCCCTCGGGGTTGTGTTTCTGAAGGTGGTCTTAGTCCAGAGCTCTTGGATATATGATTAATAGTGATATGTGATATGTGTGCCTGTGGGCTGGAAGAATAATTGGCTGAAGGATAGGCCCTTCCCTCTGGGAATGGAGTGTGATTTGTGGGGGGAGAGACTTGTACATTTTAGTGTTATCTCAGTGTTTCTTAACCTTGTTTTCATGATCACCTTCTCCAAGAGTTGTTTTAGACATTGTTCCTAGTTACCTCCTATCCCTTGCTAGATTTAGTACAAAGGAATAAGATTTTGTTGGGTAGAGTTGAGCTTTGGAGGGTCCCAAGTTTTTGTATTGTCTTAAGATTTTTTTCACCATTGGTAGAAACCACCACAAGAAACACTTTTCACCTCTTTGGGACACCACCACCCCTGTTGAGAATGCATGCGCTACATACTTGTATATCATTTATTTGTTTATTTTTGTTTTAAAGACAGAGTCTCACTTTGCCACCCAGGCTGTAGTGCAGTGACATGATTATCAGTCACTGCAACCTGGAACTCCTGGCTTCAAGCAATCCTCCTGCCTTGGCCTCCCAAAGTGCTAGGATTACAGGCATGAGCCACCCACCTGGCCTATTTTTTTTTTTTTTTTTTTAAAGAGACGGGCTCCCTATATTGCCCTGGCTGGTCTCGAACTCCTGGGCTCAAGGATTCCTCCTGCCTCAGCCTCCCAAAGTTGCAGGATTACAGGCCTGAGCCACCATGCCTGGCCCAGCCTAATTTTTTTAAAAAAATTATTATTTTGGAATTGGCTGGGCGTAATCCCAGCACTTTGGGAGGCTGAGGTGGGCGGATCACCTGAAGTCAGGAGTTCAAGACCAGCCTGACCAACATGGCGAAACCCCATCTCTACTAAAAATACAAAAATTAGCTGGGTGTGGTGGTGGGCACCTGTAATCCCAACTACTCAGGAGGTTGAGGCAGGAGAATCGCTTGAACCCGGGAGGTGGAGGTTGCAGTGGGCCAAGATCACGCTATGGCACTCCAGCTTGGGTGACAGAGCGAGACTCCGTCTCAAAAAAACAAACAAACAACAACAAAAAACCAATTATTATTTTAGAATTACAAAAGAAAGTGAGGGCTAAAGAAAGGTCATGAAACAAGAAAGGACTGATCTGCATTTGAACTGAAGGGTGACTCCACACTGGTGCTCTTAGCTGTCCTGAGGAGAGAGCCAAGGGAAGCTCTAAGGGCTGAAGCCGCCACCACGACCACAACAGGATGAGCCCTGGACCCAGGCACAGGAACATGAAGAGGAGCAGGTGAAGCTGTCGGAGGAGCGAGAGCAGAGCAGGCCAATCGCTGAATGTAGGGAGGAGGATCAGCTGTATCCTATGCCCTAGGAGGCTTTTTTCTTGGTCTTCATTATCTTCACATGTTGATTGTATCTGGCTAGAGGGATGTTGGAGAGTTTCGGGGAGGAGTCTCCAGCAGGTGTGCCTAGACAGTATTCTCCTCGGTCTCTGGATCATTTGTAAGTGCTCCTTGATGCAAAGAAGGCTGTCAGGCACTGCTTGGAGAATGTGTGCGTGTTTAAGAAAGGAAGGTGGGCATATAAAGAGAGGGGCTGCTGTGGATTTGAAAGAGCCAGGCAGAAAGTCTGCGAAAGCAGCTTGGGAAGGCCAAGAAAATAAATCTTGAAGAAGAATAAAGAAAAGGATGTTTATCAACAACTTGGAAGAGTAATTTTTATTTTATTTTTATTTCTTATTTTTGAGACGGAGTCTTGCTCTGTTGCCCAGGCTGCAGTGCAGTGGCACCATCTCAGCTCACTGCAAGCCCCGCCTCCCGGGTTCACACCATTCTCCTGCCTCAGCCTCCCAAGTAGCTGGGACTACAGGCGCCCGCCACCACACCCGTCTAATTTTTTGTATTTTTAGCAGAGACAGGGTTTCACCGTGTTAGCCAGGATGGTCTTGATCTCCTGACCTCACGATCTGCCCACCTTGGCCTCCCAGAATGCTGGGATTACAGGCGTGAGCCACTGCGCCCTGTCAGGAAGAGTAATTTTTAAGTAAATTAGAGTGAAATTTCCATGAAGTATTAATGAGGTAAGTTTAAGCAATTATTTTAAGCTAACTTTCTTTTGTTGAGAGAAAGAAAATGTCAGCGTTTTTCTGCCAGATGTTGAGAAATTAAAGCTTTTTAGATGAAGATAGTAAATCATTTTTATTGGCCAAAGATTACTTTTTTAAATTGCTCTCAGTTCCTTGATTTTAAAAGATAATGCTGTTTAGCTGGCCTGACTGCATAAAGCTCACTTACTAGAAAAATATTCGAAGTATTTGGATAGGAGAATCCTGTTGCTCCTTTACTTAAAGGAAACCCTTAGCCCACACCAACAGTTATTTGATGTGGCTGCATTCCTAGTCTTAATTTTTAATTGATCATATGGGGCTTTGAGTTTTGCATGCTTGTACATACGAATTTCTTCTGTGCACGTGGTCATATGGTAAGTCTCAAGGACAGCATCACCTGTCCAGAGCTCCCCCCCACAACCACTCATTGGTAGAGCCAGGATTTGAACTGAGGTCCATCTGACTCCAGTGCTTGATTTTTCTATCTCATCACTTCCTTGACAAGAACTGTCAACAGAGAAGGTGAAAACTTCTTACTGGGATCTACTAGGATATTTCAAGTTAGGTCTGTAGTCACTTCGTGGTTTGGGGCATGGCACCAAATCTGTTGGACACATTTTGAACAAAGGATGCATAAATATGCTTTTAATGTTTTTCTGCTTAAATATTAATTGATGTCATTTGGTATGAGAATTACCATCACCATCCTGTGAAATATCCCAAACTACTCTAACATAATTTTTCTCTACATTTGAAGAAACGAGAAAATACTTCTTCAGTTTTTTATTATTTGACCAAATTGTGTAGATAGCTGAGAGTAGGAACGGACCTAGTGCAGGCATCCAGTTTAGACTTCCTCTTGGATCGAGAGAAGTTAGAGGAACTAACCCAGGCCCATAGCAAAGATAGATGGAGCCAGGCATGGCGCCAAGGCAGAACTCCTCTCACCCTAGCATATTATGTTTTTCTTCAGATTGATCAAAATATATCTCCTAGTTGAGAACGCCCTCACTTTTGGGGAAAAAAAAAATCACCTTACAATTAGTATTTGCTTTCCATAGTTAATGCTTGAGGAGTACTCTTTTCTCCTTTTCTTCTTTGCCTATCCCCTTTCATACCACCACCTCCAGTTTATATAGTGAGAATTTATTTTTCTAGGCACCCAGAACAAGACCCCAGTGTAAAAATATAGTCAAGACTTAAACGTGTCTATCGGCTGGACGCAGTGGCTCACGCCTTTAATCTCAGCACTTTGGGAGGCCGAGGCAGGCGGATCACCTGAGGTCAGGAGTTCGAGACCAGGCTGGCCAACATGGTGAAACCCCGTCTCTGCTAAAAACATGAAAATTAGCGTGGCGTGGTGGTGTGTGACTGTAATCCTAGCTATTCGGGAGGCCGAGGCAGGAGAATTGCTTGAACTCGGGAGGTGGAGGTTGCAGTGAGCTGAGTTCACGCCACTGCACTCCAGCCTGGGTGACAGAGCAAGACTCCATCTCAAAAAAAAATATTTTTAAAAAATGTGTCTGCCAATTTTTGTTTTATTTTCTAAAAGTGCCATAAAAATGGGTTTATTTGATGTGTTGGAGGAGATATATTATCCAAGAATATTTATCTGAGGTATAATAGGAGTAATGGAGGCAGGGGGTGGTGGCTCATGCCTGTAATCTCAGCACTTTGGGAGGCTGATGCGGGAGGATTGCATGAGACCAGGAGTTTGAGACTAGCCTGGAAAACAAATTGTATTTAAGACTGTCTTTTATAAACTAACCTCCAGGCCAGACTTGATCCATGAAACACTGCAAAGTTAGTCGTCTTAATATGAAAATATAAACTTACTGGATTTTCTTTTGTAATTCTGGTTAAGTAAATCTACAGTTCAAATCAATTATCCATTATTCTGTCAAAGCTGTAGAGCCATTTCTCCAACTTGGGTAAAGGGTGCAAAGGATCAAGAACTGCCATCTCCCTAATGCCACAGTAATTTAGTGAAATCATTTGCCCTCTCTCAGTCAAAGCAGAAGCTTCATGCCTTGGCGTGGCGGGGAGGGGAAAAGAGGCCCTGAAAACAGCCCAGGAGTGGTCTGATTATGTGCCAGGGGATCTCTCAGGCTCAGGTGCATGGTGAGCCTTCAAGAGGGGGACCTGGAATGTAGACATTTCCACCTACTTGACCTGGGAAACGGGATGTTTTTCCTACCTTGAGAAGTTAAAAGGCTGTTGTGGCTTTTGATGGACACAAAAAGGAACTGTGATCAAGTGTACGCTTTGAATCTGTTTTTTAAGACTCAGCGTTGGTTTTCACTGTTGGGTGACTTACAGGTAAGCTGGCCAGGTTCGTAAATGTCTGTCCTGATCCTGGTGATCAGGCTCTCTCCCTTGGAAAGGACCTGAATGCAGCCCACAGTCCTATATGCTCTGGCACTATGAACCTAGGGCATTTCCCACAGTTCTGCTTGGTTCCTCCGTGAGTGGTGTAGACTGGAACTTGTGGGACTTCTTTGTGACTAAAATGTCAAGATGCCATTTCATTTCTTCCAATGATTAAACCTCCCTATGTCTTATGGACACAGCAGACATTTCTACCTTCATTCCCATTTCCAATGATGTAATTGATTCCCAAGCTCATGATCTCTATCTCCTGAGCATTTCCTATGTATACTTGGCATTTTCACCAGTGCTGAATGAGAAGACAAATGATACTGGATCTTTCCTTCTTCCCAGCTGTGGGTTTTTTTTTGGCAGTGGGGCGGGAGACAGGGTCTCACTCTGCTGCCCAGGCTGGAGTGCAGTGGTGTGATCATGGCTCACTGTAGCCTCGATCTCGTGGGCTCAAGTGATCTTCCTACCTCAGCCTTCCAAGTCACTGGGATGACAGGCATGCATCGTCAAGCCCAGCTGAATTTTTTATTTTTAGTAGAGACAAGGTCTCTCAATGTTGTGCAGGCTAGTCTCGAACTCCTGACTCAAGAGATCCACCCAGCTCAGTCCCAAAGTGCCGAGATTACAGGTGTGAGCCACTATGCCTGCCTCAGCTGTGTTCTCCATAACCCTGATTGACCAGCCACTTTAAGGGGACTCCAGGACAAGGGATAGCTTAAGAACTTGGGCATGTGATTTTTTTCACAATATTTTGTTTAAATTTTATTTTTTCAATTATTTTAAATTGAGGTCTGGTCTTATTAAAAAGGGATCTTTCAAAACTTATGTTTAATAGTTTTACCATGTATAATAGCATAGCATTTGTGTTGGTAAGTTGGCCTTTATTTTTGAATTCTGCAAGTAAAAAGTTAAACTTTCTTTTAGTTTTATCACATGTTTGGGTGTCAGGTTCAATTCTAGATACTAAGAATCTGAATGAACTAGATGCTTTTCCTGCCTGTAAGAAGTCTAATAGGATAGAGACTACATAAACAGAATTTAAATATTGTACAGTAATTAGTACTGAGGAAAGTGTGTGTGTGTGTGTTTAGTATATAGTGTGTATTTGGCTGAATAGAAGGCAAATACCAGAACTTTCCAGTCAACAAAACTATTGGAATGTTATGTATTGGCCAGGTGAGATACTCTGTAAAATAACTGCATGTGTCAGAATCCTTTCCCCAGCTTTTTTTGGAATAGGGTGATTAATGACTTAAACCTTAAAGTTTGAGTGCCATATTGTAACATACCATTAAATCCTTGTCACTTCCTGTGGATCATGAAATCTGATGTCTCTTGATTGATGTTCTCTCCTTGTCAGTCCCAGCCTCTCCATGGTCTGTTCAAAATTTTGTATGACACGGTCTTCACCAAAAATTTGTTATTAGTTACTGAAGTTGTAACGGTTAAGTTTGCCATTGAGATCTATTGAGTGTCATTTACTACACTTCACAGCTGTGGTCTTAATGGCTAGTGAAAGCAGAGCGCGTTGTGAGTCGGCAGTTTCTGATGCTTTTGTGAAATTCTTCTAAAGTGAGTTAACCTGTATTTCAGATTGCTTCCAAGTATGATCATCAGGCAGAAGAAGATCTTCGCAATTGGATAGAAGAGGTGACAGGCATGAGCATTGGCCCCAACTTCCAGCTGGGCTTAAAGGATGGCATCATCCTCTGCGAGTGAGTTACAGCCCTCCAGAATCTGTTTCTGCTCTTCCAGTTCTTTCCACAGCCTTCTCTCTCACTCTCCTTCTCAGCCCAGGGTGTCAGACCTTGATATTCTACAGATATCTTTAATGCTTTCCCTTACTGATGCTAAAGGGAGCAACTTGATATTTCAATCCTTGTTTTTGTGTGCCAGTAAATAAGATGTCTCTCATATTTTTCTTTTCAGACTTATAAACAAGCTACAGCCAGGCTCAGTGAAGAAGGTCAACGAGTCCTCACTGAACTGGCCTCAGGTAACAGCCAAACCAACCACCTCTGGTTCTAGTTGGTTGCATTTTATGTAGTGAAAACTTGATTTCAGGTTTGGTTTTTTGGTTTTGTGTTTTTTTTTTTTTTAACTTTTTGATTACGGTTTTTACATAGACATTGTAGCAGAAATTTGTGCATATTTAATTTTTTGCCCTTTTGTAATGGTTCTGTAATTACTTATTTAACTAGTTCTGTAATTATTACGTTTAGCTTAGAAGTTTTCCTATATTTAGTCTGTGTACATTCAGAAAGGACTTGACACAGCTTACACAGAGAAATGCAACCCAGACCTTAAGGATAAGGGAAAAAACAAGGCATTCCACATAACTAACAGTGGACTGCAGAGCACTGTATCAGACATAACCTTAGTTCATGAGTGTGTATGAGGAAGGAAAATGGGATACTTACTGGTCTTGAACATGTGTTTGGAGATATGAGAGAATGAGTATTTAGTAACCACAAATGTATTCTGAAATTAAAATAACACATAATGAATTATTTATTAGTATGAGTAATTATACACCTTTTGACAAATAAAATTCCAGGCCTGGATAGCTCTGATACAGAATCCTTTTAAAATATATAAGGAAGATCTTGCCCATAAAAACTGAAAACACGTAACTGCTTAAAAATATTAAGACTGTGATGTGACCCACAGTGAGAGACACACTCTCTTCTTGCTCTTTCCTGTTCCAGAGAGAGCCATGCTTAGTATGTATTTGGTTGAATCCTTGTCAAACAGCTTTCTGGGCAGCGTCTTATAACTGTTTATGAAGACTTGGAATTCTTAGAAATTATGAATGTCAATATTTAGCTCCAGAAATTATAAAACTCTTCTTCTTTATAGTTGGAGAATATTGGCAACTTTATTAAAGCTATTCAGGCTTATGGTATGAAGCCACATGACATATTCGAAGCAAATGATCTTTTTGAGAATGGAAACATGACCCAGGTTCAGACTACTCTGGTGGCTCTAGCAGGTCTGGTACGTACATGTCTTTAATGGCTGGTTAACAGATTCCCACCACATTGGTGATGAATTGCATCATTGCTTTTTCATGGGGGTTCAGACCAGGTGGGGCGGGGCCTGTCTCTTCTGTAATTAGTAGCTTTGTGGAAAGGCTGCTGACATCAGCTGCATCGTACTAGATAGCTTACTTAGAACACTCACATTTCAAATGATGCAGTATATTATTGAACAGCCTTAAATACTTTTTATCTCTAGTTTGGGCCCCTTTGTCTATGGACATATCATTTCTTTGTTGTTCCTTCTGTGAAACTCTGTTGGCCTTTTCAGTTAGTGTGCATGTTTCTGTCTAGGCTAAAACAAAAGGATTCCATACAACCATTGACATTGGAGTTAAGTATGCAGAAAAACAAACAAGACGTTTTGATGAAGGAAAATTAAAAGCTGGCCAAAGTGTAATTGGTCTGCAGGTAAGTAATGTGGTGTTGCTTATTCAATTACTTATTCAATATGATTAATTCTCACCATGCAAAATATTAAGCCTCTCCTAAGAATAGACAGAAGTACTATAGTACTGGGGGGGGGGTGTAGTTTATACAATTTATATCTATTTATAAAGCCCATAAGACAGTGATAATTTTTTAGAGGAAACCTCAGGTATGCCACCTGACTTGACAATTATTTCTCCAGGAAACGAAAATTTTTAATTGAATCATATTGTCTTTTTTTTTTTTTTAAAAAAGAAAAATACACTTTTAAATTTTTTATTTTATCTTTTTTTTTTTGAGACAGAGTCTCACTCTTTTGCCCAGGCTGGAGTGCAGTGACGCGATCTCGGCTCACTGTAACCTCCACCTCCTGGGTTCAAGCAATTCTCCTGCCTCAGCCTGCCAAGTAGCTGGGATTATGGGAATGAGCCACCATGCCCGGCTAAGTTTTGTAGTTTTAGTAGAGATAGGATTTCACCATGTTGGCCAGGCTGGTCTTGAACTCCTGACCTCAGGTGATCTGCCCACCTCGGCCTCCCAAAGTGCTTGGATTACAGGCGTGAACTACTGCACCTGGCCTGTTTTATCTTTTATATATAGATGGGATCTCACTTTGTTGCCCAGGATAGTCTCAAACTCTGGAGCTCAAGCAGTCCTCCTGCCTTGGCCTCCCGAAGTGCTGAGATTACAGGCATGAGCTACCACACCCAGCCAGAAATGTACTTTATAAATTCCTTAATGTTATTGACCAAATTAGGCAATTTTACACGACCTTAATGCCAAAGTCACTTATTTACAGTACCAAATCATGATATAGCAGCCAAGCCCTGTTAGAATTTGTCAGTTTAAATTCTTCTGAAATACGTAGTTCAGATGTTTTCCTTCTCTTCATTGTTCTCTTCACTGGTCATGGAAACGTCATTGCTAATTCCCCAAATGCTGTTGGCTTTACTCTCCAAAAGCCACTGTACCTGCTTGATACAGTGCCCCTTTCTACTGAGTCTATGCAAGTTAGATTTATTTTTACACAGTACAAAATTGTATTGGTGGTGAGAAACTGGAAACCTAAATTTCAGAACAGTAGTCAGTTGGTTGAATTACAACTCCATAAAAGCAAAGTGTAATGTAAAATTATACACTAGAGTTTGAAAAGATAGGTTATGGGGGAAAAAAATCAGATCATCAAATACTGTGGTCAGTATGGATTTTTAAAATTAAAAATGCACATGTTTTTGTATGTATTTGTATATATGTGCATCTATAGATATATACATAGACACATAGGTTAAAAAGCTAAAAGGATATTCACAAATGTTGACAGTGAATGGATGGTGGTATCACAATGATTTTTCCCCCCTCCTTTTTGCTTATATGTGTTTTCTGAATTTTCTTCAATGAACAGATTTTATATTAGTAATAAAGATTTTCTTTAATCTTATTTTTAAAGAAAAAAGATCCAACATCAGAAAAGTGTGCCTAACCAGTGGAACAGGGTGTAATGGTTGGTCCTGAAGCCATACTGTTCTCAGTGGGGAAGAAAAATTAATTATTGTTTCCCTGAACTTTGCTGAGTTCAAATTCCTCATTCCACCTTTCTCCAGCTCTGTCCAAGGACATGGGAGTTACAGGAATAAAATGTGGTTCCTTTCTGGAGAAAATGTTGGTGATTTTGAAACTTTAAAAAGCCCTTGTTAAGCTCCCAGAGAAAACACTTGGCATTTGCTTTCACATTTTATGTAAAACATTCCTGGAGTAGAACAGCATATTGCTTGGCCTAGGATTACTTCTGTTGAAATAACCGAAGCTGGTACCTCTTAATTTGGTTATCTGGGGAAAGAGTAGCAGAGGAAATTATTCTGCCACTGTAATGACTTTTGGTGTGTCAGTCCACCTGTTAAAGTGTGTTTAATTCTTCTATGTATGAGTTTTTATCTATAGTGACTTTAAAATTTTCTTTTTAAAGTTAGCACTTGAAATTTGTTTGTAGACACATAGAAGAGTTGACTGGAGCCTCAGCTCAGTAACTTGTCGGTTGTGCCCCTTCTGTCTTTTTGGTAGCATGGAAAGTTTTGTTTGTGTTGTGTATATTGTTGACATCTGATAATTTGTGCAATTTTATTTTTAACTTAAAAGATGGGAACCAACAAATGTGCCAGCCAGGCAGGTATGACAGCTTACGGGACTAGGAGGCATCTTTATGATCCCAAAATGCAAACTGACAAACCTTTTGACCAGACCACAATTAGTCTGCAGATGGGCACTAATAAAGGAGCCAGCCAGGTAAGCAATACCTTTTTATACGTGTACAAGAGTACACTTACCTTATTTTTATTAACCAGAAGTTTAAAGTAGGTATTTTTTGTATAGTTTATTTAGAGTATATTCCTTCAGGAATGTGGACTTTGCTGGGAAAGCAAAATAATCAAAAGACCTTTTCGATAGCAGCAAAAGCATGATGTGTCTCGTGGTTTTTGTTGGCAGTTAGAACAGCTGGCCTTTCTACCTAGCCAGCAGAAAAAAAGATATGTTTATTACAGTGTTCTTGCTCCAAAATCCAAGTAAAATATTGCTCATTTAAATGCTGACTTTTTTTTTTAAGGAGCCCTTAATTAATAGGTAAAATTACCTGGTGTTCCACTAAGAAGGATTTAACTAGCATTCCTATTAGATGTGTCAATATAAGGAGATGGAAATGCAACATGGTGAAAATACCAGTATACCACATCCAAGATAGAAATATTTCCTTGTTAAAAATAGATCACCAGCACCTCAGAAGGAAGTTCAACAACCATTTGAGAACAGACAGGTCTCACATCCAACAACAGCTGGGATAGGGTTTGAAAAACATTTTCTTACCGAGTCCAAGGGAGATTTATCAAACTTTGCCCTTATGGAACACATCCTACCGGGTGCGGCATTATGTCTCTCATAGCTGCCACTCACGTTTACTTTTCTACCCACTCTGAACCTGGAAGTGTGTGCTTGATGTAAGTAGAGAGATGAAGTATGAGTTACTGTACTCTGAAAAAGAGGGGAGTGGCTGTGAAGTGGCTGGTTCTTCTGTATCTCAGCCTTTTGAAAAGACTCAAGTCCTTAAGATCTGCTCAACATAGTTTCTGTTGAATATATTATAAATTTTTGAAATTGGTAACCCAGATAATGTATGTGGTCCCCATGGGCATTCACATGGAACTTTCTGGTGTGGAAGCATTATGATTTCACATTCTTTATGTCTCATTCTCTCTTAAATCCAGAGTAGGTAGTAATGTCTCCATTTTGCAGTTTGAGAAACCTAAAGCTAAATTTACGTGTTTGAGGCCACATAGTAATTTTATAGCAGAGCAAGGATTTTGAAGAAAGGTCTCACCTAGCTCAAAAGCCAATGAATATTGCTTCATGGAAGTGATTCGGTATCAGGATATTTTGGTTAAGCTAGCTTTACCCCTGAACCAAATGAAAGTTCATGTATTACTGTTCATATTCAATGTGAATTCTATAATTTATAAATTATTCACAAGAATAGATTCTAGCTGCTGTTTTAACTTTTATACTATGTTCTAATACCAGGCAGGGATGTTAGCACCAGGTACCAGAAGAGACATCTATGATCAGAAGCTAACATTACAGCCGGTGGACAACTCGACAATTTCCCTACAGATGGGTACCAACAAAGTTGCTTCCCAGAAAGGAATGAGTGTGTATGGGCTTGGGCGGCAAGTATATGATCCCAAATACTGTGCTGCTCCTACAGAACCTGTCATTCACAACGGAAGCCAAGGAACAGGAACAAATGGTTCGGAAATCAGTGATAGTGATTATCAGGCAGAATACCCTGATGAGTATCATGGCGAGTACCAGGATGACTACCCCAGAGATTACCAATATAGCGACCAAGGCATTGATTATTAGATCCACACAGAAGGAGCTCAGTATTTAGTCCTTTGTTTTTATTCAGTGAGAACCAAGCTAGCCTTGAGTAATTTTTATCTTGTCTTCCTAAAACACTATTAAGCTTATTGTACTTTTAAGAAAAATTGCCTTACGTACATTCCTTTTTCCTTTTTCTGCCTCTTCCCTCAATAGTTGCCTTTTAGTGCTGTAATAGTTAAATCCTACAGCATAATCAATAACTCGCATATGAAGTAAAAAGGAATACTGTGAAAGGGGAGTACTCTTGTACAGCCAGTTCTTTTATGCAAAAATCTATGCATTTTTACAATCTTATATTAAACTGGTATTTTCAAACAATAGGAAACTTTTTTTTTTTTTTTTTTTTTTTACAGTTTAGTGTATCTGGTTTCTACATGGAAGACTAAACTCATGCTTATTGCTAAATGTGGTCTTTGCCAACTAAATTTAAGATGCAGCATTTTAGAAATTTACATATCAATGTTTCTACAGTATTGTTTGCTAATTTTTAAATAAAGTCATGATCAGTGTGCATTTGTGATTATATGTGTACTCATTCTCTTACCTAGCGAACAAGATCTTTTCAGAGTGGTGTTTCTAAAAGAGCATGTACAAAAGTGGCCTGTGGACATTTAGGCCTGGGTGATGCATTTGCTCTTCCTGTTTGTGCCAATGTATCAATGTAGAGTTGCTCTGTTTTCTTCAACTGTATTTATTGCTGCATTTCTCAGCATAAACTTATCCCATTGTATTTTTTATAAATAAATATTTTTTTTGAACTTTCATATGAACCACAGGCTGATTATTTTCTGGCTAGCTTCTAGATAGGTAGGGTCAGATTTTTTTTTAAGTACCTTTTTCCTAGGTACTGTTACAAGGTACATTAACATTTTATTTACTTCACACAACACTGCACTCTATGCTTAAGGAGATTGAGGCTTAGGAAACCATTACACATAGTAAATGACAGAATTCTAATCATTTTCTGACCCTTGCTTATTTCACTGACTTGGCTGGCCCAGATTCATCTTAAATTCAACTTGGAATAATCTTAAAATCTTTAGGAATATTGACAGGAGGGGTGGGGAATTTTCCTATCTTAGGGTAAGTAAACATGAATAAGAAACATGCTAGGTCAGCCATAGGATGTGCTGCTTGGTAATAAGCCAGGGTTTATAGTGAAACATAAACCTTCAGTCCTGACAGAGGGAAGGACAAACAATAGCTAGGTGTCATAGTGACAAAAATGCAGTCACTAAAAGAAAATTAGTAACTCACACTTTCCGACATTGTCTCAGCCAAGCCATGTCTTCTAATAGGATTGGCTCTATTAGGTTTGGGGGCGAAAACCGTCTGTTTTTTGCTGAGAGATGAGGAGTATATACACATGGTTTGATGAGCCCACAAAAGTGAAGGCTATTTGCTCATCATTCCACAATGACTAGGTTTAATGCTTCTGGGAAACTGCTTGTAAAGGAAACTATTGGAGTCAACCTAATTCAATGGTGGCATTTAAGAAAAAAGTCATTGCATTTAAAGTAGACCTGAGTTCTAAGGCTTTCCTTGTCATCTTTGACTCTTCAAAGTTTAGGGAAGGGAAGCCTTATATCACACTACCTGCCCTGCCATTTAAGTCAGATTGATTCCCATGAGGCTGCCAATCAACATGTTAAAATGTTTCTATTTGGTTAGAGTTTTAAAAACGAAAAGCTCTTCCCCTCACTCCCATCTACATAAATCTCTGAGGTCCAGGCAGAAGTATTTTTAAAAATCTGTCTCCAGGTAATTTCTCAGGTGGGGCTGTGGTTGAAAACCACTTCTTCCAGAATGTCTGCTGTAAGAGGAGTGCTTGTGTATCAGGAGTTTGGATAAATTGTGTGTGCCATCACGGAATGTGATCTGGTGGAGAGACATAACAGAAAGTGGATTCACAGTCATATCAGAGAAGAGCATGGAGGAAAAGGACAGAAGAGAGGGCAAGTAATGCTGCTCAGAGGCATTGCAGAAGCATGATGCTATCAGAGCTGGGTTTTGAAGAATAAGTAGGAGTTTGCCATTAGCAAAGAGGAGGAAGAGTATTCAGAAAAAAAGGAAGAGCATGTGCACAGACTAAATCATTGGTTACACTCCTGCCTCTCCTGTACATGCCCAGTTCAGGTGGTAGTTCATGTTAGAGTAGACAGTTTTGGCTTTTATTGTCACCAAATCTAAGAATTGTACTTTGAAAAGTTAATCCATTTAGCATATTTCCAGGATTGGCTGAGTAGGGAAGTATCCTACTCTGTATAAAAGCAACTTTCCAAGCTGGGCATGGTGGCATGCCTGTAGTCCCAGCTGCTTGGGAGGCTGAGGCAGGAGGATCACTTGAGCCTAAGAGCTGGAGGCCGCAGTGAGCTATGATGGCACCTGTGCATAGACACTGTACTCCAACCTTGGGAACATAGTGAGATGCTGTCCCTTTAAAAAAAAAAATCCAGAGATTTCTGCTAACAAAATCCTTATCTTAAAAAGGTTTATTTATTAGTTGTGCACTTACAAACTTACCTCAGTTCTTACATAGTGTACTTTGTAAGTTGATGCATATAAACATGGTTTTAGAAGAGTTTTTCTGTCCTAATTTGTACAAAAAAAGGTAAACTAATATAGTTCCAGTATTGTTACCTGGTCAAACAATAATGACAAAGACAATGAGGAAGAATAGGGTTTATTAGGTCTTTTAAAAAAAAATTCACTAACTTTTCTCTAGTGGTCTCATCTTCTATTCTGTAAATGGCTCTTAGAAGGAAATGTTTTCCAGGTACAGATACCTAAATGGGTATCTATCTCACAATGGCCTGGAGTTCTGTTCCCTCCTCATTCCTTAATGAGTGCTTGTCCTGCTGTGCCCTTGCATTGTTTAATTTGTTGCTCCTTTTTACGAAACTCTGAAAAACAAAAGAACAAGTTAGAATAGTATTATGTGTCTGTACTGTTGATAACGTAGGGGCCGAGGGAAAACTTCTCCTTTGCCCTCTGACGGTTTGCTGAAGAATTAACTTACAAAAGGCAGATTAACAGGAGAAATGGCATATAAAGTAGCACAGGGGAGAATCACAGTGAGTGTCTAAATGGGGTACAGATAATTCTGTTTTTGGGAAAGGGAGATGGGGAAGTGTGGATGATTTTATGGGGGTGGTGAATTACTTTTAGGGGAGTTTAATGAGCTTGAAGAACACTTAGTGGCTGGGAACAAAGTCTGTTGGGCCCACAGGACAGTGGTTTGTGACAAAAGTCTGTCCAGGTGTGTTGACTGAATTTAGTCTTTGTTTCTGCTATATAAGTCCAGTTAATGGAAAACTCAGGGAAGGGGCCAGAGGTGGTTTTTTTCTTTGGTGGGTCTGGACTTTAGGCAGATAAGGGGATTTCATTCAGATGACAGCTTCATCCTGTGCTTTGGGAGAAGGTCAGAGAGTTCTTGAGGCTTCTTCAGTTCAGCATGTCAAAGTGCCATATTATGGAGTATCAATTTCTGAGTCCCAATGATAGCCATTTACAAGTTCTTGGCCTTAAATTTCAGATAACTGGATCCTTAAGAAAGTTTCTTCTGTTGAAAAAACTATTTTAAGGGGTAAATTTCAAGGTGGATTTTTTTTGGGGGGGAGGTGGTGGAGACGGAGTCACCCTCTGTCGCCCAGGCTGGAGTGCAATGGCGCCATCTCAGCTCACTGCAACCTCCACCTCCCGGGTTCAAGCGATTCTCCTGTCTCAGCCTCCTAAGCAGCTGAGATTACAGGCGCCTGCCACTGTGCCTGGCTAATTTTTGTATTTTTAGTAGAGATAGGGTTTCACCATGTTGGCCAGGCTGGTCTCAAATTCCTGACCTCATGTGATCCACCTGCCTTGGCTTCCCAAAGTGCTGGGATTGCAGGTGTGAGCCATAGTGCCCGGATTTCAAGGTGGATTTTTAACTGGAAAAGTAAATCAGGGGATGGAGACCTGGCTAGCTACATACCACCATCATAAGCACTTTCCTTAGAGTACATACAAATAAGTCAATAAACAAGTAAAAAGTAAAAATTGTATTTTGGCTGAGTGCGGTGGCTCACAACTGTAATCCCAGCACTTGTGGGAGGCCGAGGCAGATGGATCACCTGAGGTCAGGAGTTCAAAACCAGCCTGACCAACATGGTGAAACCCCGTCTCTTCTAAAAATACAAAATTAGGCGTGGTGGTGCACGCCTGTAATCCCAGCTACTTGGGAGGCTGAGGCAGGAGAATCGCTTGAACCTAGGAGGTGGAGGTTGCGGTGAGCTGAGATTGCGCCATTGCACTCAAGCCTGGGCAACAAGAGCAAAACTCTGTCTCAAAAAAAAAAGTAAAATTTGTAGTTTATGTTTTATATGGAGAAGGATGAGGATACATTAATTATAAATTGTAGAAGTGGTTCTTAAAAAATTGAGTGCCTGCTGAACCAAAGAGTGCATTAAATGCTCTGTTTAAAGCTAAAAGGGCTTTAACACCTAATTTTTATGGCAACAGAATGAAAGAAAAGTATGCAAATATCATATAACTCAGACAAGGAAAAGAGATGAGACATCATTCAGCTGTTAAAATATCCCTGTCTACCCAGGATAAGGCAAATAAGCAACAACTGTGTTGCAAAGGCTGTTGCAAACAGCTGCCTGCTATTTCCAGATATAAGCAGTATGGGCGCTCCGCTGAGGGTGTGGCTTTTCTCACACTGGTGTGCCTGGGCTAATAAAGGGCCTGAGAATTGCAGATCTGTCAATACTGGCACAGAGGAGCACACAAGTGTGCTCTCCCTAATATAGTGGGTATGAACATCATGCTTGGAGATGCAAAAATGCTTTAGAAAAAGATCAACTGTTAAACTTCTAGACCACCCAAAAGGCCAGATCATGCCATGAGCACCAAAGGGAGCTGAACTACTGTGTTCAGGACATCTTCTGCCCAGGGTAAGAAGTGCTGCTGCTACTTAGGAATCCATCTGATCAGCATTCTTGTTCAGCTTCACTTCTTCAGGGAGAAGGTTCTCAGAAAGGGAGGTGGGTTCAGCCTTGGAGAGTTCAGCGCAAATCCCACTTTCAGGCCCGGGGGTAGTAGAAGCCTCAGAGCCCTCTAGAAGAGAGAGGCTGGGTATGAGCCTCTTTCGTGTGTGCAGCTTTACAAAACTTTCAAGATTGCGAGCATGGAGATTGCAATTGGAAATGAAATGTTTGCTTACCAGAAATTCTTGATCCATAAAGTAGGGCTTTTCTGACGATCCATCATTTGTTTCCAGATCAACAGCAAAACACAGGAAAAGTGCATCCAGCACAGTTTCAAACACAGATAAAAAACTATGGGCTACTAAGTAGGCAAAAAAAGCTACCAATAACAGAGGGACTGCCCACACCTGGAATGCCCGATTGTAGTTAAAAGCCATGAGTCCTCCAAAAACAGTGAAACACACCACTAACACCTGTGCAAAAGAAGAGTTTGTTGAAAATCTTTATGAATCAGTTGCTTAGATGTTTTTGTCAGTTACAAGTAATGGTTTAATATACGTTCCTGTGTGCAACGTGTGTGTGCACTATTGTAAAGAATGCTTGTCAGAAATTTTGGCAGAATGAAATAGAGGAAAAAATGAAAAGCTGTATCAAAAGGAAACCCAGTTAATGGCGAGTAGGAAGGTTATATGTAATTTTATCTGTGCCTAGCTTTTGTATTTATATAAATGTAATAATATCTCACAAGCTTTTTATTCTGCTTTTTCACTTAACACCAAAATAAGCCTAT
The DNA here is from genome assembly GCF_000001405.40 of Homo sapiens. NCBI lineage: Eukaryota > Metazoa > Chordata > Mammalia > Primates > Hominidae > Homo > Homo sapiens. Next base: position 94,891,963 of record NC_000001.11, on the reverse strand, counting down.
TCACTTTAAAACTTTTTTTAGAAACCATCCCTCTTTCTTTTGAGACAGAGTCTCGTTCTGTTGCCCAGGCTGGAGTACAGTGGTGTGATCTCGGCTCACTGCAACCTCCGCCTCCCAGGTTCAAGTGATTCTCCTGCCTCAGCCTCCTGAGTAGCTGGGATTACAGGCACCCGCCACCACACCCGGCTAATTTTTGTATTTTTAGTAGAGACGGGGTTTTCCCATGTTGGCCAGGCTGATCTCAAACTCCTGACCTCAAGTGATCTGCCTGCCTCGGTATCCCAAAATACTGGGATTACACATGTGAGCCACTGTGCCCAGTCCAGGTTTCAATACTCTTTCCATATATTCTTAATGAGAAACCCACAAACGTTCATTTTCTGAGATTAGTAGCATTTTCATTTTAGACCTGAAAAAGAGGGAATCAGAATGGTAGAACTGATCACAGGTAAGAGAGTAAGACTAAGATTAAAATTCTGGCTCTACCTATTGTAGTACCCTGGAAAGGTTATTAAACCTTCATTTTCTCTTCTGCAAAGTAGGGATACCTCATGGGATTGAGGATTAAATGAGATAATGAAGCACAGCACCCACTATAGAGTAAGTACTCAAGAAATATAGTTCCCTTTCAAACCAATTGTTGTATGGCTTAATTTTCAGAATCCCAGGCTCCTTTATTTAGTCAAGATATCTCACCTTTCCTAGAAAAATTATGAAGTCTCCAAAGCAGTTAATAGATGTAAAGTGACTTGAGTTCTTGGACAAGATTTTGAATGCATCTTTTGCTGATGTACAGAAATCTGTCCCATTAATAGCAGTTGTAGTATATGCATTCTGAAACAGAAGAGAATTGTTTAAAAGATAATTCTTATAACAATTGTTTTTAAGGCAATATATTAATACAGAGTGTTTGCAAACTAGAGTTACAATAAACCTACTCTCTCTACCCATAACAAATACCATTTTCAAAGTCCTTTCCAGTCTGATTATATCCATATATATTTTCATATAGTTGCAGCAAATAGAAAAGATAAATAGGTACTTATGGTTAATATGAATGTCCCACTACAAACATGTGGAAATGATGGGTAAAGCATAAGGGTTTTATTTGCTTGTTTTGAGACAGTCTTACACTGTTGCCCAGGCTGGAGTGCAGTGGTGCCATCTTGGCTCACTGCAACCTCTGCCTCCTGGGCTCAAGCGATTCTTGTACCTTGGCCTCCTGAGTAGCTGGGATTACAGGCGAGAGCCACCACCCTGGCGATAAGTTATTTTTTAATGCACAATAGAGTTTGAGGGCAGGAAAGGAAGTTTAGGTACCAGAAAGCAAGCGGGATCTAATGGTTTGTGAGAGCTGAACCCAAAGGTGCAACAGGCATGCAATTAGGCCCTTGCTAGGGAAGTGAGCTCCTTCAACAAATTCAGGATTCATACTCAATTCAGCCTCAGTCAGCCATTCCAGGAAGGTGGTACAGAAATGCACTATGTGCCTAAGAGTGTTAAAATTACTAGGGTTTTGCAAAGGCAAAGCAACATCGCCACCTCCCAGGCCAGGGAATAGAGGAGTCCTACAGATAACAACCCTTGGAGAAGACGAGGAGCTCACAGGAAAATTTTATAGAGGACCCATGGAAATGAACATCACAACAAACAGAATCTACCCTGAGAACAACCTGGAAAAAAAGTATTTAGAGAGGTATGTTTAAGGTACTAAGAAAATAGTGAAAGAAACAGTGACCATAAGGAATAAACAGAACAGTATGAAAAATGAAGAGGCAGAGTAGAAAACAAATTGAATAGAAATTCTAGAAATAGGCCAGGTGCCGTGGCTCATGCCTGTAATCCCAACACTTTAGGAGGCCGAGGCGGGAGGATCACCTGAGGTCAGGAGTTCAAGACCAGCCTGAGCAACATGGAGTAATCCCTTCTCTACTAAAAATACAAAATTAGCCAGGCATGGTGGTGCATGCCTGTAATCCCAGCTACTCGGGAGGTTGAGGCAGGAGAATTGCTTGAACCCGGGAGGCGGAGTTTGCGGTGAGCCAAGATCGTGCCATTGCACTCCAGCCTGGGCAACAAGAGCGAAACTCCATCTCAAAAAAAAAAAGCTAGAAATAAAAAATATACAGTGTAACTGGTATGGTGTCATGATTATATATCTGGCTTTTTTCTTTGTATAATAAGCATTTTTATGTTACTACATGGCTTTTATAATTTTAATTTTTAACGCATATTCTGGGATATACATATGTGCATGTGTACGTGCATGTGTGTAGCTGGGACATGTTGACTGTTTCAAATGTTTTGCTGTTATAAACAACTATGCAATGAACTCTTGATTTCCTGATTTTAGATAATTTCTTAAGCATAAATTCTCAGAAACAAGATTACTATATCAAAGACTACAAATGTGTGTGTGTGTGTGTGTGTGTGTGTGTGATTATGTTCACATGAGACGATTTCTCAGGTTATTTTTTCCAAAATACCTTCCCCTTATGACTACATTTCAAGACCATTTATGTCTCTTGAAATCTTTAAAAATGCTACTTGCATTGCAGATTACAACAAGAATTTATAACTTTCCTGGGAAAATACATGAGAATACTACCTGCTTGGGTTGTTGTCATTCCTTTTGGTTTGGATAAAGGATGAAAGTTTTTTATTTCATGATATACAAATTAACCCTTTTGTACACCCCTTCAGACACATCGTAAGGAAATCAGTGTGGAGTCTACTGCAGTAATCAGCCTCCCACAGTGCGGGTCCTAATAGAGTAAGTAGAAGAGATGAAGACCACTAACAAGCATAGGGTTAAGGGAGCAGAATTAACTGACCCAATTTACCAAACTCCCTCTTCAAGGCCAGCAAGAGAAGAATGTTTGGTTCTTAAAGACAAAAGGCTGGGCCAGGCACGGTGGCTCATGCCTGTAATCCCTGCACTTTGGGAGGCCAGGGGTTGGGGCAGATCAAGAGGTCAGAAGTTGAAGACCAGCCTGACCAACATGGTGAAACCCTGTCTTTACTAAAAATACAAAATATACATATATATGTGTATATATATATATATATAGCCAGTCGTGGTGGCACATGCCTATGATCCTAGCTACTGGGAAGGCTGAGGCAGGAGAAACGCTTGAACCCGGGAAGCAGAGGTTGAAGTGAGCCGAGATCGCACCACTGCACTCCAACCTGGGTGACAGAGCGAGACTCCGCCTCAAAAAAAAAAGACAAAAGGCTGGAAACCATATCCCTGATAGGGCACCATGCTTGCCTTAGAGATTTTCAGTGAGACGTCAGATGAATTTCCTGCAAAAAAAAAAAAGAAAGTTCCACAAGGAAATTTTGGTTTTGGACTTACATAGAATGTGCGTGAAATTTGCTTTGAAAATCTCAAACCAGCTGTTGCTGGAAAGCTGCTCCAGTTTGGGGGCCTGAGTCTTGTGCAGGGATGTGGAAACTCATTTACTCATATTATTTAACTAGGCATCTTCAATCATCTTGGGTTTTCAAAGCCCTGATGACCAATCTATTCATTCATCCTCAAAGCACATCTGTAGGATGGGTGGGTGAAGAATGGCATAATTGTTCTTTTATAGACTGGAAACCAAGATCAAGGGCATTTCCCCCAGGTCCCCTGGTGAATCCATGAGACAGAGACCGTTTTATTTTAATTTTTTAAATTCTAACCTTCTGGACATTACACTATCAATTTTCATTAGGAAAAATTGCTATTTAAAAGCATGGTGGTTACGGTAAGCACAGGCTCTGTAGCCAGACTGTCTCTGTGCTCAAATCCCAATTCTACCACTGACTAGCTGTTGGTCTTGGGCAAATGATCTAACCTCTCTAAGACCTCAATTTCCTCATCTATAAAATGACTTACAGCACCTACCGCAAAGGGATGTTGGGAGGATTAAAGAACCTACTCCCTGTAAAGCACAGAGAAAATGTGTAATAAAGAGTGGTTATTATCATCCAGACATCACCAAAGATGATCTCATTTACAACTGGGAACACAGAGGCAACTCTTTAAGCACCTGAGGAGGTGTGGCAGGGGCCTGTAGTTGCTTTACCTGTAGGCTTTAATCCCTCACACCCACAGGGATCCAGGAAAGGGCTTTTTAGACCACCTGCCAGCCCCCAGCATCGTCTTACAGCAGCTCCACCATTGCCGCTCAGCCTCTGTCTCTGCCTCCTCTCTTCATTCAGGCTGCCTCCAGCCCACCACCCCATCACTTCCCCACTCTAAGCTTCCTAAAGTGCTTCTTGCTTCCCATGGGGAAGCACTGTTTTTGTGGGGACTTCTTTTTCTGCAGATCACTGCCTCGTATTTAATTTAGCACCATCTCTCATAAGTAGTAAAAACAGATTTCGCTCTTTGGCTAAAATGATTAAAATTTAAAAAGGTATTATACTTTCTCATGCATGTGTTGACTCCAAAGAGTTTTGGGGCCCATAAGCATTTATCTTTTCTTATGTATCAGGCCCACTGAAAGAAGGCATTAAAAGCACTCTGATAGAGAAATTATATATGCCTTCCTGCAGGTACCATACCACTAGCATTTTACCAGATTCAACCCTGAGTGCAACAGAGAGATCTAGAATTAACATCTGAATGAATAGGGGGAGGAGGGAGGAATCACTCAAGACACAGGATACGGATTAAACATTTCTGCAGCTTCAGCATTAGCTAATTTATACTTATTCTGAGTAGAAGCTGCTTGTCAGGCAGCTGGAAGATGGAGTGCACTAACATTTTCATCGTAAGTCCTTGTTCTGAGCATTTGTATTTGCCTGGGATGACAGAACTCAGGATTAACGTGCCAAGGTAATCTGCAGACTCTAACAAAATGTGGAAATGATTGGCCATAATAAGGACTAGGAAACACGTTTTATTGGTTGTGGAAGTTAAGAGATCCTAAAGGCTAACCTTTAAACAAGCAAGCAGGAGGTAGTGGCATTCGGCTTTTGATTTATTCCCAAAATTCAGTGTGCATACTTCTTTAGCATCACAAAACAGGTGGGTGGATATTTCTGTCTTGAAATTGAAGCTATAAACACACAAGACAGATACGAGGAAGGATTCCCAAGTTGGCATTGGTAGTATCTCAATATTATGTCCCAATTCTCACTCCCTTGCTTGGGATCCAAGACTCCCTCCAGGTACAGGTGGATTAGTTTTCAGACTTTAATGGACTGGTCACCTGGGACTGTCCCGAGTGGCTGAGAAGCACTGGGGGAAGAACACAATGAGGACGCCCTGTGTGGCTGTGAGGGCTTCAAAACAATGAAATACATAGCACAAGTGCACATGTGAGGGCCACAAAGAGCAGAACCACAAGCTGGAGGGAGAGGGGAAGAGAGGGCCCAGCAGGAGGGATCAGGGAAGGCTTCATGGAAGTGGCATACGAGCTGGCCCCAGTGTTGCCTGTCTCCAGCAGGGTAGGAGGCAGCAGCAGGAGCCAGCAACATGAGCCACAGACATGAGCATACCAGCAGGCTACTGGGGGGCCCCAGCAGAGGAGAAATGGGAAACAGGTCTGGAAGAGTCGGGGGTCAGCCCTCGGTGGGTGGGGCTGATGCAGAGTGTGGAGCAAGAGCAGTGAAAGGAAGTTTCAGGAGGACTCACGATTTTCAGCCTGTGCCTCTGGAAGCTCTCCCAGGCTGCCCTGGGGAAGTTCAGGTCAGATCTCCCTCATCACCATCTTCTGCTGAGCCACGAAGCTCTGCACCTTCCAAGGCTCATTCCTATTCAAGCCTAGGAGACTCCCCAAGCACCTCCACAATGCCTACGGGGCTCTGCTGGAGTTGGGTGGAAATGCTGTGGTGGCCATGCAGCCATTGAGCACACCGACCCGCCAGCAGTCATAAGCCAGGGGCTAGGCCCAAAGACCGTGAGTTCTTCTTGGGAGAAAATAGGAGTATTAGGAATAGTAACTCCTCCAGGCACTCTGGCTCCCCTCCACCCCCACCTCGGTGGATGCCTTAGTGATATATCCCAAATGCCTTGGCACAGACCTAATGATAGCTACAACTTTCTAATTTCCATCTGTGGCCTTTTTCTTTTCCAGTCAGTAGGCAGGTGTGCAACTTCTGTGTGTAAATAAATAATAACGCTAATAATAAATAATAATGGCATTAATCTTGCATGTACTATGTGCCAGGCTCTATGCTACCTCTCCCCGAACACATTCACTCATTTAGTCCTCTTAACTCCAACCCGATGAGGTAGTTAAGGAAACTAAAGCACAGAGAGGTAAAGTAGTGTGCCCCCGGTTCCACGCGTGTCATAGATGTTGCGTCCATCTTCCATGAAGTGGACCTCTAACTCGTTCAGGCCCATCTGCTGGAAAACTTTACTTTGAGCTGTACTTTGTGCTTTTTCTCCTGGAAAGTTCAAAATAACAAAGTGGTGTTCTCATGAGATGCACCATTGAAAACAGCTGAGGATGTGGCAGGATGGCTTAGTGGAAAGAGGCTGGATTCCAGTCATGTTGCCTCCAAAGACTTGCGGAACGGCTTCCACCAAATCACGTCACTTCTCAAGGGCCCTCACTTTGCTGCTTGGAAAAGACTTCCACCAACTCCAATGTTCCATGATGCTTTATGTTTGTGCTTCGTGGCCAGTCACCCTCGGATCATCGTCTCATTAGATCTCATCTGTTTTCACCACAACTCAGTGAAATAATCACCATGGGTGGTATTATTCCCTGCTGCCTCTTTTTTTTTTTTTTTTTTTGAGAGGGAGTCTCACTCTGTCGCCCAGGCTAAAGTGCAATGGCGCGATTGTATTCCTGTGGTCAATTGATTCTGCTGCCTCAGCCTCCTGAGTAATTGGGACAACAGGCACCCACCACGCCTGGCTAATTTTTGTATTTTTAGTAGAGACAGGGTTTCACCATGTTGGCCAGGCTGGTCTCAAACTCCTGACCTCATGTGATCTGCCTGCCTCGGGCTCCCAAAGTGTTGGGATTATAGGCGTGAGCCACTGCGCCTGGCCGGTATTATTCTCATTTTATAGAAAATTGTAATTATTGAAGAAAATGAGATTTAAGTGTCCTTTTAGGTAAGAGAAAATCTAGATTACCTATTTAAGTTACTGTGAGAGCTATCCAAGAACGTTAATTGCAGCTTTAACATAGAAAGAGCGTTTTTTTACTCCTGAAATCAAACGCTTAGCCAGCACAGCTCAGCCTTTTGTCCATCATGCTGAGTCTGTCCTCTCACTGAACTGAACTGCTTTCTTCTTTTGGTGGCAGAACTGTGAACCTGGGTTTCTGCCGACTCTTCAAAAAGGTAAACAGAGTTTCCCTCCGTAGTGGAGGGAAGGTATTTGCCAAAAACCATGCCATGAATAGCCAGCTTTATTTCTGGAATGCCTTCCTCACAGAGTTCCGATATTTATTCTCAAAGCAAGAACTACTAAAACAAACTTGAGAAACTGAACAGTGAATAAATAACACTGGCATTCATACTTTCCTCAGAACTGAAAAAAAATACAGTGAAATCCGAGTCCAGATACATCCCCATACATCCAGGGGCCTTCCTTGGACCTACAGTAAAACTGGCAGGAACCGTCCCAGACCAGTTTCATCTTGAGCCCTGTTTTTATCACAAACACATGTGGAGTGAGGCAGTGCACAGCCTCTGGGCCTTCCAGGGCCCTGCATTCACCGTTCAGATCCCTTCAGGAATGCACCGGTCACCAGGATGCAAACAAACATCCAATGAGATGGTGAGGAGGGAAAGCAGCCAGTCCCCTGGGGCTGCAGCCAGGTGGGAGGTGGGGTGGAAGAAGGAAGGACAAACATGAGAGCTGCCTATGAAGCCACGAACAGGGTCGTGCTATTTTGTTTGCTCTTTTAAAACTTTTCTTTTTGCTTAATTTTTAGAATGGCTTTATTATTTCCATGTTAATCTTAAAAAAATCAAACAACACAGAGACAAAGAAGCAAGAAGGCCACTGTGATCCCACCCCTTAGAAATAACCACTGCTAACATTGCTTGGCCTTCACCCCAGCACCCCTCTGTGAATATACACAGAGGAAGAAAGGCAGGCTGGATACACTGAGCATGCGCTACGATAATGAACTCATACTCTCCATGGTATTTTAAATAAAAGGACAAATGCTCATTTGACTTCAACAAACGAAAATGAAACTAAACTGACACTGAAGGGATACCCAAATTTCAGACAAATTGCACCTTCACACACAAGACGTAGGTTTTAAAAAAGTCTTCTGAAACATTAGGAAGTTAGAGTACTTATTGTTTTTTTAACATAGGGTTTTAAGTTTAGGCAGTGTAGATAAGAAAGTTGAGTCCTCTCACGCCTTCTCCTGCATCCTGATTTTAGTGAGTTTCATTATTCTGACTTTGTCAGGGTTTTGAACACTTATAGCCTCTTTGATGATGAAAGTCTCTACATCTAAGTTGTCTTTGTTTGTTTGCTTTGTTTGAAACAGGGTCTCACTCTGACACCCAGGCTGGAGTATAGTGGCTCAATCATGGCTCACTACAGCCTCAACCTCCTCCCAGGCTCAGGTGATTCTCCCACTTCAGCCTCCCGAGTAGCTGGAAATACAGGCATGCGCCACCACACCTGGCAAAGTTTGTGTAGTTTTTTGTACAGATGGGTTCATGCCATATTGCCCAGGCTGGTCTCGAATTCCTGAGCTCAAGCTGTCTGCCTAACTTGACCTCCCAAAGTGCTGGCATTATAGGTATAAGTCACCGCACCCGGCCTAGTCTTTGTTTCTTAATGAGGTGTATCCAGCACTGCCACCATGCCTGCCCCTTCACACACCTGCTGTGGGCCACTGCATTCACACCATCCTGGAAGGCCCTTGCGGTTCCTCCACTCACAGATGCGGTTCTCTCTGCTGAAATGCCTTCTGACCCCTGGCCTCTCTGTGGGGCTAATATTTGTTGAACAGATAAAGAAAGATCCTCTGGCAAACCAATAATGTCTTCTGAATAATATTTCTTCATATGAAACCCAAATTCAATTGATTGATCCCTTTGTTCTTTCAGCAGAATGGTTGGATTAAAAGGCATCCTAGATATCACCTAGAAAAATGCTCTTATTTCACCAATGAGGAATTGGCAATCTCGACAGGCTGTGACCAGGTAGAGGAAGCGACAAAGATGGAACAGGAATCAGGTGCTCATAGCCAGTGCTCTTTGTTTTAGATAAGCCTTGTCCTCCCACAAATTCAGAAAAGGCCACATTAGGCAACGGCATCTTGCTGGACTTGATCCTTCATTGATCTGCCAGCAAAGCTCTGCACTCAGCAGGGAAAGCCCACCAGAACAATGATTCCTAACGAAGAGGCAGGTCCAAGTTAGAGGACCGTGTCGAAGTGTCACCTTCATCCCCCAAGCTCTTTCCCAGTTGGAGTGCTGTTACATCCTTTAATCCCATTTGACCTGTGCATAATCAGTGGTGGAAAGGAGCAAATCAGAAGCAAGGCCTGGCTTTCTGGAAGGCAAAATTAAACAGTGGACCTGTGACATGGGAAACACGGAGGACGGGGAATGCCTGGGCTGTTACTGACTTCAAGCTTCCTCAGAAGGAAGATGACATAGATGGGCTCGTCCCTATTAGTGAGCGCCACTCCCTGGTTTCCTCCTCTTTACACTTATCCTTGGCAAGGAACTCCAGGCAGCACAGCAAAGCCAGTGGGCCACAGCTTTTGGAGCCACGAGGATGACCACATAGTAGTGCTGTCACCCTGGACATGCTCTTCATCCTCTGGGGCTCAGTTTCCTCATTTGTACAATGGGGATAATACCTACCTAATACGCAGAGTCCTAGAGAAGATAAACTTAGACTGTGTATGCCAAATGTTTACCATGGTGCCTGGCATACTGGGCCAACTCAGTGGATGTCTATGGGACTTACAGACTTTAGAAGGTTGGTTTTTGTTTTTTTGTTTTTTTTTTAGATGGAGTCTCGCTCTCTCACCCAGGCTAGAATGCAGTGGTGCGATCTCAGCTCACTGCAACCTCCACCTCCTGGGTTCAAGCGATTCTTCTGCCTCAGCCTCCTGAGCAGCTGGGACTACAGGCACGTGCCACCATGCCCAGCTAATTTTTTTTTTTTTTGTATTTTTAGTAGAGACGGGGTTTCACCATGTTGGCCAGGATGGTCTCGATCTCTTGACCTGTGATCCACCCGCCTCAGCCTCCCAAAGTGCTGGGATTACAGGCAGGCATGAGCCAACGTGCCCGGCAGAATATTGGTTCTTTTTTTTTTTTGAGACGGAGTCTTGCTCTGTTGCCCAGGCTTCAGTGCAGTGGCATGATCTCAGCTCACTGCAAGCTTCGCCTCCCGGGTTCACGCCATTCTCCTGCCTCAGCCTCCCGAGTAGCTGGGACTACAGGCACCCGCCACCATGCCTGGCTAATTTTTTGTATTTTTAGTAGAGACGGGGTTTCACCATGTTAGCCAGGATGGTCTTGATCTCCTGACCTTGTGATCCGCCCGCCTCAGCCTCCCAAAGCGCTGGGATTACAGGCATCAGCCACCGCGCCTGGCCGATTGGTTCTTAAGAGAATGTCAACCTTCTCTGATTTGAAGCCCAGAACTGAGGAAATGGTGGGAGAGAGGTGGAGAGCAGAAACTGGAACATTCATGTTTTTCATGTGTTGCATGTTTTGGGGAGATAATTTCAAGTCAGGTGCATGTGCCTCCACAAGCACACTGTTGGTGAGCCTAGGGGTGAGGAAGCCAGAGCTGCCCTGCCAGGCTGCTTGGTGAAGGCCTGGTGACAGACAGCCTGGCCAGAAATCCAGTCACTGGCTGCTGGGAATAACTATCGTTTGGTAACATAGTTTGGTCCACCTTGCAGTGAAAAACGTTTATAATTTAAAGGCATTTGCTTCAGAGACATTCACTGTAGTAACATATCTTTTCTTTCTCTTGAGACGGGGTCTTACGACATTGCCCAGGCTGGCCTTGAACTCCTGTGCTCCAGCAATTCTCTCGCCTTGGCCCACGGAGTAGCTGTGACTACAGGTGCATGCCACCACACCAGCTCTTTGCCTTTTTTTTTTTTGTCATTAAAAAAAAATGTAGAACATTCATTTACCATCTTAGCCGCTTTTAACTGTAGAGTTCAGTAGTGTTAAGTATATTCACATTGTTGTGCAACAGATCTCTAGAACTTTCTCATCCTGCAACACTGAAACCCTATACCCACTAAACACTAATTTCCCCTCTCCCTAGCCCCCAGCGCCCTTTTTACATTGTTTCCATGATTTTTGACTACTTTAGATACTTCAAATATTGCATGATTTTATTCATACAGTGTCTACTTTTACTGTGTTTGCCAAATACAGTATTTTGACTACTACATTCAGCATTTAAAGTATCTAAAGTAGTCAAAATACCATATTTGACAAATACAGTAAAAGTAGACAAATACTGTATGAATGGAATCAGTACTGAGGTTGAGAAAGAAATCATACTATATGGATGATTGGAAATACTGAATGGAATCATACAGTATTCGTCCTTTTGTGACTGGCTTATATACTTCAGCATAATGTCCTTGGGGTTCATCTATGTTGTAGCATATGACAGGATTTCCTTCTTTTTTAAGGAAAAGAAGAAATATACTTGGATACATAATATTCTACTGTATGACTATATCACATTTTCTTTATCCATTCATCTGCTGAGGGCACTTGGGCTGCTTCCACCTCTTGGCCATTGAGCGTATGCTGTGATGAACACAGGTGTGCAAGTAACTCTGAGATCCCGCTTCGAATTCTTTTGACTATACACTCAGGAACAGAACTGTTGGATCATATAGTATTATAGACCCATTTTTAATTTTTTGAGGAAACTCCATACTGTTTTCCATAACAGTTACAACATTTTACATTTCCACCAACAGTGCACAGAGTTCCAACTTTTCCACATCCTCACCAACACTTATTTTCTGTTCTTTTGATAGTGGTCATCCTGATGGGTGTGAGGTGATATATCGCAGTTTTGATTTACCTTTTCCTAATGATTAGTGATATCGAGTGTCTTTTTGTATTGGCCATTTGTATAGCTTCTCTAAAGAAATGTCTCTTCAAGTCCTTTTCCTTTTTTTTTCTTTTTTTTTTTTTTTGAGACAGAATCTTGCACTGTTGCCCAGGCTAGAGTGCAGTGGCGCAGTCTCGACTCACTGCAAGCTCCGCCTCCCAGGTTCACACCATTTTCCTGCCTCAGCCTCCCAAGTAGCTGGGACTACAGGCACCTGCCACCACACCCAACTAATTTTTTGTATTTTTAGTAGAGACGGGGTTTCACCGTGTTAGCCAGGATGGTCTTGATCTCCTGACCTCGTGATCTGCCCACCTCCGCCTCCCAAAGTGCTGAGATTACAGGCATGAACCACTGCGCCCAGCCTTTTTTTTTTTTTTTTTTCTTTTTTTGAGACGGAGTCTCGCTCTGTCGCCCAGGCTGGAGTGCAGTGGCATGATCCCGGCTCACCGCAACCTCTGCCTCCCAGGTTCAAGCAATTCTCCCGCTTCAGCCTCCCAAGTAGCTGGGATTACAGGCATGCACCACCACACCTGGCTAATTTTTGTACTTTTAGTAGAGATGGGGTTTCACCAGGTTGGTCAGGCTGGTTTCAAACTCCTGACCTCATGATCTGCCCGCTTCAGCCTCCCAAAGTGCTGGGATTACAGGTGTGAGCCACTGCGCCCGGCCGTCCTTTGCCCATTTTAAAATCGGGTTTTTTTTTTTTGTAGTTGTTGTTAAATTGTAGAAGTTCCTTATGTATTTTGGACAGTAACTTCTAAGCATATATAATTTATTTTCTCCCATTCTATAGGATGATTTTCACTCTATTTTCTTGGATGTGTAGAAGTTTTTAAGTTTGATGTGGTCCCATTTGTCTACTTTTATTGTGTTGCCTGTGCTGTTGGTGTCATATCCAAGCAATCACTGCCAAATCCAATGTTCTGACACTTTTCTCCTGTATTTTATTCTAAGAGTTTTATAGTTTTAGGTCTTTTAGGTCTTTAGTTCATTTTAATTTTCCTGTATAAGGTAAGGGTCCCACTTCATTCTTTTGCTTGTGGATATCTGGTTTTCCCAAGATCATTTGTTGAAGAGACTGTCCTTTCCCCATTGTGTGGTCTTGGTATCTTTGCCAAAAATCATTTGGCCACATATGCAAGGCATTATTTCTGTGCTTCCTATTCTGTTCACATGGTCTATAGATCTATGTAGCACAGTGTATCTATGTTTATGCCAGTACCACACCATTTTCATTACTGTGGCTTTGTAGCGTGACAGATATTTTCTTTCTGAACCTCAAAGACTATCTGTCCCTCCCATTTTAGCTTCCTCTCTCCACTGGATCTTCTGCTCAGAAAGTAGTTTCCCTTGTAGTCAGTTCTAAGTGTGGTTACAGCAGGTCCAACAAGAAAGGGCAGCTCCTTTGAGTTAGTATTTATTTTTCCTTTATTGCCTCCCTGCTCCTTTTGGTATATGTTAAAAAGCTGTGTGAAGGCAGCATGAACCCGGGGCTGATACTGAGGGCGTTCGGGTCCTCATATTCATTCTTCAATCCATGGACACACATGGAAGGTCCGCTTTGGCCAAGCTCCAGGCTGGGGACTGGGGACAGGGCACTAAGCGAGGTCAGGAGCCTCGCATTCTTTGGGCCCCAACCAAGTTTCTCTGTTTTTTTTTTGTTTGTTTGTTTGTTTTGGTTTTTTTGTGAGACGGAGTCTCGCTGTCGCCCAGGTTGGAGTGCAGTGGTGCGATCTCGGCTCACTGCAGGCTCCGCCCCCTGGGGTTCACGCCATTCTCCTGCCTCAGCCTCCCGAGTAGCTGGGACTACAGGCGCCCGCCACCTCGCCCGGCTAATTTTTTGTATTTTTAGTAGAGACGGGGTTTCACCGTGTTAGCCAGGATGGTCTCGATCTCCTGACCTCGTGATCCACCCGCCTTGGCCTCCCAAAGTGCTGGGATTACAGGTGTGAGCCACCGCGTCCAGCCCAAATTTCTCTGTTGTTGCTTTGATGGAAGCAAGACGTGGGCATGGCAAACACACCCAGAGCACCCCTCTCCACCCACACTGGGGTGCATCCCGATGAAGTCATTCAACCTCAGCTGTCTTGTTCCTGGGATGAATGCAAGTCTAGCAAATGCTCTCTCTACCCCACCCATGCCAACTGAGGCATTCTGTAGAAGGCAGGAGACAGAGAAGAGGAAACCACTTGAAACATTGTCAAAGCCTGGATCCACTTGCCAAAACTTTTGGGAACTTTTTCGCCCCACCTAGATAAGAAAGCTGTTTGAAGCAAAATTCTCTTAGCCGCTTCCTCTTCTACTTTTCACAAACTTGTTTCTCAAATGTCTGTAGAGATGGGACTCTCAATGGAAGGAGGAATGTCCAGCCATCCCTAAGACATGTATGATGGTTGACTTTGCTCTCTTTGCTTCTGTTTCTCCGCCTTGTGTATTTTCTCCTTTCTCTTCTCTCCACATTCCCCATTCAAGCAGGACTCGGGCTCTGTGCTCATTCCCCCAGTTAAGGTTAGGGGGCCAGGTGGGGAGTGGAGGCAAGAAGACATCCAGTCTTCAATTCTCACTGGCTTTTGTTTTCCAAAATTTAGGCTCTTTAAGCCCTTACCTACCAGGGGAAAAGGTGAAGAAAGAGGTTTCCCAATATAGACCAAACACCTTGGAGCAGCAGGCGAGTGTGCAGGTTTCCTCCAGCCCCACATTAGAAAATGACACTCTCCTGGGCTGGGGGAAGAGGAAACAAAGGTCTATGGGTCTTGACTGAAGGTCCAGGTCTGCCCCCGACCTTTTTTTTAAACACAGCTTGGAGAAGTGGCAAGGCTCTTCTCTGACCACTTCCAGGGTCCTGGTTTGCCTGGGAGTGAGGGGGTACCAGAGACATGGGGCTTCTAGGTGACCAGGACAGGTAGTCACCTAGTGCTAGCACATCAAGGCAGATAGGACCATAGGTGACCATAGGTAAAAGATTCCTACTTCCCAAGCAGGGCCTGAGTGGCCATAAAGATGGGAGGATGATGTCTCAAGGGCAACCTATATCTGTTAATGTCTAGGGACACCTGAAACCTCATATAACTCCGAGGAGGGATAGCTCAAGAATAACAAATTAAATTTTCCACCCGTCCAGTGGCATGAGAACTCAAAGTTAGAAATCAGGTTGAGAGACATGATACAGTATCATCTGCACATCTGAATCTGCAGCTGCTCTTCATAGCATGTAGAAGTCATTCAAAGATGAGACTCAGGTGGTGGTGGCCTGGGGTGTCATGGGAGTCCTGCTTGTAGCAGGACATGACTTAGTGACTGCTAAATCAAAGTGGCATGTATTCCTTCAGCCACAGTGACTCACATCTCCTTTCATATGCTTTTTTCTTTTTATGAATGCATTCTCTAGTCTCTGGCCAGTCATCACTTCCTTCTCTCAACAAGTCTTAATGCCGTAGGACAAATAAGAATGACAGCCGAGGAACGTGCCTACAGTCACTGCCTTGCTTACAAGAGCATGGACTTCAAGGTGGGCAGTCAGACCCCTTGGACAACAACTGTTCCAGACAAAGAGCAATGCCCCAAAGAATCCTGCTCTCTATCCTAAGGGAAGAGGACATTTGGTGTAGGAGCTATTTAATGGTTTCATTTTATTTTCCACACTAAGTGAATTTGGGAAACGTTGAAGCTAATCTATCTTCTTCACATTTCTTGAGCACTGGGAGTAATGTTAACAACTTAGACTGGAAAGTTCCCTTTTCCACTCTGAGGCACCTCCCCACTCTAGCCCTTGCCTAGCTGTGATCACAGATGACGGCCCGGCCCGGCCTAGCCCAGGCAGCGTGGTGTCCACTGCACACAATAACCTGTGGGTGGGAGGGCATAGGAGGAGTCAGTTTCAGCTGCCAGATCCCCACATCTGAACACTGCTCATCAGAACACAGTGTTTTCACATGTCACCTGCTTCCTTCTTTATGAGGAAACTGGATGTGCTGATTCAAAGGTGGATTTCTTAAAGTTAAAAACCTGGGCAGTCTCCCTCAGCATATTTCCAGTGTACCTAGAACATGTCATGACAGGAAGGCACAAAGAACATAAAGGGTTTGCTTCATGTTCTACATGGAGTTCAGACTTATGAAAGAAGGCTCAGATTTACACAAATGGCAACTCCTTGGATTAGCTGACCTTTTCAACTAGTGTTGTTGGAAACAGTCCCAGTTGCCCTTGCTACCATTAATAAAAGGTGAGACCCCAAACTTCCCAGGATGCAAATGTTCCTCACCCTTCTGCCTCCATGAGCATGGCCTCCTCCATATTGCCCAAGATATGGGGGAGATTTACATAGATTTCTGCCAAAAGGTACCCCAGGGCAGCTCATGTAGACATACTGTGTAAAGTGACACACCTGTCTGTCCTCCAGGAGGCTCAGAAGGGGCAAGGAAGAGAAGATGCAGGATAGGGAATGGAATCAGAATGAGCTCTGCCCACCATGTAACCTGGGTGAGGCATTCAAACCCTCTGGACCCCAGATTCCGCTATTATGAGGGGAGGCTGTTTCATGATCTCTAAAGTTCTGGGCTTCTGAGTCCCTACCCTGTGGAAGGAGTGCCCTAGTGGACTGGTGAAAACCTGGCTCTAAATCCCATTGTGGCGCTAGTCTTGATTTCCCTGGCTTTGGGTTTCTGTGGTCAGGGACTTCCTTTAGGCTAATGCCTCTCATTTGTTTCAGGGAAGGAGGTGAACTTAAGGGACTGGGCAAATTTGGAGGGAGCAGCAGAGTGTAGGCGGGCTCAGGCCCTTCCTCATTCTCTTTTGCGATCCACCTGTCACCAGGAACATCCTTTCTCAGATCCATAGAGAGGTTCACCTTGTTGGCTGGGCCTGGTAAAAGGTGGGTTGGTCATTCTGATTCAGGGGTAAAACATTGACAAGCCGACTTGCCTACAGCTGTTCCTGTGGTAGTTTTCCAATCAGATGATTTCATATTCAAGGTGATATTTTTAATCTTCATCTGTTTGACTCTTACATCTCACAATTATTCAGAACTTGGACAAGGAAGAGGAAATGACTTACTGGGTCTTCAAAACTTCAAGAGTCAGCTCTGCTACTTTCCTCCTGTCTAACCTAGGTCAGGTTACTACTTAAGCTCTCTGAACCAAAGTATTATCATCTGTTTAAAAAATACTACACAGGCTACTTTGTGAGGCTATAGGTAGTTGATACACATAAAGTAGCACAGTATCCGGTACATAGTAAGTGCCAGTGAGTGGCTGGTATTCTTGTCTTCGGGAGCCGCACACTTAGGAGGAAGTCGAAGTCATTTGCACTGACCACTCAATTGCCTCGCAGGAGTTCCTAGCTGCCTGAGTGCCCTTATATAACTTTCCCTCCCTTTCTCATGCAATAATTCATTCAACAAACATTACTTCCCTCTCTGAGAAGGCACTGAAATTTCATGTCAGGAAGCACTTCAGAGTCCAATTTAACATGGCGGCTGCTCACTGGGCCTTACCCCAAAGGACTGAGCACTAAGGCCCACTTGGAGAAGAGGGCTTTGGGCCTCACCCTCCTGAGCCCTGAGTCTTGTAACATGCCCACAGCAGGTGGGAGCTAGGCTCCAGAGAGGCTGCTCCCAGGAAAGCCACACTAAGCCACAGCCATATGCCTGGCAGCTTCTGAACCATGCACCAGGAAACATGAGGATTCAGTTTGTTTTCTCCCAGACAGCCTGGGGCCTCTGAAAAATAGGTGTCTTAATTCCTTTCTATCTAAAGCCAGGGTAGTAGCATTTGCCACACAACAGCTGGGTGTGGGGATTACCATTGTCTATAAATGGGCCTTAATGCAAACTATCATATTGACACACATGTGAGCTTCTTTCTGAAGCACGCACACACGAGGCATCTCTCCAGAGCTCTCAACATCAGCTGGCTGCCCAGAATAGCTCTAAACCAGTCAGCAGGGGTGGAGGATTCAGAACCACCGCTGTCACTGAAAGAATGGCTGTCTGGATGCTACGTGATGAGACTACCTATTATGGCAATGCCAGCTTCTGAAAGAACTGTTTCTTCTTAAGAAACTTTACATCATTTTCCTAATCTAGTGAGATAAACTGTACAATATTTTTACTTTTTTTCTGAGATGCACATGCTGCTCTGGGAGAGCAGAAAGGAGGAGTCACTGGAGATCTGCCAACTGGCTTGGGATGAACCAACCAAACCTGATGTGGAAAAGTCATTGAGTGCTTTAGCTATTGATGGACTACGAGAAAGACAGTCATTGAAACAGAGCTAACTGCAAGGAAAGGGGCGGGGGAAGAGAATGTTTGGAGATACTACAAAGTTGAGTCTGCCGCAAAGGCTTAGAAGACAGAGACCAACATTATGTTCACTAAAAACAGTCTTGGCAGGCAGAGCAGGTTGGGGAGAGGCACTATGAGGTAAGAAGGGGAGAGAGGTGTATATTTCCCCAGAAGCAGCAGGTTTTTCTCTGCCTTGACCTTCACAAGATTATCTGGGACCTTTCTGACCAGTATATTCATCAGTCAGAAAGACAGGAAGCTGCTGGCATTTCTGATCAAATAGCAAGAGGCAACAATCTGTACATGTACTTACTAGATCTTATCTAGAGGGATGACAAAGGAAAGTAAGCTGCACGCTTTACACACTGCATCAAGGTGCATCGGGGTCACTTGGTTCCCTCCTCAAGGGGATGCAGCACAGATCCATCAGGCTCGCAGCTATCTTGCATGATAGCCCAAGGCAGAAAAGGGCTGTGAAAGGCATTGGACATTACAGTACACTCCTACTGTTGAGAATGACTGAGCTGCCTGGCATTTGACCAGTATCTCATCACCAGTTATTTTATTTATCACTATATGTTATAGCAGAACTACTGGCAGGATCGCTGTAAGTAGATACAGATAAATGGCTCCTCTTTGTTCATTCACATTCTCAGACAACTCTACAAGATTCCAGTGCCTCAGAATTGAGGCAACATGAAACATCACTGATTTTTGTGGTTCTAGGATAAGTCCTCACCATGGATACAAGGTATATCATGAAGAGAAATGAGCCTGTCATTTTGGAACACCACAGGAAAACAAACAGCTCATATTGTTTTCCACTCTCCCCCCATTTCCCACACAAAGCATCTCATGGCTTTGATGCTGTGGGGCAGCACTGTGCATGCCCCCAGCTCTGGGCTGGATGCCATGACAAGGGTCAAAAAGCCACATAAGAACCTTGGGGGTCACTGAATCTAACCCTTTCATATTGCAGAAGCTCAGCAAGTTTAAGGGACTCACCCAAGTTACTCAAATAATGAAGAGGCAGAGGCAAACTGCTGCTATACCTGACTGAAGTCATTTTTACCTGGAAGCTTCTCCCAGGAGACTGGTATAGATATGGTGGTTCTCAGACTTCTGACACTAGCCCACAGCTCATTGCCTATACCCATTCCCACTTCTGCTGGAAGAAGAACAAAGCATTGAAGAGGAATGCAATGCTTAAAGTGATTTAAAAAAAAAAAGAATGAATAAACAAAAGGCCGGGCACGGTGGCTCACACCTGTAATTCCAGCACTTTGGGAGGCTGAGGTGGGTGGATCACCTGAGGTCAGGAGTTCGAGACCAGCCAACATGGAGAAACCCCATCCCTACTAAAAATACAAAATCAGCCAGGTGTGGTGGGACAAGCCTGTAATCCCAGCTACTCGGGAGGCTGAGGCAGGAGAATCACTTAAACCTGGGAGGCGGAGGGTGTAGTGAGCCGAGATCGTGCCATTGCACTCCAGCCTGGGCAACAAGAGTGAAACTCTGTCTCAAAAAAAATAAAAAATAAAAAAATAAATGGAATACTCAACAGAAGTAAAACATCAAGACAAGAATGACTGCAACCAAACAACACAGTCAACTCAAGGCAACACTGGTGGTAGCGAAGTGTTCTTTTCCCAGTTTGCAAATCCCAACTGTCTACGTGTGTGCATTCATAAATTTTGCAGGGTCACCAGGCATTGCCTCGGCAGTTAGATGTCTGAAAAGAGTAATGAGTTTGAGTCCTTAAGAAACTATGTTAAGACACCAATTTGGATTTATAAAGAACACATTTTAGTAAGCTTTAATAACACACGCTTTACTTTATTGATTGGCAAACAGCTCCTTGTTGTATGCAAAAATGAAAAACCTATGGAATCCTGCTATTTGCCTATAAAAATTGAAAAAAGGATTTTCTAGAATGTTCAGATCAGTTTGGAACCATCAGGAAGAGTCCTGGGGCTCACCAGTGGGTTTCATACTTAGAGGAACATTGACCTAAAGCCAACATCATGGCTGGGACAGAGGCCTGTGTCCACAATGGACAAGAGATGTGCACTTAGGGAGACATTTCCATGAGGAACTGTGTGCAGACCTGGTAAGAAACAGTAAGTACACCATTCTTGCTGAGTGCTTAGCCTGTAGTCTCACAGTGGGGTTCTTAGCCAGGCCCCTGGAAAGTGCTGGGAGGGAGAGGGGAGGCTGTAAGGTCCCTTTGCCTGAAAGTCTCTGAGAATGGCCAGCCAACACTCCCAGACGCTTTGACCACTAACTTGCCTGAGGAAAGGAGGAGGGGCCAGGCCACCCTGACCAGCCTTTTCTGGATGGATAACTGCTTGATTACAGTTACAGTGAGTTCATCATCTTCATTGCTCCTTCACCTTTCCCGTCTTCCTCCACAAAAGTCTGCTGTGTAACAAGATGTGCTCTGCCAGCTCTACTTGTCTGGACTCTGGCTTTGCTCACATCCCCAGGTGGTGGTCATGAGTCCTCCTCTGGCTATTTTAAAAATGCACAGTGGTTAAGGGCTTGGGTCCTGGAGGGAAAACAGACTTGGATTCAAATCCTAGTTCTGCCACTATGTGCCTCCTCTAAGCCTCAATCTCCCTATCTGTAAACTGGAGACACTATCTCAAAAACTAACAACTGGCCACGAATGGTGGCTCATGCCTGTGATCTCTGCAGTTTGGGAGGCCAAGGCGGGTAAATCACCTGAGGTCAGGAGTTCAAGACCAGCCTGGCCAACATGGTGAAATGCCGTTTCTACTAAAAACACAAAAACTTAGCATGTGGTGGCATGTGCCTGTAGTCCCAGCTACTCCGGAGGATAAGGCAGGAGAATCACTTGAACCCGGGAGGCAGAGGTTGCAGTGAGCTGAGATTGTGCCACTGCACTCCAGCCTGGGCAACAGGAGCAAAACTCCGTCTCAAACAAAAGAAAACAAAAACGAAAACAAAAAACCTAACAACTGATATAATGCAGGAAAAGTGCTCAGCATACAACTGGCAAAATAGTTTATTGCCAATACCCACAGCTGTTATTGCTGTCGTTAGTAGCTGGTGATCTCCAGTGGGTGCTCTATACTCAGGTCCACCTCTCCTAGGAAATTTCCCCTAATTACAGAGTCAAATGACCTCTCCCAGTGACCAAGATTCCCCTTTTCTGAACTTCCACAGCCCTATCCCAACACTTAAACATGTACTTTTCTGTACTGTCATATAAATGTCTCATGCATATACCACTTACTGGCCCCTGGCTCCCAACAACTAGCTTGTCAATTTCTTGGAGGCTTGCCTTTTGCACTATACAGTAATGACTCTGTATCACCTCTGTATCACCATGGTCCTGGTCCCTATTATGCCCAGGTAGAAATAGTCTGCATACAGCATAAACACATGGTTGCTGGATGAACGCATGTGTGAGGTGAACATGTAATTTTTTCAGTATGCACACACTCAGTATTTATGATGTAGGGAGAAAAGTAAATGAGAAATTATGAGACTGAGAGTTTCATTCCCCACCTTGTAAGTGAATGCCTGTGCAGCCTTAGGCTGGGTGTTCACAAAATGCAGCAACTGCCACCTGCCTCCCTACTAGGATTTAGTGAAGATGGATTAGGCTTTTAAGAAGCAGTGGGAAAACACAACCATCTCCTTGATGTTAAATAAAGATGAGCATCTGAGTTTTGATGGTAACAAATGGATCTCATTCTCTTTTAGTATTTTCCAGCTCCTATTCCACAAAATGAGGAACATAAAATAGGGTTCAGCCTTTTTAAATCTGATTTCCAGAGACAGAGATGCCACAATGTCCCCTAGTAAGTCATTCCAATGCAAGGAAATTTCTGAAAAGGTGAATCTAAATTCCTTTTCTCACTTTATGCTCACTTTCCTTTGTCTACTGCCAAATGAGGCTGACAGTTGCTCTGATC
The DNA here is from genome assembly GCF_000001405.40 of Homo sapiens. Lineage (NCBI taxonomy): Eukaryota > Metazoa > Chordata > Mammalia > Primates > Hominidae > Homo > Homo sapiens. The sequence continues at coordinate 94,869,696 of NC_000001.11, read as the reverse complement.
ACCATTTACAATCATCTTTATTCTTAAACATTTTTATTTCACTCTGCTTTCCAGTAGTCAATGTAGACCAGAGGTGACCCTTCCCTCTCCATTAATATTCACATCAATTCTTGTTTTTTCATTCTTCCTCCTCTTCCCAATCTCCTGAACCTTAGGCCTCTGAGCATCACCCATATCAGCTGGCAACACCCAGTTCTACAGGAGTCACCCCAAGGAAAAGACACTACAAAGCAGGTTTAGCCACAGCCTAGTGCACAGGCACCATGATTAGAATCTGAAAGACCTATCCCTGTTTGCACCACTGACTCACTACAGGAGCTGGATCAAGGCTGGCTTAGTTTTTTTGTGAATCAGGGATCATTACTTCCATTGACACAGCTTTTAAAAGGAGTCGTCACCTTCACAATGGTCATTAAGGTGTGGTTAACATTAATGTCACTTATGAGTTTGGAAACATTTTGAATTACCAAGGGAAATGGTCCTGGATTAATTAAGGTGGTGAAAGTTCAGAAGGCAGGAAAATACGTATCTCAGGATAACAGGGCAGAGGAAACAAATGTGAAAATGGGACCAGAGGTTTTCAAATGTGTTTCAGCAGCAGAGACCTGTCCTCAAATGAAACCTTCAGTACACTCCCACACTCCCACCCCTAAACCACATAAAGTGGAGCTGCTCAGGCCGCAAGGCCAGGCAGTATAGGCATGGTATATGGGGCCAGGGCCCACCCTTCCTCCACCTCAGCCATTTCTCTGCCCTCCTAATGTGGTGGTCCCCACAGTGTCCACAGGAGCCTCTAGGCTTCCAGGGGCCAGTATGAAAACCATGAGTGAAAGAGGGATGCGGAAAGTACCTGAATTCCCGTAGTACAGTGAGAGGGGATAACAGGTCAACCCTCGGGCCTTGTAGGGCCATATGGCCAACATATTTGTATATCAATGGTCCCATTCATTGCTTTTGTCTTTCTAGTCTATCTATATGTTTCTTAGACTTTATTTTTCATGCATATATATTTTATCATAGTTAATACATTTTTGCAATGCATCTCAAAATATTTATGAAGTTGCCGTCTGGATATATACACAATAGCTATAACATCTTACACCACGACAAATGTATTCAAACGGTTTGGACTGACTTGTTATATGTTCCCCCCCATTCTGAAAGGTCCTATGGTATTTGATTGTGTTTTATACATGCTGGCTTATAGCAATCCAAATGAAAACTAAATATACTCTAAAATGTTCTCCAAGTTTAAGAGCCTAAAAATAGACCTTACTATAAGAAGGCTACATTTTTCCCTGAATAATGAAAAGTATTCTAAATACCCCTTAAAAGACATTAAACATAGGTGGTCTAATTAGTCCCTTTACTTCTAAAGGTACATTTCTTTGGGAGGGGGCAATTATAAGAAATACTTTTCTAAGTGAGATTTCTGTGAACATTTAAATTATAAAACAGTTTGCTAACTTACAAAAATACTGCTTTGTGTAAATTTGACTAAGGACTATTAAAATCTCCTAAATGCTCTATAGAGAAATACAACATATTTAAATTTCCATCAATTTGAAAAATTCAGGAAAGGAAAAAAATCTGAAATCCAAACAATTGCAAGATATAATTTTTATAATTTTAAAGGCATATTTACAGCTTGAAAAGGAAAGACTGGTGAAATCTATGAAAATTAGGGAGGCAATTCTTTTCCTAGTTCAGGAAAATTATAGTTCTTAGAGAAGACACTGAAAATTAGCTCTTAGTTGATATATATTCATTATGCTTAGGGTTTCTAAATACTCCCTTCCCTCTTTATTTCTGAAAAGAGAAAAACTTTCTTTTAGAATTTGAAGCATGGCTTTAAAGGCCTATGGTTCTAGGGTAGGGTATGCAAACTACAGCTCAGGAGCTAGCTCCATCACACCGCCCACTTTTCTCTGGCAGGAGCTAAGAACAATTTTTACAATTTTACAATGGTTGAGAAAAAATCAAAATCAAAAAAAGAAAATTTCTTGACATGTAAAAATCATATGAAATTCAAATTTCAGTGTTGATAAGTTAAGGTTCATTAGAACATAGCCACATCCATCCCATTGACATTTTACCTATGGCTGCTTTCCTGCCATGATGGCAGAATTGAGTGGTTGTGACAGAGAGACTGGTCTGAAAGCCTAAAATGTTTACACAATTTAGCCCCTTAGAGAAGAATTTGCCAAACCTTGACCTAAGAGATGAAGCCCACCTTTGGACCCTTCTGTGTGTTCCTGAGGCAAGAGGTAGAGACGTACCTGGTTGAGATGGAGCAGGTATTTGTCAAGACACCAGAAACAGCAGTAGCAGCATCGGAACAGGTACCTGGACAATGCACCATGCTGCTGGATCAGGTTGAGAACAAAGGAACAGAGTCAAAAACAACACAGGAAAGAAGAAAAGCAGGCAGTTTCTGAGGAAACACAGTTTTTACTTATGCACCTGGGGAAACACTGGTGGCGTGGGAGAAGTTCTATTGTGTGCATACTACTACTACTAATTATGGTTCTAGTATTACTGAGGAGCAACATTTCTGTCTTGTGGACTTACGTGTTAGGGGTGCTATTAGGGAGGTTAGTCCATACTGAACAGCAAAACAAAAGCAGGCCTTCTGGTTCCAGTAAAAAAAAAAACCTCTCTTCCCCCTTCATCTGCCCTTAAGTGTCTGAAATGGTACACTTTGCTTTTTCAAACCAAAGTTTATATTCACGAAAAATCCACATCCCAGAAACAAAAAAAACAAATAATACACTGTAGGTACTAGTTATGTGCCCACATAAATAAAGAATCAAGTTTAACTCTGGAGGAAATAAATCCTGTAGTGAGATTTTTTTCAGGACTAAATTTCGAGGGATAAATTACTCCTTTGAAATATAACTTGAACTTGTGCATAGCTTAAGAATGAATACTTTAATGAACCTCTTGGGGGAAGGGTGCTCGGAGGCATCCTACCCACTCTCCAGAGTGAACACATCCCTGAAAACAATCCTGAAATAGCCTAGGATGAGGACCCCAGGAATAACTCAGCCTTATATGGACATTTTCTCATCCCAATGTGAATTCAATTGGATGAAACTTGATCTGGACACTTTTCAGCCTGGCTGTGTTGGTGAATGAGCCTATTTAACTAGGGAAAATCACACAGTGGCTGTGTGAGACATTTAAATTGTAGACACAGTGTGGGGCAGTAAGGCTGCTGAGGAAGAAATTTTTTTTTAACCTAAGAAAGGACACATTTTCCCAATAGTGACATCACTAAAAGCAATTTTGGCCCTTGGTCCTTGTGGGATCTGGGAAGTGATAAATAACCTTTTAGACCTCAGTCAGAGAGACCTTGGGCCTTCCACTGAGGTCCTTGGGCCTTCTCTTTTAGATTTATGAAAGGCCGTTTCCCCAGAGAGTTTAAAATGCCTAGCTTTAGGAGGGAGAGCAAGCTCCCGGCTGCTCATTAATTTATGATTATCTATTACCAATGCGCACACACACATATCACAAATAGATTTAAAATAAAACGCTGTCCTGTTCTTCAAGAAATCCTGCAAGTTTCCTAAGACTGAAGGATTGATTTCAAAATGCAGGAGCCAAAAGTAGCTAGTTTTGCCCTGGATATGGAAATGCCTCTTCAAGTCATCAAAATGTGGCCAAGCAAAATATTAATAGAAATACAAGAAAATATTCTACAATCAGGGGCAACTGCTTAGCATGCATTTCCAGATAAGGAAGCCAGATAATTTTATGTGTTATCCAATCAATTGCTTCTAATTGATAAACTAACTTTAAATCTTGGTTATAGATTTTAAAATATCAACAATTCAGATATCTTTTTAAAAAGTAAATGAAAACAATTCCAAAATACAATGTAAACCTATTGGTAAAATGTCCTGAATTTACTAAGGACACATAGCTATACTCAAAAGGTTGGAATCAGGTAAGTTTGTGAAACTGACCAAGTCACCAACTCTAAGGTGGTGACGGGGGAAGAGATTAACATTGTGTGAGAACAGAAGACTTGGGAAAAGTCCAATCTTCTCTTGTTTGGCAGGCCAGAAATACCATGAGAACAGCTGTTTTCCTGGTGTTCTGGTTTCCACTGGCATTCATAACCAAATGTGCATGGAAATAAAAACTAGGAGGAGAAATCCCCCAGGCACAAAAGCCCTACAGTTCTCTGTCCTTTGAGCTGAGATGTAGGTCAGCTTGCCCATTTCTCACTCTCAAGCGCATGTGTACACACGCATGTACACACACATACACACTCTCATTCAAACCCTCTCCTTTTCTCCCTCGTTCTTCCTCACACACACCAGGAATTTCCCATGACTGTCTCTAGGAAACACAAAAGGCAGGCAATATTTTAGCATCAAAACAGAAATGAACAAATATTATTCCTATCTTATGGTATATTTTTTTACTTAAAAAGGCATGATAAATGTTCACAAAAAAACTTGTTTAAATTTCACCTTAAGAGTTCATCCCGTCTGTTTGGCATTTACATAAGAAGGAAAATCAGCTAACTCAGAACTACTCCCTCCCCACGCCATCTCCACCGAGTTGGAGAAAACCCAATAAACAAAACCATAAACAAAACACAGACTCTGGGAAAATAAAAGTTTTGCTGGGAGAGGCGGGGGATGGGAGCTGAGGAGTGCAGGAGCTTTCTGCACGGCCCGCTGTCACAGGTCACATTTCTGTCCTGGGACCTGCTGTAGTTTTCCAGTAATTAAGTTTCTGGCAACCCAAACACAGAACGTGCTGTGTATCAGGAGGTAGCCTTACCTGTTCTTTCAGTGCGTTTTGCATGTACATGACAATGATTCTCGGAATCCTCACCACAGAGATTAAAAATGACCCTTTCACAACGGTTCCTTGATGGTAGAAGAAGAGAATGGAGAGAGACGAAAGGATGGGATGATCAGGAGGATCATTTTTACTTCTGGAAATAGGGAAAAGGATAGCATTTTAAAAACACTTTTTATAAAGCAGCAAAAGCTCTCTGGTTCCAATCATCTGTGGTACTAACAACTTAGAAAGTTGTGACATAATAAGCATTTGGCGAACTTTTTATACTCCTTGGTAGCTTCGGTTAAATTGTTTCTTGTATTAATTTAATTCGTTTTGGTGCCACTTAATGCTACAAATAAAACAGAAAAAATTTAAAAAAATTGATGAGTTAAAAAAGTTTCCCTCTTCATAATGCAGAGCCCATCCACCAACCCTTTAGGGTGCCTATTCATCTCATTTTCACTTTCAGAATTTTAATTGCGGCACAATCTCCAAGGTTTAACTTACACAGGAGTATACATAAATATTGCCAGCATTCACCTGGTGATTAAAAATCATCACCAAATCACATGACCAGGATCAGTGGCCAGAGAGGTAATAGTGAGCTCCCACTTACAGGAAAGGGACAGAAAGCCCTGGGTGCTTGGCTCCTACACAGCTCTAGGCTCCCCAAATCCTGCTGGTTTCTACTCTGCTCTTTAAAGGTCACTTCAGTGTGAATCATTTACGGGACTTGTCATGACGCAGCTCCCAAGAATGTGTACAAGTCAGTTTCACAGGCAGGGAAAAAAAAGTGAGAAAGAACAGAATGGGCACAGCCATCACTCTCCCCTAACCCTGAAAGATAAAACAAAGGAGTGGGGGCTGATGCCACCCCACGGGTGACCCTTTGAATTCCCGCTGAAGCCAGTTCTAGAAAATAAGGTCTTTCTGAGAAGCAACTTCACAGATTCCAAGTGAAGCTTGGTTTCTTTATAATGGATTATTCTACAACTTGCTCTGGTTGCTAATAAGTCACTATGAATTAAGGTTTTGACAGCAGCCTAGGTTTTGAGAGAGGAAAAGGAAGGCAGCCAGAAATGTTTCAAGAGTTGGCAATGGCTGCATTTTGCTGTTACTCAAATCAGCCAGGAAGAAAAAGAGAACATGAAAGTAATATTGGGAGCTGAAAAACTGCAACCCAGTTGTCCCACAAAAAAAAAGGATGTGTGTTTCAACACAGTGTTATTTAAAGTAGGAAAAACCACGGAAGCTATTGCTAATAGGAATTCATTTAGATCTGATAAACTAGAAGAGTAGTGTAGGCCAGGAAAATCTGACACACTTTTTTTTCCCTTCCCTCATTTTTCTTTTTTTTTAAGGAAGAACGTTTACTTTTCCATTGAGGAGATTTGTGTGCCTTAGAACTTATTATGGTGCTCAAGAGGGGAGGCAGGGAGAAGAGGACAACACCTGCTTTCCATCTGGTAGGGAAACACATGATTCATAGGCCTCTGTGAATGAGGGCCTTGGGGTTAGCCCTCCAGGTATTAGAGTTTGGGGTTAGGCATCAGCTTTCTGAGGTTTCACTGTGATGGGGTTAACCACTTCAGGCAGAGGAGTACCTGCACTGCCTCAGCTTCCCTAGTCTGTAACACATCCTGGTTATGGCTGGAGGCTCTGCCTGGCTTGGCTGGAAGAAGATGCAGAGGTTCCAGAAGCTGGGTTATCACGTGATGGGAGACGGAACTTAAAAAGAGGGCCCTTTCAACCCAAGCCAGCTCTTGGAGCCAGGAGTCACTCAATACCTGCCCTCAAAACTAGAAACAGCCCTACAGAAAAAAAAGGCTAATGAAGTGGTGTGTCTCTGAGGCCCCCACCTAGTCTCAGACTCATTTCCATGTTCAAAGGTAACGTCATCCTACCACCTCTCCCCTGCTGTGTGTGGGGCTAGTGCCTCCAGCTCTGTCTCCCTCACAACCAGCCAAACCTGCCTTCAGGAAGAGGATCTGACACACCCAGTGATGCTAAATATAATACTTACCTCTGGACTTATTCATATTTTAAGAATTGACCTGGGGGACAACATTCCAGTGTTGAGCATATGGGGCAACCCAGCGATGAGTGTATTAGGAGGCTGGGGAGGACTGGGCCCCCAGTCAGCCTTCCTCATCTCTCTCTAGATCTTCCCACTGGACCACATCCACCCCAATTCTGTGGGTAGTGGCAATAAGGAAGACACGGGCAGTGTTAGAGGGTAAGGCGACTCTAGCATATGCCCCATGAAGCCCAGCTTCCCCCTTCCTTTGGATGTGTGGCTGCTTTGAGTGCTAATGGTGCCTGGCTCCCAGAACAACGAAGCCAGTTGCCCAAAATACCACATCAATCCAAGCTGTGGGGCAAAGGGTTTAATGGTCCCATCCATCCAAGTCCTCTAACACCTTTGGGTCATGGTACAAAGTACTGTTTTGTAATTTCTACTCCCATCAGACAACAGAGTGCATACAGCCAGGCAAGCCGCATCATGGTCCTAGAGACAAGCTTTGGCTCTAGTTAGATCCAGCCTCGTGCTCACTAAAAACTCTTCTGACATTATGGAGAATTAATTTTGTGCTGAGGCTCCTGGACTAGGTGTGGGCTGCATGGGACAAATGGCCTCCAACGTAAAGCTGGTCCCAGCAAAGGACTGTGTGGTCCCTGTAGAGACCATGTCTCTTCCAGTATTTCTTACAACAAAATCACTGCAAGATGGGGTTTGGAGGGCTGAGAAGGTTGTATGTTTCTTTCCTATTCTACAGAAAATGAAAATCGTCTTTATTAGAAAGAAGAGGATTCTTTAGCTGGCCTGGGTAACTCTTGCTAGGTTAGGAAATTCATCTATCTCTACCTAAATTCCTTAGGCTCTGCTATGAATCCATTTCCTCTTCTCCATCTGTAGATATAGAGCAGCTGGAAACCCTCTTTTGTATATTTGAAAATGATGATGAAGTCACACCTCAAGTGTCCCTCCACCACCCTGAAGGGTTCTAGCTCCTTCCTATCACATCCCTAACACCACCTTTATGGCTCTCAGTTGATCCTTCTTCAAGCAAATGGTTGTAAAAAGTAAATTCTACAGATTGCCCATATCCTGGTACCTGATGGTATTTGTATGAACTCTTCAGCCCTCGTAGTGCATAAATGAATGACAAAGATGAATGCACCCTGGCTATATTTAATCCTCACCCTGAGTGCAGGCCAGAAAAGGATACGAAGAATTGTGAACTTTGAAGATTAGGAAAAATCTTGAGGTTTCAAAATTAGGCAGAAAATCAAAAAGGAAGCAGAGCTCTTTAATAAATGCAATAGTTGTGCTAAAAATAAATCATTGTGTGTTATATTATAAATTAATTTTTTTTAATCAAAGTAATATGTAAAGTGTCTTACAAAGCCAAAAATCACTGCTAGGCTTAATAGGAAAAACAGCAGTTTTCTTCCCCCATTCATAATTCTCTCTCCCTGAGATAATATTTTAGTTGTTATTAGAGAACTCACTTCCACACCTCAAAATTACATGTTCTTACTGCTATTTCTTGGTTTTTTGGCTTCAGATATTGTCTACTGACTTTTCTACTATGAAAGATTCTGGTTTTATTTTCTTACATAGCCTAACTCCCCCAATCTCCTCACACTCATGTTCCCATTCTTCCAATGTAATTACATCAAAGCTTTTAGTTAATGCTTAGTGTTTGTTATTCATACATAAATAATATGTGCTGTAAATAATATTCACAACTGATCTAAGTAGCATATTCCAATTAGATTCCCTTCCTGTACAACTTTTTTTTTCTGAAGTTAATTGTTTCACATTTTTTTATTAGCTTGGATTTCCATGGGCCTCACCGAACGCTTCACCAACGTGTAATGCTTTTCTTAACGTGTTCGAACACACCTGGTATTCCCTCAGTTCCATTTTCTTTTCATGGTGACATCTCTCCTGGAGCCCATTGTCTACCTTGGACTGGACGCTTTCCACGCCTGCTGCGCAGCTACCCTCCTGGGAATTCCTTGCTCTGCTCTGCTCAAGCCTGTTTTCTGAAACTCATGTTTTCCTCTCTGGCTTACACATGAGTTTCAGTGGGGAACATCCCTGCTAGAAAGGATGAGGGCAGGGAAATCTTGGGACTGCCTGTGCATGACTTTGTTCTTCTTTACCCTTGACTGGTAGTAAGAATAGGTATACAACTCTATACTAGGTATAGACTGGCTATACAATTCTAGGTTGGAAATAATCTTTCACTAGACTTCTACAGCCTTCCTTCACTGTTTTTCTGGTTCAGAGTTGCTGGTGAAAGTCAGATCCTATTCTGGGTCCTTGATCCTTTGCCTGTGATCTTTTTTCCCTCGGGAAGCTTCTGGAATCTTCTTTTTACTTGTGTCCTCCAGCCCTGGCAAATTTTCTTTGTTAATTTCCTCTCTTTCTTCTTTTCTTTGTTCTGTATTTCTGGGCTCATATTAATCAGATAGTGGGTCTCCCAAATTTATCCTCTTTTAATCCTTTCTCTCTTATTTTGTGTCTCTTTGTCTTTTTATTCTACCTTCTGAAAGAGTGCTTCCACTTTATATTTTAATCCTTCAATAGAAAATGTTCACTTTTGTAATCATACTTTTAATTACTCAAGAGTCTTGTTTTCTCACTATGCCCTTCTTTTGTTGGTGGGAGGGGATCCTAGCAATACATCTTTGTTCTCTCTGATAATATTATAGTTTGCTTTGTTGTTTCCTTTTGCAGCCTGCATTGTCTCCGTTTTCCCTAAGCTCATTTTATTTGTTCATTTTGATCTCTTCTTTCACTTAGAGGCATTCATCATGTTTAATAATCACTGGTAAACAGTTCAAATTGAAGAGTGAGGCTCTCCAGAATGACCTGGAAGCTCTGTGTGAGGCATGTTGCTTGTTGTCTGATGAGCTTCACTGTTTTGCTAGGAGTCAGGGAATCCATTTCATTGGGGGACCCCATATGGCACTATCTGTAGGTCTTTACTTTGGGTTAGGCAGTTTCTCCACAAAAGCATCCTCTAACCTCTTCCTAGGGAATATCAAATGAGCTGCCAACATTCTGGGAGCTGAACTGTGGAATGTGGGGTGCTGGTGTATGTGGGGGACCTCATTTCAGTGTTTAGGCTTTCACTTACTCCCCCTGCTTTCAGTACAGAGACTTGCCCCCAGCCTCAGCTGTACCTGATACCCCAAGTCCAGGCCCTCTCTGCTTTCCCTCTCTGGAGAACAAATTTTCCTGTCTTCAGCTGGTGTGGAATTTGGGGGTCTAACTACTCCTGAGGAAGGCTTTCAGCTAATCTTTGGAAATACTTTTTATACTTGAATTCCTGAGCCTCTCTGGGATTCTGTGGCTCACTTCAGGCTGCATCTTATTTGTCCTCCTCATGCAGCCAACACACACGGACAGGCTGCTTCTGCTTTCTCCAGCGGGCTTAGGGCACTGCTCCACCTCCCTCTCTTTGGCTCTCACCATTTGGTTGGTGTTTCTTATCTGCTGTCATTGCCTCTCTGTTTCTTACTGTCCTGGTGTGTTTGTGCCTGTTTCAATCTTTCATGATTTTTTGAGTGGCTGGAGAAAGGGAAGAGATTAGGAGATAAATGCATATGCTTCACTGGAAGTCCAAATTAGAAGTCCTCATTGAAAATGCTTTGATTTTGTTATTCTAAGATAACACAAAATTACTGTCAGGCAAATATTACCTGCTGGCAAATTTGGTTAGAATACTCTCTTTGCTCCCCTACCTGGGAGGAAGCAATACACACAACCCACCCCCGGCTGCTTGGAGGTTCTCAATGCCAAGGGCAACAGCCCCTCTGTGAGTCCTCTGGAGTCTCTAATGATGGAGGCTCCGGAACTGCACCACTACATTAAAAACCCACAGTGGTGGCCGGGTGTCGTGGCTCATCCTGTAATTCCCAGCACTTTGGGAGGACTAGGCGGGTGGATCACAAGGTCAAGAGATCGAGACCATCCTGGCCAACATGGTGAAACCCCAGCTCTGCTAAAAATACAAAAATTAGCCAGGCGTGGTGGTGGGCGCCTGTAGTCCCAGCTACTCGGGAGACTGAGGCAGGAGAATCACTTGAACCCAGGAAGCAGAGGTTGCAGTGAGCCAAGATCGTGCCGCTACACTCCAGCCTGGGCGACAGAGCAAGACTCCGTCTCAATAAACAAACAAACAAACAAACAAACAAACAAACACCCGACAGTGCTCCTTATCATCAGGAGGAAACTGCTCAATGGCAGGAATCACCCCTGGCAGATAGTCTCTCCCAATGAAGCTCATGTTTCTCTCTCATTTGGTCTGAGAGGCTGGAGGAGGATCAGCCCTATGAAGAGTAAACTTCTCTTTCTGAGCCCAGTCCTGCCATTGCCCTGGCTGGGTTCCTCTGTCCTGAGGGCTCTCACTGCCCTGGGGTGAGTCACACACACAGAAGAGGTAAAGCGTTCAGGGGTGTGTGTGTTTGTGTGTGTCCTCAATTGCTTTCATGATGTGATAGGGATATAAGCAGAGAAGTGTGTAACTAATTCACTGGTTCTTAACTATAATATAAATTATATTTTGTAATTACATACAATTCCTTTAGGATTAATTTTTTTCCCCAAGCAAATGTTATCTGATTTTGCAGAGGACAAACTGAGGCTCACAGAATTTACTGAAGTATATTCAAAATAGACCAGTAATTTTTTTGTCTGAAGTCAATTAGGATGGATATTCATAGGGGAGTTCCACCCTTCCTTTTTTTAATATTAAAAGAATGGCAGCCAGGTGCGGTGGCTCACACCTGTAATCCCAGCACTTTGGGAGGCCGAGGCAGGCATATCACGAGGTCAAGAGATCAAGACCATCCTGGCCAACATGGTGAAACCCTGTCTCTACTAAAAATACAAAAATCAGCCGAGTGTGATGGCGCATGCCTTTAGTCCCAGCTACTTGGGAGGCTGAGGCAGAAGAATCGCTCGAACCCAGGAGGCGGAGCTTGCAGTGAGCCAAGATCGCGCCACTGCACTCCAGCCTGGATGACAGAGCAAGACTCCATCTCAAAAAAAAAAAAAAAAAAAAAAGGCTACTCCATAGGCAGAGCAGCCCCTTTTTATCTTTCAAGTCTAAGCAATATGATCTCTTTTCTGTTTGTCTTCTTTCTAAATTTTCTAGCTTAAAGTAAAAAGGTTGGAAATGTGACAGATTTAGGGTGTAATATTTCTTCTCACCACCAAATGAGAATACAGCCCAAATTTTAGCTTACTCTTTTATTCTTGCCAACTTCTTTTAAGGGGCTAGGTCAACATTCCCAAATATCTTTTGAGATATTAACATGAAGCACATAGATAAACCACATAGACAAACCAATAGAAAAAAAACACTGGACCTACCTGTTGAAATAACAAGTAACCACTGCCCCAGCTATAGTCATTTGCTGGCACGCAAGGATGAATTCACTAGTCCAGATGAGGCCAATTAAATGGTACGACCACATGTACCGAATGCCCGAAAGGGGCTTATATTCCACTTGGCCGCCTTCCATAACCTGGGCAGCTCCTAAAGTTTCAAACACAAACATGCTTTACACCAATGTTTTCCTAAGCATGAACCATGGTTCAACAAGCCATGTTTCTTTATGCTTGGCCTTTGGCATTACATAAAACAAATGCCAAAATCAAGTACCCACCATAATTTAAAATATACAAAAATCAAAATCAAAAACACACATTTAACTTCTAAATAACACCAACGGTGATAATTACAGTGACCATTGGTAGGCAATTTCCAAGACACCTGACATATGCTATAATACTCATCCCACTTTGTGGATGTGAAAACTGAGGTTTAGAAGAGGCAAGTAGGCTGGGTGTGGTGGCTCATGCCTGTAATCCCAGCACTTTTGGAGGCTGAGGTGGGCGGATCACCTGAGGTCAGGAGTTCAAGACCAGCCTGATCAACATGGTGAAAGTCCACCTCTACTAAAAATACAAAAATTAGCCAAGCATGGTCGCAGGCACCTGTAGTTCCAGCTATTCGGAAGGCTGAGACAGGAGAATCTCTTGAACCTGGGAGGCGAGGGTAGGAGTGAGCCGAGATCACGCCACTGCACTCCAGCCTGGGTGACAGAGCAAGATTCCAGTCTCCAAAAAAAAAGAAGAAGAAGAAGAGGCAAGTAACTTTTGTAAAGTCTCAGAGCTCAAAATTAGTAGAAGGAGAATATAAACCTAAACACATGGGACTCTAAAAATCCGTAGTTTTCCTACCATATGACTTTGTGATGCAAACCAAACTCAGCACGTTGATGAAACCACACAAAGCTTTTAGTATCACATTATAGAATCCTACTTCACCAAAAATTTAAACTTTATAAAAGAGACAAGGGTCTTTGTTATCTCAAAAGGATCTATTTCAGATTTCATTTCAAGAGCAAACTCTCTTAGCACATTTAAAATATCTACTGGGCCTCAGTGTTAACCTTCCCAGGTTCAGATCCCAGCTTTACCCCTTTGTGGGTAACCCTGGACAAGTTATTTGGCTTCCTGGAGTTTTAGATTCCTTATCTGGAATACCTGGAGGAGTTTTAGATTCCTTATCTAGAATACCTATTTCCTGGTGGTATTTTGAGCACGGAGTGAGAGTACTTGGAAAGTACTTGGTATAGTGCCCAACCCATAGACATATCGCGCCATAAGTGATAATGGTTTATTACTATCATTAAATTTCAGGAGCACAGTACTACTTTCAACTGAGGCCAGCAAGGTCACCGTAACAACTTTTTGCCATTCACGTGGCTATACCCTGCTTTCTTTTCTCTCCTCTAAAGAAGTCCTTGAATTAGCTCTGCTGGTAAATCCACTGGTAAATCCAAATTTACTCTGCTGGTAAATCCACTGGTAAATTCACTGGTAAATCCAAATCCCAGCTTTGTGGCTGCATATGATTTCTAGATCTTTTCCCACTATGGATTTTAAAACAACTACTACTGGGAAGAAGATGCATGCTCTGGTCTTTGGTGAAACCTATAGCTTGAAGAACATTTAGAGATTGTTTCATATTTCCTGCCATAGCTATAAATTGACTTTAGGCTCGTCATTCAGGAGTCCTTAGATATTCACAGTAGGGTCTGTGTGAAGGAAAGGGGAGGATATCCGTGCTGTAGATCAAAAACTGATTCCACTGACTAAGGCTGATCTTAATTCCCAAGCTCTATGTTCTGCTGAACAAGAATTACATTGTAAGAAACAGTGGAACAGCTTGATTTATAGAGAGGTTAATGTTTTATGAATGCTGGGCTCACTTTGGCTTGGAGGCAATCTCTGTTTTGGGTAAGGCATGGATAAATGCCTATGGTTTTCTAAGATGGGGTGATTCAGGGCATGCTTCAGGAAACATTCCCAATTCCAGAGGAGGTGGCCCCTCCCAAACAGAATGCCTGTTAGGTAGATGAGGTCAGTGGACTCTGAGAACCACTCTGGAATATGAGAAGTGCTCTGAGCCAGGGAAGAAGTACCTGCTCCTCCTACAAGGCCCAGCAGTATCAGCGACAGATTATGCTTTTGCAAAACTAGGTTTACAATATCACGAATAGTTTGCGGGCGGAGAATATTTCCACAGAACAGGAAGGATGATTTCTTCAGACAGACAAAGGTAAGTATGTCCTACAGGACCTGGACGCTAATGGGGGCCAGACTCTCCTCTCAGCTGCCCTGTGCTGTCAAGTGCACATATACGCACACCTCCCAACCTGGCACAGTCAGCGGTGGGAGCAGCTGAAGTGATGAGTCAAGATCCGCTTAGACATTATTTGGCATTCCCCCAAAGAATGGCATTTGGCACTCCCCAAAGAAGCAGAACCTGCAAGTTATTTTTGAGTGATCACTATTGTTTCTGAACATCCTTATCAAAGCCATCTTCTATTTGTTCCTGGGGCTGTTTAGGACTTTCCTTTAGGGCAGGGTTTCTCACCGACATTGTGGACCAGATCTTCGCTGGGGCTGGGGCTGGGGCTGGGGCTGTCCTGCGCACTGGAGGGTGTTAGCAACAAGCCTCGCCTCTCTACACAGATGCCAGGAAGCTCTCCCTCCCCTCCCACAGCCACGACAACCCAAAAATGTGTCCACACATTGCCAAATGCCATATCAGGGGCAAAAAGTCACCGGGGGGCGCGGGGGGCTTGAGAACCATTGGTTTAGACAAACGTTCAGGGGCGCTCTGGCTTCAGGGCGAAAGCCGGGAAACAGGTTGGATCTAGCTCGGAGTCTGCGGTTGCAGAGCCTGTGGGTGGGGTAGACGTGCTTAGGCACACATGACTGCCCTCTCCTGGATGGCTGTGTGAATGCAGGCAAGATCCCCTCATCACATGACAGTTGCTTTGTCTCTATGGACTGGGCACTACAGCTACTATCATGGGTAGCTAATGGGTGTTAATGGGAGGTAGACTATGGGTAGATCCCAAGATATGACAGATCTCAGGGGATGGTGGTGGGAAGAGCACTGAATTGTGAGAAGGCTTGGTTCCAGGCTCAGCTTTGAAATGTGTGACAAACAATGTGGGCCACAGCTCTCTGATGGTGAAGAAGAGAGTAGGCAAGATGAACTTGGGACAGTGATTACTGGCTTGGGCTTGAGAGTCACACAGGCTGAGAGTCACATCTCTGCACTGTCCCCTAAGCAACCTCCTGCAAATAGTGGGACTTTTTTTGAAATCTGCTTCATCACTTGAAATCGGAGAATGGTAATACCTACTTCTCACACCCTTGGTGATCTCGTCCTGTCTTGTGGCTTTTAGTGCAATACACATAGCTGTTATGAGTTAAGTATAATAAACAGGTAAGGCTCTTAGAATAGTAAGTGCAATAGGGTCAGCTACAGTGAGTGCCACACAGGGTTAGCTATAAATGAGATATAGGTAGATAGAATTCCAATTCTGAAATTAACTTAAACATTTATTGAGCATCTACTCCATGCTGGTATTATGCTGGACCTCAGCTATTAGGCGGAACAATAAATGAGGCAAAAAAAAAAAAAATCAGAGAGAGGATACCATCTGAGTTACTATCAGAAACTTACATGCTCCCATATTGGTCCATTTGTTTCCCCTTCTTCTGCCCAACTGTTTTATAAATTCCCCCTTCAACCTTCAAGAGCTTCCTTCCCATCCTCACTCTCAGCCCATGATCTTACCTCCTGTTTCACTGAGAAAACTGATGCAATCAGAAAACCTCTGCTAGTGCTGACCACCTCACACCTAACCTGCTATCAACACGGGTCCATAATCTGAGTCCTCTCCCAGAACATGATATTAATAAATGGCCCATGATCCTATGGCCACACTTCACCAGATCCCATTCTTTCTAACCTGTGTGAACATAACTCTTCAATAATTTTCACCCTCTTCATCAAAATCTTTCTCTCTATTGAATCATTCGCAACTATCTCCCATCTTTAAGAAAAATCTACTGTGGACTCTTTCCTCTTCCAGCTTCCTCTCCATTTCTGTTCCTTTTAACAGTGAAATTCCTCAAGATTGTCTATACTTACTCTTTCCAATTCTTTTCCTCCCACTTTCTCTTCACCTACTCCAATCATGATTATTCAGTGGTCAATCCTCAGTTCTTCCTTTAGCGGCAGCACTTGCCACACTGGACCGCGCACATCTCTGTGAAACCCTTCACCTGCATTCCAGGGCCCCACACTCCACCCCTTCTCCTTCGACCCACTGGTCACTCCCTTTCAGTCTTCTCTGTTTGTTCTCCCTCATCTCCCGGGCATCCTGAAGTGCCTCAAAGCACAGTCCTTGGATTTCTTCCCTTCTCTATCTACATTCATTCTAATCTCATGGTTTTAAATACTATTAATATGTTCCCAAGTTCCTAAATGTGAATCCCAGCCAGGACCTCCTCCACTAACTTCAGACTCAGATAGCTAACTGCCTACTTGACATCTCCATCTGGTGGTCTAAAAGACATTTCAATTAAAGCAACTAAAAATTAATTTCTGATCTACCCCTAAAATGCTATACTCAAATTCTTGCCCCATATATCAGTTTATGGCAAAGTTATCTTCCAGTTGCTCAGGCCAAAATCCCTCAGAGTCTTCTCCAACTCCTCTTTCTTTCATGTAACCAGAAAATCCAATTTGCTCTACCTTCAAAATAGATGCAGAATCTAATATGTCATGCCACTTCCAACATTATGACCTATTCCAAGCCACCATCCTCTTCTTACTGAATCACTGCTATTAAAATGTAGTCAGGTCAAGATTTTATTCTGCTTAAAATCCTGTAAAGACTTCTTCCCAATTCAGGTTAGAAGCCAAAGTTCCTACAAAGGCCAGAAAGGCCCCAGGATCTGACTGTGTGCACCCTGACTCCCCTCTGAACCAAGCTCTCCCTCGCCCACTCCACTCTCGCTGAATAGGCTTCCCTTGCTGTGCCCTAGAACTCCAGCCTCTTGCCAGCCTCTGTGCCTGGGATGTTTCCCCTTGCTTTAGATGGTCTTATGGCTCTGCACTCACCTACTTCAAATCTTTCTGCATCATCACCTTCTCAGTGAGGCACCCCTGATCGTCAAATTTAAAATGACACCCTGCCCCCTCATGCATTTCCTATTTGTCCTTTCTGCTTAATTTTTCTCCATGCCACTTATCAACTTTTAAAGTACTATAACATTGACTGACTTACTTTATTTAAAGCCTGTCTCCTTCTACCCTCCAAATTGGAAGAAAAGCTGTATCTCCAGCATTTTTAATAGGGTCTGACACACAGTAAATATTCAATAAATATTTGTTGATTGAATGAATGAATGGATATATCTTCCTCAAGTAATATATTCTATTAAAGAGATTTGGAGACAATTTTCTAGAGATCTTCCTTGAGAGCATCAAAATAATCTGAAAGATATTCATAGTGCAGTTAGCTGTAAGTCTGGATATTATTAGCAAGCTTTAAAGCATTTCAAAAGACTAAGGTGATATAATGATTGTTATAGATGGCAGTTCCTTATGGAAGGCAGTCCAGCTGGTCAGGATAATTCCCCAAGGGAAGCAGGCCTAATTTGGAGGGGTTCTACTTTCC
This sequence comes from Homo sapiens, assembly GCF_000001405.40. Taxonomy (NCBI): domain Eukaryota; kingdom Metazoa; phylum Chordata; class Mammalia; order Primates; family Hominidae; genus Homo; species Homo sapiens. Next base: position 94,851,816 of record NC_000001.11, on the reverse strand, counting down.
AGCACATTCTGTGCACTTGGCCTTGTCCAGCAAACTGGCCCAAGAGTCCTGCCAGCCCCAGCCTGCTGACATTCATCCTGCCTGTGTCTCCCACTGGCTTCAGCTTCGGCTCTGGCAGCATGAGGATTAGGAAAAAAGAGAGGAAAATCTCATTGACAGGCAGCCTGCAATATATGAGTTCTTCATGTATCCATCTCATTTCACAACCATGACACTGATGTGATGTTATTCCCTGGGTCAGCACCCCTAACTGAATCCATTCAGGTAGGGAACTGAGCTAAGAGACACAGAAAGAAAAAGGCATGGTCCTGGCCCTCACGTGTTCTTCCTCTTGTGGGATGACAATACATCTTGCTTTATTGTTCATAGCATTTATCACTAAGGGATGCATATTTCCTTATTCACTGCCTCTATGCCCACCCAGTAGAATGTCAGGCCTGGAGAGCAGAACTGCTGTCTTGTTCACTGCTGTATCTCAAGTACCCAGGGCATGTAGTGTGACTCCAGGGCTGACAGGGCAGGCATGAGATAAATAGTTGTTGAAAGAATGAAGAATATAAAATATGCAAGGAAAAAAATGGAGGAGAAATATCTAAGTATGGCTGAGAAATTTATAGGAGATTTTCCAAGAATAATAATACTCAAACCAATCTTGAAGAATGACTAGTTTGGGGAAGCAGTTTAGGGGGAGAGTTGGGGTGAGAGTTGGGCAGGGGAGGGGATTCTAGAGGAAGATCCCAGCAGGAGCAAAGGTATGGGGATGTGCATGGAGACTGCTTTCCTTTGCACCTTCCCAAAGGGACCAGGAACTTCTGAAATGCAGGAGCTGTTTCAACTCTCTCCCGTGCAACCTCCCTTTACTCTTTTCCTAGAACAAGACTGGGCCACTAGCAGGCTTTTGCAAAATAACTTCAATTATCTTCTAGATCTCTGAAAACTTAAAAAAAAGACAATTTTCTTCTAAATTGTGTTATTGAATGTGCCAGAGAAAGCAAAGAATAAACTACAGAGCTGAAGGTACTAGATGTTCCTTGGTCAACATTAATTCCTAACATAAAAAATACATATGGTCCCTTATTTGCAAAGCAAAGCTCTTGTCTCATCTCAGCCTCCTAACATCCTTGTGAGGCAACCTTACATCAGTTTTCCATTGCAAAAATGGCAAAAAGGAAGCAGAGGCAGAGCCAGCCTGGGTTCCAGGTCATTTGATGGGAAACCTATGGAAAACTCTCTGTCTGACCCTGCTGCCTCCTTTCCAAGCTCACCCCTTTGTGTATCCCAAGTACACGGTGTATGCTGTGTGCAGTCCTGTGATTAAATCTTCTAACTGCAGCACAGACCTCGCGGGAAGTCCACTCCCTGCCAAAATCCAATATGGTTCTCTTCTATTGTACAGACTCTGGAGCTTCCAGACCACCTTAATGAACACTGGAGGTGACCAGGTCATCTGAGCTCTTTCCAACCTACCAGATTACCAAGGTTACCACAGTTTTCACTTTTTCCTATTGGATTTTAGTAATTACTGTCTTATTGCTGGTACCAGACAAATCCCAATGGACTACTAAATGTCATTGTTGGGTGGTGCAAGATGGGGGCTTGATATGACCTGCTGAAAAAAAATCCCCAAACAAGTCAGAATTTGTCAACTAGTCAAAAGAATGATTAACAGTCATTAGAAAAATAGCCCATCTGGGCAAAAATGATCAACCCAAGTTCACTCCTATTTTTTTTAATGCAGTAAAAAATAGTATTCATTCAACCATCTGACACAACTATTTGGGTGGCTCACGCCTATAATCCCAAAACCTTGGGAGGCCAAAGCAGGTGGATTGCTTGAGCCCAGGATTTCTAGACCAACCTGGGCAACACGGCAAAATCCTGTCTCTACAAAAAAATACAAAAATTAGCTAGGCATAGTGGCATGTGCAGCCCCAGCTACTGGGGAGGCTGAGATGGGAGGATCGCTTGAGCCCGGGAGGTTGATGCTACACTTGAGTCTGAGCAACAGATTGAGGCCCTGTCTCAAGAAAAACAAACAAACAAAAACCAACAAAAAACAAAACACAAAAACAAACAAACAACTATTTATGTACTGAGGACGCCCACACACAAAACTGGGCGCTAACTGAAGAGTGTGTCTGTCCCCGCTGAAGCTGCCTGTGGGACGTGGAATGAGACAATCGGGCACTGTGCAGCGGGCTCGCCACCCGATCACCTGGCGCCTCTTCATAAGAGGTGAAAGCGGCTCAGAGTCCCTCTCAAGTGTTAGCTGGGGCATCTTCTGAAGATCAAAAAGTGATTCAGCTGCTGATCTGCCCAGCCGCAGAGCCAGGCTCTCTGGCACTGGTGAAAAGGCCTCTGAGAACAAAGGGGACCCTGTGCACCTGGGTCGGCCACAGGCAGGTGGAAGGAGGGGACGGGTGATTTGGTTTCTATGATGCCTGACCCCAGCGGGGTGGGGAAGGGGGGTGGTGGCTCTGCGTAGCACCTTCTCTCCTGAGAAGCCTAAAATCGACCTGCTCATAGATGCCTCCCATAGGTCCGGGGCACCCAGTTTCCTTTCTGGCCCCTCTACTGTTCTCGCTGTTTGCTGCTTGCACTAACAGTGAATCGTCACACTTCACTGTGTGATCCTGAGAGGTGGCTGCAGAATGACACGCTACCTTCAGCCCTGAAGAATAACCTCCAGGTCTCTCTTGCAGTGGAGGCTACTAAGCCCTGGGCCCAACCTAGACCTAGTCAGGGGCACAGGCTGGCAGTTAAGGGGCACAGGCTGGCAGTTCATGCCCAAGTCAGCCTTGGGGCTTGCTCCTTTCTGACTTCACTGGCCTGGGCTCTTCCCTTGACCTCTGTGGCCAGGTCCTCTCCTTGTGCTGCCTTGACTTCTGCTGCATCCCCCTTTGCCTCTTTCTGTATTTTCTGACCTGGCGATTTCCAGCCTGCCCTCTAAGAAGCCCTCCCTGACTCACAGCATGGGTTACGGCCTTGTTCTGGTGTTCCCATAGCTCCCCAGATTTCTCTGATCATCACATCCATCAATCTTCACTGCGATCACACGTTTCATTGTTGGACCATCCTGCTTGACTATAAGTACTGAGGGCAGAGAGTCGACCTCAATCCTGTTCCCTACCTCTCCCTAGTGCCGTGCTCAGCGCCTCATCCCCACAGTGCCCACCAAATACTTCTGAATTAAATTAAAACCATCCCTGCTCCAAAACATCATGGGGTCTAGCCACAGACACAGTTCCCCTTATCCAGATTCACAGCCAACAAGGGGCCCCCTGGCTGGGCCAGCTGCACCTAAGGAGGTGGGAAGAGGAGGGTCCTTCACTGGTCCTGAGCCATATTTCCTAAGACCTCACTGTTTCTCTGATGATTCTCTAGAGGCTAGGGTTCAAGCCCTACAGTGCTGCTGCCCAGGGCCACTGCCACCACCTCCATCACACCTCATCCCCAGCTGGCTCTAGCTGTCAACCTCCAGCCCCAGACACATTATGGGCACAGCCCACATCCACCAGCCAACTGCTGTGGTCCCTGATACAGCTTCATTCTGAGCAAACTTGAAGAGGCCTATTTTTTTTTTTTTTTGAGACAGAGTCTCACTCTGTGGCCCATGCTGGAGTGCAGTGGTGTGGTCTCAGCTCACTGCACCCTCCGCCTCCCGGGTTCATGCTATTCTCCTGCCTCAGCCTCCCGAGTAGCTGGGACTATAGGCGCCCGCCACCACGCCCGGCTAAGTTTTCTGTATTTTTAGTAGAGACGGGGTTTCACCGTGTTAGCCAGGATGGTCTCGATCTCATGACCTCATGATCCGCCCGCCTTGGCCTCCCAAAGTGCTGGGATTACAGGCGTGAGCCACTGCACCCGGCCTAAAGAGGCCTATTTTTATTTCCTAGCTTTGGATCCCAGATGCAAGGGAGGTGTAAGGTAGTGGAAAGAGCACAGGCTCCATTCCAAAGCTCTAGAGTCACAGCACGTCATGCCTCCCAGCTGTATGACCTCCGGCACATGACTTCCTCAGAATCTCAATTTTCCTGCCTGTAACTTGAACATAACAATACCCACATCACACGGGGACTGTGATGCCTGGGGGACAGAACATAAGAAAGCATCCAGTACAGAGATTAGAATCTAGGACATTTTCAACAAAGGCTTGTTTCCCTTCATGCACCGGGGCCACTGCCCTCCCTTCTGACCAGGGCTGAGCCCACTTCAAGCTCGCTAGAGGAAGGCCATCCAATGCTGAGACTTCACCTGTCTCACGATATCTATTCTCCCCTCTTTTCTTGGTTATAGAACCTCTGATTGGTGCGTGCCTGCCCAAAATGAAACTACATTTCCTGGTGTCCCTTGCAGATAAGCACTGCTATGTAACTGGGACCTGGCTGATGAGGTGTGGGTGGAAGCGCCACCTGTGACTTCTGGGAGGGGCATGCTCGCTTTCCTCCCTGCCACCCTCCTCAAGGTCGGAATAAGACATGGCAGTGGGAGCCTGAGCAGCCTTTCACTATGAGGTGGAAGCAAGGGCAGAGGCTGCAGAAGAAGAAAGCGGGTGCCTGAGTCCTTGAGCGCTAGAGAACTAGGCTGGCATGGATCCTCTCCATGTGGACTTCATCTGTGTGACAGAGAAATTACCTTACATCCTACTTTAGCCACTGTTGTTTTGAGTTTTCTTTCACTTCCAGACAAACCTCATTCTGATGGATTATACCCTTTTGACCAATGTTCCTCCCTGGGTAATTATCAGAAGTTCACTGCAGGCCTTCAGCGAGCTTCCAGGGAGCCCCTAGTAGAAGACTGCCCCTATGCACCTCTGAAGGTGGAAACATAGGCCTCCAAGGGCCATGCCTTCCAGGCAGCCTGCTGACGATCTTGGCACTGTGGCCTCAGTTAGCTCCAGAGGAGAAGGAAGGGGACTGAGTTTACTAAGAATCTATTACATGGCAGCTGTTCTTACTTATATGACTGGAGCCAGTAAGGGACAAGATAAACTTGAGAAAACATTAAGGAACTGCATCAGCCTTGCTGATTTGACATCAGCTGTGGTCCTTATCAGTCTGGTGACAGTATCAGGAAGCCACTTACTCTTTTGTACTTGCATCCATGTGTACTGAATTTGGGCCTTAAGAAAATCAAACAGAGGAGTTAGAAAAGATCTGGACAGTGCCACTCAAAGTGTGGTCCACAGAAAAGCTGTCTAACCTCACATTGTTAGTAAGATAAAAAGCTTGTGCCAGAATGTAGATCAACTGCATCACTAAGCACATCGTTTCTCAGCTGACAGTTTCTTCCATAGCAAAACTTTCTCAATGAAGGAAGCAATGGAATGACGTCCATTCTAGCTAAGCTCCTTATCTGGCTTCAGACTGCACTCTGAATAGTGCTGCTTTAGAATATGCTTGCCCTGTTACGGAGCTTTACAAGAACATATACTAGGTCCCACCGCAAACCACGTGAATCAATCTCTGAGGCTGGCACCCAGATAACTGTATTTTAATAAAGCACCAAAGCTGATTCTGAGAAATAGCCCTGGTGAAGAACCACTGTGTGGATATGAAAAAAGGATGGAGGAGAGAATCTTGTCTTTTCAGGACCAAGGCATGTGAACTATGAGTTTGCTTTAAATGTACACTGGCTCTGCTGGGCATAACACTTTTTTTTTTTTTTTTTGAGACAGAGTCTTGCTCTGTCACCCAGGCTGGAGTGCAGTGGCGCAATCTCGGCTCACTGCAACCTCCACCTCCCAGGTTCAAGCAATTATCCTGCCTCAGCCTCCCCAGCAGCTGGGATTACAGGTGCACGCCACCACGCCCAGCTAATTTTTGTATTTTTAGTACAGACGGGGTTTCACCATGTTGGTCAGGCTGGTCTCAAACTCCTGACCTCGTGGTCTACCTGCCTTGGCCTACCAAAGTGCTGGGATTACAGGCATGAGCCATAGCACCCGGCTGCACAATATATTTTTAATAGAGTCTTTCCTGGGTTCTTCTTTGTCACCTACTGATTTGATAGGGGTTGGCAAATTACCTTGGATAAAACTCATACCTGGAGACATCTGGTAATATTCTTGCTGTTGGCCTTTGTTCATATTGTAGTTTTTCCTAGAGCTTTCAGTCCTTACTGAATTTATTCTCTCATGAAACACAAACCCAGCTTCTTTAAAACCAATATAGAAGAGGTAAAAGAACTTCCCACTTTTCCCCATGACAGAGCCCCAAGCACCAACGCTGCTGTCATCAGACACCTCTGGCTCAATGAGGGGTTAGGTGCCTACAGAAACAGGCCAGTGGTTCCAAAATGGTCTTCTGTGTATGACTCCAAGGTGATGGAACCCACACCCACTGTCCCTTACCTGCAGTTCCCAGGCTCAGCAGCACAGCCACCCAGAGGACCCAGAAGAAAATGAGGATGGCAAATGTCCACAGTGGCTGGAACAGCAGGAAGGGAGCACTGCTGATGGCTTTATTTGTGATTTGGAAAAGCTCAACTGTCAATTTTATTCTCTTTCTGAGAACAAAAATCAAGACGAGCAGCACTGCCTGGTGAGAAAGGGATTTGAGTAAATTACTTCCAAATAATGGAGAACTGGGTAGAGCTTAAAGCAAGCCCTACTATTATTATGACATCTCAGCAAACAGCTCTTTTAAGATAGTTACTCACTACTTTGTTATAATTTTACAGATGCATTCGCAAACACTAACTGAGCATCTAGTAAGTGCTGGTCCCTGGAATAGATCTTAATAGACATAATAGCGAAGAAGACACAGTCCCTCCATAAAGGGCCTTGTAGTCTGGTCAGTGAAAAAGATAAAATGAGAATAAGGTCTTCTAATGTCAAGGAACTGTCTTATATCCTCCCCTCCACATCCCACAGAACCCAAGATATTGCAAAAGTCAAGGGAATATGAGTATGAGGCAAAAAGACTCAAAGCCACCTTCTGTGCCTTCTTCTAGCTTTCCCTCCCTGCATATAAACATTTACAAATCTCATATTAATGAAACAAACCATTCTGCACCCCTCCATCCCCATCCAGCCACTGCCGTCTCTTACTGTTTTCATGGCCGAGCTTCTTGGCTTGTCTACACCCATCATCTGTATTTCCATACCCCAACTCATTCTTCAACCACCCACAAACATCCAGATCCCAACACTCTTTTGAAACAGCTCTCTCTGAAGTCACTTCATGTGACCTCCTGAATGTTAAATGCCATGGAAACATTCCAGGTCTTGCTTGACTTCAGCATAGCATTAGATCCCTTGTCCACTCCTCTTTTCTCGAAACATTTTCCTCCCTTGGCTTCCATGATCTTTCTTTTAGCTCTCCTACTTCTTTAATTGCTGCTTCTTGAGATCTTCTGGGGGTATCTCCTATTCCTCTGTGCTTTCAGCATCCTTCCTAGATGCTGACAACCTCCAAATAAAAACCTCCAGCCTCACTTTCCTCTAGGTGCTGGAAGAATAAGCACATCAGTTATTGACAAGGCCGTGGATGTCCTACAGTATGTCAGACTCAATTTATCCTGAATCAAATTCATTATCTTCATACTAGAACCTCCTCTTCCCCCTGTATTCTTTACCTCCAGTGGCCCTAATTTTTCTAGACTTTCCAAGAGTAAGTTAGGTTCCCCTCTTGTGTGCTCCCATTTTATTCCACACTTACCCTATTGTACTATTTAACATATTCTATAAATGTTTTCTCGTCTGAATTTCCCATTAGATTAGGCTCCTAGAGAGCAGGGCCATTCTTATGGTCAAGGACTGGCAAAGTGCCCAGTACAGTCTCAATCACCTCTGGTTCAGTTTCCTCAATACCGCTCATGCCTTCCTTTCCTCTCTGTTTCCACCGCTGATGCCACAGCTCAAGTCTCAGCCTCTTTCTTCTAGACCCCAATAACCTCATTAGCTTTCTGCATTTAACCTCCCTGACCACCCCCCCCACCCCGCCCCACCTCAGTCCCTCCTCCACTCCACAGCTAAGGGGACCTTTGTAAAGCGCAAACACAAAGATGGTGTTTCTCGGCTCAAAATCCATCTACGGCACCCCAGTGCCTCTGGAGAAAGATCAAACCTATCATCATTGCAGATCAGGACCTTTGTGACATGACCCTCCCTGCACCTGCATCTCAGGCTTCCATCAAGGGAACTTCCTGCAAGTCACACCCCTGCCCATGTGACCTCATGCATGCTGTGCCCTTGGCCTGAGATGCTCTTTCTCTTCCAGCTTTGCTGGAGCGTTTCTGCCGTCAACAGTCAAGTGGAGGAAAGACAGTGACAGTGGATAAACTGCAGAAGCTGCTCCAGGATCTGGGAGCACAGCCTCCTGACCATGCAGGGAGAGGTGTCAGGAGAGGCCCCGCAAGACACCCAGAGGAGACCCTTCAGTTGTAAAGGCTGAGGAGGAACTTCCATCTGGGCTTTTCTGAGGATGAGTGAACTAGCTCATCTAGCAACCGGGAATTGGTAAGAACTCACAACAAATGAACGGGAGGTGAGCTGGGACTCAATTCTGCCTTATAGAGTAGCCCCTGTGCAGAACTCATGGACCCAGGTGAAAACAGCCTCCCTGCTCACATGGCCTCCCCTCTCCCTAACCTTGCCCCGGCCCTGAAATCTGGGTGGCATAAATGGTGCAGTGTACAAACAAAAAGGGAGCCCTGTGGAGGGTAGACGGAGGAACTGGACCCTCCCCAGCCCCCAGCCCTGCTCCTCTTCCCCTATGCCCAGCCTGGGGAATGGGGAAGCCCTTTCATCTCCAGCCTCCTCTGCAGACTCTGTTGAGTGTCTGGTCTGGTCCCTGCCTGAGGCGAGAGCAACCAGGTGCTTTACTTTATTGTACCCTTACTCCCTGGCACATTTTATGTGAAGATCACAAACCCAAAACCTCACCGTGGAAAGGAGAAAATGTGAAAACTACCAAATATGAGAATAGAAGGATTTCCTATGAGAGAATTTTGTTGGTGTGAGAATCTGCATTTGCTGCAAGATTCAATGGGCTTGTGGAAACCCCTGGCTGCAGCTGCTCCACAGAACAGTCAGTAAGCAACACACCAGCAACGACGACTCTGGGGGACCTGAAGCCAGTGTGGGGTCCGCCCCAGGGCCTTGTGATTTGAGCCTTCCTAACGGCCCCTGGAGAGGGTCCTGAATGACATTTGGTTGCCAACCACCCACCACCAGTAACTAATACCTGCTCCCTCAATATTCTAAGTCAGCCTGTTTTCAGCTAGAGAGTTCACTGAGGAGGCAGCAAGTTCTCTGAACACCAAAATAACCCAGTGGCCAGCGGGTTTGGAAACAAAGGGCTCTGTGTGCTAGAGGGCAGCGGAAGCTGAGCATACACTGGCAAAGGGGAGCCGCACCTCACAAACAGGGAATGGGAACTGCCGTAAGCCTGCCTCCGCCCACCCACCATGCCCACCTTGTAGCCCCTTGGGGCTGAGAACAGTGCAACAGCAAGGATAACACAGTAGTCTCTGGGAGGTGGCAGAAATGACTTGGGAAGAACTAAAACCTTTTTTTCTTATTTTTGAAGAGTTTTGAATTATCCCTATACAGGTATCTCAAATCCAAAGAAGGCACATTCTAAATCAAAAGAAAAACAAATTATAGTTGTTTTTGGCTAGAATTCAATGATTTGGATTTCAGAGTCCTGGCTGGCTACCTGACCTACTGCTAGAAGAGCATTTCTTACCGTGATGCCTGTGGATACGATAGCAAACCCCAGCACGCACTTCATATTTTCCCTTTCTGTGTCCAATTCTATGCTGAGGTCGTTGGTATAGTCATAATACAGCCACCATAAAACACCGCAGACAACTAGAAAAGAGAACAGTAGCAGAGCTCAGGGCACACGCCATGAGGTAACCTTTCCCCAGCACACAGAATCACACAGGAAGTCCAGCCACTGCCCACCGGCCGCGTGGCACTGCTCTGGCAGTGGGTCCCAAATACCCGGACCCTACAAGCAACTGCTGCCCTCTGGAGAAGCTGGGCAGAGCCAGGGCAACCCATAGAGGACCCACAAGTTCTGGGATGATGCTTGTTTTGGGAGACCCAGGATGGTGACCCCAGAACACAGGCACCTAACCCACAGGTTGGGTCTGGATGCGAGCAGGAGGAAAACCCCATGGACAGGATGGTGAGAGGGACAATGCCAGAGCTCACTGTCTAAATGTTTTAAGCAAGCTCTGGTGGTGATAACTCCTGTGGAGCCTGGATATTGGCTGCTCACCCACAAAACCAGGAAAATTTACACGGCCTGTGGGAATCATGGAAGTCAGAAGCTCATTTGGAAGATGCCCTGACATTGCAAGTACTCCACATTTAGGTACGAAATACCACCTTATGCCATATCCACAGTAACTATAGGAAGGTTGGAGTGGACAGGAAGAAACAACCCTCAGAAGTCATTGTGCCTGTCCTCCGACACAGGGCTACAGGGCTCTAAGTTGCTGAGGGCAGAGCTGATGACTCAGGGGAAAGAAACATGACAATCACATCAGTTTTTAAAAATTAAAATATAGTCATCCACTGCATGATGACATTTTGATCAACAATGGACTGCATATATGATGGTGGTTCATGAGATTAATAATACTGTACTTTTCTGTGCTTAGATGTGTTTAGATACACAAATACTGACCATTCTGTTACAGCTGCCAACCGTATTCTGTACAGTAGCATGCTGTGCAGGTTCGTAGCCTAGGAGTAATAGGTTATACCATGTGCCTGGGTGTGTAGTAGGCTCTACCATCTAGGTTTGTGTAAGTGCACCCTGTGATGTTCACACAATGAGGAAATTGCTGAGTGATGCATTTCTCAGAACACATCCCTTCCTGTCATTAAGTGACACCTGATTGTACCCCACACCAGTTGGTAAATGGCTGCTGCCTTGAGCCTCCTGCGTGCCCTTGTCCCTCGGACCTCTTTCCCAACAACTGCTGGTGAGATCCACAATCCAGCAACCGGGAGGGAAATATGGGCACAGTACAGGGTCTCCAGGACTCTGCTTCCATGCAGGCCTGTGTGTCTTCTGGCTGGTCAGAACCTTTACATGACAACTGTGGGCACCCACGTGCCAATGGGTGAGGTGCGCATTCAGAAGAAATCCTTTAAAATGCTCCCAGTGGGTACTGGGATTCTCTTTTAACGTTATGGATACAGGATCACGGTATTGGAAAGCTCATCTCAGGGGCAGCATAGCACAGCAGAAGAAACTACAGATATGGCTGGACGTGGTGACTCATACCTGTAATCCCAGCACTTTGGGAGGCCAAGGTGGGCGGATCGCTTGAGCTCAGGAGTTGGAGACCAGACTGGGCAACATGGCAAAACCCCGTCTCTACAAAAAATACAAAAATTAGCTGGGTGTAGTGGCATGTGCCTGTAATTCCAGCTACCTGGGGGGCTGAGACAGGGGGATCGCTTGAGCCCAGGAGGTTGAGGCTATAGTGAGCTGCGTTCGCGCCATTGCACTCCAGCCTGGGCAACAAAGTGAGAGCCTGCCTCAAAAAAAAAAAAAAAAAAAAAAAAGGAAAAAGAAAAAGAAAAGAAAAGAAAGAAGAAAAAAAAGATTGGTCATTAACTTTGCACTGTCTGTGAGACATAGCAACTCCCATCGTCCTCCCTGAGGCCAAGTTTTCTCATTTGTAAAGTGACAGGGCTAGATACTCTTTAAGACTCCATGTAGCTTAAAAATGCCAACTTTTAAGTTCTGTACTTAATGTAAAGGCTTTTCATTTAATCGAAAAGAAATCAGTCAAGTAGAGAAATACTTACACAACAATCCCAAAATAACCAATGAAATGAAAATGTGAACCAGAAGGGTGGTGATGAATCTGAAGGTAAACATCATGGCCAAAGACAAGGCTGAAAAATTAAGCAAAACACATAAACCTCAATAGCAACAAAGGATAGGGGAGATGATGGTAGTACTGCGATGACAAAACCCTCCAGAACAGTGACGGCTGAGGATTGTATTCAATCTCTAAATATCTTGGGATATCTACTAAACACTAAATAAAAATAACAAGGTATACGTGGGGCAGTCTCTGATGCACCATTCAATCAAGTGTGGTAAGCCTGTCTCTGAAAGTCCTAGTATTCTTCTCAAAAATAAAAAAAATTTGGCCGGGCATGGTGCCTCACACCTATAATCCCAGCACTTTGGGAGGCCGAGGCGGGTGGATCACCTGAGGTCAGGAGTTCGAGAACAGCCTGGCCAACCTGGCAAAACCCCATCTCTACTAAAAATACAAAAATTAGCCAGGCATGGTGGCGGGCACCTGTAATCCCAGCTACTCGGGAGGCTGAGGTACAAGAATCGCTTGAACCCGGGTGGCAGAGGTTGGCAGTGAGCCAAGATCATGGCACTGTACTCCAGCCTGGGCAACAGAGCAAGACTCTGTCTCAATAAAAAAAAAGAAAGAAAGAAAAAAAATTTTATAGCAATATTATTCTCAAATGCCCAAATCTTTTTTTCTTACAAGTCCAAATGAACCATCTAAAATTATCATACTTAAATCTTTTGACTTCATACTGGGCTTATGTAAAGTTCTAACTTTACATGTTCTAAGGTACTCTTATTAAATATGAAAGATTAATAATGTCTTTAAAATGAAGAATTTAAGATCCTAACCATGAAATAAGCTGTATGTACTATTTTCGACATAGGAAATCAGGATTGCATCTAGATCAGAGTTATGTTTAGTAAGGTGGGTTTTGGGACCACACAGATCTGGGTTTGAGTCTTAGTTCTGCCACCTCTTCTCCTAGGTGTGCAACACTGGCCAAGTCCTAAACCTCTCTAAGCCTCAGTTTCATCTCCTATGAGTGGTACTGGGATTCTGATGAGGTTTTAATGAGTGAAGAATAAGTACAATGCCTGGCACATGGTAAGTGCTCAGTAAACGACAGCTGTTAATACCATTATGAATCTAATAAGCACATGACAATGTCCTTGCAGGGACATTAGGTCATTATATAAGATATCAGGAATAACCTGAGGTTTTTTTGTTATATATTGTAACCAAGCCAGTATTTGGGAGTCAAAGCATCTTGTTTGAGTCAATTGAAGTCATTTTCAGCCTAAGTAAGAAGTCTGAAAGTCATAATAGTGACTAGTTAAATATCCCCAAGCATTCAGGAATTAGGAACCTTTTAGTAATGAAATTGTGGAAAACTCAATTTGTTAACTGTTAGAAATATGTTAATGTCTGACCAAAGAGTTTCTCTCTACCAAGAGGTTTGTGGGCTGCCACTGGAAAGCGAGGAGACAATAGGCTCTTACCACTGTCTAAAGGGGCAGAGTGTATTCACCTGTTCAAAGAGAAAGTTGGCTCTTGATTTCAGCCAACTGAAACATAGAAAATGGGAACTCAAAAGATCAAGAGTGGGTAGCTGCTTCCAGAAATGCCCAGAGAAGGCTGAAGGCCTTGACCTGTCTACAACCCAAAGCAGGTATGTCCCTTAGAGGAGCAGGATACAGCAGGCCCTTGCAGTCTGACTCCATTTAACATGGATGCATACATGTCCTTGCCCTGCTCACCAAGCAGCTTTCTGATCTGCTTTCTGATCCACCTACAGGTGGAGGCATGTTTGGCCAGAAGACATGGTTTCTGGTCACCCTGACAGTTGTATTTTTCATGTCCCATCCACAAATTGGCAATCTGCTTTATATACCCATCCCCAGTGAGGAGCAGACACTAGAACATAGTCAGTATATCAAGGCAACCCTACCCACTGAGGCTTTCTGCCAGAGGGCCAGCCGCTCCTCTATTCGTATTGCCCCCATCCCACTTAAATCTGAAACACTGAAAATATCTATTAAAAATACAGAGTTTTATATTTAAAACAAGAGGCTAATTTTCATTGTACAACATATAAAATGCTAGGAACTTTGGCATTCCATAAACAACTATTAAAATTAACTTAACTGAGAATTACCTAATGCGAGGATACACAGGCCAAGGATTGTATCTCTTCCCGACATGATTCCACTTAGAATTCGGTGGAGGGTGTCAACATCATTTATCAAAACAGATGCAAATAGGGAGTAGCACTCAGGTGTTTGAGGGACACATCGGTTAAATAAGGGAAATGACTTGCTAAAAATAGAGAAAAAAAGATGGCAAAAATGTTTATTTAACATTTATCTTTAAAAGATGTTTATTTAACATTCTCAATAACCAAAAAAGCTTAAGAACTACAGTAATAGAGAGGCGTCTAGCATGCCATTTGCAGAGCACACCTTAGAAAGCCAGGCAAGTATGCTCTGCTACATCGATTAGCTGATGTTCTGAATAGGAAGTTGATTATGGGAACCCACAGAAACCAAAAACCTAAACTTGGGGAGCAACATTTTTAAAAATAAAAATTGCACATATTTAAGGTATACAATGTGATATTTTGATATATATAAACTTCATGAAATGATTGCTACAGTTAAGCTAATGAATGTATCCATAAATTCCCATAGTTATCATATTTTGAGAAAACTGAAGATCTGTTGTATCAAATTTCAAATATACAATACAGTATTATGAACTATAGTCACCATGCTTTACTTTATATATCTAGAATTTATTCATCCTACGTAACAGAAACTTGTATCCTTTGACCAGCATCTCTCATTTCCCCTGCCTGCATCCCTGATAACCACAATTCTATTCTCTGTTTCCATGAATTTGACTTTTTTAGATTCCACATACAAGTGGGGTCATGTATGGGATTTGCCCTTACATGCCTGGTTTATTTCACTTAACATAATATCCTCTGGTTCATCCACGTTGTTGCAAATAGCAGGATCTCTTCTTTTTTTAAGGCTAAATACTACTCTGTGGTATGTGTACATATACTACATTTTATTTATGGGGAACCTCTTTTTTTTTTTTTTTTTTTTTTTGTTGAGACAGGTTCTGCCTTTGTCACCCACGCTGGAGTACAGTGGCTCGATCATGGGCCACTGCAACCTCTGCCTCCAGGGCTCAAGCTATTCTCCCACCTCAGCCTCCTGAGTAGCTGAGACTACAGGCATGTGCCACCACGCCCAGCTAATTTTTGCATTTTTTGTAGAGACAGAGTTTCACCATGTTGCCCAGGCTGGGCAACATGAGCTCAAGCGATCCACCTGCCTTGATGTCTCAAAGTATTGGGATTACAGGCATGAGCCACTGTGCCCAGTGGGAACCACAATTTTTATTCTCCTGTCTTAGCCCTTCTTAGACACAAACTACCAACCCCAACAAAAGAATTGTATTTCTGTAAGGAACTATTAGGGATGTGAACTGGATGAGACAGAAGCTGTGTTAATGACACTATTAGCTTAATTCCGTCCTGTTTAGGAAGGCATATGAGGCTTGAGAGCCTTGCTATGAACAGTGGGTGCTCAATAAATGGATAGTAAATGTGTGATTGATGCTGCAGTTGATAACTGCCTTGGGTAGATGAGAAAGTTGACCTTTTTTTAGCTTCTTCCTGAAATGTAAAAAAGCCTAGCAATATGCATTCTAATGAATCTTCATGAGGCCACTGATACCTTCACAGGGTCCTGTTCTTCTTTCTTTCCATGAACCCCAAATGGTGGAAATAATCCCAACCAAAGAAGTGTCAAATTATCTAAAAAGCTGCTCAAAACCCAATCACCAATCATTTTGTGCAATGTATAAGAATGAAACAAAGGAGAATCCAAATGTTAAAAGATTTCATTGCCCTGAAGAAAAGAAATGACTTCCCAAGCTTCTAATGAAGCACAACATAGAACACGTGGAAGAATCTTTCTCCAGAAGTCTCAATATTACAGAAACAGTTCCTGAGTCACTGGATAGTGGTTCAAGAGAAGAGTAACACAAACGGTGTTTTTTGTAATTACATTTTTGAAGGGGTAATACATTCACATGGCTTAAATTCCAAAAAGTACAAGAGACCAAACAGCAAGAAATTGCCTTTCCTTGTCCTTGAGCTACCGAAGTACATTTCCTCACAGGCACCCATGATTTTTGGTTTCTTGCAAACCATTCTAGAGACTTTTATTAGCATATGTAAATATCATAGGAAGTTTAAATGGAATTTGCGGCTGAGCTCAAAGATAATAAAAATTCTACTCCAAAATGAGACGCCAGACTCCACCATTCAGGGCATGCCAAAAAAGAGGTGGGAGAAAAGTGGTTAGATTATTCTTAAACCCACATCCATGCTGAGAGCATAAAAGAGTTGGAAGTTGATAAGCAGAGCATTTTTAAAAGTAAACTTTAAATTTCTGAATAATTTTAGAGTTACAAAAAAATTGTAACGATGGTGGAGGGTTCCTCTGTGTATCCTTCACTCACATTCCCCTAATGTAAATGTCTTACATAACCACAGTATATTTGTGAAAATTAAGATTTAACATTGTCACTAAACTACTAACTAAACTACAGCCTTTATTTGGATTTCACCGTAACATCCTTTTTCTATTCCAGGATCTAATTCAGGATAGCACATGGCATTTTATTGTCACGTCTCCTCTTTGGTCATGACAGTTTATGTTTTTTGTAGAGACAGAGTCTTGCTATGTTGCCCAAACTGGTCTTGAACTCCTGAGCTCAAGCCATCCTCCCACCTCTGCCTCTCAAAGTGTTGGGATTACAGGTGTGAGCCACTGTGCCTGGCCTGTGACAAGTTTCTTAGTTTTTCCATGTTTCTCGTGACCTTGACATTTCTGAAGATTCATAGTCAGGTATTTTGTAAAATGTCCCTTAATTTGTAGAATTTCTCTCATGTTTTCTCATGATTAGGCTACAGTCAACAGGTTTTTGGGACAGTGCCACAGAGGTGAAGTGCCTTTCTCATAGAATCCTATCGAGGAACATGACAACACTGGTGAAGTTGACCTTGATCACCTAGTTAAGGTGGTACCTGCCGGGTTTCTCCTTGTAAAGTTGTTATTTTTCTCTTTTCCCTCTCTATCCTTGGAAATGAGTCACTAAGCCTAGCCCACTCTCAAAGGGAGGGAAATTCCACCTCTTGGAGGAAGAAGTAAAGATTTATCCCTTTCACCGGGAGCAGTGGCTCATGCCTGTAATCCTAGCACTTTGGGAGGCCGAGGCGAGTGGATCACTTGAGGTCAGGAGTTTGAGACCAGCCTGGCCAACGTGGTGAAACCCCATCTCTATTAAAAATACAAAAACTAGCCAGGTGTCGTGGTGGGTGCCTGTAATCCCAGCTACTCGGGAGGCTGAGGCAGGAGAATTGCTTGAACCCGGGAGGCACAGGTTGCAGTGAGCTGAGATCGTGCCACTACACTCCAGCCTGGGCAACAGGGCAAGACTGTTTCAAAAAAAAAGAAAAAAAGGATTTATCCCTTCCCCCCATTTATTTATTTATTCAATTATTTATTCATATCAGTATGGCCTCATCAACATTTATTCTTTTCTTTGGGTTATAATCTTAATTGTGTTATTCAATCTATTCCAGCTTTGGCCACTACGAGTCATCTGTGTCCTTTTGACAAGACCCATTCTTTTTCTTTCTTGAGCACTTCCTTACTTTCTGATGCTACAGGATGATGATACCAGACGTAGCTGGTATTTTCCTTATCCAAGTCCTAGAACCTGCCATTTCTCCAAAGAACCCTTGAAGACCAATGATTAGAAACCATGATCTGGGTATTGGGTATGGTGGGGTATTACTGATTCTAGGCCCTATAATCGATTCTAGTATGTAATTTCAGAATTGCTAACCATTATACTGTATTGTTTAGGGAATTTTTAAAAAATGAGAAAAACAATTGTTAACCAGTAGCTATGTGACAAACAAATGTACTATCTGGAGTACAGTGTTTGTATACAGTTCCTTTTGTCTTTAGCTTACAGTATCTAGTCACAAAGCTGTTTTCCAAAGTTACTCACATCAGCTCCTTATTAGTCATTTAATTTGTCACCCTCTACACACTATCCTAAGATCCTGACATCTTGATTTTAATTTTTATTTGCATATAGTAAAATCTACTCTGCACAGGTGATGACAAGTGCAGAGAATCATTAGAAGAGTAATTTTTGAAGAGTTGAAATTTTTTTTTTTTACTAGACTTGTCATGTGACTCCATCCCCATTTTCCTAAGTCAGATGAGAAGGGTTTCATGGAAAACTCAGAGAGCTTAGGGAATCCCCTGGCTTAAGGTCTGAGCCACCCCAAGAAATCTGGAGGGTGAGCGGCTTTAACAGCAGAGCAGAGAGCTACAGCTGGGGAGTTAAGAGCCCCCAGGGCATTTGTCAGGGCAAAGGGTGCAGAGGGCTTCCTGGGGTCTAGTTGTGGGCTGCATGTGCACAAGTCCCAGTGATGGGGTGCCACCGATCGTGTCTAAGACAGCCCTGTAGAAGGCTGTGGGGACCTTGGCAGAAGGAGCTGGAGGTGGCTGCTCTCTGAGGTAGCTAATTAATGCCTCAGGACTGAGGAAAGCCTCTCACATGACCAGCCAGAGCACAGATGCATTAGACTACATGAAAGGCACTGCAGCTGAAAGAGCCCCGAAGAACCCAAAACATGCCCATGAGGGAAAGAGCTGGCCGGGACATCTCCCAAGCCCAGAGAATGCTGGTGCTAGTATCAGACAAGTAAATGTGTTCCTGCTACTATTTTCTTCCTTCACTTTTGCTGCACCAGCCCCTTAGACAAAACCTGTTTCAGCAAGCTGGGAGAGGAGGGCAGGAATAAACAGAGGAGAAGGGAGGCTGACTACAGCCTCCTTCCTGGACTATGGCCTTCCCACTTGCTCCTGGGCCAAGCGTGCAGGGGGCAGAAGTTTGAACCTCCGATCAAGTGAGAAGTTTATCACATTGGGCTGAATATTTTTTAATTTAAAAAAAAAAAGTTGAGACAGGGTCTTGCTCTGTCACCAAGGCTGGAGTGCAGTGGCATGATCACAGCTCACTACAACCTCAAACCCCTGGGCTCAAGAGATCCTCCCATCTCAGCTTCAGCTAGGACTAAAGGCATGTTCCACTATGCCAATCTAATTTTTAAATTTTTGTAGAGACATGGTCTCGTTATGTTGTCCAGGCTGGTCTTGAACTCCTGGCCTCAAGCAATCCTACAGCCCTGGCCTCCCAAAATGTTGGGATTGCAGGCATGAGCCACTGTGCCTGGTCTGGGCTGAACATTTTAATTATTGAATTGAAAGTGTCTGTTGCAACTTAAAGTGACTCAGTATGTATTACCTAAAAGTTACCAGAGAAGCCTTGGGAATTGCCTGTGTTTTTATTCAGGGGCAGAAAAAACTAGTCCCACTGAATAAATTTAAAGAGACAGAGAAAGACAAAAATTAAATTGCTTTCTGACTACATCCTGTAAGTCATGCTTGATGTAATAATGGTTATACAAGCAAATATATACCTAGATATATATATTTATAGGTTTATACTTACATTTTCCACTTTTTATGCAAAAGTATACTGCACACTGTTCTATTATTTGTTTTTTTTTTAACTTAATACACTTCAGAATGTAAGGAATTCCTCTTATTTTTACTGAGGCAATATTTATATACAATGAAATACACTGATCTTAAACATAAAATTAGAGACTTTGATAAACATACACATCTATGTAACTGCTACGCCTTTCGAGATTTAGAGTATTTCATTAGCTGGGGTAGGGATGCATCTTTTTTTTTAGATGGAGTCTTGCTCTTGTCACCCAGGCTGGAGTGCAATGGCGTGGTCTTGGCTCACTGCAACCTCCACCTCCCAGGTTCAAGTTATTCTCCTGCCTCAGCCTCCCCAAGTAGCTGGGATTACAGGCGCCTGCCATCACACCCAGCTAATTTTTGTATTTTTAGTAGAGACGGGCTTTCACCATTGTTGGCCAAGCTGGTCCTGACCTCAGGTGATCTGCCCGCCTCGCCCTTCCAAAGTGCTGGGATTACAGATGTGAGCCACTATGCCCGGCTCACAGGGATGCATCTTTAGGCCATGGCCTGAGGTTTCTTCACCACTTCTGCTTTTCTTCTTCCCATTAGCAAAGCCACTCAAACTTGCAGGAAGTCATTGGGTAAGCTGCCTGTATATTTAGATCACCAGGTATATGGAATTCAGCTGAGCAAACCATGCAGTGACATGCACAGGCACCTATGTGGGAGAGTAGAACTAGAATTTACTGGGGGGAAAATATCCACGCCTTTTAGATTTTGAATACATGAGGGACTCAAAATACATTACCATGTTGAACACCAAAGTGAAAAAAGATCTATTTGCTTGTTATCTTCTGTAGTGCTTTTTCACTGCTCTTAAAAGCTCATACCTAGGTCCACAAATTCCTTGATATTTAGCCATTACTCGAAAAGGGTACGTTATACCTCACATGACCGACAGACGAGGAAGAAACAATCAGTTTAGTCAAAAAGAGGTATTTAGAAAATGTTCTTTGGCCCTATAGCCACCCTTCTCATGTTTTCCAGCTTTTCAGTCTTGGCACTGCTATTCCATGATAAATATGATCATTTTCACCTTAAACAAACACTTGCTTGTGCAGGAAAAGGGAATGGAGCCCTTGAGGCTATTTCTCTCTCTCTTTCTGTCCAAAAAAGGCCACTCAGTCAAGGGTTTTGTCTTTACTTGAAAAGTTAGTATTGGAAACATTTGCATTTAGGGTGAAAAGGACTAGGGCTGGCTTGAGAGTGAGAAGAAATGGTGCTATTATGACACAGGATACGGAGACTCTTTCTCCCAGCTTGATGTGAGTCTAGGAAGGCCACTCACCAGTCAAAATAAAATCAAGTCTTGACTCAAACATAGACGCTGCTTGGGTTTGAATGCCAGCTTTTCCATTTGCTGGATGTATGAACTTAAACCTCTCTGCATCAGTTTTCTCAGTTGTAAGATAGGGATGAAAACAATACCTACAATATAGACGTTTTCTGAGGCCCAAATTATGTTAAGGGTTTAGAAAAGTATCAAAAGCTCAATAAATGTTTGCCATTATCATCATAAGTATCAAGATATAAGCTTCCTGTGGAATTATGGTTGCCATCCCATTTATAGTAAGAAGAGAGTTTATCCAACTCTGGTTAAATTACAACCTTAAAAATTCCATTCTCTTTCAATTCCATCCGTAGTTACATCTACAGTTACAAATTGTGTTCTTAAAAAAGTCCTCCTCTCCAAGTGCTAGAGAATTTTCCTTCCACCTATTACTAAAACATTCTAGTTTTTTTTTAAATTGGGTTCAGTATGTTTCATTAAGATGTGTTTATGATACCTTACATTTTACCAGAATGTAAAATATCATAAACACATTTACAATTACCAGAATTTTAAAAATAAGATATTATAGGCCAGGCGTGGTGGATCATGCCTGTAATCCCAGCACTTTGGGAGGCCGAGGCAGGCGGATCACGAGGTCACGAGATCAAGACCATCCTGGCCAACATGGAGAAACCCCATCTCTACTAAAAATAAAAACATTAGCTGGGTATGGTGGCATGCGCCTGTGGTCCCAGCTACTTGGGAGGCTGAGGCAGGAGAATTGCTTGAACCTGGGAGATGGAGGTTGCAGTGAGCTGAGATCGCACCACTGCACTCCAGCCTGGGTGACAAGAGCAAGACTCTGTCTCAAAAAAAAGAATATTATAGAAAAATGAAATGGGTATTCTCCTCAGCAAATAGTTCTCTCCTCCTTCAATTACTTACAACATGGAGTATTTATTTTAGAAAAGAATATCACAAAATGGCTATTTTCTGCCTCCGATGTGATTTAAACCTTCTCAAGTCTCTTTGTGTTTGTGAGCACCTGCTAGTTCAGCATTTTTCAAGCTTCACTTGCAACCAGTTATAAGACTATGAAATACATTATTTTTAAAAAGGCAACAGAGTAGTAACTAAGAGTGTGAATCATATGTAATAAGGGTAAATGTTGTTTTGTGAGATTTCTAGTTTTGTTTTATATATGTAAGGACATATGAAGGTATGTGCATACAGGAGTTGGGATGTAATAAATTTCTTACTGTAAGTCCCAAACAAGAGTTCAATAAACACCACCCTAGAGGATTGGAATAATGCTTTGTTTTAATTAAATAATCATTATTTCTCAGGGATTTTTCAGAGAGGTCTCCTACATTGTAAACATACTCACATTTTTCAAAAGAATGACAATTCAAAATCAATACAAGTTTTCCTTTAGTACATCTCAGCATCATAATGGTGGCAATAAACACTCATTGTATTTTTCCCCTTAGCCTTCTCAAAGGTGTAAACATGAGCCATTCGCCATGGCAATGCAACCACCGTTCCATCATTACAACTTTATTCTACAAATATTTGTAAGGTGCCTACCATGTGCCAGGTAGTACACTAATTTACAGGGGTGAATAAGACCTTGCAAGGAGCCCACCAAGTGTACTCTTGATAAGGACCTGTGCTTTCTGTTTTCATTAAGAAAGGTGTGGTGATCACTTGGCCTTGTCCATCTGGTCTGTTTCTTATGAAGATATCTAGAGCAATAAAAACTAACAGAGTCTAATTATGATAAAAAGCCAAAAGTAAACGATTTTCTTTTTTTTTTTGAGACAGATTCCCGCTCTGTCACCAGGCTGGAGTGCAGTGTCGCGATCTCGGCTCACTGCAACCTCCACCTTCTGGGTTCAAGTGATTCTTCTGCCTCGGCCTCCCAAGTAGCTGGGACTACAGGCATGCACCACCACACCCGGCTAATTTTTGTATTTTTAGTATATTTTTAGTATACAAAAAAATAGTATATATTTTTGTATATTTAGAGATGGGGATTCACCACGTTGGCCAGGATGGTCTCCATCTCCTGACCTCGTGATCCGCCTGGCTCAGTCTCCCAAAATGCTGGGATTGCAGGTGTGAGCCACCATGCCCGGCCAAAGTAAATGATTTCTACTTTGCAATAAATAATTGGAGTAGAAAAAAATACACACTAATTTATAAAATCACCCCGTTAGTAATAATTCATAAGTTACTTCTTGCTAGCTCTAGTGTTCTTTGAAGACTACGTGTATTTTTATTGCTTGCTGAGTTTTCTCCTTATTTAGCCTGATTTCTAATCCACTGTCCATAGGCATACTGCAAATAGTCCCTCCATGTTTTTATCGCTGGCCTCCGTAGACTGTAAGCTCCCTGCAGGCAGGGGCTCTTCTGATATCTCCTTCCCACAATGCCTAGAAGAGTAACAGATGCACACCAAGTACCCAGTAACTTTTGTTTAGAGTTAAGGAAAAAGTATGGAAGCTTTTACCTTGGAGGAACTGGTAGCCTGGGACACAGTGAGTCTGCTTTTGGACTGTGGGTATAGTTGAAGGAATTCAAACTATAAACACACAGGAAGGACCCTGGAAGCAGAACACACAGACATTATACCTTCTTTCCAGGTGAGTCAGTAAGGAAACCACAGCCATGTTACCAAACCAGAAAGGAGAAAGAATCAACTACAAGGTCTATGGGTGACAGAAACACAAAAGTAATAGGCATACAATCTGAGGTCTAGTGAGGGCCTCTCTTCCTTACTTTCTCTTCAAAACCCCAAATTCAAAACTAAAAGTTATATGATTGGTCCTAAAATAATCTGAAGCATATTTGAAAACAATTTCTTGTAGAAGCTTGATAGTTTAAACCTGGCTTTGCAAATAATTTTTAAAAATCTGGCAAACCATTTCTCAGACAGATAAAATTCTAAACAGTGGACCCAGTACAAGGTATTTTAGTTATACAAGTGCTTCTGGTACAACTTGTGACATCCCACTGCTCAGTGGAAGTATCTATTGGCCCCAAAAATCTCATGAAAAGACCAATTTGTCAGCAATTCTACGCGCAGCCTGCACGTACATCTCTAGGACCGGATGTGCCCACGTGCATGGAGCTCTCTGCCTTCCTTCTGACACCGCCTTTGGGTCTTAAATGTGGGCTGTCTCCTCTCTCTCTCTGTGGATGACCATTCCCTGCAGTGGCAGGGAGCATACACGGAATAGCTAGGGCTTCAGATAAATCCAGATAGAAAAAAAATAACCTGAACAAGCTCAAGAGAAAATGCTTACGGCCTTTTCCACACAAAAAGAGGCACCCACAAGGAAGTAAAACTTCCAGCTTTCCAGAGAAAGCAGAGTCAGGGTAAATGATCTCATCTAGGTCCCCACAGCTTACCCCATCATGGGGAAAAGAACAAACCAGGCCTTAGTGCCTACCACTGGTGTTTGCAAAGAACTGGACCTCTTCCAGGGAGTCAAGCTGCTCTTCAGGGCAGTTGGATACACAGAGGGCCATGCGGTTGAGCTGCGTACCTTTGACTTCCAGGTTGCAGGAATTCATAAAGAACACGTGTCTAGGAAATAGATGAAACAGAAGAATGTGTTAGAGCATTGCTTCTCACTGGTCTTAATTGTGGGCCTTAAAAAATATCCACATGCTATCAAATGCAGGGATCACCCAGGCACACTTTCATAATTGTTTCAGCATAATTGAACATTTATGATGCCTACTGGTGGTCATCCATGAAGCTGTGCAGCTTGGAAACTATCCAAAAACATTAACAAAGCTTTATTTCTCCAGATTTAGTGTTGTCTAGGGGATAGCACTAGGGAGTTACCTGAGAAAATCTGAGGAAAAGAAGCAATTGGTTAAACTGTCCATTGATTGCTAGATCAGGCCAATGCACAAACTATTCAATGGACTCCACGGAGAACACATTTGTACCCAAGAGTGTTCAAATATGCTTCAGAGAATAACTGAACACAGGGAAGTGAGAAGTGGAAAGGAGGGGGCCAAGGCTGGGAACCAAAGGCTTGTCTTTTCCCCCTTCTCCCAGGTTGAGAGCCAGGACACTCAGGAGAACCCTCCTGCAGCTCCCCAGGGGCAGGGCAGAGGGGGGACAAGAATGAAACTGGTGTTGCCATCAGCAGGTTATGCGCTAGCAGCTACAGCTTCCAAACCCTTGCCTACCACTTATCCAGGCTCCAAGACCCCAGGAATGGCAGAGGAAGACCCCGTAGGCTGCCCTTTATGGGAGAGACCTTGAGAAGGGGTCCCAGAAGGTTTTTTTCCCTCCTGTTGGGGATGGGAGAAAGGTGGTGCAACAGGAGATGAGGAACAGATTTCCTGGGTGTGTGATATACATATTTTTGAAGAAGTTTAAAAATTGTGTTAAAATATACATAAAATTTACCATCTGAATCTTTCTTTTTTTTTTTTTTTGAGACAGAGTCTCGCTCTGTCACCCAGGCTGGAGTGCAATGACACTGCCACCTCTGCCTCCCAGGTTCAAGTGATTCTCCTGCATCAGCCTCCTGAGTAGCTGGGACTACTGGTGCCTGCCACCACACCTGGCTAATTTTTGTATTTCTAGTAGAGACAGGGTTTCACCATGTTGGCCAGGCTGGTCTTGAACTCCTGACCCTGTGGATCTGCCCGCCTTGGCCTTCCAAACTGTTGGGATTACAGGCATGAGCCACTGCACCAGCCCCATCTGAATCTTTCTAAGTGTACAGTGACATTAGTACATTCACGTTGTTGGGCTATCATCACCACCATCCATTCACAGAACTCATCTTCCCAAACTGAAATCTGTACCCATTAAACAATAGGTTCCCACCCTCCTTTCCTCCAGCCCTTTGCAATCGCCATTTTACTTTCTGTTTCTAGGAATCTGACTACTTTACATATCTCATGTAAGTGGAATCATACAATGTTTGTATTTTTGTGACTGGTTTATTTCACTTGGCATGACATCCTCAGGGTTCATCCCTGTTGTAGTATGTGTCAGAATTTCCTTCCTTTTTAATATTTCATTGTAATATACATATCACATTTTGATTATCCATTCAACCATTGATGGACACTTGAGTTGCTTCTACCTTTTGGCTTTTGAGAATAATGGAATGTATACTCACTTCAACCAGGAATGACTGTTTGTTGACACTGCATTATGAACACAATGTGAAATGGGAGCACATGGGCATCTAAGTCGCCCTTCCTCCTCCTGTCTTCTTTGTAAGTGGCTCTATGAGTGCAGGAGAAAATGCTCCGTAATTAGTCCATGCCCAGAAAGAGCAAGAGCCCCCTTAGGAGCAACACTCAGGAGGATAAGAGGCTTAGTCTGAGATTTGTATTTGGTGACTCCAAACTTATATTCAGGATTTATTTAGATCCTTAGGATTTCTCTTCTAGGAGCTACTTTTATTATTGAGTCCTAAAAATCCGTTTTTGGCTGGGTGTGGTGGCTCACGGCTGTAATCCCAGCACTTTGGGAGGCTGAGGTGACAGATCACAAGGTCAGGAGATGGAGGCCATCCTGGCTAACACAGTGAAACCCCGTCTCTACTAAAAATACAAAAATTAGCCAGGCCTGGTGGCGGGCGCCTGCAGTCCCAGCTACTTGGGAAGCTGAGGCAAGAGAATCTCTTGAACCCGGGAGGCAGAGCTTGCAGTGAGCTGAGATCTCCCCACTGCACTCCAGCCTGTGTGACAGAATGAGAGTCTGTCTCAAAAAAATAAAAAATAAAAATAAAACATCATTTTTTTGTTCTGTCATGTGAAGCAAGAGCTAAAATCTTAAAAATTCTTACAAGGCAGTCTCCATCTTAGAAGTTCATGGTCAGGGATTTCTCTCCCCTCTAGGGAATTCCCATCTCTTCTCTCCCCTTTCTGTTTCCCTGTGGGAGGTGGGGTAAGGGAGTAGGGGGAAGAATGCAACACCACAGTGCCATAGCTGGGGCAGGGGTGGGACACAGGTCCCCAGTGTTCCAGGTGGCATTCGGGTATTTCCACGTAGAAACAATGTGTGGATGATGTAGGGTTCAAACATATACGATTGGTAACATGATTCTGATTCATTATGGAGAATAATAGCAGCAATTAACGTTTATTATACTTTAGCTCATGCAGTGTCTCATGAATCCTTAAAACAACCTTGTGAGGTAGGTATAATAACTAGTTTAGAGAGATGAAAACTAGGCTTTGAGAGGTTAAGTACTCTGCCCAAGATCACACAGCTGAAAAGTAGCATGGGCTGAATTTGAACTTAGGACTATGATTCTAAAACTTGTACTCTTACCTGTACTATATACACAGCCTTCCTTTTTATAAAATAGGCTGACAGAGTTTTGAATGGGAAAAGTTTCCAGGCTCCAAATGATGAATTTATACAAAGTTTTGAGGTACAGTTCCTTACAGACTGGGGACTTATTTAGATACTTACTTTTTTAGGGTCATGTCCTGCCCTGAAAGAGGGGCCCCTTCCACGGGGGAGTTCTTCTTGCCACACATGTTGCCAAAGCTGTCATAGCCAAAGAGGAGTCTTCCCGCGGCTCCAGCCACCACCGAGTAGCCCATGATAAACACCTGGCAAAAACGGGGGCATATGAGAGCCTGGCCAAAGGGCTGAGCGCACAGTGCCCCACACCCCTGCAGATGCTGATATAAAACGGAGCCTGGTGGAACGTGAAGCTCTCCAGCATCATAGCGCTTTGCTCCGTCAGTAACAGTGTCAGCAACTCCCATCTATCAGCATCCTGCTCCTCTGCTACTTATACATTTAGGTAGAGAGAGAATCTAATCCACTGAAACAGATTTCTCTCCATTTTCTTACCTCTGTGCTTTTTAACCTTTTCCTTAAGAGTCTATCATTTTTCTTTTTGGTCTAACTTTACTGGGACAATTCAATTTTTCTTCCCTTGATGTTCTTGCTTAATTTAACTGCTTCAGGGCTATGCTAATTCTTTCCCCAAGGTTTTTTTTTTTTCTACTACTTTTTTTGTTTTTCTTTTCTTACTTTTAAGGGATTCTGCAGAAGCAACACAGTTGATATGTACTGAAACACTGTTCACCAATCTGCAAATAGTGTTTTGGAGTAACTGCTTAAGACATACAAAATAAAGGACCACAGGAATTCTGTTGGACAAGAACATCTTGCAATCTATCATCATTTTTATCCACTCTCATAGTGAATGTGGAATATTTGAAATTTCAGTTCAAACAACTGTGCCATTAATACATACTGACAGGCTCTCTGCCAAGATTGAATATGTATCTTCCCATAATGCAAACTTAGTAAGTTTCCCAGTACTGTATGCAATATATAGGATACCATTTAATACTCTATATTGACAAGTTCATTCCAGGAGAACAGATATAATACACTATTCATTAATATATAGTATTGATACCTTATGCTGCAAAGGTACATTGTCCTAAATTCAAATACCTTCTAGACATTCTGCATTTATTACTAATTTAGAAATCAAAATAACAAACATTCTTCAAGTGCCCAGTGTGTTCTTGAGACTTTCTTACTGGGAGACACAGGAATGACCAGAACCTACTCCTTGCCTCCAGGAACCCAGCCTAGAAGGCAAGCAGGACTTACGGGCTGCAGACCTCCTGGGGAAGGAGGCTCCCTGTCCTTTCCCACTCTCCAAGATCCTCCTAAGTCTAACTGGTCAGATTCTAGAATGAATGGGTCACCTTTGCTAGTAGTGTGTGTCACTCACCCTTTACCTAAAGGCTGTGGAGTAGGTGTGACTCTGTTTGCCAATGTGGCTGGCATGGCAAGCTGACTGTGCCTTGACATGCTTGTCTCGTCCTTTCGAGTTGGAGTGTAGTAAGGTCTGGACTGTGTTTGGATTTAGAGGGAGGAAAGGGGTCATGTGCTTCTGCCCAGCTCACCAGTAATCTAATAACAAAGTGATGTTTTCCATTTACCATCATTCTTTCCTTTGGAAAGCCTGTGGTGAAGAATGGAAAGTTTTTCTGGGTGGGAGAGGTGGGAGTGGTTTCTGAGGATTCCTGAGTCCCTCCTAATAAAACTATGACTTTATGATTATTATTTTTTATGTTTTGTAGACACAGGGTCTTGCTTTATTGCCCAGGCTGGTCTTGAACTCCTGGCTTCAAGGGATCTTCCTGCCTCGGCCTTCCAAGAAACTACTACTATAAACCTTCATTGTCCTAATTTCAAACATGCAATTGCGATTCTATATGACAGGTGATATAGGAGGTGTGTACATTGGTCTAGTACATTGGCCACCAAGGTAGTCACTGTCAACCGTGCCTGCAAAATCAGGAAAATGGAATCTTGAGGGATGATAGGAAAAGGCAGGGCAGGAGAGGATACTGGAGGGGTAAGTAGAGGCAGAGATAGTCCAGACTTTGAGACTTTGTTCCTTATGTTTAATGCAAATATAAACACAGGCTGGTGCTGCATTTGCAAGAACCATCTCTGCTTATAATTTCAGCTCCTTCCCCCAAGCCTTTGTCCAGCCCTAACTCAGGGCACACCATCACCAGTCAGGACATCTGTCACAAGACCTGAAAGCTGAACAACAGAGGCAGAAAAAAAAGTCCAAAAACAAAACACTCCTTGCTCTGTTTTAAATACCTGCAAATAAAAAATGTTGCAAAAGACACTAAAAGCCAGTGAGCTAAGAAAGGACTCTGACTCTTAAAACAGAATGCCATAGTGAGAACTTGGATATATTAAAACTTCAGACTTATTTTGCAAATGAAATGTAATTTTAAAGCAGTTTCCAGCTCCGTGCCACCTCTCAGCTGGTTCACAATTCTTCAGGCTGTGATAGGTCATCTACAAAGATTTTCCCCAGGATTCTCAGCTGTTGGGCTGAGAGTTTGGTAGTGAGGTCCTAGGTTGAAGCTGTGGAGGGGCTACGGCAGATCATTAAATCACAATAACAGCTTGAGGTCAAAGCTGCCAGGCACAAGGCAGGCCAGCTGCTCCCTGCATTTATACAACAGCAGTCTCAGATAAAAACACCAACCATCTGCGAAGTTAAGCAGAAGGTATTGTAGGTGCACTGTCTCTCCCAGCTCCTAGGGGAGAGTTCCAACGTAAGCAACAAAAAACATCTGATTATGTGTTTCAGACCTAACCTTCCACTGTGCCTGTAACCAAGCCTGTCTATGTGAAACGGGTCATAAGTGAACAAATGCCTTTCTTACTTGGAAAGAACAAACATGATATTTTAGGGCCTATTCAGATGGAATTCTTTTCAACAAAGGTAATTACTATCTGGTAGTTATTACCCTGCTCTATAAATTAATCATTTACCATGCAGCAAATAGCATGCCTTATCCTGGCATGGATGATTTCGTGAAAGTGGCCTTTGAAAATGTCGGGTGAGACGTTTTCTGCTGTTACCTACAATTCTAAAATAAGTATAAAAGCAGCAAGATTCGGCTTCCAACAGACTCTCTCAGGATTATAACCGCATAGCCTGATGGAGTTTACCAGCAATCATACATACCTCGAAATTAGAGTGGGAAAAATCATTCCTTGTTAGCTATGGTTAACAGTGTTGGCTGCTAAACACAACATATCTCTCGCGCGCGTGTGTGTGTGATGTTCAGCTAAAGGAAATGCAGTTTATTTCTAGGCTTACCCTGGCTTTTCCTTTGTTAAAGGTGCACCAAAAGCTTGAGGAATATTTGATTTGGGGGTGTGGCAGGTGCTAAAAGAACTTCTGTTCAGTAAGTTCGGAGAGTAAAAGGAGACACATTGGCCTTACTAAATAGCAATCACATTGCAAACTGTTAATTCCCATTTCCTAATGGAGTCACCCCTTAGAACATGGCCTGTAGCAAAAAGACAGCCTTTCTAGCGAGTCTAGGACAAGAATTCTCCCGAGTACAAACTGATGTTTATTGTGGGTTAACGGCAGAAGTCTCTCACTGCAGCACCAACTACGATTTACATTTGGGACAGAGTTATTTCCAGACGTGCACACACACTCTGGCCTCTTTCCTACCAAGCACCCACACTTACCAAACCAGTCCAAAAGAGAAAGAACAGGAATAACCATGCCGTATCTGTGCATTTCCTATAAATCTGGGGTCGCCACTCCCTTTGCCTAGGGGCTCCTTCTGCAGAAACCTTCCAGAAAAAGGGAGAGTTGAGAAAAAGAAGATAAACAGGTGGACTCAACCTGGAAACCGAACCCAAATCTACTCGAAGAGGGGCCAAAGTAACCAATCTTTTTCTAAATTTTTAAAATTAATATTATTTTTTTACGTGGCCACCTGAAGCTCTTTCACACAGCCTTTGAAACACCTGCTCTGCGCGGAGCGGATGTTAAGCCCCCTGCCGCCAAGTGCTTACCTGGAGGTGCACCTGAGGACGACCCCAAGTTTGCGCCCCGCGGCCCGCGTCTCCCCCGCCTCCGCCCCAGCACTGGAGCAGGGTCCAGGTTCCTCCCCGCCAGGTGGCCCCAAGGTACTAAGCGGGGGCGGGATCCCCGAGGCGCGGGAAAGGCGGAAGCGTCCGGCAGGGAAGGTGCGTGAAGGCGGGGGACTCGACCCTTCCCCGGGGCTCCTCCCCCGAGGGCCGAGGCTGCGAGCGCTTACCAGGTACTCGGCGCCCAGGCAGTGCATCGTGCGCTCGCCGGCGGGGGCCGGTGACTGGGAGCCGCCGCCGCCTCCTGTACGCGGAGACGCAGCGCCCGCGAGCCGGGGCCGGGGCCGGGGCTGGGGCTGGGGCTGGGGCTGGAGCCGGGGCCGGGCCGGGGAGGGGCGGGCACGGTGCAGCGCCGCCTCCCGTTCGCCTCTGCGCCTGGCCCGGCGACTGCGGGCGCTGCGGTCCACTGGGTCCGCCTCTTCCCGGCATGGGTTTCTGCCCAGCTCACCCGCTGTCAGCTGGGGTCCTGCTCTGGTGGGAGGAAGAGGCTCAGACGCTTCCCTGCCCTCTCGCCTCAACCACCTCGAGGCAGCGGCTCCCAGGATGTGCACTTTGACGACTAAAGCTGAGCCGGCGCCGCCACGACCTTGGGCGGGTGGTCGGCCTCTGCCCTGAGCAGGAAGTAGAAAGTCTCAGCAGACCCTTCCTGAGGGCCGAGCAACAGTGTAGTGGCGTATTCCACATAGCAAACAGGTAAGCAGCATTTACTGTGTGCTGGATTCTGTTCTCACTGCTATTGTTATTCCTAATCTACGGAGGAGGGAAACTGAGGCACGGCCATTGGTGATGCAACTTGTTCGAGGAGACCCAGTAAGTTGTGGAGGCAGGAGTCGAACCCAGACACTCCGGGAGACCGGCGCTCTCGAGGTGGTTTACTCTGACTTCTCTCCCACCTTGCCTTAGGACAATCATTGCCTGACTTCGCAATTGAAATGGTAGTGTCCACTGAAGCGACTGGTGGCATAGTTTTCCAGGTAGTGTCAGACCAGCGCAAAAGCACTGTTGGGGTGAGGAATTTAAAAAACGAAAAACAAAAAAAACTGCAGGCCGACCTCCCCCCACCTCCTCTCAATCAAGCCTCTACCCTTCCCCCTGCCACCCTTAGGGTTGCTAGGTTAATTGCTTCCTTTAGGTGCTGCTTCTCCCTAAGGGTAGAAACCTGACTGGAGGAAAGATCTGGGTAAGTGGGAGAAACTGGGAATGATAGACAGTGGTTCTCTGGTGCCAGCGATTTCCTTCTGGGCTCACACCACCCTCCCACTGCAAACTCACTGGGCCTTCCTGGATGCATGTTTATCAGACAGAGTAGGTGAAACCCCAGGGGAACATGAATTCATAGGACAAAGAATTAGACACTGGAGGAGTGCAACTACTGTTAAAAGACCACAACTGAATAACATATGCCATCTGAAACTGATCAGTAGAGCAGATGGACCAAGATTTTTAAATAAGCATGATAAATTTATTTAAAATGAGTTATGATATTAGCAATATGAATCAGGAAAAAATATGAAACTAAAACATATTAAGCATAAAAATAATAATTAGAATGAATATTGATGCTACGTATTAGTAATGTGCAATAGTCTAAAAGATGCAGCTGACGATGAATTAGTAATTGGAAGAGCACTTTCAGCAAACCTCCAGAGGCAGTAGAAAATGTTTTAAAAAACAAGTTAGCTTATTTGTAAATTTTCTAGCTTATATCTAGGGTAAAACTAGAACAGAAAGGAAGAAATATAAAAACAGAGAAGGGGAAATATTTGAAGATATAATGGAGATAAATTTCAAGGTAGAAAAAAACCTTCAGATTGAAAAGGTTTATCTCAAGCAAAATGTTTCTATATGTAAGTATTTAAAAGCATAACTTTGAACTTATTTTCTATTAAGCCATATTGTCATTAGAATGTGAGAATGTATTAATAATAAAAATATTCTTATGAAAGATTCATTTGAATGACATTCTTGGAGGACATAATCAAGCAAGAAGAGAAACAAATTCAGGAGATGATACAATAGATATAGCATGAGAGTGGCCAAATATTTAGGCTGAATTTATTGTTGTGTTAGAAAAAAGACCAGGAACCACCCAAGTGTCCAGGAACTGGTGGGTGGCTATACATAACTGTGATGCATCTATACGATGAAATACAACTAAGCATTAAGAAGGAACAGACTTCTTACATATGCAAAAACATGGATGATCTCAAATGCATGTTAAGTGAAAAAAAGTCAGATATAATAAGCTACTCTATGATTCCATTTATGTGACATTCTGGAAAAGGCAGAAAATAGATCAATGGTTGTCAGGTGCTGGGGGTGAAGGGAATCTGGAGAAACTTTCTGAAGTGATGGAAATATTCCATTATCTTGAGAATGGTACTGATGACCCAGTGGTATCTGTTTGTCAAAATTTGTAGAACTGTACACTAGAAAAGGTGAATTTTATTGTATGTAAACTGTATTTCATTAAACCTGACTTACAAAAACTCTTTTCAAAAGTCTAAAAACAAAGAACAGTGTATTTATAATGATTCAGACCTAAAATTATAGACAATATCAATATTGTGAGGGGTGTGGGACTCAGGAATGAGAGGCCAAAATGATAGGACAGTGATCTAAAATAGTGCCATTCAAAGGGTGGTTCACAAAACTTAATTGTTCTCTAAGAGATAAGGAGCTTGTACCAGAATGCATATCAGCTATGTCATAAGCAAACTCTTTGATTCAGCTGACACTTTCGTAGCAAGACTTTCTCAATGAAGGAAGCTGTGTGTTGATTTACATGTGGGCTCAAATCTCATTCTGGAATGGATGAGATAAGTAACCCAGTACTACTTAGAGTACTTAGAGTAGTACTGGGTTAAATTACTATCATATGGGAGGAAGACGAAAAAAATTGTTAACTTTAATAAATCAATAGGGATAAATATTTGTGAATGTAGGTCTTAAGGGTAACTACCGTTAAAAAAGAATAAAACATGTAACTTTTAAAGCAGTGGAAGAAAATTTTATCAAATGAAAGGCAAGAGAGCAGAGGAAAAAGGAATAAAAAGAAAGTGCAATAATTAGAATATATGAAATTTGATAGCAGAAATAAAATTACTAATAATAATTTTTACTTTCAGTGTACCTAATATGTTCCAGATACTTTTCTGGGTGTTTCTTATTTGATCCTCATAATAACCTTATGAGGAAGGTACTATTACTTTCATCATCCTCATTTTATAGATGATGAAACTGAGATTAACTAACTTGCTAGAAAGTGGCAGAACCAAGGCCTGAACCCAGGTGGTCTGGATCTAGAACCCATACTTAGAACCATACTTAGAGCTATTCTATGCTGCCTCCTAAATAGAGCAGCAATTACAATAAATGTAAGTGGCTTAAACTAACCAATTAAGAAAAACAGTCTTTCAAATTGAATGAAAGCAAGGGATTCAGCAATATGTTTTCTACAAGAAACTTGTGTAAAACAGACACTAAAAGGTTAAAAGGCTTGAAAAGGATATAGTGCAAATGTGAACCAAAGAAAGCTCATGTAGTAATTTTAAAACCTGACAAAATAAAACTTAAGATAGAAAGTTCATAAGGGAGGTCATAAATGTGCCCAACAATACAGCTTTAATATTTATTAAGCAGCAGCTAACAGAAATTTAGGCAGAAACAGATAAATCAGAATTATAGTTGGAGATTTTTAACTGGCTCCTCTCAGTATCCAATAGATCAAGTAGACAGTAGATACTTCCTCTCCTCTCCCAACACACATACACACAGAAAGCAAATATACAAGGTCTGTACAATTTAATTAATAAACTTGAGCCATTAGATATTTATAACTCATATACGTTTCCATCAAACAGTGAATACATGTCCTTTCTCTTTTCAGGTACATGTGAAACATTAAAGTAAAAACATAAACTGTGTATTAGATCTTAAAGGGAGGCTCAATAAATTTCACAGTGCAATAAAATTAGAAGTAATGAATAACAGTATGTGTGGTGGACAGATTTTAAGGCCCCTATGATTTCCACCTCCTGGTGTTTACACCCTTATGTAGTTCCCTTCTTCAGATATGGGTGGGACCTGTACCTTTCAACCAATTATGATGGTTAATTTTATGTATTATTTTGAATAGGTCAGCCATAGGGTATCCAGATATTTGGTCAAACATTATTCTGGGTATTTCTGTGAGTGTGTTTCTGGATGAGATTAGCATTTAAATTGGTGGACTGAGTAAAGCAGCTTTCCCTCTCTAATGTATGTGGGCCTCATCCAATCAGTTGAAGGCCTGAATAGAACAAAAGGCTGACTCCACCCACCTAGTAAGAGGATTTTCCTGCCTGATGGCCTTAGAACTGGGATATTGGCTGTCCGTCTACAGCATCCTAGTGGTCTTTGGACTTGAACTGGAACATTGACATTTCCTTGTTCTACAGCAGCTTCTAGCCTTTGGACTTAAATTAGAACACTGGTTTTGCAGATTTTGGATTTGCCAGCCTCCATAATCCCATGAGAGTCAATTCATTATAATAAATCTCTTTATAATATCTATCAGTCTGTCTATCTTATCTATCAATCATCCATCCATCCATCCTATTGGTTCTGCTTCTCTGAAGACCCCTAATACACCAAAAATACACGGTAAATGTGATGGAAAGTCATTCCCATGATTACATGACATTACAAAAGAAAGAGAACCCAGTTAGATTGTGCCCAGACTCCTGACCAACAGAAACTATAAGATAATAAATGCATGTTGTTTTAAGTCACTACATATGTGGTAATTTTTCACATACAATAAATAATACAGCAGATGTATTAGTTCATTCTTGCATTACTATAAAGAAATACCCGAGACTGGGTAATTTATAAAGAAAAGAGTTTTAATTGGCTCACAGTTCTGCATGCTATACAGGAAGTTTAGTGGCTTCTGCTTCTTGGGAGGCCTCAGGAAACTTACATTCATGGTGGAAGGCGAAGGGGAAGCAGGCATGTCTTACATGGCTGGAGCAGGAGAGAGACATGGGGAAGGTGCAATATACTTTTAAATGACCAGATCCCACAATAACTCACTATTATGAAAATAGCACTGAGGGGATGGTGCTAACCCATTCATGAGAACTCAGCCCCTATGATCCAATCACCTCCCACCAATTTGGGGATTACAATTTGACATGAAATTTGGGTGGAGACACAGACCCAAACCATATCAGCAGAATAGCAAAAAACAAACAAAACCCACAAACAAACAGAAACCAAAAACTACCCAAACCTCATTTGGAAACCAAAAAACATCTTACTAGACAACATCCTTGAGTCATAAAGGAAATTAAGAAATATTTAAAATTGAATGTTAATAAAAATTCTACATGTCAAATTGGGACACAGCTAAAACACCAGTTAGATGGAACTGTATGGGTTATATCTATCAGGAAACAAAAGGTTAAAAATAAAGTAGCTAAGCATTCAACACAAGAAGCAACAGCATACACAGTGAAACAAGAAGAAAGGCAATAATAAAGATATGGGCAGAAATCAGTGACACAGAGAAAAGTAGAGAAGATGAATAAAACAGAAGTCAGTCCCATGGAAAAGATTAAAAGACCAAACTTTGGCAAGACTGATCAGGAAAAAAGAGGAAAGACTCAAAATAAGACAGAATAATGGAGGAAATAACAAAATATATTAAAACATTTAAAAAGTGTTATGAGCCCTAATATACGTAAACCTAAATAAAATGGTTATGTTCCTAAAAATGTAAAATGCCATAATTGATATAAGAAGAAATAGAGAATTTGAATAAACCACTAAATGTTTGGTAAATTGAAATGGCAGCCAAATATCTCTCCTAAACTCCCCCCACCCCAACTCAGATCTAGAGGCTTTTAAGGGACTTTTAAGAAACAGTTAATTTCTATAACATACAAGTTGCTCCAGAAATAGAAATAGAGCAAAATTTGCTCTGGTCATTTTATGAGGCCAGCATCAACCTGATACCAAAACCAAGTAAAGATTGTACTGGAGAAAAAGAAAAGGAAGAAAGAACTATTATTACACTTGTGAACTAAGATGTCATTTCAGATAAATTTATTATTTGTTTTAAAAAAATCCAGTTTTAGGAATTTCCTAAAAACCTATTAGAGCAATAGGCTCTAATGGTTAATAGCTGTCATCAGGATAATACGTAGATCACTCAACTGGGTTACCACATGACTGTGCCCTTCAAAACTCGCTTCAACTTCCTACCCTTCATTGTTCTCGCCAGTTCTCAACTTATTATATAACAAACTGGCCAATTAAATCAGCATCCCTGCCTTGAAAAACCCATCTTATGCCAGACCCTAAAACCCTTGTAAATATCCCATCCTTGAAATACATTGAATATGTCTATATTCATAAATTCTCAATAATACCAAATGAAAATAAATCCTTATTGATTGCCTCTAGAAAATTCTAGGGACCAACTCATTTCAAAAACTTAAAGGGAAAGAATCAAACACATATTCTACCTCTCTTATACGAACAATACTTAAGGGTAATCAAATAATCAATGAGGGAAGTTTCTCTTAATAGACATATTGTGGCTTATAGAAGCAGAAGGAATAAAAGAATTAGGATATCACAGTTTTCCAAACATCATAAAAGAGGGGCAGTCAGCCATCAACCTCCTCCCAGGGAAGAACGTATCGCTGCCTGTGAAATTGTCATGCCAGAAAAATCCAGTGGAATCTGACTACCAACTTTGCTATAAATATAGGAAATAGAGGAACAAGTCAAATGACATCTCAGGGATGCCACCGGCAAAATCAAGAATGGGAAAATCGATTTTGACATTGTGTTTTGACAACAATCTCCACCACAACAGCAAAAAGATAACAAGAAAGAAAAGAGTATGTGGAAAACCTACAGATTAAAGGAAACCAATATTTTAACTAATTACAATGTGTGGACATTGTTTAGATCCAGATTAAACCAAATGAAAAAATGAAAGATCATTTAGAGGACACTGTAGGAAATGTAAGCAGTGATTGGATGTTTGATGATATTAACTAATTTATATTAAAGAATTTGGGGGTCTGATGATGGCACTGGGGCTAAGTCTAAAATAAGGGAGTCTTTATCTTTTAGATTTACATACCAAAAATGATATGCTCTCTGGGATTTGCTTTTTAAAAAATCCAGGGCAAAGGAGAATGGTTGGAGGTATGGGGAAACAAGATTGACTATCCATTGATAATTGCTGAAGTTCATTAAACTTCGTTAAATTGCTGGGGGTTCATTAAACTATTTTCTCTACTTTTGTTATTTTTCTAACTTTACACACAGACACACACGATGACTGTAGGGTCCGACCTGCAGACCCTGACCCAGCAACGAATGAGAGACATACACTAACACAGCTGTCAGTCCAGCTAAGGGGCTCTGTTCTGAGTCTGGAGCATTGCCCCATAAGCTGGCAAAGTTTGCATTTATTTAGTACAGATTAAATGACAAAGGTCTTGAGTAAACACCACTAGAGGGTAATTAACATTGCCGACCCCCCCACCCCCCAGCAGAGAGCAATTATGCACCTGAGGTTGATCAGTTTGGTCTTAGGACCACAAGAGTAAACAAGCTATTTCAACTCCACACATTCCCTTGTTGTTTGCTTTTTTGCTATCAACTAAAGGTAAAGAGGATTAGGCTGCCTTCAGCCAAATCTGGTACTGAAGCCATGCAAACCCCCCAGCCTTCCAGGAGGGTTTGTGTTTATTTTCTATAACTATCTTTATAATTTTTCCTCTACAATTTTTCCCACCACCCTGACTGTACTCCCACAGATGATGACAATGCATGCCACCTCCTGAGCTTCCACTTGGGAAGTAGACATGCTTAACACTTCTGTATGGATGCACCTGCTCTTGAACATACCTACCTTGTTTCTTTTGTTTCTGCCTTTTTTTTTTTTACTCCCCTCTACCCCCCACAGCTTGGGCACTCATGCCTGACCCTCTCTATTCCTCACTGAGGCAACATCATTACTTAGCCTTAGGATCATTGTATCTCCAGATCTATTGGCTCAGCTAAGGTGCCAAGCTCTCACAGTTTCCCACCCTCAATCTCTTCACTCCAACCCCATGCAGGCCCCTGGAGCTTCTGTAGCACTTTGGCCTTAACAGTTTTTCCTCTTCTCTGTGTGTTTCTTCATCCTATACCTCACATTCCCCTCCTGCCCATCTGTTCCTAACTTTCTCATGATTTTCATGTTTGTCTTATATTCTAATCTGCATCTCTTCCAAAGGCCTTTGGCACCTTTTTCTAAAACTTCTAGGTGCTCTCTGAAGATGTTGAGATCTTGCTTCTGTCCCAATCTGGTCACACAAAGATGCAGTTAGGGCCACTCAGGTTGCCTGCTTTGCTTTCAAGTGTCTGACTATTACCTCTTTGGGGCAGGTCTCCCAGATGCAGACTGAAGCTTGACCTAAGCTTCAGCCTGTGAATCTTATTGACACTGTACTTTGGGGCCAGCACTAAGAAAGGCCAGAACTTCCCACCCTTCATCCCACTTTTCCCAGGCTTCCTTACCCTCCTCATCAGCTCCTGTGGCTGAGTTCCCACCATGCTTTGGGCCTGATGCCCTCTGGATAAAATACCATGATGTTAGACTCTGATGGAGCAATTTCTCGTCCCAGACTAAGAAGGGGCTCACCTTACAAGAGTCAGTTATCAGAGGCTCCAGTGCGGGCAGGATCACTGACTCAGAAGGACCAGATCCTTCCCCATCTTGCCTTTCCTGTCAGCCATGGGGGCTTGTACCTCAGACTGGAAGCCAGAGATGAGATGAAGGATGCAAGAGGTCTTGGGTCTTTGTACTTGGTCCAGAAATGGCCCAAGATATACTGGATAGATAAGGAGGCACTGGGGAGCACTTGGCTGAGACAGGGAGGGAGGTGGGGGGAAGGAAACCAAGCAAGGTGTGTGTGCAAAGGACTCCCAGCTCTTTAAATCTGGATCCTGGTCATTTCAGGATGAGGAAGTTTCAGCCTCAGAAGACCTTCTTTTCTCCTTGAAATCTTTGGATTAGAAATCTGGTCTCTGGGGGAACCTTGATTAATTTTAGCCTATCTTTATTCAACAGGGATTGACTCAGCACTTGCTTTGTGCCAGGACTTGGGCCAACTCAAGGGGCACGAACACCAAGAAGGAATATTTGCCCACTCCAGCGAGGTCAAGCTCAGTTGAGGGTTAATGATGAGGCAGGCTGATGCGGGTTCTTTGCCCAGTCCCAGGGTTCCAAGAAGCCTTCCTGGGAGAGGGGGCCTGAGTTGAATGGTGCAAGATGAACAAGAAATGGCAAGATAGAGAAAGGTGGGGAGGGCTTCCCAGGCAGAAGAGAGAGCATGGCTAAAGGGCTAGGGGCATGGAGCAGCAGGGGACCCCCAGCCATGTAGTATCACTGGAGGATGAAAATAAGGGGGAGAAGGAGGGAGGGAGAGAAGGTATACTTCTGAGGGCAGAACTAACTCAGCCGTTAGGGCCCAGCATGCCACACCAAGAAGCCGTTTGCCTTTCTGTGATTGTATCTTTCTCATTTGCTCCCACTTTGTAGAACAGCTTTTAGAAAATGCTACCCTGTCTTGGTTGTGCTCAAAGGACTGGAAGGAGAGGGGCTTGTGTTCCCCTTGTACCTCTGAAGAGCAGGGAGCAAGGGTAGGCTTGGTGGGGGCAGCAAGATTCCAGCAGGAAAATACTTTTTTTTTTTTTTTTTGAGATGAAGTTTCGTTCCGTTGCCCAGGCTGGAGTGCAATGGCACGATCTCAGCTTACTGCAACTTCCGCCTCCCAGGTTCAACTATTTCTCCTGCCTCAGCCTCCCAAGTAGCTGGGATTACAGGCATGCTCCACCACATCTGGCTAATTTTTGTATTTTTAGTAGAGATGGGGTTTTGTCATGTTGGCCAGGCTGGTCTCGAACTCCTGACCTCAGATAATCCACCTGCCTTGGCCTCCCAAAGTGCTGGGATTACAGGTGTGAGCCACCATGCCCAGCCCCAGCAGGAAAATTCTTATGGGGAGGTGAGGCAAGGGAACAGTATAGCCACCAGGCTCCCTTCTTAAATGTGTTCCTTGGAACACAGTCTCTCCTTTAGCCCTGAGGGACTTTCAGTTTGGTTAAAAAATATTTTTTAGTTACAAAAGATTATATATGTCACATTACATTATTTATGTTAATATATTCTTTTGCATATATCAAACATTGCATAATAAAAACTGTAGTACACATGGGGTATATACTAAGTTATAAGGCATAATGACATGAACACACCTAAACTC
This sequence comes from Homo sapiens, assembly GCF_000001405.40. Classification (NCBI taxonomy): domain Eukaryota; kingdom Metazoa; phylum Chordata; class Mammalia; order Primates; family Hominidae; genus Homo; species Homo sapiens. The sequence goes on along the minus strand of NC_000001.11, from coordinate 94,810,332 downwards.
ACTACCCAATTAAATAACTAGAATATTCCCATAATGCTTCTCCTTGGACACAACTCCTGCTAAGCTTTCAATCTCAGAGGTAACCACTGTTCTCAGTTTTGTTTACCCCCTTACTTAAACATACCTTTTTTTTTTTTTTTTTGAGACGGAGTCTCACTCTGTCACTCAGGCTGGAATGCAGTGGTGTGATCTTGGCTCACTGCAACCTCTGCCTCCTGGGTTCAAGTGATTCTTGTGCTTCAGCCTCCTGAGTAGCTGGGATTACAGGCACGCACCACCACGCCCGGCTAATTTTTGTATTCTTAGTAGAGACGGGGTTTTGCTGTGTAGGCTAGACTGGTTTCAAACTCCTGACCTCAGGTGATCTGCCCGCCTCGGCCTCCCAAAGTGCTGGGATTACAGGCATGAGCCACCGCGCCCAGCCTACTTAAACATACTTATTATTTTAGATTATTTCACTCCTTAAATAACATAATTTAGTTTGCTTTTTAGGGGATATTACAAAAAATGATGGTGTATGGTAGGGAGTCATCTGGAACTTTTTAACTCTACACTTTTTTTTAATGTGTGATTTTAAAGTTGAGGTTGGCTAAACATTTGGAATTTATGGACATAAAGATGGCAACAATAGAAACTAGGGACTATTGGGGGAGTGAACGAGGAGAGCAAGGATTAGAAAACTAACTACTGGTTATTATGCTTATTACCTGAGTAATGGGATCATTTGTACCTCAAACCTCAGCATCATGCAATATGCCCAGGTGACAAACCTGCACATGTACCCTCTAAATCTAAAATAAAAGTTAAAAAAGGCCAGGTGCAGTGGCTAATGCCTGTAATACCAGCCTTGTGGGAGGCTGAGAGGGAGGATTGCTTGAGGCCAGGAATGCAAGACCAGCCTGGGGAGCATAGCAAGACCCTGTCTCTTGCTCTCTCTTTTTTTAAGTTTAAAAAAATAAAAATAAAATAAAATTGAGGTTGGTTCTTTATAGACTAAACCAAACAATCTAACCATAGACTCTCTGACCATAGTATAGAAGGATAGAACAGTCAGACTGCTAAGTCCTTGAATTCTACTGAAGATAAGATGTATGAACTGCTGGGGACTGGTTGGTCTAATTTGTTGGCTTTCTTTTGTCTCACCATTTCCATTTAGTTGGATATTAGTGGTGTTTTTATGTTAATCACATCTATTGTCTCCTACATTTCTGCATTTGTGCAGGGCAGAGCCTTCCTATGAACAACCTCAAGAAATTTCCTACTTACCTTCACCAAGCATTTCTACCTGTGTCTGGGATGCCTCTTGCTGAAGCACTTGCTGGCACTCTGAGACACTCTGAGTACCAGTCTTGAGAGACCATTTTCTTCTTTCTGTGTCTTTTAATGAGTAATGAGAGTTCTAGCAGGAAGGCATTTCAAATTATTCTTTTATGGTGCTGGAGACTGAACAGAAGGGAGATTATGACCTGGTCTCTCTTGCATGTTCTGAGGAACGGTAGACCTGGAGGCGCTATTGAAAAAAATATCCTGTGGTTAGATATGGTTTAGAAATATTGTTCTGTATCCCATTTATTGCAGTGTTCATCAGTATACTAGAGATTTGACCAAAGTACCCGTGTGTGTGTGTGTGTGGTGTGTGTAACAAGTATTAACACTGGCCAAAAAAAAAAAAAAACGCAGCAGTTCTGGGTAGTGCTGTTAAAGACTACATTTTTTGACGACATGGACAACTTAATTTGTTTTGAAATATGCAGGGTCTTAGGTAAGTGGGTGGAATGATTGTCAAGGCACTTGAAAAGCCCTCCTCTCTCGTGCCTACCCTACCTGATTAATGTACCTAAAATGCTGTCTTAGAGAGGACAACTTTTTAACACACATTGGAGAAAAAATTAAAATACAAATGGCCCTGGGAGAGGGCATTTGAGTAATAAATCCATAATAAGATGTAAATGACTAATGCCAGATACGTTTCTTATCTCAGGTTTTTAGAGGAAGAGAGCTACACCACAAGGCCACCAGGGCTTCTGAAGGCTGAGAGCAGTGTCATGAAAGGCAGGGCAGGGGCCCACAGGTCAAACCGCAGCCTCTGTTTATCTTTCCCAGAGCCAGCTTACTGCAACATTCAGTGAATTTTATGACCTGCAATGTTCATTTGTTTAACTGGAAATGTAAAACTACATTTTCATTTTTTTTCTTTTTTTGAGATGGAGTCTCACTCTGTCGCCCAGGCTGTAGTGCAGTGGCAACCTCCACCGCCCAGGTTCAAGTGATTCTCCTGCCTCAGCCTCCTGAGTAGCCGGGATTACAGGTGCCTGCTACCACGTCCAGCTAATTTTGTATTTTTAGGAGAGACGCAGTATCACCACATTGGCCAGGCTGATCTTGAACTCCTGACCTCGTGATCTACCCACCTCGGCCTCCCAAGGTGCTGGGATTACAGGCGTGAGCCACCACACCTGGCCTATGTTTACATTTTGACTGCCAAGATACCATCTATTTTTGTTTTTTGCCAAATATCTGAAATAAATGTCAACATTTTTTTTTTTTGAGACGGAGCCTCGCTCTGTCCCCAGGTTGGAGTGCATTGGCACAATCTTGACTCACTGCAATCTCCACCTCCTGGGTTCAAGCAATTCCCTGCCTCAGCCTCCCGAGTAGCTGGGACTACCTGCATGCACCACCACACCCGGCTAATTTTTTGTATTTTAGTAAAGACTGGGGTTTCACCATGTTGGCCAGGATGGTCTCAATCTCCTGACCTCGTGATCTGCCCGCCTCAGCCTTCCAAAGGGCTGGGATTACAGGTGTGAGCCACCATGCCCAGCTGAATATCACCATTTTTAATAGGTACAAGTATAAGCTTCTAAAGAGGCAGGTTGAATTTTGTTTTCTAAAATTTGTTTGCATTTGGTAACCTTGTCTATTTGGAGTACATGTGTAGTGTTGTAAAAACAGGAAAACCACTAACTTCCAGCACAAATGTACAAAATTTGATGCACTATGATTTTAAATTTAGATCTTTTAAGGGGGAAGTTTGCCTATTTATCCTGAATTTTATCAGTCCAACTGTTACCAGCCATGGGTTCTTGGGCTTTTAATACAATAGAAATTGACCCGAGGCCAAAAGAGTTTTCCTAAACAAGGCTTGAGAGAGAGAGAGACTGAGTCTGGCTGGCCCTGGAGGAGTTAGAGAGGCAGTTTTAAAGGGGCTATGGTGGGAAAGTGATGTTTAGGTATGTAGAGGCGGGGAAATTTTAGCCCCTGTGCAGTTCATAACATGCTTCTTCACATGTCACATGTCTCATTAGCATGTTCAATCTTCACCCCTGGGTGTGATTTTTCCTACCATAATGAAGCTAAGGTTAAAGATTACTCCATTCTTCTGGCCTTGAGGCATGCGGGAGATAGGGTTAACTCCCTTGAGTAGGATTGATGGTGAGAGCTGCTTATTTTAGCTTCTTCAAGACCCTCCAATCAGTGGGTGTGGCGTCTTGAACAAGATTTATGGTGCAAGGTCTGAATGGTCTGATTGGGGTCCCCACCAGCTTGCAGTAAAGGTCCTTGGTGGGGCACGGGGGAGGGAGGCCCAGTCCCACGCCTACTCTGTCTCACAACAATGCTATCTTTTTCTGTTCTGAGTGAGGGAAAGCAGAAAAGGAAAGGGAGGAGGGAAAGAAGAGGAAGAGGGGAACATGGTATGAATGGAGGAGGAGCAATTACTCATCTGTGTGGAAACGAGGCACCAGCTGTAGGACATACGGCAAATTTCCTCTTTCTCTGGGTCTCTTTGTAAAATGAGAGAGGAGAGCCAGGTTTTTCTTGATCTCCTTCCAGCTCTGAAATGCTAGGATTTAAAATCACATGGCATATGTATGGAAACTAATTATCCGAAGTAAGTAGAGGGAAGAAACGCTAGCAGAAATGAGTGAAATACAAAACAAAAACGCAATACCGATGATCAATAAAAATAAAAGCTTGTTCTTTGAAAAGACTGGAAAAATAAAAAAGGCAAGCCCCTGGTAAGACAGATCAACAAAATAGGTTGTAGATAAAATGTGCAAAATACCTGGCGGGTAAGAGGTAGTCTCCTAATGACAGGGATGATGACACCACCTCCCTATTTTATTTTTATTTTTCTCTTCCATCTTCTTTATTTTTCTTCCTCTTATCTTTTACTTTTATTTGTATTTCCCCCTTTATTCCATATCCGTGACGTGGACACTGGCACTCTGAGACACCTGGGTAACGAAGAGGTTACTAGCCCTCCTGCCCTGGTAAAACCCTGGCATTGAGGGCTACTGTAGTTGCCACTTCTTTACAGCAGATGGCACTGCAGGCCAGTGGCTGTGTTGTCAAGACAAACTGTGTGGTTTTCTTCATTGATTCTAGGGTATTTTCCCTCATCTTTATTTTAATTAATTATTTTTTTTTGAGACAGGGACTTGCTCTGTTACCTAGGCTAGAGTGCAGTGGTGTGATCATAGCTCACTGTACCTTTGAACTCCTGGCTCAAGCAATCCTCCTGCCTCAACCGCCTGAGTATCTAGGACTACAGGTGTGCACCACCATGGTCAGCTAATTTTTTAATTATATTTTTTTGTAGAGAGGTGGTCTTGCTATGTTGCCCAGGCTGTTCTTGAACTCTTGGGCTCAAGCAGTCCTCCTGCCTTGGCCTCCCAAAGCTCTGGGATTACAGGTGTGAGCCACTGCACCCAGCCGACCATCTTTATGTTTTATTTTTCACAAAATGTTTAACATTTCCAAATAGTGAGGCATCTTATATTTGACATATATATTTATTGTGGTGTTTTATGCTTCCCCAAAGCTATTATTACACTGATGTCCTCATTAAATCTTACAATTGTCTTAAAATGAAAGACATTCAATATTGTTACACATCTTAGCACTGCCTGGAACAAACTGATATCCTGTATAGACTAAAAGCACTGACTGCAAGTTCTTACTGAAGAATTTTAAATGGTGCATTATTTAGTTGTCTGGAAATCACTGGACCTTTGGAATTGAGCTGACTCAGGGTTCGAAACTAGGTTCAGACAGTTGCCAACTGTGTGATCTTGGGAAAATTACTTATTCTCTGTAAGCCTCTGTTTCCCCATCTTTAAAACGGTGATAACAATGGCTAATTTGCAAAATTGTTATTGTTTGCCTATACTATAACTTGGCCCCAAAGCAACTTATTGATTTGGTTATTGTCATTAGTTTTTGGGACAGAGTCTCGCTGTGTCACCCAGGCTGAAGTGCAGTGGCGCAATCTTGGCTCATGGCAACCACTGCCTCCTGAGTTCAAGCGATTCTCCTGCCTCAGCCTCCCAAGTAGCTGGGATTACAGGCACGTGCCACCATGCTTAGCTAATTTTTTAGTAGACATAGGGTTTCACCATTTTGGCCAGGCTGGTCTCGAACTCCTGGCCTCAAGTGATCCGCCTGCCTCAGCCTCCCAAAGTGCTGGGATTATAGGCGTGAGCCTCCACTGGTTTGGTTATTATAGGTTCAATAACCCATAGCTAATGTTATATAAATTTTAAAAGCCTAGGTTAACAATGAAATAGGAAACAGACCTGTTTAATTTGTAGCAAATTAGGAGAATGTGCTTGTACAACTCAAGGAATCAGCTGATTTGACTCAAAGTCCATCAGCTGATTGACTTGGGAGCTGTGGGTCTTGGGGCCTTGTTTGGTGCACAGCCCAGACGGCACTGCTTTATCACCACTAGCAGCGTGGCTCCCAAGACAGAATCTCCTGGGGCGTTGCTGAAACAGGCAGATCCTGGGCCCACCCAGACTAGATTAAGATCTCTAAAGGCAGGGCACAGAATCTGTCTTAAAACAAGTTGTATATATCATTTATAGGAACACAAAAAAGCAATAACTCTGACCTAGAATATGAATTCCTATAGACTAGTGCTGCAGATATAATAATATTAATTTGCTTATTGGATAGTGGGAAAACAAAACAATCAGGCAGCTCTGGCTCTTTTTGTCCTTCCTGCTCCCCACCCACCCCATGTTGTGCATCTTTCACAAGTTGTTGCACTTGCAGGAGCTTCTGCCACAGTCATGAACGGGTCTGGCATGACAACGATGCCAGAGAAGTGCCAACTCCATTGTGTGAGGCTGTCAGAAAATGAGATTCTAGATTGGTGAGCAAGAGTTCTCGATAACTGAGGTTAACTTTTTAAAAGTTCACATTTGTTATGGGCTGAATTGTGTCCCCCCAAATTCATATGTTGAAGCCCTAACCCCTAATACCTCAGATTTATGATGCAAGGTCTGGATGGTCTGATCGGGATCCCCACAGACCGATCAGCTTGCAGTAAAAGTCCTTGGTGGGGCATGGGGGAGGGAGGTCAAGTCCCATCCCTACTCTGTCTCACAACAGTGCTGTCTTTGTTCTGAGAGAGGGAAAGCAGAAAAGGAAACGGGGCCTGTAAAGACGTAGCTAAGTTAAAACAGAGTTGTTAGGTTAGGCCCTAATCCAATTTGACTGGATGACCCTGGGCGCTCCCTTCACAGAAACCTTGTATGTGTAGAGGGCTGATCCAGGCATAGTTGTTTTCTAGGACACAAATTAAATTACAAGCAACAAGGCCATGGTGGGGTAAACCACAGACAGTGCTGGATATCAGCTCAGGATGGGACAGGAGAGGGCTCCATGGCTGACAGCACTGACAGATGTGAGTTCATGTTCACTGCCAAAAAGCACAGCTGTTGTCACAGGGCTTACAGCAGCACTCAGAGCATGAAGAATGTAAACCATTGTGTCTTTTATGGGTTGATATATCTATTTGCTTTTATAACAAGTGATTTAAGAGACAAATAACATTATAATGAAATAGATCAATATTGCTGCTTTAAGTGGGGGAACTGTGTGCCTCAACTTTCTCAAAGGCATACAGTCATTATTAGTAACAAAAATGATTGTACTAAGTGCTAATTTTGAGGATTATTGTGAGCAATTTGTGTGGGGTGGTGGTGGGGAGGCCCATTTGCCCCACACTGAATGCCCCAGCCCTGTCTGCTGCCTCGAATCTGTCCCGGGGTCTTACTGTGTGTGGGCCTCTTCCTGCTCCTGCCACATTTCTGCTCTCTGATGTTCTCTTCCCTCTTATTTGCTCCTCAACCTTGCTTTGCTTTTCTTTTTCCTTTTATCTCTCATTCTAAATTTTATAATCTTAGTTTTTCGGTTTTTAGAGCCATTTCTAACTAAGGAGAATATCCCTCACTTTGTTAACTAAGACGTTTATATAAGTTTCTCTTACCCAACCCTCCTCTACATCTTTGGAAGATTTACTGAGTATTCATTTCAAAATAATAAAACTAAAGAATGTTTTTAATACTCACAAATTAAAGATATTGGAACACTACTAAGTGTAAATAGCACAAAACCAAAAATATTTTACTCTCTGCATTTGAACAGCATGGAAAGACTGTGGAATCAAGTGTCACATCTATCTAAACCCCCCTCCCATACAGGTTTTATAATCATTTTATTATAGCTGCTTTCATCTGCTCATATTCAGCTCTTCTTGGATTTTTAAAAAACGAGCTCTTGTGCTTGAAGCCTTTCAGGGAAGGCTTCAGGGGCAGGGGTGGTTGTTGTTCTGGACAGTTAAGGGCAGTTAGGGTGGCACAGGCTAGAGGGAGGTCATGACCCATGGACCAATAACACAGTTCAGACAAAGTGCTTCTCAAATGGAAATGATTTGGCTTTACGGATCTTGTAAGAGCATTTAGATGGTGTTGGGCTGTCAGTCGGTTCCAGCTGTAGATGGCTCTTGCATCTACAAAACACAAAAGTGACCTGGAGAAACAAGAGTGGGGCCCATTAGCCAGGCTGGGCCAAGTGCTCCTTGTGGACGGTGACAGCAACTCCCACTGTGCAGGCCCAGGGCAGAGCTATGGGGGAAACGGTGGCTCCCTCTCCCAACTGCTTGCCAGATGGTAGCTGGCTCACAGCAGCCGGTTCCCTGGGGCAGGCTGGGACCAGGTGTGGTGGACGAGGCACCAGGGGGCCTGAGAGCAGACGCTTCCTTAAATCTGGACCCTAGATGCGCAACTCACCTCACCCCAGTCTCAGCCCTGCTCTGGCAACTTTTAACTGCCCTTACTCCAAGTACTCATAATTCAAACCAGAAGATGGAGCCAAGTAACTTGAAAGAGAGCACAGGGCTTTCAAGTGGTTATTAACCAGATGAAACAAATGACTTGGAGAACTCTGCCGTTCTAGTTAGAGCACAGGCCTCTTAGGCAATGCTTCTGTTAACTAATTGTTTAGTAAAATGAAAACTGATCTAGGATTTCTCATCTACCCTAAATAAAAGTCCTATTGCATTATGTGTGGCTGTTCATTCTCTAAGGAAATGGGAAGATACAAAGTGAAACTAAAGTGGGGGCAGAATGGGAAACAAATGTAACAGATAGAAATAAAGGCACAAATTTCAATGAGCAATGCGAAAGAAGGCTGGAATAAACAGAAGGCCCATCATGTCAAGAAAGGAAAACATTGTGAAGATAGGACTTGTTTCAAAGTTAATTTGTACATTTAATGCTATTTCAAACTAAATCCACTAGGATTATTTCGTGGGGTAGAAGGCTTGGCAAAGTATTGTTAAAATTTACCTAAGTGTATATTCAGGCAATTTATCAAATTCAAAAGGAGACTGGGTCATTTTGGGAGTACTTGTGTTATCAGTGCACGTGATAGGGTTACAGTGACAGAAGGATGACTTCTGTGGAGTACACTCAGTGGCCTAAAGATACTGCATATTACATACACTGTGCAAGAATTAACTACATGTTATAGACAGAAGGACTACATAAATAATAATGAATAAATAAAATTCTTGTTGGAACAAAGCTACACATAAAATAAATGAATAAAATAATAAATAAGCAGTAATAATAAAAAGAAAGTGTATAGGTTCTCAATTTACATCATGGCTTGAAATATATTCTGGATGAATGAGAATTAAACAGGCATTGTATCATAGAAAGACTTCACAGATGTAAATTTTACTATTTGCCAAGTTTCTAGAGGATGAAGGACTAAGTTTTCAAGTAATAGAAAATCATATTGGAAAATACTTGACTACAGACATAAATTAATGTAAAATGATAGGAATTCAAAACTAGGGATTGTCATATCTACTGCAAATAGTTTCTAAAAACCTTGTATCTTTATTCTAAGGTAGGATCATAAAAATTTTAGGGGAAAACAACAGAAAAATGAGCAAAAATGTTGGCCAGTTTACAAAGGAAGACATGCAGACACAGGAATAAATTATCATATGAAAGATGTAAACTCCTGATATTAAAATGAAAACAACAGTGATATAGCATTCGCTGACTAATGTCTTAAGTACTGTATGCACGTTAAAAATAAAATGATCCAAATGTTGGAGAGAGTGCAATGAAATAGTATGCTCACACTGAGAAGAAATTGGTTTGTGTTTAACATATGAATACCACAAATCTTTAAATTTTCCTCTGTCGCTGCATAGACCACTGGAAAGTGGCTTAGCCCTAATAAATGTACTTTAGTACATCCCCACATGAAGTGCAGCATAATGGATGAGAGCTCAAATTCCAGACTTTGACTGTTTTGTCTCTTACTGGTTTTGTGAATTTGAGCAAGTTATTAACTTTCTAGGCCTCCATTTTCTCTTTTTTTTTTTTTTTTTTTTTTGAGACAGAGTCTCGCTGTGTCACCCAGGCTGGAGAGCAAAGGTGTGATCTTGGCTCACTGCAACCTCAGCCTCCTGGGTTCAAGTGATTCTCCTGCCTCAGGTTCCCAAGTAACTGGGACTACAGGCACCCACCACCATGCCCAGCTAATTTTTGTATTTTTAGTAGAGATGGGGTTTCAACATGTTGGCCAGGCTGGTCTTGAACTCCTGACCTCATGTGATCTGCCCACCTTGGCCTCCCAAAGTGCTGGGATCACAGGCATGAGCCACCACACCTGGCCTAGGCCTCCATTTTCTTATCTAGAAAATGGGGATAATAATATTTACCTCTGTGCTGCAGGAATTAAATGAAATTATATACGATGAATTTAACACAGTGCTAATATGCAATAAGTATTCAATAAATGCTAGTTGTTTCTTTTCTTACTTTTCCCTTTTACCTGGATTTTTCTACTTAATCAAATTATTTAACTGTGTTTGCTTTTGTAAACTGCTTCAAATCCTTTTTGGAACCTGGCTGCACATAAATTAATCCATATTACCAGTGCTTTCTTAAAGCATTATACCAGTTTATGATGCCAATTCCAATGGAAGAGAGTAATTAGATAACAGGGTCAGTTGTAATAGAGAGTAGTTTGATAACAGGTCAGTTGTAATATTGTAACTACTATCCTAAGACTTAAAAAGCTCATGACCTTTGATACAGTAATTCCATTTTTTGGATTCTACACATGTTAAAAAAAAACAATTTTACATATGTAAAAAGATTAAAGTTTTCATACAAAATTTGTACAAAATTTATTTATAGTTCTGTTTATAATAGCTAAAACAATCAGAATGTTCCTTAAAAAAGAAATAATTAAATTATTCACTCAAGAACACTTTACACAGTTATTAAAATATTTTTGAAAATTATATGATAGCATGGTACACACTTTTCATATAATATCAAGTAAAAAAAGTGATTAATTGTGTCTATAAATTGTCTAAAGCAATCTAAGATTACAAAGAAAAAGACTGAAAGGAAATATGCTAGTGTGTTAATAATGGACTTTGAGAAACAATAGATGATTTCTAAATCCTTTTTTTCCGTGCATTTCTGTAATTCCCCATTTTCTTTAATAATGAGTCTCCCCACCCACACACAAGGCCATTTAAGGTCCCTGTTTTTAACTCATGGATAAACACAAAGGACAACTCAGTTTGAAGTGTTCTTTGGACATGATGTCATCATCATTTCATGAGAAATGGAATCGTCTAAGGTATGATACTGAGACAGAGAGTCGCTTTCAGGCCTGTATAATGGGACAATTTAATACAGATTTCTGCTAGTAGACTCTAGACTGATAGAGTGAGAGAAAGCAGAAAACCTTTTACGGAAGGAGATTGGAAAGCAAAATCTTTGTACCAGCCTCTGAAGTCACAGAAAGAATTCCACAATCAGGGAAATGAAATTTCAGAGCAGAGTTCATTGCCTGATTGGGCAAAAGACCCTCAAACCGAATTTCTTGAAAGAAGTAAGCACAATCCAAGGAGAACATGTTGTTACTCTCATTCTAAGTATTGTTTTTTTAACCTAAAGTTATCAAAATAAAGACACTTTAGAACCCTAAGAGAAAATTATATACTTTTAATTTTTATGCTGTCTTGTCTTTTTCTGATTATAAAATTTAAATATACAAAATGTATAAAGAAGGAAATGAAATTTGCTCGTAATCCCAGCACCCAGAGAATGGCCACTGTTAAGATTTTCTGATGTGAAATCTCTCATTCTCTCTCTGGTATAGATAGAACTAATATTTCTTTTGTGCTTACCAAATGCTTGACACTGCTTGGAGAATTTTACCTGTATAAACTCAGCTCATTCTCACAACAATCTTCTGAGGTAGGTACAAGGATTATCTTGTGAAGTTCAGTTTTTTGACCAAGATGGTGTAACTGGGAAGTTGCAGAGCCGGGAAGTTGCAGAGCTAGGATGTGGGAACCCGGAAGGTCATGCTTTGCCTGTACTCCTAACTTCTCTTTTCTATGGCTTAGATTTATTATAAATACAGTACACATTTCCCAAAATGAGATTATGCTGTGCCTAATGTTTTGTACTGTAACCTGCTTTTTCTTTTGATGTATCTGAACATCATTCCAAATCAATAGATATCAATCCATTTCATTATTCTTAATGTCTGCGTTGTATTTTGCTTCATGGATAATGTATTTAACTGTAATTCATACGGTTGGATATTTTGAAGTTTTCACTGTGAAAAACAGCAGTGACGTGTACATCTTTACATGCAAATGTGCATTTGAGAGGTTATTTCAAAAGAATAATTTCTCAGAAGAGTAAACACCCAGATCAAAGTGAAGCTTTTCAAGGCTGCTGCCAAAGGGCCCTTGGGAAAAATTGTGCCAATTACATTGCCACTAGCAGCCCAGGGGAGTGTGCTTTTCTCAACATTCTAGAGTGTTTTTCAAATCTTTTGACTCACTGGAAGACATACATTTTGTATAGTGACCCACTTACACACACACACACACACACACACACACACACAAGTATAACTGAAATAAATTTTCATATTTTCCTGACTAGGCGCAATAAATTTTCTCTCTTTTCTCCTCTTCCTTTTCTTTTCAAAAACATTTTTTAAAATACCAGATACGGTGGGGTTAAGTTCATGATCCATGAATGGGTAGTAACTCATGGTTTGAAAACACACTCTGTTAATGCTTGGATAGTAGGATTCTTTTTAGTATTTGCCTATTTGACAATATGAGATGATGACGAGTTATTATCCTATTCTTTAATCACTAGAGAGGCTGAGTATTTTGGAAAATTATATTTTTGGAGAGAGTAAACTAGAGTTCATTGTTTCTCAACCTTTAGTGCAATTAGAATTTTTAAAAAGAATCCTTTAATTAATTTCTGGACCAAATAATCTCTAGATTATTTGGCTCAGGTATCAAAATTTGTGGCTAAGGCTGAGAACACATGCCATAGATTACTAAAATTCTTTTAACTGTTCAAATAGACTCTGTTTTTGCCCTTTAAACACCACATATTTTAAAAACATCATAGTCATCTGAAGGTTAATTCAGGGTTAAGTATGGAGTTAGGGAAGGATTCTAATTTTGACTTATGAACTGTTAGCTGCATAAATCACAGTTTTTAAAATCCAGTGCATATTTGGGTCTTATTCAGTGGTAAATTATGGTGAAGAGATTCACATTATGGGAGATAGTTTCGATTCTCATGAATATAATTATACTGTGGGAGAACCAAGGTACTATTTAGTATTTCAGAGTTCCATCAGATAGAGAGTTCCAGTTGCCTACTGGAAATTCTACCTAGATGGTCCTCTGAAACCCCAAATTTAATGTGTCTTGCCAATAGAGTTCTTAACTCCCTCCTGCCTTTTCCCAAACCCATCTTCCTTCCTCTGTTTATGGCCCAGTGGACAATAATATGCTTTGCAATAAGACAGAGGTTTCTTTACATTGTGGATACTGGAAATGTACCATTTGGTGGCCCAAGCCAGCCTGCAGTAATGCGGATGGGGGTGAGGCAGTAGTCTGCTGGCCTGAGCCCTGACCACTGGGATTTCAGCTCTGAAAGCTGGAGAACGCCAGCCTGGGACAGCGCTCCCTCCCTCTCCCCATTTTCTTTCTTTTCTTTTCATACAGAATCTTGCTCTGTTGGCCAGGCTGGAGTAAAGTGGCAGAATTATAGCTCACTGCAGCCTCAAACTCCTGGGGTTCAGTGATCCTCCTGCCTCAGCCTCCTAGACCTACAAGTGCATGCCACCACACCTAGCTATTTTTTTTTTTTTTTTTGTAAAGACCCTGGCCTCAAGTGGTTCTCCTATCTCGGCCTCACAAAGTGCTGGGATTATAGGCATGAGCCACGGCGCTCGGGCCCTCTTCCTGTTTTTTTGTTTCTCTGTTGTGCATGGAGAGGACTGCAGGATAGAACAGACACTCACAGGTGGTTCTTAGAGGACCAGCCTCTGGTACACAGGACTGCAGTGGGGACATAAAGACAGCGGAGTAGTGAGTCTATAGCAGATGTTATCTGAATGACTGGAAGAGGTGAGAGATTTAAATGACTTCCCAAAGGGCTGGACAAATTGATGCACGGCAGGTGACTAAGAGGAGCTGGGGTTGAGTCAAAGGTGACCATTCTGGTCTTTCTACAGTGTTTGTCCTTGGTGTGCTATTGGTCATACTGGCAATTCCCATGTCTCCAGGTTTCTCTATTACTGCTCCTTTAGAAGAGTGCCAGAGTAGAAAAAGCTTTAACCTTGAGCAAGTTATCTAACCTTTCTATTTCATCTATAAAATGGAGTAATAATATACTGTTGGGTCTGTGAAGTCCCAGCACAGGGCCAGGCCCTTGATAGGCACTAAATAAACGACAGCCCTTTAGAAGGAGCCAGCTGTGATGGTCAGGATCAGACCCTCTCCACACATCCAGGTAGGCAAGTGCCCGAGATCTCAGATGGTCAAGTGGAGTGCCCGGCAAGGGGGCTGGAGAGTGGTGGGGTGGTGGGTGGGCTGTGAGTCAGCCCATGGTCCCTGTCATATTCTCCTGCGGTGTCCAAAGTGCTCCCCACTAGAGCAGCACAGCTCTGCAGAGATGCAGAAGAACAGTTACGGATCCAGTCAGATGATGGATCAGCTGTTCGGCTTTTACCTGCTGTTCACCCAAGTTTACCTACTTAGAAAGAGAAGACTACCAGCAACCTAGAGAAAGAATAGAAAGTCCAGCCACCTTCCAGGCTTTGAGTCTCAGATTATGGGAGTGTGGATTTTCCTCTGGTTGTCCATGGTCACTAGAGGTCAATGATCAAGTCATCCAACCCAGACATCGTTATTTAGAGCTGGAAAACAGAAAACAAGGGAGCACTACATCCTGTTGGGTCACATCCTGTTCACGATGACAGGAAGCAGGGCAGCAGACCAAGACGGGTAGAAAAACATGACGCTTACAAGGCATTTGCACGCTAGATGTGCACGTGTGTTTTGGTATACAGTTTTTAAAGACACTGTGAATCAATGCCCATATTACGCTTTTGGAAATTCTCAAGTTTCTTGTCAAATAAAATTGGCTAAAAGCCAAGTCTTTATTATCTGACTGTGCTGGGCCTAAAACCATGCCAATTTAAGAAAGAGAAAAATATCCTATTTGCCATCTGAAAACTGATCACAAAGGCACTGAGTGTTTCCCGCAGGAATAGAAATGCAATGTTGGGAAATCTCAGTTACACTCCTAGTGAGTATGAGGTTGTGAGTCTTGCCTGGAAATGGGAAGGTTGTTGCCTTTCTCAAAGGGAAGGGATGGATTATCCCAGCCGTGGGCACCCCATAGTACATTGCCTGAGAGGCATCAGGCTGGTGTGGAATTGCAGGCACACAACCCCCCTTGCCTGAACATAATGTGTCTTTCCTTCATTCAGCTTTTTAGACTCAGGATGGCAAAACTCCCGTCCGGCCCTTTCCCTTCACCTCCACTGATTTCATTCATTTTCCCTTTCTTCTTCTCTCCCCTTCTCTTCTGTGTGTTTTGGGAAAGATAATGGCTGCATAATGGCTCCCAGGCTGCTTTTTATGGGGTTGGGATTAAGGAGAAAGTGCCATCTCTTGGGTTTTAGGTTGATAATTAGCATCCTTCAGGAAGTTCTATGAGAAACCCCCTCCAGTTCTGGACTTTCTGCTAATTCAGGACTGCAGTGCTTCTAAGATATCTCAAGCATTCAGGATGGTGGTTCTCAAACTTGCGGATTATTGATCCCAGTAACCTGTCTTTAAGGTTTAAAAACCATGTATTTTGCAATTTGTTCTCAATGGCTTGCTGGCTTTCTTCTTGGGTTTCTTTTCATTCCTGGTAAGTAATTGTGCTAGAAATGGGCCACAGTCACTAGGAAATTGTCTCTTAGGGTCATCCATGCATCATAGGACTGGATGGGAGGGAACCTGGTAGGTAGGTAGGTCTGCTAAAGTGTTTGCCTGTCGTTCAGTAATTTTAGATGTTACTGCTTAGAAAAAGAGATAGAAAAGAATAATATTGACTGCTAAGATCTACACATGGGGAGTAGGGCTTTTATTCTAAAAATTTTGAATTATTGAAATCCAGCACAAATGTGATGCATAATTTTTATCCCAAAATAAAATTGTGTTTTCATTTGTGCATGTCACCTGCTAGTTCTTGTGATGTGGACATTTTTTTAACCTATTTAGAGTATTATCATGAATATTTTAAATTTTCACCTAAATTTACGTATTAGAGATTAAAAAAAAAAAAGAAAATGGGCTGGGTGTGGTGGCTCACGCCTGTAATCCCAACACTTTGGGAGGCCAAGGCAGGCAGATTACCTGAGGTCAGGAGTTCGAGACCAGCCTGGCCAAAATGGTGAAACCCCTTCTCTACTAAAAATACAAAAAAATTAGCCGGGTGTAGTGGTGCGTACCTGTAATCCCAGCTACTCGAGAGGCTGAGACAGGAGAATCTCTTGAACCCAGGAGGCAGAGGTTGCAGTGAGCTGAGATCACGCCACTGCACTCTAGCCTAGGAGGCAGAGTGAGGCTCCGTCTCAAAAAAAAAAAAAAATAGAAAATAACAATTAGACCTACTGTTGGTGCTGATGGATGAAGCAGCAGAATGATGACAGTAAGCAGTGGCTTTCCTGCCTGGCTTTGCCTTTGGGGCCTTCAACATTTAGTATTTCAGCTTGGCCTCTAAAAAAATGGGAGCTTACGAATAGCTACCTTACAAATATATTAGGTGGAAAAATCACTGGTGTGTGATTTTGGGG
This sequence comes from Homo sapiens, assembly GCF_000001405.40. Classification (NCBI taxonomy): domain Eukaryota; kingdom Metazoa; phylum Chordata; class Mammalia; order Primates; family Hominidae; genus Homo; species Homo sapiens. The sequence goes on along the minus strand of NC_000001.11, from coordinate 94,793,820 downwards.
CCACCAAGATGCAAATATGTAGTATCAAATGCATCAATACGGACAAAGGGTTCCAATATCTGGGCAGGCCACCAGGCAGAACTGCCTCCTTCAGTTGTTTATGTCATTCACTTCTTTCTTTTCTTTTTTCCCTCAGTTTTCAGCCATTCCTTCCTCAAAATCCTGCTCAAGTCTAAGAGCAAGGATCCTACTTGCTAACTGCCGTGTGCTAGGCAGGGTGCTAAGCACTTTATTCATGTATCTAATTTAGTCCTACTACGCCACGAGAGAGATACCATCATCCACACTTTACAGATGAGCAAATGGAACCGCTAGTTAAGAATCTTGCTCAAGGTCACATCGGTAGTAAGGGATGGAGCCAGTGTTCTCACACAGATATTTGCAGTCAGCCCTTTCTAATTACAGATCAGGCTCTTTTGCAACACTGCACTGCCTTTCAATGTGGAGCCTGGGAGAGAAATGACAGAAAAAGATGTGTTAGAGTGGACTGTTTATTCTTTGAATGATCTCTGTCTCTCTCTTTTTGTTTATTTTTCTTTTGTTTTTGATGCTTGAATTTACTGTCACTGCCTACAAACTGGGGACATTCATTATTGGATATTACTGGTTAGAGAGTATGGTTTTATGTAATAAGGAAAGGAATTTCAGAAATGTAAACTGCAGGAAAAGAAACACAGCAAATTTCCAGATGTCTGGGTTCCTTTTTTTTTCCTTTTGTAAATGATTTGGTTGGTTCTATTTGGAATGAAAGTTAACTGCCTAGAGGATAAAAATATCCTCTTTTGTAGTTTTTACCTCGAACAGCAACAAGAACATATTATGTGTTTTCATGGAAAGATCTATTTTTAGAGAGAATGCAAGCCACCCTCAGCCCTGTGAGTAATAACTGTTTGGCACAATGATACTTACAATAGATAATCACTCTAAGTCCTTCTTTGAAAGCCTGCCTTATGAATTGTTTTTATTACATAATTTGTACGTGTTATTTTTGATTCATGAAACCTCATTTAATTAAAAAAAAACCCAAAGGATATATGTATAGAGCTTTGGGAATTCCTTTTACTTCCTGTATAATGATTCACAATTTAAATATACCACATTGGGTGGAGGAAGTACCTATCATGGCCTTATGAAAATAAAAACTGTGAACGAGGAACAGAAACTGCAGATTGCTGCATGCTCATCAGTCCTCCTGTAGGTGGGAAGTGGCCTCCGTGCACATTATGTGAAGGCCATGAAATGAAACGACTGCTGAATGGTCAATGGGATGATCCTAGGGAGAGGGAATGGGCTGTTTTCTCTTGGGTGCTTAAATTAATGACATTTATTTTTTATTTTTGGTATACTTTTCCCTAGATTCAGAAGTTTAGCCATCTAGCTTAAAAAAGCCAGAATTGATCCCTACTCTCTGACATATTCAAATGGCTAAACAAAATAGAAAAAGTGACTAAACTATAGAATTCTGGACTCAGAGAGTCATGGTTTCCTAGAATTATACAGATGAATGCAAGAGATATCGTAGAGATGATTCCTGGGTTAGGTGGGTGGTCTTCAACTCTGAGATTCTGTCATTTGATGACTTTTACTCTGCTAGATCTGGTAAGTTTCTTCTGGGAGACAATTTTTCTGCCATTCAGAATCTCAGAGAGGTTTTAACTGAAACAGTCTCTCAATAAAAGCCTCGTGTCAGATACTCTCCTTTGTAGGGAAGCAGTGCTGACAGTAGCTGGGAAGAACTGAGTGGCCTCAAACAAAAAGAAAAGGAAAGCAAGTTTGAAAGATATAACTGTCATTATTTCCTTTGGAGAGATAATTATCTTGACATAAAAGTTACATTTCATGTATAACCCACGATTTGTAAATAGAGTCATGGGTCTCCTGCTAGTAGATGTGGGCAATGAACACTTGCCAGAATTGTGCGTGTGTTTTGCTCTGAATTTCGTTGCACAGACTGGTAGGTATGGTTTGGTTCAGATTTCATCCAGCTGTATTATTTGGAGTGATAATTTCATCAGTGATTCAAATAAGTTGAAATTTATAGATTTAGAAAGAGATCATAAGCATGATTTGATTTGGGTTATATGTTTTGTGAAAATTTAAAAATATCTTTTAAACCACCCACAGAACTTTTCAAGTGTGAAGAAAGAAGGATTTGCAGTGTGGCCAAATGGGCCAGTTAGTTTTACCTAGGATTTTAAGATTCTTGAACTCAGTCCTTGGGTGGCTCTGGATCTGGAAGGGTAGAGAGTAGCTTTGTAATAAATTTAATTTCATCTCTAAATTAATAAAAGTGAGAGTTAATGAGAAATTAGAAGTCTTGTGATGAATTTCTCAGTCTTTAAAATTCAGTGATCTTGGCTCCAAGTAATCATTGCTATAGATTTGGAAGATGGTACATAGAAGATGGAATAGTACCTGCACTTCATGATGACTGTGAATTCTTTCGTTCTGACCCTGTGACTGAGCCCTCCCAGGTGAGATAATCAGAAGACAGCAAAGGTTTTGAAGGAGAGGCATGCAACAGAAACTTCTGTGCTTTCAAAATAAATTACAGGTTGAGGAAGGCAAGTGGAAAGCTTTTGTCCAAATTGATTTTCATATTAGCAAGGATGATTTATGCCTGGGAAAAATTAAAGCTCATGAAATCAGTATGAATTTAAGTCTACAAACTGAAGTATGCAAGAATTAGCTCTGTTTTAAAAAAATGACTTTATTGGGGTTTAATTTATTAGGTTGTTGCAAAAGTAATTGTGGTTTTGTCATTAAAAGTAATGGCAATATATGTGTATTCCGTACAACTCATCCATTGTAACTGCATAGTTGATTTTTAGTAAATTTCCAGATTTGCTACCATAACTACAATCCAGTTTTAGACCACTTCTATCACCTCCAGAAGGTTTTCTCTGTGTCTATTTGCAGTCAATCCTGCTTCCCACCCTCAGCCTCAGGCAACCACTGATCTGTTTCCTGTCTTCATGGTTTTGCCTTTTCTAGAAGTTTCATGTAACTGGAGTCAAGCAATATATTATATTTTGTGCCTGGCATTTTTCACTTAATAATATTTTGAGTTTTACCCATGCTGTTGCACATATTAGTAGTTTGTTCCTTTCCATTGTTTAGTAGTTTTCCATTATAGATAAGCAACAATATGCTTATTCATTCATTAGTTGATGGACATTTAAATTGTTTCTAGTTTTGGGTTATTGTGAATCCTGCAGCTATGAACATGTGCATATGAGTTTTTCTGTGAACATATGTTTTCATTTCTGATGACTGGACACCTAGAAGCGAAATTGCTGGGTCATGCAGTAAGTGTGTATTTAACATGTTGAGAAACTGCAAAAATGTTTCCCAATGTTGCTGTACCATTTTATTTTCCCACCAACAATCTATGACTTAGTAAGGTCAGTCTTTTCTATTATGGTCATTCTAGTGGATGTGGTATTAATTTGCATTTCCCTAATGACTACTAATGTTGGAAATCCTTTCGTATGCTTATTAGTCATATGTGTTTCCTTTTTTGATAAAATGTCTATTTACATTATTGCCCATTTTAAAAACTGAGTTGTCTTTTTTTTTTTTTCTTTTTTTGAGACAGAGTCTCACTCTGTTGCCCAGGCTGGAGTGCAGTGGTGGGGCAATTTCGGCTCACCACAACCTCCACCTCCCAGGTTAAAGCAATTCTCATGTTTCAGCCTCCCAAGTAGCTGGGACTACAGGTGCCTGCCACCACACCTGGCTAATTTTTATATTTTTAGTAGAGACAGGGTTTCACCATATTGGCCAGGCTGGTCTCAAACTCCTGACCTCAGGTAATCCACCCACCTCGGCCTCCTAAAATGCTGACATTTACAGGCATGAGCCACTGTGCCTGACCAGAGTTGTCTTTTTAAATTGATAAATAGATGTATCTATTTTGGGGGTATATGAGATATTTGGATATCCTTCACCATTATCATTTATCTTTTCTTGACGCTACGAACATTCAGTTTATTCTCTTCTAGCTATTTTGAAATGTACAATAGATGATTGCTAGCTATATTCACCCTGCTGTTCTATCGAACATTAAGTCTTATTTCTTCTATCTAACTCTGTATTTGTACCCATTAACCAAGCTCTCTTCATTCCTCCCTCCCCTCCATCCTTTCCAGACTCTGGTAACCACCAGTCTACTCTTTGTCTTTGTGAGTGCCACCTTTTTAGCTACCACATATGAGTGAGAATATGTGATATTTGCCTTTCTATGTGTGGCTTATTTCTCTTAACATAATGATCTCCAGTTCCATCCATGTTGCTGTAGATGACAGGATTTCATTCTTTTTCAATGGCCAAATAATATTCCATTGTGTATATACACCACATTTGATCCATAGACCTATTGATGGGCACTTAGGTTGATTCCGTATCTCGGCTGTTTTGAATAGTGCTGCAATAAACATGGGAGTGCAGATATCTCTTTGATACATTCATTTCCTTTCTTTTGGATATGTAGTCAGTAGTGGGATTTCTAGATCACATGGTAGTTCTATTTTTAGTTTTTTGAGGCACCTCCATACTGTTTTCCATAGTGGCTGCACTAATTTACATTCCCACCAGCAGTGTATGAGGGTTCCTTCCCCTTTCTCTACATCCTCACTAGCATCTTTTTAATAAATGCCATTTTAACTGGGATGAGATGATATCTCATTGTAGTTTTGATTTGCATTTCTCTGATAATTAGTGATGGTGAGCATTTTTTCATATACCTGTTTGCCACTTGTATGCCATCTTTTGAGAAATGTCTATTAGATCTTTTGCTTGTTTCAAAATTTGATTTTTTAAAAACAATTGCATTGCATTCCTTATGTATTCTAGTTATTCACCCTTTATCAGACGGATAGTTCGCAAGTATTTTCTCCTATTCGTGGGTTGTCTCTTCACTTTGTTGATTGTTTCTTTTGCTGTGCAAAAAGGTTTTTAGCTTGATGTCATCCCATTTGTCTATTTTTGCTTTTATTGCCTGTGCTTTTCAGGTCTTACACAAAATAATCTGCCCAGACCAATATCCTGAAGCATTTCCCTAATGTTTTCTTCTAGTAGTTTTGTAGTTTCACGTCTTAGATTTAAATCTTTAATCCCTTTTGACTTTATTTTTGTATATAGGAGAGATAGGAGTCTAATTTCATTCTTCATGTTTGTCTTATATTATTAAGTTGTAAGAGTTCTGCATACAAGTCTTTTATCAGAAATGTGATTTGCAAATATTTTCTCCCTGATGGTGGCTTCTGTTTTAATTTTCTTAGTGATGTCTTTTGAAAAGTAAACACTTAATTTTGATAAATTCCAGTGTAATTTTTTTTCTTTTATGGATCTTGCTTTGTGTCACATCTAACAAGTGTTTGCTTAACCCAAAGTCACAAAGATTCTCTGTTTTTTTTTTCTAGAAGTTTTATAGACTTAGGACTTACATTTTAACCTATGACCTATTTTGAGTTATACATGGTAAGAGATGAGGGTCTAAGATTTTTTTTGTTTTTTTTGTATATGAATATATAATTGTTCCAGCACCATTTATTGAAAAGACTCTCTTTTCCCTCATTGAATTGCTTTGTCACCTTTGTCAAAATCAATTGACTGTAAGTATGAAGATTTATTTCTGGACTCTATTCTGTCTGTTTGATCAATTATGTCTGTCCATACACAAATAGCATACTGTCTTGATTACTATAGATTTATAGTAAATTTTGTTTAAGTCCTCCAACTTTGTTCTTTTTGTTCAGTTTTTTTTTTTTTGGTTGTTCGCAGTCCTTTGAATTTTCACATAAATTTTACAATCAGTTTGTTAATTTCTACAAAAGCAGGGTCTCTGGATCATATGGTAAGAGTATGTTTAGTTTGGTAAGAAACTGTCAAACTGACTTCCAAAGTGGTTATACTATTTTGCAATCTTAACAGAAGTGAATGAGACTATTTGGGTAATAGTCTTTTATCAGATACATCTGTTTCAAATATTTTCTCCAAGTCTGTGGCTTGTGTTTTAATTCTCCTAAAGGGTCTTTTGAGTTTTTAATTTTGATGAAGTCCAGCCTATTAATTTTTTTCATGGGTTATGACTTTGCTGTCATATCTAAAAAGTAATTGCCAAACCCAAGATTATCTAGATTTTCTCCTATGTTATTTTCTAGGAGTTTTATAGTTTCATGCTTTAAATTCAGGTTTATGAGCTGTTTTGAGTTAATTTTTGTGTTTAGATTTTTATATTTGGCACATGGATGTCCATTTATTCCAGCACTATCATTGAAAAGATCATCTTTTTTCCAGTTTATTGCCTTTGCACCTTTGTAAAAAATCAGTTGACAATATTAATGTGGGTTTACTTCTGGTCTTTGTATTCTATTCCATTTATCTGTCTATTCCTTCACTATGCCACATTGTCTTGACTACTATAGCTTTATAGTAAGTATTGAAGTCAGGTAGTATTAGTCGTCTGTCTTTTTTCTTCTCCTTCAATATTTTGTTGGTTATTCTGGGTCTTTTGCTTCTCCATGTAAACTTTACAGTTAATTTGTTGATATTCACAAGATAACTTGCTGGGATTTTGACTTGTATTGCATTGAATCTATAGGTCAAGCTGGGAAGAGCTGACATCTTCACAATATTGAGTCTTTCTATCAATACACATGAAATATCTATTTATTTAGTTCTTCTTTGATTTCTTTCATCAGAATTTTTTAGTTTCCTTCATATAGATATTGCACATTTAAAACAAAACTGATACCTAAGTATTTCATTTTTGGAAATGCTAATGTAGATAATATTGTGTTTTAAAGTTCAAATTTCACTTATTCATTGCTGGTATATAGAAAAGCAATTGGCTTTTATATGTTGACCTTGTATACTGCAAACTTGCTATAATTGCTGATTAATTCCAGGAATATTTTTGTTGATTGTTTTGGATTTTCTACATAGGCAATCATGGTTATCTGTGAACAAGCACGGATTTATTTATTCCTTCTTAGTCTTTATGCATTTTATTTCCTTAAAAAATCACATTATGTTAGGACTTCCAGTGCAATGTTGAAAAGGAGTGGTGAGAAGAGACATTCTTGCCTTTTACCTGAACTTAGTGGGAAAGCTTGTAGTTTCTCACCATTGGGTATTATATTGTAGATTTTTTTGTAGATATGCTTTATCAACTTGAGGAAGTTTTCCTCTATTTCTAGTTTGCTGAGTGTTTTCTTAATCATAAAGGAGTGTTGGAAGGCCCTTTTTGTTAGATTTATTTCCTACCATATGACACACGAATGTCTTACTAATTAGTATAATTGCTACTTTTTGCTCACTAGGTGGAATCAGCATTCATCAATGTAATAAACCAGTGGTCTTATGGAAAGATGATCAAGTCCCTGCAGACTATAATATAACATTTAGGTTTGAAGGGTTGATATACCCCAAGGTAAGGCAGTTAAGGTGTATTGCTGGCTTTGCCAACAGAAGGCAAATCAATTCTGGTAGTCTTTATTAATAGGTATTGAGAAAAAGGCATTTGTCAGACCAGTCGCTGCATACCAGTAATAGGGCATGTGTTAATTTGCTCAAGCAATGAAGCCTTTTCTGAAAGACCAGCTGAAATTCAAGTCACCACCTGATTAAGCTTACTATAATCCACTGCCATTCTCCAGTATCTATCTGTCTTCTGTACAGGCCAAATAGGCAAGTTGAATGAGGATGTGGTGGGAATCACCACGTGTGCATCCTTCCAACCTTTGATAGTGGCACCATTCTCTAGAATCCCTCCCATGAATGCAGTATTGCTTTCGGTTTACTGTTTTCCTAGGTAAAGACTATTCTAGTGGCTTACACTTGGTCTTTCTTATTGTAATGGCCCTCACTCCACAAGTCGGAGAACAAGCATGGGGATCCTGCCAGTTGCTGAATATGTCTATTCCAATTATTTACTCTGGAACTGGAGAAATGACCACTGAATGCGTTTGGAGACCCACTGGACTCACTGTGACTTGAGCTAAAACTACACTAATTACCTGAGTTTCAGAAGTTCCCACTCTAGGACGGCATGGTAGCTCATGCCTGTAATCCCAGCACTTTGGGAGGGTGAAGGGAGTGAATTTCTCGAGCCCAGGAGTTCAAGACCAGCCTGGGCAACATGGTGAAACCGGGTCTCTACTAAAAATACAAAAAAATTAGCCGGATGTAGTGGCATGAGCCTGTAGTCCCAACTACTCTGGAGGCTGAGGTGGGAAAATTACCTCAGCCAGGGGACGTCGAGGCTGCAGTGAGCCAAAATCATGCCACTGCACTCCAGCCTTGGCAACCAGAGTGAGACCATATGTCTAAATAAATAAATAAATAAAATTTATATTCTGACTGATAGACCACAGTGATGGTTTGGGTCTCCTAAGATTAGTGTCACTAATCCAGTAAGTCAGTGTCCAATAATCACCTAAAAGTCTGATTATTTTGTTTTCCCTAATGCACAGTCACCCTGGCAGAAGGCCATAGGTCCTTTGGGGAGGGCTGAGAAAAAGATTAATGGCATAAACTTTTGGCAGTGTAATGGGTACTTCTTCAAGGAGCTCAAACCTCCCCTTCTTTCAAGGCATTTGGGATCTGTAAACTGGCTCAAGTCTAGGAATTGATTGCAGAAACTGCGACTCTGTTTTTATGATTTAAATTAGACTAAGTTCGTATTGCCTGGAACTCTTCTGCTTAAACAGTGCAAATAAGAATGTAGTAGACCAGGTGTTTTAGCCTGTTCTTGCATTGCTATAAAGGAATACCTGAGACTGGGTAATTTATAAGAAAAGAGGTTTAATTGACTCACAGTTCTGCAGGTTGTACAGGAAGCATGGCAGCATCTGCTACTGGGGAGGCCTCAGGGAGCTTTTACTCATATGGCAGAAGGCAAAGCGGGAGCAGGCACTTAACATGGCAAAGGCAGGAGCAAGAGATATGAGGAGGTGACACACAGTTTTAAATGACCAGATCTCACAAGAACTTACTATTGTGAGGACAATACCATGGAGATGACACTAAACCATTCATGAGAAATCCTCCCGCCATGATCCAGTCACCTCCTACCATGCCCCACCTCCAACATTGGGGATTATATTTTGACATGAGATTTGGGTTCATCCAAACCATATTACCAGGCCAGCCAATGGCCTGTTTCTGTCTCCAATGGACAGAAACTATCTGTTGGCACAGGTGGCTGGGTGGTAATTCTCTCTTCCCCTCAGGGCCAAGCTCAGTTCCAGGAATCCATAACCACTTAGCGGCTCCTCTCTAAAACCTTGCCACCTTCTTTCCAGTTTCTAGGAATCTCCATTTCCTACCTTGCTGCTCCTTAAAGACATTCTTCCTGCCTTGGCCTCTGACTTCCGTTGCTCTAGAATTGATGTCTGCTGTCTGCTTTCCACTTTGTCAGAATCCCCTTACAAGAAATCACAAAACTTTGTTTCCTGATTGAAATAAGAGGTCAGGGAAAAGACAGGGAGTATACACACAGTTGGAAATTCCAGCCTAGGCTGGGCGCGGTGGCTCACGCCTGTAATCCCAGCATTCTGGGAGGCCAACGCGGGCGAATCAAGAGGTCAGGAGATTGAGACCATCCTGGCTAACACAGTGAAACCCCGTCTCTACTAAAAAGTACAAAAAAATTAGCCGGGCGTGGTGGCAGGCTCCTGTAGTCCCAGCTACTCGAGAGGCTGAGGCAGGACAATGGCATGAACCCGGGAGGCGGAGCTTGTAGTGAGCTGAGATCACACCACCGCACTCCAGCCTGGGTAACTGAGCGAGACTCTGTCTCAAGAAAAAAAAAAAGAAAAAGAAAATTCCAGCCTATTACCCTGTTATAGTGATCAGATACCAAAGTTGCTGAAGACACAGAGAAAGACTTCCCTAGGGAACTTAAATGTTCTCTAAACATATAAGGCATGATAGATGTTCCCCATAACTGGATGATATTCCTCCTGTCCTATCCTCCTGCCCTAGCCACAGGAGTGAAGGCTTGCGTTTAGGAAGTATGTTATTACTGCAGCCTGTATGACTTACTTTCTGGTAATAAATCTTGTGTGTGAATTGTGGGGACGGCCAGCATCCAAAGTAAATAGCGACTGTTGTGGTGGAGGCTGGCTGGCCAGCCTGGCTGGCTGCGCTTCAGCTCCTTGGCTGCTCCTACAGGGATTGCTGCCGTGGAGCTGACTGTGGCTTCCCCAGGGCTCTGCTGAAAGGGCCTTCCAGCTCTGGGGAGGCTCTGCCCTCTTTTCTCCCTCAGCTAGGACCTTGGCAACTCTGCTCTTCCTCCTGGCAATCAGGCATCTGGAATGGCTGAAGGGTGAATTCCAAGCAGCAGAAAGAGTGCCAGAGTCCTGGGCACTTCCTTCTTTGGAATCTCTCTATCAGCCCAGCACACCCCAGGTTGTGTTTTCTGAGCAGAACAAGGTGATTCTCTGCAATGTACTAGAGGAGAGGAAGGACCAGGATGCACTGCATGCAGCTGTCTCAACTCACCTTGCTCCTTTCTTCCTCCATAACTTTGCTTTGGACATTTTCTCTGCCTGGAATGCCTTACCTTATTCTCTCTCTTTCTCCTGGTGAAATCCCTACTTATCCTCTAAGGCTGAATGAAAACACTGTCTCTTCTGGGAAGCCACCACCCCTCTCCCTCAAACCCTTTTCTCCCACAACTTTTTGTTCCTAGCCCTGTTGTAATACTGACCATATTGTATTATAGTGAGTAGTCTGCCTGAGTGAGTGCAATAACTTTTTTTTTTTTCTCTAACTCTTTGGCCCTAGGATCTAGGATGGTGCCTGGCACATATCAATGATAATGATGATTATAATAACAATTATTCATTATATGCTTAGCAGTTGCAAGGCACAGTGCTAAGAGCTCCGTAACATTTAATCTCCACCACAATTCTAAGGGTAGCTATTAGTGTTATCCTAGTTTCTGGATGAAGTGGTGGGTTTAGGGAGGTTCTGCAACTTGCTTAGGGTCCCATATCTTTTAAAGGGTGGAGCTAAGTTTTGAACCCAGGTTTGTGCAGCAAAAAGTCAGTGTTTTAACCTTTTTTGGTTAGGTTTTGACAGGTTTTTTGATAGGTTTTGATACCTATCACTGTTTTGATAGGTATTTTTTGAATGCTTGATTGAATGAATGATTCTAGAGGTGCCCAAGTACTCCCTCCATTCCCATCTGAGTGCAGCATCTAGGGCGGGGGCTGTTTTATTCCTCAGGCACTGGACTGTATCATGGTACCTTTGGCCCAGGCTCCTCACTTGATGGTGTCTTGCTTTTCCTTTTGGTGGGCAAGGAAGATCAAAAGGCTCTAATGATGGGATAAGCTCCTGATCTGCTTATAAATATACTGATCCTAATGTCAAGCCAGCATCCCTTTCATGGTCACAGCTCATGGTCTATCATCAAACTCTGTGACCGGTGGTATGAACAGGCTGGTTTGCATTTTCCCCAGAGCATTAATACCCATAATCTCTCCTTTGTCTGCCTTCCCTCTGTGTTTCTACAGTGTAGGGCTTGGCAGGGTTGGGGCCAGGGAATGTGTGGGGAGCTATGTGTGCTCCTTTCTCTCTTTCCCTATCACAGACAAGAGAGGGAAACTGGCATTATGCACTGATGTCACTGAAGGACAGAAACAAATTGCAAAAGTATATGCCTGCAAGGAAGGAAGCAAGTAGATGCCACTAATGCTATTTTTCTGTTTTTTCCTAGCACCTGGCATATAATTGATGCTCAATTAATATTTATTTATTGAAAAAAATTACACCACATTCACAAATGCCTTACATTTCTGTAGCACCTTATGAACTCTTTACAGCTCTGTGGTAGCTATTGTTTCTACTGATTCTTATATACATTTTAAGGAGGAGGATATTAAAGCTCAGAAGGGTTTGATGACTTGGTGAAGATCACCAAACTTATCAGAGGCAATGTCAAGGACAAAGCCAACATCTGTGACTTTGAATTCTGAAGGAATGAAGAATGTGCAATCTCAAAATATGCCACATTGGTATATTTATTATTTTGAGTTACAAACATTGAAGAAATTGTAGTTTCAGAAAGGGCCAGTTGTCCTGTCTCCCCCTGCATGCAGCAAGCCATAAAGCTTCCTCTTGGAGGGGGACCTCCATGTACCAGGGCAAGAAAATCGTCCTTATTACCAGAGACTGGGAAGTTAAGGCTGCAGTGGACCTAAATAAATATTACCGAAGTAACCCCTGTCGTCCACTAGTTTTATGTCCCCTCATATAGCTCCTATGACTCCCTTAAAATTTACTACCCCTAGCCAGATCCCCTTTTTCTTGTCATTTCTTCTCAAATTCATTGTTCTTTGTCTAAAAAGTATAAAGACATCTTGCTTTGGGCATTTCTTTGGATTTCACTCTCTTGTGAAGATCCCACGGGCACAGTAGTTGCATCTGACAGCACTGACTTATTCACACCCTGAGAATGACCCTATACGGCAGATGCACCTGCCAGCAATGACTTAAGAAATGAGGGTTGCCACATGGAGGTTGTCGGGGGGAGCGTGCTAAGTGAAGGTGCTATCTAAACTACATGCTTTTTTCAAGCAGTTACAGTTTCCTGTTCAGTCTTCCACCACTGGACTATTCCTGTATGTAATTTCTCCCTAATAAAACCCCGTGTCTCGTTTGCTGGCTCTGGGTCTCTTGTTTGGCCTCTCAGACATGGTGCCATTCCTATTGGAGTCAATAGGGATCTGGCATGACACCTACGTTCCTTAAAACCAATACAATTAGTATGCTTTTATCTTGTTAATCTGCCTGGTGTCCATTTGGTTTCTAGTTCTAGCCAAAAATACCACCTAAGAACTTAAGGGTGTTGGGGTTGCTCGCTGACTCTCCTACAATCCTGTGCTCATAAAACAAGGAAACAGAAATCTCAGATATTCAATACCTAAATGTTTATCTTAAAGCAAATTCTACTTATATGGTTTCATTCTTTGTTTGGTAACCTATCCCATTTCACTTTATTTTTTTGGATCTCTTTTCTCTCATTTTCTGTATTAAAACCATTCACAGTAACTTGTATAGCCCTTCATTTGGAAGAGAACGTGGACTTTTTCTTTTCCAAATCATTTTAAATCAACAGCTCCTCAGTGAGTGCCTCCTAAATTAAGATTAAGGCATGACCCCTGCCTTCATGGTGCTTACTTTACGTGGCTGTAGGGACAGACAGGAACCCCAGGGCATATGAGATTGCAGATACTCCCAACAGAGATTTTGATGAGCACATCAGAGCATCAGTGGCTTTCGAGCTAGTGTAAGGATGAGTAGAAATTATTTTTAGACACTCCTTAGGTAGAGATGGGGAAAATCATTTTAGTTTAAAAGAATAGCAGTGGCAAAGGTGGGGAGGCATGACCTGTTTAGGGCTGGATGAGTACTCCTGGGATGGGGTACAAGCTGGTATCATATTGTGGAGGCTCTTGGATGCCCTAAGATGTTGCATTTTTTTCAGTAGGCAGTAAGGAGCCATCAGTAGTTTGTAAGGAGGGCAATGTGATCTCAGCTACAGAGGAGAATGACCAATGAGCAGCCATATCAGTGACCTAGGAGAGGCTCAGGGATTCATCCCTTATCTCCCAATTCCCTACTGAGGGTGAGGCACTGTGCAGATGAGCGGCACAGAGCCAGGCCTGCAGGCACTGGCAATCAGGCGAGCAGGCCATGCATAGCTGTAAGGCACCATCATAAATGTCTCTACCTAGTTCAGCAAGTGCACAAAGAAAGTGGGGTATAGGGTCCCTGGGGAAGGTGGGCATCAGGAGAGCTTTCTAGTGGAGATGATGCTTGAGCTGAGATTATTTACAGGGCGAGGAAGATGTTGAAAGGGAGAGAGGAGGGAGAAGGCATTTGCAGGAACAAAGCATGGAGGCATCAGCAGCGTGACCAGTTAGCCGGACTTGCTGTGTGTGGGTGTGTGTGTGTGTGTGTGTGTGTGTGTTTAATACAATTGTTTTGCTTATTTAAGTAATATTTGTTTGCTGAAGAAAATGTGTCAAATATAGAAAAACTAAAAGAATAAATCTATAATCCCACTACTTGGAGATAATCATTTAAAAAATTAGGTGAATATCTTTCCATTTTTATGTGAGTGTGTATGTGTTTGAATAAGAATAAATGTGTGTGTGTATACATATATATAAATGTATCAATAAGTAGAACATATATGTATGTGTTAATACAGCTTCATCTTCTCTCTCTTTGTATTGAATGTCCTGCTGCATCAGCTATAGGGATAAAATAAGGTTACATTTCTTTAATATTCAAACAATACTGACTTGAACATCCACCAGCCCAGCCTGACAGGAAGTGTAGTCTTCCCTGGAGGTTCTCAAGTAATCTCTAAGAATGTGTAAGAAATTGCTACTTATTCCTCAACCTGTCCTAATAGTGGCTGCTTCCATCTGCCTACTGATGATATGTCTAAGATTTAAGTAGGAAAGGGAAATATGGGTAGATTAGTCTTTCCAGCTAGAGTGAAAACACCTCATGGGCCAGGAACCATGTCTTTCTTGTCCACTGCTGTACCCCCAGTGCTTCAGATAAATACCCACCACATAGTAGACATTCAATAATACACTAAATGAATGAATGGATTCAAACCTCCACTTATTCAGGCAATTAACATTTACTGAAGATTTTTGATGTGCTGAGTTCTGTGCTGGGGATTAGAAGTGTACATGCAAACAAAATAAAACTTTCATCTTTGATGGGCATGAAGATAAGCATTTAAAAAAACAAACAAACTCAGCTTCCATGGGAGTCAGTGAGATTCTTAGCATCTGAGGTATTCAAACAGACACCAAAGACTACTGACCAAGACTGTAGAAGGGATTCTTGCTTGGGAGAAATGCTGGACTTAAATGACCATTAATGACCCCTCCAAATGTAAATTCCTATGATTGAATGAATTTTAGCTAATTGTTCCTAACTTATTAGTCATAACCAAACAGTTCACAGAAGGACTCCAGAGTAAATACAATTACAAATGAAAAACAAATGTTCTGATGGGATCCAAATATTTGTTGATAACAAGTGAGATTTCTTGAGAAGCCTGCAGAATGTTGTTCTCAATAGGAGACATAATTTTTAAATAGTAGAAATTAGAGAAGTAATACATTTCAGAATGTGTTTAAACATATTTTCTTTAATTCAATCCATTTATTATATTCAAAACTCGTATTCACAAGCAAAAATAACTAAGAACTGATTAAGACAACTAAAACAAGCTTTTGATAGGTCTTTTTCGAGGAAGCCCAAAGGTCTCAAGTTTGATCGCTGTTTGGAAAATATGAGCGCAACACTTTAAGACAAAAATTTCCATATGTTGGTCTTATTAGAATTCAAAACTCATTCATCTGTTCCTTCATTCAAGAAATACATAGTGGGGAGATAAAAGAAAGACATAGTGAAAATCCACTAAGTGTAATATACTGTAGACTTTGCAATATGAATAATTCTAAAAGGAAAATGAGATCATCTATCATACATTTAAACAGTCTTTTAAAAAATTCATTTTATTACAAAGTAATAATCATCCATTAAATAAAAAACTTAAAAAATGGCAATAGTAAAAAGAATACCTATAATTATACCATTTAATAAATATCTACTATTTATGTTTTTGTGATTTCCTTTTAGGGTTTCTATGCATGTAATTTTTATATCATTGTAATACTGCTGTGGAAACTATTTTGAGCTTTAAAATCCTAATCATTGAAGAGGCTGGTGGAAATAGTTTAGTGGAACTGAAACCTGATTCTCTAGAGCTTTGATATATGTGCCTTGGTTTTCCTTCATGTACCTTAAGCATTACTCTTTTGGGTTGAAAATAAATCATATAGGTTTTGTTTAAACAACACCAAGCATATTTAAAAAATGAGAATTTGGTAAGAATAATGGCCAGATTAAAAATTAGATTACAGATTAGCAGCTGGATACCTAAATGATCAGAACATACAGTTGTGGCCATTAGCCTTACTAGCACACCTAGTCCATACTATCACTAAATAACTATTTGGCCCCTGTTTGTTTAATGACCAACTCCCCTGTTAGACTCTAAACACTGTCTAGTTCACAGCAATATCTCTAGTGCATGGTTTATTGCCTGCTGCAGGCTTGGTTCTTAGTAGACATAACTGGAGTAAGTGAATGAATGACTCATTTACTGGGAAGGGTAGTTTGGGGGTAGTTCATCAATCAATCCATCTATCCATCCATCCATCCATCCATCCATCCATCCATCCATCCACCCATCCATCCACACACCCACCCACTTACCCACCTACCCAACCATCCATCCATCCATCCATCCATCCATCCATCCATCCATCCATCTATCCATCCATCCATCCACTTCTTCATTCATCTATCACCAGATATCTTAGGGAATATTTGCCATGTGGTAAGCACTGTGCCTTGCACCAAAGGCACAGAGTAAAGCAGTGATGGCACTGCTCTGGATGGAAAAGCTCACTCTCTGGGTGGGGAAAGAGTCAGACCCTCCATTGAGGTCTTCAAATACCTCTTCTGCAGATCTCTTGCCTGGCATTTACAGTCCTAGAACTGTAAAAACTGGTCCTTTTATTAGGGCATTGTTTTTGTAAATCACAAATATGCTGCAGGGTGTGCTTTTCAGTCATTAACAACTTAGAGTGAGCTAGTTTCTCAGGTTTAGGAGGGGAGGGAGAGAAAGCAGGCCATATGGTTATGGAAAGGACACTCTCAAGTAATTGGTTTCTCCCTTCTCTATAGTAGGAGGCCCTGGGTCATGGGAAGGCAGCAATGTAGCAGAAACATGCCCAATTGGCTTGAGTCTGTCACCACCTAGCTGTGCCATGACAGGCAGCTTGGCCAACTCTGAGCCTCAGGCTCCTTACCTGCCTGGAAGGTGATGCAGAACAAATGCTGCTGTAGTCATGAAAGGGTCCTGTGAATCACATGACTACATGCTCTTCCCCTTGCCAAGGAAGGGGTGAGTTTTTCAGACCTGACAGCCATGCACACACCTGCTGCTCTGCAGATGGCCTCTTCTGTGCTGCTTTCTTTTTAGAGGAAGCCCTTCAAGCTTCTTGTATCAGGTGCCACACAGACATTAGTTGCATCTTCATTGTCCTCTCCTGTGAAGGCAGAACCTGGTGCTGAGTCCCCAGCATTTCCAGGTAGGAGGGAGGCTGTGCAGGAGAGAAGCCAGACCTGGGGAAAGAGTCAGGGCATGAACCAAACTCTCCTTTATTGGCACAAGCTCCCCTAGGCCAGCCTTCCTGGGGCTCCACAGCTCCAGGGTGCATCACGGAGCTGCACCCCAATGCCAGCTTGTCCTGGCCCTCGGGAGCACAAACCTCCTGGGAAGGGCCCTCAGAGGACTGCCAGGTTCTGTCCTATCCAGCAGGGCCTTCTTCCAGGCACATCTTTGTCACGTGAGCTTGAGGACAAGGAAACTCTTTCCCTGACCTGGAGGTGAGTGCATCAAAACCAGGGCTACATTTGGGGCATCCCCAATGTCAATCACATTCTCTTTGTAATTCTCACAGCACCTCATGGTGAGGTAGACTGGTGTGAAAGAGAAACATAAAGCAAAATGTCTATCTCCTCTCGGGTCTCTGAGAAGGAAACTCTCTTACCTCAGGGAAGCGGGAGGGAGAAAGGAGCGGTGACCTTCCTATGCTGTGTTCCCAAGGAAAGCATGCATCTCAGTCCATTAGTTTTACCCTTTAGCAGCGCTACTGTCTTTGAAAAAATGGCATGTACATATATATATATATATGTGTGTGTGTGTGTGTGTGCATATGTGTGTGTGTGTGTGCATATGTATGTGTGTGTATATATATGTGCGTGTGTGTATATATATAGTCATATATATGTATATATGTATGTGTGTGTATATATATGTGCGTGTGTGTGTATATATATATATAATGACAAATGAGAGTTGGGATTGTTGAGAAATGAGTTCTGATTGTTGAATATAAATCTGAACTCAAGGAAATAACCACTATTAAAAGAACTTTAAACAAATAAAATTTAGTAGGGTTTAATTGAGCAAAGAACAATTCATGAATTGGGCATCCCTAGAATCAGGACAGATATAGTGAGACTCCAGGGGCTGCCACACAGCTGGACATTTACAGACAGAAAAAGGGAAGTCAAATACAGAAAGTGGAAGAAGGGGAAAGTGAGGTACAGCACTAGCCCTATGGTTAAAGCTGGAGTTTGGCTTATTTGAACCTGGTTTGAACGTGGGTTGTCTGTGGTTGACCTGGGTTCAGCTGCTGTGATTGGCTGACATCGGGCCGCTTGTTACAAGAGTAAGTTACAGTCTGATTACACATCAAGTTAGGTTACAGCTCACTATGTACAGAGAAACCTTTAGGCCAAACTTAAGATATGTATGGAGGCAGCATTAGGCCAAGCTTAATTCAATTTAACACTGCTCATTTCTGTAAAAGCTTTTTACAGAAAAGAAAAGCTTTCAATGTTAATTTTACCCAGTATTTTGAAAAGAGAAAATGCTTGATCATTGATCTTCACATTAAGATTAGCAGCAAGTAGGCAAAGTGTTATCTCCACTTTTGACAAGGAGGAGACAGGGGCTGCATGAAAGCCATAGGACCTCCCCATGGGAGCATCTCAATCCTCTGCTTCCAGCTCAGTGTGAGGGCCGTGGTAAACTGCCTCAGGTCTGAGCACAGCACAGTCCCTGATATACGGTGTGTTCTTCATAAATGCCAGCCAACCAGGCCCTTCCCATTCATGTAACCATGTATAGGTGTCCTGTACTTTTACTTTATAATATTAATGACAACATCTAATGATATATTTATTAATCATCTAATGTCAGTCCCTGGCACACCCACTATATGACAGCAGGGATTGAGTCGGTCTTGTTCACCACCTGTGTGCCTAGCAAAGTGCCTGGCAGACTGGAGACACCTGCCAAACAAGTGCAAGGTTGGAGAATGAAAAGCTGGCCCTATCGTAGCAATTCTGCACCATCATGACACTTGGCCATGAAACTTTGCTGCCTCAGTTGCCTAATGAATCTAATGGGAATAAAAATCTATCCTCTCTCAAGGACCAGTTCTCTCTCTCTAAGTTGGGAAACACCATTGCTCAGAAAATACTGTTCTTCCCGTAGAGGCTTCAAACTGCTGTGGACTGGGAGCACTCTTCAAGGTGCTCTCTCATGCCATGGCCAATTTGTGCTCTTTTCCATGAATTAGAAGCAGGATGTTACTTTGGACAATACCCAATAAAATTGTTCATTTGATTATTGATGATTTGTCTGAAATATTTTGTTGAGCTCTTTTGTTGCCACACACTGAATCAGGCACTTGGGGCCCACTCAGACACTGCTCTGAGGGAAAGCCCTGGCCGATGACGGTAACAAGGGCAGGGGGTGCATGGGCCATGGGAGGCAGGCCAGGTGCTCAGGGAGAAGCCTTCTGATCCCCAGTGAATCTTGAAGGGCAGTTACAAATTAGCCAGCAAAAGACGACGTTCTAGTTGGAAAGGTCAGGATGATGAAAGCCTGCAGGGCGTGAGAACTCCCAGCCTGTGTAGAATCCATCTTTGCATGTTTTCTCGCGGTGCATATGGTTTAATGATTACTATTTCTTCCTAATCAGAGCAGTGTTAGGTGACTTCTGTTCCAGGTGGGAATGGGCTTTCTCTGCCCTTTTGGGAGCTTTCTCACCTTAAAGTATCTGCAAAGGCTGTCACCCAGTATGTTTCTGAGAAACCACATTCCTGACAGCTGACACCAGTATGGGGATGAGAAGGCATCTTGTTTCCCGCTACTTCCTGTAACAGGGATCCCAAGAGAGCACTGTGACTTATGATTCACTTCAGGGTCTTTCCATTTTTTGGAAATGGAAAGACCTCCTGCTGAGGCCCTGCCAACAGAGGTGGGAACAGGGGTGGGTACCCATGATCTGGGAGAGGTAAATAGGCTGAACTTTGGGGGCACCCAGAATCTTGAATTGAAAGGGGCTGAAATGAGCAGCTTGCCGGCCTCCTACAGATACTGGTGTCTGAAACCACCATAGAGGTTTAGTTGGGTGCACATTTGCTGTGGAGGAATAAGGTCTTAGCCAGTTGGGGCTGGTTTATCTTTAGGGTGGACTGCTGGGCAGCAGGCATGGGAGAGGCACACCCCAGTTCAGCCTGTTCCTCAGTACAGCAGCCTGCCTTGTTTTCCCTCAAGGCGGGTCTGCTTATGTTGACATTGATTCTCCTTGCAAAGTGACGCGTAGGCAGAGCTTCATTTACAGGTGATTATCAGTAAGTCCTGGGTTTCCATGAGATCATTTTGCTTTCTCCTGGGAGGTGAAGCCTCTTTCCTAACTCAGGCTGTCTCAGGGTTTTGCAGCCCTCTGTCACAACGAACTCATCAGTGGCTATTTCCTTACGAAGGCTTCTGATAGGTTCACATGCCAGAGTTTCCAACCTTCACCAGCAGCTCAGATTTATGCCCCAGTGAGCGAATGTACTCAGTACTAGTTCCTTCCTATCAGCTTAGGAAAGTGTGTAGTTCAAGGATTTAAATCATTTAAACAAACTTAATTGGGAAAAACAGACACTTTAACTTTCTACCTGATGTCCCCTTTGGTCCAGCCTAGCCACCTCCGGATTTATGATGCAGTGAGTATTGCTCTGTTATTTTATCTCACATATTTTCATGTTTCCTTTTTTTCTTCTTAACTGAGACCACAAATTAGAAAAAACCTTCAGATTCACTTCCTGCGTTGTACACTTGAGCACACAGGCCTAGGGACATCGATTGCCATACTTGAGATCATGCAGCTATTAAGGGGAGGGGATGAGCCAAGGATCCAGGCTCTTCTGATGCCCAGCTCAGGGCTCAATCCACACTGGCTCCATCTTTACATCTAGCCCTGGGTGTTCTTTTTTTATTATTTATTTTTTATTTTTTTGAGTCTCGCTCTGTCTCCCAGGCTGGAGTGCAATGGTGCGATCTCAGCTCACTGCAACCTCTGCCTCCAGGGTTCAGGTGATTCTCCTGCCTCAGCCTCCCAAATAGCTGGGCCTACAGGTGTGCACCACCATGCCTGGCTAACTTTTGTATTTTTAGTAGAGACAGGGTTTTGCCCTGTTGGCCAGCCTGCTCTCATACTCCTGACCTCAGGTGATTAACCCACCTTGGCCTCCCAAAGTGCTGCAATTACAGGCGTGAGCCACTGTGCCCGGCCTAGCCTTGGATGCTTTACTGCATCCGTTTCCCCAACCATTCATGGCTTTGTAACTAGAGCACAGTGTTCTTTCTGTAGAAGGTACTTAAGGAAAGTGTTGCCTAACTTTTTATTTGCTTGGGGTTGAAATGTCAGCTTGCGGGAAATGCTCTAGAAATGTGTGGGGAAACTCTGCTAAGCACCCTCCATGACTCTCTCATTTGGTTTTCAAGGACTGAGGTAGTGATGTCATTCATTCTTGAACAGAAAGAACTAGCCAAACTTGTTTTCAGAGTCTAACACTTTGAATAGAGGCTAGAATTCTCTTACTGACCATCACGCCATGTACAAAACATTGCCAATAAACTGCTGAATCTCTGCATCTCTTGGGCTTAAATGGAAAAGCGTCTTCTCCAACCTGGGGAATAAAGTATAGGCTTTGTAATTTTATGTAAGGAAAACCCAATACTAGTTACTCTTTCTGGCATGCTTACTATGTGCCACATATATGGTGCCTCTATTATGCTGTACAAATGTTAATTCATTCAATCCTTGGCCTTAAGTGGTAAAATTTATATTATTCTGAATTTTATAAAGGAAAAGAGTGAGGCTCAGTTGCTTTTCCAAAGTCGCACAGCTAGAAAGTGGCAAAGCATGGAGTCAAATTGACTATAAGCCCTGCAGACCAGAAAAGGTGACACTTTGCCTTTGAAGACACAACAAGAGGGCTTTCCTGGATGTCTGCCAGAAACTGCTGTCTTCTGGCAGGTTCTGGGCCTCTATTTTCCATGTTCAGACTCCTAAAGGGAACAGGAGAACACTTGTTTATTTCTGTCTTCTTCTGGTCCCACTTTTACATCCCATCCCCATGGGAGGGTAAAAAAAGAAGAGGAGGCCCATCCACCTCCACTTCTCCTCTTGATGTTTGCACCAGTGGCCATAGAGATGGGGACAGACCGGACTCTGGTGCCATGGACTGGCACATGGTCTCAAGTTTCTGGCCCTGGGGTTGGAATACAGTTCCACTTGCTCTGTAGGAGATCAGAGGGATGCTATTTACAAACATTGAGTTATGTGAACTCATTTCAGTGGATTTGGGAAAATTACTCTCCATGGGAATAAAAGTTATCAAGAAAGAATTTTTAAATACTCTATATATTTGCAGGTCGAATTTATTATTTCCTAATACAACTAATATAATTATCCTCTCCCATGTTCTTCAACAGATGTATTCCAGAAACATTTTGTCTGAATCTTTAAAAGACTGCTTTGCTTTTTCTGATATCAGGTCAATAGAGAAATGTGCCACCCTGCTAGTAAAAGCCAGTTTTTGAGCAATATCTGCATAACTGTTAAATGTGTTATTATTATTATTATTTTTTGTCTAACTTTCATCCTGCACTCTTCAGCAGAACTAAAGATACTCCCTGTTCCAAGGAAGCTCATAATCTAATAATGCCATTGGAAAGTCACTTGTTATTAGTGTAGGCCTTTTGCAAATACCCTCCAAAAAAAGCTTAATGTGAGTTTTAATCCAGATAAATAAACCTATTAAGAAGGAAAAGGAGAAGGAATAAGTCTCATGAAGATTTACTACTCTTGGAGTTTGTTTTCTTCGCTGTAAGGAAGAGTTGTTCCCCATTGCTTCAATCACAAAAAACCATTAAACATAGACCAAGAAGGGGGAAAAAAACCTTACAAGATCACTTTATAAGGGACAATAAGTACTTGAAAATTAGAAAACATCCCTTTAAATTTGGGAAGTCTTTAAGTGCTCTGGGTGAATACATGAGTGGTAGTAAAGAGTGAAGTGTGCAAACTCCAATCTACAGTCAATTTGGCAGCAGAATTCTCAGTGTGCTACGGAAGTAAGCAAATGTTAGAGAGGTAAACAGATTCCAGATTAACTTACCTGGAAGAGTCTCCAAGAGCAGCTGGGAAGCAGAAGAATGCAGCTCCTTTCTTGCCATCTGGTTTGACTGGAAATCCACTGGTCTGGTGGTTCCATTGGCATGGGGGCATTACCCTCCTCCCCTTCTCCCCAAACCCTTCAAAATTTCCAAGGAAGCCTGTCAAGCTCAGTTAAGACTCAATGTGTCCCCAGGGTCCTTTTTTGCCACATGGAAGAAGAGAGAATGTGTCTTATCTTGATGATTTTCTTCTAATCAATTTGAGTGTCAACAGCTAAATTTGAAAAATAGAATGCAAAGTGAAGACTAGATTTATCATTGTTAAGCTAGGAAACCAAGAGTCTGCATTTCTGTATTCTAGGGTGAAAATGGAAATTCACCTGTGGAACTCACTGGCCATTGTGGAAGAAACAGTAAGATGACCCTCCCTTCATTATGCTGGCCAATATGGTATCAGATCACTTTGTGTTTCCACTTCAGAACTTTGTGGGTGACTTTTGTTCACTGTTGTATCCCCAGCACCTAGAGCAGTGGCTCATGAAAAATAGAGTTTCAATAAGTATTTGTGGGAATGAATGAACGTTTGATCAAAAGAGGTAATTCTCTCATGCTGCCAAGATGAATGTGGGGGCTTGGAAATGTGTTCCTAGAATCCTGCATTGGAGATTGAAACTCAATTGGAGCTTTCCTATGGAAGCAATGTTACATAAAGTGATTGGGAGTTATTGAAATAGTGCTCTTGGCACCATGATAGCTGTAGGCACTTGTGGCTTGGCATGATGACTTTGTTATAGTCTATGTCACTGTTTCCATGGGAAAATACATTCTGGGTCCCAGGACTTGGCTTATAAGTGACTTTGGAAATACAAACCAGTCTTAGTTGAGACCTGCCCGAAACTTTGGTTTGACTGTGGCTGTCTTGGAATGTGTCCAAAATAAGGCATTGCTAGGAAACCTGAGTGGCCTTTCTTCTTGTGGCTGGTTCCTACCAGGAAGGGTGGTGTCATGTCAGGAATGTAGACTTGAAGTTTGTAGACCATACCATGCTAGCTATGACCCTTCCTTAAGTGGCCTAAAAAGACTAGAGGATTTTTAATGGACTGGGGAAAGGTCCTTCCAGGTATGTTAATATCCCAAACAATTTAGCTACATAGAATGTGGCCCAGAAACATCACAGTGGGTCACCAGCAACCATGACATTCAGTGAGGTTCAGAGACAATCAGGGTATTATCCTAGAAGATCATAATGTTGGGTATAATATTTGTGGCATAATTGTTGTTTAATCAGCTCTGGGATATGGCTGGGCTATCTTACAGAACAAACAGCCTCATGCACGCTGATGCACATTTGAAGGAATATCCTTCATGTAGACTCATTCAGACATCCCAACCTGCTTTTCTGCAGATTGGGGGTTGGTGTGAGGAGCCAGTAGTCTCAGACAGCACTAGTATTGAGGCCATGGATGTCCAGGGAGAAGCCTGGCACCTTATTCTTTGGCATGAAGACCGTGGGGCCTCAAGGGAAGGTGGAAAGTCTAAGGCTCTCTGGTCATAAGATAGGGTCACCTGGTGATGGAAGGGCTGCAACTGGCCCTGAGAGGGTTCCTGACTGACCACACAGATGTACTTGCTGGGACATGAAGAGATGTCTCTGCCATGAGGCTGGTGGGTCTTGGCAGGGGACAGGGGCAGAGTTGGAAACAGAAATCTAACACAAAGGTGAGAGAGTGATTTTAAGTTGTTGGAGGAGTTATGAGATTCTAGCCAGGGTGTAGGGAATGAGGTAGGGGTGAAGGACAGCACTGACCTCTTGAATAAGGGCAGTATCAGTAGATACTGTGTCACTGTGTCCCCTTCAGGGGCCCCTCTGGCAGTGAACGAGGCTAATACAGTGTGTTTCTGCTCAGGCTTGTTAATGCCTTTCATTGCTTTCTCTCTGTCCACACAGGAGGCTGCTTGTGTTAGCCTCATTTTCGGTAGACTCTACTCAACTGTGGCAATGATGGGCACCTGTAGTACCAAGCTCATATCTCACTAGATTTGCTGCAAAGAAGACCAAGCAAAGTTCCAAGGCTGATGCTTTGCAGCCCAGAATGGATCATGACTATTACCTTGATTGGCCAGGCCTAGGACGGGGGTAACCACTCTCAAGCCCTTGGACTGAGACTGGGGGAAAAGTGGTTCCCCAGGAAAAACTGAGTTCCTATTATCTAAAGAAGACATGAATATTCAGCAGAAAAACATCACATTTCCACACTTTTAAACTCTGAAATATGTGGCTAGGTATAAGTCAAAGCCAGAAATTAAATGAGGGAACAGTTCTCTGAGGCCTTCACGCAGCTGTTAATGTTCCTAGAAAGTGAAGGGGTTTTCCCTGATCTATTCTATAACGTATCTTAAGTAGAGTACTTTCAAGTTCTTGTCCTGGAAAATCACCACATGATTAACAAACCCATAGACTGGAAAATTGGGGAAGGGCAGGCAGAAGACTACAAGAGAACTCTTGTACCCTTTCAACAAATAGGCAGCATCACTTAGCACAAAGGAGGAAATGAAGCAATAATTGAAACCATGAAGTGGGTATCTTTGTATGCGTGCATGTTGTGAAAAAACGTGCATCATCCACATTAACACATAGCCAGATGAAAACCCAAGTCATCTCCTTTACTGTAATATTATTAGAAAACAGTGATACTTATTATTTCTTCATCACTTTCTAAGTTACGGGTTAATCTAATCTTGCAATGAGATTCTTCTGCATCAGGTAAAGTTACTCTTATTCTTCAATGATACCTCTTCAAAGAGTCTTTCCAGATTCATGTAGGGAGGGATCTTTTTTTCTCCTTCTTGGTAGCTGCTCACTGCTTTTTGTGCATGCCAGTATGATAGCACTTGTCGTGTGGCACTGTGATTTTTTATTTGTTCAAAAGGCTCTATCAGGCAAGAGCTATGGGCTTTGAGGTGCATCACTTGACTTCCCTGAAACACAAACTGGTAGAATAACAGTTCATCCCTCTTAGGGGTATTGCAAGAATTAAATTAAATGAGCTGTTGCATGAAAAGCACTTAGCATAATACCTGGCTTATAGTGGGAGCCCAGTAAATATTGGCAGTTAGCATTTTAGTGTTTATTCTCATTAAAATAATAATGATTATAATAATTATCATTGCTATGTCCTCTACTAGGTGGAGAAGTGCTTGAGGGCAGGGACTGTTCTGAGATCATAGTAGGTACTCTGTGGAAAAAAAGGAGGGAGGAGGGAAATAAAAAATGGAAACAACAAAGAGGGCAGCAATACCAGGTTTGCCCAGAAGTGACAACTCTAGGTAGCCAGAAATAGCCTCTCCAGCTAGAAGGGATCTCATGACCTTTTGTTTTATAGAAAAGGAAATGTAGGGGCCAAGAAAGGTTAAGGAGCATGTTTAGGATCACAGTGTTGGCAGCAGTGGCCTGGAATCCAGGCTCTCTCCTGGGGTTAACCTTCATAGCCCCTGCTTTATTGGCATCTCCACCTTCCTTAGTAAATGCCCATGTATCCATATGGCTTGATAAACCTTGGCTGATGTCTGCCACTGAGAGAATAGGGCATTTCCTATCTATCCCCAGATGGAGACTGAGGAGAACATGGATATTTGATGGGAATGTAATGTATTCGTTATCTTTTCAGTGTCTTTCTTGTAAAACCCAAAAGGCAGCCATTAAAAAATAATATGATCCTGGTCTTAATCCAGCAGGCTCCAAGCAGCCTCAGCCATTATGAGAGTTACTGACTCTAATTGCAAATTATGAGGCAGTTAAAGAAATATAGCATATGTCCTTCTTTAATATAGGTTTGAACCTTCTTTAATATAGGATTGAACTGAACTGTCTACAAGGATTACTGTCTTCCTTGGGAAATAGGCAAGCACTGAGCTGACACAGGAGCCAAAACAAGGTCTCTGGAACGTATACTGGCAGGAATATCAGAAAGGAAACCCATTCCTGTGTTTGAGTGGATGGGACTCCTCAGAAGTGAGAGAAAATTAATACTGAGATTGACAGAGTGCTTGAAAGGGGAGGTGAGAATGAACTAAATGTAAGAAAGCCAGGTTGGGTATAAAACTGTCTGTAACTGAATATACTTCATCACAAGCATCATGATCTCATGTGTGTATTATGGGTTACATTATACCTTAGGTACAGTCATTTGCCCAAATTGGGAATTTGCACCCTAGGGTGGAGAGCCAGCATTCGAATTAGGAAAACTGTACTCCAGAAGCAGCTACTACAAGAGCTCCCATGACCTTTATCTATGATCAATGGTAGAGGCTCTGCTAACTGGCATACTTAATGTTAGAAATAGGTTTCCGTTGATGAAATCCGTGGCTTCTTAGCATAGTGGATGCTCCAAACAGAAATTCATTCGTGAACTTACTAGTGGTAAAGATAAGTGAATTGTCTCAAGTATTTTAGAGTAGCTTCCTGCTTTTGATTAAAAAGAGTATAAACATCTAGCCAGTCCTGTAGCTCTTAGTGATGCAATCCTGGATCAAGATTTGGATTCAGAAGTTACTAGTTTCTTGATGTCAACTATGCAGATTAATTGAATTCTGTATCCAAAATATTGTTGTATTTACCTGAAAAGATGATGTGCTATCAGGAGCTAAAGAAGCCATGCTTTAACTATGAAGGGATAAACCCAAGGACAATATGCAAAGTATGTTATTTATCCAATGCTCTCTGACAAATTACTCCAAAATGTAGTGGCTTAAAACAACAATAATAATAATCTCCCATGATTTCTGTGAGTCAGGAATTTGAGAGCAGTTCTGGCTTGGAGATTTCTCATGAAGTTACAATCACATGTTGGCTGGAGCTGTAACTATCTGAAGGCTTGACTGGGGCTGAAGGACTCACTTCCAAGATAGCTAACTCCATGGCAGACAAGCTGATGCTCCCCGTTGGAGGGAGGCCTTAGCTTTTCTCTATGTTGGCTTCTCCATGTGTCCTGGATTTCCTCACAACATGGTGGTTGAGTTCCAGAGGCAAGCATCTGAAAACAGAGAGCCAGGTGGAAGCTGTATCCTTTCTGTGATCTACCCTCAAGAGTCACATAGCATCACTTCTGCCCCACTCCATTGACTGGGACAGTCACAATCCCCTGCCTAGATTTGAGAAGAGAGAACACAGACCCTTCCCTTAATGGGAGGAGTGTCAGTTGCCAGTCACATTGTGTGAAAATTATGTGCGATGAGATAAATATGTAGGTGTGGCATTTTTTGAGAAATACAACATGCTACAATAAGTAAGGATGGCAATGAGAAAAGGTAAGAAAACAAAAACAAAAAACCCACCTAGGGCCTTGATACCATCACTGGGCTACTGAAGTAATCAACCATGAAAACACCTACCTCAGAATATCTTGTTTTGTAAGATAGTACTTTATCTTCATTATTTTATTTGGGTATTCTATTATTATAGCTGAAAATATTTTAATGGATATTACTTGGTAGAAAAGCTAGAGCAAAAGACCTGGATTCAAATTCTCCCATGGCTCCCTAGATGATATTACTTCAACTAAAGTATTTATTCCCATTCATGTATTCAACAAATGTTTATAAATGAACTTCAATGTGCCAACAAGGTACTGTTTAAGACAGTAAGAATGCAACAGTGAGTAAAACCGGCAGAGATCCCTGTCCTCATGTAGCTAACAATTGACTATGTGTTCTGTGGGACTGTCTGTGTGTGAGGGAGGTGGTGGTATGGAGTGGCAAGAAATAAACCAGGTAAATAATTAAGATGATGTTGAGTGGTGAGGAGTGCTATGGAGGAAGATAAAGCAGGACAGGGTGACAGTGTGACTAGGGAGGTCCTCATGCACAAGGTGACATTTGAGTAAGGACTTGAAGGAGACCCAGTGTGTATTAGGAACACTTCTAGTGGGACCTAAGGGAGTCAGTGAGGGGAAGGATAGTAGGAAGTGAGGACAGACGTTTTAGGAGATGGGAGCAAATTGTATAGTGAAATGGGAAGCTGTTGAGCTTTTGATTAGAGGGTTATGTAATCTGACTTACTTTTTTTTCTTTTTTTAAATTATACTTTAAGTTCTAGGGTACATGTACACAATGCGCAGGCTTGTTACATAGGTATACATGTGCCATGTTGGTTTGCTGCACCCATTAACTCGTCATTTACATTAGGTATTTCTCCTAATGCTATCCCTCCCCCTACTCCCCACCCCATGACAGGCCCCTGTGTGTGATGTTCCCCACCCTGTGTCCAAGTGTTCTCATTGTTCAATTCCCACCTATGAGTGAGAACACACGGTGTTTGGTTTTCTGTCCTTGTGATAGTTTGCTCAGAATGATGGTTTCCACCTTCATCCATGTCCCTGCAAAGGACATGAACTCATCCTTTTTTATGGCTGCATAGTATTCCATGGTGTATATATGCCACATTTTCTTAACCCAGTCCATCATTGATGGACATTTGGGTTGGTTCCAAAGTTTTTGCTATTGTGAATACTGCCACAATAAACATACGTGTGCATGTGTCTTTAGAGTAGCATGATTTATAATCCTTTGGGTATATACCCAGTAATGAGATCGCTGTGTCAAATGGTATTTCTAGTTCTAGATCCTTGAGGAATCGCCACACTGTCTTCCACAATGGTTGAACTAGTTTACACTCCCACCAACAGTGTAAAAGCATTCCAATTTCTCCACATCTTCTCTAGCATCTGTTGTTTCCTGACTTTTTAATGACCGCCATTCTAACTGGTGTGAAATGGTATCTCATTGTGGTTTTGATTTGCATTTCTCTGATGAGCATTTCTTCATGTGTCTGTTGGCTGCATATACATGTCTTCTTTTGAGAAGTGTCTGTTCATATCCTTTGCCCAATTTTGATGGGGTTGGTTTTTTCTTGTAAATTTATTTAAGTTCTTTGTAGATTCTGGATATTAGCCCTTTATCAGATGGATAGATTGCAAAAATTTTCTCCCATTCTATAGGTTGCCTATTTACTCTGACGGTAGTTTCTTTTGCTGTGCAGAAGCTCTTTAGTTTGATTAGATCCCATTTGTCAATTTTGGCTTTTGTTGCCATTGCTTTTGGTGTTTTAGTCATGAAGTCCTTGTTCATGCCTATGTCCTGAATGGTATTGCTTAGGTTTTCTTCTAGGGTTTTTATGGTTTTAGTCTAACATTTAAGTCTTTAATCCATCTTGAATTAATTTTTGTATAAGATGTAAGGAAGGGATCCAGTTTCAGCTCTCTACATATGGCTAGTCAGTTTTCCCAGCATTTATTAAACAGAGAATCCTTTCCCCATTTCTTGTTTTTGTCAGGTTTGTCAAAGATCAGATGGTTGTAAATGTGTGGTGTTATTTCTAAGGCCTCTGTTCTGTTCCATTGGTCTATATCTTTCTTTTGGTGACAGTACCATCCTGTTTTGGTTACTGTAGACTTGTGGTATAGTTTGAAGTCAGGTAGCGTGATGTCTCCAGCTTTGTTCTTTTTGCTTAGGATTGTCTTGACAATGTGGGCTCTTTTTTGGTTCCATATGAACTTTAAAGTAGTTTTTTCCAATTCTGTGAAGAAAGTCATTGGTAGCTTGATGGGGATGGCATTGAATCTATAAATTACCTTGGGCAGTATGGCCATTTTCACGATATTGATTCTTCCTATCCATGAGTATGGAATGTTCTTCCATTTGTTTGTGTCCTCTTTTATTTTGTTGAGCAGTGGTTTGTAGTTCTCCTTTAAGAGGTCCTTCACATCCATTGTAAGTTGGATTCCTAGGTATTTTATTCTCTTTGTAGCAATTGTGAATGGGAGTTCACTCATGATTTGGCTCTCTGTTCGTCTGTTATTGGTGTATAGGAGTGCTTGTGATTTTTGCATGTTGATTTTGTATCCTGAGATTTTGCTGAAGTTGCTTATCAGCTTAAGGAGATATACAGATGAGATGATAGGGTTTTCTAAATATACAATCATGTTATCTGCAAACAGGGACAATTTGACTTCCTCTTTTCCTAATTGAATACCCTTTATTTCTTTCTCCTTCCTGATTGCCCTGGTCAGAACTTCCAACACTATGTTGAATAGGAGTGGTGAGAGAGGGCATCCCTGTCTTGTGCCAGTTTTCAAAGGGAATGCTTCCAGTTTTTGCCCATTCTTTATGATATTGGCTGTGGGTTTGTCATAAATAGCTCTTATTATTTTGAGATACGTTCCATCAATACCTAGTTTATTCAGAGTTTTTAGCATGAGGTGCTGTTGAATTTTGTCAAAGGCCTTTTCTGCATCTATTGAGATTATCATGTGGTTTTTCTTGTTGGTTCTGTTTATGTGATGGATTACCTTTATTTGCGTATGTTGAACCAGCCTTGCAACCCAGGGATGAAGCCGACTTGATCGTGGTGGATAAGATTTTTGATGTGCTGCTGGATTTGGTTTGCCAGTATTTTATTGAGGATTTTCACATTGATGTTCATCAGGGGTATTGGTCTAAAATTCTCTTTTTTTGTTGTGTCTCTGCCAGGCTTTGGTGTCAGGATGGTACTGGCCTCAAGAAATGAGTTAGGGAGGATTCCCTCTTTTTCTGTTGATTGGAATAGTTTCAAAAGGAATGGTACCATCTCCTCTTTGTACCTCTGGTAGAATTTGGCTATGAATCCATCTGTTCCTGGACTTTTTTTGATTCGTACGCTATTAATTATTGCCTCAATTTCAGAGCCTGTTTTTGGTTTATTCAAGGATTCAACTTCCTCCTGATTTAATCTTGGGAGGGTGTATGTGTCCAGGAATTTATCCATTTCTTTAGATTTTTTAGTTTATTTGCATAGAGGTGTTTATAGTATTCTCTGATGGCAGTTTGTATTTCTGTGGGATCGTTGGTGATATCACCTTTATCATTTTTTATTGTGTCTATTTGATTCTTCTCTCTTTTCTTATTAGTCTTGCTAGCAGTCTATCAATTTTGTTGATCTTTTCAAAAAATCAGCTCCTGGATTCATTGATTTTTTGAAGCTTTTTTTTGTGTCTCTATCTCCTTCAATTCTGCTCTGATCTTAGTTATTTCTTGCCTTCTGCTAGCTTTTGAATGTGTTTGCTCTTGCTTCTCTAGTTCTTTTAATTGTGATGTTAGGGTGTCAATTTTATATCTTTCCTGCTTTCTCTTGTGGGCATTCAGTGCTATAAATTTCCCTCTACACCCTGCTTTAAATGTGTCCCAGAGATTCTGGTATATTGTGTCTTTGTTCTCATTGGTTTCACAGAACATCTTTATTTCTGCCTTCATTTTGTTATTTACCCAATAGTCATTCAGGAACAGGTTGTTCAGTTTCCATGTAGTTGTGCGGTTTTGAGTGAGTTTCTTAATTCTTAGTTCTAATTTGATTGCATTGTGGTTTGAGAGACAGTTTGTTGTGATTTCTATTCTTTTACATTTGCTGAAGAGTGCTTTACTTCCAACTATGTGGTCAGTTTTGGAATAAGTGTGATGTGGTGCTGAGAAGAATGTATACTTTGTTGACTTGGGGTGAAGAGTTCTGTAGATGTCTATTAGGTCTGCTTGGTGCAGAGCTGAGTTCAAGTCTTGGATATCCTTGTTAACCTTCTGTCTTGTTGATCTGTATAATATTGACAGTGGGCTGTTAAAGTCTCCCATTATTATTGTGTGGGAGTCTAAGTCTCTTTGTAGGTCTCTAAGGACTTGCTTTATGAATCTGTGTGCTCCTGTATTGGATGCATATATATTTAGGATAGCTAGCTCTTCTTGTTGAATTGATCCCTTTCCCATTATGTAATGGCCTTCCTTGTCTCTTTTGATCTTTGTTGGTTTAAAGTCTGTTTTAACAGAGACTAGGATTGCAACCCCTGCCTTTTTTTGTTTTCCATTTGCTTGGTAGATCTTCCTCCATCCCTTTATTTTGAGCCTATGTGTGTCTCTGCACGTGAGATGGGTTTCCTGAATACAGCACACTGATGGGTCTTGACTTGACTCTTTATCCAATTTGCCAGTCTGTGTCTTTTAATTGGAGCATTTAGCCCATTTACATTTAAAGTTAATATTGTTATGTGTGAATTTGATGCTATCATTATGATGTTAGCTGGTTATTTTGCCCATTAGTTGATGCAGTTTCTTCCTAGCATCAATGGTCTTTACAATTTGGCATGTTTTTGCAGTGGCTGGTACCAGTTGTTCCTTTCCATGTTTAGTGCTTCCTTCAGGAGCTCTTGTAAGGCAGGCCTGATGGTGACAAAATCTCTCAGTGTTTGCTTGTCTGTAAAGGATTTTATTTCTCCTTCACTTATGAAGATTAGTTTGGCTGGATATGAAATTCTGGGTTGAAAATTCTTTTCTTTAAAAATGTTGAATATTGGCCCCCACTCTCTTCTGGCTTGTAGAGTTTCTGCCGAGAAATCCGCTGTTAGTCTGATGGGCTTCTCTTTGTGGGTAACCCGACCTTTCTCTCTGGCTGCCCTTAACATTTTTTCCTTCATTTCAACCTTGGTGAATCTGACAATTATGTGTCTTGGGGTTGCTCTTCTTGAGTATCTTTGTGGTGTTCTCTGTATTTCCTGAATTTGAATATTGGCCTGCCTTGCTAGGTTGGAGAAGTTCTCCTGGATAATATCCTGAAGAGTGTTTTCTAACTTAGTTCCATTCTCCCTGTCACTTTCAGATACACCAATCAAACGTAGAGTTGGTCTTTTCACATAGTCCCATATTTCTTGGAGGCTTTGTTTGTTTCTTTTCACCCTTTTTTCTCTAATCTTGTCTTCTCTCTCTATTTCATTAATTTGATCTTCAATCACTGATATCCTTTCTTCCACTTAAACAAATTGGCTACTGAAGCTTGTGTATGCTTACCAAAACAAAATTAATACATCTGTCATTACCTATGCTGTACATTGAATCCACAGAACTTACCTGTTCTCTTATAACTGAAAATGTGTGCTCTTTGACCAATGTCTTCTCATTTGCCCTGCTCCTTGTCCCCCACCCCTGGCAATTACCATTTTGTTCTCTGTTGCTATGAATTAGGCTTTTTTTTTTTTGGAGACACTTTTAAGCAGCAAAATCACCAAGAAAAAGCACAGAAATATGAAAAAGCTTGCACTAAATAGACTGTGAAAAGGATCCCAGTTTACAGTATGACAGCTGAAACAAGAAGGCAGAGAATTTTCTTGTTTAAGATCAACTAGGAAGGAGTGTGATGGGTAACTGAAATTTTTTGCTGCTTGGTGTGTGTTTGCTAATGACCTTGAAAGGACCACAAGTATAGATTTTGGGATTGCAAATACATTTTAGAGAGTAGGAAAGTTTGCAATATGTAAACAATATGTGAATGAGTCTCTACTGTATCTAATTTGCTTTAAACTGAATGCAAAGGGCCAAAGAACAAGGCTTTTAGAGATTTTTCTCTGTATGTCCATGTGCAAGAGGCCATCAATTCTATATATTTTAACTTTATTTTTATTTTATTTTATTTTTTTGAGACAGAATCTCGCTGTGTAGCCTAGGCAGGAGTGCAGTGGCATGATCTTGACTCACTGCAACCTCTGCCTCCTGGGTTCAAGTGATCCTCGTGCCTCAGCCTCCTGAGTAGCTGGGACTACTGGTGTGCATGCCTGGCTAAATTTTGTATTTTTAGTAGAGATGGGGTTTTGCCGTGTTGCCCAGGCTGGTCTTAAACTCCTGAGCTCAAGTGATCTGCCAGCTCCAACCTCCCAAAGTGCTGGGATTACAGGCGTGAGCCACTCCATGCAGCTGGGTATATTTTAACTTTAAAGATGTCATCAATGCTTTGGAGCTAAATCCTTTACACAAGTGAACTCTGAAGTTGTGATTGGTTTTGATCTTATTAGTTTGACATGAGATTTTATTACTTTGAAAACAGCTTAATATTTCTGAGGCTATCCTCTTTGGTCTGCATCTTCTTTTTATATTCTTATAAATTAGATTCTGTGAGCAGGTTTTTCTCTTTTGTTTTGTGTATGGAGATTGAGACAAAGTAGCACTGAGATGCCTGTGCAAGGTGACCACTTCTCTCCACGGAGATGCTGTGAACTTCCTTTGAAAGAAAACAGACTAGGTTCGGTTTTGGTTTTGAAGGAGGAAAATATCTTGACCTTGTGGTTTTAAAAATCAATTTCCTAAATAGTTAAATTTAAGGAAAAAATTTTAAAAATAAAATAAAATGAACAGAAATGTGAGCCCCAGGGTCCTTTAAAAATGCCTTTATAATTTTCCATGGAACATATTTTTGTTGTTGTTTATTACTCCTCTTTTCAGGCACCCTCATACTATTTGGTCTGTAGTTTCTAAAGGAGTCGTTTAGTTCATTGAAGAGTAACCCAGCTGCCCCCTCAAACGCCATTGCCCTTCTTGGAACTGCGGAATCCCTCTGGGGGAGGCTTGTGAGATGCGTAGGCTCAAGGAACCCTCCAGGGAATGGCTCCGTCCAGCCTGTTGGACGTTGCTAAGCGAGTCCAAGATAAACAGAGAGCCACTGGGAGACAGAGCAGGGCCAATCTTACCATTAGGCTGATCAGCTTTCCTCTGCCTGTTGTCCTTCCCTAAACCGTTGAGTCTTCCTGCCAAGACAATGTCCCAGCTTGTGCAGATGCAAACAAGGCAGAAAGCCTTGTTTGTTTTGTCTGGAAGTTAACCTTGAACTCTCAAAGGAGCACTTAATGTCATATGGAAGCAACACTCTCCAAAGACAGCAGCCCCACTTTTCTGGGGACCAGACTGCCATTAACCTCAGCCTCCCCAACCACAGATGATTTCAGAAAAGGTCTTTGAGGAAAAGACTGGTGACAAAGCCCGGTTACTTTTCTCAGGCCAGCAGACCCAGGCAAATTAAAGAGGGAGTCTCTGGGGCTTATGGACACTGCTTGGGATACTAGTTTTGAAGGAGCACTAAAACCACACTGGAATAAACTGGAAACGCAGTGTCAGTTAACTCAGGTTTCTGCCTAGAGCTGTTCCTGTGCAAGTAAGCAGTTCCTTTAAGTTCCTGGTGTCAGGGTTCTCATGGAAGCATTCCTATTTGTGACATTTCCAAACAAATAATGGGGCACAACTGCAGGCAGAGCCTCAGCCCCGAGACCTGCATCCACACCGGAGACTAGAGTCACATTGTGGTTTGCTGACAGGTGACACCAAATAATGCATGGTGCCATGCTGCTTCTTGGGAAGGAGGGGTTTCCTTTCCCTTTCGTTATCTAAATAATTAGCTCTTTAACATGCCTTAATATACATAGAATGGTTTAGAAAATTGCCCATAATAAGTGTATACAACTATTCTCTCATTTTGAATATAAAGAAAAAGCATGATTTTTACTCATAGAAGTTTCTCACTCCCACTAGTATTGAACAAATATGCTTTAAAGAAGAGCTGCATTATTATTATTATTATTATTATTATTTTTTTTTTTTTTTTTTTTTTTGAGACAGAGTCTCGCTCTGTCGCCCAGGCTGGAGTGCAGTGGCATGATCTCGGCTCACTGCAAGCTCCACCTCCCGGGTTCACGCCATTCTCCTGCCTCAGCCTCCTGAGTAGCTGGGACTACAGGCGCCTGCCACCGTACCTGGCTAATTTTTTTGTATTTTTAGTAGAGACAGGGTTTCACTGTGTTAGCCAGGATGGTCTCGATCTCCTGACCTTGTGATCCGCCCGTCTTGGCCTCCCAAAGTGCTGGGATTACAGGTGTGAACCACCGTGCCCGGCCAAAGAGCTGCATTATTAATTGTCTTAGGGAGCCCCTGTGTCTCTTTTTGACCTTGCAGAGAGAGACCTGGACTTAACCAGTTTGACTTGCTTGGGAAAGGGCCTCCTTCCCCATCCTCAACGGATAGGGATGGACCATTGGAGAGGAGCACAGGGCCTATAAAAGCCAAGGGTTCTAGCGGAGTGCTTTCCAGCTTTCAAGCGAGGATGATCAACTCTCAGCTTTTCCTGGTGTTTCATGGTGCTAAAGCCTGCAAAGTCCTGGGACCAGCTGGTCATTGTACCTCAGGCTCATTGTACCTAGGGAGGCAGCAGAGTGGAGGGCTTACCTGTGTGGGCTTGGGGGCCCAACGGCCTCGGTTAGGGCCTGTCTCCATTATTTAATTTGCAACCTTGGGCAAGTAACTTAACCTCACTGCTTTTTGGTTTTCTCATCTGGAAACTGATGGGAAAAATAACACCTACCTTTTAGGGATATTGCGAAGCAAAAATGAAACAATATATGCAGAGTAACTCTTAGTGTGCTGGGTACATAGAAAGTGCTCATAAATGTTGGCTATTATTATTGTGGTAATTTTTATTTGAGGGCACAATGATTTTTACCTCTCCAGTAGTAGGATGGGCAATCCTGTGCGAAAGACAGCAATTAATATATCTGATGTCAGCCTGGATCTATCAAGAAGAGGTCTTAAGGAGGTGGGGAATTGTGGGATTGTATTCCTTTTGGAATATGTTTTATCAAAATAGATTTTACTTTTAAAAATTTGAGTGTCTGTAGGGGCAGGTCTTGATGATCTGGAAAGTCTAGGCGGACAGAATTCTTGGAAAAGGGAGGCAAAGCTCTGTATGCATGCTTAGGGATCTGCAGGCTTTGCAAGTGCCCTTGCTGGGGGACCAGACACCGGAGGAGCCTGTGGTTTATCAGTCCCTCCTGGAGGCCCAGTATCAGGCTGCGGGCAGTCGGTTGGTGTGTGCTGTAGAAAATCTCCCCAGCTCCAGCACTGGATCTCCAGGCACATGTGTTTTAGATCAGTGGTAATGGAGTGTGCTTTTGAAGTTCGGATTTCCTGTTATTTGGCCTGCAAAATTTTGCTGAGTCATTTGACCTCATGGATCTTCTGAAATAGTAGTCACATGACCAGAGTAAACCGTGTAGACCCACAGCTTGCCTGCAGATACGTATGTTTTTTCAAACTTGATTCAACCAGTATTCACAGATCACACACTGCCTGCCATACATTACATTAGGGACCTGGAGCTTACTGGGCGGTATAGGGCCCAGCTTTGTCCACAGAGAGCTTGCTTTCTAGTGAAGAGGACAGGCCCATATCTAAGGACTGCATGTCTGACCTTAAAAATTTTGGTTAACTCTTTTTTTTTTTTTTTTTTTTTTTGAGACAGAGTATCACTCTGTCACCCAGGCTGGAGTGCAATGGCGCGATCTCGGCTCACTGCAACCTCCACCTCCCAGGTACAAGTGATTCTCCTGCTTCAGCCTCCTGAGTAGCTGGGATTACAGGTGCATGCTACCACGCCTGGCTAATTTTTGTGTTTTTAGTAGAGACAGGGTTTCACCATGTTGGTCAGGCTGGTCTCAAACTCCTGACCTTGTGATCCACCTGCCTCAGACTTCCAAAGTGCTGGGATTACAGGCATGAGCCACCACGCCCAGCCAAAATTCCAATTAACTCTTAAAAGAAGTATACACTGTGTGACCAAGGAAGCACAGAGTGATTCATTCTGAGAGGGGAGAATCACAAAGCAAGGAACATAGAGCCACGCTTTGGAAGAGAAGTAGAATAATGAAAGTCAGCAGAGGGCAAATGGAAACAGAGCACCGTGTGCAGATTCACTGTGTCTTGTCTGTCAATCAGCATGCTTGATTGGACCATAGGAAGCACAAAGGTAGTGTAGTGGGAGATTAATTGGACCAGCTGATGCAGAATGTGGGGTGAATGCAAGACTACAGAGCTGAGACTTTATTTTATATGCAAGAGGGAAGGGTTTTGAGCAAGGGAATGTTATAATCATGACTAGGCATTAGAAAAACGCATTGGTGAAGGAGGGCATCTTTGTCAGCAGTTCTATGTGGGATGCAGGAAGACAGGAGAGAGCAGAGGTGTTAGTTATAAAACACAGGCAAGAGTTCATGAGCGCTTGAACTTTGGAAGTGACAGAGAGAACGGAGGGGAGGGCAGAGAAGTGACTAAAGACATTTGGGAGGAGGAAAGAGAAGGTTTATCAACATCCTGTTTTAATGTGGAAATCAAGCAGGATGCAAGCAGCAGGGAATGGAAGAGCAAACTGGATTCCAGTCTGGGTCATGCCAAAAAGACGATGAAGGGTGAAGGCCAAGAATGGGGTTATTTAGCCTAGGAAACAAAGGGTTAAACAGCACCTTAATGATAGCTTGTATGTATGTGAGAGACCAATAACAACTGTTTTCTGATTTTCTCTAGATTTCTGATTTTTTCTGATTTTAACTGGAGTTAAGGTCTGTAGAATTTAGATAAAATATAAGAAAACAATTCCAAATGGGGAAATTTTGAGACATTTTATCTTCAGGATGGGTTTCGTTTCTAAGTGTAAATATTTGCCTCAATGTCTCAAGATAGGAAGAGATGCCTCCTTTCCTCCCTCTTACTGGAAATCCAGCTCAGCTCATCCTCCGTCAGTGGTTTCCACTCTGACAAGAAAAGACAGCATTGCTGTTACTTTAAGGAAAAACAGAAGCAGTTGATGTGGATTTGCCATTGGAAATGGCTGTACTAAATTCACAAAGGAATTCTGAATAATTAAAATAAGCATAAATATAAAATAAGAATACTGAAAATAGTAGGTATAAGTTGGTTTGTGGTCGTGTAAGTATTAAAATTAAATCTCTTCAGGTGGCTTATAACAGAATGCCACTTCAAAAGAGCTTTGGCAGAAAAGAAAGGATGTTTGGAAGGGATTAGGGGAATCTCAGGCCACCCAAGGCAGAGGGTGACTGAGGTGTGTCCGGAGTCCTGAGAGTGTTGTTTGTTTCCTGCTCTGCTTCTCCCTGAGTTGGCTGCCTTCTCTCCCTGCATGCTGACCTTCACCAGGTCAGCCACCCGACAGTGCCTGAATGGCCTGTGTGCAGGGCAAGGGGCCAAGAGACAGCCAGATCATGGCTCTACCCCAATTCCAAATTCTGGGGAAGAGACTCTGGCCCAGCTCAGAGAACAAGATCTTATAGCTCAAGCATAGGTGCTGAAAGGAGCATGCTGCTGTGGACAGAGCAGGCAGTTCTCAGAGGAGGGTATTATGGGCTGGGCAGCCACTTCATAAAGGCACTTACTGCAAGCTCTTAAAAAACTGACAGACTTTGTCCACAAAGAGCTTGCTTTCTAGTGACTAGGACAGGCCCATATTTAAGGACTACATGTCTGACCTTAAAAAATTCAATTAACTCTTAAAAGAAATGTACACTATGCGACCAAGGAAGCACGGAGTGATTCATTCTGAGAGGGGAGAATCACAAAGGAAGGAACATAGAGCCAGGCTTTGGAAGAGAAGTAGAATAATGAAACAGAGGGCAAATGGAAACAGAGCACCGTGTGCAGGTTCACTGTGTCCTGTCTGTCAATCAGCATGTTTGATTGGACCAAAGCTCTCATCTGTTCTAAGTATACGGCAGAATATTTGAAATGTAGAGCATAAAGAACTTCTAGCACAAAATAATTTAGAAAAGTCACCATCCTGGCTGGGTGCTGTGGCTCACTCATGTAATCTCAGCAGTGTGGGAGGCTAAGGCGGGTGGATCACAAGGTCAGGAGATCGAGACTATCCTGGCTAACACCGTGAAACCCCGTCTGTATTAAAAATACAAAAAATTAGCCGAGCATGGTAACGTGTGCCTGTAGTCCCAGCTACTTGGAGGCTGAGGCAGGAGAGTTGCTTGAACCCAGGAGGCGGAGGTTGCAGTGAGCTGAGGTCGTGCCACTGCACTCCAGCCTGGGCGACAGAGCAAGACTCATACTGCCCAAGGTAATTTATAGATTCAATGCCATCCCCATCAAGCTACCAATGACTTTCTTCACAGAATTGCAAAAAACTACTTTAAAGTTCATATGGAACCAAAAAAGAGCCCGCATTGCCAAGTCAATCCTAAGCCAAAAGAACAAAGCTGGAGGCATCACGCTACCTGACTTCAAATTATACTACAAGGCTACAGTCACCAAAACAGCATGGTACTGGTACCAAAACAGAGATATAGACCAATGGAACAGAAGAGAGCCCTCAGAAATAATGCCGCATATCTACAACCATCTGATCTTTGACAAACCTGACAAAAACAAGAAATGGGGAAATGATTCCCTATTTAATAAATGGTGCTGGGAAAACTGGCTAGCCATATGTAGAGAACTGAAACTGGATCCCTTCCTTACATCTTATACAAAAATTAATTCAAGATGGATTAAAGACTTAAATGTTAGACTAAAACCATAAAAACCCTAGAAGAAAACCTAGGCTATACCATTCAGGACATAGGCATGGGCAAGGACTTCACATCTAAAACACAAAAAGCAATGGCAACAAAAGCCAAAATTGACAAATGGGATCTAATGAAACTAAAGAGCTTCTGCACAGCAAAAGAAACTACCATCAGAGTGAACAGGCAACCTTCAGAATGGGAGAAAATTTTTGCAATCTACTCATCTGACAAAGGGCTAATATCCAGAATCTACAATGAACTCAAACAAATTTACAAGAAAAAAACAAACAACCCCATCAAAAAGTGGGCAAAGGATATGAACAGACACTCCTCAACAGAAGACATTTATGCAGCCAAAAGACACATGAAAAAATGCTCATCATCACTGGTCATCAGAGAAATGCAAATCAAAACCACAATGAGATACCATCTCATACCAGTTAGAATGGCGGTCATTAAAAAGTCAGGAAACAACAGGTGCTGGCGAGGATGTAGAGAAATAGGAACACTTTTACACCGTTGGTGGGACTGTAAACTAGTTCAACCATTGTGGAAGACAGTGTGGCGATTCCTCAAGGATCTAGAACTAGAAATACCATTTGACCCCAGCCATCCCATTACTGGGTATATACCCAGAGAATTTTAAATCATGCTGCCGTAAAGACACATGCACATGTATGTTTATTGCGGCACTATTCTCAATAGCAAAGACTTGGAACCAACCCAAATGTCAATCAATGATAGACTGGATTAAGAAAATGTGGCACATATACACCATGGAATATTATGCAGCCATAAAAAAGGATGAGTTCATGTCCTCTGTAGAGACATGGATTAAGCTGGAAACCATCATTCTGAGCAAACTATCGCGAGGACAGAAAACCAAATACTGCATGTTCTCACTCATAGATGGGAATTGAACAATGAGAACACTTGGACAGAGGGCGGGGAACATCACACATGGGAGCCTGTCATGGGGTGGGGAGAGGGGGGAAGGATAGCATTAGGAGATATACCTAATGTAAATGACGAGTTAATGGGTGCAGCAAACCAACATGGCACATGTATACCTATGTAACAAACCTGCACGTTGTGCACATGTGCCCTAGAACTTAAAAGTATAATAATAAAAAAAAAGAAAATGAATGTGAACTTATTCTTTGAGGAGAGCCATGCCCTAAAAGATGAAAAGCAGCTATTCATCACAATGCAAGACTTCAGAAAATAGTTAATGATCATGAAAGTTGGCCTGTTCTTATGGACTACGTGTGTGCAATTGCCCACAATCTACCCTTGTAATATATTTTTAATATGCTGAATTTTCTTTTTAGTTTTTTAGTTTTTTTCTTACTTTTCCCCCACTATTTTAAAGTATCAGCATTATTTTTTACAATTTGCTATGCTAAGTATTTCTCTTTGCATCATTTCTAATACTAGAGGTATAAACCATGTAAAGACTTTTGGAGAGTTTTGATTTGTTTTATGCATTTTTTTTGCAAATTTGACTTCCCAAAAGTGCATTATCACAACACTGATTGTGTGTAACCATTGTGCTTGTATGTAAAAACACCAAAGCTTTCTCAATAAGTGAAGATATTTCCTCTTCATACAACTGCATTTGTGAAAGGTAAAATTTTTTGAGATCTAGGCTCTTTGCACGACTGCATATGCAGTGGTGACCCATTGCAGTTTTTGATTCATCTTATCAAACGACATAGGTCATCTGTCACAGTATTTCAGATAACTGAAATTATAAACATGGGTGCACACAATTACCAACCATAGTGATCTACATTTATACATTTTGCTTTTGACCTATTTCTTTGTGAATACAGTTCATCTGCTTATAACTGTTATATCTGTGCAACTGTTGTTAGTATATCTAGTGTTTATGCTTGAAAAACATATAGTTATTATTGCCTATTTCATTTTGTAAAGTGGCCTATGAAGTGTTCTGGTATATTTCTCAAACAAAGACCCTTTTAAAACATAAATATTATTAAAGAATTTTTAAAAATTATTTTTTCCAGAATTACATTTTCAGGATTTTGATTTTTTGGCATTTCAGCATTTGGAATTATGCTCCTGATTTATGCTCCTGAATTATGCTCCTGAATCATGCTCCTGATTTCAGGTGATCTGCTCACCTGGGCCTCCCAAAGTGCTGGGATTACAGGTGTGAGCCACCATGCCCGGGCCTTCTTTTCTTTTCCTTTCCTTCCTTCTTTCTTTCTTTTTTTTTTCTTTTCCTTTCCTTCCTTCTTTCTTTCTTTTTTTCTTTCTTTTCTTTTCCTTTCCTTCTTTCTTTCTTTTCCTTTCTTTCTTTCTCTTTCTTTCTTTCTTCCTTCCTTCCTTCCTTTCTCTTTCTTTCTTTCTCTTTCTTTCTTTCTTTCTTTCTTTCTTTCTTTCTTTCTTTCTTTCTTTCTTTCTTTCTTTTTCTTTTTCTTTTCTTTTCCTTTCCTTCCCTTCCCTTCCTTCTTTCTTTCTTTCTTTTCTTTTTTTTTTTTGAGACAGGGTCTCACTGTGCTACCCAGGCTGAAGTGCAGTGGCATGATCATAGCTCACTGCAGTCTTGAACTCCTGGGCCCTCCTGCTTCACCTCTCAAGTAGCTGGGACTATAGGTGCATGCCACTGTACCTGACTAATTTTGTTTGTTTTTTTGTTTGTTTTGCAGTTTTTATAGAGAGAGGGTCTTGCTATGTTGATCAGGCTAGGCTCAAACTCCTGGCCTTAAGTTATCCTGCCTCCTCAGCCTCCCGAAGTGCTGGGGTTATAGGCATGAGCCATCATGCCTGACTGTTCTTTTCTAATATGAGCATTTAGTGCTATAAATTTACCTCTATGTACTGCTTGGTCTGCATCCCACAAATTTGGATATGTTGTATTTTCATTTTTATGTATTCTAAAATATACTGTATTTTCCCTTGAGATTTCTTTTTTGACCTAGAGATTATAAGTGTGAAATTTAGTTTCCAAATATTTGCAGTTTTTTCCAGATATATTTCTGTTACTGATTTCTATTTTAATTCCATTTTTGGTCAGAGAATATACTTTGTATGACCCAAATCCTTTTAAATGTATTCAGACTTGCTTAATAGCCCAGAATATGGTCTGTCTTTGAAAATGTTCTATATGCACTTGAAAAGAATTTGTATTATGTTGACCTTTTTGTTTGTTTGTTTTTTGGTGGAATGTTCTCTGAATGTCAATTAGATCAAGTTGGTTGATAGTGTTATTCGAGTTGTTATTTGTACTGATTTTCTTTCTGTGTCTATTAACTACTGAGAGGGAAGTGTTAAAATATTTTATTATAATCATGTATCTGTTAATTTATCCTTGCAATTTTTCCATATTTTGTTTCATGTATTTTGAAGGTTAGTTGTTACAAATATAAGCATTTATGATTCCTATCCTATGTCCTCTTGATAATTTAGCACCTTTATTTTTACTAAATGGGAAACAGCTTTATCCCTGGCTAAATACTTTTTGCTCTGAAATCTGCTTTTTCTGATATTAATATAGCC
Source organism: Homo sapiens (assembly GCF_000001405.40). Taxonomy (NCBI): domain Eukaryota; kingdom Metazoa; phylum Chordata; class Mammalia; order Primates; family Hominidae; genus Homo; species Homo sapiens. The sequence continues at coordinate 94,748,964 of NC_000001.11, read as the reverse complement.
ACTACAGCTTTCTTAAGATTACCGTTTATATCCTTTTGCTTTTCACTTATTTGTATCTTTTTACTTAAAGTGGGTTTCTTATTGGTAGTATTTATTTGGGTCTTGCTTTTCGCTTATTTTTAATCAAATCTGGACATCTCTTTCTTTTAATTGGGATGTTTAGACCATTTACATTTGATATGATTATTGAGATGCTTCAGTTTAAATATAGCATCTTGGTATTTGTTTTCTATGTCTCATCTGTTTTTTGTTCTATTTTTCTTCTTTTTCTACCTTCTTTTGGACTAATTCAGTATTTTTAAAAAGTATTCTATTTATCTCCTCTACTATTTATACTATAAAATGTAAAATAAGGACTAAAGTAACACAATAAAGAATTATGGATAATATTTATGGATAATAATATTTATTATCCATAATTCTTTACTGTGTCACTTTAGTTCTTATTTTACAGTTTATAGTATGTACATTCTTAATTATTAATTTTTACTATTATCTACAAATAAAACCCAGGGTTTATGATTAATGGCCAAAAATACAGTAGGTTAATTTAAGGGAAACGGTGGAAATATTTATTTTTGAAAAATAAGTTTGGGAATAGTCAAAACACTCCAAGAATTATTCAAAGTTAAGAGAAGGAAAGGAATGTGTGTGTGCATATATGCATGTTTATGTTTGTAAGAAGTAAAGTTTGGATAATCTGACTTCTCTACTTTTACAAAACAACAACAAAGCCTTTCCCTCTGCCATTCATTCACTCATTCATTCAATAAATATTTGTGGGTACCTAGTATAGACCAAGTGTGGAACATTTTTACTATTCAATGTCTGCCCTGCACTGTATAACTTTGGAAGTTATACAATAAGTCAGAATAACTTTCTGGTGAAACTTCCTGGAGGAATTTACAATATGATAAAGGAAATAGTATATCTCTTCAAGTAGAGACCCATTGCAAAAGCACAGCACAAAATTTGGTACTTACCCTAGGTGGCGTGCACTGGGTTAAGGGAGGAGTGGTTAGAATGACTTTGTTGAGTGTTGAATGCCCTTTAAAATCACATTTGACTTTTGTAAATCCAAATTCTCTTTCTTGATGAGATAAATGGCAAAGCCTTAGGCTTGTTCATAAATTCATTTTTTGGAAATATTTATCTAGTTTTTCTAGTGTCAATCATGGGGCAGCTGCTGAAGATTCAGAGGTAAACAAAGCAGACCTCTTCCTGTGACATGCAGTTCAAAATGCCCCTGTCACCTATGCTTGGAGATGTAGGGTGACTAGAATGATGTGCCTTCTGGCAGACCCAGGTGTTCAGACCAACTCCTGCCACTTGGGATGGGCAGAAATGTCTTCTGTGTGAGTGCAGAGAACCATCCCCCACCAGGCAGTTGAAGTAATGGAGGGATTTAGTAACTCCTACCCCTCCAGCCAGAACTATCCAAAGACAAAACTGACTTTCTTGAAGGATAAAAGTTTCTGTCATGGGGGCTATTCAAGTACTGGCTTAATGACCACTTGGTAAGAATGTTGCTGAGGGAATTCAGACATCAACTGATGGGAGTGAGACTGGACAACCTTACAGCTGGAAGGCATGTGATTTAATGAACTCCATGATGCCCAATCCCCAGGGCTCTGGCATTTCCTGTCTGTAGCTGTAAGGCCAGCTGGGCTCGCCTCACCATCTGCGGCCAACCCATCATCCAGAGTCACATTAGAGGACTGGGTGGCCCGATGTCTACCCAGACAGGCAGTCAACATACCCTGGGGCTTACTGTAGAATCTTGAGCCCTTGAGATAAACCTGCCGCCCTGCCCCACATGTGCTGGACAGCATTCCTCCTCCTCAAACCCTAACCCCAGCGGGCTGCTTCTTTCCGTGACCCTGGGGTCACTGTGGCTTAAGTCTTGCAAGGCTGGAACCAGACAGCAGGGCAGGCTGTTTCATAAGTGTTCCTTGGTCTGTCCAAGTTTGTACTTCCTTTAAAAGATCTTTCAGTTGTTATTTTTTGTTTTCCCCCTTCTTTTCATTAACTTGAAAACAGCAAATCATATTTTGCCAAGGGAGAAAAACCCTCCCTCACCCAAGAGATTCCTTCTTAATTCAGCCCTTAGTAAACATTGTTTCTGATTGGATTTCTAGCCCGGCCTGGCACTGGTTCTACCAATGAGATCACTAACAGAATTTGAGAAAAACATTTGGGACCTGTGGCCTTGATTTGAAAAATCACCCTGTCTCTGTTCTGTTGTATTGCAGATGAGGAGACAAGAGATGCTTACGGTGTGTGTGTACAGAAGGGCACACCTATTGTTTACAGGTGTTGAAATAGAATGTCAACTGTCATGACAAGGAGGGCCTTAACCAGCAGGCCACTGCATCACCATGTTGAATGAACTCAACTCCAAACATGTTAATGTAATATGAAACATACCGATGGTGATCGGGCCCCAACTTTCTCTCTTACTTCCTCTCCTGCCTATATGCCTATCCTTTCCTCAATAATTGGCCAAATTGCTTCAAATTATTGCCTTTAGCAATGCTACTTACATGTCTCCAAGAATTCTGGTTAAAAGGAGTGGGTACCATGGGATGGATTTCTCATTAACTGATTAGTACCCATCTTAGCAGGACTTGCTTTATCTCATAGTCTAGCAGAGAACTATAGAGTGGAGGTGGGATGGGACTAAAACAAGAAGATTTTGATGGAGAGGGGAGGTGAAGCAAAGAACCTGATGTGAGCAGAGTCTAGGGAAGTAAGCAGGAAGGTGAGTGACCCAGGAAGAGCAGATGTAAGGATTGAATGACAGGGTGAACATGGTGGCAAGTGTGAGCATTTTCTGCCTTGTCTCACCCAAGGGTATCTCCCCAGTAGGTATTTAGACTATTCCTCCACTCACCCTTGTAGCCTACCAAGAGCAACATGATGAAGGGCTTCTTGGCCACTGCTCAAGGGCTACTTCCTATTAGATAAAACAAGGAAACAACAGAGGTAAAACCTGCTGGCTTCCAGGTACAGCCCAGGCTCATATCCAGGAGTCCTTGGCTAGACTTTTGTGTGGCAGATAGGGCACTGGGCTTGGAGTCAGAAGACCTGGCTCCAGCCCAGCTCTGCCATGGACCAGCTATGAGATCTTCAGGCAGCCTCAGTCCCTTCATCTGTCTAATGACATCAGGCTTCTGCATCCTCCCTTTGGGAGACCTCACATACTTCTGTGACACCATCTACAGCTACTATGCCAGAGTCCCCTAAATCCATATCACCAAGCCAGACCTCTCCCTTGAGTTGCCGAGCCCTGAACCCAAACTTCCCCAAACATCTCTGTTTGGGATTTATATGTCCCTAGAACTCAGCATGCCCAATCAATCGTTCACTTTCTTCCCAAACCTGTTCCTCTTCCTCATCCTACTTAGGTGAATGGCACCATCATCTACTCATGGGCCCAAACAGAAATCTGGATGTTTGCCCCAGCTTCCCCTACACCATTCACAGTCATCCAGTCACAAGTCCTGTATGTCCTCTTAAATATATCCTGAACCATCCCTACTCCCCATCCCCATTCCCACTGCTCTGAATGAAAATCTCTTCTCTCTCCTGGACCACTCAGGATCTTCCTGGCTTATTCCCTCAGTCCAGCATCTGCACTGGCTGATTACTCTTTTTTTTTTTTTTTGAGATGGAGTCTCGCTCTATCCCCCAGGCTGGAGTGCAGTGATGTAATCTTGGCTCACTGCAACCTCCTCCTTCCAGGTTCAAGTGATTATCCTGCCTCAGCCTCCTGAGTAGCTGGGATTACAGGTGTGTGCTACCACGCCTGGCTAATTTTTGTATTTCTAGTAGAGACGAGATTTCACCATATTGGCCAGGCTGGTCTTGAACTCCTGAACTCAAGTGATCAGCCCGCCTTGGCCTCCCAAAGTCCTGGGATTACAGGTGTGAGCCACTGCACCTACCCATTCTGATTACTCTTTCTAAACTGCACAGCTCATTCATGTACCTGCCTTACTTAAAACCCTTAGCAATTACCTATTTATTTCCCTAGGGTAAAAATCCAAATTTCCTTACCATGTCCTGAAATATACTCACCTGTGATCTGGCCCCGAGTTCCTCTCTGGATTTATCTCCTGTCCACCTCCCCTCCCACACTTCACACTCTACTTCAAGCCATACTCAGCTGCTCAAAGCACCACACTTGGGCCACGCTTTCTCTTTTATAACTTGAATGCCCTCCTGCTTGCCTGGCATTCCTTTGGTCCCCTTCTTTGCCTGCTCAGCTCTGACTCCCATCAGGAATGAGACCATATTCCTCAGGAAACCTCCCTGGTTCTCCTGAGCCAGAATGGACTCCCTCTGTGCTCTCTTAAGTTGTGGTGCCCTCCTGCCATGGCAGCTAGGCCGGGGCATTGCCTGTTTCCCTTGGTGTTCTGTGAGCTCCTCAAGTGTGGGCAGCACATCTTAGCTTGTTCTGTCTCCCCAGGGTCTGGCATGGTACCTAGCCCTTGATTAGTGCTTGCTGAATAAATGAATGATTGAGTCTCTGTCATCTCACAGAGTACTTGCAAGAATTAAATGACATGTGAAAATACTTTGTAAACTGTAAATGTGTTAGGGACATTTCTGAGAGTCAAGGGGTTTAGAGAGGAAATGAGCATGCTAGGCCTCTGGACAGTGAACCGAAAGGATGTTGAGCTGTGGTGTTCTAGGAGAGTACCAGGACTGCTCTGGACATGACATACTACCTGGGACTACTTGTGAAAGGAAATGAGCATCCTGAGAAATCACTTTGGGTCCTGTGTACTCAGGGAGGATTGTTTTTATATGGTTCTGGTTTGTTCAGGAAGCACAGTCTGTCCTCCAGTCAGGCACTCAGTGAGCAAATGCATTTGTAGCTTGAGGCCAGAGCTTCCTTATGTTTATATGACTCTTTATTAGGTGAAACATGCAGCCTCTTGGAACAATAAACTGTCTTTGTTACAGATGTACACTAGATTTTGATGGCATTTTTCCAGGGACCCTGGGAGCATCTGTGTTCTCGTGTTCTTCTTGCCTGTGAGGCCTCTTCTCTCTGAGGACAGATGGTAGGACAGAGAGAAGACAGCAAATGGAAAACAAAGGCTGCTATTTTTTTGTGGGGTGTGTACAATATCTATTCTACATCTCTGCCCATCCCCATTTTCTCCTCCTCCAGAGAGCATACAATTAAGGCTATAAACTGAAGTGGAGCCCCCATTATTTACCCCTAAAAATGAATACAGATCTCAGCCTCTCATTACCCCTTGGTTAGAAAGAGAGAGCATTTTGGTCTGTTTGGGCGACTATAACAAACATACCTTAAACTGGGTGGCTTTTAAACAACAGAAATTTGTTGCTCACAGTTCTGAAGACTGGTAAGTTCAAGATCAAAGCACCAGCAGATTTGGTGTCTGGTGAGGGCCCACTTCCTGGATCATAGATGATGCCTTCTTGCTGTGTCCTCACATAGTAGAAGGGCAAGGCAGCTCTCTGGACCCCTTTCTTTCCTTTTCTTTTCTTTTCTTTTTTCTTTTCTTTTCTTCTCTTTCCATTAATCCGGTCCATGAGGGCTCCATCCTTATAACCTAATCACTTCTCAAAGGTCCCATCTCCTAATACTATCGAGTTGGTAATTAGGATTCAACATATTAATCTGTGGAGGAAGGGGACACAAAAATTCAGACCATAGCTGGTAGTGATGAAGATAGAATGAGCCAGGTCCCAATGTGGGGCCAGGTGTGAGGGGGGCAGTAGCTGGTCATGGACATGTGGATGTTTGCTGAGTGATGGGTGAGCAAGTCCCTGCCATCTCATAGGGACACTGTAAAAACTGCCCTCTTGATGACCTTAGCAGTGCAATCATATTAGCAATGACATCCACCTTGAGGAGGGAAAAGATGGGTGTGAACAAGAAGGATAGTTTCTTTCTCCTTACAGCATCCATTATGTAGCATAAAAATTAGGGCCCCCATGTATCCAGGAAAGCAGTCAGAGCATTCATTATTCAATAACCATAGGTGCTTATTCCATACTGTTATGGACTGAATCGTGTCACCTCCAAATTCATATGTTGAAGCCCTAACTACCAATATGACTGTATTTGGAGATAACACCTTCAAGAAGGTAATCAAGGTTAAATGAGGTCATAAGGATTGGATCCTAAGCTGATAGGACTGGTGTCCTTATAAAAAGAGACACTAGAGATCTCTCTCTCTCTTTGTATACACAGAGAAAAAGTCATGTGATGACACACCAAGAAGGTGGCTGTCTGCAAGCCAGGAAGAGAGGCCTTACCAGAAACCAATCCTGGTGCACCTTAATCTCAAACTTGAGCCTCCAGGACTGTACGAAAATAAATATTTGTTGTGTAAGCACCCCCAGTGTATGCTATTCTGTTATGGCAGCCCTAGCACACTAATATAAATGCCTACTGCCTGCAAAGTGCTTTGCCTTTGAGGGTTGCAAAAGAGGATCCCCTCCAGGGATCCATGGTCTCATTGGGATTTTCCTGTTTGGTCTGTGTCCTGTTCTTGAGTCTCCGCAGGCAGCATTTCTTCCTGTGACAATATGGTGTAAGACAAAATTGTGGCCTGCCATGAAGTTGTGAGAGAAAAGCATCCCTCATTTCTTCAGGAAAGGCCACTGCCGTTCCCTCCGGCTCCTCTTCTCAGGAGTTTGTGCATTCATGAGGTAAGTGACAGAGTCACTCTCAAGCTCCTGCTGTATAAAATTTCTGTAACAAATAGATGCTTGTCCCAGATGGCTCCAGCCAGGCTGATGGGGAGGATGTGGGTTCCCTAGCACTTCCCAGTTTGCAGCATAAGTGTATTAAAACTTCCATGTCTTACTTAAAATAGAACTCCTAAAGGCACACACATAACTTCAAGTTTTCTCAGCATTTCATGACTTTTTTTAAAAAAAGCTTGGACCAATTCAGTTTTCACTCTTGCAAACAGGGTATAAAAGCTTCTGTTTCTTCCCCAATGTCAACGCTTGGTAATCTTATTCTTCTTCCCAGTTTTATTTTAAAAGTAATGCCCACATGTGATGGAAGTTACACTCAAATAGGACAAAACACTATGCAAAGTCTCCTTCTCCTTGTCCTCACTCCCTCCCACTCCCAACGGCAATCCACTTTAACCAGTTCTGGTTTCAGTTCGTTAGGTGGTTGCCACAAAATACTGAGTAATATGCTTATACCTCTCTTTTTTGATTTATCAACTTTCAACAGTATTTATTGACTCCTGCCACATGAGGGTGTGTGTTATCCTCCACTGCCTCTGTGTCTTTCCATCTTCATAATTTTAGACTGTATTCCACTTGATTCCTTACAAGAAAAATGAGGAACTCATTACCCCATTTTCCCCTCCACCCTTCCTACTTCCTTCACCTTCTAACTTCTGCCTTTCCTGGATTCTCTTTTGTATTTACTGGGTTTGTAATAATTATATTCTACTCTGAAACCATAGTTAAGTCTTCCCTGCTTTGTTTAAAATTTGATTCTAAATATTGAAAACCAATATACAGTTTCTTCCCCAATGTCAATCCTGTGAATATATAAAAATTATTTACTGAAGAATGAAGTAAGAAATAAATAATCCTAGGCAATGCAAAAGAAAATGAATTCTCTTTTCCTACCCTAATCAGTTTTTCCAAACTATGTCCTAATTTAGGTTGCTTCTAATTCTGATTTTTGTTTTATTCTGGGGCTCCTATTTGCTTTTCGTTTTTAAAGTAATTGACAATAGACACATACATCCTCTTTACCATATCATGAAGATCATCCAGATTCTTAAGCATACCATTTTGAATGACCTAATTTTGTCTCATCATCTTCTAGGTATGTACCACAGTTACCATCGTATTTTTCTAAAATTTTAATTACATCCTTAAATTATTTCTAATGTTTCTTGGATCCTATGAATTTCTTTTTCTTAGATTCCTCTTTTATCTTACTGGAGTGTGCACACAGGTAATCTTTCAGAATAGGGGGATAAACAGTTGAGTTTTTATTTTGTCTATAGGTTAATTCTGAAGAACAAAAATCAATAATGAATTTTTATAATATAACTGTATACATATTATTTACTGAAGGATCAAGTAGTGTGGTTCTGAAAAACTATTTGCTCTGACATTTGAATGGTTTGACTGGGATTGATGATTCTAAATGGAAAATCAAATTCCCTTGGTACTACAAAGGCATCGATTGCTTCACTAGGTTACTCTTCTGGCATCCAAAATTACTGACAAGAAGGCAAAGCTTGGGCTAATTCTTATTTTTCTAGAGTATCTACTTTCTGAAATCACTGAGAATATTATTTTTATATTTCTAAATTTTATCACAGTGTATATGGGTCCCTTTTTACTCTTTTTGCTCAATATTCGGTGGGTCCTTCCAGTCTGAAATTCTTGTCTTTCCTTTGATAATGTTTCCCCTCATCTTCACTTTTTTTTTTCTGGAATCCTGCTAGATGGATGTTGGACTTTGTGAAATGATCCTACATTTCTTTCAACTTTTCCCTCATAATTTCCATCCTTTCTTCATTACATTTGGGACTATTTCCTCAATTTTGTCTTCCAACCCGTCTACTGAGACATTTACTTTCAAGAGCTCTGGCTGTCCTTGCTTATCCACTCATATTTACATGCATATGTGCACAGGTAGAATATATGGACCCCACTCCATGCCCCCTCTCAGAGTCAAAGCAAGAAAAGCTTTTTAAAGGGCAATTTTGTAATATCAAAAAGAACCAGGGTCACCCTCTAATAATACTACTGTATAAGTTTCCAATCCACTTGAATGATGTTGAGCAGCAGCTGGCAAACCAGCCACAGAGGAGGCAGAAGAATACACACAGATTTCCCTCACTGCACACACACACATACCCATGCTCGTGTCTGGCCACACATCTCACATACTGACTAAGAAGGAAACATCAGCCATCCAAGGGCTTAGAGTTCTCCCATTGCTGGCTTTTATTCTTTACTGTGATCCTTACATGGAAAGCTGTCTCTGGTGGTTTCTCCATCTTCATATGACTCATTTTGGTTTACTTTTGTGGAAGCGACTAACTTGGGAGCTAGGACTTTTCCCTCCTGCCAGGCCCTGAGGTTAACCACAGTGTTCCAAAGCCCCCGGGTGCTGGCCAGCCACTTGGAGGCATGCCCTTGCGTCTGTTCGTCCTGTCCTTGTGGTTACTGGCCAAAAGAGGCCCAGACCTATGTTCCAAACATGGCCAGCCTATTAGAGAAGCAGCCCCATGGCCTGACATGCTCGCTTTCCCTGTGTCATCGCTGATGTTATGAGAAAGAGAACATTGTCTTTGGACAGCCTCAGCAATGGCTGTCCAACTTGACTTGAGTAGAGAAGCCAGGTTCTTCCCAGGATCTGGGTGATGAGACTCTTTGGAAATGCCTGTGGTCGAACTACATTTTTGTAGAGATTAACAGTTAAAACATAATTACTCACAATAGCCCTGTAATTTCCATGTGAGATGAGAAAACCGATGCTCAGCGGTAATCAATAAATTGTCCCTGATCATTCAGCTTGAAAGTAGTAAAGTAGGGATTAAGACCCAGATCTTATGATTCCTAATCTTGTATTTTTCATATTACCCCAAGAGATGTTTTTAAGATTTTTTTCTTAATGTGATAGTTGCTGGGATTAGACAGGAAGCTCTTTATTCCTCTTCAGAGTTTCAGAGAAATCTCTGTTCTGGTTGCTAATGTCCAGCATCTCACTTTGTTGTGCTTTGGATCAAATCCTAAATTTGCTACTTAACAACTGTGTGACCTTGGTCAAGTTCACACAACATCTCTGAGTTTTAGTTTCCTCATCTATAAGATGGAAGTAATAATACTTACTTCCAGTAAAACCTCATCAGGATTGTTGTGAGATTTAAATGAGATAATGTACATCAAGCACTAAGTAGGAGTTCAAAGGGGTGGTGGTGATGGTGGTTGTCAATGTGAAGGGAATTATTCTGAAGCATGGTGGATCCATTAAACAGCCCATCCAAATTTCCTTATCAGATGGGTTCCTATTAAACTATTCTCCTGTCTTTTTAGATGTCAGCTCATCTTCAGAATGTTAATTTAAAATGTAGCTACTTTGTAAAGATAGCAGTCTTGAGCCATCACTCTTGCCAAAAGCAACTGTAGAAATGTTATGTAGCAAACAAACAAACAACCCCATTAAAAAATGGGCAAAGGACATGGAACACTTCTCAAAAGAAGACATACAGGTGGCCAACAAGCATATAAAAACTGCTGAACATTACTAATCATTACAGAAATGCAAACCAAAATCACAATGAGATACCATCTCACACTGGTCAGAATGGCTATTAAAAAGTAAAAAAAAATCACAGACGCTGGAGAGGTTGTGGAGAAAAGGGAATGCTTATACACTGCTGGAAGGAATGTAAACAGGTTCAACTACTGTGGAAAGCAGTGTGGGGATTTCTCAAAGAACTTAGAACTACCATTCGACCTAGCAATCCCATTACTGGGTATATATCCAAAGGAACAGAAATCATTCTACTAAAAATACACATGTGCCCATATGTTCGTTATAGCACTAATCACAATAACAAAGATATGGAATCAACCTTGGTGCCCAACAGTGAATTGGATAAAGAAAATGTGGTACATACATACCATGGAATACTATGCAGCCATAAGAAAACCAAAATCATGTCCTTTGCAGGAACACGGATGCAGCCGGAGGCCATTGTGCAGGATCAGAAAACCAAAAACTGCATGTTCTCACTTATAAGTGGGAGCTAAACATTAAGTACACATGGACATAAAGATGGGAACCATAGACACTGGGGACTAATTGAGGGAGAAGGGTAGGAAGATGGTGAGGGTTAAAAAACTAGCTGTCAAGTACCATGCTCACTACCTGGGTGATGAAATCATTTGTACTCCAAACCCCAGTGACATGCAATTTTCCCATGTAACAAAGCTGCACATACACCCTGAGCCTAAAGTAAAAGCTGAGGAGAAAAAAGTGTTGTTATGTGTCGGACCCTGGGCATTCAATATGTGCATAAGCAGTCAGAGGACAGCAAGCCCCCTTCTTTCTTGTCCACAGGAATGAGGTTCCTTAAGAAGGAATGGGAGCTGTGTGCATAGTATGTAGGGCAATTTTCTGATGACACAGCATCCTTTCTATCAGGGAGACAGGGATTTGTTAAGTGAGTACCAAGTGCTCAGAGGAGTGGGTACCATTTGTACTTGGTACATTCGTGCTTAACAAGGTCGTAGGCAAACAAATGGAGGTTATTAATAACAGCTTTTGCATCTTGGAGAAAATGAATTTCAGACAAAATCTTGGGCCTCGGTGCTCCTTGAAGTGAGGTAAACAGGAAGCTGGGAGGAAAGTAGGCATCTTGTCTGCAGCAAGAGGACTGTAACACTGGCTCCAGCCGTCCATGGGGTGGAAAAATTAAGTCACTTCCTGTAAATTGGCACAAGTCCATAAAGACACCAAACACAGAGAAAGGGAGGGAGGCTAAGAAAAAAAGTACACTTGTGCAAGAAAAGATGGGTGTCTGTTCACTTAGGAGAGACTTGTCTTTATGATAACATAAAGTGACCACACCCAAATGTACATATGCAGTAAATCAAGGGTCCCTCTAGTGCAGGGAGGCTGACAGTGGGGCCTTGATTATGTGTTCACCTAGGGAACTCTGAGAAGGTAGGACATCACAGGCTTTAAAAGCAAGAAGCCTACTTGCTTTTGGAAGTCATGGTGAATGGAATTTTAGGATTGATCTGTGCCAACCTTGTGTATAGAGGAAGAATGAGGGAGAAAGAGGGAATTTCTCTGGCAAGCTAGGGAAATCTTCTCTGAGTAATCAGATGCATTGAAGGACATGCCTGTCTTCAGACCCAAGTGAGTGAAAAATGCTTTGAGTGGACTTCAGAGTGGTCTGATTTTGCAGCACTTAAGAGACATACATTTAAAATATTGAGAAAGTTAATAACAGAAGATGCAAGAGAAAAAAGCATAAGTCATAACTTCAGAGCAATGGTGCTCAACAGTGAAGAAGGGGTGATTTTGCACCCCCTTCCAGGGGACATTTGATAATGTCTGGAGATACTGTTGGTTGTTACAACTAGGGGGAAGGGCTACTGGCATCTAGTGGGTGGGGTGCAAGGGATGCTGCTCAACAGGACAGGCCCCTCCCCATCAACAAAGAATTATCTGGCCCAAAATGTCAACAGTGCAAAGGTTGACAAACCCTCATTTAGAGCTATCATCCTTTACACCACAAATATTAACCATTAGACAATGTAACTAGTTAAATGAAAAAACACCGTAAGTGAGAACAGAGGCTTATGCCAGAAACAGAGTAAGTCATGTAATTAATAAAATAATTTCTTGCAAATAAGAAATCCTAGGTTTTCCTCACAAACTCCTTACCCTAAACTTTTCAAATATGCAGTAAGAATAAGAGAACCATTAAAAAAAAAAACTCTGCAAAATTTTATAGTGACATTGTTACAACTTTTAAACATAGTATTTTTTATAGTTTATAAATCACATGAATTGTCTTATTCAATATTTACAATTTGGTGTAATTGTCCCAATTTCATAGACTGTGAGAATTTACATTTTGTTTTTTTTTTTTTTTTTGTATATCTATGTATCAGGCAATGTACTAGGCACTGCGTTTGTTACCAAGATAAATAAAAATTTATATTAAGATGTTCAAAATTTCCTAGGAAACACAGACATAGGATAGCTATAATAAGAGAAGTATAAACACAGCCACAGGAGAATGGGGGTGGGGGGACCGAAGTCATTTGCCTAAGGTACAAAACTAGCAATTGGAAGATCTGGGACTTGAGATCTGGGTCTTCTGAATCTAGAGTAAGTCCTCTGTCTTGGCACAGCAATATAACCCTCTTAGCTTTTCCAGAGAAATAAAAACAAAACTGAAAAATATTCACTCAAAAACACATGCATAAATTGCCAAGTGGGCCAAGTATAAAAACACTGTGGAAGCGGTGATCAAGACCAGGATATGAAAAGAGAAGATAAGACCTGGCAGACAGGAAGACAAAGAGGCCTCTTCCAACCCACCCTCGGGCTGTTCTTGGGTTTGGATAGTTATGTTAAGATCCACGCCCCCATAGCAATCTGACTTTGAGTTGGAGGCACAGGAAACATGAATCTCTTGCGGTTAGGCTAAGTCCCTTCAAATGCAGCCCAGGTTTCACCTCCCGTTGAGGCCGGGTGTGAGGAATTCTCCATTTAGGAAGACGGGTCTTAGGCGAGTGGGAGGAACTGCCTAACAACAGTTGAAGTAAATATGAGGGAAGACACAGCAAATGGCCAGCTTCTCTAGCATTCAAATTCCTCCGGTCAGCAATTTCTTGCCTCCCTTCCTCCCCCAAATCTGGGTGGAAATATGAAGCCACAGTTCACTCCCCCGTCACTCATTCTGATGACAAAAAAGAAGTTGATTCCAGCCTATCATTTCACAGCTGTTTGCTTCCACTTCCCAGCAGACATGCTCTTTGCCGAGGGACTTGGTTAAATGGCTCTGAGAGAGGCACCTTCAGGCAGCTCGGGCTCCTGGTGGAGGAGGGAAGCCTGGGGACTGCAGCCCAGGGACGAGGCCACTCCCTTTGTCCTTTCGGGCAGGGAGGGAGTAATGGGACCCGTGCCAGTGATATAAAGTACTCATTTTCCACTAAGGCCAGGGCTTTGTCCTGGGAAGAAGGAGCAAGAGGTAAACACGAAACCTGATTTGCCTGTGCCATGTGGAACTACAGAACCTTGATGTTGTCCGGGCCACTCCTCCCTTCCTTTCCACTCCTTAGCAGGAGAGGCTGAGCTAAAAAAAACCCCTGCTTATTCCCATCCTGTCCCGGTGCCCCTGTCTACAGCCACAGTTGATTGGACCAGCGTGGACACCTGACCCAGGCTGGGCCAATCACATCCTCTCTCCTGCAAACGTGGAAATGGCGCCTCCAAGACCCTGAGCCGTGCCAAACTGGAGATTCTTCACCTTCGCTCTATGTTGAAATTGCCCAGGAATTCTGAAAACACTGTCTATGAAAAGAGTCAAACTCTAAAATATTTAGAGATTTATTATGAGCCAAATATGAGTGACCATGGCCCGTGACACAGCCCTCAGGAGGTCCTGAGAACCTGTGCCCAAGGTGGTCCTGGCACAGCTTGGTTTTATACATTTTAGAGAACCATGAGACATCAATCAAATACATTTAAATACATTGGGTCGGTCCAGAAAGGCGGGACAACTCAAAGGTGGGGAGAGGGATGGGGGGGAAGGGGGGGCTTCCAGGCTACAGGTGAATTTAAACATTTTCCGGTTGACAATTGGTTGAGTTTGTCTAAAGACCTGTGTCTAAAGACCTGGGATTCATAGAAAGGGAATGTTCAGGTTAAGATACAGATTGTGGAGACCAAAATTCTTTCAAAGTCTTATAGTGGCTGCCCTTAGAGACGATAGATGTCAAACGTTTCCTATTCAGATCTTAGTTAATCTCTTTAGGTCAGGAAGAAAAAGACCTAGCTATGTTAATAAAGTTTCTTTACAGATGCAAATTTTCCCCCACAAAGAACAGCTTTGCAGGGCCATTTCAAAATATGGCAAAGAAACACGTTTTGGGGTAAAATATTTTGATTTTCTACTTTGTCTCTTAATGTTATGCCAGAATCAGGTTGGAAAGTAAGCCAGAGTCAGGTTGGAAAGTAAGTCACCATATATAGGGTTAAATAAAACTCATCGATGAGAATTTATAATTTGTAGGGCATGACTCCCCAGACTCCTTAGATAGGAATTTGGGCAAGATAAAAAAAAAAATTAGAATTTAGTCCTCAACACACCACACACACACACACACGTGCGCACGTGCAGTGGCCAGGCATGGTAAAAAAAAAAAAATCAGAGCTTAGTCCTCGATACACACCATACACACACACACACATACATGTACACACACACGATGGCCAGGCATCCCCCCAGATTCCGGTTTTGTTGTTCTGGGTTGGACTGATCTAAGTTAGCACTTGCTCTGCAGCTGGGAGAAGCATCAGTGCATGGGGAAGTAGTCACACAGAGGACAATGAGGTGGACCTTCAGAGAGAAGTTGAAATGAGAGATCTACACCCTAGAAATAGTAGACAGTGATCTTGACTCCTGATAGCTTTCTAGTTCTGGGTTCCAGGCCATCCTCAGGCCCGATTTCGTTCCTGCCTTTGAATCCTGGCTTCGAAATGTTTCTTGCCTTGAGTGGCTTCTGTTACATACAACAAAAGAACTTTCACCAAGCCATTCTCATAGCCAATCCATCACCTGTCACAATCCTGATGATTCTACCTCAGAAATCTCAAATCTCATCCCTATGGCCTTTTCAATAGAGTTCTCACCATGGCCTTCCCTAAGTGGACTCTCTGCCTCGGTCCTCTTTTCTCCCATCCAGGCTCCATAAAAAACATATTTGATCCACTTGTTCCCAAACTTAAAGTCCTTTACTGGTTCCTTGTTGCCTGTTAAAAGTAACAAAATAGTTTTGTATAAACTGACCTGTGAAAATATGATACTAACTGAAAAAAATTAAGCTGCAGATCAATAGGTATAGGATACTTAACTTTTTGTTTCTAAAACGTGATTTAAATATGCCTGCATAAGTGTAAGAAGAAGAAAGGATATCTATCAAACTGTTAGCAGTGGTTTCCTTGGTCGAATGGTTTTCCATGGGCAGAGAGGGGATTTCTACTGTGACTTACTTCATATAAGATTTAAGAAATGATGAGGGGTATTGGTAATTTTAATTTTTTTCCATTTTCTTCCAATACTTTTTTTTTTTGAGATGGAGTCTCACTCTGTTACCAGGCTGGAGTCCAGTGGCCCAATCTTGGCTCACTGCAACCTCCGCCTCCCGGGTTCAAGTGATTCTCCTGCCTCAGCCTCTCGAATAGCTGGGACTACAGGCATGCGCCACCACGCCCAGCTAATTTTTTTGTATTTTTAGTAGAGACGGGGTTTCACCATGTTGGCCAGGATGGTCTCGATCTCTTGACCTTGTGATCCGCCCACCTTGGCCTCCCAAAGTGCTGTGGTTACAGGTGTGGGCCACCGTGTCAGGCCCCCAATACAAAAATTTCAAAGGTCCTTCACATTTTTGCTTGTGTCATCTCCCATCACTCTGTGCCACATACCCTCCAGCTATTCTGAACTTCTATTCTTCCCCCAAAATAGCATCCTCTTTCAAGTAACTATGGCATCACCTATTATATGCTTCTTTCTGAAGTGCCTGTACTCCATTCTTCATCAGGAAAGCTTCTGCTTTTCTTTTTTGATCCAGATCAAATGACACCTCCTCTTGGAAGCCTTCTTAGGCTGATCCATGCTTATCCCATATCAGGGTTAGTTATGCTGTCCCAGTGGCCCCATGGTCCCCGGCTACTATGTCTGCTATAATGCACCAAATTGTGTTAATGGTTGATGTGATCACGTGATTTTGCCCCAACTCCAGGTGAATTCCTTGGAAGATGAGGGCCAAGTCTTATTCTTCTCAGTCTCTTCTGCATCTAGCAGAAGAATAATGGTTGCACAGAAAATCTTGGTTCAGTGGTTGAGTGAATGAATGGATGAACAGGCTCTTGCACACAAAGAAGAGACATGATGTATTTGCATCCTTCCCTGCTTCAGCCAGGTAAGATCTACTAGCTCAAACTTATCACAGCCCTGTTTCTGAGCTGGTCCCACGAATAGAGTTTTTGTTTTTCACCAGCAAGCAGGCTGTTTCCAAGCTGGGATGATAATTGTTGATGTGGCACTTTAAACATCACAAAGAACAACTGAAAATATGTTTCTAGGGGTTAATGACTAAGAAGAAAATAATGAAGCTATGCCTATTCTGAAAAATGTCTAAGTGATGGCAATGCTGATTTCTGTGTGGGTGTTCACTTCTCCCTCTCCCCTATCTCTCTAAAGAGAATCTTTGATTACAGAGCCCCTGATTTCTGTCCTCTTCCAAAGAGAAAAGATTCCTTATTGCTGGGAAAGAAGCTAAGTCAAGCTATCTAATAAAATCCTAAGAGAGGAGGAGAATAGGGCTGGAGGAAAAAGGCAGTCATGGAAGCAAGGGGTAGAGGAATTTTCTTCAGGGATATGAGAAGTCTCATTGGAGGAACTATGAACAGAGAAGAAACTGGGAATTTAGGCTGGGCACGGTGGCTCATGCATGTAATGCCAGCACTTTGGGACGATGAGGCAGGAGGATTGCTTGAGCCCAGGAGTTCAAGACCAGCCTGGGCAACAAAGTGAGATCCCTGTCTCTACAACAAAATAATTAGCTGAGTATGGTCGTGCACACTTGTGGTCCCAAGTACATGGGAGGCTGAGGCAGGAGGATTGCTTGAGCCAGGAGGTCGAGGCTGCAGTGAACTATAATCATACTACTGCACTCTAGCCTGGGTGACAGAGTGAGATCCTGTTGAAAGAAAAGAAAGAAAGAAAGAGAGAAAGAAAGAAAGAAAGAAAGAAAGAAAGAAAGAAAGAAAGAAAGAAAGAAAGAAAGAAAGAAAGAAAGAAAGAAAGAAAGAAGGAAGGAAGGAAGGAAGGAAGGAAGGAAGGAAGGGAAAGAAAGAAAGAAAGAAAGAAAGAAAGAAAGAAAGAAAGAAAGAAAGAAAGAAAGAAAGAAAGAAAGAAATTGGGAATTTAGTAAATGTTAAAGAGTTCCTATCTATGTTTATTCTCTGTTATGACTTACATGAGGATGAATAAAGAATGCATTTCCTTTTAAATTATATTTTGGATATTGTCCTGTGCTTCTTAAATACAACACTGTCCCAGTGCCAACACACAGGAATCTAGGCTTTGTAAAATTTACACCTATAAATGGGTGGGAAGGGCCTGCACGAATGCAAAAGTATGCCTTTCACCCAGGGCTCTGGTAGCTCCACATCTGTCTCTGCCAAAGAGAATGGAGCCAAGGCAAGTAGAGGTAGTAGAGGTCTATAACTGGTCAGTTCTGGATACAGGCGGCAGACAGCCTGGACAGAGAAACACTGGATCTTGGGAGTGGGTGGGGGAGGGCTACCAAAACAAGGCACTGTCCTCACTATTTTCTGGGACTTTTAGGCCAGGGGTGTCCAGGAACTCATGGTGGTGGGTTGGAGGAAAGGGAAACTCATTTTGGAACCAGTTTGCAGCTTGATGCTGGTACCCTGGGGCAGCCTCAGGTGGTGCAGGCGTCCACCCAGACCATTGGCACACCAGGAGCTGCAAGCCACTGGGCTATGGAGATCAATACAGGCAGGTGGTGGCTCTGAGGCAGTCACAGTTTCTAATATCCCACATAGAGTTTACTCAAAAAGAAACCTCTGTAGCTGGGTGTGGTGGCACATGCCTGAAATCCCAGCTACTCAGGAGGCTGAGGCACAAGAATCGCTTGAATCTGGGAGGTGGAGATTGCAGTGAGCTGAGATCATGCCACTGCACTTCAGCCTGGGTGACGGGGGGTTGGCCGGGCGTGGTGGCTCATGCCTGTAATCCCAGCACTTTGGGAGGCCGAGGTGGGTGGATCACGAGGTCAGGAGATCAAGACCATCCTGGCTAACATGGTGAAACCCCGTCTCTACTAAAAATACAAAAAATTAGCTGGGCGTGGTGGTGGGCGCCTGTAGTCCCAGCTACTCGGGAGGCTGAGGCAGGAGAATGGCATGAACCCGGGAGGCAGAGCTCTGTCTCAAAAAAAAAAAAAAAAAAAGCTTCTACAATACACTCATAAACCCCCCAAAAGGCTGCAGATCTTAAGATGAGAAGAGGGAAGACCCCTGGGGCAAGGCCAATGAGAGACAGCAACATAGATGGGTTAACTGTGGAGAGAGGGGCTCTTGATCGTGGCAGGGCTTGTGGGTCCAGGCTTGCTACTGAAAAGTTGAACTTGAGGGAGGTAATAGCAAAGGTAAAGCAAGGTGACTTGACAAAGGAAGGCATCATTTTAGATGGGAAGTAGTGGGATGTACTGGATGGCAAAAGCCAGAAGACTGGGGGTTGAAGCCTTGCCCATTGCTGACATTTTAAATAATATTGGGCTCTCCATTTTCCCATCTGAAAAACAAGATCTCCAATATCTTAAAATGTTCGGCACATTGTGTGCCTTCATTCATTTATTCATTCTACAAAAGGGTTGAGCACCTTCAATGTGCCAGACACTAGGCTAAGCGCTGGGGTCATGAGGTGAGTGGGTAGATGTGGCCCCTGCCCTCATGGAGCTTACATTCTACCGAAGGAATCAAAATGTTGGCAAGACACTTGCTGCCTTCCCCCTTCCTTCCCTATCTCTTTCTTGTGGAATGGGCATCAGCCCTTGCATTTAGAAATTGCCAGCAGAAACAAGGAAAGACTCAGAAGACCGCTATCTTAGGATAGATAGGAAAGTGAAACTGATCTCCTGGCCATCCTGTCTAGCATAAGGGCTTTGTGGAGAAGCTGGAGAGCTTCCAGAACAAAGCCAGGAAATGATTATAGCCTCCTTCCAGGCCTTTCCAAGAAAATTATAAATCTTTTTCCAGGCTTCCACAAGAAGCAAAGATAATCAAACCAGCATTTTAACCACTCTTCTGACATGGGTAGGATGTCTGACAGGCCATGGCTAGAAGCTGAATAGATGATTAGAAAGGGGATCACAGGACAAAAATGAAAAGTACTGTGATGATCAATTGTAAAGGTAAAAATACTATAGTGGTGATTTAATCAAGGTTATATATACCAATTCTTTTTCTGCTCTATGGAGAACTGTTTAAGATACAACATATTTCTGTTGTAGCGCTTATTTCTGTTGTTTAAGTTAGACATGGAAAAGAACTTTTTCTAAGAATGCTGAGATGCCAACAAAGTGGAAGGTCATAGAGTAAAATCAGCTTTCTTATATTTGAGGGAATACACTTGCAGATAAAATAACTAGATAGTTGGCCGGGCACAGTGGCTTACACCTGTAATCCCAGCACTTTGGGAGGTGGAGGCAGGTGGATCACCTGAGGTCAGGAGTTCGAGACCAGCCTGACCAACATGGTGAAACCCCATCTCTATTAAAAATACAAAAATTAGCCAGGTGTGGTGGTGGGCACCAGTAATTCCAGCTATTCAGGAGGCTGAGGCAGGAGAATCGCTTGAACCCGGGAGGTGGAGGTTGCGGTGAGCCAAGATCACGCCATTGCACTCTAGCCTGGGTGACAAGAGTGAAACTCCGTCTCAAAAAAAAAAAAAAACAAGAAGAAGAAGTAACCAGATAGCCACATAAATGCTTGTTATCTGATTCTTTCCTTCAAGGCTAAAACCAAAGAAACACTGCCCAGTATCAATGATTATTGTCTTTGATATGTAAGCAAAACTGGACACCTGTAGGCTGATGGAGGTTTTGTCCCACTTGAAGACTCTCTGTGTATGTGATTCCCTGCTTGGGCCTCCAGTCCATCTGCTGCCCTCTCCATCGGGCTCACTGTCCAAGTGGCTGGCCTGCAGGGTCTGCCATGGGCTCCCTGGGTTGTGCCACTGGGAAGCACTGGCAGGCGATCCTCTGGAGAGCTGGAGGAAAGTGAGGCAGGATATCTATCCACCTCCTCCACTGATGGCTTGCTGGGTTCATTTAAGGAGGGCTGCAGCTCCTGTTGATAGA
Source organism: Homo sapiens (assembly GCF_000001405.40). Classification (NCBI taxonomy): domain Eukaryota; kingdom Metazoa; phylum Chordata; class Mammalia; order Primates; family Hominidae; genus Homo; species Homo sapiens. The sequence goes on along the minus strand of NC_000001.11, from coordinate 94,728,288 downwards.
CCTTTCCTGTAGCTGCAGTTCTTACTGCATTCAGGTAAATGTTCCTTTCCCTTGCACATTCAGGCTGATTGGTGGTCATGGACTGTTGCCAACCCTGGGGTTCCCTTAAACTTGCCTAGACTTTTGTAAATACTCTTTTAATAAACTACCCTTAGTCACCCCTTTGAGTGTACGTGCCATCTGTCTGCAGCTGGAATTCTGACTCATACTCTCCGAATCGGACTCGAGGAATTTCTAAAATTTCATTCAACATTTATTTTAACAAAAAGGCTTTGAGAAACTACTTTATACAAGCAATAGATACTTAAACACTTAGTAATAACACCTAAACATTTTTGAGTGATTGTGATATGTAATCATTACTGGACTAAACAATTTAGATGGTTTAATCATTGCAGCAGCTTTGCAGTGAATATGTTTTTAAACCTCTTTTCCTATACGGAAACAAATATTCATTACAGTTAAGTACCTTGCCTGAGGCCATGACACCAGTAAGTAGAGGAAACAGGATTCATATTATATTTTAAACATATTTTCTTGATGGTCTTTTATATACAATGGTAATTATAATAGAGTGTTCAGAAAAATAATGAAAAATAGGAGGAGGAAAGAACTCTACTACATGCCAAGCACTGGATAAAAAAAATCTAGGCTCTGCTTTCTGAAGTTAAAGTCTAGTAGGGCGGCAAACATACACAGATCACTGATGGCCAAGTTTATCCAGTGAACGAGGGGTGGCAGAAGAGCATGGTGGTGGCAGGGCAGGGTGGTGGTCATTACATGCAGTGATATGCTGGCAAATGTTTCACAATGGGCCCACCCGTTCCACCCTGTGTTAGAGTGCTTGCAGTTTCTGTAGTATAGATGCTTCCAGCTTGGCTGACTTCAGGCTATATGGCATCACTGAATGGGGAGCTGGGAAGAGATTTACTTGATTGTGCTCCAGCACACCTCTAAATTGATGTGCAAGGGCGGAGAATCATGAACAACCTGGTGTGTGGATAAGATCTGCTGCAGCCCAGGAAACAAGCAGGTGAGGGACCATGGGCGGGGGTGGGGATGAGGCTGGAGAGGAGCTAGAGAATACCAAGGGCAAGGCTGTGGTTGATTGGCTGGAGCTGCACTGTCCCGTGTGTAGCCACACATTGCTCCTCAGTGACTGAAATGTGACTGGTCCAAAGTGCAATGTGCTGTGAGGGTAAAGTAGACACCAGAGATTGAAGACTTACTATGAAAAAAGGAATGCAAACTATATCATTAATGCTTTTTAATATTCCTTATGTTAATAAAATTTATAGATGTCATTGGTTTGGACTGAGCAGGAGCACTAGGCCCAGCAGACCAAACCAAAGTGGAGTTATGCGTGCTGAAGTTCCACCCTATCAAGCCAAAAGTAAATTGTTTATCTGACCTTCTGAGAAATCAAGAGAGAGACAGATAATAGCCTAATCCCCAAAAGAGTCAGTTTTAGCCAGCATGATGAGGAAAGTGCCCTCTGCTTTTACCTTTACAAGGAAAGCAGCTTTGAAACAACCACTCTGATTTTTCATTCTGTTTCTGCTTTCTTCAGCCCTTTTCTGTCTATAAAATCTGCTCAGCCCATTGGAACACTTATTCTGTTTTATAAAATAAGATGTTGCCTCATTCTAGAATCACAAATAAAATCCAACTAAGATCATTAAACTAAATTTGTTGTTATTTTGTCTTTTGACAATTACATGTTAAGATAATATTTTGGATATATTGGGTTAATCATGTATGTTATTACAATTACCTTATTTTGTTTTACTTTTTTAATGTGACTACTAGAAAATTTTAAATTATGTATGTGGCTTGCATTGTATTTCTTTTGAACATCTCTGGGCCAGAGAATTTGGACTTCTTTAGCAGGCAGCAGAGAGTCTCAGAAGAGTTTTAAATGGATGTGGTCTGCTTCCAGTAAAGATCATCCTGGTTCCTTGTGGAGTTTGCTGAACCAGGCCAGAGGAGGGAAACTGTTGAGAGTCCAGGCCAGAGGGATGTGGGACTGAATTAAAGGCAGTGGAGTTGGGGATGAAGAAGGAGAAAGCAGAATGGAAGGTGGACAGAGACGGATCGAGGATGGTGCCCAGGTTTCTGGCTTGGGCCACTGTCTAGCTGGGAGTGGTAATAACAGGGATTAAAGTACAGGAGGGATGAATATTTCTAGGGGAAAGGTAATGAGTTCAGTTTCTGATATGATGAGTCTGAGGTGTGAGGGGAACATGCAGGTGTCCAACAGGCAGCCGAGCCCAGGAGGCTAGAAGCCTATGGGTTCCATCTTGAAAACGTATTTCAAATAAACCACTTCCTACCATTTCTATGGCTACTACCCAAGCTCCAGCCACCATAATCTCTTATCTGAAGAATTGCCATAGCAGTTGTTCAGATTGCTGGTCTCCATGCTGATGCATTTGCCATGTCTCTCAGTGTGGCAGCCTGAGGAATCTTGTCAAAAGCCACATCAGCACGTCATGCCTCCCCTTGTAATCTTCCGATGAATCACATCACACTCAGGGTTCATGCCACTCTGTACAGAGACCTAAGGCCCTATGCAACCTGGCTCCTCCTACTCTTTGAGTTCCCATTACTGAGGGAGACTCAGTGCCTCTGCTCCAAAGGCATTGGTCTCCTCACAATTCCTAGAACTTGTCAGGAACTCTCCTACCGCAGAGCCTTGGCACCTGGTACCCTAGCTCCAAAGCCCTTTGCTTAGATTAAGTTGACTCCCTCACCCCCTTCAGGGCTTTACCCAACGATCCCCTCTTTGTGAAGCCTCCCTGTTCATTCATCTAAAATGACACCCCTTACTCTTTCCTTCCCTTCTTTATCTTTTTATTAGCTCTCACCACTATTCATCATACATGTTACTTATCATGTTTAATGTTTGTCTCTCTCACTAGAATGTTAGCTCTATACATCAAAGATTTTGTCTGTTTTATTTTCCGTTGCAACTCCTGTGTCTAATAGTAGGTACTGGATTAATATTTGTTAAATGAACAGATGAATGACAGCATATCAGTGGGTAAGCACATAGATCCTAGAAACAGACCTGCTATTGACATACATCCCAGCTCTGCCACTCATCATTGTGACTGTGGGCCGATTATTTAACATCTCCGAGTCTTCATTTTCTCATCTATGAGATGGAGAGATTAATAGTAACTTCCACAAAAGATTATTGTGAAGACTCATTTATTCAGTACATGTGGAACCCCTAACAAGTGCCATGAGGTGTGCTTAACCGGGATTAAATAAGATATTGTAGACTTTGATGCTGGGTCTGCTACATTGTAAGCCCTCAGTAAATGCTTACATTCACTCAGTAAATGCTTACGAAGTTCACGTGTTGAAAACGTAATTCCCAGTGCAACAGTGTTGGGAGGTGGGGCCTTTGAGAGGTGATTAATGAATGAATTAATGTTGTTAATGGATAGATTAATGGGTCCTCATAAATGATTAATCACATCATCAATAACAAATCTCATGCATTTGTTATTGCAAGAGAGGAAGTGTTATAAAAGTGAGTCCGGTCTTGTGTGCTCTTGCCCTTTCCTCTTTCATCATGGGAGGATGCAGCAAAAAGGCCCTCACCAGACAAGGGCCCCTCGACCTTAGACTTCCGAGCCTCCAGAACTATAAGAAATAAACTTTTTAATTTATAAATTTAGCCAGGTATGGTGGTGCATGCTTGTAGTCCCAACTACTCGGGAGGCTGAGGCAGGAGGATCCCTTGAACCCAGGAGGTGGAGGCTGCAGTGAGATGAGATCATGCCACTGCACTCCAGCCTGGATGAGAGTGAGACTCTGTCTCAAAAAAAGTAAAATAAAATAAAATAAAATGAATAAATTACCCAGTCTGTGGTATTCTGTTACAGCAACACGAAACAAACTAAGACACTGAGTATTAGCACGAGGAGGAGGAAGAGGAAGGGTATCTGGCAGTCAGGAGAGGGGGCTGGTGTGAGCTGCCAATTTGGAATGAGCAGCACTGAAAGAAGGGTAGCTGGCCCAGGGAGAGCAAGCAGAATGGGCAGCGAGAAGTGTGGACTGTGCCGACTCTGCAGGGATGAGGCCATGACGGGGAGCTGGGAAGCAAGCTGGACTTTCAAGCCTGGTTAGGGAGTGGAAGGGGAATTCTGGTGTCATCATCAGCATATGAATCAGGCCTCCAGTGCCGGAGTCCAGAAGTAGAGCAAAGACCTCCCCAAAGCCACAAGTCATTGCTCCTGCAACACTGTGGGGCCCCCTGTAAGGTGCAAGATGCGGTGAGAAGAACATAATGTCACAGGGTCCTGCCTGCCTCAGACTGGATTAGGGTTGGACTCCGGAGTCCCAGGCCTCACTACTTGTGAACCCCTTTGTGAAGAAGCTAGAGCCTCATTCTGGGCAGCAGTGGACAAAGGCTCCTCACCACCTTTTAGTGAGGAGTGAGCTAGGGCTCTGTGGAGGCAGAGATCCAAGGACTGCTGCACCTGTGCGGGTCTCAGATGGCGCAGAGATGGAGGTCAGCATTCTGGGAGGTCCCAGGTCAGGCAGGATGCAAGCACGGAAGACGCGAGGCCCTGCCCTTTTCCTCTGGCTCCAGCATGACTACGGCCTTGCTGCCCTGGGCTGTGCCTTGCCCAGGTCTTCCTGGAAGATTTTTCTGGAAGACTTCCCAGGGGCCTCAGCCATAGGACAGAAAGTTTAGAAGAAGCTCCCCACCCCACCCTGGCTCCAGGCCCCAGGATAAGGAAGGCCTGGACACTTATTTCAATGGCACTGGCCCCTCAGGCACTTCAGCTGCTCTAGTGTCCAGAAGCTGTTTCTTCTCAAAAACTTTGCTGGTGCCAGTGTCCTGAACATGAAGCAGGGGCCTCCAGTGTTTTATGGAATGAACAGGTCGAGGTAGACCTGAGAAGTCAAACCTGTAGTGTAGCCACTTGCCTTCCAGAGTTTAGTGCTCAGTACCCCCACAACCCCATCAACAATATACCGACAGTCCCCAACTTAGGATGGTTTGACATACGATTTTCCTTTTTCAACTTTGCAATGGTGCTAAAGCCATGTGCATTGGCTCCTCAACTTATGATGAGCTATGTCTGGATGAACCCAACATAAGTCAAAGAGCGTCTGTATATTACATAAGAGACACATGTGGTTCAACAAATAATCATAAAGTGAATTCCTATGTAAACACCACGTAGGTCAAGATGGGGACCACTTCCAGCATCCCAGAATCTCTCCCACATATTTTGCTGATTTCAATCCTTTGCCTCCCCTAAAGCTACCTACTATTCTGACTTTTGGGACAATTATTTCCATGCTGCTTTTTACAAAGCAACATGGTACAGTGGTGAAGGACACAGAATCTGTAGCCAGAAGACATTGATTCACATCTTGGTTCCTCTACTCACCAGCTATATATCCTTGAGCAAACTACTTCATCCCTCTGTGCTGTTTCTTCATCTGTGATATAAGGATAATGAGAAGATACAAGCTGATAAGGTTGTTTAAAAGATTAAATATGGAAAATGTATATGAAGTGCTATGAACAGTGCCATAGATACAATTGCTGCTCTTTATAGTAAGCCACCTACATATACATCTCACAATAAATATGGTCTAGTTTGCTAGTTTTTGGACTCTATTAAAGGAATCATACTATAAAACAATCAAATAAGCAAACAGACAGACAACAGCTGTGTGTTGAAAGCAGCCATGACTATGGAAGGGAAAGAAGGATGCACCAGTTGCTGAAGTCCTGGAAAGAGAAGGCTGTCATGGTGGGCAGGGCAATGAGGCAAGGATGCAGAGGTGGCACAAACAGAAGATGGACATCTCAGCAGAAGAGTGCAACTGACAGAACCCGGCCTGAGTCAAGGAGTGGAAGGGCCTCTGGGGAGTACAGCCCCCTGTCCCCTCCTTTCCCACCAACCTGCAACCAGGCAGGCTGTGGGTGGGAGGAGGCAAAAGGCTAGGAGGCCGGCTTGAGGTAACAGGAGGGAAGGCTTCCCGGGTCAGTAGAATCTCCACATTAGATGAGGTAGGAAGCCTCTCGGTTAAGAGAATGGCAAACTGGAGCCCCTTCCTTTGTCTCTGCCTACAGAAAGCAACAGATAGAAGATGTTTCTCACAGCTCACGATGTCCCTCTTGTCTGAAATGATTGATTTTAATCATACAAATAATTGATGGAAAATACAGAAGGTGAAAAGGAAGAACAAAATCTGTTCATAGTCCTATTCTACCACATCCACTGTGTCATTTGGGGTGTGTTTCCTCCCAGCCTTTTGTATTCATGAATAGAACTCTAAATTCAATTCTCTTTTGATTTTTAATTGAATTCAGATTAAATTGAGCCAGGTGGAAAAGGGTATCAAGATTTTGCTCCTGAAATAATAACTCTACAGCTGTATTAAAACTATAGGATAGACAATTTTAAAAACAATAGCAACTAATATTTATAGAATGCTTATTATACGCTAGACACTCTGTTCTAAATCTTTCACAGGAATTGTTTTTTTAAATTGATGCAGTAATTAATCAGGGGTTAACCGTAAGTTACTATTATCCCCATTTTGCAGAATGAAGGGCAAACCATGAAACTAAGCACAGAAAAATTGCATAACTCCCAAGATCGCATAGCTTTGGGAGGAAAGATGGGAGCTAGAATACACCTCCAGTGAGTATGATTTTACAGTGTATAATAAGCATCTACAACAGGCTGAGATGAGACTGCATTTTAGTTAAAGTGACAGTTTGTGAAAAGGAAAAGCTTTTTCCTGTAACCCTCCCTCCGCTTCCTCCCCCGTGCTGTGGGGACCACTTCTCCCTTCTGCCCTCTGGTTGCATTACTTCATCTGAGCAGGGTATTTCCAGCTCTGACTGCTAGACCTGACTGTTGCAGGCAATCGTGCTGACAATAATGTTAGAGTACAGCCTAGACAGTGTTCGGAGCCGTGTGGACCTCTTGCTTGGAAAGGAACAGTCCTGCGCTTAGGAAACTCAAAGTGCCCGACTCCCAGCTGCATTCTCTATATGAGTAGAGTTGAGTTGAAAATGTCAAGTTATTTAATAAATTCATACTAAATACTTGGAGGTGGCAAACACTTCAATGAAATTATGTGTTTTTCTTTTGGAGTTATGTATTTCCCTTTTGCTGATGTTCATTGAACACTTATTCTACTCTAGGCCTTGTGCCACGAGCTTTCTATGGGTCTGCCCATTTGGTCTTCATAATGCCCTCAGCTGAGGTTCACTTTTATTTTGAGACAGGGTCTCATTCTGCCGCTAGGGTGCAGTGGTGTGATCACGGCCCTCTACAGCCTTGACCTCCCTGGGCTCCAATAGTCCTCCTGCCTCAGCCTCCTGAGTAGCTGGGACTACAGGTGCATGCCACCACGCCCAGCTAATTTTTGTATTTTTTTGGAGAGATGGGGTTTTGCTGTGTTGCCCACGCTGGTCTTGAACTCCTGGGCTCAAGCGATCTGCCTGCCTTGGCTTCCCAAGGTGCTGGGATTACAGGCATGGGCCACCCACTGCACCCAGCCTGAAGTTCACGTATGATTTCTGCTTTATAACAGGGGAAGTGGAGGAGGTGTGGTAAGGAGCCCACGCTCACATGGCCAGTAAGTGAAGGAGGCCTGGCAAAGGCCACACTCTTGGTCTGTCACCCTGCTGCTTCTCCTCACTTCCTTGTGTAACAGCTCTGTCATCAATGGGCTGTGTGACTGCACACGCTGCTGCACCCCTGTGGCTTTCAGTTTCCCTATCTGTAAGGGGTTGCACTAGATGCTCCCCAAGGCCGAGGTATGTGGGCCTGAGTGCTCTGCATTCCCTGATCAACTTCACTTCATCAAGGGTCTCCCATGGATGTAGCCCAGTTGTGGGCACTTGGGAGATCCAGGAGAAGTAACATCATGGCCTCTGGCTCCTCAAGGAATTTAGAATCCACTTGAGGACATGACTGGTGGCACAAGATAGTGAATTATTAATTTCCCAATGTGTGATTCAGACTAGAGTGTAAGGGTTCTGGAAAGGCAATTGAATGAGTCTTGCCTAGTGGAAAAATTGATCATCCTAAAGGGAGAGCAAATCCTCCTTAACATTTGCTAAAAATTGCTCCTCTGTTAGGCAAGAGTCAGATGCACTTGGGCACATCATCACCATCTGACTCCCAGTCCACCCCAACACCCAGCCCGGGAGCCCTGGGAAGCTGGCGGATGTGCCACATTTCAATGAGACCATGAACCCTTAGAGGGCATGATGGTTTTTTCCTCCACATTATACACTTCCTTATGTTGAAACGTTTTTTCCACAGGGCTGCAGGGAAAGAAGAAGATGTATATTGGTGAAGCACAGCTCAGGGAAACAGAATTAGTTGGGATTGTGGAAAAGTCACTTTGTGAATCAGGGGATAGAGACGCCTCATATGCTGAAGCTGAATTCCTTCAATCCTAAAGAACTGGTTGGGAGCAGAGCACAGTTTGGATGGGTTTGCAGCTATGATACCAGGGAAAAGAACTGCTGGACTCCATACTCTAGCCAGTTTAAACCAGCATTGAAATCTCGAGTGTATTTTAAATTTTCAGCTTGGGTTTGCTAGATGAACTAAAGAGTGAGTCTTAGGTTGTTTTTGCCTTACTCTTGTGGCATCTCAGAGCCTGTAGAGAGTTGGCGTTTGTCCCAGTAGTCTTGGTCTTCCATCCTCTGTCTTGCCCTGTTGGTGTTCCCTAGGGTTCTGTGCCAGCCCTGTTGCTCATCCTAACCCTGCAAGGGGCAATAGCATCCATTTCCAAGGTTTCAATGTTCAGGAACAGGCTGCTGACTCTCCCTCCAAAGGTCCAGTTGAGAACTGACTTATAAGTTCTGAATCCATGTATGTGGCTGCCCTCTGGGCATCTTCACTAGTAGCCCCACAGGTACCTACTTCTCCACTAAACTCCCCAAACCTGCTTCTCCTTCTACACCTCCTAACTCAGGGAATGGCACCATCACTCATGCTCACCATCCCCGGTGTCCAAACAGTCAGCAGTTCCCACCCTATGTCTTTCCAATCTGTGTGGTACCTTGGTTCTGGCCCAAGCATCTTTGTCCTCCAGCAGCCCTCACATAGGTCTGCCTTCCAGAGTTGCTTTCCTACAACCCCTCCACAAAGCAGCTAGAGGGCTTCTATGACACAAATAGGAAGTGCAGCCCCCATCGCCAACACCACTTAAAACTCATCGAAGACTGCCAATTGCTTTGGGGATTTAGCCTACACTCCTCATTTTCAGGTTGCACCTGCTTATCACTCTACTGGGCTCCATGCGTGGGTTTCATGGGACTCCCCCTCTAGAGATGTGTATTATCTGACAAGATCAGGGGATGGGAGAGGTGAAGGTGTTTGATGGGAATTACCATCCCTCCCACCATCCCGCTCTACCGTATTCTCAAATTCAGAACATCCCAACAGAATTCAGCATGCTGTTTCTCATTCTAGTGCATCAGAACAACCTCTCACAAATCAGCAAGAAGACAAACCACCTAAGATACCCACAGACGATCACCAGGGAAAAATACAGAGCCTTTCCCACCCTTCCTGGCCAGAGCTGACTGTTCCCCTGTTAGTCCCGCACTGAACCTTGCCTGAAACTCCCTTATAATAGTTTGCACTATATGGCATTTATTTATTAGTTTATCTCTTTCTTTAAACAATCATCAATTTGGTTCATCTGTCTATCTTCTATGTGTGTTCTATGCAGCACATATCTGCTATGCATGCTATGCACAGGGTGGGCTGAGGAGGTTCTCTGTATATGAATGTGAAATTATTACATCACAATATTATACCTTTTCTCCCATTAGGAGCATTTATTTCATTAAAATGGCTTGTTCTGAAAATATTCCCTGATATTACCAAGGATTAATGTCCTTAATAAGCAATCTGTTCTTATTAACCAATAAGAAAAAGACAAATTCCCTATGAAAAAATTGACCAAAGACATTGGATTCTTCCTTGTCTCCCATGTAAACAATAAAAGCTGCAGGTTGTGGCGAAACAGGTACTCTGATGTACCATTGGTGAGAGTGTAAATTTGTAGACCCTTTTGAGGGCCATTAAGCAATAATAATTCCAAATTTAGAATTTGGTTGATCTCTGACCCAGCAATTCCTGGAACTTGCAGAGATTTGTCCTACAGGAATAATCAGATAAAGACACCACGTTTATGTAAAAGAATATTAATTGCAGGCCAGGCACGGTGGCTCATGCCAGCACTTTGGGAGGCCAAGGCGGGCGGATCACCTGAGGGCGGGAGTTCGAGACCAGCCTGACCAACATGGAGAAATGCTGTCTCTACGAAAAATAACAAAATTAGCCGGGCATGGTGGTGGATGCCTGTAATCCCAGCTACTTGGGAGGCAGAGGTGGTTGCAGTGAGCCGAGATCACGCCATTGCACCCCAGCCTGGACAACAAGAGTGAAAGTCTGTCTCAAAATATATATATATATTAATTGCAACACTGTCAAAATAGTTAAAATGCAAATAATTTGAACTTTCATCAGTATTGGTTTGGTTAAAAAAAATCATGGTGCAGCCATATGATGGAATATTATGCAATTGTTAAAAGAAAAAAAAGCAAATCCCAAGAGATTTATGTTTTTACAAGGAAAGATGTCCGCAATATATTAAGTGAAAGAGGCAGATTGTAAAGCATTTTATCCATCTGCTCATCCATCCTTCCTTTCATTCTTTTATTCTACAAAAGAGGTGAAAAAATGTATATATATATATCAGACCACTAACAGTTTTATCACCATATTGTCACTGGATCAAGTTAGACTTATTAGGGACTTCCACATTCTACTTCATATTTTGGAGATTTTACAAGCAGATATTATATTTATAGTAATAGCAAAAACAATAAATACTGCCAATCTGGGAGACAGTTTTTCTTCTTGCTTATTAAAGGGCAATTTGAGAGACTTTCCTCTGCTAGCATGTGAGAAACTGGCTGCCACACAGGTAATTTCTGAGGGACCTTGGCTTGGTGGTTTAGCTCCTGATGGCAGGTCTCACATCGCATGGATTAGTGCTGCATTTTTAATGCAGTTTTCTACTTACTCTTTAGAAACCACAAGACAACATTTCACAATCTATTTCCACCCAGCAGACAGGAAAAAACTACGCTCAGTTTTCAACTATCAGTGGAAAAGAATTGTTTGTATAAAAGGAATCTACAAATAATAGACACTTTATCCATTCCTTTTTATCTCTTCCACCTACATTTCTCTCAACCATTCTTTTTCACTTGTTACCAAGACCAAAATAAACTGATTTACAATTTCTCTTTTGCTCATCCTCAATGTGCCCTAGGCCTGACTTGTTCTTAGAGAACCCTCTCTGGCTCCTGTTGGTTAATGGTTTCTTTTTAACCAAATCACAACAGGTTAATTAATACGAGTTTACAGTTTTTCTTGGTATTGATGGCGTGCTCATTTGACTATGGCTAATGGAATTTCATCTTTTTCCTTTCTTAGGAAACTGAAAGTACAGTGTACTTTGTCCACCATATTGGTGACTTTATGTTGACTGAACCTGTTAAGATGGAAGGGGCGACAACTCTGGATACCTGTTAGGATTCATGTTTTTTAGAGTGTGGGAGATAAACCCTTTAGGGCTAAAAGTCTGCATCACCTCATCAAGCAAGCCACCTACACCGCCAGAAGTACTTGCTGGGAGTGGAGGGATTCTAGAAAGAGTGGCAGAGCAGGGAGATGATGAATATCAGCCACAGCCAAGGGACCACTGCAAAGGTTTATGTTAACCACTCACACAAATTTATGTAAAAGAATATTAATTGCAACATTGTTAATAATAGCTCAAATGCAAGTAAGTCAAACTTTCATCAGTAGTGGCTTGGTTAAATGAATAATAATAAATCAGTGGCTTAGTTGAATAAATCATGGTATGCAGCCATACCATAGAATATTATGCAATTGTTAAAAGAAAAAAGCAAATCCCTAGAGATCTAAGTTTGATCCCTAGAGATCAAATAAGTTTGACTTATTTGCATTTTAGCTATTATTAATGTTGCAATTAATATTCTTTATATTCTTTTTTTTTTGAAATGGAGTCTCACTCTGCCACCCAGGCTGAAGTGCAGTGGTGTGATCTTGGCTCACTGCAACCTCCACCTCCCAGATTCAAGCGATTCTCCCACCTCAGCCTCCTGAGTAGCTGGGATTACAGGGGCGTGCCACCACGCCCAGCTAATTTTTGTATTTTTAGTAGCGACAGAGTTTCACTACGTTGGCTAGGCTGGTCTCGAACTCCTGACCTAAGGTGATCGGCCTTCCTCGGCCTCCCAAAGTGCTGGAATTACAGGCATGAGCCACTGTGTCTGGCACAATTAATATTCTTTTGTAGAAACTTGTGTGAATGGTTTACATAAACTTGTGTGAGAAGAGATGTATCTTGTCTCACTAACTCTTATCTTGTTAAGTTTTCCCCCAGAAACTGTGAGTGTCCACCCTCTTGAAGGCGCAGTGGCGGAATGAAGTTCACAGAATGGAAGATGTGAGCTGGTCTGAGTGATGCAAGGGGTGGTCTTGGGTGGGCTCAGTTCCTGCTCCCTCAGAGGCCTTTGGATCTATTTTTGCTGTTTCTGTGAACTCCGCCAGTGCTTTTTGGTGCTTTTGCTTCAAACAGCCCCATACCCGTGACTCTCTTTGGAAGACTGCCATCTGGTTACTACACTGCTTTGCCCACAGGTGCAGAGCCCAGACATGCCAGGAAGTTTCCATCTTTTTAGGGCATCCCTTAGCCAGAGACCAACAGTTTAACGCCACAAAGCCCAGCTCCCTTGTCTCCATGGGGACAAACTCAGAAATCTCACACACTCCCTTGTGAGACCTTGCCTGCAGTTGCACCCTTGCTTGGCTTCTTCTCAGTCCCCTGCCGACTTGCCCCATTCCCGTACCAGACCCGTTTCTTTGGGAGCTTGTCTTTACTAAGTCACTTGCACAGGACCCTTCCTCTCAGGATCCACTTCTGGGCAATCCTCACAAATAACAGACAAATGATAATAGGTAGCATTCACTGAGTTTGACCATGTTTCAGGCACTGTGATAAGAGCTTTTTACATGCCCTGGTCCACTTAGTCCTCCAGAATTCCATCAGGCAAAGCAGGTGCAATTATAGCCTCTTGGCATAGTTTAAACTTGGGACTGCAGACCCTGGTGCCTGACTGCCTGGGGTCAAATTTCAGTTCTCCTAGTTACTAGCTGTGTGGCCTTGGGCAAGTCACCTATTTTCCTCACCTGTAAAATGGAGATAATAATAGAATCTACTTCACTGGTTTGCTCTGATGAGCTAAAGTGAGCAAGGCATTGAAATGCTCTGTAGGTATTTCCTAAATGAACAAATACTTCACACAGTAGGCCATGGAGATTTACAAAGATGAAGGCCAGGCATGGTGTAATCTCAGCACTTTGGAAAGCCAATGTGAGAGGATCGCTTGAGCCCAGGAGTTCAAGATCAGCCTGGGCAACATAGAAAGACCCCGTCTCTACAAAAAATAAAAACGAATTAGCTGGGCATGGTGGGGTGTGCCTATGGTCCCAGCTACTCAGGTCGAGGCTGCAGTGAGCTATGATCATTTCAGCCTGGGCAACAGAGCAAGACTCTGTCTCAAAAAAAAAAAGAACTAACTTGCTCTAGTTCACCCAGCTAAAGTTGGCAAATTTGGGGCTCAAATCCAGGTCTGTGAGATTTCAAAGCCCAATTTCTTGGCTATGATTCTATGCCACTTCTGTTCAGTACCACTGCCCCTTCTTGGGCCTTCATATCTTTCAAAAGGACCACTTTTCTCCAAGTCTCCCTGCCCATTGCTGGCTTGCCTTTGCGAGCATCAAGTCCTCCCTCAGCAGAGGGAGACTGGGTCTCCCCGCACTGCCCTGGGATGGAGGCAGCTCTCTACGCTGCTGGATCCTGCCTTGTCCTGGAGGGGCCACCACATATTCATTCTTAAGGGGACTTCTCCGCAGGCTATACTTTCTTCATTTCATCAGCTCACTCCCCGCCAGCAACCCACCAGAAAATCAGAGAGAGAATTTCCTTTGCTACTGGAGTAATAGCTTATGAGTACCTCTTTTCTAAATCAAAAACTCTATTCTCTGTTTTCCCAATTGCAGAGGTAAGTGGTAAATGGGATAATAATTTAAAACATATGGAAACATGTGAGGAGGAAAGGAAGTGAGAAAACTCTCACTTGCTGCCCATATGGCTTTTCTGAGTTTTTTAAATCCACCCTGGCCTTGACTCACTGGGGCCATCACAGGGCTTTGGGATGACACACCTGGCAGGCCTGGCCAATGTCCTTATAAGGCAGCAGCTCTGCGGGGAGTCAGCTGCTTCTCTGGCCTGCGTGTCAGTCGGGCGATGAAGCAACACCCCTGAACTGGGAAGGGCGGGGAGCAGTTTGCTCCTGATTCTCCATAGCCCCACTCGGGCAGCCCTACTTCCTTTTTTGTCGGGTTGAAAGTGAAAAATTGAACTCTGGGAGAACAGAGAGAATAAGGCCACTTATTTCCTTTTTACTTATATAGCAATATTTATTGGGCAGCTGCTATGTGCCAGGCATTTTAATCTTACCAGCTCACTATCTACAAGAAAGGGAAGAGATTCAGTTGTAGTGCTCAGATCTAACCATGCAGTTTCTCTCATATATGTGTGTGTGTGTCTGTGTGTGTGTGTGTGTGTATATGTGTGCAGGCCAAGGGGGTAGGGGGTGTCTTAAGCTCCCTTCAGGTCCCAGATTTGGGAACAGCAGTATAATGAAGAAGGGACATTTACCATTTAATGTCATACTTACCAATGTACCAAGCGTGGTGATTTACATACATCATCTCATTTAATCCTCAGGGACTAAACATCTACTATGAAGTAGGCGTCAGGGGCTAAAGCAGAATTTCCTTGAAATGTCTACCTAGGTTTATCTTGCTTTTCCCCAGATCCCAAAGTCGGCCAGCATGAGGCCCAATGGTTTATATACATCTTAACCTCAAAGGGTGTTTTCTGTTTCAACCTTAATACTTACAGCTCAGATCTGTCACCAAGGTTTGCTTCCAGTTCAGATTCTCAAATAAACTGTCCTGGCCAATGGCAAATTCTTGACTCCCTGGGCTGATCTGTCCCCTCCCAGGATGCCCACAGCCAGCCACCAAGGATTCTGGATCCCTGAGAATTTGCTGACTCTATCCCCCCACCTTACCTGTCTTGAGATAATCTAACCTCTGGGCTCCCAGGTCATGCCCCCACTCCACCTCCCTCAGTTTGTCTGCTCAGGACCCAGCTGCTCTGCTGGGTGAAGGAGCCAAGACCTAGTTGATACCCCAGGGTTTCCAAAGAATCTTACCTCGTTCGAAGAAGGGATGCTGCAGACTTGAACCACTTTAGGACTCAGTCTAGATTGAGTTCCCTGTGCTATGTTCTTTCCTATTTCCTCTTTCACAGCCCTCAGCATGGGTTTCTCTCTTGGACAGGTGGAGACAATTCCACTGGAAGAGCTGGAAGCATACCTAGATGGCTTCTCTGTGTTTGAAATGTCAACCACCCTCTCCTCTCCAAATTTCCCCAACCTCATCTCCCTCCATCTTCTCCTTGCTTCCTCCATTGTGGCCACATCGGTCTCCTTTCCACTCCTTAAGCCAAAATCTAGGGTTGCCAGATAAAATACGGGATTCCAAGTTAAATTTGAATTTCAGATAAACAACATGTAATTATTTTAGTATAAGTATTGTTATGGTTTGAATGTGTGTCTCCTCCACAATTCATGTTGAAACTTAATTTCTAATGTAATAGCATTAAGGAGCGAGTCCTTTAGGTCAGTGGTCCCCAGGCTTTTTGGCACCAGGGACCAGTTTTGTGGAAGACAATTTTTCAACAGGTTGGAGGGGTGGGGATGGTTTGGGGATGAAACTGTTCCATGCTAGATCATAGGCATTAGTTAAATTCTCATAAGAAGAGCACGACCTAGATCCCTCGCATGCATAGTTCCAGTAGGGTTCCTAGTCCCATAGAGAATCTAATGCTGCTGCTGATCTGACAGAGGGTGGAGCTCAGGCCGTAATGCGAGGGATGGGAAGTGGCTATAAATACAAATGAAGCTTCGCTTGCTCGCTTGCCCCCACCTCCCGCTGTGTGGCCTGGTTCCTAACAGGACATGAACCTGTATTGGTTGGTGGTCCAGGGCTTGGGAACCCTGCTTTAGGTGATTAAGTAATGAAGGTGGAGCCCTCATGGATGGGACTGGGGCCTTATAGAAGGGCTTGAGGGAGTGGGTTTGCCCTTCTGCTCTTCTGTTCGGTGACACACAGTGTTCCTCCCCTGAAGAGGACGCAGCAGCAAGGTGCCATTTTGGAAGCAGAGACTGGGCCCTCACTGGACACCAATCCCAGCTAATTTCTGTTCTTTATAGAGGAACCAGTCTGTGGTTTTGTGTTACAGCAGCACACATGGTTAGACTAAGACAAGTGTGTTCCAAATGTTGAATGCGACATATACTAAACAATCCCTTTTCTTGTTCATCTCCTCTTGTTTCTCGTCCTCCTCCTCCTGTTTGTTAACTCTGCAACTCTAGGCTTAGCTCATTCCCACACTAGGGATGTTCCTCCTCTGACGATGACATGATTTTCTCCTCTCTTCGACTCTGGCCTCTGCCCAAATACCTTTTCTTCAGGAAGGCCTTCCCTGATCTCACATCTCAAATGGGAGCCCCATCACTCCCCATTCCCCTTCCTCTTGTCTTATTTCCCTCACTGCTTTATCCTGCCTGACTTTACCTTGTTTTTGTTTGTTTGTCCTCCACTAGCATGGACTCCTCAGGAAGGCAGGGATTCACGTCTGTTTTGTTCACTGCCATTTCCCTAGTGGCTCATAGGGCCTGGCATAAAATAGGCATCCGAAAACTATTTGTTGAATGAATGGATTATTCTGCAAGATGAAGAGAGAAAAATTTGGAGTTTCCAGGTCAGCCCAAGAAAGAGAAGATTGGAGAAGAAGGCTATAAAATTACTGGGGGAAGAGAGGAAGGACAATGGTAAAGGAGAGACAGAGAGAGAGACAGACAAAGAGACAAGTTACTTTCTGAGACCTTTCTGAGTCTGAAGGTATGTGAGCTCAGAAATATAGGCCTCTACACAGGCTGCTAGGTTGCATCTCCAAGGAGAAGAGTACGATGTAGAATTTCAAAGCACAGGCTTTGACAACCCAGACTCAACATTTGTAAAGCACCTAACAAAACATTTGACACTTGGCAAGTGTGTATCAGAAGGCAGCCGCGAGTACGTCTCATTGACAACTACACCCCTAATGATGAAATTCACACTCATCCATTGCCTCTTTGATTTTAGCTGACTTGCAGCTGATGGCTATTTTTCAAAAGCAAACAATTTTTTTTGTTTTTGTTTTGCTTTTAAATTGTCACAGGAGGGTTAGGGTGCCCACAGGGTGATTAAAAAATGTCAAGCCAAGTACACTGTGAGCCATGTGACTCCCAAGCTGGCCTCATCGAACGAGGATTCAAATTCAGCCACAGTGCAGGGATAAGTCACTACACTCAGGGGCCTTTGAGGTTTCTAGGATATAGTTGAAGCTGCAAGTGTTAAACCCAGGGGTGTCAAGGGCCCATGTCTCTGAGCACACAGGACAGGGTGTAGTTGTTAGTGCTGAAGCCAGTCCAGCATGACGTTTGCTAGCTCTGTGATACACAGCCTCACCTTTAGACCTCACATTCTTCCTGTGGAAAATGGGATGACAATTCCTGCTCTGTCTTTCTTACAGGTTTGGATGACCATAAAATTAAATAGGGTATGACAAAGAGCTTTGGTGACTGTGAACTACTATATAAAGCTTAGGATCGTCATGATGTCATCAGCATTGTCTGCAGGGGTGGTCTTGGCTGGCTGACTATGGGTTGCCAATCCCATGGACATCTTGGTGTCCTCCACGCCCTCTTCTCGGCGCCAGGGTAAAATGCCAATCAGTGACGTGTCCCTGTGGGACTCAAATGACACAAGATGATCACCCTCTGGAGCTCTAGCTCTGCATCCTTGGGTCAGGCCAGCAAGTGCTGCCAGATGTGCACCTCCCAGTCCAGCAGCCACTGCAAAGGCAGGAAATTAGCACCAGCTCTGAGTAAACATCTCTGTTCTTTAACTCAGCACTTTGCTATGTTAGTAATTAGCTACACTTTTCCAGGACTAGACACCACACATGACAAGTCCCACGATCCCCAGTACCAGTGAGACAGTCACGGCCTGGGCAGGCTTCAGCCCCTCTCCTGTCCCAGCCTCAGCAGTTCTGGCAAGTTCTTAGATGGCAGCACATTCCCAGAGCCAAATGATGCATCCTGAGACAGACAGGCAGGGAGAGGATGCACTGGTGTCCATGGCCTTGGCCCATGATAGCCTGCAAAGCCAGTTGCCCCTGAGAAGCAATTTTTCTTTCTCTCATTTGGATGCTTATTGGCCAGAGCTGTCCTCAAACTGCAGCAGGCAGTATCCTTGCCTTAGGACCTGCAATTTCATGCATTTATCAGACAAATATGAACCGAGTGACTGCTAGGTACTAGGTGCTCAGAACGCGTCAGTAAACAAAACAGATTTGAATTTCCCTTCCTTCATGGAACTTAAGTTCTAGTGGTGGGAGGAGGACAGAAAACAGTAAATAACTAGATTTTGAATTGTGTTAGCAGATGATAACTGATGTGGGAACTTAGCAGGTAGAAGGCAACACAAGGTCAAAGAAGCCGGGGATTCCACCTTGACTAGGGAGCTCAGGGCAGGCCTCACTGAGAAAGCACCACTTGCATGAAGGAGGTGGGAAAAGCCTTCACCTGGGGGAAGAGCCTTCCAGGCAGAGGGAACAGCCAATGCCAAGGCCCTAATGCCTTGGCCACTGCCTGGTATGTCCAAAGAACAAGGAGACCTGTGCCAGCGGCTGCAGCTGAGTGAGCCAGGGATGTAGGAATGTGTAGAGGGTGGTTCTGGGAGGTGGCAGCAGGAGAAAAGTGGCTCAAAGTCAGCTAGTGGTACCATCTGGATTTGGTTTCGGGGCCTTGAAGCCTACAGAATTTGCGGACACTTTCTTAAGAATGTAAAGTTACAAAAACGAAATTAGACACAGGGCTCTGGAAAGGCAAGCGAGGGTCCCTGAAACCTATGTTCCTTCGCTTCCCTCTAGTGGAGCCCTGGACCTGAGGACGGTGCTGGGAGGGTCCCACCCACCACAGAGCCTCCTTCCCTCCCTCCTTCCCCTCCGATGTTGCCCTTCTGTGACTTCTTTCCTCCCTCCAGACTTCCTGTGACAGTCATCTCAACCAGAGTTTGCACAGATGGACATGGGGACAGAGGGAGGAGGTGAGGGACCACAGTAAGGCCCATCCCAGGCCCACATTGGTCAACCTCCAGCCCTCAGGGACAATGCGGACAGTGGGGTGGCCGGGAAGTTCCTCCTGAGAGGGGAAGGGTGGGAATCACCCCGCCACGGAAGACATTTCTCCCTTCTTGGTGGTTCTGTTCCCACCCAGGGAAAGAAACTAACAGGGCAAGGCACACATTTAATATGAAAGCAGGCTCAGTGTCCTCTCTCAGGTCCCCACATGGTCCTTCAGGAAGTAGCTTCAAGGCACTGGGGCCCCAGGGAGATGAGCAGTGAGACTCTCTCTCAATCTGGCTGGGCGAGTTCCACTCAGGGAGGCCCAGACTCTGCTTCAGAAACCTGGAAGGAGTTTGCGGGGGAGTGGAGCAGACAGGGAGAGGAAATAAAAGGAATTATCCTCTGAGCCCAGTTATTAAATATCAGCAGAGGGGAAAGAAATTCAGAGTAGGTAGGAAACTCAGGCTAGGCATGTTTCATCATGTACTTTCTCTATAGGATGTCTGCTAAGGGCCTGGTTAACTACAAACCATGCATTTTTTCCCTCCCTCCCTCCCTCCCTCCCTCCCTCCCTCCCTCCCTCCCTCCCTCCCTCCCTTCCTTCCTTCCTTCCTTCCTTCCTTCCTTCCTTCCTTTCTTCCCTCCTCCCTTCCTTCTTTCCCTCTCTTCCTCTCTTCCTCCCTTGTTTTGTTTCTTCTTTAGGGAGAAAATATGCCATTCAAAAGTGCCCAGTGTGTGCACACACTCTCTTTTTCTTTTTTTAAAATTTAGCCTTGACTTGAAATTCAGAGTATGCATATTTTTTAAAAATTGTGATAATTTTTTTAAAAAGATGCCAGCTGCTAATTCCACCTAGGTAGAGACATTTAAACAAGTTTGGCTATAATACAGGAATTTTGATGAATTTGTTTAAATGAGATTCTCATTATAATACAATCCCTTGCTGTCTGGAAGAAATAAGTCAGTCTAGAAACATTTACAGAACAGCTGCTATATGCAGGGGTTTTTTTTAGGTCTCATGGGGTGTTCAAGAATGTTGATTCCAAAGTCTCACTCCTCCAGGGGTGTCCCGTAGTCAAGAGGTTGATGCTGATGCCTGTGGAAAGAGCGGCTGAAGATGGCTTCTCAGGCTTTCATCTTGACCTCCTCCTCTTACTTCACACTCGCCCTGGGCTCCAGCCTCAGCACCCAAGACGTCAACCACCTCCCACCAGGCTTGCGATGCCAAATCTTTATCTCTAGCCTGACTCCCAGCACCTTCCAGTCGTCTGCCTAGAGTGGAGGCTGGCTGGCTCCAGTTCCCTTTCCAACAGCAGCCAGGGTGGCCTGCCTCAAACGCACACATCTGGCCACAGCACTCGCCCACGCCCGCGTAGGAGCTGGCCCTGGTCACCGTCATCCACGTCAGAGATCACAAACATTTGGAAATGTAACTTGTTTTTCAAATAAATGTTATATTCAAAACCAATAGAAGAAACAGATGAAAAGTTATCTTATTGGTAGATATGTACTTTATAGGCACACATTGTTATAAAGCCAGTCACTCTGAACAATGTGAGTATTTTAAGAAGTGTAAACATTTGACATTCATGGTCATGGGTACAGTTGCAGTTTTATGTCAGCCTTGGTATTCAATTTATTCCTGCATTTGTTTCTATTGTCCAATGTTGAGAAAGTTCAATTCACAGAAGTAAGTCATAAAATTGTTTTGCTTTACTTTATTTTTAATTTTTAAACAGCTTGCCTTGAAATCTCAGGATGCGCTCAATTAAACAGACCCAATACCTTAAATGTGGAGTAGGAGGAAAATTTGATTCTAAGTTGAATCATTAACAATATCTAAGTGCTTTTACTCCCTGTGTTAAATGTAAAAGTCAAATCAAAAGCAACCCAGCCTCAGGACAGGTGCTCGTGTGATATGATCCTGACTGCACAACTCACCATTATGCAGTGGGAGGGATCGTGATCACCTAGGTTTTGCCTGTGTGAATTTGGTTGAGTGTGACTCAGTTTACCATAGTAGTATGCTTGTACAAATTGAGAGGACATGCATGGACCTGGATTTTAAGAAATCACCTATATAGAGCTACAATCTTACTAATCAGTGACACCTCTGTTAAACATTCAAAGTTATGAATGAAACTAGCAGAAAAGATAAATTTTTCAGACTATCTCAAAGAGAATTTTCCTGGCAACATGAGTTAATACGTTGGTGGTCTCCAACATGTTACAATGTTTTGATACAAAGCGCATGTGACTATGTTGTTGTAAAATCACAGTTGATTTTTTAAATGATTTAAAGTACATATTTTGGGTAGCTTTTAAAAAAGTATTTATTTAATTTTAACAGGATTTATTGGTTTTCTTTGATTGCCTCTGGTCAAGCTTTGGAAGTTATTTTATTTTTTTAAATAGAAAATTCATGGAAATGGTGCAAAAGCCAAAAGGTGAAAACAACAAAAAAAGTATATTTTGTGACAAATAAGTCTCCTCCCTCAGCCCTGTTCCCAAGAAATGTTTTTCTTCCCAGACGCCACACCACATTTATCAGTTTCTTTGAATCCTACCAGAGATAGTCTATGCCTCTGTGTGTGTGTGTGTGTGTGTGTGTGTGTGTGTGTGTGTGTCTTAGCTTGGGTTGCCCCAGGAACAGACTTTGACACAGGATTTAAATGCAAGCAGCTCATCTAAGAGGTGCTCTCAGGAAACACCTTGCAGGAAGGTGAGGACAAAAGATGGGAAAGGGAAGGTAGCCAGTGGAGGAAAATTGATCAAGTAAATTACCGCTGTGGACAACCAGAGCTAACCCCACTGGGGAGCTCTGAGAGCCAGCATAGGACCTGTGGCTCAGAGTTATTTCTCCCAAGGGGAAATGGAGCTGGAATTTTATAACCAACTCCGTTGTCTGAGAGCTGTGGGGTGTGGGCAACCGGCCATGTGGTCAGGCACAGTGGACTCTGTCTGTCAAAGAAAACTCAGTCAAAGCAATGCAAGGGCTGGCAGTTTGAAGTGGGCTAGTGTGTAATGCAATGTCAAGGAGCAGGAAGTATGGGCAGGGTACAAACAGCATCTGCTACAATATTATCTGAAACACATTTTAATGAAATTAGCACCAAACATGTGCAGTAACTCATGGCCTAGCCCCATGAATGCCAGGCTTCCATAGAGACTGGTCTGAAGACCGTTGTCATTTTTGGCATGGCAAACAAAACCTTCTGGGGTTGATTCTTTTGGTTACTTCTGGTTCCTTTTCCATTTTGATCTCAGTCAAGTTTTTGCCCCAGTAATACAAATGACTTGTGCTTGCAGGTCCCCAGACAGTCCCGGTGTGCACACTTCCCTGCTTCTGTTCATGATGTTCTCTGAACCTGGGATCACCTTTCCCCTTCCTCTTACCTGCCCGATCCTACTTGTCCTCCCAGATTCAGGTGAGTTGGAAAGAATAAAACTGGCCTTATGGAGTTGTAGAAGCCTCAGTGAGAGGATGTGTATAATATTCAGCATGGTGTTTGGCACAAAACTCAGTAGTGGTCATCTGCCTGCCTGTCCATCTCCCCATCTGTCTGATAACTTGGGAGCCCACCCCAATGTTCCCAGACTATACCGGGATTCCTCTCTTCTGTGCCATCCTAGCACCCTAGGCACACCCATAGGAATGATCTGCTTGTCTGTCTCCCCCGATTGTGCCGGAAGCTTCTTTGGGACAGGAAGCAGACTTTGCTAATCTCTGAACCCCCATTGCTGGTACAGTGCCCAACACACAGTATGGCTTAGTGAATGCCTGGATAGAATTCAACTGAGTGCACCACACAGTAACAATTCTTTGAGGTGTTTGTGCAAATTCTGAAGAAGGAAAAATCACTGCACATAGGGTGGCTCATGAAGGTGTTTTTAGATGGGCCTCTATAAGAGACACACATATAAAGATTGCTTCCTTCTTCCTATTAGAAGAGCGAGCCTTGTTGACCTATGACTTTTTTGCATGCTAGATTGCATGCAAGATTGTTTTGCTCGTTACTTTCTCTCTCTCTCTCTTTCTCTCTCTCTCTCTTTCTTTTTAATGGATAGTCAGTCCACAAATATTTTCTGAGTCCCTACTATATATTGGACACTACTCTAGGGGATGGGGATACAGTGGTGCACATGACAGAAGGAGATCCTGCCTCAAGGAGCTTCCACTTTCTTGGAAAGTACAGAGTGGAATGTTCATTTGGACTGGCCTGCTGCTGCCAGGAGGATCTGAAGAATCTGGAACAAGTGGGGCTTCTCAGGGCCTGGCTGATGGATACATCAGACAGTTTTAGGTAAAGACGCAGGGGCAAAGATTCCAATTTGAGGCAAGCACCAAAGGAGATCAAGGACAGCTATCATTTAGAAACATACTGAGCACTCAGCTGTGGCCAGAATATGGAGGGCATAAAGAGATATAAGCCTCAGTCCCTGTAAAGATTTGCTGTCTACAATGGGAGAATAGAGTTAAGTCTCAGTTATTGTGAGTGGATTAACAACTTGATGACTATCCAGGTAATGAATAATTATAGATTCAAAGGAAGGTACAAAAAGTAGTTTAGAGGGGGACTGTGTACTCTTCACCCAATTTTCCCCAATATCACAGCCAGACAGTTGACAGTAGTATAATACACACACCTTATTTAAAGTTCGCTAGTTTTGCATCTGATTTTATACATTCTTAGCACACGTAAATTCATGTAACAACCACCATAATCAAGACACAGAACTGTTCTAGCACTACAGAGATATCTCTCATGCTATGCCTTTGTAGTCACATCCCCAATTCCCTACTCCCTAGCCCCTGGTACTGTTGAGTGTTGAGAGTTCATGTATTTTAGATATGAGTCCTTTGTCATATGTGTGTTTTGCAAATATTTTCTAGTAGTCTATAGCATGTCTTTTCATCTCTTTTATAGTCTTTCACAGAGCAAAATTTTAAAATTTAAATGAAGTACAACTTAATGGATTTCTTCTTTTGTTGATTGTGCTTTTAGTGTCATGTCTAAGAACTCTTCACCTTGCCCTAGCTCCTAAAGGTTTTCTCTTATGTTTTCTAAAAGTTTTATAGTTTTACATTTTACATTTAAATCTATAAGGAATTTTGAATTACCTTTGTATAAGATAGGAGATATAGATTGAAGTTCATTTTTTTCTTTCTTTTTGCCTAAGGATGTCCAACTTTTCCAGCACTGTCTGTTTAAAAGGCTATTCTTCCTCCATTGACGATCAGTTGACTGTACTTTTGTGGATTTAATTCTGGCTTTTCTATTCAATTTCATTGATCTATCTGTTCCTTCACTAATATACATCGTCTCTATTGTCTGTTGCTATGAAGTAAATCTTAATCAGATAGAGTGATTCCTCCCATTTAATTCTTTCAGGAAATTGTTTCAATTATTCTAATCCATTGCCTTTCCACGTAACTTTTATAATAATCTTGTCTAAGTCTTCAAAAAAACCTTGCTGGAGTTTTGATAAGAATTGTGTTAAAGTAATAAGTCAATTTCAGGAGAATTGTGTTAAACTAATGGAGAATTGGCATCTTCACTATGTTGAATCTGCCAATCCATAAACACAATATGTTTTTCCATTTATTTACTTCTTCTTTAATTTCTTTCATCATCATTTTGAAGTTTTCAGCAGTCCTGTACATGTTTTGTTGGTTATACTTACATATTTTTTATTTTGAGGAGGTGATAATGTAAATGAATACTGTGTTTTAAATTTTGGTTTCCACACGGTCATTGATAGTATACAGAAATACAATTGATTTTTGTATATTGATCTTGTATTCTGCAACTGTGGTAAACCCAACTATTAGTTCTATGAGGGTTTTCTTTGCTTGATTTTTGGTTTTTAGATTCTTTGGGATTTTCTACACCAGACATTATGTCATTGGCAAATAAACAGTTTTAGTTCTTCCTTTCAAACTTTAGGCCTTATGGGTTATCAACTCTGAGGACCATCCAGGAAAAAAAGATTATTTAACCCCCAAGTACTCTTTCCCCACTCATTTCTGGATTATTTTCCCATTGTCCACAGTGCACTTGGGGAATACAGACTCACTCTTACATTAGATCAAGCAGCTATTATTAGGGAAAACATCTGGAAGGAATAAGATACATTCCAGAGCAAAGGAGGGAGGATCAGGGACTTTTCACATCATGCCTCCTCCATGAGCAAGGGTCAGTGAAGGGTGACTCTGTGTACTGTTTGTTCCCTTAGGTGAGGCCACCCAGGCCTCAGGCCTGACCTTCTCAAAGCCCAGCCAGGGCAATGAGTGACTCCTTTTTCAGCACTGGCCGAGGTCAGGGCCTCCTGAGGAAGGCTGGGAACAAGGACTGACCCCTGCTGGGTCTGAGGAAAGAATGAGATGAGGCCTTCTGAAAGCTGGGGAGCATTTAGAGGGGTTTTCAGTGGGTGAGTGTGGGCCATTGCTGATTCTTTTGCCTCTGAGCTGAGAAATCAGCTCCTAGGGGTCTTGCAGGATGTGGATTTAGTTGTGGTTTACCTGCCTTGCTTGCCAGCAGTAACAACACTGGGAAGTGAAATGAGAACTGTGTCCTTGACACCACCAGGGACACAGCAGGGAGTGAGAATCGGAGGGAGGATAATGCCTTCAGTTTCGTTTAGTTGTCTTTCAGCTAGCAAGATACATGAAACTGAAGAAACAGTAATATACCATATATTTCAAAAAGAAAAACCAAACCAAGGCTAGATGTGTGGACCCAAGTTATGCATGGAGATGTATAAGCAATGCTGTGTGAGTGAAGGGATCCAGTATAATTAAATCTCTATGTACCCAAACTACTGGGAGTTTTAAAAATCACAGTACTATTTACTTTTATGATAAAGTGATAAAAGTGCTGGGCATTTTTTATGATAAGGTGCTGGGCAATTCATCACTGGAATATACTGAAACATTATACTGTATGCAACACATGTTCAGCACATTTGTTAAAGGCAGATATGTTTAAAGAAGTTGAAACAAGGGGAATGCAATTCTCCCTGATACATCCTTGGCTGTGGAGACACTTATTTCATCTAGAATAATATTTTCGTCTACTTTCTGTAAAGCAAGAGGTGAAAATACTTTCTTTTTGTTTTTAAAGTTAAGACTATCTTGAAAATGGCAACTTGGAAGAAACCTTAAAGGTAAAATTTAGTTAATCGGTGTAATAAGTTCCTATGGTTTCTCTGGTCTATTCCATGCCATACACAACTTAATAGCCATTCTAGCAGTGTTATAACAACACTGTTTTAACAACTTCAGAAGTAACTCCACTGATGGGTGTAGCCAAGAGAGTTTTATCTGAACTCCAGATCCTGGCAGTATAAGACTTTTCAAGCAAAATGCAGTCGGTGCCTTAGCTTCATGGAGTGCAAGCCTCATCTCCTACACTGCATGTGGATTTCCATCCCTCTAGGTCTCCATTCACTGGTGTCCACAGCACACTAACCCCCTCTCACTGTTCACCCCAATACTGACCTTTCGATGTCAAGTAGACACTCCCCGCTCTCTCCAGGAAAACCTCCAGGAGTCACCAGATATCAGGATGAGGTACGGGGACTCCAGATGTCTAGGAGGAGAAGGCAGTCTTTTCTTGATCCAGGGCTCTTCCTTAGGTCAGCCTGAAATGCCCGGCATTCCTGTACACTTTTTCTCCATGCCCAGGAGTCCCTGCCCCAACTTTTATCGTTGCATCTTCTGTTATCTTTTTTCTTTTTGGTTTCTCATATTCCCTGAACCATCCTAGGGACCAATAGGAAATTCTCCCTTGTCTGTGATGCCATTTGCAGTGCTTCTGAGGTAAGAAGGAGCTGCAACTGCCCTCTGAATCTCAGCTCAGAGGATCCCACATAACCTGTATCTGCCAACATCTCCCTTTGCATTTCATGATGAAGAGCACTGGCCTGTGGGAGGTTTGATTGACACATACCTTTGATATCCTTTGCCTGGGCCATGTCTCCAGCCCTCTACAGCTAGGGCTGCCTCTGCAGAAGGATGGCGTTTTCATCTCTAATTGTGAAAGAGCTTTTAAAGGCAAGCTGGCCACAGTAATAAGCACGTAATCTGGAAGAAATCTCCTGTTCAATGGTGGATCTGAAGTTCCTTTTTTTTTTTTTTTGGTTGGGGCTTATAAACCTTCATTTGTAAAAGTTAATCATGGCATTCTTCTCAGGACCAGTAAGAGGTGATTTCAAAAGAGTATATGAAAATGATGTGAGCATTGGCTAACATGGGAGAAGGCCCAAACTCAAAAGGATAAGATCCTGAGTTAAGTGACACAAAAATTGAGTTCTAACAGGTGAGCAGGAGTTGACCCTGAAGATTAGGGTAGAGGAGGGCTTTGGGGGCAGAGGAAATGTTTGTGCAAAGGCAGGAAGACACATAAGAGCATGGCAGGCCAAGCAGCATTCTGGGTCCAGCCCAACTAGAGTACAGAGTAAATTATGGGGAGTGGAAAAAGACGTTGGAAATGTGTTAGTGTTCTCCAGAGAACTTGAAGGAATGGGATGAAACTGGCTCATGCAATTATGGAGATGGGCAAGTCCCAAGATCTGCACGGTGAGTCTGCAAGCTAGAGAACCAGGAAAGACTATGGTTTAGTTCCAGTCTGTGTCCAAAGGCCTGAGAAGCAGGAAAGCTGATGGTGTTTGTTCATATCTGAAAGCCAACAGGCTTGAGACCAAGGAAGAGCTGATGTTTCAGTTCAAGACCAAAGGCAGGAAAAAAGCTGATGTTCCAGTTCAAAGGCAATTAGGCAGAAAGAATTTCCTTCTACTCAGAGAAGGGTTAGCCTTTTGTTCTATTTGGTCCTTCAGCTGACTGGATGAGGCCCATCCACATTAGAGAGGGCAATCTGCTTTACATAGTCTACCAACTTAAATGCTTATCTCATCCAAATCACCCTCACGGAAATACCCAAATGATGTTTGTCCAAATATCTGGGGACCCCATTGTCCAGTCAAGTTGATGTATAAGTTAACCATCATGGAATCATAGGGCATGGAACAGTAAGAGGCCATTTCAAAAGAGTGTAATGTTCTGGGGCCAATTGTGATTACTTTCTCAAAGAGGATCAAGTTTCTTACTTGCTAGTTCAAGGGGTGGTATGCTGAGGAAATGTTTCTTACCCACTTTTAAAATCTGAATATTTTCTTACAATAATGGCTACCACTTACTGTGTATGTACTATGTGCTGGCTGTTCAGCAAACATCTCACTTAATCTTTTTTTTTTTTTTTTAAACTGGGTCTCACTCTTGCCCACCCTGGAGTGCAGTAGTGTGATCCTAGCTTGTTGCAGCCTTGAACTCTTGGGCTCAAGGGATTGCCCTGCCTCAGCCTCCTGAGTAGCTGTGACTACAGGTGTGCATTATCATGCCTGGCTAATGTTCTTTTTTTTTGAGAGAGAGATGGGGTCTTGCTATGTTGCCCAGGCTGGTCTTGAACTCCTGACCTCAAGTGATCTGCGTGCCTCAGACTCTCAAAAGTGCTGGGATTACAGGTGTGAGCCACTGTGCCCCACCATGTCACTTAATCCTATCACTAATCCTGCCCCCTACTGGGTTTACTGTCAAAGGAAGGGTTATTAGTGCCATCTATATGTGAAGAAACCAAGGCTCAAAGAGCTGTATGCTCACCAATGTTTACAGTGCCTGTAACACAGTAGGTATTCAATAAATATTTGTTAAATGATTTTAAGCCTCTAGTAAGTGTTGAAGTTAGATTTCAAAAGCAGATCATTTGACTCTAAAACCAATGGACTTTAGAAGAAGCTAGTGAGCACAGGCAAGGAAGAAAATATGTGACTTGGAGTTTGGGTAGTCAGACCTCTGACATTTTATCTGACTTCTCCCTGAGGTAGGCCAAGATGACTGAGCCTGAAAAAATTCTGATAATTCCAACAAAGTCTGTCAGCATTTAGCACAGCTTCTTGAAAGTGACCTTGAGCAATTAAATCATGCATATAGGCAGACATTAGTTCTGGTTCTGGTTGACTCAAAAATTCAACAGCCCCATTTACGGCATGCTTTTAAGTATGATTCTTTTCCCTGTTATTAATTCGTACTCAAAATTTCTCAGCAATAGCTAAAAAGATGGGGGATAATGTATGTTTCAAAGCTGCTTCATCTCTTCTAATGAACAATGTTTAGCTAGGGAGGGTATTGGTGAGGAAGAACGGCTGGTTATTGATTTCACAGAAATTATGTTGTCCAGTCTCAATAAGACATTCATCAAGGGGCTAAGTCTCTTCCTAGTAATTTATTAGTTATATATGGAAGCATGTTAAGTCTAGGAGGTCTCAAGGCACCACTTGATGTTTCTCAGTGGTGACTCATGACATAGAAAGATACCTTAATCACTCTTTGAGGTTCTTCCCAACTTTTAACTTAGGGGCAGCTTTATACCAGGAGCCCCGGACTTAAGCATTCCTTACTGTTTTTCTTCCCTCCCTTCCCTGCTCCTTCCCAAGGCTATGGAGAAACTGTTTTTCATCGTCAAAGAAAATGTGTAGATGATTTATTTATTGACACATTGTCATTGTACATATTAATGGGGTGTTGGGATTCACTCAGGATGATGGCAGAAATATTAAAGGGAAATATTAGGGAAAGTCATAGGAAATAGTCACAAATCTTTTGGAAGGCTGAAAGGTTACATAGCTTGTAATAATTG
The DNA here is from genome assembly GCF_000001405.40 of Homo sapiens. NCBI lineage: Eukaryota > Metazoa > Chordata > Mammalia > Primates > Hominidae > Homo > Homo sapiens. Next base: position 94,698,172 of record NC_000001.11, on the reverse strand, counting down.
AACAGGCTGAAGGCAGCCTGTTACCTCAGAGCATTAAGTCATAGGGTAAATACTAGTAACAATAGAGGCTTCCCCAATTAAGTCTGTTTACCCTACCTCCTTTAACTAACCTTTGAGCCAGATGGCCCTCTGTGAGGGAGGTCGACCAGGGAAATTGCCCCCTAATGGTATTTACTTTAGACCGTGGTACCTGAGCTTTAATCATTCGTAGAACTACTCTCTTAACAATGTTAATTATCCACAAGTGTGTTTCCTCAAAGCTTCTATTATTAATTGTATACTAAATAAATGCCTGGAGTGCAAGCTGCTCAGGGCCGACCGCAGTGACAAACCTCTCTTGGTGTGCAGGCGGTCGGACGCTCAGCTGGACTGGCAAAGCAGAATATCTGTGTGTCAGTGTACATTTTATTCATCCGTCGTTTGGGTCAGGGTCTGCGGGCAGACCCCCACAGCTAATGCCCTTGTGTGAGGAGCAATACCTCACACACTACTCCAAAAAATAATCAACCTCACTAACCATCAGGGAAATACAATCAACACCATAATGGGATACCACCTCATTCTACAATTTGATTTTTCAAAAAATATATATATTTATGTATATCACACTATATATATTTTTATATATCACATATATATATCACACACACATATATATGTTGTATAACGATCCAAGTAGGGTAGTTAGTGCATTCATCATCTCATGCATTTATTATCTGTTTTTGGTGAGAACCTTCAAAAGCCTCTCGGCCGGTTGCAGTGGCTCACACCTGTAATCCCAGCACTTTGGGAGGCCGAGGCAGTGGATCACTCGAGGCCAAGAGTTCGAGACCAGCCTGGCCAACATGGCAAAGCCTCATCTCTACTAAAAATAAAAAAATTAGCTGTGTTGGCAAATGCCTGCAGTCCCAGCTACTTGTGAGGCTGAGGCATGAGAACTGCTTGAACTTGGGAGGTAGAGGTTGTAGTGAGCCGAGATCATGCCACCACAGTCTAGCCTGGGTGACAGAATAAGACTGTCAAAAAAAAAAAAAAGCCTCTCTTCTAGCTATTTCATAATATACAGTACTTTACTGTTAATCAGAGTCACCCTACTGTGCAACAGAACATCAGAACTGAATCCTCCTATCTAACAGTAACTTTGTATCCATAAACAAAATTTTCCCTAACCTTCCTTTTCTCTCCCCAGTCTCTGGTAACCACTGTTCTACTCTCTGCTTCTATTATATCAACTTTTTAAAAATTCCATGTGTGTGTAAAACCATGTGTTTTGTCTTTTTGTGTTTGGCGTATTTCACTTGACATGATGTCCTCCAGGCTCATCCATGTTGCCCCAAATGACAGGATTTTATTTTTTATGGCTGAATAGTATTCCATTGTATATATATATACCTCATTTTCTTTATCTGTTCATCCATTGTTGGAGTCTTGCTCTGTCTCCCAAGCTGGAGTGCAGTGGCGCGACCTCGGCTTACTGCAACCTCCGCCTCCAGGGTTCCAGTGATTCTCCCACCTCAGCCTCCCAAGTAGCTGGGATTACAGGCGCCAACCACCACATCTGGCTAATTTTTGTATTTTTAGTAGCGGCGGGGTTTCACTATGTTGGCCAGGCTGGTCTCAAATTCCTGACCTCAGGTGATCCACCTGCCTCGGCCTCCCAAAGTGCTGGGATTACAGGTGTGAGCCACTGTGCCTGGCCTCTTTTGTCTTTTTGTTGATAGCCATTCTAACTAGAATGAGGTAGTATCTGATTATGGTGTTGATTGTGTTTTCTTGATGATTAGTGATGTTGAGTATTTTTTTATATACCTGCTGGCCATTTGTAGTCTTCTTTTGAAAAATGTCTATTAGGGTATTTTGCCCATTTTTTTAAGTCTGGTTATTTGTTTTTGTTTTCTGTTGAGTTGTTTAAGTTCTTTATGTATTCTGGAAATTAACCCCTTGTCAGATGTATAGTTTGCAAATATTTTTTCACATTCTGTAGGTTATCTCTTCATTCTGCTAATAGTTTCCTTTGCTGTGCAAAAGGATTTTTAGTTTGATATAATCCTGTTTGTCTATTTTTGCTATTGCTGCTTGTGCTTTTAAGGTCTTATTTAAACAAATTTTTGCCCAGTGCAATGTTGTGAAGTGTATCCCCATGTTTTCTTCTAGTAGTTTCATATCTTAAGTTTTACATTTAAGTCTTTAATCCATTTTGAGTTGATTTTTTTATATGGCGAAAGATAGGGATCTAGTCTCATTCTTCTACATGTGGATATCTAATTTTCCACCATTTATTGAAAAGACTGTCTTTTCCCTAATGTGTGTTCTTAACAACTTGGTAGAAAATCAGTTGGCTGTGGGAGCATGAATTTATTTCTGAGCTCTTATTCTGTGCCATTTCTCTATGTGCTGTTTTTGTGCCAGTACCACGCTATTATGGTTACTACTGCATTGTAATATATTTTGAAGTCAAGTAGTGTGATGCCTCCAGCTTTGTTCTTTTTGCTTAGGATTGCTTTGGCTATTAGGGGATCTTCTGTGGTTCCATATGAATTTTAGGATTTTTTTTCTATTTCTGTGAAGAATGTCATGGTATTTTCATAGGGATTCCATAGTTTTAATAGGTCCACAGATTGACAGATTGCTTTCGGCAGTATGGCCATTTTAACAATATTAATTCTTCCAATCCATGAACACAGAGTATCTTTTCATTCATTTGTGTCCTTTTCAGTTTCTTTCTTCAGTGCTTTACAATTTTCAGCATAGAGATCTTTCACCTCCTTGGTTGACTTTATTCCTAGGTATATATTTTTCCTAGCCATTGTAAATGCAATTGTTTTCCTGATTTCTTTTTCGTATAGTTCATTGTTAGCATATAGAAACACTATTGATTTTTATATGTAGATTTTGTATGCTGCAATTTTACTGAATTTGTTTTTTAGTCCTTTTTATTTTTCTTTTTTTGGTAGAGTCTTCAGGGTTTTCTATGTATGCAATCATGTCATCTGCAAACAGGGACAACTTGACTTCCTTCTTTACACTTTAGATGCCTTCTATTTCTTTCTCTTGCCTAACTGATCTGGCTAGGACTTCTAACACTATGTTGGACAGAAGTGGTGAAAGTGGGCATCCTTGTCTTTTCCTGATCCTCAAGGAAAAGCTTTCAGCTTTTCACCACTCACTATGATGTGTGTGAATTAATTTTACAGGGCAGTCTGGCTATTTTGTCTGAGCTCACCAAAGACTTGATAAGGAGATCTCAAAAAGGACAATGTGCTTCATTCAATTATTTTAGACAATTGCTGATGAATAGCCCGAAAGAAGGAAATATGGGAGTAGCTTAGGAAAGAAGATTCATCCAGGCAATGGCCCATGGAAATGCCTTATTGTCTAAAAGCGACATGAGTCATACTGTGCCAGAAAGGTGGAAGGTTGGTTTTGGGAGGGATGTGTTGAGGGATTGGCTTACCCTCCAATCTAAAACTGGAAAGTGAAGCCGGAGGCTTTGTTTTGAGTCATATCACTTCAAGATACCATGTTTGCTGTGGTGTTACACCTCCAAATCACATCTGGAATGTGGCTTTGCCTCTTCCCACAGCCTCTATTACTACCATCCTCATCTGAACTACCATCATCTCTCCCCTGGGTAGCTGCAAAAGCCTGTTTCTTTCTCCTGCAGTCTGTTCTCCACACAGCAGCCTGGTGATCTGTGACAACCCAAGTCACACTGTGTCTCGACTCTGTTCAAAAGCTTCCTGTGTCTCCCCACATCACTCAGAGTAAAAGCCACAGTCCTTCTGTGCCCCCCTGATCTGACCACATGCAATCCAGACTCTCCTCTCTTCCCTCCCTGATCTCTCCTACTTAAAGATAGGACCCCAAACAATGACTCAGGCTCCACTTTCCAGTCTTAGGTGGTTAGAGGTCAAGGCTTCACCTCAACAAGTGCCTCTCTGTGACAACCATTGGCCTTTCTTGGGCCTCTCTGTCCTCCAGTCTTGTCAAGTTCAACACAACTTATATCAGTTATAGGCAATGGACCCGTTTCCACTGGCCTCCCTCTCCTCCTTGTTCACTCTACTCTAGCCACATTGGTGTCACTGTCTTTCTCAAACACACCAGCTCTCATTGCCTCGGGGCATTTACACTTGCTCTTCTCTCTGCTGGGAATGCTTTTTCCCCAGATAACTACATGGCATGCTCCTCCAACTCCTTTAGGACTCTGCTCAAATATTCTTTCTTAGGGAGGCCTTTCTGACTGTGCTGTTTATAATTGCAACGCCTGTCCACCCTCTTTTCACTCTTAGTACTCCCTTTCTTGAATTTTCTCATTAGCACTTTTCATGCCCTAACTTACTATATATTTTATTTATTGTATTTCACATGTTTCCCTGTCCCAAGAAGGCAGTGATTTTTTGATTTGTCTTATTCACTGTTGTTTCCCCAGTGCTTAGAAATACACTTGGCACCCCCTAAACATACATTCAATAGTTCTTGAGTGAATAAATGGTGAATGAATGAAGCATTAAGTGGTCAGCTAACATGTGCACTGCCTTGAACCCCATGTGCTTGATGTGAAAGGCATGCTGCATGCCCTAAAGAGATTCATAATCCATTTGGGAAGACAATGCTAAGAGAACTGATGGTTCTGTTGTTTTTATTGTGAGACACAGAGACTCATTCAAAAATACTCTCAGAAATTAGCATTGACTTTAAGGATACCAGTGGACGAAAATTGGTCCAGAAATCAGCAAGCCTTTGGGAACTTGAGGCAATGTTGGAAACCTCCTTCGTTTTCTTATTTACACAGTTTCTCTGTCTTGTGGGATCTCTATTCCTTTCCTTTTCCCAAGTACTGGTTTGTTCTTATCACCTACCAGGACGTCCACTCCATCCCTCATGCTCTTGTCTAGATCCCAAAGGGAGCTGCTCAGCCTCGTGCTCACCATCCCCCTGCTGGACAGAGCTCCTCACAACTTGTGGGTCTCTGAGCCCACCCAAGGTGGGCTGCCCTTGGCTAAGTACCCCCTCTTAGAACAGCCTCACTCTAGTTCCCAGAGTAGGGAGCTTGGTGCAAGACAGTCAGCCAAGGCCAGGACATAAATAGTATAAGACAGTTTGAGAGTCTGAATTTCTACATGGACTTCTTATAATTATAGACAATTTTTTAAAAATTGATTATAGAAAAATTGAAAGTATAGATAAGAAAAACATAGCCTAGAATCCTAATCACCATTAACATCTTGGTAAGTGTCCTGGCGTAATTCCCTTCCAGAGAGGCTCATCCTTTTAGGAGTATGGTCTTCACTACCATATTGTTTTCTATTTTTGTTTTTCTCACGTAACCATATTTTTTGAACATTCATGTCATATAGAGAGAGATATTGACATTTAATTACTGAATAGTGTTCCATTTTATGGATAGATTATAATGTATTTAACCAATCCTCTATTCTTGTATACCGAGACTATATCCAGTTTTTGATATTATAAAAAATGCTGAAGATATAGTTTTTATAAAAAATCATGATTACTTATTCTTTATTCTAGAAGCAGAATTTCTGGGCTAAAGGGCATAAATATTTTAAAAATAATAGTAGCTACCAGTTATTGAGCACTTGCTGTATACCAATTATTTTACCTGTAACAATCATAACACTTTTATAAACCAGACACCCTTACTATACCATTTGCAGATAAGGACACATGAATGGAGACATTGAATAACTTACCCAAGATTCCATGGCAAGTAAGTTGCAGAACAAGGATTTGAACACAGGAACTCTTACATGACACTGTCTCCCTGGTTAAGACGAATCACTATTATAATAAATTAAAGTATATAACCTATACATGCTGTAGGATTTTAGGGATAGAAAATAGGTGGAGAGATTGATGTAAGCTGGGAGAGTAGGGAAGAAATGATTGTAGCAGTGTGGGACCTGTTAGGTCTATGAGCAGGACTTTAACCCAAAGGGCCATATGTTACTGATAGTGACAGGAGACAGCTAAATGCCTAGGCAGATAAGGGAGGGTCCCTGGTGAAATACCACCTCCAAGCTGAAGACAGTTTAAAGCCTGAAAGCCAAGCTACAACTTAAATCCTTGGACTAAATTGAGAATTTGCCTTCCTATTTGGTCCACTTTCCTCTGACTGATCCCCACCCTTCACCTATTTTACGTATACCTACCCTTTCTTAATTGGTTTTCTACACTGTTGTGCTCACCTTTGAGCGGTGTCTTCACTTTAGCCTTTTTCACATACTCACAAACCAATCAGCACACACTCCCTGTTCTGAGTCCATGAAAGGCCCTGGACCCAGCCACACGGGGGACTTTCCTCCCTTTGGGGAGGGAAACCACCCCCCACATCCCCTCTCTCCTGAGAATTTTTTTTTCGCTTAATGAATTCTACTCCACTCACTCTCTGGTAGCTGTTTGCCTCATTCTTCCTGGTTGTGAGACAAGAACTCAGACCCAGTTGAGCTAAGGAACAGGAAGACTGCTACACTACAAGTGAAAAGGTGTATGCTACTGGTGGACAGATTCATTTCTTTAACAAATGCCATCACATGGGCCTCTAATTAACAATAATGTCCCCTGTTGCTGACCTTGGATGCAGCTAAGATGTTTCATAGTGAGATTTCATCTCTGACTCCAGGAGCCCCATTATTGATCTTGTAAACATAGAATTTGCTTGCTGGCCTCTTAAGCCAGCCAACTGCCACTTGATGGAGAAAACATTCCCTTTTTTCCTGACGGGACTGACAGTTTTGCTGGGGAAATTGCTCATTTGTCTCAGTAACCTGTGTTTCTGGAAAATTACTAACCTGTATCTAACTATTGTACAAACCCACTCTTAAAACAGCAATGTAAGGTTTATAGCTCTCCCTCAGGTGATAGAAGGGACAAGAGTGGGCTAAAAAGGGGCTGTCAGTGACTATCAAAGAGCATGTCAATCAGAGTGACCTTGTTGTTATTGCTAGTAACAGGTTCAGCCTGAACAGTAATGCAATTCAGGCTAATAAGAAATAACAGGAGCCGCCTGAGCATGGTGGCTCACACCTGTAATCCCAGCACTTTGGGAAACTGAAGCAGGTGGATCACCTGAGGTCAGGAGATCAAGACCAGCCTGGCCAACATGGCGAAACACCATCTCTGCTAAAAATACAAAAATTAGCTGGGTGTGGTGGCACGCACCTGTAGTCCCAGCTACTCAGGAGACTGAGGCACGAGAATCACTTGAACCCAGGAGGCAGAGGTTGCAGTGAGCTGAGATTGCACCACTGCACTCCAGCCTGGGTGACAGAGTGAGACTCCATCTCAAAAAAAAAAAAAAAGAAAGAAAGAACAGGAGTCTCCTAAGGGATTCTAAGAAAAGATTGCATCCCTCTTAAAAAGAAATGCAGAAACATTTTTTAATTTGGACAGTTTTGTGTTTTCATGTGATACAACAGTGAATGCCATTTTATAACCACAAGTTCAATAACCTGAGGACAGGCCAATAGATTTTCACTGAGGATGGCCAAGCAAGAAAGTGGAGAGAAGTTAGGATTTTGATGGTGTCACTAACCTGGGAGCCAGCCTATCATATCTGGGTAGTGTTTTTTGTTGTGTGAAATCAGAATTTTTCTCCATTATGTCAGGGTTTTTTTATTGGATTTTTAGTTACTTGTAGCCAAGAACATCCTAATACCAATCCCGCAGTGTTTTCATACTCAAAGTTTCTGATCTGCACTAGAATCCAGCGTATCTCCTCCTTCTTCAGGGGAAACATTCTAAAAGCCATCCTGGTTACGAATACAAATTAAACAGGATTTTACCATAACTGATTGGAGGGAAAAGAGGTGAAAGTTGAGTCATGCATGCTCCCAAGTCAGCCAAAGTGGTTCTGAGAATTGTTGCCAATGCCTATTTAGCCAGAATTCTTCAAATAATGTTTCTGGGCTCTAAACTTGAAATGTTTGTGGTAAGCCTTTAAGAATGATAATCTGTAGCATACCAAATATTTCCAGGCCCCTATTTATCCTACTCTGGGATGGGTGGGCATGTCTGGAAGTTGCCAGTAAATTTCACAACCGGTTCGTTACAACATGTTGTCTCAGTTCAAGACAACATTAGTAATAATAGATGGTAAGTGGATAATGAGGCTCTGAAGCTCAGAAAATCACAAAACCAGTGCCATCGAAGGACAGACAATGCCATTTTGCATAAGAAATAACCCATGCTTTTGTCCAAAATGCTCATGAAATTTTGAAAGCAAAAGTTTCTCTCATGACTTAGAGTCAATTTTTTTGTTTACTTTCACATCTCCTTTTATTTAATTCATATGGAGCAGACATCCGATACATCATTGTCTCCTGACTGCAGGATAAAGACATGTTTTCTAATTTAGTGTTTAGTAAAAGCACCCAGAAGGAGCCCATTTTTCTTTCTTTCTTTCTTTCTTTCTTTCTTTCTTTCTTTCTTTCTTTCTCTTTCTTTCTTTCTTTTTTTTTTTTTTAGACAGAGTCTTGCTCTGTCTCCCAGGCTGGAGTGCAGTGGCACAATCTCAGCTCACTGCAACCTCTGCCTCCCAGGTTCAAGCGATTCTCCTGCCTCAGCCTCCTGAATAGCTGGGATTACAGGCACCTGCCACCAGGCTCAGCTAATTTTTGTATTTTCAGTAGAGATGGTGTTTCACCATATTGGTCCGGCTGGTCTCAAACTCCTGACCTTGTGATCTGCCTGCCTTAGCCTCCCAAAGTGCTGGGATTACAGGCGTGAGCCACCGTGCCCGGTAGGAGCCCATTTTTCTAAAGGGCTCCAGAAATCTAGCATATTACAGTCATGGCCAGGAGGTAGTTTTACTTTAGAAGACAGCTGGTCTGTGACTTTTGTGAATCAGCTGGACAGGAAGTTCCCAGAATCCTAAGACTGTCCTCTCTTAGCCCATATTAGCTAGGATTAGAAAAGAGCGGATGTAATTTTAGTGTCACAGATCCTGCCAAAAGCCAGTGGCAGGTGAGGGTCTGGGGCTTGTGTTCTATCAGTAAGGGAAGTTGGGTGCAACACCCTCTTCAGGGCTTGAGGGCAAAAGACTAATTTGTGGGAGGTAGGGGCTCAGAGTTGCTGTGATTTGGATATTAAGCAAAGGAATATGACTTTCTTTTCTAATCAAAAGCTGTTGCACTGGATATTCTACACTTGTCCCTTTAGATCCCCTTTCCTCCCTCTCCACCATCCTCTGTGCTCCAGAAGGTTGAGGATCTGCATCAATAGGCTCCTTTGATCTCTGACCTCTGTTGGGTTTGGCCAAGGGAGGAGACTGGAGGCGGGAGGAGAGTGAGGTTGGGACTTTCTCCCCCCAGCTTCCTGTGGGCTATGGGGGGCTGTGGCTCCATTCTTCTACCGAAGGCACAGCCCCTGTTGAACAATGCTCCCCTGCTGTTACATTCTTTCCAGATTCTGGGAACTCCTTCCAGGTTACCTAGGAAACATAGGTAATGGCTTCCGACTGTTGCTAGTTCCTGGGCATCTCATCATCCTTTACTAATTTCCCTTAATCCCACGCATCTTTGTAGATAGTCAATTTCTTGACCTCAGCTCAGTTTTCCCTCTCACAGGTACCACTAGTCTCCCACTGAACCCTGACTGGTGCTGTTGTTTCTAGTTCAGATGTCCAGGTTCCACATGAAAATAAGTGGGTTGCACAAGCAAAGAAAACAGATTTAATCTATAGGGTAAAGGATTTTTTTTCTTTAGTTATTATTGTTATTTCTGTAAAATGTGAAGTCTCATTTTAAGAACTTTTTGGCCAAAACTGGTGTCATTTCTTTTTTTAATTTCTTTCTTTCTTTTTTTTTTTTTTTTGAGACGGAGTCTTTCTCTGTCGCCCAGGCTGGAGCGCAGTGGTGCGATCTCGGCTCACTGCAACCTCTGCCTCCCCGGTTCATGCCATTCTCCTGCCTCAGTCTTGAGAGTAGCTGGGAATACAGGTGCCTGCCACCATGCCTGGCTAACTTTGTTTTTGTATTTTTAGTAGAGATGGGGTTTCACCATGTTAGCCAGGATGGTCTCGATCTCCTGACCTCATGATCCGCCTGCCTCGGCCTCCCAAAGTGCTGGGATTACAGGCGTGAGCCACTGCGCCCGGCCCCAAACTGGTGTCATTTCTTAATCCAAACCTGCCCTGTGTCCCTTAGACCTAAGTAGCACTTGCTGAGCTCCTACAAATTTGTGATTTCCAAACCACTTGCTGTTCACTCCTCCCTCTTGTAAAGTGTTAGAAATTTCTGAGTCCTTAATGTGGAAGCCTGCAAAAGAAAAAAAAAATCATTAGCTTAGATTTCTGGATGTGAAACCAAAAAGATAATAATCACATAAATGAAACCTGTCTCCCAAGAGATTATCAACAGATGAGCTGGTAATATTTAGGCCTCAGGGGCTTAAAGATGTATAAAACACACTCTCTGACCTTAAAAAATTTAAGGTGCAGTCGAGGTGTTCTAACCCTTCACAAGGGAGAGGAGAGGACAATAAGTTGAAAATCATGAATGTAGAGGAGCTCCACCAGGGCCACTGAGGAATTAAGGATAGGTGGATCATTTGCATTTTAAAATGACACAGATTTTAGCAAGAATTTTCACAAATGAGACCTTGTATTTTATACACACACAGAGTTTACAAGTAGAAGTGGGTGGAGCTGGGGTCGGGGAAAGTATGTATAACAGCACCAGACCAATCTGGCTCAACTTTTATGGAAGAAAGTTGTGAGTTGTTTTTCAATTGCCATGGACCCCCAGGTTGAAGGTCACATAACCTGAGCATGCCCAGATGAAGCAAATATGCAACCACAGGGGGCTTCTAAGGGCTGGAACCGAGGAGTGGACTGAGGAGGGGGACTGATAAAAGAAGCAGACACTGCATGGCAGAATTCAGGCTCCAATCAGATCAAGCTCTGGCATCACTCTACGGCAGGGTCTAGGCAGATCATGCCTCCTGGCAACACCTAATTGCAGGATCCAGTCAGATAACACCTCCTTGCCAGTTGACTAGCAATAAAACTTTTCTTTTCTCAAAAGCTTGTGCCATAGTATTGGCTTCTGTGTGCATCGGGCACCGAGCCCATTGATTGCTTAGTAACACATGGACTCATGAACCCATCCTTTCAGCACCTATGAACTAAGTGTTAAAATGGGATTTTGTCCTGGCATGTTGGGAAGACAGAGGAGGAACACTGGGTCCAACCTGATATTTGGGAAGATTTCCTGAAGAAAATGATACCTGGGCCGATCTTTGGTAAAAGACTTATCCAAGTAAAGTAAGCATTGGGTAAATGAGTATCAACAGAGGGAATCCTGAGAGCAAAGCACAGAGGTGTGAAGCAATGTAGTGTGTGAGACAATTAAATGTAATTTTGTGCCCAGGTGATATGGTTTGGCTCTGTGTCCCCACCCAAATCTCAACTTGAATTGTATCTCCCAGAATTCCCACTTGTTGTGGGAGGGACCCAGGGGGAAGCAATCGAATCATGAGGGCCAGTCTTTCTCATGCTATTCTTGTGATAGTGAATGAGTCTCACGAGATCTGATGGGTTTATCAGGGGTTTCCGCTTTTTCTTCCTCATTTTTTCTCTTGCTGCCACCATGTGAGAAGTGCCTTTTGCCTCCTGCCATGATTCTGAGGCCTGCCCAGCCATGTAGAACTATAAATCCAATCAAGCCTCTTTTCTTCCCTGTCTTGGGTATGTCCTTATCAGTGCGTGAAAATAGACTAATACACCAGGATAGAAAGAGGATTTTAGGACCCAGCAGGACCTAGGGGGCCAGGCAAGGCCTTAGACCCACCACCATGGATGACACCCTGGATGTGCAGCCCCAGCCCATTTATTCATTCTTCTTAATCCTGATGCTTCCCTGTAGGCTGGAACAGGTTCCAAATGCAAGCAAGGAGCCTTCTCAGATTTACTTAGGATGAAAACAGAGGCTGATTCCAGAAAGGGGCATTCCTAACACTGCTCTTACCAAGGAGAGGGGAGTTCTGTTTAATTGGCAGCAGTCTCCTTCACTGGAAAGCCCTAAGTGAATGGGATAACTGCTAAAGAAAGCAGCAACCTGGGACTTCCACCCAACCTCCTCCCTGCCCCCAAGTCCCAGAAGAGTGGTTCCCAGCACCACCCACATGCAGGGCAAAGGAGAGAGTGGGGAGCTTTTAGGGATATAGATTTCGAGACCCCATGTGAGTCAGAGCATGGGAAGTGGTATTTAAGAGGCTCCAAATGTGGCTTGGATGTCCAAACAGGTTTCTGAACCTCTCTTGGAGCCACATTTCCCAAGCTGTGTTCCATTGATCTGGGAGCTACTGGGCCCTATGATGTTAAACAGACGTCTTGATTGCAAGACCTCTCCCTTCTCTTCATCAGCTCATACACCTTAAGAGCCTCCAAGATGGGGGGAACAGCAGTTGGAGAGGAATATATTATAACATACCTTCTAATTATATTTTCTAAATATATTGCCCATAGAATCTCTCTCTTTCTCTCTCTCTGTCTCTCTTTGGTGGAGCATTTCTCAAGACTATGCAGCACATGCACAAGACTCCACACAGCCCACTTTTTGGGGAAAGCCACTCTAGAAGCTCAGGAAAAGGGTGATTTCCATCGCCCACTGAGGTCCATGCTGCAGGAATGGGGCCAAGGCAGGGCGGGTCACCTTGCACCAGCCAACCAGGGATCGCCATGTAGTCAAGGAGACCTCAGGTGAAGGGCAGCAGCCTCAGTGTGTGGAACATGGCTGGTGAGTGTTCTCTTGCACAGCTGAGGCTTCCTGGGCAGTTTCTAGTTATCTGAAGAGGACGATCACCCTCTCCCTGGGACACTGCTTTCCACTGGAGCAAACTGATGGGCCTGGCTATTTCACTGTGATGTGTGGGCCCCAAAGTGAAGGGCTGGAGTCTTATTTACAGGGTTGTAGAACGAACCAAAAAACACCTCCCATCCCTTCATGCTTGCTTAGGTTGCTTCAGTGACACCTAACATGGGTCCTTGTAACAGTCACAGAACATCTGCATACTGTTGGTGCAGCTAGGGCCCAAAGAAGTAAAAAAGGAAGCACATTACAGCTGCATCCCTCGCAGGAACCAACCTGCTCAGGAGGACGATGGCGAAGCCCACAAAAGGCAGCAGCTACAGGGAGCCTCTTGTTTCTATGTTCAAAGCGGTGAATGTCAACCAGTGCAGAAGTTACTGCAGGTCAGAGTGTGGCTGCCAGTGATGACATGCTAAACTTGGCCAAGCCCCCTTTCGTGTGCATGAGGTAGGGCTGGAGAGAGCAGTGCAGAGTGCTCCAGAGACTGGTAGAGCTGGGGACTGGGTGTGGATTGATCCCTCACTGGGGTTCAGAACTGTGTGGCACAGCACCCGGCAAATCAGCTGTGAATGGCATACATTCAGGTTACAGTTGATGCCAAGATGGAGCTTTAAGCTTGGAAAAGTGTAACTTTTGGGGAAGGAAGGAAAGATTGTGGAAAGAATGAAAAAGGAGGAGGAGAGAGAAAAGAAAAGAAAACATATTATGCTTTCTGTGCTGGATGCATACATTTTCTCATTTAACCTTCAGCACACCCAGTGAGGTGAGTATTGTTATTACCCCTAGGACAGGCATGATGTAAATGGGAAGGACAGTGGTCAAGACACTTGCCCACTCCACATAGCAACGATTCTCACTCCTGCCTGCAGGTGTGCTCGGTGGAGCGGGAAGAGGGCAGGTTGGAGGCGACAGAGGAGAGATGCTGGCTGATAGTCCTAGGGAAAGAGGATGGTTCCTGGGGTCACAGGACTAGAAGCAGAAAGAACAAGCGGGTGGAGTATCAGTTTCTACAGGGTTGAAGACAGCACTTCTTTAGCATCTAGGCTGCGGCTTCTAGACAACATTTTGTGTTTTCTCTGGATTCTTCTCCCTGGGAACACACGCTTTGTAAGTTACACTCTTATTTATGTTTGTCTTATTTCTGTTTATTTACCTATTCCCTTGGAGCTACCAGGAAGGGCTGTGGCCTGTGGCCGCTTTTCTTCTGAGTGGCACCAGCAGTTGGAAGCAGTGGGAGTGAGGAGGGAGGAGGCTGGAAGGCCGGCTGATGCCCAGGAGCATCTTCAAAGCCTCGTGGGAATTTGGCCCACCCACCGCTGCCCTTCCACAAATGGAATCTTTTCATTTTACCAGCCGGCCCAGAGCCCTTTCTGCAGATCCAGTTGAGCTCTGTAATCTCCATGAGACCACATGCTTCTTCTGAGACCTATTCCTTTGCCAAATGGGCACAGGATCCTGTGGCCAGAGGGAAAATTGGAAATGTGTGGGCCAGGCAGATACCCATTTCTGATGAGACTAGCAGCTTGAACAGCCTGAATAAGACTTTCAAAATCAGGCAAGGAAACTTCTGCACCGCCATCCCACCGTTCCTATTCTGTGACCTCAGGCCTGGATGTTGCCCGACAGCCCACCCACCACAGCACATTCCACCTGAAGCCACGGGGACGTGGGATCTTAGCTTCCCCTGGCTGCCTGGGAAAACCTGCTTTCGTGTCATACCTGGGCATTTCCACTTTCTCAGGGGCAGGAGGCTGCCATGGTGGCAATGTTGATGGGCAGCCTCTTCCTCCCTCTCTTCTCGCTCCCCTGTGTGAAGGATCTGGGCCTGCGTCTCACTGCCCTCCAGGAAGGCAGGCAGGAAAATAAAGGTGAGTGCAGCCCTGAGAAGAAGTGAGGCAGCCAGTAATGAAAAGGAAAATCAGTTCTCCTTCATGTTCCCCTTGGGTTTCCTTTCATGGCGTTACTGAAATCAGGGTCAAGAGGCCATCTGGTTCCTAACCCAGAACAACCCACTCCAGAAGACTGTAGGGACCCGCGAGGGTGACCACGTGCTCTCCCTTGGTGACCCCCACTGGCATTGTTGAGTCACTCTTTCCAACAGCCACCAAGCAGGCTCCCTTCTATCCTCTGCAGAGGTGAACCCCTGCTGGGCAGGGCCCCTCTACACTCAAGCCTGGCTAATAAAGGACTCCTAAACCCAGTGTGTGTGTGTGTGTGTGTGTGTGTGTGTGTGTGTGTGTGTGTGTGTTTTAACAGCTTTATTGAGATATAATTCACATACCATACAATACACCCATTTAAAGTGTACATTCAATGGCTTTTAGTATATTCACAGAATTGTGCAACTACCACTACTAATTCCAAACATTTTTATCACTCCAAAAAGAATTTCCTCAGTCATCCTTCCCCCAATCCTCCCAATTCCCAAGCCCTAGGCAATCACTAATCTACTTTCTGTCTCTGCAGTTATCAATTATGAGTATTTCACGTAAATGGAATCATACAATATGTGTCCTTCAGAAGGCTGGCTTCTTTTACTTAGCCTAATATCTTCAAGCTTTACCCATGTTGTAGCACATAGCAGTTCTTCATTCCTTTTTATGACTGAATAATATTCCAGTGTGTGGTTCTACCAGTCAATTTATCCATTCATCATGGACATTTGGATTGTGTTGACTTTTTGGCTATTATGAATAATTTTTTATGAACAGTCACGTACAAGTTTTTGTGTGGACATATGTTTTCATTTCTCTTGAGTGTATATCTAGGAGTGGAATTTCAGGGTCATTGTTCACCCTGTTTAATTTCTGAGGAACCGTCAGCCTGTTTTTCAAAATATGTTCCCAGTAGCAACGTATGGGGGTTCCAATTTCTTCACAGCCTCAATAACACTTGTTTATTATCTTTTTCTGATTATAGTTATCCTAATGGGTGTGATGTGGTATCTCATTGTGTTTTTGATTTGCATTTTCTTGACGGCTTGAATCTTTGTTTTTCAGAACTTTAAACCTTTCATCTTTCAACCCAGTCTCCAGTTCTCTGCTCATTTTGTCAGTCTGAAAGAGGTAGAAACTCTTCCCTGGGCCATGACAACATTAGCTCCCTGAGCACCCTGAGAAATCTGGGGTCTGTTTTGGCATTTTTTGAGATTTCTCACCGATAAAACCTTGTCAATTGCTATTCTTTGAAATTCTCTGAACTCTTTGAAATTTTCATATATCTATTTACAAAAGGGATTTTTCAATAAATTAATGGCATGAAAAGGGGGTACTGTTCTAAATTTAAAAAGGCATTAGAGACACAAACTAATGTAATGTGTACACTGTAGTTATATCATGATTTCAGCAAACTGACAGTGAAAAGACATTTTGGGGGCAATCTAAGAAAAGGCAGAAATATTAGATGACACTAAAGAACTGTCGCTAATTATGTTGGGTATGATGGTGTTGCAATTATATAAGAAAATCTCCATATTTTAAGAGATATCTACTGATATCCCTGAAGTAGAGATAAAATGACATGTCTGAAGTTTGTTGTAAACTACATCAGCAAAGGAAAAAGATGAAGTATAGATGGTACAGTTTGAACAACGGGATATGGAGGTTCACTCTACTTTTCTATTTCATATATGCTTGAAATTTGTCATAATAATAATAACTATGGAGACAATCCTAAAATATTAACGTAAGTTGAAAAACTATAAAATACCTGGGTCCCAGACTACAGAATGTCATTCATTTACGTTCAGTTAAAATATTTTTAGGTTTGTACTTAAAAAGTAACAAAACTGATTCAAACATATCTTATATATTGTATTTTAACTTAAAAGATTGTTCGTGGCTGGGCACAGTGGCTCATGCCTGTAATTGAAGCACTTTGGGAGGCCAAGGCAGGCAGATCATTTGAGGTCAGGAGTTTGAAACCAGCCTGGCCAACATGGTGAAACCACGTTTCTACTAAAAATACAAAAAAATTAGCTGGGCATGGTGGTGCATGCCCCTAATCCCAGCTACTGGGGAGGCTGAGGCAGGAGAATCACTTGAACCCGGTAGACAGAGGTTGCAGTGAGCTGAGATTGCACCACTGCACTCCAGCCTGGACGACAGAGTCTGAATCCATCTCAAAAAAAGAAAAAAGATTAGTCAATGTTTTGATGTTAAGACTTTTTTTCTTTCAGTGTGGGTCCTTCTGATTGGCATTTGTGTTTTGTTTTTGTTTGATAAACTACAGATACACTGTCTTATTTATAATTTTTTTGTTTTGGCTTCTTCAAAGGGAAATAAGAAGATATAGACACTATAGGACTGAGTGTAGAATCTTTCTGCGTTTTTCATTATTTTTCATCAAACACCGTCACTTACTTCAAACATCAAAACTGACTGCAAATATTTTTAGAAATTTACCTTTGTTTGCCCTTAATTTAGTTTTCTTTTTATATAACCAACAGATCTCTTTTTGCACTTGTATTTCATTGGTTTATTTGATACTCAAGTAAATTACATGGTTACAATTAAAGGACTGTTGCCATAAACAGGCTTGGGGACAAGTGCAGCTGCCCCCTGGTAAGCATATAGCTTGTATAGCTCAGCTGGTGGGAGTTAAAGCACAGGGTGTGGGCTTCATGTTGAGAGTCATTGGCCAGCACATTTTACAGGGAGATGAAAAATACTATGGTTTGAATGTATATGTCCCTCCAAAATTTATGTGTTAGAACTTAGCCCCCCAAATTAAGATAGTATTAAAAAGTTGCACCTTTGGCAGAGCGCTCACAGATGGGATTAGAACCCTTATAAAAGAGCTTGAGGGAGAGAGAACACCCCTTTTGTCCCTCTGCCATGTGAAGACACAGCAACCAGGAGCCACCCTGGAAGCAGAGAACAATATCTCAACAAACACCAAATCTGCTGGCACCATAGTCTTGAGCTTCCCAGCCTTCAGACTGTGGGAAATAAATTTCTATTATTTATAAATCACCCAGTCTAAGGTATTTTGTTACAGCTGCAAGAATGGACAAAGACAGAATATAGTAGGCTAAAAGGAGATCCACTTAAAAAGCTTCTTCTCTGCTTGGAACAGTGTTAGTTGACTAAATTTTTCATCATCCATCAAGTTATTTGAGTGACAGGTAGCTGGCCAACAAGTTCTTTGATTGAAGCTGCCGTCTTCAACATGGTGCTGCAGACAGTGGTTCATTCTACCCACGGGACTGTGGTCAGGACCCAGGAGGTACCAAACCTGGGAAAAGGGAGCTGGGAGATGAGTTAAGGAGGGTGAGTTACTTAATCAAGTAATGTCGGCTGTTGCTCTTTCCAGAGATTAAAGTTGTTCAAATGGTTCCCACAGCAAATTTATGCAGAGAATGGGGGCCAGCAGCTAAAACCCAAGCCTTCTGGACTCCACTGCAGCCTTTTCTTCAAACTCAGCTGGTCTCCCTGGGGTGAGGCTCGGGGTGGATGAGTGTTTGCTTCCCTCTTCCAGGCGGTTTGGCAGCCATCTCCTTGCAGAACATGATGTGCTCTTGTGGGAGCAAAAGAGGGGATGATTATGAATCACAGAGTATCAGAGTTGGAAGGGGCCTTAGTGACCTTTACTCCCACTGTCCCATTTTACAGATGAAGAGATTGTGGTCCAGATAAGAGGTTATGGCTTTTCACCAACTTGACCACCACACTGTTTATGTTCAGGAAACATAGATATGCTATTATGTATTAATTCCAAACTTCTGCTCCCAGTTTTCTGAAGCTCAGAGGGACACCTTGTATTGCTGGATGATAAAAACAGGAGCAAAGTGATGAAGTGCTGACAAGGCAACAATAGAACATGAGAGATTCACTGCTGTGTAGGAAGAGATCTTCGGTGACCATGTAGCCTGAAGCTCTCATTTTGTCATCGAGGGACACCAAAACTCAGAACAGGTTAGTGACTGAATTATCTAATGCATGAGCTAGGTAGGACAAGCATATGAATTTTAAAATGCTGGAAAATCATCAGTTGAAATACATTGCACCTGGGCTGCTAAGAGCCCCAGATTGGCTGGGTTCGTTTTATCTCATCCATCTCCTCACCAGTGCCTAGTACAGATACATAGTAGGTTCTTGATAAATGTTCTTTAAATAAATTATGAAGATCATCATTCAAGTTAACATAGCATAAGGCAAAATACATATTCCATAAGGAGATTAAAGGTAGTCAAGACCACAGTTGGTTGAAAGGGTAGGAAAGGCTTTAGGGTGGGCTTGAAAATGAGCGGGATTTTGAGGGTTGAGTTAGGGGAGTGGTAGATGGGAACATCATGTTCTCGTACAGGGAACAGTGAGCATGATAAGGAGGTAGAGGGCAGGTGACCCTGGAGTTTGGGGAACTTTGGGACATCTGATTGGCCACAGCATAGCATTGGAGCAGGGCAGTAGGGGTGGTGGGCTTGTCACTGAGGGCCCAGAACTCTCTGTCCTTAATTCTTCAGGAGGTTCTGGAGAGGTTTATAGTTTTGAGGAGGAGAAGGACATACATGACCCATTCTTGGCAACAAGACATTGCAGGATGCTGATATTCAGTTCGGACACAGGAATTTTCCCCACTTCATCCAAATGCCCTGGCTCTGGCTCTGTGAAGAGGTCAGAAAAACACTGGGGACTGTCTTTCTTCAGAAATACTTTTGGACCATCGAAGTTTTCAAGGAGATAAACATCCTTATGACGTTTCTGGTGGTCCAGGCCCATCTGGCCGAGGAAGTACAAAGATACATGAAGTTTAGGCACACTGGAGGGGAATGTTTGCTAAACATTCTTCATTCTTCAGAAAGGTTCAGGCTCAGTTCAACTTTGGGGGTGAGGCTTGAACTAATGTTGATTTTATCAGCACCTGTTTGCTCCAAGACTGCAGAAGAAAGATTGTTTGTATTCCTTCTTACGGTGCTGCTGGAGGAAACAACAATGACCATTTATTGGGTGTGTCCTATTACGTCCTCTGTTAGGCAGTTATGTATACTTTTTTTTTTTTTTTTAATTGAGACAGAGTCTTGCTCTGTTGCCCAGGCTAGAGTGCAGTGGCGCAATCTAGGCTTACTGCAACCTCTGCTTCCCGGGTTTAAGCGATTCTCCCGCCTCAGCCTCCCGAGTAGCTGGGATTACAGGTACCCGCCATCATGCCCGGCTAATTTTTGTATTTTTGTAGAGACCAGGTTTCACCACGTTGCCCAGGCTGGTCTTGAACTCCTGACCTCAGGTGATCCGCCCGCCTGGGCTTCCCAAACAGTTATGTATACTTTCACTAGTCTTTTCACAATTTTGAGAGGTAGTTTTAGAGGTGTGTGGTACCTGTTGTTTTCGTCTGTCCAGCAAGCTTTTCCGTTCCCCTGATATTTGTGGCCATGTGACCTGGGGCTGGCCAATCATAATCACTCATCCCCTGGCCACAGTGATTGGACCAGGGAGTGGGCACGGGACCCAATCTACACCAATCCCTCTCCTTTCCTGAGACTGATCCCTTGATGCAGGGAGAGAGAAGTACTTTCTGCCTGGGTCGCTACACTGAGGTTGCCCCGATTGCATGACAGTTGTACTGCAGCTCAGTCCTGCTTCCTTTATTTTCTTAGAGGTGTTGTTCCTGAGCACTGGCTTCAAAAACCTTGCTGCTCATTTATCTTGTCTCACGGTGGTCTCCCAGGGAACCAACCGAAGAGGAGGAGGAGGAGAATAGTGGTGGGGGTGGGTTGTTGACGTCTGACTTCAGAGAATTTTTCTTTCATCACACAATAAAATTAATAAAATAAAAAGACAAGGATTCGGGATGCCCTCGGAGTTCATCCATCATATTTTCAAAAGGAAATTTCAAGCCAGCAATCTTCCCATCAGCTTCAAGGAGTATTTTCTAGAATAGTTGAAGGGTGGTTTTGCCTAAAACCTGGGGGTTGGCATAGGTGGCCTTTCAAGGAGGCTTCTAGCTTCAAGTTTCTGTCAATTATGCTTTGCATATCTAAGAGCTGTTTGGGCTGGAGAATTTCAAAGAAATTTTCAATGTGCCAGGGTTGAGATTCAGCGTCTTTTTGCTGAGCGGGCATTGATGAGAAATGCCTCTGAACTCGCAGGGGTGATGCAGCCCCCTGGCCAGCCTGCCAACTCTACATACTCTCATTGCTCCAGCGCTGACACGCTTGCTCTTTTTAGGTCTAATATGGGCAAATCTATAGCAAGCATTCCAAAAGCTAAGACACTTTTAACTCTCTCCAGAGCAGCCAGAGATCCTCATAGCAAAGCCAGGTAACCCCAGGGGCCAGGGGCACCTTACACACTATCCCTGAGGGGCCGAGCTGGCTGAAATCAGCCTGCACCCTGCTTGCCAGCCGTGCGCGGGGACACTGTGTCCACTTGGAAGACTGAATGCCTTTCTCCAATTTCACACTGACTACTTCCTCCCTGCCAAAAGCACACCTTCCCTCCATCTGAAGATATAAAAGGAGCTTGGGGCCCCAGCATGAACAATTGCCAGGGCCTGGGACACACCTGTCATGGGCAGGTTTGTCCAGAGTTCACAGAGCATAAAGACTTAATCTGCTTTCACATTAAATAGGCTGATCGGATACGACAACAATTTCCCACTGTTCTTTGAATGGCAAACAGGATTTAGAGCACAAGGGAAGGAACTTTTTTGTATATATAACTTTTCATGCAGAAAGTTCACAGAGTTTACCTGTAATCTTAGCTCACAATCAGGCAAAAGGATTACAGCTGGGCATGTAGAGCTTATCAAAAAGCTCAGAGGGAGACCAAAGGAGGGCAAATGCAATTTTTTCTTTCCTTTCTTTTATGCCCATGTCAAAATGCACGCGTTGGTCAACATCTTGAAAACTCTCCAGCGGAGGTAACTCTACCTTCCTGTACCTTCATGCCCGGCTTCTTCTACCATCCTGTACCACCTTCCTGTACTACAACTATTAGGTAGGTGCAAAAGTAATTGCAGTTTTTGTCTTTAAAAAAAAAAAAAAGGCAAACACCGTAATTACATTTGCACCAACCTAGTACTTGAGGATGATGATAGAACACTGCCAGAGGAGTACTGCAGCCCCAGCCTCATGGCCAGAGCACCTTGGTCACTCCGAAGGGGCAAGTAGGCCTTATGTAAGGAGCAGGGCAGGCCACTTCTGGTGAATTGCATACCTTGCAGTGAGACATGGGCTGAGGGTCCCGGGATTGGTGAGAAAGGTTAGCATGTTTGTGCCCCAAATCTTCAGTCTGAGGAGGACGGGAAGAACCTCTCTAGAAACACTAAAGTCAATGGGAAATGAACTTGGGCTTGAGTTATTTTCTGATCAATTTGATTTAAATATAATGTTAATAAAAAGAATACATAAAACTAATAGCCTGAATGACAGACCCAGTGGATATGACTTGCTTGGGGAATTCGAGTGACTCTGGCTTTGAGTTTAATATGGCTTTTATTGAAGAAATTTTTCTTTAATGGTAAAGAAAAGAAGTAAATCACTAACACCTTAGCAAGAGTGAGTTTGTCATCTGGAATCAGGGGAACAAGAGGAGAGAGCTGGGAGTTGTGTGGGAGTTAGGATGAGGGTAGACAGGAATCTGGAAGTGAAGGGGAAAGGCCTAATAAGGGAGTTTGTTCCCATCCTGCAAGCTCGACTTTTTCATGAACTTTTTCAGAGTTAAAAGAGCACACTATATTCAGTCCTAGCCTCTGTTTTGTAGCCGAAGTGTTGGGAAATGTGCATTTCCTTGTTTCTGCACAATAGGGGTGCCTCAGACCTCCAGACATAAACAATGTATCCCGCAGGCCAATGCTTCTGAGTCAGGTTTGGGCTACAGGATCCCACCAGAATCAAGGAACAGCCAGCCTTACTGAAAACTAAGCCACCCTGAGCAAATCCATTTTGAATTCCAAAGTTAATGTGAAGCACCTATGAAAATAAACATAGGCAGAAGCAACTGTTAGAGGGAACACCGTTGCTCTATTTGTTCTGTGGGGGCTAGATACCTAGAGGAAGCTCTCCTCCTACAAACAGAATAGACTATAGGATCTGGAGAAAAGAGGAAACAAATCAGCCAGAGAGTATGTAGCTCTAGATTAGTTGGGCTTCTTGTGTTCCTAAATGTTTTTCTTCACAAAAGCCCCTTGATCATGTGGCAGTCCATCTACCCGTCCATTTGCCCATCAATCTATGCATCCACTCATCCTTCCATCTATTCACTCATCATCCATTCATCCACACATCTATTCATCCACCCATCTCTCCACTTATCATCCAATTATTCATTCATCCATCCATCCACTCATCTATTCATCTATGATCCACTCACTCATGTATCTATTCATCCACTCATCTATCAACCCATCATCCATTCATCCACCCATACATTCACTTATTCATCCAACTGTCTGCCCATTATCTACCCACCCATCCCCCCTACCTATCCCCCTACTCATCTACCTCTCCATCCATCCCCCAAACACTACTTGATACCCATTACATGTGCCAAGCTAAGGACAGCTGGTCAAACATACTTATCTACTCACTGGGTGGGCAGGAAGTAGGGTGTTCTCTTTGGTAAAGGAAATGGCTGACAGACATAATAAGGCTCAGTAAGATGCAGTAGAGCATAGAGATAAAAAACACAGGCTTCATCATTAGTCCATCACTTTCTAGCTATGCAGGAAAGTTACCTAACTTCTCAGCACCTCAGTTCTGAGGTGAAGGAATAATAGTTCCTGCTTTACAGGGTCGTGGTAGGAATTAGATGATTCAATGAAAGCTAAGTGCTTAGCACAGTGCCTAGCACATATGATGTGCTCAATAAATTTTAGCTTGTGTTATTAAAAGTAGAACGTCTGGAGAACCAGAGTGAATTATGTAATCTAAAGAGGCAGCGGGAAAGGGGTTTCTTAACCCATTTCCCATTTGCCCCGGAACACTTGCTGCTGCAGAGTTTACCCCAAGATAACTCACAGATTACAGTCCTAATCTTACCACCAAAGTTTGCCACAGAATATTTCGCTTTTATTATTATTTTTGCATCGCTGTGGTATATTGACTTTGGAAAAAAATACATCATTCCATTTATAGCATTCTGTTTTTAGTAGTGGTGTTTCCGTTTATAAAATATAGTCATTCTTGATCACGGAAAATGTCAAATCCTAGAAAATGTAGCATTCCTATGCATAATGTTAATTCTGTGGTGAGCTTATGGCACTGAAATGGTGTGACAAGAAGGAGGTGACAATGTTGTCAACATTCCACAATGATACTGTGATTGAAGTAAACAACAGAAATGGAAAGAAGACTAAGAAGCCATGTGTCATTTTGGATTATCACGAGAATGTGGGAACAGTGGACTGGCTGATCAGATGCTCACTTCCTATCCAACTGAGCACAAAAGGCACAAGGTTTCGTCTAAGAAATTCTTTTTTGTTTATTTATTTACTTATTTTGAGATGGGGTCTCACTTTGTCGCCCAGGCGGGAGTGCAATGGCGCGATCTTGGCTCATCGCAACCTCCACCTCCTGGGTTTAAGTGGTTCTGCTGCCTCAGCCTCCTGGGTAGCTGGAATTACAGGCATGTGCCACCATGCCCAGCTAATTTTTGTATTTTTAGTAGAGATGTGGTTTCTCCACATTCGTCAGGCTGGTCTCTAACTCCTGACCTCAGGTGATCCACCTGCCTTGGCCTCCCAAAGTGCTGGGATTACAGGTGTAAGCCATGATGCCTGGCCTTAATTATATGTATACTTTTTTATTTTTGAGATGGAGTCTCGCTCTGTCGCCCAGGCTGGAGTGCAGTGGTGCAATCTCGGCTCACTGCAACCTCTGCCTCCCGGGTTCAAGCAATTCTCCTGCCTCAGCCTCCCGAATAGCTGGGACCACAGGTGTGCGCCACCACACCCAGCCAATTTTTGTGTTTTCAGTAGAGACAGGTTTTACCATGTTGGTCAGGCTGGTCTCGATCTCCTGACCTCAGGTGATCCACCCACCTAGGCCTCCCAAAGTGCTGGGATTACAGGCATAAGCCATCTGCCCAGCTGGTCTAAGAAATTCTTTTGTCACCCTCTAAACATTGCAGTGCTAAGCTCCTACATCCTGTTCTGGAAGGACAATCCTGAGCACACGATGAGCCATATAAACTTCAGACTGACGCTGAGTGAAAGAATGCTGGAAAAGCATCACAGGCCAGGGCAGCAAAGTCTTCAAGGTCATCCGTGCTCTGATGATGTCACGCTTCTTCCCTGTCTGGAAGACATTTCCCCAAGAGCATACCACCAACATCAGGGAAATGGAATCCAACTGGTCGCTGCAAAGTTTGCTGAGCACACAGTGATAAAGATGGCAAGAAGGTCCTGAGAGAAACGCAATATTTTTGTGCAGAATGGGATGTTCTGCCTTTGTCCCATGCTTTGAAATTTACCACATGAAAAATAAAATTAAATACTGATCATCATATACGTTTCTGTTATATTAGGATTAGAGACAAGTTCTGTTTAGAAATAACTCCAAGAACAGTTTTTATATTTTGTTTTCACATTGAAAAATCAGTCAGATTTGCTTTAGCTTCAAGGAACGTGTTTATGTAAAATTAAATGAGCGCTGGCAGTGAGCTAGCTGCAGATTTTTTTTTTCTAAATGGGATATAGGACAGAAAGATGCGTTCGCGGCCATGACCAGGCTCTGGGTACTTTACAAATGCCCAGTGGCTGGGCATGGAAGGAATACATTGCTGGGGGAAGTTAAAACCTAGGGCTTTCTCGCCTGTTGTCTTCCTGTTCCCGTAAGTCCAGCAATGGCTCAAACCAATAGTGTAGCCAAAAAACAAAAGGCCCTGATAAGGAAAGCCAGGGGTTGGGGGACACCTCAGAAAAACAGAGCAGGGGAGGTCAGAAGACCTTGGAGGCAGAAATTCTGTAGGATACTGACAAGAGGCCAAACTGGCAGCCAAGAGAGGTAGCTGAGGCTCTGAGAGACAAGGCAGATGGAGCCCCTGAGCCTGGGGGTCCCTGGCTCTTCTCTATTAAATATTCCTCCAAGAAAGCAACTGATAAAGGGAGGTCAGGAGTGGCCACAGAAAAGACAAAGGCTGGGCCTAAGACTGAAGTTCCTACAGGCAACATGGTGACTTCTGCCAACCCACTGGAATGTCTGGAAGAAATAAAGGCCCTAGTCAGGAATCAGGCATCTGATTGGAGATATGATCTGATATGCAGAAGCCAGAAGATACTGTCCCTGGCAGGGGAGAGTGGTGACCGCCCAATAGACGTCCCACACACTTCTTTTGGCCAACTGGTAAGGGAGAATGCTGTGGTTAACAGGAGGATCTCACCAACCCTGGGAGAGGGTCTGGGAAGCATGAACAGAACAGGTGGAGGTGAGTGGGTCCCACCAAAGATGGGCAGCAAAGGCCCTGGGGCTACCTCAGTGGGATCTGCCATTAAACATCTGTGGGACTCTTTCTGTATATCTTGAAGGTGGAAGCTAAGTCTCTGAACACCCACTGCGGACAGCAGTGAGAACCACCACCTGGGGTGAGCTACCTTCATCTCTAGTGGTGGCATAAAGTCTGAGGAAGATTGGAGACCCAGAAAGAAGGAAAGAGAAATTGGAGAAGAATTCCTCCTTCTGGTCCTAAAACTCTGAACTGGGAGAGAGACAGGCTATGGGAGAAGATTGAGATGGATTAGAGAATTCCTCTTAAGGACCTCTTCCCTAGCCCCAACCCCAAACATGGAAAGAAAGGAAGATCCTGAGTTCCTTCAAGGGAAATTCTAGGCACCTAGCTAGTTCTGAGAAGTAAATAAGCAACTTGAAAAGCAAGAAGGTAACAGTAGCTTAAAACAATAGCCAGGGAAGCTAGAATCACAGAATGTTTCGTTCCCCTACAAAAACTAAAGATAACATCTTACCATGTCTCTGAGTTGCTTCTCAGAAACTGGGACCCCCCACCACATGGATCTTCTTGCATGTAGACCTCAGATAAGGGGGAATTGGGGACTGAACTCAGCACTGTTCTTTGTTCTAAATTTCTTTCTGAGAGGCCTGGAGGAAGTCATAACCAACCAGAGTAACATTCTTTTGCACTGACCCCAAATTTTTAAACAAAACTTCTCTTCTTTAACCAATTACAGAAAATCTTTGAATCTAACTATGACCTGTGAGCCCCCTGCTTCAACATATCCCACCCTTTTCGGCCAAAATCAATATGCGGGTGTTCAGAGACTTAGCTAAATCAGTATTGATTTGTGGTTTTGTCTGTAACTTCTGCTTTCCTGAAATTTATGCCTGCCTTTAAAAATCTTTACCTACAAGCCATATGGGGAAGGCTGGGACTTAAGCATTAGCTGCTCGATCCTCCTTGCCTGGCACCCTGCAAATAAATACCTTCCTTTTTCCTGCTATGAACCTTGGTGTGGGTATCTGGTCTTACTGTGCTGAGCCAATGGACCCCAGTTTGGTTCTATAACAAGATAATGGTTATTTTCACACTTACACAGTAGAGAGCCTCACTGCCTTAGGAGCAGATACTCCTGAGGCAAGGCAGATCCCAAAGATGCTAGGATGAACTAGCTGAGTTTGTCTAGGATATGCCACATACATGGCACCCAGAGAATCCTACCTTGTCCTATAAGATGCATAAAGATGGGCTCAAATACCAATTCAAAGACCTGTGGACAAGAAAAATCACCCCTACAATATCCACAAATTCTAAAAAGACTTGCTTGTTGTCAGCCTTGGCTTTTGAGTTCCTGCTTCCACTGAATTAGTTCAGTTTCTGACTCAGCTCTTCAGTCTGTAGATGTTGTCTTTGTTTTACATCAAAGTGACCCACATGTGGGACTTGGCCTATACACTTGACTTCCACTAAAAAAGCCACTCGTACTCAATGTGAATGCCTGTAAAGCAGACTGTCCTGAAGGGGTTAGGAAGCTGTGGAGATAGTTACATCAGAACAGAGCAAATGACTTTGGAATCTGAAGCAGACCTCCTTGTTCTTAGCAGTTTTTTGGCCTCTCAACCACGTGGCTTGCCATCTTTCTTCTTTCTCCATCACCCTCCCAATAAATCTTTTCTGTTCAAGTTCCATTGAATTCTAATTCAGAAAAGTTTAATTATCTTCTAATGAGCTTGTCTTCAGCTAAGTCATGATTCAGGGTCTCACCTTCTAACCCCAGATGTTTATCAGGGTCTTTTCTTTAACAAAGACAGTCCTCTCTGAGAAGAGGGTTATAATTTTTTTCACTCCATTAAGCCTGAATGAAGGTTGACTACAGAAGAGAAAGGATGCTGCTTTTCTTTGCTGACCTGGGAGAAGATAGACTTTTTTAGCCCCTGTGAAATCTGTGAAGGTGGTTCAAGAAGCAAAGATTGAAGGATGAGGTCTTCACCCTTCCTCTACCTGGAGAAGTTTTCCTTGTGCTGGTGAGAGAAGACATGTGCTTACTTTATCTTCTCCAAAGAGCAGGGAATGACTTTGAACTTGAGGTGGGTGCTTTTTCCAGAGCAGATGTTAATCAAAGCAGCCAACCCTAGTTCTGGAAGTCATCCTTGACAAGGCATTTCTTTTAGTAAAATTCAAACAAAATTTAAACCTTCACTAAGAAAAGGAAACGGAGTGGTTCAGAGTTATTGCTATGACTAGTGTCTTGCTAAGCTACCCTAGAAAAAGGGAAATGGACCACCTGTCCCCTCCATTCTTTGCCCACTCTAGGAAATACACAAAAGAATAGAAAGGACTTAACAGTTGTTTACTGGCCAGTCTCTGTACTGAATACTTTGGATATATGATCAATCTAATCTTCCGAGAGAAGAATCTTCAAAATTTCTCCAAGACATTTGTCCCCATTATATGTGTGAAAGGAAAATAAAAACTCAGGATCTCAATTCACTATGCCAAAGGAAAAAAAATTAAGCTAAAAGCTGAGTCATGCAAGAAGCTGCCTTTCTTTTTGTTTCTGAGCAGATAGCTGCAGATAAGAGGTTAAATATCTCCACAGGCAGTTAGTCTATGTTCACTTTATCTTATGAAAAGTGCCAATTTACTGAGCACAAGATGAATACATAATTGACTATTCCTCTACCTGCTCCTTTTCTCTTGCAATATAGGGATTACCATACCCTTCCTCTTTCCCCTCCAGTCCACTTTTTCCCTTTAAATATTGATGTCCTCAAAATCACCTTTGGAGAAAGGCACAGACCACAGACTATTTCTGTGGCTCTGTCTTTATTTATTCTGGGCATGTCCTTAACCTTGACAAAATAAACTTCTAAATTGATTGAGACCTGTCTCAGATATTTTTTGGCTTACAAATTGGCGGCTGACGGAAGGGACTCTGAGAGGAGGTGCCCCTGACCTTTGACAAATCTCTTACCAGTACTTGGTTCCAGCCTAGGTTATCTTTGTTGCTCAAAGATAAGACAATTTTCTGAGGTCTGGGAGCAACTCCCTCTGGAGAATCCCTGATCACCCCAAATTTGGTTGAGATCTAAGGTTTATTTTGAAGTACAACTCCTTTTCTGGAGTTTTACTCACTTCCAACAAAAAAGGCGAGTTTTCCTGTTTCCATGACAATGGATGGCAGGCAACTCCTTTCTGGAGTTTCAGCTTGTATCCAACAGGGAAGGTGAGTTTGAGTATTTTACTGCTTCTAAAATGGTAGAGAGGAGTATTGAGCCTGGGCGCCACTCCTAGGTAAGTAGCTGAATTGGAGTTTTGTCTTGAAAATCCTGCTTAATGACTAAGAGTTAAGATTGACAACCAGCTGATCTTAATTTCCTTTTAACACTAAAGTGCTCAGTAATCGCATTGGTTTTGTTGTTGTTGTTGTTGTTTTGTTGTTTCCTTATTATTTTAGTCTTTCTCACATTGGATTCGACCAACTCTACCTTATTTGGTCAAATCCAAATGAGAATTTCAAGTTATGGTGAACAATGTTTTTGAATTGGCTAAAACTCCTCACAGCTGCAAAAAAGAAGAAAGAATCATACGCTTGGTTTCGTTAGCAGCAGCAAATCTATATGAGTATGCAGCAACTTGATTCTTGCCTCCTCAGAGGAAAGAATTCGTCTGAGGGGCATAAGGCAGAATGAGAGACCACGGCAAGTTATAAAGCAAGAGTGAAAGTTTATTAAAAAGTATTAGAGCAGGAATGAAAGGAAGTAAAGTACGCTTGGAAGAGGGCCAAGAGGACAACTTGAGAGATCCAAATGTAAACTTGGGTTTTTTTATGTTGGCATGCTTCCGGGCTCTTGTGTCTCTTCTGCCCTGATTCTTCCTTTGGGATGGGACGTCCACATGTGCAGCGGCCTCCCAGAACTTGGGAGGGGCCCCAGCCACAGTGTGTTTGCTGAATTTTTGCGCATGCTCACTTGAGGCGTTGTTCTCTTACCAGTAGAGTGTTCCTAGAGGAAGGTCATATCCCAGCTAAACTGCCATTTTGCCTCTTAGCATGCGCATGCTTGACTCCACTCACCCAGCTCCTGAGATCTTATTGACAGCAGCTGATCACCAGCTTCAGGTGTTTTCTATCTATTGGGAGACCACCTTTCCCTGCTGCTGGCTTTGACCAATTGTTTTGGACAGACAGTTTAATAACTGCCTGACCATCACTTGACAGTCTCCTGGCAGTCCTGGTTGAGGGGTAGGGCACTGCCCTGCCTTGCTTATGTCTGCCTAACTACCTACTCAAACAGGTTCTCTGTTCACTTCCTTTCTTAAAAGATTGTTCTTTTGTTTACTTTTCTTCCATTCTATTCCTCCTTCCCCTTTTGCCATCTTTGGTACCAAGCAAATTCAAAACAAAACATAGAGAAGGCTTCTAATCAGACCCTTTAAAGAACTCAGAATAAAGGTGCCACTCACCCTTTTTCGGGGTGTCCTGCTTTCTTTGTGGAGTTTCAAAAGTCACGGGCAGATTTTTCTCAGGTCTAAAGCTCTGCTTTCTTGTATTGCATTACCTGATGTCTTTGTCTTTGGTGGGGGTACCAGAGATTACCTTGTACTGTGAGAGAATTTGGCCTTGGTGTGTGTAGTGGTGGCAGAGAACCACAATCTTAGGGATGGCTAAGGACAGTTTATAGGAAATGGTCATTACTACAGGGGGCTACTTATTTCTTTGTACATTTAAATTAAGAAAATTGTACAGGCTTTCTTGGCCCTATTCCTTAAAGGGATCTACCATAAAGCTAGTAATCTAATCAAGCTAAATTGAAAATAACACCTATCAAACTGAGTCACTTTAATAAAATTCTTTGCAAAGGAAATTTACATCTTTACAGGAAATCTCCACTTAGTAAGAGCTTCTGGGTCCCTACAATGGCTTGAAGTTCACATAAAAGACATTGCCTTTGTTTAGATCTAAGCGTGTGCCTTTGAGATGTACATTTTCTACACTGTTTCACCTAAGTCATGTCTTTGGGATGCAAATTTACAGTTGCCTCATTAACAATTGTTCAGGACATGGAACAGATAATCATGAGATTAACAGTCTAAAATAGAGAAAAGTTTTGAAAACAGGCAAATGAGAACTTTTAAATCTGTAAGATCTGCCTCTGTCTGGGTGTCTATTATGTCTATATGTTCCTATGTCTCATGTGGAAATAATATTTCACTATCAATTATGTGAAAGAGCTCTAATTAATTGGCTTAAAGAAAAGTCAGTGTTCATCAACTTAATAGAAGCTAGCTCAGAGGCTTTTCAGTTCACATGACTTTAGTAATCTTTGGTAAGATTAATTTGGTAAATTTTGTCTCAAAATCCTCTCCAATAATTTAAAATCTTAAAGGCATGTTAAGTTAAATTAAGTAATCCTAGGTTTTTTACTGGGAATTAGAGTTACTAAAAGTTAGATTAGTAGGATAGTATGATGTGTTTTTGGGGAAGTTTATAAAAACATGAGGATGTGGTTTTTGCTTAAGAAAATGTAAATTTTTTTCTAGTTCAGAGGACCTTTCTACTGATGTTGAGAGAAAAACCATGTTCGCATCCAACTGTTTTTTGGTAAACTGGTTAAGTTTGTATTGGTATCTCATGGCTAGAGTTCTGAAGTAAAAGCTATAGGATCTTTATTTGTATGAGTGTGTGTGGGCTTAGGTGTGTTTATGTATACCTACATGTGTATTGTTATGTTTATGGCCACAAGGTACCAAACTGGCTTAAAAATAAAGGAGAACTCACAAATTCAGTAAATAAGCCCAGTTGCTTTTCAAGTTAATGTGACTTAAGTAGAGTTTTAATAAATAAACTGGCTTTAAAATTATTGGTAAAATAAAATTAGAAATGTGTTCAGAATCGCCAACATACATTATTGTTTAGATTTATTGGTCAAGCAATTTTATATTTTTTTCTCTTAAATACTATAAGGTGTCAAGATTTGGCATGAGGGTTGTAAAGCTATAAATGTAGCCCAAAAGAGAATTATATTTGTGTAACTTTTCGATAAATAAAGCATTTAATATTGTTGGTTTAATGAAAATAGCTAAATCCTGAGTTATTGACCAAAAAAAACCCAAAACATTTATTTAACCTTAATATTCTTACTTAAGTAAACACCTGAAATTCACAGCCTATAAAAATTGTTAACAGGGAAATAACTCTAAATGATGACCATCACAGTTTTCATATGTAATCTAGATCAACTATTTAAACAAATTAAATAGGCAAATGTAATAGAATAAATGCTTGTAAATAAACTTGTCATATAATTTAGAACCTAAAGTTAAATTAAATAATATATATTAATTAAATACCTGGGTCATTTCCAATTTTTTAAATAAAAATTATAGAAAATCATTTTTCTAAAAAACAATGTGTTCTTATTAAAAGGAAACAATTTTTGTCTAACTCAAAAGTTATTTAAAGGTTGTTTATAAAACAAGCTAAAGGGAACCAGTAAATAAGAGAGATGTAAAGAAAGTTATACATATAAAGAGGTATTTGGGGTAAGAAAGATTAAAAGGAAAATCATTTTATATGAGAAAGGATCTTGTATGGTAAATTTTTTGACCTAAAATAAAATAACTGGTTATTTAAGAAAGAGTGATATTTAGGATAAGACAGGACATCTAAGCATGTCATAAATGTTTGTGCAAGTTGGAATAAGGGTTGTGAAAAGAGAATTTATTAAAAAGAACTTTATGTGATCAAATTGGCTATAATTAAAAGGAAATTATAATATTCTTTGGTATTTAACAATACACTAACAAATTAAAGAGTTGGTTGGAACAACAAATTTATCTGAAGGTATTGATTTAATCTTAATAAAATTATAAGAGCTTTTAACTTTTTTAACCCAAAAGTTCAACTTTTATTGCATGTCATTATTTTCAGTTTTCTCTTCCCTTTGAGAAGGCCTGAGACAATAATGTTCTCCTTCAACTTTTTCGTCAGCTCTTGTAATTTTTTTCCTCAGGTTCTAACTTCCATTGTGTCCTGATACTAAAAATGTTTTATCTAAATGGTCTAAAGGAAATATTTTCTTCCAATATAACATTCTGTGCTCTTGGCTTTAAATTCTTCTATGAAATTGAAAACTTTCACTTATGACCCAGGACCTACTCTTCCTATGTCTAACTAATGCAAGTCCTAGGAAAACCAAGATTTAAAAACATTAAGGTTATTATATCCATGTAACTCTCTGTGTTGCTTTTGAAGTCCTGTGCTGTTAAGTTACAGGGCTTTTACTTTTGGATCTAGAGAGGACTCCAGATCCTGTTAAATCTTAAACACTGACAGCAGTTAAAGCCTTATTTGCCAACCCAGGAGAAGACGACTATCAAAATAAACTGTTCATGAGACACAGAGCCAGAAATTAAAACTATTTAACCCTTCTAGGCCCTGGGACTACCACAGAAGAGACAGGCACATGAGATTGTAGGGCTGATTTTGAGAAATAAAATTAGTTTAAAGTTTCTCTATGAATTAAACATTAATATCAACGTTACATGGATGCAAGGCCAGCATCTGGGCCCCTGTGTCAGATTAACAAGATTTTCTTGGAGTATTAACTAACACTTTAATTTAAAAAATTGTAAAATATTATAAAAAAGTTTATAGAAATTATATGTTATAGTCAAGTGATTAAAATTTAATAGATTTGTTTATAAGATTTGTGAGACATTTAATTGGCCTCATGCTGTCTTTGTCAGGGCTTATTGTTTGGGGAAGTAAGTCTCCTCTCTCAAAGAATAAAGGTTTTTGCCTTTTTTTGAAATCTTCGAGTTATCACTTTGGCTAAATGAATGACTGTCTTTATAATGACCTGCGATCCTATTTTGTGATATCAAGTGTTTTAAACTTTAGATATTTGACAAACTTTCCAAAATCATATTCTAAATTCAGTCCTTTTGACCTCATTAATGTTTTGATATTAGGTCTCATGAAGTCCAAAAGAAATGTATTTGGTTTATTTGGTACAATAAAATAATAAAGGAAGCATTGTCAAATACAAAATGGTATTTAATCTTCTTTGGATAATATTTACATAAATGTGCTATTAGTGTTTGTTCCAAAATTATATGAGAATCCTGTGATTCTGATATGTCTTAGTATATGTTATCAGTAGTAGTAATTATGACGATTATGTAAAACTTTGTATGCCACAGAAGTAAACAATTTTTTTGTCAATTGTGTCTTTAACCATGACTGGTCTAAGATCTTTGTCATCTGTGATTTACTTTGATCCTTTTTTTTTTTTTTTTTTTTTCCCGAGACGGAGTTCACTCTTGTTGCCCAGGCTGGAGTGCAATGGCACGATCTCGGCTCACCGCAACCTCCGCCTCCCGGGTTCAAGTGCTTCTCCTGCCTCAGCCTCCCGAGTAGCTGGGATTACAGGCATGCACCACCATGCCTGGCTAATTTTGTATTTTTAGTAGAGACAGGGTTTCTCCATATTGGTCAGGCTGGTCTCGAACTCCCAACCTCAGGTGATCCACCCGCCTCGGCCTCCCGAAGTGCTGGGATTACAGGTGTGAGCCACCACGCCTGGCCTACTTTGATCCTTTTATAGGGCCGTTTATAATCAGCTATAGAACTCTGAGGAGTACTCTTAAATATAGGTTTCTGGTAAATTGAGAGATTGTGCCATTGGAATAGAGAAAAACTTCCAGGACTCTCAGGGAGGTCTGATGTATTCATGAGGATTGTTGATCCAATATCGAGCAGAACAGGAGTTAATTGAATGGACTGAACTAACTGAAGATTGAAATAATCTTTTATGACTTTTTGTTTAAAACATTTGCTGATTCTTTTTGTTTTGTTCTTCAAAGTCAAGAAAACTTTCTCTTCTTTTAAGCTATTTGCAGCTTTTAACAACTGAGTAAAGTATGCTCTTATGAGCAAAATTAAAAACATATCCTTTCCCTCAACCTAATTTCTCCAAAATTTGGAAACTATTTTTTGAGTATTCTTAATTTATGACAAAATAATTATTTGCATAAGTTCAATAAGGATCTGTTTTCTTTTATAAGAGGGCATAATTGGAGACACTGGTTGTTTTACCAAGGCCTTGACTGAAATGGCATTTTCAGATTGCCTTGAGAAAGGGAGGCTGACCTACAGAGCTGATAAAAGCCCCTTGAAAAACTGGCTTTATACATTGTTCTTTACAGGGTCCTGACCTGTGTTAAGTGAAGAATGTCACTTTCTGGCAGGCCTAGGAACCCCAAGTTTTCTTGGCACCTTAAAAAGAGAGAAATTCACCCAATTCACACAGGTATCTGCAGGCTGGGCTCAAGGCTTTTAAGAAGGTCTAATCTTAGACTCCTTATGAAAAAGGTTACAGCAAAGCCAATTTAAAAAAAAGAGAGACAGCCTATATGACAAGTGATTATTCTTGCTGCAATTTATGCAAATAATTAAGGCAAGTATAATAGAACTAAAACTTATTTTACAAATAAATTGGTCCTACTACGATTTTGTCTTTAATAAAATTGGGGAATTGGAGAGAGAAAAGTTATGTTTCCAAATAAACTGTGTACACCTGTTATTAGATTCTAACCTTGCCTAAGGCTTTTTAATTTTTATTGTTTTCTACAATTTGGACTGAATTCTAAAATTTTTTCTGGCTACAAGTCTCCAAAATAATGTTTTCAATTTGTTTCCTTCTTTTCCTTTTTTCCCCATTTTTCCTGATTTGAAAATCACGAAAAACTAAACTGTGCTTTTTTAAATGCCATACAAACTGAAGCTAGACAACTTAAACTTTGGAAGAAAATAATAGCATCCTGTTTATATAGATAAAACACTTTCATACCTGCCTACTGATGTATGGACTTCAGAGTAATATGGCCTATATCAGGTTTCCAGGATTGTTCTCCTTTTTTGTTTGTTTGTTGTTTTCTTTCTCTCTTCCCTCTCCTATGTTTTTTTTTTCCTTTGTGGGATGTAAGGCTTCACAACTTACTAAAGGTGAGCTTGCCTAACAACTTGGGACCTATCCGTCTAGGAATAAACTGTCCTTGCCATCAGACATCAGATAAAACCCAATACCAGAGACTCACTTTCTTCTAAAATGCTTTCTCTGAAAGCTTTTAAAAAGAAAAGGGTGGAGAAATGTGAAAGGAAAATAAAAATTCGAGACCTCAATTCAGTATGCCAAAGGAAAAAAATTAAGCTGAAAGCTGAGTTATGCAAGAAGCTGACTTTCCTTTTGTTCCTAAGCAGATATCTACAGATAAGAGGTTAAATATCTCCACAGAGTTATTCTATGTTAGCCTTGTCTTATGCAAAGTGCCAATTTACTGAGCACAAAACAAATACATAATTGACTATTCCCCTATCTGTTCCTTTTCTCTTGAATTACCATACCCTCCCTTGGATTACCATACCCTCCCTCTTTCCCCTCCAGCCCACTTTTCCCCTTTAAATATTGAAGCCCTCAAAATCATCTTTGGAGAAAGGCACAGGCCTTTCTCCTCTTTCTGTGACTCTGTCTTTATTTCTTCTGCAAATGTCCTTAACCTTGACAAAATAAATTGATTGAGATCTGTCTCACTTTTTTGTTTACATAAGGATAAAGAAACTGGGACTTGGAGAGGCAAATGGACATTTGCAAAATCTTAAAGCCAGTGAAAGGTAGAGGCTGACTTAAAGTCAGTTCACCCTACTCCAAATCCCAGTGGTTTTCTACTGTTATGCAAATCCCCTCCTCTCACATGGCCCCAGCATTCCATAGTGGCTGCATGTACAAGTGAGACTAGCAGAGGAAAATGCCACAGGACTGAAGGATGCAGAAAGGAACAATGACACTGAGATCTGGGGAGGGGCTCTGTAACTACAGTCTTTGTGTCTTTAGGTCTTAGTTTTCCTTTGGTTCTTGGGAAAGCACCTTTGGAAAAACTCTAATCTGTCTCAGCTGAACAATGGGCAAAGATACTTTGTTCCTGTCTTGTCCTGCCCCTGTTCCTTTTCCTTTAACATCCCATAAAGTCACAAGTGGGAGCAGAGCTGGAAGAACTCAGGGAATGATGGCCCTCACCCTAAGTACACCTTCAAGCCAGGCACTATGCTAGAATTTATAACCTCATTTACTCCTCCTAGCAACATTCTGAGGTATTGTTGATTGGCCTTATTTTCTAGGTAAAGAGGTTAAGAAAAATGAACAACTCAATGATTAAACATATAGCTAGTCTATACTCTCTCTTATCTCTGAACACTTTTCATCTGGAGCTATTAATGCCCTCTAGCCTTTATTATAATTATCACATATAATTATGCCTTTTCTCCTCAAAATTATCTGTTGGAGTCATCTTATAGTAGAGTCTTTACAGAACACAAAGCATTCAATCACTTTATTTCAGACACCAACCTTGTTTTTGATGAACATATGTTAGTCTTAAGCCATCTAAAGTAATGCTAATGTGGGATCTTATGGAAGACTACTGGTAATACAGGAAAAAAAGTGGCAAAGAAATCTGACACGTTTGGCAATTATTCCTGAGGCTCTGACCTCTCAATTGTTGAGTGTTGGAGGTCACAGTAAACAAACCATATAAAGATCATGTTGAAAGTCAACATTATTAATATACCATACTTGAAGGATATGTGGTTATTGTCTCACGTGTCCATGTGAAGAGACCACCAAACAGGCTTTTCTTTTTTAATTTTATTTTATTATTATTATACTTTAAGTTTTAGGGTACATGTGCACAACATGCAGGTTTGTTACATATGTATACATGTGCCATGTTAGTGTGCTGCACCCATTAACTCGTCATTTAGCATTAGGTACATCTCCTAATGCTATCCCTCCCCCCTCCCCCCACCCCACAACAGTCCCCGGTGTGTGATGTTCCCCTTCCTGTGTCCATGTGTTCTTATTGTTCAATTCCCACCTATGAGCGAGAACAAGCGGTGTTTGGGTTTTTGTCCTTGAGATAGTTTGCTGAGAATGATGGTTTCCAGCTTCATCCATGTCCCTACAAAGGACATGAACTCATCAATTTTTGTGGCTGCATAGAAACAGGCTTTGTGTGAGCAAAAATGCTGTTTATTTCACCTGGGTGCAGGCAGGCTGAGTCCGAAAAGAGAGTCAGCAAAGGGTGGTGGGATTATCATCGGTTCTTATAGGTTTTGGGATAGGCGGTGGAGTTAGGAGCAATGTTTTGGGGTCAGGGCGTGGATCTCACAAAGTACATTCTCAAGGGTGGGGAGAATTACAAAGAACCTTCTTAAGGGTGGGGAGAATTGCAAAGAACCTTCTTAAGGGTGGGGAGAATTGCAAAGAACCTTCTTAAGGGTGGGGGAGATTACAAAGTACATTGATCAGTTAGGGTGGGGCAGAAACAAATCACAATGGTGGAATGTCATCAGTTAAGGCTATTTTCACTTCTTTTGTGGATCTTCAGTTGCTTCAGGCCATCTGGATGTATACATGCAGGTCATTGGGGATATGATGACTTAGCTTGGGCTCAGAGGCGTGACAGTTATCTTATGAGATCACAAATAGGGAAAAAACTATCATGGCATGAGGTATAATTTTCAATGACAACATCATATTTAGATTCAAGAAGTGCTGAATCTCAAGCAATCCAGATGAATATGAAGATGCTGTGCTCTGAAAAATGGGCTTGAAGACTGGCCATAGGGAATGTCAAAACACTGATATCAAAAGTGCACTGGAAGAATTTGATTAAAAGTATTGCATTGTGAGTGGGTAAAGGCAGTATTTCTGCATTATAAACATGATGTGATTTTTTTTTTTTTTTTTTTTTTTTTTTTTGGGACGGAGTCTCACTATCTCACCCAGACTGGAGTGCAGTGGCACCGTGTCAACTCACTGCAACCTCCATCTCCTGGGTTCAAGCAATTCTTCTGCCTCAGCCTCCTGAGTAGCTGGGATTACAGGTCCCCACCACCATGTCTGGCTAATTTTTAAAAAAATATTTTTAGTAGAGACGGGGTTTCACCATGTTGGCCAGGCTGGTCTTGACCTCCTGACCTCAGGTGACCTGCCCTCTTTGGCCTCCCAAAGTTCTGGGATTACAGGCGTGAGCCACTGTGCCTGGCTGTGATTTTTAAATATATAATGAAAACTCAACATTTTAATCAAGATTTACAAATTAATGAATAGCATGTGATTTTACCTATAAGTAATTAAAATAACACATTATTATGCACAGACATTTGTCTATTTAATTAACATCCTGATATATTTTAATATCAACAAATATAAAAGTAAAAACCTTTTCTTAAGAGTTCATTTAGCAAATGAGGATGCTGTAATATTTGGAGTCACTCACATGTGGTACTGAGTTTTATATCGACTATTCCACTCTCATGGAAGTGATGACTATGTGTTCACTCACACATAGTTCAGACTAGCATACAGTCTGTCCTCAGTCAACGTGTGTTGAGTGTTGCTGTCATTTCAGAGATAAAGAAATACAGACTCCAATGAGTTAGGAGACTTGGCCAAAGCACACAGCAAATAATGAGTAGAGTTGGTTCTGTGACAGTTTTCTGACCTCCTGGCCAGAGTATAAGCCACTACAACCAGCTAGAGCACAAGGAATCATTTCCTCCTACCCCGCTGGGAGGATAGCCTCATCACAGGGCAAAGACTACAAAGCTTGTAAGCCATGAATGATATCTAGAGATATGTGTTATGTCTGGATCTGGCCACTGCTTAGGACAACTTCGTGCATGTAAGTTTGGCCTTTTGCTAATTTGTTATCAGTTCATGATAGCTGGCAAGCAAAATTGGCAATATTTGATCACTTGGCTTAGTAATACTATTTTCTTTCCATTTCAAATATTATCTCTTTTTGTCTCACATTCTTTTCAACACTTGATAGCAGCAGCTCACGCTGCTGATGCAACACAGGTGAAGAGCACCTTCCCCTCCCCCACCTGTGGGCTGATTCCCACCACGTGGATCCCAAGGCCATCCCAGGAACTCTTTGGAGGGGAGAAGCCCAGTGGAAACTGTCAGGCCTCTGAGCACAAGCCAAGCCATCGCATCCCCTGTGACTTGCACGTATATGCCCAGATGGCCTGAAGTAACTGAAGAATCACAAAAGAAGTGAAAAGGCCCTGCCCCACCTTAACTGATGACATTCCACCATTGTGATTTGTTCCTGCCCCACCTTCACTGAGTGATTAACCCTGTGAATTTCCTTCTCCTGGCTCAGAAGCTCCCCCACTGAGCACCTTGTGACCCCCGCCCCTGCCCACCAGAGAACAACCCCCTTTGACTGTAATTTTCCATTACCTTCCCAAATCCTATAAAACGGCCCCACCCCTATCTCCCTTCGCTGACTCTCTTTTCGGACTCAGCCCGCCTGCACCCAGGTGAAATAAACAGCCATGTTGCTCACACAAAGCCTGTTTGGTGGTCTCTTCACACGGACGCGCATGAAAGAAACTTTTTCAGATGTGTGGTGATGTAAGAAATACTAGGAAAAGGGTTTTGGTAGAACAGGCATAGCAACAAGGTTATTAATGTTGCAAATTGGCATACATTTTAATCAATGACATCAAATTTAGCCACAATTAGAGAAAGTTTTTTTTAATCACAATTTTATTAAGAGGTTGGAGGTATATTCTCACAAGTTAAAGAATGTGGTCTCCAAATATCATTTTAAGAACTGTACTTTAAAGAAATGTTAGCATTCCCTTAATTAAGAAATGCATGGAATATATGTATGATGGGGGGGCGTATGTGGGTGTGTGTGTGGGTGTGTGTGTGTTGTTTAAATCTTTCTCACTCTGGGCGAGGCAAGTTTTCAAAGGCTGGGCTGTCTCTGGGTAGAATCATGCCATAAGTTGCTTTCTGCCTTGCCCCCTCCCCACCATTCAACAAAAGTCCTTGTGGACCTCCCATCAGCTCCCTTCTTCCTTTCCATTCCCTCTCCAGGCCCCATGCCAGCCCTCAGAGTTGTCCACCATAAAACATTCCTCTTGGGGCCTCAGCTGGAAATGGCATGTCTCCTTTGAAGTGATTAGGTCCCAGAATGTTAGGATCAGAAAAGACTTGAGGTTGGGCATGGTGGCTCATGCCTGTAATCCCAGCACTTTGGGAGGCCAGAGGGGGTGGATCACCTGAGGTCAGGAGTTCAAGACCAGCCTGGTCAGCCTGGTGAAGCCCCATCTCTACTAAAAATACAAAAATTAGCCGGGCCTGGTGGCGGGCATCGGTAATCCCAGCTACTTGGGAGGCTGAAGCAGGACAATCGCTTGAACGGGGAGGCGGAGTTTGCAGTGAGCTGAGATTGTGCCATTGCACTCCAGCCTAGGTGACAGAGCGAGACTCCATCTCCAAAAAAAAAAAAAGACTTGTGTAGATCCCACGAGCAAACACTTCTCGTGTTCAAAGTAAAGGGCTCAAGGACCAAAGACCTCGATCTTCTGGGGTGACATGTCAGGGCAGACTCTGAGAATCATGTCTGGGGGTCTCTAATGCTTTCCTAGGGCCCAGAAGAGCAACCCATGTGGACAACGCTGATAAAAGGAATCGGTCCTTGAGGTCCCGGCACCATCCTACTCTTTGCCTTGTCTCTTTCCTCCAGACTGGCCCTAAGTGCCTCTTCCAATCCACCCCTCTGAATGGGGCAGGGTGGGCCTACTCACTGAAACGTGGCTGTGCCAGAAGAGTTTTCCAGATTCAGACTGATGCAGGGGTGGGTGAATACTCTGACTTGCAGAAGATTGCCTGGGCTTGAGTCCTGATTGTCAAGAACAAATCCACATTATCATGAACACTTATTGGACCGGGCATGGTGGCTCACACCTGTAATCCCAGCACTTTGGGAGGCTAAGACAGGAGGATTGCTTGAGGTTAGTAGTTTGAAACCAGCCTGGGCAACACAGGGAGAACAAGTCTCTGCAAAAAATAAAATTAGCTGGGTGTGGTGGTTCATGCCTTTAGTCCAGGCCACTCAGGAGGCTGAGGCAGGAGGATTGCTTAAGCCCAGGAGTTTGAGGCTGCAGAGAGCTTTGATTGTGCCACTGCACTCCAGCCTGGGCAACAGGCAAGACCTTGTCTATTAAAAAATTATTTTTTTAAAAGGACATCTATTACAACCCCTTTAATTGTCAACCTGTGAGTTACTGGAAACTTACTATTTTAGGGAGACAAAAGGCTAAAAAGACAGTTGTTAATTCTCAGCACAATTCAGAATTTTTTGGTAGACATATCATTCTTTTCTTCCCTGATCCATACACATGTATCATTCACAACCTGAACCCTTCAATGGAGTCTCCTTGTTCCTAAGATAAATTCCAGCCCTATAAAGGCCCTCAAGATGGAGCCTTGCTGACCATTCTGGCCTCATTTTGTACCACTGACCCCTCTTTCTGTGTGCCTCAGCCCTCTTGTCTTCTTCCTAGGAGAGGCTTTTCCTCATCCCTCAGTCCTAGTCAAGCCCCCCATCCCCACCCCAGTTGCACACTCCCTTAGCAACTTGGCAACTTCTGAAGGATTTATACAATTGTAATTAAGCAATTAGTTGAGTAACTGGTTGAGCATTCACTCCATATTCCTGAATGACCACTCACAGAGATCATGGATTATCTCTGTCTTGTCCCCCAAGAGCTTATGACTGTACCTTGCATGTATAATGGGTACATAATATTGGTTGAATGAAGAATGGGGATCATGGTGGGGCTGCATGTCTGGCAACCACACTGAATACAGGGGTGGGGTCTGGCCCAGCTGACTAGCGATGGGAGCTGGAGGGACGCAGCCTGGGTGGCTTATGAGAGCAGCCAGTGAACAGGCTGCCAGGCCAACCGGGGAGAGGGAGGCTAAACCTGGAGCATCTCATGAATAGGCCTAGGATATCCCTGCTGCCTGGGCCCCTCCCGGGATGACCACAGAGAGGACTCTGGAATTTGGCTTTCTGGCTCCATGTTTTTCTGAGCAACACAAGATTTGGATGAAAACCAGTTTAGGAGAAAACACAACATTATTTTATTCCTTGAAGGTCTGGGAAATCCTCTTGAGGAACAAGACAATTTGGGGTGGTCAAACTCATTCTCCACACCACATGGCCCAGAAGGGACCCTGGTCACCCATGGGCATTAGGGTATTTCTGGCTCCAGTTGAAAGAACTTTGCTGGCTTTGGAGTCAGGAAAACAGGTTCAAATCTGTTTTTCCACTTGTTAGCTGTGTGAACTCTGGCAAATGACGTAATCTCTCCTTGAGCTTTAATATTTGCTCTTATAAAATTGGGTATAATTACTAGGTTAATACAGGAATTAACAGATCATAAGTAAAGTGCCTGACCTAGAGGAGGCACTATATGTAAACAATCATTAAAATTACTGATGGTTTTATTACTATGTTAGCTTCTGGAGGGACTTTGGCTTTGATTCCTGTAACTTTTGACTTCTTTTAATGGGGATTGAATAAAAACCCATTGTGAATAGGTGTTAAAGCTGCTAGAAAGTTTGATTTCTCAGATAATAGAAATCTTCCTTTTAACAGCCTTTTATTCCTATTCAATGCAATTGCAACTCTGATCCAGAAACTTTATGGTTAGGATTACCTCTAGCAATTAATGTTCTCTCCAATGAGTGGGAAGGGAGGTCACCTCCACTCTGCTGTCCCAGAGATGACAGGAAATGCTGCACTGAGGTGTTGAGCCCAATTACTAGGTACTGTTAGGAAGAACACACAAAGAGGTGCACATTCCTGAGTGATGAGTGTGGGGCATTTTGTTTATCCACTCCTTACAAGGAATAAGTTATCGCTGGTTCTGCAGAAGGTCACTGTTATTTCTCTCTCCCCAAGTGGCTGTAATCAGCTTTTTCCTCAGAGGGATGGAACCATGATTAAACAGGGTAAATATACCAGCACTTAACATACCCAGCTATGAGGATATTGATAGACCCTTGGAACAGAGCTGGAGTTTTTGTCTAATCCTACCGACTCTCAGAAGACAAGCCTCCCTTGAACCCCAGAGGCAAGGCAGCCTGGGAGCCAGTCACAAAAGTTGGCCTGGTAGGAAGAGCTGGAGTTGTTTTTTACCCCGCCACAGGCCATTTGTTCCTTTCTTCCCTTTTCCTTCACTGATAGCCCTTGAGCACCGTGGTGTTGTGCAGGTGGTCCTGCAAGGAGCAGGGGACCCAGAAAGTGAGGGGTGATGCCTTTCCTCCTCTCAGAACGATCAGCCCTTTACACTCAAAGGAGCATGTAGATCTCAAGGCCACCCCTGGGATCTCTAAAGCTCAAGCCTCACCTCT
The DNA here is from genome assembly GCF_000001405.40 of Homo sapiens. Lineage (NCBI taxonomy): Eukaryota > Metazoa > Chordata > Mammalia > Primates > Hominidae > Homo > Homo sapiens. Next base: position 94,653,664 of record NC_000001.11, on the reverse strand, counting down.
GTGCTGAAGCCCTTGTCCTGTCCACCTCCTGTCCTTGGGACTCCCACTGCACCAGCTTGCACTCCATGCACAGTCTGATGCTTGCTTTTCTATGGTCTTTTGTGGTTTGTGATGCGTTCATGGGTGTTGGTCTGGCCTCCTCACCAAGACCACATCCTCACAGGCAGGTACTATGGCTTCCACTTCATGTGTGACCCTGCAGGGCTCAGCCCAAGTGCAAAAGTGCGGAGCATTAAAGGGGTGCTCGTTGAAAGCTGATTGATGGATTGATGGAAAGTGGGTTAGGTTTGTTTGGTTTTTGTTTTTTTGAGACAGAGTCTTGCTCTGTTGCCCAGGCCAGAGTGCAGTGGTGCCATCTCGGCTCACTGCAACCTCCACCTCCCGGGTTGAAGCAATTCTCCTGCCTCAGCCTCCTGAATAGCTGGGATTACAGACACATGCCACCAAGCCCAGCTAATTTTTGTATTTTTTTTTTTGAGGCGGAGTCTTGCTCTGTTGCCCAGGCTGGAGTGCAATGGTGCTGTCTCGGCTCACTGCAAGCTCCGCCTCCCGGGTTCACACCATTCTCCTGCCTCAGCCTCCCAAGTAGCTAGGACTACAGGCACCCGCCACCATGCCCGGCTAATTTTTTGTATTTTTTAGTAGAGACAGGGTTTCACCGTGTTAGCCAGGATGGTCTCGCTGTCCTGACCTCGTGATCCACCCACCTCAGCCTCCCAAAGTGCTGGGATTACAGGCATGAGCCACTGTGCCCAGCCGGATTAAGTTTTATAAGACCAAAAAGCCTGGATGATCACCTCCTTCACATAGTCTGTTAAGAACAAGCCCTATGGAATACTATTCAGCCATAAAAAAGAATGAAATCCTGTCATTCCCAGCAACATGGATGGAGCTACAGGACATTACGTTAAGTCAAGTAAGCCAGGACCAGAAAGTTGAACACCACATGTTTATTCATATGTGGAAGCTTAATAAATAAATAAAGCTATCTCAAAGAAGTAAAAAGTAGAACAGCATATACTAGAGGCTGGAAAAGGTAGGGGGAAAAGAGGGATGGGGAGACATTTGTTAAAAGGTACAAAATTATAGCTAGCTAGGAGGAATAAGTTTTGGTGTTCAATACCACTGTAGGATGACCTAGCTAACAATACACATTATATAGCTTCAAATAGCTAGAAGGAGGATATTGAATGGTCCCAACACAAAGAAATGATAAATGTTTGAGATATGGACATGCTGATTACCCTGATCTGTCACCATTTATTATATGTATAGAAGCATCACTACATACTCTGTGAATATGTACAGTTGTTATTTGTTAATTAAAAAATAAATAAAATAAAAGTTAAACCAACGAAACGAAACCAAACCAAAAGAGCGAGCCAGAGGTAGAGAGCTGGTCTAAAGGCACCTATGTCTCTTCCACGCAACACTAGCCCCTAATTGTCCATAGAGCTGACCAGACACAAGAATTCCACTCTGGATTTTTCTTGCAGATGACCATTTAAAAAATCCATTTTCCATGTCCTCCTCCAGGCTCATGGGAGCCCATCGTTACACGGTACTTCCTGGGCTCCATAGTGTGCCCAGCACGGCACTTAGAACTCAGTGCAAAGGAGCAGGGCTGCCACCTTGCCCCAAGGACATTCTGTGTCATCCAGGGGTGAAAATATACACTGAGAGGCACCTCCTTGCCATCCCCACATCCCTCTTTCTTCTATCCCTCAGGCCTTTGTAAACCTTTTATCATCTATTCAATTTCCTGCTATTGCTTTCCAGAGCCCAGGAATGAGGACCAACTTCCCAATCTCCCCTTTCTGGTTCTCTGACATCTTTCACAGACCCCCTTGTCTTTTTGGCTTTCATTGTTAATTGCCATAGGAGCAAATAAGAACAGGCATGGGAAAGTTGCAAAGGTTCCCAAAGATTTACTTTTCTCCCCTGCTGATGGAAGTTGAGTTGGTACAAATTTTCTGGACAGCAAATTTCCACTACTGCCTTAATAGCTCATAGACTGTAGCTCTTCCCCCTCCTTCAGGTCCTTCACGACCCACCGACCCACCGGAAAAGGGCAGAACCAGCATTGGGCGGAGTCAGGGAAGTGCCCCCACCTTGCCCAAGGGGCGCTCTCCTAGCAGGTCTTGCACAGGCCTGAGAGGGCTGCCCAGTGGATGCCAGGACTGGGCTGAACAGCTGCAGTAACCTGAGGCACTGATGTTTAGGAACTACAGCATCTGAAACCCCAATGTTAAAAATGGGAATTTTCTAATATTATTGAGGATCATTTCATTGATGGTCTTAGAGAAAGGATCTCTACTTTGACTGGTAAGAACATGAAGGAGCTTAAGAAATTTCCAAGACAGTTGGCTGCTTACGTAACTAGAACAATTGGAGAAGCTAGGAAATGCCCACATAAACTACGTAAGGGCACCTATTGCAGAAAGAAAGTTCATCATTTTTTTCCAAATCTCAAATCTTTCCTATGGAAAGGAACATTCCTCTTCAAGTGGGGGCTGTGGGCATGACAAGTAAAGAAAATGAACTGGCTTGTGCAGGCCACCTGCCAGAAAAATTACACCATGATAGTTAAATATATCTGGTTAACTCCAGTGATTCTGATTTTTTAGACAGCCTATTATCAAAATATGGCGGGCTTTCCCTAAGGTTTCGCAGGACCATGAAACAGTTGCACAAGTTCTGCTGAACATGAATTTGAGATTGAAAGTAGCTTTAATTTTTTGCAGAAAAAGATGTGTGAGTGAATTTGTACCTTATTTGGTGAGGATAGGAGATCTTGGAGTTTGGTGGATTGCCTTCTCGTGCTCACCAATAGTTTACAGGAAGAAAAGCAATACACCTTACATGGCTGCTGTATAGATTTGGTACCACTAGCAAAGTCACTACTTAAAAGCAAATTTGAAGAAAATATGTAATAATTGGTTTAAACTGGATTCAATCAGTCATTAAAATGTGGTGGTCAGGATTATAATCAAACAAATTATAATAATGGAAATATTCAGATTTTAAAACAATGAAGTGTATTGTGGGAACAGGGAAGCCATCTGGGAAATACTGCTATTATAGCCAAGGATATAAACACTCATTTGTAACAGTGGCATTGAGAGATTACAGCTACTAAAGAGTGTTTTGTTATTCAAAGCATCTCTTGACTATATGACTTCCAAGAAAATGTCTCGTCAGAATTGTGAACTATCGGAGAAATCAAAACCACTTTTGTCTTTAAAAAGCCACATAATGAACCCACTAATGAAATTCTAACAATATACTTCATACTGAAGTAGAAAAATACCCAAAAGGAACAGCTTCAACTTCAATTAGGTGGAAGGATACTACAAAGATACTTGAACTTTGGTGCATTTGGGATTTATGTGGTTATTTGGTAACATTGTTTAGGAACTACTGGGTCTTAATGCAGTCCTGCATATTACATAAGCGTATAATTTATACTATATGAAAAAATAAGACAAGGACTTATTACTAGGAACCATAAAGACCAATCTTAGTTAATTTTTTAAAGATTATATTCTATAAGAAAATGTGTGCAGCCATTCTCTTATGTTGAAAAGGCTTTGAAAGTTTAAAAAATTATGGCAAATAACCAATATTAAAATTGTTTTTCTCACAATGAGATATTGTGCATGCAAAAAGCCTTAAATGTTAATAAGCTGATGTGTTATGATACCAATATCTGTAAAATATTTGCTTGATGATAATCCTGACCACCACATTAAAAAAAAATTTAAAACCATCATGCTTCTGCATGTTCAAAGGTAAATCAGAGGAATTAAATCAGAGGTTTATATTCATGAAGAATGTTGTCACTGAAATGTTTTTCACATCATTTTCACAACTTGAGAATATTTTTATCATCTGATTTTTTTTTTGGCCAGGGTCATTATGTTATGTAGGCATGTGTTATCTCTAAATAAAAGGAAAGAATTAATATGTATTTTTACGAATGCTCAACTAGAAATGTCTATGGAGTTGGCTAATTTATACACATTTAATTAGATATAGATTTCTAATATTTTCAGTTCTGTATAATTTAAGCTTTCTTTATTTAAGTAAACTTATTACTCTTTTTTAAAAAGTTCATGTGCTTTGATCAGTCGATTCATCTGCAAAATTAGGAATAAAAAGAAAAATATGAAATAATCAGAAACACAAAGAATTGTATACAATGAAATTAAGACAGAAAATATTATTATTTTGAAACTGTTGAATATGATGTTTTTAAGAATTTTTAATTATATAAGAAAATGCTCAAAATATAATGTTAGGTGAAAAAAGAAAACAGCACACATTCTCAACCACAAAATTATATGTGTGTGACTATATAGAAGTATGTGTGCATCTGTGTGGATGTTATGAAATTAAAGCATATCAAAATGTTAATAGTGATTCTTTTTGAGTGTTGGGAACACAGACAATTTTTATTTTCTTTTTTATGGTTTTCTGTGTTTTCCAAAACATCTACCATCATAGTTTTCCACATGCTCAGGAAAAAACCTCATGTGAAAAGAGAAACACATGTTTAGAAAAGTTCCTTACATAATAATTGCTAGCAAGAAACAGAGTGATTACTATATCCAGGGGCTTTATAAAGGTATCTTGTGTGGTCTTCACAGCAGCACTGGGAGGTGGGTGTTAGTGCCCCTGTTTTCAAGACCTAGAAGAGTCCCAGGCTCAGGGAGATTAAGTATGTTGTCCAAAGTCAAACAGCTTTTGTGTCTGGGCCAGGATTTGATGCCACACCTGTCTGATCAGAGGTGGAATTATGGACGTTCTCGGGTACAACCTGCTCCACATTTCCTTGCCAAGCGTAGAGCTCACTCAGCAGCCTTCATCCCAGGGAAGGTGTGAGCAGCAAATGAGAGTACATAGGTTCATTTAGTGTGTCTACGGTGTTTTTAAACTATGACATGTTGGATTTCAGCACCCAGACAGGGACCCTTAAAAGACCCCTGTAGAGTCCCACCTCATTTTAATGAGAAGTCAGTCTCGGAGTTGAAGAAAATCTTTTATTTATTAGAAGTTGCCTACGCTAAAATGAGTTCTCTGTGTGGGTGGAAATTTGCTTGGTTAGAAATTGAATTCTTGATTTGCATCCAATCTTTTCTAATAATCCATTTAAGGAAAGGGAAGTACTCGCACACGGGATGGATTTATAAAGTCTTGAGAAACCTGTAACTCTCTGAGTTTATCTAACAAATAGGCCTGTCCCTGACTCAGCCTGCTCAGGTCAGGAGGCTTGCGGAAATGCGCCAGCTGCCTAAACAGATACGAAAGCTCTTATTTCATCACCAAAACATCTTCTGTAAGGCGGTGTTGAGCTCCGACACGAAAACCAACTTGGATAAGATCCTCAGGGTACAAAGCTGATTGGAGTGACTGCTGCTCTATTAAGCATATCAGATCTCACCCATGACCCCCTCCCTCCTAGCCTTGCTGTCACCACCCGCCCCCTCCCCACCCCACCCCTCCAAAAAACCAATCTGTGGCTGGGACTGAAGTCTCTTTGATGAGGATGAAGTTTTTCATTGATGATTGGAGAGACAGCCTAAATGAATATAGTGCCCAATGATATGATTTAAATTCCTACCAAGGTGTCACCTGTCCAACCCTTTCCTGAAAGCAGAGTGGGAATGAAAGGGGAGAACATCAGGTGGGGAGTTTGTGACCTGGAGGAGAGCAAAGGACCCAGAATGGACAAGTCCCTTGTCAACACAGAGCACTTTCCATCATTTCCTGCTTCTTGAACCCAGACAGACACAGAGAAGACCTGCAAGAAAGGGCATACCCTAATTTGCCTGGTGTCCATGAAGGTCATGGATGTAGGATTTGCAGTACACTGTGGGGAGAAGAGCCATAAACTATGTAGGCATCACTTAACTTTGGACAAATCACTTTACCTCTCTAAGCCTCAGTTCCCTCTTCTGTAAAACAAGGTTGAACTGGACATTTTTCGAGTTTCCTTCCAGTTCTAAAGGACTGCCGCCCCAGGCTTCCCTAAATAATCTGCTCCTGCTTGGATTCAATAGAACACTGGAGATTCTTTCTCTTATCCTCCTGCAGTGAAGAGAGACCCATGAGGACACCTGATCCAGTTCTCTGAGGCCCTCCTTGTCCACACTTGGTTGTGTCTGAGTAGTACAAAGCATCAGACCTATCAGGGTGGTTGGTCTTTGCTGCCTATTAACTGTGTGTGACTTAGAAAATCTTTGCACTTCTGCTCCTTGATTACTAGAAGTGAGCAATTGCAATTGCTCCTGCCTGGCAGAGTCGGGGGGAGGTTAGAGTTGTGGGTAATGTGATTAGAAGAATGCCTGGCTCATCATAAGCATGCTCTTGTCATTGGCTCCTTTCTTCCTTCTTGCTGGCTAAGTCATTTTGGGCTGTATGTGTTAGGAGGAGGGAACCCCAGGAGCTGCTCCAGAGGTGTATAGGTTAGGCAACATAGTGAGACCTTGTCTCTACAAATAATAATAATAATAATAATAATAATAATAATAATTTAAGTTAGTTAGGTGTGGTGGTGCATGCCTGTAGTCCCAGCTACTCGGGAGGCTGAGTTGGAAGGGTTGTTGGAGTCCTGGAAGTCAAGACTGCAGTTAGCCATGATTGCAACATTGCATTCCAGCCTGGGCGACAGAGGGAAACCCTGTCTCGTAAGAAGAGAGAGAGAGAGAGAGAAGGAAAGAAAGGAAGGAAGGAAGGCAGGAAGGCAAGCTGGCTCCTGTCTCAGCTACCCAGAGTGCTAGGATTACAGGTCTGCACCACCAAGCCCTACGAATTTAATTTCTCTCTGATTAGCGATCAGAGGAAGGAGATTGGTGATTGTCTCCCCTCTATGAGACCCAGTTTTCCATATTCTAATCTTCTTCAAGACCAGCTCAAGGCCTACCTCCCTTGGAGGCCCCAGACCCCTCTCGTCCACAGAGATCATACAAGGTGCATCCTGAAATGCATGCTCACCATGCACTGCCTTGCAGGGCTAGATGAACTTTCAGATGAGAAAGTTATGATTCCTCCACTAGATTGGGATCTCCTTAAGGTCAAGGGTCATGTCTTCTTGATCTTTATCTCCACTCCCCACTCCCAACCCATCCTCAGAAAAATGCCTAGCATGGGGCTTGGCACATGGTAGGCTCTCAACGCGGGTTTGACTCTGAATGAATGCATTCCTGGGGACTCCAGTCAGCTATGATAATGGCGATCATGAAAGCTGAGGTGTTTGCTTAGTCATCGCCACATTGCATATTTTTCAGCTTAATTATCATGTAATTTCTTCATATCTTCCAATAAATGAAAGACAAAATATATCTTTGGGGGATGTATGCATGTGAAAATTAATTCTCATGGAAGTCCTTGACTTACCACAAAAATTCAAGAAATGTACTTCTTACACATGGACACAGGGAAATACTGATCTTCCTGTCATGTGCAAATTAGGAGCCCTTGGACAGAAGAACTGAGTGTGAACCCCAGTGGAGTGAATATTTGTATTTGTATTACTGTAAATTTTATAGAATCAAATTTCTTAGTGGGAAACCTTACTGCAGTCATCAGTTCTGGTAACTGCTCCTGATTTAATAGTTTACGGCTAGCAATCCCAAATAGCAATGTAATTCAGCCATCTACCTCGATGTGTTTTTTTTGTTTGTTTTTTTTGTTTTTTGAGACGGAGTCTCGCTCTGTCGCCCAGGCTGGAGTGCAGTGGCGCAATCTCGGCTCACTGCAAGCTCTGCCTCCTGGGTTCACACCATTCTCCTGCCTTAGCCTCCCGAGTGGCTGGGACTGCAGGCGCCCACCACCACGCCTGGCTAATTTTTTTTTTGTATTTTCAGTAGAGATGGGGTTTCACTGTGTTAGCCAGGATGGTCTCGATCTCCTGACCCTGTGATCTGCCCGCCTCGGCCTCCCAAAGTGCTGGGATTACAGGTGTGAGCCACTGTGCCTGGCTTTTTTTTCTTTTTTTTAGATAGAGTCTCTTTCTGTCACCCAGCCTGGAGTTCAGTGGCACGATCTTGGCTCACTGCAACCTCTGCCTCCCAGGTTCAAGCAATTCTCCTGCCTCAGCCTCCTGAGTAGCTGGGATTACAGACGCACGCCACCACACCTGGCTAATTTTTGTATTTTTAGTAGAGACGGGGGTTTCACCATGTTTGTCAGGCTGATCTGGAACTCCTGACCTCGTGATCCACTTGCCTCGGCCTCCCAAAGTCTTGGAATTACTGGCGTGAGCCACCGTGCCCGGCCCTACCTCAATGTTTATTTCACAATTGTGCACTGAAGAAAAACCACACAGCTCAAGTGAGTTGGTCAGTGGGAGCTCTGCTGAGATCTTTTATAGCTGGCATGGGCGAGTATATTTTGTTTCAACTGCTTTGAGCATTTTCACTCTAGTATTCTTGTAGCCATTCTCTGATAGCCCAACTCCAGGTTCTTTCTATGAAGCATCTTGGCCCTGCCCACTGCTATTCCTTTAGCCCTTTTCTGCAGTACATTAGATATTATGTATCCTTTTTTGGCACTGCATCTTTTATACATATGTGGCAAGCCACCTTTGGCTTTGGCTACTAGTTAAAGCCTAGGTCTCTACACTTATCCAGCGTCCTAAATGGGGATGCCTCACTCAGTTGTACAGGTTGTGCACTGCATTACTCCAGGGAATGCATGTACATGGACCATGGTCGTGCTTCTAAAGCTATATTGGTACAATCTCCATGACACTCCAAGAATGACCCATTCTCATAAACTACCTGCCAATTTCTCAGCAAACGCAAGCTTCATTCAGAGGCACTGGCAAGAGCCATAAAGCATGCCTGATCCTGGGTACTCCAGGTTTGTTTCTGGGAGTATAGATCTGTTCCTGCTACTCTAGGTATGTTCCTGGATCCATTCAAAAGAAAGCTGCATCTCGGCACCAAACTGTTCTGGCCCTGCTTTTACCTTAATTATACTCTGGTATAAGTCATCAACCACACTGGAAAATGTAATAAGAAGCACTCTGCTCCTTGTTGCTGCAGCTTTCTAGTGCTCTGAACTGAGGACTTTGCTCACAATATTACAACCTCTTCAGAAAGTGTAATGGGAGAGCTTTCTCTCTGATCTCGGTATCAGGAAGAGTTATTAAGTTTTTCCTGAACAAATGGTTTGATTGGATTTTATAGACGGGTACTGTGATGCGCATAACTGAAACTGCTTTCATGTGTGTGCTGACTGTTAGAAAGTGGAGCGGCAAGTTTGTGGCTCAACACTAAGCAATATAAAGACCTTGAAGTGTGTGCTTCATGCCTTTGCCTCACTCTTCTTCATCTGCACTCATTAAACAACAAGTAGTTACTGAGTACCTGCTACCCACCAAACACTGTTCTAGATACTACTCTGAAAATACATTTTAAATAGAGCAGAGGTCTGAGAAGCACTGACGGAGAAGTTGCCATCTGAGCAAAGCCTGAAGGAGTGATGTGTGCTGTCTAGATCCCTGGGGAAAAAAAGCATTCCAGAGATAGGAAACAGGGAGTTCAAAACCCTGAGGCAGGAGTGTGCCCAGCATGTTGAAGAAACAGCAAGGAGGATGGCGTGGCTGAAGTGGAGTGGGTGAGGCAGCGATAGGGTCCAAGAAGTAACCGGAAGCAAGCTCCTGTCGAGCTTCAGAGGGCTTTGCTGTACTTGGGCCTTTACACTGCGTAAGATGAGAAGCCATTAGAGGGTTTGGAGCAGAGGAGTGGCATAACTTCAAAGGGTCCCTCTAGCTAGCGAGCTGACAGCACACATAGGAGACAGAGGTAGAAGCAGGGAGACCACTTAGGAGACCCCTGCAGGATCTCAGAGGAGATGGTGTGCTGAGCCAGCATGGTAGTAGGTGGGAAGAGGTCACATTCTGGGTAATAGGATTTGTTGATAGATACAGTGTGGGGCACGAAGGACAGGAGGGGGCCAAGGATGACCCTGAGAAATTGGAAGGATAGAGTGTCTTTAACTACATGCTCTCCCATGAAGGGAATCTGGGGCAGTAGATTTGAACACGCTAGGAGTGCGGGGCCTGTTAGACCCCAAGTGGAGATGAGTGAGCTTGGGTTTCAGGTAGACATCTGGCTGAATAGAAATGCATTGCTGGTATTCGGAGCCACAGCCTAGAGCAGATGGCAGAATAAAGGGTAGGTGGGGGTAGCATGAGGGTGGAGAAGAGGCGCTCCCGGGGCTGAGCCCAGGAACAATGCAAGGCTAAGAGTTCTTCTAAGTTTCCTACCCTCTTTCTTAAAAAACCTAATTTCCTAGGCTGGTATTTTACAAATCTTATTCCATTTCATTCAGTTCTATAACCCCCTTAAATTCTTTTCAGAACAAGACAAATGTATTTGAAAGCAGTGCAGTAATAGTAATATCAGTTCATCCCTTTGAGAAATATTTGTTAAGTGCCAGTTATGTGTCAAGCATTAGGAGCTGGGGATAACCAGACAAACTGCCTCTCTTGTGAAACAGAGTATATTTGAGGGGAATGACAGATACTTGACATGTAGATAAACACATAGTTAGGATAACATCAGATCCTAACAGGTGCAATATCAGATCATAACAGAAACTGGAACAGATAAAGAGGTAGAGAGTAACTCAGGACAGGGAGTGGTGGCTTCACTGAGGATATGCTACTTGAACTGAAACATAGGTGATGAGAAGGAGTCAGGCAATGTTCCGGCAGAAGAGCATTCCAGGATAGGGTCAGTAGCCAGCGCAAAGGCCTGGGATGGGAATGAGCTTGGCATGCTGGGATGAGTAAGTAGGCTGGCTGGAGTGGCTGGAACACAGTAAAGGAGAGCTGCGTACGAGGGGAAGGGGCCAGGTCATGTTGGGCCTTGACAGCATGGCTTTCAGTTCAAGTGCACTGGGAAGCCACTGCAGACTTCCCAGCAGGGGAGGGACGTGATGTGATTTGTCCTGCCTGCTGAATATAGAGCCTCTGAAAAGAAGCAGAGACTGGCATGGAGGTGGTGCCATGGATGAAGAGCCGGATGGTGGCACTGGACTGGAATCTGGTGTTGCAAGTGGGAGAGAGACTCAAGTGCATGTTCAAGGCTTTGCTCAGGGATTGAAAGAAGTAAGGGAGAAGTTAAAGCTGACTCCTGAGTTTTAGCTTCAGCAAGTGGATGGATATGGATGCTGTTTCCTAGATGGGGCAAGCTGGAAGAGGGGCTGGTTTCCTGGAGAAACAAGAGTTCTGCTTCAACTACGTTAGCCTTCAGATGCCTATTAGTCACTTTGCAGATCTCCATGTTATCTACGTGGAAAGTCACACGTTCACTCAATTAATATTTGTTGAATGAGTGAGCGAATGCCAGTCCTTTAGAGTTGAGGAAGGCCAGACATAGAGTTATAGATTGGCAATTCAGAATGACGCCAATGCTGGAGGAAGCAGTTTCACTGATGTTTTCTTTATCAGTCATCTTAGCCACCTGCAGAGGCGTTGGCTGGGAAGTATTTTCCTTATTCTACAGGTGAGGTGTCTGAGGCTTTAGAGACCGCATGACTGCCCATTGCACCCACCCACAGGGGCAGATGCAGCAATTTTTCTTGTGTCTTCTCATCCCAGGCTAGTGCCCTTTCCACCATCCAACACCAAGCTCTTGTCAGTGTGCCTCCTGTCACCTGGGAGAGCTGCACTGGAAGGTGCCCATGTGATGTGGAGCCAACCCTGGCCCTTGTGGATGTGCTGACTCTGGCCACACAGAAGCTGTGAGGCCCAATTCCAGCCTGAAAGTGGCCTGGGCCATCAGTAGACAACCTGAAGCTGGCTGGGACTTCCTAACAGGCCTGACCAAGTTCTGTGACAAGAACAATGACACCCACAAATAAGGCTCCCCCACCTTGTCCTGGTGAGTCAGAAGCACCATGGGGGAAGGCTGGTCCAGGCTTCAGAATGGAACTCAGGCCAGGTTTCTCCCACAGCAGACAGGCCTCTTCTCTGGGTGGTTTGCATCATTGCAGTTCATTGATTGGGGGTGGGGAGGGGGCATGATGCTTTTCCCAAAGGTGTACTAGTTTCATGTCCAAATTTCCAAACTTACTATCTCATACCAGCTTGGCACGTTCCCCTTAAGATGATTGGGTTTTGTAAATTTCCACATCAAAGGCAGAGACAGATTTTTATTTCTGCAGGTGCAAGTGATGCATTAAATAATAATCATTGCAGTGAATCTTAGACTGAAGCATAAGAATCAATGGGGAGAAGAGGTGGTATTGCGCCCTGGTGGAAAGCTTGCAGTCTGAAGCTAGGCTGCCTGCATTTCATTCTCAGCTCTACACTTAATAGTTCTATGCCTCTGGGAAAGTTTCTTAATCTATCAGTATCTCAGTTTACTCATCTGTAAAATGGTGACAATAATAGTACCTAGTCATAGATTGTGCTGAGGATTAAATAAGTCAGTTTATGTAAAGCATTTGGAATGGTGCCTGCACATATTAATAGTATTTTATAGGTAAAAGCTACTATTATTAATAATAGTATTATTTTTAATAGGTGGGTAACTTGTTAAAAATGTCAAGTCCAGAGTTATACCCACAGCGTTTCTGTTTCAGTGTATGTGGAGTGAGGCCCAAGAATTTTGCACAAGCATTAGAAGAGATTTGGGATGCAATTGGACTCAGGTGACACTTGGAGAAACCCTAGTCTATAAGGCAAAAATGAACATACAAGGCAAGGTGGGAGGTACTACAGGGAGAAAAGTAGGGATAGATAACAGTGTACACATCCCTGCTTCATGATTTCATACTCTTCAGCATGGAAGGTTTAGAATGGAATCCAGCAGGCTCTTGCAAGGGATACAAAGATGGTCTCCAAACAAAGTAATTTAACTGTGCTATTGATTTTTTTCATATTACCTAGTTACTTTATTTATTTTGTCTCCCTCTGCCAGATTTTTAAAATTAAGATATAATTCACATACTATAAAATGCAACCTTTTAAAGTGTACAACTCAATGGTTTAAAGTATAGTCACAAAGTTGTGCGATATTACTACTGTATAATTCCAGAATATTTTTTATCACTCCCCTCCCCAGGAAACAAAAAGTGCCTATTAACAGTCACTTCCTATTCTCTTCTTCCCACAGCCCCTGGCAACCACTAATCTGCTTTTTATTTCTATGGATTTTCCCCTTCTGGACATTTCCTATAAATGGAACTACACAATACGTGGCCTTTTTGACTGGATTCTTTCACTTAACATGCTTTCAAGATTCATCCATATTGTGGCACACATTAGCACTTCATTCCTCTTATGGTTGAACAATATTTGATTATGTAGATATACCACATTTTGCTGATTCATTCATAAGTTGATGGACATTTGGGCTCTTTTTACTTTTGTTGGCTATTTTGAAAGTGCTGCGATAAAATTCATGTACACTTATTTGTGTAGACATATGTCTTCATTTCTCTTGAGTATATACCTAGGAGTAGAATATATGGAGTATAGAGTAACTTTATGTCAAACATTTTGAAGAACTGCAATACTGGTTTCCAAAGCAGCTACACCATTTTATATTCCCACCAACAATGTATGAGAGTTCCAATTTTTCCACGTCCTCACCACCACTTGTTATTGTCTGGATCTGTCTTTTTTATGTTAGCCATGGTACTGTGTGTGAAGTGGTATCTCTGTGGTTTTGATTTGCATTTCCCTAATGATTAATGATGTTGAGCATCATTGCATTGCTTATTGAACATTTGTATATCTTTTTTGAAGAAATGTCTATTTAATCCTTTGTCCATTTAAAAATTTGGTTATTTGTCTTTTTATTGTTGACTTTTAAGAGTCTTTTATATGTTCTAGATGCTAGATTCTTATCAGATATATGATCTGCAAGTATTTTCTCCCATTCTGTGGGTTATATTTTCACTTTCTTCATAGTGCCTTTTGAAGCACATAAGTTTTCAATTTTGATGGAGTCTGACTTATGTATCTTTTTCTTTGTTGCTTGTGTTTTTGGTGTCATATCTAACAAACCATCGCCAAATCCAAGTTCGTGAAGATTTATACCTATGTTTTCTTCTAAGTGTTTTATAATGTCAGCTCTTATATTTAGGTCTGTGGTCCATTTTGAGTTAATTTTTTATATGGTGTGAAGTAAGAGTCCAACTTTACTCTTGCATGCACCATTGATTTTTATCTTCATAATTTTATGAAGATATACAAACAGAAAAGTGCACAGATCAAATGCGTACAGCTCACTGAATTTTTGCAAAGAAAACGCACTTGTATAACCAGTACCCAGATGATGAACCAGACAGTGACAGAATCCCGAAGGCTCCCCCATGCCCTCTTTAAGTCACTGTCCCCAACAAGGGTAACTACTATTCTGACTTTTAACTGATAAGTTTTGTCTGTTTTTTAACTTTATAGAAAGAAAATTGTAGTATCTACTGTTTTGTGCCTGGTTTATTTCTCTCACATTCACTCTGTGAGTGAGATTCATCACGGTGTTTCACAGAGTTGGAATTAAGATTCATTCGTTCTCATTGCTGTATAGGGTTCCATCATATACATATACCATAATTCCTTTATACATACTATTGTTGACAGACATTTGTGGTTTCTAGTTGGGGCTATAATAAATAGTGCTCCTAAGTACATTTTTGCATGTCTTTTGGTGAACATATATGAACATTTCAGTTGAGTGGAATTGCTGGGTCATAGGGTACATATGTATTCAATTTTGTTAGTAGAGATAGTAACTTAAATTCTCATCATAAGTATGTGAGAGTTTTAGTTACTCCATATCCTTACCAAAACTTAGTATTGCCTGTCTTTTTTCTTTTTGCCATTCAACTGGATGTGTGGTAGTATAACAGTGAGATATTTAATTTGCAGTTCTATTGTAGTCCATTTGAGCTGACAGCTTATAAACAACAAAAATTGTTTCTCAGTCCTGGAAGCTGGGAGTCTGAGATTAAAGCAGTCAGTATCTGGTGAGGGCCCACTTTCCAGCTCATAGGTGGCGCCTTTTTGCTGTGCCCTCACATGATGGAAGGGGTAAGGGGTCTCTCCTGGGCCTTATTTGTTTGTTTCTTTGTTTTTTTTCAGATAGAGTCTTGCTCTGTGACCCAGGCTTGTGTGCAGCGGTACGATATTGGCTCACTGCGACCTCCACCTCCCAGGTTCAAGCAATTCTCCTGCCTCAGCCTCCCAAGTAGCTGGGATTACAGGCATGTGCCAGCACACCAAGCTAATTTGTGTGTGTGTGTGTGTGTGTGTGTGTGTGTGTGTGTGTGTGTGTGTTGATTTTTTTTTTTTTTTTTTTGGTAGAGATAGGGTTTTGCCATGTTGGCCAGGCTGGTCTTAAACTCTTGACCTCAGATGATCCACCCACCTCGGCCTCCTAAACTGCTGGGATTACAGGCGTGAGCCACTAAGCCCGGCCAGGCCCTTTTCATAAGGGGACTAGTTGCATTATGAGGACACTGCCTCTGTGACCTAATCACTTCCCTAAACCCCCAGCTCCTAATACCACCACTTTGGGAGTTAGGATTTCAACATGTGAATTTTGGGGGGACATAAGCATTCAGATCATAGCAAGTTCCCTGATGACTAGTGAAGTTCAGCACCTTTTCATATGTTTATTGGTCAGCTGGATATTCTCTTTATAAAATACGCTGTTGATTCTTAATCTCTTTTACCCCTGATATGTTGTATCTTCTGTTGTTTCTCTTATCATCAATATATTATATTTATTTCTCTATTATATTATTATTTGCTATTTCTGGGCATCTCTCTCTATCTTCTAATTAACGTATGATACTCTGCCCTTGCTGGAAACCTGTGGAAATATTCGTTAGGGAAAAGAAAATGAGAAAGAATAAGTGAAGACTTTAGGTTTAGGATGCTTTAGGATGGGGCAGATGTCCTCAAAGAACAATGGGGACAGAGTAGGGAGAAAACGTACATGCAGCCTGGGGACCTGATCCCCTTCCACGGTCATATTGCCTCTGCTCCTTCTGTCTGATTTATTCCGCATTGGGACATTTGTCTATCATTCTCCAATTGTTTCATGTTTATGTGTTCTGTATACCCTGACCGTCAGTATGTTTTTCAAGGGAAAGGATGCTGTCTTTTACTTTGTATATGTACCCGTCATTTTGCCCTAAACAACCTTGTATGCAACAAGAACTAACAGTCTATCTCTAAGACCATAGTAATTCTAAGCACTTAGATTCTGAGTTTTGTGTTGAAACCACAGTTGATCCTCCATTGTTATTGAGTCTGTGCTTTCTAAGTTCAAGCTGTGACACCGAGAACTCCACACCCTGCCACATCTGGAAGCATCCCACTTTCTGCTGTCATTTTCTGGCCCTCCCCATCAGCAGGGATTTGGGTCCGCAGGCTGGGATGCAGGGACATGACTGCCCCCTTTTCCATCTCCCAGTCTAAAAAGGAGTGTGGTTTACAAGGGTATAAGCAAGTATCTAGGCACTTTCTATCACAGATGTGATTTTTGTTTGAGGGCCTAGTAAAGGAAATTAACTAAAATAGTTATTATTTTCACAAGCTAAATAAGTAGTTGAAGAAAATAATATGAATAAGATATAAGAAAAATTTTATTGGAAGAAATTTCATTATTTAAATATTCACTTGAAGATCTTTATTTGTAGTGAAACCCACTCACCCCTCACCGTCCTATGTGAGGCAGGCCGGGAACACTGCCCTGGACCTCCAGTGATCCTGTAATACACAAAGATAAACAGGCACTTTCTTGGAACCAGAATTTAAACTTCCTTCAGTGATCTCAGGACTAACTCACACACAGGGTGTGTCCTGACTGCTAGGGGTTTACTTGAAGTCCTCAGTTGCTCAATCACAAGAATTTCCAAGTGTTCCCAGTCACCAGTTTCAGGACTAGGGCGCTAAATTCCTGGGGGTCTGGGAAAAGGGAGTACCTCACTAAGGATATCAAAGCCAAAACTTGGTCAGAAACAGATTTGACTTTCACTTATAATCCAAACCAGGAATTCCCTGGAAATAAGATCACAAATCTAGGGGGAATCCTGCTTATGGATATTCTGGGTGATTCCAAAACCTTAGTTATTGGAAACTCTGATTCCAAACTTGAATGTTTCTTTTCCATGCATGCTCTCTCATCCTGTGGGCAAGAATCATGATGAATTTACTGTTTTTAGAGCTTATTACTACTCTAATGTCAAGCCAAGGTATATTTAAAAAAAAAAAAAAAAAGGTTTGCCATCACTCATGTGATATTCTGTTCTGTCAGGGACTTCTGTCAAACCATGATTGTTGGAACAGCTTTGCCTCTCTGGAAAGCAGCTTGCTAGAGAGACTTGCGGTAGAGAGGGAGGGTCATGGCCAGATGCCGAAAGCAACATTTACATATTTAGTGAAGGCCCAGGCTTTACTCCTTAGTAGCTATGTGATTTTGGATAAGTTACCTAATTTCTGTGAACCTCTATGTCTTCCTCTGAGAAACAATGATAAGGACACTTACCTCAAAAGGCTGACTTGAAGCACAAGCAAACAGTGGACATGAGAATACTTGGTAAACTATGAAGTGACCCACAAAGAAGGGTATTGTCATTTTACCCTTTCCTCTAGTCCTCAGTGGAACTTTCCTTATCTTTTCAAACCTCTTCCCAGACCCCAATCCCATGAGATCCCCTTCCTTCAGCAAGATCTCACTGCATGACGGCAGTGTTGGGAGTCCTCTACCAAAATAATACTCTACCAAAATAATAGTATTCACCAAGCTTACGCTTACGAAGAGCCATCATGGTTATTTCTTGACTTTATGGAATCATTCAGTTTCTGCTGCATGGCAGCTGCAGTGGGAAGCCTGCACAAACCTAGAGAAAATGATTTAGAATCACATAAGAAAGCCTTGTACATCTGTTCGAGGATGGCAAGTAAGCTGTATTTTGCACTCCAGTTCCAAATGATTGGTGTTGGTTCTGTGCAACACTGGTCTGTGAAGGAGCTCAGGCAACTTGTTGGAAGGACAGTGGGGGGCGATTGATTAGTCATGCTGCCATGGATGAGATACAGTAAAGGGGCACTCCTCTACTCCCTTACTCCCTAAATGGGCATTCCATTTACAATACCATCAAAAAGAATAAAATACTCAGGAATAAATTTAACAAAAGAAGTGCAAGACTTGTACACTGAAAATTACAAAATTACAAAATACTCTTGGGATTTAACACACCTCATCTAGTTCCAGCTTCTTATTTTACAAATGAGGAAACAGATATTCAGAGTTGAGGTAAGTCCAGCAAGATCATACAATCAAGGAGCAGCAGGGTTGAATCCAAAATCCAGCCCTCTAGCTTTCCATTTGAGTATTGTTTTCAACATCAACTCTTTTTTCACTCTCTCATAAGGTCTGTAGAGGGCTGATTTTTATGAGACAAGGAGAGATTAGGGACCTGGCTGGTCTGTGTAATGCCTGATACATGGTTCATGATAACCAGCTGCTCCCCGCTCCCAGTCTGGTTTCTGATCTCTCTGCCCCCTCCCAGCGGGACTGCAAACCACAAGCTGTTTCAGCCCCAGCAGGAAGAATGAGGGGGCCTTCCCATACAGAAATCCCCAGTGATGCCCTGGGGGCCTGGACTCCTGTTCCTGTGCCTGAATTCCCTTCTCCCTATAATTTTATTGCCTCCATCGTTCTTATCCCAGTTTGGACAGGCTCGAACTTGTGATGGTTTGCTTTTATTTTTCTCTCAGAGTGATGTTGATATAAAGTGCATTTATTTCTATTTTAAAACAGTCTTCCTAGCTAAACTGATTTATTCTGTGAGAAAAGACAGTCACGTGTGAATGTGACTAGAAGGAAAAAGGGACCAGAAAGCTTTTTTTGTTTTGTTTTATCAAGAGATTAGCTTCAATTTAAAAATAAAATAGAATAAACCTTTGCTCAACTGATACATTTACCTTTTGCTTGGGACGAGGACCTGGCCTAATGCCAGGCTTATCATGCTGGTCATCACCTCCTCCTGAAATGCTCTACATCCTCACCACGCCAAACTCTGTTATTTCTTTATGTGTTTAAAGTCCTCCTTTGACTTGGGGTACAATGAAGAAGATTCGTTTTGTTCAACAGTTATTGAGAATCTACAGTGTGTCTAGCACTGGGCTTGGCACTCAGGATTCAAAAAATGAGTACAGGCTGGGCTCAGTGGCTCACGCCTGTAATCTTAGCACTTTGGAAGGGAGGCCAAAGTGGGCAGATCGCCTGAGGCCAGGAGTTCGAGATCAGCCTGGCCAACATGGTGAAACCCTGTCTGTACTAAAAATACAAAAATTATCTGGGCGTGGCAGTGGGCACCTGTAATCCCACTGAGACTACTTGAGAGGCTGAGGCAGGAGAATCACTTGAACCCAGGAGGCGGAGGTTGCAGTGAGTCAGGATCACGCCATTGCACTCCAGCCTGGGCAATAAAAGTGAAACTGTCACAAACAAACAAACAAACAAACAAAAGAGTACTACAATAAGGCCCCCACCTTTGGGAAAATAACTGAGCGAACACAATGAGCCAGAGGAAAAAAGCTAAGCCTCGCACCCTATTACCTATCTACCTCATTTAGTTCTCATCCTGAAACTACTCTTCTTGTGGTCATGAGCTGTATGTCTTTTGTTCTCCACTCTATCCTCAGCACCAAATGCAGTGCCTGGCACAAGGTGCCCAGGAAAGACTATTGACTGAATAACTGATTTCCTACAACCAGTCTGCAATGTAGACATCCTTTTTTTTCCTTTTTCACAGGTGAAGAACTAATGTTGACGGAAGTTAAGCAACCTTTCCCAAAGTCTCATAGTGGTAATGTCTTGGGTAATTTGTTTCCAAACTGTGCTTTTTATCCTGTATAGGACCCCAAGCCACTTCACCTTTCCAGACTCCGTTTTCTTTTCTTTTTTTCTTTTTTTTTTTTTCCTGAGAAAAGTCTCATTCTGTCACCCAGCCTGGAATGCAGTGGCGCGATCTCGGCTTACTGCAACCTCTGCCTCCTGGGTTCAAGCAATTCTCTGCCTCAGCTTCCCGAGTAGGTGAGATTACAGGTTCGCACCACCATGCCTGGCTAATTTTTGTATTTTTAGTAGAGACGGGGTTTCATCACGTTGGCCAGGCTGGTCTTGAACTCCTGACCTTGTGATCCACCCACCTCAGCCTCCCAAAGTGCTGGGATTACAGGCGTGAGCCACCGTGCCCAGCCCAGACTCAGTTTTCTTAACTGCAAATTCAGAGGACAAGGCTGGATGACCCTAAAATCTAACCAAGCTCTAAATTTCATAACCAATGCCCAAAGTTGGTAGTGGAATGCATATACTCATTTCCCCTGAGAGAGTATTTATTTGTCTTGTTTTCATTTTTTTTAACATGCATTTCTTCTGCACATGTCATTACACTACCAGCTCTTTGAGCTTAATGTCTCATTTTGTAACCGGTTTGTACTACTCCCAGATCTGTGTTCTGTGCTCAAGGACTTCTCAGACATTTTAAAGTTCATGACTTTCTGTAAGCCTACCTTATCTTAAAGACTAAGTAAACCATGTGCTACAGTTCCCGACACCAAGAATTTTTTGTTTTCTCTCAAGGACAACCCCAAGCTTTGGGTGCTCTATGGCAGGCTTCAAATAATCTCTTGCCTTAAGATGGAGAAAACATTTCTTGGAAATAATGATTCTTGATTTTGAAGAGGAAAAAAACAGATTTTGAAATTTTGTGGGATCATACAAAAATCAATTTGTTTCTATACACTAACAATCAACAATCAAAAATATAATTAAGAAACAATTCCATTTACAATACCATCAAAAAGAATAAAATACTTAGAATAAATTTAACAAAAGAAGTGCAAGACTTGTACACTGAAAATTACAAAATACTGTTGAAGAAAATGAAAGAAGGTCTAAATATATGAAAAGACATCTGATGTTTGTGGACCAGATAACTTAATATTAAGATGGATACACTCCCCAAATTGATATACAAGACTAACAAAATCCCTGTCAAAATCCTAGCTGGATTTGTTTCAGAAATTGACAAGCTGATACTAAAATTCATATGGAAATCCAAGGGACCCAGAATGGCCAAAACAGTCTTGAAATGAAGAACAAAGAGAACTCACACTTCCCAATTTCAAAACTTACTGCAAAGCTACTGTAATCAAGACACTGTGGTACTGCTATATGGATAGACATATATAGATGAATGAAATCAAATGGAGAATATAGAAATAAACCTTTGCATTTATGGTCAATTAATTTTGACAAGGGTGCCATGATAATTTACTAGGAGAAAGAATACTCTTTTTAACAAAATGTTTTGGGATAAGTGTATATCCACATGGAAAAGAATGAAGTTGGATTCCTACCTTACACCATGTACAAAAATTAACTTGAAAAGGATCAAAGACCTAAATGTAAGAGCTAACACTAAAAAACTCTTAGAAGAAATTTTAGATGTAAATCTTTATGACCTTGGATTTGGCAATGGTTTCCTAGAAGTGACACCAAAAGCAAAAGCAACCAAAGACAAAAATAGATAAGCTGGATTTCATCAAAATGGAAAACTCTTGTGCTTCAACAGGCACTGTGAAAAAAGTGAAAAAACAACTACAGAGTGGGAGAAAATATTTGCAGATCGTATGTCTGATAAGGGTCTAGTATCTAGAATATATAAAGAACTCTTACAACTCAACAATAAAAAACACATGTAACACAATTTTAAAATGGGCAGAGGATCTGAATAGACATTTCTCCAAAGAAGATACCCAAATGTTCAATAAGTACATGAAATTATGCTCAACACCATTAGCTATTAGAGAAAAGTCAAAACTATAATAAGATGCCACTTCATACCCACTAGGAGAATATACTAGAAAAGAAAGACTATAACAAATATTAGTGAGGATGTGGGGAAATCAGAATCCTCCTCCATTGCTGCTGGGAATGTAAATGGTGCAGCTACTTTGGAAAACAATTTGGCAGCTCCTGAAAAAGTTCAACATAGAGTTACCATATGCCCCAGCAATTCTACTCCTAGGTATATACTCAAGAGAAATGAAAGCATAGGTCCACATAAAAACTTGTACATGGATGTTCATAGCAGCATTATTCATGATAGCCAGAAAATGGAAAGAGTCCAAATGTCTATCAACTGATGAATGGATAAACATAATGTGATCTATTCATATAATAGAATATTATTTGGCAATAAAAAAGATGACGTACTGATTCATGCTACAACATAGATGAGCCTTGAAAACATTATGCCAAGTGAAAGAACCCAGTCACGAAAGACCACATATTATAGGATTCCATTTATTTGAAATGTCTATGAAAGGCAAATCTGTAGAAACAGAAAATAGATTAGTGCTTGGCTGGGGCTTGGGGGAGTTGGAATGGGAAGTGATGGCTAATGGGTACAGGTTTCTTTGGGGGAGGTGGTATTCTGGAATTAGTTATACAATCTATAAAGATACTAAAAACCACTGAATATTATACTATAAAATGTGAATGTTATGGTGTATAGATTATATCTCAGTAAAGGTGTTTGAAATAAATTTTGTATAATCAAAGAAAATTCACTACAGAAATAAGAAAGACTAACTGAAAATCCAAAGCTAGCCCCATTCTTAGCATTCAGAAGGCTCCCACCTCCACTGTAGCAGGTCATACCTATAGAACTCTAATCTACCTGAATCCCCAGAGCTTGGCTTGTCCACTTAGTCAATGATTCTTCAAGCCCATTTGTGATACATCCTCTGGGTGATCATCCAATCTATGCTTAACTAGGATCATTTTACCTCCCTTTCAAGCATTTATTGAACATCTCCTCTGCGCTCAGCTCTGCGCTAAGCGTTGAGAATACACTGCATTGTTATCTCCTTAACTCAACAAACATTTATTTGATTATTTGTAATATATAAGACATTTTACTGGTTTCTATTCATTTCTGTTTATTCATATCCCTTTTAGCTTAGATTCTCCTAGAAGTGGATCTTCAAGCAAAGATTCAAGATCTACTTCTAGAAAGAGTGTATTTGGGAAATGCAAGTAGTTCTTGCCAGGAAGTGGGGAAGGGGTCCCTAGAAGGAAAGGGAGCCTATGAAGTCAGCTGCCACAGGAAGCCACTAGAGCTTAACCCTAGAAACTCTGGGGAAAGATGCAAAACACATGCTGAGAAATTATTCCACCTGAGGATGAGGAAGCTGGGATATTTATATATAAATTGCAGAGCTCCTGCTGGAGATGTGTTCATTCCACAGCATCTAGACTATGCTGCCTTCCCCGGTTTCTAGTCAAGAGAGGGGAGAAACCTCAGGAGCAAATGCAGGTTCAGGCAATTGGTTGGCAGGACTTGTCCAAGGGATAAGGGTGGGACACTGAGAGCATCAGCTGCAATACCCTTCTTCCTTCCACAGAGGACTGAGGATGGTGTATGAGAATACACAAAATGCAGCAGAATGCCGTGAGTTAGGTAAAGGTGAAGAGAAAAGCAAAGATAAAAGGGAAACTAAGCCTTTATGACAAGGCCAAGGCAATGACTATCTTCCTAGTAGACTCAGAAAACAGATGCTGCTTCTGTTCTCGGCTTCAAGATAAGCCTACATTCCATCACACACTAAAACACAGTTTCATGAAAGCACTTCTCTAGGAAGTCAGCTGTTTGCAGTGCAGATACAGAGCTCTCTGATTCTTGCTGAGCAGGATCAACATGCGTGGCTGGGAAGGAGCAGTATTAGAGGATGCAGTCTTAGGGCGGCAGCGCATGACGACCTCTATGGCTGTCGGCAAGTCTGGCTCCAAGGGTCCAGCTGAGAGTGGGGGATCCCTGCGGTGTGGTTCCCTAAATGACTCCTCACCTGGAAACATGCTCCTGAAGAAGATCCTGGCACTACTTCACTGCCAGACTGGGTGGAAACTCTCACTGAAGCCAGGAAGGAAATCGTGGTGCAGCCGGCCTCCGGCCAGGCAGGTCTCCCAGTCTCCCAGCCTTGCCATTGGAGTCCTAGTCCCGGCTGATGGTGTCCCTTGGAAGCTGTGCTTGAGGGCAGCGGGAGTGATGGGCAGGTACATGCTCTGCTACTGTTGCCTAATAGAATCACCAGCATTGCAGGGGATTCTCAGCCACTTTTCCTCTCCAGGGCCACCTGATGATGACACTCTTTCACTGGCCTTATTTCATCAGAATTTCACAACACCCTAGGCGGCAGGTAGGTGGGGCTACATCCCTCTCCCCACCTGACAGAGGGAGAAACCAAGGCTCAAGGTCACATCGGCAAAGAGAAAGAGCTGGAGTTGACAGCCAGGTCTTCCGACTTAGTCCAGGGTTCTTTCTGAGGTAGGAAACTTCCCTGTGTACTCATCCCTAAAACAACCATGGCAAAATTATTGTCAGGCTACAGCTCCACCAAAGTGTCTGAACACTGGAAACTGATTATTTTAATTGGGAATGTGATCTCATCTGGCTGCAATCTACATGGCCTTGCCATTCAAACATTTAAAAATACAGATGATTTTTTTTTCCATTATGAAAGTCATAGTGCTCATTATAAAAAATGTGCTTAGAGTGGATTTGTGGATTTTTGTGCTTTGGAAGGAAGGTCTTCAGTCAGTTCTTAGGGGGAAGATGATCCCATCTTAAATGAATGAATGTTCTCAGGGAAGGGTGATGCCAAGGCCTCATATTGTGTTTCTAGGAAAGGGTAGACCCATCTCATTCTCTGAATCAAGGTGGTATTGTGATTCTAGGGCACAACGGACCCATCTCACTCTTCAGAAGGGTAAACAAGTCCCAACAGCTTGAGGTTCTGGCTTAACAGTCCGTCTCACCCTTGCCAGCAGGCTGGTGAGCCTTCTTAAACAGAATGAGAGCTTTTGTATAAAACAGCTGGGCGGGGTGGCTGTGCTGCAGTGGGGAAGGAATCCCTCACTGATGTCTCAGCTGCCCAGGAGCCCATCGCTGAGAGTGGCCTAACAGTGAGTTTGCTGTCCTCAAAGTGCCCCAATGACAGGACCGAGGGAGGGAGTGCTCTGGGGAAGCATTCCAACGACCAGGGGTCATGCCGGACCAAATCCCTGCCCCTGCCCCTGCCCCTACCCCAGGGCCAAGCTAACCTGCTAGGGTGCCCTAATGGAGGTGAGAACTCCCTGGACCCCAGAGGGCCCAGCAAGGTGTGAGGAGGTGACACTCCACAGGGGCTCTGCTCTTCATACCTCCTCAACACTCCAGGACACTCATAAGGCCCAGTACGGCTGGGCCAGCATGGCAGGGAATGATGGCTAGAATCCCATTTCCATATCTGGAGTCCAGATAGCAACTGTCAGTGCTCCCTGAGCCAGGAGCTGTGAGGATGAGACATCAGTCTGACAAAATACAGAAGAGTTACCAGGATCCCCGCCTGCATCTCCCATCCCAGGAGGCGCAGCTAAGAGCACTGAGTCCTAGTCTCCAGCACACTCTCCCACCCTGGGCCTCCCTGAAGATGGGAGGGAGGGTGGCTCCAGCTCTCTTTACCACTCAGGAACCTAATGAGAGGGCACTCCACCTTTCTTGTTCCCTAAGTCAGCAGCATCTTGTAGCACCTCAAACTGGTCATAGTCATTTAGGATTTTGAAAGCCAGATACCTGCCGTGCTGATAAGATGTTTATCAGTGGAAAGGGTAAGTGCTGGTATCAGCGGAGCATGTGGGTGGAGGCAGGCAGCAGCTCAGGAGTTCAGATCCTCGCTGCAGGTGAGTGCGGGGCATGTGTCCTGCGGGCTCTCCTGCTCGGGGCATAAGTGGGATTGAACAGCTTTCATTTGGCCCTGCGGACATGATCAATGTCCAGTAGCCTTTTGGCTCCTCTCTTTCATGGTTCACAGTAAGCTGGGCTTCTCCCTACTCCTGTGAGGCAAGGTGATGGCTTGTGATTGAATCTTGGCTGGTTTATTGTGAGGATCGCGTGCATTTGTGTTAAATTAAGTTGAATTCAATAATATGCAAGCCACATGTGGTAGGAGAATAATGGCTCTCCGAAGTTGTCCATGTCCTAATCTCCAGAACCTGCAAATATGTTAGGTTGCATGGAAAAGGGGAATTACACTTGCAGGTGAAATTGAGGTTGCCAACCGACTTGATCTAAAGATTATCCTGGATTATCTGGGTGGGCCCAATGTAATCACAAGTGTCCTTAAAAGTGGAAGAGGAAGGCAGAAGAGAAGTCAGAGTGGTGCAGGGAGAAGGTCTCAACCTTCCATTGCTGATTTTGAAGATGGAAGAATGGCCACGGACCAAGGAATGTGGGAATGTTGGCTACTTCTAGAACCTGAAAATGGCAAGGAAACAGATTCACCTCTATGGCCTCCAGAAAGGCCTAAGATCTTGATTTTAGCTTAGTGAGTCCTATGTTGGACTTCTAACCTATAGAGCTATAAGATGATAGAGTTGTGTTGTTTTCAGCCACTGTGTGGTAATTTGTTACAGCAGCGTTAGAAAACGAATAAACCATGCATCAACAAATCTTCGGAAGCAGCTCCCCAAGCTTGAAGAATGTTTCAGAGTTTTCAGATCTTTGCTCCAAACAAGGCAACCACTCTTGCTCCATTTTTAAGTTTCTCCAAATTTTGTGTTTCAAAAGGAAGATATATTATTAACGTTTCTAGAATTAATGGCTGCAAAAATGGCTTGAGGAGTCTCAAGTAGGTGGGAAACAAGTATGATAAGGTTTTTTCTTTCTCCAGTCACCACTTTGCCCATCCTGTAATGACTGTCTTAAGTATATTCCATAATCTAACAATCACATTTATTCATTGTCCAGCCCAGTCTGGTTCAAAATGCCAACCTCGGATCCAATTTAAATCTCATTTCTTACCTCTCCTTGGGAAAGTCAGCCCTCAGCAAGGGATTTGAGGGAGGTCGAGTGTGTGGTCAGTCCTCTTATTCTTCACTTTCCCTTTCATGGGTTAAGTGCCTTTAGGTTGGAGGGGGACAGGGACCATCTAACATGGCCAGCCACCTGTCTGTGTGGGATGTTTCTAGTGTCACCCTGGCTCGGTCAGGGTCTATATGATCCTGGAAATTTTGATGGTACACTGATCTTATCATAAATGATGGGCAAGGTTTTTTGGAAGCTGTATCCAGCCATACCCCTGTTCTGAGTCCCCCTTCAGGGCAGCCATATCTCCCTTTGACCAGCATTGTGGCTTGTGCCTTTAACTTCCTCTCTGGGCAGGGCATTGCCTCACTTGGCCAATTAGCTTACTGCCAAGCAACTGATGGACAGTAACCTCGTTCCTCCACCCAGGCCACTTCCACAGGCCTTCTGCCTTCAGAAATCTCCAGGTTTTGGCCTCAACGTTCATGGGTGCCTCCAAACTCCCAGCACACAAGCCAGGTTCTTCAAGAGCTTTCCCAGGGTCACCATGTTCTGCTCTACTCCGAGGGCACCCCCAGTCTCAGAGCACATCCAAGTCTCCACCTAGCTTTGGGGAGGAAGTCACCTCCCCTTGTGAACACCACATTGACTAACACTTGCCCTCTTTCTCCTTCTTTCCCTAGCTCTCTGCTTATATTACAGAGGGGAGCTGGGGTGAAGGCTGGGGGGAGCCAGCAGGACGAGTTCTGAAGCCTCTTATTAAGCCTTGAGCAAGGGGTCTAGCCCCTCTTTAAAATGAGGGGTTCCTAATTAACACCCTTCCTTTCAAATGCAGCCTGGCCTCCCATTCCTCTTCCACTTTCTTTTCCAGCTGCTTTTCAAAGAGCCCACCTTTTGGTGTTGACTTTTCATGGACTCCACTTGTCAGTTGTAACAGCTACCCTCACAAGTGAGCCAAAGGATTCAAAATAAGGTTTCCTGTGAGCACAGTCCATAAGGATTGGGATTTGTATTTATGAACATGGAAGAAGCCCAGCCCCATAGAAGTGAAACACAAAAGAACGGAGGAGTTTTATTAAATGCTATGGTCTGAATATTTGTGTCCGTCCCAAATTCTTATGGTGAAATTCTAACCACCAAGGTGATGGTGTTAGGAGGTGGGGCCTCTGGGGAGGTAATTAGGTCATGAGGGCCCTTAGGAAACGGGCCCGGGAGCTCACGTGCCCCTCCCACTCTGTGAGGACACAGCGAGGTGCCATTTATGAACCAGAAAGTGGGCCCTCAGCAGACACCAAATCTGCCAGTGCCTCGATCTTGGATTTCTCAGCCTCCAGAACTGTGAGGAATAAATTTCTGTTGTTGACAAACCACCCAGCTTGTGGCACTTTGTTATAGTAGCCTAAGTGGACTCAGCTACTAAACTTAACAGAATAACAGGTGAGATGGGGAGAACTGCTGCGCTTCAGGCCCCTCCCAGGAGACCACCCTCACCTTTCTCTGAGCTACCTAGGGGCTACAGGGAAACGGACTTTGACTCTGAATGGAGCTGTGCAGGGGCTTCTATCTGTGACCCAGCCCCTTGGGCCTCAGAGCCAGCAGGTGTGGACGAGGCTACATTCACAGTAGCGGCCCACCTGCAGCTGCCTCTTACCCACCCACACAGGCCTTTCTCCAATGCACACTCCAGCCCCAGCTGTCTCTGCATCCCCAAAGCATTCCCTGCCAGCAGAGGAACCCCTGGGTGCTGCAGGAGCTGAGCTGGTGCTGCTCTCTGATGTGCTGGAGCCTCTCGGGGTCTGCGGAGAGGCGTGAGGCCTGCTTCGCTCTCCTCCTTGGGCACTGTCAGACAGTCCCAAACTAGAGCTTCTTGTGCCCTGTCTTACAGGTGCTTTGCGTTTTGTTTATATAACACTTAGCATTTACAGCATTCTAAGCAGTTTACAAACACGAACTCCAATGACTTCAGAGCAGCCCTCTCAGGCACTGCGGGCATCACCATTTAATGATGAGGAGGCTGAGGCGTAGAGAGGAGAGGTAACCTGCCCACAGTCACACAGTTGGTGGGTGACAGGATGAAGCTGAGATTTTTAAAGAATATTTTATCATATATATATATGTGTGTATATATATTTTACTGGCCACCCTTTCTCTCCTGTGACCCAGATGAGGTCTCCAAGGGACCAGATGGAGAACAGATGCAACCACACTGAAGTCAGAATCGCAGCTTGCCTCCGACACCTGACGCTTCACTGTTGGCGAGGCCCACTATGCCTCGCTCTCCCCCTGTAATGAGTTCTATCCCAGAGGCTCCTATACCCTTTAGAAATAAACTGCTCAGGCAGCCCAACCAGTTCATCCAAGAGGCCTGGAACCACAGCAGCGTCGACAGCTGAGATGAGAGTTGGTCCCTGATCTGATACAGAGCCTGGGTTTAGCTTTGATTTCTCTCTTCCTAGGCAAGATCTTTAGAGAATAACTTTTTGTGCCTGGCCATCTCCTGCTCTTTTCTCAACCCAAAAGGGCTATGTTCACCTAAAGAGGAAAAGCAAGAAGGCTTCCTGGGCTCGGGAGGTCAGGGCTGGAAAGAACTGCTCACCATTTCTGAGCCGATGAGGACTCACCTGGGCTCCTCACTGGTCAGGGAACTGTGGCCCAGCCGCAGAGTGATTGCTTTGTCAAGAAGGGAAACATTTACCTTTCCTTCTTCCCTCTGCTCTCTCCTAATTAACAATTAAATGGAAGGAGTTGAAAAGACATGTCAGAGACTTCAATCTCCTCCCGGCCTGAGGATGAAGGGGGCTCGAACCTGAATGTTCTCTTCGCTGTGGCCAGAACCTAGGGGGCTGGGGTTGCTGCCAGCTCGACTGGAGGCCTGCTTCCAGCCCCAGGCTGTGGTGAGGGGCCTCACAGATTTCACAAACAGGAGGGCGGCTGACCAAGCGCCAAACTATTTAGACAAACACACACCCTCCCTTCCCGCCAGAGTTTGGGCTGATTTCTCCCAATGCTAATGAACAGCTCATAAGTATTAATAGACTCCTTGGCACCTAGGAGTCAGGCAGAGTAACTTCCAGTGTGAATTTTGGCCAAGGACCCTGATGCAGCCTCAGGATCTTCCAAGCCCCTGTTGAGTCCAGGGGGCATGAGACACACAGGGAGGCTGGGGCTGCTCCCAGGAAGCAGGCTCACAAGAGCCAGACAGGCTCCCACAGACAGCTTTTAGGTCACAGAAACCTCTGCCTGCCAGGTAGGCATGAACACAGAAACCCTCCCAAATCCTCAGACTGTGGAGCACACTCCAGGTGAGCCAGGATCAATCCCTGGTCTCAGAGAACACTTAGATGGGGGTGAAAAGCAGGAACTGAGAGCTTCCCACCCAGCACCTGTCCCTGCTACCAGCTAAACCTGTGTCGGTCAGTGCAGGAATTGTACAGGTGATGCTCTGAGCCTGTGCTGAGGCCATGTATGGACTGAGGAAACCTCACTGTGTGTATGTAAAGTTAATTCAAACCTATTTCCCTGAGTGCTTACATATTTTCATAAGGAAAGTTCTGTTAGGAGAGCTGCCTGAAACAACACCTCTGCCTGTGCTCCCACTTTCTCCCGCTGGTGTGGGGAGGAGAGGCTGACATCGCTGGGTCCACGTTCCTCTGCCCTGGGTGGGGTATTAATGCTGCCATTCCCACGCTGCCTGCTGTTTCCCCTCATCCTCAGGAGGGCTGGTCTCTGTGCTGCAGGCAGCTCCACCAGGCCTGGGAGCATGACACCGTCTGCCAATGCCTTGCCCAGGTCCACTGGCCTCACCCTTCCGCAGGCCTGCGCCTTCTGTGACTCTCTGCCTCAGCAATTTCTCTGGATTTCTTTGTCCTCAGGAATGTGCTGGGGCCACAGGCAGGTCAGGCCAGGCTTTCTGGGGAGTGAATGCTCTCTGCCAGTGGCGGATGGAACTGGTAGACACGTCCCCCGGATTCCTCGCCTGCAAGTGGGATGGTGCCAGGAAAGTTCTACACCATCCTTCCCAGGTCCCAGGAGGACAAGCACAGTTGTCCACAAGGTAACCAACCTGCTCATTCAACACACTGTGTATTTGCTTCCCTCCCTCATCAGCCCCTTTAAACCCCACAGTAGGTAGGAAATGACAGAAAACAAGAGAAAATGCTAGAGATAAAGGAACTTCTTTAGGATTCCGTCAAGACTACATCCCTGAGAAAAGCAGACTCTGGTGAATCATTTAGGCCCACAGTGTGTTCTGATCATTGTCCTGGGCTAAATCATCAACCCAAGGCCTGCTCGCCCTTTGAGTCCACGCAGGACAGGAACTGGGCACATTTATCCTTACTTTTGCAGGGCCTGGTACCTCACAGCACTTAGTAGGTTCCGATAAATGCTCAGCCATGCTGAGTTAACTCCACAGTAGCTCAGCTGGAAGGAGTTCTTCAAAGACCACTGAGATGAGAAAGAATGACTTTGTTGAAGACCTTCTCTGTCCATCCAAAGCTGTCAAGGGTCAATTGTTCGGGCATTGCTACCTCCCATTTGTCTCTAGCACTGGAGGAGTCTGCTTTAAGTTCCAG
This sequence comes from Homo sapiens, assembly GCF_000001405.40. Classification (NCBI taxonomy): domain Eukaryota; kingdom Metazoa; phylum Chordata; class Mammalia; order Primates; family Hominidae; genus Homo; species Homo sapiens. Next base: position 94,622,198 of record NC_000001.11, on the reverse strand, counting down.
GTTCTTGAGCCAACATAGGGCTCCTGGCTTAGGAACTGTGTGTAGTATTCAGGCAGGAGAAGCCTGGAGCTGGGCCTGCCTTAAGGGTAGAAGGTCCAATCCTGGAATGAATGCCTCCCCATCTCCAGAATCAGGACCAGGATATCCAGGACTCCTTTCAATGCTGTTTCTACAAGCCTCACCTTAGACATTGCTGTCATGATGTAATAATATTTGACCATAGTATTTATTGTATGTGGCAGGGAACCAAGAGGATGTTGAAAAATCCTGGTTGGATCTGAACTTGGAAACAAATTTGAGGAATCTATTTTACTTAATCCTACTGAAAAATTCCCTAATGAGTTAAAGAAGAACAAAGTAAAAGAAGATAAAAAAGCAGTTGGTACTTGAAATGAAGATCAAATCATCAAGTCCTATATGTCACCCACAGATCTGAGATCACTGACTCCCAGAGACACCCAGTTTCTCAGTGTCAGTACACACTGCCTGGGTTAGTAAGCACAGGCTGAGACCTGGGAGGAATTGATGAACCAAATGTGTCTGGGCTTTTCACTTCCTCGGCATGAGTCAGCCAAGAAAGCCCACCTCTCCTCCCCAGCAGCGTGCAGGGCCTCTGCAGATAAATGTGCAGGATAGCAGACCTGGGTGTGGTGCTGCCTGGCACTGAGCCAGCCCCCAGATTCTTTGGCTGCAGAGTGGCCTGGCCAACTCACACAGGTAGCGCCCTTTTATTCTTGGAAAAGGAAGCACCAGGTGGAAAGGGAGGTTAAAGGAGGGAACACAACTTTTTTCCAGACCCCTCTGCCCAGGATGTTAAAGGTTGCTGGAAAATGCCTTTGGTGGCTTTAAATGTCACAGATGACATATTCCAGGATGGATCCAGCCTCCACTGGACTTGGCCCCTCTATTTTGATTCCTGCCTTTCCCCAGCCTCAGCCCTGAGCGGCATAATATCTACACGGGGTTAGCTGCAGGTGGAACTCAGAACACAGCTCCTAGACAAGTAGAGTGAGGCCTATGGCTTCATCATCAAAATGTAAAATTTAAATATATAAATGAATAAAGGCTAGATAGACACATAAATATACATACACACATACATTTTGTCTGGTGCCAGGACCAAGGCCTTATTACAGCTCAGAGCTCCACTTTGAGCACTTGAGGGCAGGAGGGGCTCCGAGCTTCTCTCCCCTCAATGCTGCCGCAGGGTTCCTAAGCAAGGACCCACATGTGGAGGCTCCTGATCCCTGAACTGAAAGTCGACTCTCCAGTGCAACAGGTAAACTTGTTTGAGAACGTGGGACATAACGACGTCTAAACTATTGCTTCTTGGCAGCATTGGATGATTAGGTCCTCGCTAAGGCTTGCCAAGGCCTGTCCTAGGAAATGTTCCTGGGCTTGATTTCATCCTCACTGTTGAGAGAGTTTATTCCTTATAAGGTCCATCTCAATTCTCAGGGCACCGCAAGACAACGTATCTCCCCTCTCCTGTGCAATCAGTCAAAGAACATTTAGTCAACCTGAACTGGGAGCACAGCGCTCCTGGGGCTGTTGGGCATTCAAAAGAGGTAAGATGTTGTGAATCTACCAGGCATCTGCACCCTTGTTGGGGAACCAATCCATATACAGCAGCAACTGTTAAGTGGTGGCACCTGCTGGCTGTAGCACTTAATAGGTAGGTGTGCATGGAGTCAGACTGCCAGGTACACAGACCAGCTCTACCACTCACAGTAGTTGTGATCTTGGGCAAAACACAAAACCTCCCTGAGCCTCTCAGTTTCTCACCCACTAGTACCACCTCACTAAGCATGTTAGGAGGAGTCAATGTGATAGCCTATGCAAAGTGCCTGGAATAGTGCCTGGCACACAAGAGGTATTCAATACCTGCCAGCTGTTGTTGTTTTTCTGCAAATGAAGTGTAAACCCCTTGAGGACAGAGATGAGTGTCCATAGCTGTTATCTGCCACAGAGCCTTCCTTCCACATAACATATGCTCGAGGGTTTGCTGACCTACTTTGAAGAAAGGGGCAACACGAGGGGAATATAGTTTTATTGTGTAGGGTAATTTCCTCCAGGAAAGAAAAAAACAGTGAATCTGTGAAACTTGGTACAGATTGTTAAAAAAAAACTCACTTTGTAAAATAAAAGTATTTTCAACTGCAAGTATCCCTATTTTTAAATAGTTAACCAAGATTTGCATACCTGTGGTTTATTCTGGAATGTTTAGACAGGTATAACAGATAAAATCTGAAATAAGCAAAATAAGCCAAATATAATCAAGAGAAATCTGCCACAAACGTGTAGCTTGCTTGGATGAACATTACAATGGGTTTTTAAGGGAGCATGCAGAATGAAACTTTCAGAAAATAGACCTTCTCCCTTGGTCCACATTGTCAATCACTGACAAGGCTTAACTCTAGGCAGACAAAATGTTCTCCACAGGCTGGTCCCCTGCCTGTCCTGCATGTGCATCTGGGGCTGTTGCATAGTGGTGCCGGGTGGGGCATGACTGACAGGCATGTGATCTATGTCACTCCACCCCAGCCCAATGGCCAGACTGACCGCTGTTGCGGGAAGTCAGGGACCCCAAATGGAGGGACCAGCTGAAGCCATGACAGAAGAACATGGATTGTGAAGATTTTATGGACATTTATTAGTTCCCCAAATTAATACTTTTGTAATTTCTTATGCCTGTCTTTACTGCAATCTCTAAACATAAATTGTAAAGATTTCATGGAGACTTATCACTTCCCCAGTCAATACCCCTGTGATTTCCTATGCCTGTCTTTACTTTAATCTCTTAATCTTGTCAGCCGAGGAGGATGTGTATCACCTCAGGACCCTGTAATAATTGCATTAACTGCACAAATTGTACAGCATGTGTGTTTGTGCAATATGAAATCTGAGCACCTTGAAAAAAGAACAGGATAACAGCAATGTTCAGGGAATAAGAGAGATAACCTTAAACTCTGACCACCGGTGAGCCGGGCAGAACAGAGCCATATTTCTCTTCTTTCAAAAGCAAATGAGAGAAATATCACTGAATTCTCTTTCTCAGCATGGAACATCCCTGAGAAAGAGAATGCACACCTAGGGGTAGGTCTCTGAACTGGCCCCCCCAGGGCGTACCTGTCTCTTAATGTCAAGTCTGCAGAGGTGAAATAGACTCCAGTCTCCCATAGCGCTCCCAGGCTTATTAGGAAGAGGAAATTCCCGCCTAATAAATTTTGGTCAGAACAGTTGATCTCAAAACCCTGTCTCCTGATAAGATGTTATCAATGACAATGGTGCCCGAAACTTCATTAGCAATTTTAATTTCACCTCAGTCTTATGGTCCTGTGATCTCCCCCTGCCTCCACTTGCCTTGTGATATTCTATTACCCTGTTAAGTACTTGATGTCTGTCACCCACACCTATTTGCACACTCCCTCCCCTTTTGAAAATCCCTAATAAAAACTTCCCTAATAAAAACTGGCTGGTTTTGTGGCATCACGGATCCTACCAACGTGTGATGTCCCCCGTGGATGCCCAGCTTTAAAATTTCTCTCTTTTGTACTTTGTCCCTTTATTTCTCAAGCCAGCAGATGCTTAGGAAAACAGAAAAGAACCTATGTGATTTTCGGGGCGGGTTCCCTGAAAGACCGCCACCATGGACAGCTCAGCCAGGGCCATCTTCTGCTCTGACATTCCCTCATGCCCTGCCTTGCTGTTGTATCATGGAAAAGGGTGGGATGAAGGTTTAGGAGGTGACCTGCATTCATGTCCCAACCCTGCCACTTTTAGCTATATGAACTTGGTTGACTCACGCTCTCTGAGTCTCACTCAAAAAAGACCCTATATGTGTAGATTTATAGATGGGGATGGTCCAGATGGTGTGAGTGGTCAGCTCCGGCTCTAAATCCTGGCATTTTCTGGGATGTGGATGAGTATGGCGAGAGGCAGGCAGCCCAGCTGCTGGCAGCACGTGGCTAGTGGATGCCGGTGCCTCGAGCTCTCTCAGAGACCACATCCAGGTTCCCTGTATACCAGCCCCAGGATGTACACACACCATAGTACCACCCCTAAATGTAGATGGCAAATATTTATTTGAAGTGTTACCAGAAAGGGATCCTAATTTAGACCCCAAGAGAGGACTCTTGGACCTTGGGCAAGAAAGAATTCGGGGCATTTCCACAAAGTGAAAGCAAGTTTATTAGAAAAGTAAAGGAATAAAGAATGGCTACTCCATAGGCAGAGTAGCAGCACGGGCTGCTCCACTGAGTATACTTATAGTTATTTCTTGATTATATGCAACAAAGTGTGGATTATTCATGAGTTTTCCGGGAAAGAGGTGGGCAATTCTTGAAACTGAGGGTTCCTCTCCCTTTTAGACCAAATAGGGTAACTTCCTGATGTTGCCATGTCATTTGTAAACTTCATGGCACTGGTGGGAGTGTCTTTTAGCATGCTAATGTATTATAATCAGCGTATAATGAGCAGTGAAGATGAGCAGAGGTCACTTTCATTGCCATCTTGGTTTTGGCAGATTTTGGCCAGCTTCCTTACCACATCCTGCTTAATCAGCAAGGTCTTCGTGACCTGTATCTTGTGCCGACCTCCTATCCCATTCTGTGACTAAGAATGCCTAATGCCTAACCACTTGGGAATGCAGCCCAGTAGGTCTCAGCCTTATTTTACCCAGCCCCTATTCAAGATGGAGTCACTCTCATTTGAACACCTTTGACAGAATCACATAATCATATAACATATGCTGAGGACCTTTTGCAGAACAAGAGGGACTGAGGGCTGTGCTATGAGGGCTACAAAAGATGTGCACATCCAGACCCTTGCCCTCAGGAAAGTGTCCAATGCCAGCTGTGTCTGCAACAGGCTGTGAGGACTTGGGCACACTACAACCTCTCTAAGCCTATTTCCTCATCTGTGAAGCAAGGATAATAAAACTTATCTTACTCGTTATAAAAATCAGAGGTAATACGCATAAAGCTTGTTGGATTGTTTTTAGGATCGGATTATTGTTAAGAAATAGATATTATATGTTAAACTCCTAGCATAGTGCCTAGCAACTGGTAGGCATTGAATAAATGGTAATTACTATTGTTACTAATATGCTATTGTCATTATTTTTAGTGTGGATCAGTGTTAAAAGTGCTTCATGGAGAAATGGAGGCCTGAAAGCGACTCTGAAGGAGGAGTGGGGCTCAGCAAACAGCAGACGAGTTTCAATCCAAGCACCCATTACCCCCCTAACACACGGCATACGTGCATCTCATCTCCTCCTGTGTCGCTAAGAAGCTACCCATATGTCTGTCATTAATTCTCCAGAATCCTTGGACACACCCCTCTGCAGAGCTTTCTAACAGGAAATACAAGTCTCAGATTTTTTTTTAAGTTAAAATTGAGTGCAGCACTCATACCTTTCTTCGAGCATGAACCGTCAATCAACACTGCCTCATGAGCTACTGCTCTCCTGCTCTTTGAAAAGACAAATCCTTATTTCTTTGTAGTGATCCAGAAGGCAGTGGGAAGAATGACAGGTGCTTGGTTATCTTCAATTTAATCTCTACCTTTCAATGGGGCTAGTGCAAGCTAGGGCCATTTTACTGCACCCAAAGGAATTTAAGACATTTCTATTATCTCTAAAGAATCCAGATTAACATGCCTTCTTGGTGGGCAGGGAGACCAGCTATGAATTCTAGGATCTCAATTCAAATGCTTTTGAATTCTTCCTGCTTGTTCAGTTAATTACATATATGTCACCACAATCTTGCTTTTTTTTTTCTATGCTTCTAATTTTCTCTGAAACTATAACATTATTTTAGGGGTTAATAAATTTGTAATTGGAAAAAATGTTTTTACTTCTTTAGGCTCATCTTTCCTCCCTTCCTTCTTCCCCTCCCCAACAAAACCTTTATTTTCTCAAGTGTCCATTCTTTCTGTAGGAAAAACCATCATCATAATTACAATATGTTAAGTGACTACTATATGCCAGGAATTAGCTCAATTCTTCACTTATTTTATTTTACATAATCCTTTCCAAAACCCCCTGTCATAAGTAATATTATTATTCCTACTATATAGCTGAGACTCCTGAGGATAAGAGAGGTCAAGTAATTTGTCCACTGCATTAGGTGGGTAGAGCTAGGACTTTAATCCAGAACACCAATGACTGTTCTCTTCTTCACCATTACACTACTTTTTTCAAATTTCTAGAGACCTTCATGAATTCTTTGCATTTTGTTTTTTGGTAGTATAAATATTGATATTCCCAAAGGCCAAGTAACTGCTCTTAATAAACAATTGCAGCCAAGCGTGGTAGCTCATGCCTGTAATCCCAGTACTTTGGGAGGCTGAGGCGGGTGGATCACAAGGTCAGGAGTTCGAGACCAGCCTGGCCAATATGGTGAAAGCCCGTCTCTACCAAAAAATACAAAAATTAGCCAGGTGTGGTGGTGCACACCTGTAGTCCCAGGTACTCGGAAGGCTGAGGCAGGAGAATTGCTGGAACCTGGGAGGCGGAGGTTGCAATGAGCCAAGAGGATGCCACTGCTGTCCAGCCTGGGCGACAGAGTGAGACTCCGTCTCAAATTAATTAATTAATTAATTAATTAATTAAAAAATAAAAATAAACAATGACTTCCATGGAAGCAGTTATAAGCTGCCTTGAAGCAACTGCCCACAGTGGTTTTCTGACCTAGGTGAACTTGAAAATGGAATGATCAGCTATTGGCTGCACGGTTTTGTTCTTTTCAGAAACAAGGGAAAGGACAATGTGACTTTGCAAATATTTAGGGTACTACAACTTAATATTCTTAGCATAGCAGAACAGTGCTGGGAATCCCTGGGTCTTCTACTGAAATCCCCCTAAAAATTCCTTAAAATATTTTCCCTCAAAAAAAATAAAACTCAGCTCTGAAAGTTTACATGTGTTGACTGCCCCAGACAACAGGAAGTGAAACGACTTAGTTGGAAGGAGGCAGGGTCAGGGTGGAGGTGCTGCTGAGTGTGGGAAGTCTGGAGTGCGGAGAAGGCGCCCAGAGAGACTTCCTGGTGAGCTCTTCAGAGGAAGGAGCAAGTGCAAAGGCGATTGCAGAAGCCAAGGGATCATCTTTTCCTCAACATGCACAGCCAGAAGAAGAATCTCAGAAGCTGCATGTGCTCTAAAGAAGAACTGCTGCTCTCTGGGTCTCTTGGGCTCCACACTGCTTCCTAAGTTTCTGAACTTCTGGAACTTTTCCTTCTCAGTGAATAACTCAAAGCCTTAATTCTAATGCAGCAGGTTTAAAGCACTTGCATGTGATTTGATAGGAAAGTCTGGGGTGGATAGTGGTCATGAACAACAATATCCCAAAGTATTTGTTATTTCTGCCTGGCAATTATAAAGGATGAAAGTAGCATGGTCATGGCAGAAATAGATGGTGGGTTAAGGTTAGATCAAGTTAGATCTCAGGTGTTGGCAGTTTCCTAAGCCTTTGAGGTTCCCATAGCTAACATCTTCAGAACCAAAGGGGCAATCTTCTACTGGTTACTGACTAAGAAGAGAAAGCGGAATCTCTTAGAGGGTATTTGGTAATGTAGGGTTAACCATGGTGTCACGGTTATCGCAATGATTGGGGAGTGTTGCAAACATCTAGTGAAGAGGGCAGGGATATTAAATGTCCCACAGTGATGGAACACTTCTGTGCTGTGAAGAACCACTCCATCTCAAACGTCAGCAGCACCCCTGGGCAGGTCCCTGCCCTCAGTGGTGCTTGACTCTGGACTAGGTCCAGAGATGTGCACAGCCAATCTGAGCTTTATTTTCAGGAGACTTTGCTGAAAAAGGACTGATGACGTCACCAGCATCATCCTCAACAAGTGTCTGTGACAGCCTGTGACGTGGAAGGCAGGGTGCTGCCTAATGAAAGGCCGCGAAATGCTTTGAGAATCAAATAGACTCTAATACAACTCCCAGTCTGTTACAATATCCAGGATGCTTGCACTTAACTTAGAAATGTAATGTATCCTCTTGCCTCTTTTTTCTCTCTTATTCTATGTAAACAAGGGTTTGCTCTATGAAGCCAGAAAAAACAAAATTCTTACATACAAGTTTCCATTAGCAGTTCTATATCAGTATCTATCTTCTCATACGATATGCTTTCAAGACTACAGACTTCTCAAAATAATCAAAAGACTGTAGTGTACACTAAAGGTTGACAAGGCTCTGATCTAAAATAATATTTTGGTCTTGTCATTTGGAGGGCGTTTTGTGATGTTTTGACCCTAAATTTCACATATACTAAAGTACACAGAAAAAATATTTAATTCTTAGACATTCTGAAATTATTTTAAAAACTCAAACTATTTATTATGGTCAAACATGCCAACGGTAACTTGCCCTAAACACATTTTCTTCAACTGCAAAAGAAATGAATAAATTATGGAAGAACAGCAGATTTTATAATCTTAAGAGTCTGCATTTTCTGAATATTGATGTATACGTATATACCTAAAGACACCCTATTCTATGTTTCAGAGTGAATTCTTATGCTGTGAGTTCTACCTTGAACAGCACTAGTGCTAAGTAGGATAAGAGCTATGCAGATCTCTCTGCTAACTCCTCCTGCCCAACCCCAAATGTCTGTTCCATGGCTCAGTTCCATTCCTCTGCATTTCTTTCCTTGCATATGTTACAGGAAAGGGGTCCCGATCCAGATCCCAAGAGAGGGTTCTTGGATCTCACGCAAGAAAGAATTCAGGGTGAGTCCGCAGTGCAAAATGAAAGCAAGTTTATTACAAAAGCAAAGGAATAAAAGAATGGCTACTCCATAGACAGAGCAGCCCCAAGGGCTGCTGGTTGCCCATTTTTATGGTTATTTTTTGATGATATGCTAAACAAGGGGTGGATTATTTATGCCTCCCCTTTTTAGACCATATAGGGTACCTTCCTGATGTTGCCATGGCATTTGCAAACTGTCATGGCGCTGGTGGGAGTGCAGCAGTGAGGACGACCAGAGGTCACTCTCGTCGCCATTTTGGTTTCGGTGGGTTTTGGCCGGCTCGTTTACTGTGACCTGTTTTAACAGCAAGGTCTTTATGACTTCTATTTTGCGCTGACCTCCTATCTCATCCTGTGACTTAGAATGCCTTAACCATCTGAGAATGCAGCCCAGTAGTTTTCAGCCTCATTTTACCCAGCTCTTATTTAAGATGGAGTTGCTCTGGTTCACATGACTCTAACACATAGACTCCTGAAACTTGACCTTTCACCTCTCACTTTTATCTAGGTTGCCTAAAACTGCATTTTCATTTCTGACCTCTCACCAAATGCCTAGAGTCACATTTAATATTGCCTAATGTGCATTGCACATGCAGGTCCTGTCTCCCTTCCAACAGTGTCCCCAAACACCACCTCTCCCCTCTTCTTCCTAATTCTTTCAGTTTCTCTGGCTCTCTGACACCCTTTCAAATGAGAGAAAAATTGAGAAGGCAGGGAAAGTGAAAGTGGATTTCAACTTTAGCTCATAATGCCTTGTGTTATCAGCAACCCACTCCACCACCCTATGACAAAATAAGAAACATCTCTGGGACTGGCTGCTTCTTGTATCCCCAGAATCCACAACTCATAAATGGCCAAGAAGGTTGGGAAAGATGAAACTATAAACTAAAAATAAAATCCTAAGTTCCCCAACTGACGGAATGGACTCCCTCTTGTCCAAGGAGGCCTCAGAAAATGTTAAAAACTGAGCCTTGACAGGAGATCAGATACGCCTCATTATGCCCCCTCCCTTTTATGGGTTAGAAAGAACTGAGCAGCATTAATGTTAAAATTGAGCTCATAAGACTGACAGAACAGACTCTTTGTGGCAATAAAATACTAAATTATAAACAGGACCTAGAGCCATGCCAGACAAGGGTTGAGTCACTCACCTCTACACCTAAAGAATAAACTGTGTTCTCTGCCACAAGGTTTACCTTTTTCTCTAGCAGTTAAACAAGCACTGGCCTCGAGATAAGCAATAGTAAAACAATTTGCAGCCACTGCCATGCACTAACTGACCCCCTGTTCCACAAGCCATCACTACAGCTTTGATTGGACAAGAGACTGATTTCAGTAACTTTCTCCTGATAAGAAGACCACCAACCATTGACTGACTCTGGCCAGTTTACAGAGGATGCACATTTGAGTGCCTTTGCATCCTAAAAAGACCTTTGACATTAAAGGCCTAATTGTAACACATTTAAATGTTAAGTCTTCACCCCTAGGTGAACACGGGTTGTATGTTACATGCATGCTTGTTCAATATGCATGCGTCAGGACCGCCTTCATGAATATTCATGGCTCCTCTTATAACCTGTTGAATATGTGTACTTGGCCAACCCATTCAGCTTAAATTCCTGTCCAAACCTTCCTCCTTCAAAGTGCCTGTCTTCGGTCTTTGCCAGAGGCTACACTTCCCAGCCTGCAGATGGCCACCTTGCAGGCTGTAACCGTTTATAAGAAACAAAGTGTCCTTTCCAAATTTATATATTTGTGAAGAAAAACAGTGATCTCAACCAAATTTCCCTTGCCAGTAGAGAGCAATAATTTGAATAATATAAAACAAAGTGACAGAAATTCAACTCTAACCAGCTTAAACAAAGGCAAATTTTCTTAGTTTAATGAGCTAAGAAGTCCAGGAGAGACTGGACTTTGAGCACTGCTGTATTTGGGTGCCAGACAATGTCATCGGGGACCTGTCTCCTCCCTCTCTTTAGCTCAGCTCTCCTCTGGATTTACCTCCATTCTCAGACCAGCTCTCCCCAAGTTAGGCAAAGACAGCGACCAGCACTTCCTGCCAGCTTTGCACCACCACCAGGAGGAAAGCTCCAATGTCTTATTGTTTCTGCAAAAGGTCGGGAGCTGATGCTCATTTCCTTTGTTGGTCAACATGGCCATGCTCACCCCTAAACCAATCAGAGATCAGTGCCCTCATTGGTCGGGTTTGGGTCTAGACTCCTAGAGCCAGTCACTGGGGTCAGCCCTAGGCAAATCACATGGACTGAGGATGGAGGAAGAGTGATCCTCTAAGGGCAGTGATCTGTTGGTGCCATAAGAAAAAGAAGTGGATGCTGGGCTGGTAAAAATATGGTGAGCAGGTGCTCACCATAATCCCTAATAATGATATCTATAGGATTGTGGTAAGAAATAAATAATATGGATTCAAGAAGTTTGAAAACCATAATGCAATTTTATCTAAAAGGTGTTTTATTATTCAGCAGATAATTCTACTTTTCCACAGAAAAACTTAGATAGATTGGGCCAGGCATGGTGGCTCACACCTGTAATCCCAGCACTTTGGGAGGCTGAGGTGGGCAGATCACGAGGTCAGGAATTTGAGACCAGCCTGGCCAACATGGTGAAACTTTGTCTCTACTAAAAATACAAAAAAAAAAAAAAAAATTTAGCCCGACGTGGTGGCACGCGCTTGTAGTCCCAGCTGTTGCAGAGGCTGAGGCAGGAAAATCGCTTGAACCTGGGAGGTGGAGATTGCAGTGAGCCAAGATCGCACCACTGCACTCCAGCCTGGGCAACAGAGTGAGACTCCCTCTCAAAAAAAAAAAAACAAAAAAACAAAAACACAACTTAGATAGATTGCGTTGATGCTATAACCAAAAGCAATAGCCATTGCCTGTGCTGCTGGTTGGTCCAGCAGACTCCAGTGGCAGAGGAGGGCATCCTGGTTTTGTGGTAGGAAGAACCTTGGCTTTGAAGTCCTGCAAATGTGGCTTCTGGTCCCGATTGCATTTTCTATTGGCTGTGTGAACTTGCACATGCCACTTAGCCGTACTTCCTTCAACTGAAATGAGAGTAAATCACACTTTCTTGACACCTCATTTCTAGGTGGATTAAGAAGTCATGTGCAAAGCACCCATGATGCCTGGCAGAGCAGGTGAATGGTTAACAAATATTAGAGATATTAGCCCCTTTTCACTCCCGTGCCTCCAGGACTCATTTTATTACTTTATTACAATTGAAATTTCAATAACTTAAGGCATCTTAATACTGAAATGTGGAACCTGGATAATCCTATTTTTTAAAATAAAGAAACAGAAGTAAATCGAGTTGATCATTGCTGAGTTGCCATTTAAATATTTCCTAAATATACTAATTGGTGGGGGAGGGAGATCCGAATGTGGAACTGGGGCCTTTGCCCTAAATATCCATTAACCCAGGCCATGAACTATGGCTTCAAATGTTGTTGGTATCTCTGACATAGACACACCAACTCTAACAGCACACAGACCAGACCTAGAGAGCAGGTGTGGGGTTATAAAATTATCTTCCCAAGGTGCAAAAACTGCAGTTTTTAAGACAAACCTGAGTCAGCAATGGGAGTGAAATGTGAGCAAGGAGACCGTCAGCGATAAGGAAGGGGTGACTAAACGAACCGGCCTTCCTGGGGGGATTTGGTTTTTGGTGTGTATTTTGGGCAAGGTTAGATGGGAGCAAGGACAGGAGTCAACAAGACTGTAAGATGAGAGCTCGCCTCCTGAAGGAACTTGGGAGATGCCCCGTGCGCACCCCCACACCCCTTTCTGCTAATCGCTTCCTTCCACCCTCAAATCCCTTTTTGCTCCAAGAATCATCCTCTGGGAGGAACATTTACTCAGTTTACTCATTTCTGCCACCTCACCCGCCACATTTATAAATGAGCCAGGGCTCAGGAAAGTATGCGTTCCCTCCCCTGCCTCCCCAGAGTTATAGAACCACAAAGAGCCACCTTAGGAGGCCGTACGATGCTCCCAGCATTTCCCAGGAAGTTTCAGGCCCCTCTGTTTATAAAAGCAGTAACTAAAGGAATGCCAAGTGCTCTTCAGCTTTGTGTCAGTATAAACAAGTTTCACACTGGATGGATCGCCATCAGCCTGGAGTTTCCACAACCAGCACGAAGTCACCACCTTCTGTTTTCTGCTCTCAGCTCAACCTGGCCACCCACCTCCCACTGTGTCTCAGAGCTGTACTTTCCTGTGGGCAACTTTCTGAGCCTGCAGAGGAAAAGGCATCAGCCATACTGCAGGGTTTATTCATTAAGATTTTCAGACAATTTCCTACTATCTCAATCAATTCAGCGGATAGCTATTAAGAAACCAGAGGGAGAGTTCACTCCAGATACACTGAGATGCAGTCTCCACATGAAGAAACTTAGATCAGGCCTGCAGCTCCAGGACACAACTGCTTATGCGCCTCTGTGCAGCCACACCTGGCTGCCCAGCTCATCAGCTCTAACTCTGTGTTCTGAGGAAATCTCCATTCACCGAGTCCTGCACCTTAACTCAGTTCGATGATGGGATGAGAAGGACACAGTGTGGGGCCTTGATAAGAGAGGAGGCCCCTCAGGCAAGCTTGGGCCACAGTGGCCGAAAGAGCCTTGCAGTTACCAGCAGAACACTGCAACTCACTGACCCTCACTTCTTGCTTTCCTGTCTGCAGTCGAAGCCCTGATCCCTGCTTCATCATTCACACACAGACCACGTGTCTCGAAGTTCCAAAGTTAGCAATGGCCGGTCCTTTCCAGACCCATTGGTTTACACAGCCTACACCCCAAATTCTACCTGTCTTTGTTCTCTGTTTCCTGTAAGACTGTGTGTGGGCCTCACCTCCTTGGCTAACTAGACTGGAAGCTCCTGAAAGGCAGGGGCCTCTCACCCGGGTTCTTTTTTCCTTCTCAGCACTCAGCAATCTGCTTGGAGCAAGGCTTATAGATCACTTTGTTGATTGTTACCAAAACATGGACTTGGCCAGTTCTGGGTAAATCTTTAACTTTCAAGGAGCCTGTGAGCAGACGAATGTCCGAAGGTGCTAAAGTTGTATGACTCAACAGATACAAACACAGATGGGGTTGGGTCATTCCTTATTCCACAGCTGGTGCTCTGTCACCTGGGTCCATATCCTCCCGATAAACAACCTGGCTGAAAAGTAAGAGCTGAAGGGCTAAGAGGGAACTGCAGGCCCAAGGCCCAAGGAGGAGACGGGGGAAAACAAGAAGGGAGGGATTAAGAAAGAGATCCACAAAGAGGAAGGGGGAGAGGCAGGCAGAGAGAGATTAGAGCAAAAGAGACAGACAGGAACACAGAGAAAGAGGGAGAGAAACAATGGAGAGCAAGAAAGGTCAGAGGTGCCGAGGGAGGGTGGTAGAAAGCTCAGGCGGTCTGGGATCAGGTCACCAAGCCATGATTTGTCCTAATAATTGAGCACCTGCTACATGCCAGGAGTTGTGCTAGGCCCTGGACATGCAGTGGTCAAGAAGGCAAGCCCATTCCTCAAGGAGTTTATATTCTAATGGAGGACTGATGATAAATAATATGCAATAAGATGTGTTGAAGAAAAATAAAGCAGAGGCCAAGGATGTTGGGAGTCAACGTCCTGTAATCCTAGCACTTTGGGAGGACAAGACGGGTGAATTACTTGGGCCCAAGAGTTCAAGATCATCCTGGGCAACATAGCGAGACCCTGTCTCTATGAAAATTAAAAAAAAAAAAAGTATTAGCCAGGCATGGTGGTACGTGCCTGTAGTTCCAGCTACTCAGGAGGCTGAGGTGGGAGGATCACCTGAGCCTGAGGCTTCAATGAGTCATGATCACAAAACTGCACTCCAGCCTGGCTGATAGAGCAAGACCTTGTCTCGAAACAAAACAAAGCAAAATAAAGCAAGGTGGAAGTCTACTCTCAAGTAGAAGCAGAATTTCACTTAGAAGATTTGACTCCTCATCCAGTGCTCATGTGAAAGACCAAATGCACCAGACCATCAAGGAGATGGTTTTATTCAGGGTATTGCAATAGGGAGAATGTTCATGAAAGGAGAATGTCTCAAAGAAAAGGAAGGGGCCCCGGGGCTTTACACAGGCAGGTGAACAAAGGAATCTCACAGGAATCTCTAGAAAGGATGGAGGCAGGTCTTACTTGAAATATTGGAGGGCAGGATGGTCCTTTGAGATTTTGCCATGGAACACAAAAGGATGGGGGTGTTTTGGAAAACAAAAAGGTAGGGGATTTCTTAAGCTCAGGTAAAGTTTAACCTGTCCCTAATATCCTGCCACCTCCATTTTTCTAAACACTAAGTATGGTCACTTTGTTGTGCTCATTTGCTTCTTACCAGCACCGTAACATGGAGTTCCTTCAGGCAGCACACAAGCCCTTTGTGATCTGATTTCTATCTGTTCCCAATTAGCTGAGGTAGGGAAGCACACAGAGAACACACGAGAGGATCTTGTAGGCCAGAACACCCAGTGTCTCTGCACACCTCCCATTGGCCAGAATGCAGTCTCGTAGCATCCTCAACTGAAAGGGAGGCTGGGAGGTATCACCTAGCTATTTGACCAGGAAGGAGGAAATGGATGTTAGTGGTCACAGCTAGCCAGCTTTGTTGCATGTGCTGTTCCCTCTCTCTTTAGAAATGTCCCTCTGCTTCCTTCCTCGCCTTTCTCTGATTAGAGGGCGCCGGTGCACCCTTCAGGTCATCTAAGTGTGTCTTCCTTTAGGAAATCTTTCTTGACCACCAGTGTGGTCAGTACTCCTTGAACGCCTCTGTAGCACCCAGAATATTTTATAGCACTAACCATATGACTCACATTGTTCACTTTCTCATCAGTCCCCTACATGACACCTTGAGGTCCCTGACATTAGAAGCTGTGCCTTTTGTCTTTCTGTACTCAATGCCTAGTGCTGTTTGGCATTGGATTGTAGGTGATCAATAATGTCTGTCAAATAAATGAATGGCTCCTGGATGGCTTCTAAATGGCCAGGATCTCCAGATGTGCTCCAGAAGGATAATTTCAACCAAGAAGAAGACACAGAAGTTTCCACAGTCACCCTAATAGCTTTCGTTTGCCATCTGGGCCTGGGTCAGTTATCACACTGGGACCCCAGGAAGAAGCTTAGTGTTGTGGATGTTAGAGATGCAAAGAGAGCTCAGGTGCCTTATTTTGAGCTCAGCCCACTAACCGTCTTTACAGCTTGATTAGCCTTTAGAGAGAAAACAGAACTTTGGCCTCAACTTCCTGGCAGGTAAGGAAAGAGATTAGCAGATGCCCATTGTGTGAACCCGGCTAAGACTACAGCCAACTCGGAAGCAAGGCGATGGGCTGGAATGGCTCCTATCCACATGGTATTTTGGTAAGTTAAGAAAAGTTACATAGTGACACACTCTGGTACAGCTTCTGTGATCCCCACATTGCTCTCAGCCAGTTTGAGTCAGGACCAAAGACAGTAAAATCTTATTAACACAGGAGAGAAAGACTGAGTCATTTCCGTAATGACTGCCTCACAGCAGGAATCATTACCAAGCCTGAGAGCGAGAAAATGGCGCTCTCTTTTTATGTGGAATTGTTGGCTGGAGTCTCGCCTTTATGACTTTTGAAGAAGGAATTATATGGTTCATACATCCAAGAACAAATAAAACAGGGTTGCCGGCCGGGCTCGGTGGCTCACGCCTGTAATCCCAGCACTTTGGGAGGCCGAGGCGGGTGGATCACGAGGTCAGGAGATCAAGACCATCCTGGCTAACATGAGAAACCCTGTCTCTGCTAAAAATACAAAAAAAATTAGCCGAGTGTGGTGGTGGGCACCTGTAGTCCCAGCTACTCGGGAGGCTGAGGCAGGAGAATAGCATGAACCCAGGAGGCGGAGCTTGCAGTGAGCCGAGATCGCGCCACTGCACTCCAGCCTGGGTGACAGAGCGAGACTCTGTCTCAGGAAAAAAAAAAAAAAAAAAGCAGGGACGCTACCTCATGGTGTGTGAGTAGTCAGACAGCAATGATACCAGGACCTGGCATCAGTGGGGCAGAGCAGAGCGGGGTGGTGTTGAGGAGGGCCTGGGAGGAGTTGGGTATCTGCAGCTCTTGGGCCTGCCGAGGTCCCCTTGCCACCTCCAGTATTTGTGTTTGAGGTTCATTAGGGCCAAGCGGGTCAGGAAAAGGAATAGAACATAAATTTCATAGCTTTACATGGTTGACTTGGGCTCTGTAAGTGGTAAACCCAATGAAATAAAGGTGAATCATGCCTTTTGAATCCTATGTCTTTATTTAGGTTCCGGTGCTTCTCTTCCTGGTTGGGCTGGTTCTTATCCAGGCCTTTTGAGGGCCATGGAGGGTGTCTGAGGGCACAACAACAGGCCTCCTTTAGGGACACTATGGCCTCAGGACCTTAATTCCCAAATGCTTCTGTTCTCTTTAGCTCTCCTCACAAGAGGGGAAAACTGCTGCTATCTCTCTTCTGTGGAGTTGTAGGTATGTGCCTGCATTAAGCAGAAACATTGAGCTGCTCAGATGATGATGACGATGATAGCTAACGGTCATTGAAACTTACAATGTACTAGGCACTAAGTTAGGGTATTTACATGCAAGATCCTGTTTAAATCTCATAATCACTCTATAAAATATGTACTACATCCACTCATTGTTTTAGGTGGAAAACATCCTGGTGGGGAAGATTCTGAGAAATTCAGCTCCAAAATAGAATCATACTAAGAAACCCACCTAGAAGTCCTGGCAAGGATGTGCTTCTGAATTCCATCATCATTAGTGGTTGTGCCCTGGGAACCAGCACAAGCTCTTTCTTCAAATTTCATTTCAAATTTTATCACTTTTCAACACCCCCACTGTAACGACTTTAATCCACTTACCATCATCTCTCACCTCAGCTACGAATAATAACAGATATTTTTGAGATATTCTTGGGTACCAGGCATTGTTCTACACACTTTACATGTGTGTTATGCCTTAATCTTCATGGTAACACAACAAGGTAGGACTCATGATGGAGACCGCTGCATTGCACAGCTCTGAGTGGCACTGTGCACGCTGCACTCGTCGGACTCCAGGGGGAGATTCTGGAGTTGTACAATGTGGTAACCCTATTACATCTCCATTTTATAGATGAGAGAAGTGAAGTGCAGGTGAGTTATTTAACTTGTCCATGCTCATGCTGCTCATCAATGGCAGACATGCTTCAAACCCTGGCAGTCTGGCCCTGGAGGCTTCCCCACTGTGTTATACTGCCTCTCCGTCCCTATACTAGCCCCCTGGTTGGGGCCTCTGCTCTTGCTCTTCTGTATTCTCCAGTGGCTAAAGTGATCCTTTTAAAGCACATAAACAATATAAGGACTCAAAACTCTCCAATAGCTTCCCATCAATCCTGGAATACAATCTGAACAAACTTCATAGCATGCCCCATGAGGCCCTATGTGATCTTCTCCTCACCCCATGCCTCCAGGCTCCTGTGTGACAACCTTCTCCCAGCTCACTATATTTTTGTTTTCCTGAGACCATACCCTTCTGATCTTTTTGTTTTCCTGAGACCATGCCAAGCTTGTGCTCACCTCAGGGCCTTTGCACATGCTGTTTCCTGTGCCCCTGCCTCATCCTCTGCCTGGATCCTCTCATGGGCCACCTCCTCACCTCATTCAGGACTCTGCCCAAATGCCACTTTCTCCAGAGAGGCTTTCTTGATGTATCCATGTAAAATAGCCTCCAACTCACTTCCACCATTCTCCATCCCTTTAGCCTTCTTTGTCTTTCTTTGTAGCGCTTAATAGTACTCAAGGTTATACTATGGATTGATTAATGTATTGGTGTATTAACCCTTGGATGTAAACAGGGACTTTTTCATCCTCAACACTGAGTCTTCAGGGCTGGAAGACAGACTGGTACAAGTTGGAGTTCAATAAATACTGGTTGAGTAAGTGAATAAGCAAAGCTCCTGGAGAGCAGGGCCACCTCTGCCCCAGTCCAGGGGACACAGTCAGTTCTCAGTAAGCACCAAGAAAGCAGGTGAGGATGGGAAAAGGAGAAGGAAGACAGGGAGAAGAAGAAAAGCACTATTCAGATTTCAACTTGACAATACTTATTTAGTGTTTCTTTGGTGCTAAACAAAGTGACACATATCTCATTTAATTCTCACATCCTGTGAAGTAGGTAATTTTAGCAAGAAAGGAGAAATATAAGGATGGTAGGCAGAAATGTGTTTGCATTAATTCCTTGATGCAGTCTTTACTTACGACAGAAAAAAGGCTATCATTAAAGATATGGACTTTGAATTGCTTATCTTTATGCAACTAAGCCACAAGAATTTTGTGTTTATTTTTTATGATTCAAAAGCATTAATCTTACAAGCTGTATAATTTGTATTTACTTTTGCTATATCTTCAAGATAAAGGATTCATTCTACCATCCACTGCTCCCCCAATCCAGCTTTTAAAAATCCCCCATGTAGTGATTCAGTTCATGGAACACCTGTGAGTTCCCTCTACAAATTGCTGCGTCAGTTTTTCTGCGGAAGGAGTCTTTCTAAGGATGTGTCCAAACTAAAATACCATTTTATAATAGCATTAAAACAGCATTTTAATCACTTGATCATTTTAATCACACAGCTTGCAAGACTCAAAATCTTCATAGTGTCCTCATCTGAAATTTTGGGGGCCCCTAAAACAATTTTTTTTGAAGTTGTCTCTCCTTATTAAAAGAAAGTACTCTTCAGTGGGTTAAGCTCCTCCTCATCTAACAAGGCATAAGCTGGTTGTTCTGTGGTTAAACCTGAGTTTACACAATAAGGATGTGGCTACTACCACAGGGTTGTGCAAAACAGGGGAATCTTACGACGTCTCGGCTTTGGGCAGGGTCCCAGTTTATGTGACAAACCCCAATCCAACGGCTCCCTATACCACTGGGCCAGCTGGCCAACCTGACTGGTCCCTCCAGTCCTCCCTCTGCGTACCAGCAGGACCTCATAAATTCAGGTTGGGGTTAGAATTAGGATTAGCGGTCACCCTCTTGTAGCTCAGACCCACTCGGTGCTGAAGCAGCTCCACGGGCTGCTTTCCAGAAGTGTCGAGGCTCTTAAAGGGCTAGTAATACTCAAATAATAACATGCGCCTAGCCAGAGACATTTAACCCCTGAAAAGTGTCAAGGATAATGGAAATGATAAACCCATGTCACTTCTGAGAGATATTTTGGGGGCTCATTTCTTTCTTTGTGTCCTGATGAAAGGAAAGGCAATTTGCATATTCTGCTGAACCCTGATTCTCAACCACCACAGTGTTCTGGACACTAAGTTGCATAATAGGAAATTTAGGGGAGACGCTTTCCCCTTAGAGCCTTCCTGCTGCATCTGCCACAGTTATCCCTTCAATAAACAGCCCCTCTCCATGTTATTTAAAACTCAGAAGTGCTCTCAACAACTCACTCCTGATCAATTATATGCCTAAGGTGAAGTTGGGCATGAGCAGGTATTTTGTAGTGAAATGAACTACCATTTGTATAACACATTGTATTTATGATACAGCTTCATTCTCAGCCCTGGGCTGGGTATTATTATGACCATTTTTGTTAGCGGGCAAACCCAGGTATAGAGGGGCTGATAACTTGTCCAAGATCATACAAGGAGAAGAGAAAGAAATGGAACTTGAATTCTGATCTTTGGACTTCACATTACAAGCAAGCAAGGCTAATCAAAGCAAGCCTAAACAAACCCAACTGTCACTCGGATGGAGATCCTCTAATGCCAACACCAGACAGAAATACCACATTCTTGCCCAGGAAAATATACTGGGGGTACTTATGGCTAACAGAATTATAGGATGATGACAAATGGGTCCGCTGAAGACAGGGGTAAACACCCAACAAGTTTTGGTAGCCTCAGAGGGCAGTGCATCAGAATGATCTGATAACTGGCTTTCATACAAATGCTCTTAAATCAGCAGGGCAAATGGGATCTGATACTGCATTCTTGTTTCACAAGGCAGTGGGTTAGCTGGAGATTTGGGAAACTCTTACATCAAAAAATGATTAACACAAACATTAAGACCCTCAAGAGATATGATTTAAATACTGGAATATTTTATTTCTCTGAAATGCCTCATCCCCTGATGATCCCTGACAAATCAGATGCTACTATATAGATCTGCTGATCTCTCAGATCTAAGTTTCAGCACAATGTTCAAAGTTGCAGCTTTAAACAATGACAAAAAAATTACAGTTAAACTTCTCACAACCCTATATTGTTTCAGTCTAGGAAATGAAAATAAAGTCTGCTTTTACCCAGTGAGCCTCTAAAATTCCCAAATCCTTGGTAACAGATGAAGTAACTGACATAACTTGCTGCTTTCATGTGCATAAAACATCATTTTATTTTTTTCAGTCTCCCATGCACCAGGTTTTCAGTGAGTACCAAAAAACTAAACATATTTTCCAGAGTAAAATGTAGCATATTCCCAATTCTTAAGGCTCCTCGGAGGATTAAATGCTATTTAATGGACAGGAGAACTTGTTCTGATAAGTTTCTCAGACACTGCAACAGTGTAGGTGGAAGTGGCAGAGAACATGAGGGATGCAGTTGTCCACCACCCCGGGTCACCCTCTCAATCTCCTCCTTTCCTCCAGGAGAGGAGGCTGGCTTTCCAGGTGCCCTGGGCTTGGGCAGAGGAAGCTCTTGTCCCTCCCTGCTCAGTGCCCTGCTCAGCTACCATTCAGGTGAGGCTGCCCTGCTCCTGGGGAGTCAGGCTAAGTCTAACCCACAGAGAGAGAAGCTGTATCTGGACAAGTCTCTAGAGCCTCCTCCCCAGTGACCTTGGCTAGTGACAACCTATTCAGATGGGAACAGAACTATGCTCATTCCACACTTTGAGCTTTTCCCATGGAAATTTGTCATCATCTAACTATAGAATGTCTGTAAATGGAAAACTGAAAATGCCGATAATAAGCCCTCTCTATTGTGACTTGTGTTGGTGTTTGGCCCTCTTAGAGAATGTCTGCTGCTTTATATTAAAAAAAATATGTATATATATATATATATATATATGACAGAAAGGGAAGCCTATTATGTTACCCCCTTTCAAAATTTTTTGATGACTTTCTCCTTTCTACATAATAAAGCCTGGGGTTCTTATTCTAGCATGTACAGCCTGCTGCGAGCTACTTCAAACTACTTTCCCAGTTTTTTCTCTCATCTCATTCCACCCCATCTCCATGCCCATGTCCATTCTAAAAACATGCACATACACACTACACACACACACCACACAGCCTCCATAAACTCCAATGGTTCTACGTTAATTACTTTTTCTCAGGCCCTTTCTGCTCTTCTTTTCTTTCTTTGGGGTGCCCTTTGACCATTTCCCCAAGTTACTCTAATCACTATTCCAACTGCTCCTCCAAGCCAAGCTCAAATGCCTTCTGTTTCCTGAATGTTCCCCCAACCCCCTAGGCTGATTGCCCACCTCACTTTACCTTTTCCGGGGCCTTGCCGTAGAGTTATCTGTGTACACATCTATGATCCTGAAAGTAGGACCCTGTCCACTCAAGTCTGTATTGCCTCGGGCCTATCTGGGGTCTTGCATAAAGTAGATGCTCACTAAATATTAGCTGAACCACAAATCCACCACTCTCAAAGAGAAACTGAGGTCAGGGACCTGGAAAGAAATAAAAATGGCTCTACTTTTTACTCCTCCTGATGATTTCAACACTGACTTTGAAATTTTTCCTCTCCGCTCCGGCTTGCAGGCTGCAACAGGCTTCAGTACCAGTGACCACTGGCTAAAGCCAGGTGGCAGTGAAGATTCAGGCAGTTAGCTGAGTCCTCCAGGCTCCTGGCAAAGTAACTGGAATTGCAGGAGAGCCAGCCGGGAACCCTACAGCCACCTCCCAAATTTGAGGGTGGACATTATGCTAAGCTCCCACCCTTCCGGCCCCCCACCCTGTCCTTACTACTTGCCTCTGGGGTATGCAGTGTCTTCTGCAGACAGGGCACAACTGAGAAACTCTGGGCACGCTATTTCACACCAAAAGCAGAAATTGCTGGTTG
The DNA here is from genome assembly GCF_000001405.40 of Homo sapiens. Taxonomy (NCBI): domain Eukaryota; kingdom Metazoa; phylum Chordata; class Mammalia; order Primates; family Hominidae; genus Homo; species Homo sapiens. The sequence goes on along the minus strand of NC_000001.11, from coordinate 94,599,384 downwards.
TTTGGTCCCAAAGCCATTCTTTACTTCCTTCGTATCAGAAGCCCGGATTTTTAGTGGGGTAAATGACCTCCCACAATAAACACTACATTTCCCAACCTCCCTTGCAACTAGGTCTAGCCATGTGACTAAGTTTTAGCTGATGAGTTATAAGTGAAAGCAATGTATTCGACTTTCAGGAGGTGTTCTTGAAAAAAGCGAGTGCACTCTTTTTTTGTTCCTTCTTCTTGCCTGCTGGCTGGAACATGGAGGGGATTGCGGGAATCAGACCATAAAGTAGAAGCTAAAGGCCGGGCACGGTGGCTCACACTTGTAATCCCAGCACTTTGGGAGGCTGAGGCTGGCAGATCATGAGGTCAGGAGATCAAGACCATCCTAACCAACATGGTGAAATCTCGTCTCTACTAAAAATACAAAAAAATTAACTAGGCATGGTGGTGTGCGCCTGTAGTACTAGCTACTCGGAAGGCTGAGGCAGGAGAATCACTTGAACCTGACAGGCGGAGGTTGTGGTGAGCCGAGATCGTGCCACTGCACGTGCCACGTGCCACTGCAGCCTGGCGACAGAGCACGACCCTGTCTCAAAAAAAGAAAAAAAAAAGGTAGACGCTAAGGCTGAGAGCAACAAGACAAAAAGGGCTCATGTCCTTCCACTACATAAAATTGTATAAGCTCTGAATTGTCTATTGACAAACTTCTTTCATATGAAAGGGAAATATAGTTCTATCCTATTTTAGTCATTATTACTTTAGGTTTTTCTGCCATAGGCATCCAAACCTAAACCAAAAAGAAACATTCCTGAGCTCTGATTTCTTTCTATGAAATTTCCAATGTCATGGAGTTACTCCAAACGTTAAATGAAAAATCTCTTTACAAAGACTCCTAAAATTATAGCTTGACACACAGGTGTGGTGGCTCAATTCCAGCACTTTGGGAGGCCAAAGCGGGTGAATCGCTTGAGCCTAGGAGTTTGAAACCAGCCTGGACAACATGGAAAAACTCTACAAAAAATACAATAATTAGCCAGGCATGGTGGCACACACCTGTGGTTCCAGCTTCTCAGGATGCTGAGGTGGGAGGATCACCTGAGCCTGGGAATTTGAGGCTGCAGTGAGCCAAGACTGCCACTGTACTCCAGCCTGGGTGACACAGTGAGATCTTATCTCAATAAAAAATAAAAGTAAAAATAAATAAATAAATAAAAGACTCGTAAAGTTACAGCTGGACACCTGGGATGTGATTAGTAAATACCTTTTTTCTAACTCTTTTCTTTTCCAGCTCAGGTTTGAGAGATTTTGCTGTGACTTTTCCCAGGGGGCTTTATCATGCGTGTTCTCTCCAAAATTCTCTCCTGGTTCACTATAAGACACAGCATCTGGTGGAGCTGAAATAGCAACAGCTGTTACTCATGGAGAGCTTGCCACACGCTGGACCATACAGTCACTTTACACGGAAGATCTTACCTCATTACTATGACTGTGCAATGTGAGGTGAGCAATACCCTCATTTTGCTGAGGCAGAACCTGAGATTCCAGGGAGTGAAGTACTTTCCCAAGATTACACAGCTCATCAGCAGCAGTGCTGGGATTCAAATCTAGGTCTGGCCAGCCCTGGAATCCATGCCTTTGACCACATTGCTGCCTCTGCTGAAGGGCAGAAGACTTGGGAAAGCAGGAAGATTTCCCTGCTGCTAACCCTGCTTCCACCTCTGCAATCACCCAAACTGACATCAGGACCCTCTTCCAGCCCCTTTCTCCACAGAGGGCAGAGGTGTGTTCATGAATCTGCCCTCCTCAGGCCCTTAAATTTTGTAAGAATTGTTGCAGAAAAATGCTTTCATTCATGGCTGAGTCTGAGACTCTGTCCTCTTTCTAGTGATTTTGATGCCACTGCATAAACATACCTGTGAGATGTGTGGTTTTTGTTTTAAATAATTTGAAATTATTGGAATGTAACAATCAGCATTTGGAAAGTTTTATGTAACGGGATATTAAATTGAAGCTTTCATGAGGCACAAAACACAGTATGTTTGTAATCCCAGACTAAGAAGTCAAATCTCCATGTTTGCTTCAAAGGAAAATTCAGAAAACCTGCTCCATAACTGTTAAATCTTCTCACCACTTAGAGAATAAAAAAGGGCCAAGAGGGCCTGGTGTGGTGGCTCACATCTGTAATCCCAGCAATTTGGGTGGCCAGGGGGGTGGATCACTTGAGGTCAGGAGTTTGAGACCAGCCTGGCCAACATGGCAAAGTCCTATCTCTACTAAAAACACAAAAATTAGCTGGGCATGGTCACACGTGCCAGTAATCCCAGCTACTCGGAAGGCTGAGGCACAAGAATTACCTGAACTCAGGAGGCAGAGGTTGCAGTGAGCTGAGATCAAACCACAGCACTCCAGCCTGCATGATGAAGTGAGACTCTGTCTCAAAAAAACGAAACAAAACAAAAAAAAAACAGTGCCAAGAGGGTGGCAAGGAGAGAGGATTCTATGAGGAGGATTTATGTGGAGAATGCTGTGCTATGGGCCCATCCCCTCTATTCCCTGAGGCAAGGAAGATTGCCTGCTTCCTTGGCCCCCAAAGAGCTTCATATATGACCCCTATAATTGGGGAGAAAGGCCTGACTCCCACCTAGGATCCCACAGGCTGAGAGCTGGACCGACCTGCTGCTTTGGAAGCCGGGTCAGCAGATTGCTGTCTTGGCAGGGCCGGCCAGCACCCCTGGTTTGTTGGGGCAAGGGCTGTGCAGTATTGTAACGATGGACTATAAGGAAAGACACCCTGGCTTGGGTCAACATGGATGTTGTCCTGAGGGCCTCCTGCAGGGGCTGAGAGATCCCCATAGCAAGAAGTTGGAGGTAAATTCTTGGGACTGAAGAAGGAATGCCAGCAACCCTTCAAAACAGAGATGCCCTGACTTGGGTCCGACAGCACTGCCGAAGGCACTACCTGGTGGGGAACCTGAGAATTGCTCATGAAAGTGCCCCAAGAGATGGAGGACAAGAGGCACTAAAAGGTGAGGCCAGCTAATGACAATCCCCACTGAAGTGAGACTTTTCCCCTCTTCCCTCCCCATGGGCCAGCCCCACTTGGGAGAAGCCAATCAGACCACCACCCAGTCCTCCACAGCCAGCAAACAGCCCTCTGCAGGCCCTCTGCAGGCCCTCTGCAGGGTTTGACATCTTATCGGGATCCAAGTATTGATTGCTCTCTTACAGTGGACTTTCTAATTGCTGAATTAAGTCAGTATTTGCTGCTTAAAAACACCCTGGAATTGTCCCTTACCTAAGAGTAAGCAAAACATCTTGGAACCTGCTTAGAGTTCTCGTCCAACATCAGGGAGAGATCACCAATAGTAAACACAACATTAAGGAACATGAAGGCACGGTGGAAGACTGCAAATAAAGACATGTGTTGATGACTTTAGGACTTGCTTGTGCAACATGCTGGCAACTCTTGTTTATATGTAGATTCTTGCACAAACACAGCTGCATGGCAGTAAATCAGGAGGGTCTCCGGTGTCACATCAGAGGGAGCCACTTGATGACAGGAGGAATGTGCCTGTCTGAGTCAGGAGAGGACGTATATCCTCTGCAAAGGGAGAGGCCCCTCTTTTGTCCATTTTTCCTTTGGGCCAAGTTTGTTCCAAGCCACAAGGAGGTCTGGCAAGGAGCCTCTGTGGCCGCTGGAGGCTACACCCAGGCTCCTTCAGAAGCAGACCTGGGGCGGGGCACAGTGGCTCACACCTGTAATCCCAGCACTTTGGGAGGCAGAGGTGGGTGGATCACTTGAGATCAGTAGTTTGAGACCAGCCTGGCCAACATGGTCAAACCCCATCTCTACCCAAAATATAAAAAATTAGCCAGGCATGGTGGCACTCACCTGTAATCCCAGCTACTTGGAGGCAGGAGAATCGCTTGAACCCGGAAGGCAGAGGTTGCAGGGCAGCACTGCACTCCAGCCTGGGCAACACAGTGAAACTCTGTCTCAAAAAAAAAAAAAAAAAAAAAGAAGCAGACCTGGACCAATAATCCTGAAGTCACTGACATAATAGTCCTGAGAGCATTTGAGGTTATGACCCGGGAACTTCAAAGTGTTCACCGAGGTCCCTCCTGTAGCACTTACCAGAGTTTCCTCCCTTGGAGGACTGTGTATTCCTTCTTTCTCTGTCGGGGATAAATCCATCGTTTCCTTGGAGAGAGGAACCCTATGCCTCTGAATTGCATTCAGGGAAGGGTCATAAAAGGAATCACTGTTCTTCCCAAATGCCTTGGCTTGTAGCTGTCTCATTGCCTCTGTTCTACATGAAACGCTTCCATCTGGGCTGCCACTATGACTGCCACCACCAGGTAGCCCCTGGGGCTCATTTGGACAGGGCATCTGGACAGGTGCGAGCAACATGTTTATCTCACCTGAAACAGAGTATCTTCTAAATGTTAGGTTAAAATAAAACAGAAATAAACTGGGAGAAAACAATCTACCCACGGAAGGAGGTGCAGAGCACAGGGCTGCTATTTGGGAATGACCAGCCTCTGGCCATACATTGACTGCACTGCAGACACAGCTCCTGGACCTGGCTCCTCACTGTATTTCAATAATCCTGAAGGACCACACCCCAAGCCTAGTTTTTAGTCCAGCAGGACAGAGTTTGGGAAAGGAGGAAGGAGTCCATGCCCCTCCCAGTTTAGATAATAGAGTTGCTTGCATACTCTTCTGGGAAGGCAGTATTTTCAAAGTGGAAAAAAGACTCTAACTGAGATGTCCATCCACAAGAGAGTCTTTCAGTCTCTCTCATCATTTTAAGTGACTCTGTTTATTCATTCAATAGACATCTACCAAGCACCTGCTGGCCAGGCTGGGTTAGGCACTGTAGGTCTGGAAATAAATAAGGTACAGCTTTTGCCTCTAAGGCAGTGGTCCCCAACCTTTTTTGGCACCAGGGACTGGTTTTGTGAAAGACAATTTTCCAAATTTTTTCACAGATAGCAAGGTGGGATGGGGGGATGTTTCGGGATGAAAACTGTTCCACCTCAGATCATCACGCGTGAGATTCTCACAAGGAGCGCACAACCCAGATCCCTCGCATGCGCAGTTCACAGTAGGGTTCGCTTCTGTGAGAATCTACTGCCGCTGTTGATTTGACAGGAGGCGGAGCTCAGGTGGTAATGCTTGCTGTCTTGCCCGCCACTCACCCCCCCGCTGTGTGTCCCAGTTCCTAACAGGCCACGGACCGGACCCCTGCACTAAGTTGCTCGCAATCTAATGGGCCAGACAGTTGTGTACAGAGAAGGCCTGAAGGAGAATGTAGCACATTGGGCTCCCCAGAAAACTGTCTCTGAGACAGAGTTGGGCATCCAGACTGCCCTTGGGTTCAACACCTGTGGAACGAAGAAGGAGGAAGCAGCGTGGGCAGAAATGCTAAGCTGTGATACAGGCTTGATGAAGGCGACCCCACAGGGAGCTCTGTCCCTTCAGAGTTGTGCTGGGTTAGATAGAGATAGCCTTCACATGCTACACTGATTCATCACTGGATGTGGGCCACCAGACAGGGGCCTGACATGGGCAGCTGCGGGCATCCTTGAGGAGCTGACAGCCAAAGGTCATCTACCAACAGCACTTCTAGCAACGGGGGCAACAAGTTCTGCAATGAAGGAGGATTCGGGAAGTGCAGTGCAGGGCCCACCTGCCAGGCGAATCGCCCTAGGGAAGGAGGAGGAGCAATCAGCTGCTGGGAAGACTCATGAAGGCTCTACTGGGAAGCATCTTAGAGGATGAGAAGAGCTTTCCAGGCAGGAAAAGGCAGAAGTAAATTTGAGCTAAGGTGCATATGGACTACCGTCGCCTGGTGGGCGAAGAATGGCATCCTGAGGGGCGAGTAAAAGAACACAATTCCTTCCTCACCCCGCCATACTTTGGCTGCACTCCAGACACAGCAGTGTCCACCATGAAGACTTGACTCCATCCCCTTTCCTGAAGCCAGGAAGCCTCGGCATGTTCCCGAAATACTTGATGAGCATAACAGTGTGGATAAACATTTAGTAAGCTGCTGTGGCCAGAAAGAAATCCAATCATGATCAGCTGGAGAGGAACCCAATAGGATTTTTAAATTGGCAAATATTTAGTTGTTAATAAACACCAGCACCTGCCTGGCTGGCTCCCGCACTTCCTTCCCAGAAGTCTGGAGGCTGCAGTGTGTGTGGAGGAAAGGGCAAGTGCTTTAAATTAGACAGACCCAGAACCCAGGCCTGACTCAGCTGCTCATTTTCTGTGTAACCTTGGCCCAGTCACTTCACCTGTCTTCAAACTTCAGTCTCTCAAACGTAAAACAGCTAACACTTTCCAGGGTGCTTGTGAGACTCAAATGAAATAGCATATATACAACTCCACTCTATCTACTGGGTCCCTGCTACCAATCTGCTGCCTTGGACAACTCACTAGAACTTCAGGAAGTGACTTCAACCTGCTTTAAGGCCACTGTTGCTCTCTGTCACTCTGTCTTGAAATATACTATTACCATTAGTGTAAGCCTGAGGACACTTTTGTGTATTCATAGTCTTTCCAGACAAAGCCATGAGCCAGTAATGAGCAGAGACTGGGAAATAAGTGGCCTCATTCTTTCTCTTCTTGCTGGCTCTAGACTGGGGTTAGAGATGGTTGCTTAGCGACAGTATTCATTCATCTGAGTGATGGACAGACCCAAGACTGCCCCTTCCCATCAGGGAGGAAATGCTACCATGCCCATCAGAGCTCTTGTTTCTGAGGAGTATTTGGGTGGTTTTTCTTGAAGGCGGTTTTATTCTAAAGGAGGTAAATTGGAGCCCTTTCTCAGATGGTAATTGTTGCCGAGATGAAAGAAGAGCTATGAGATGTGGGGCTGGGGGCGGGGTGGATGGGAGCTACAATCTGGGGCTCTTGCCCACTCTTTTCATGAAGTTGATTATTTCAGAACAGAGGCAGGATGACCAAAGAGGGGCTGCACAAATGGGCCTCTGTTTTATGCTTGGCAGGAAGAGCTGTGACCTCTTTTCTCCTTTTAAGTCTTTCTAAGTCCCAGCCATTGTGTTGACACCATAATGGGAACTAGGCTCCTGAGCTTCTCAGAACTGAAGGCGAAAGAGGTGAGTTAGAGCACGCTAAATTACAGTGGCATTGCAGTGCCCTGGGAGGTCGGAATTTCTGGACTGTTCCCAGTGAGCTGACTGCTCTGGCCTCCCAAAGATGTATGGGCTCCCGCACTCTCTGGAGGGGACACACTGCTTATTTCTTCAGCCTACAGCCTAGATTCCAATTGCTTTTGCAGGTGGAAAGCACCGAGCAGTGAGGCCTTGATGGTCAGATTTTCCATTCAAAGATGGAAAGGCATGAGCTATGACATTTTAAGAAAATATTATTTCCTCACTCAGCAGTTTCACATGCTTTTCAAGATGGAAAACAATGAAAGAAGCAGAGCTAGTCACAGGAGTCTGCTCCTTTCAAATTCATCTCACAGCACAGGTTTCCAGTAAGAGGAGAACTCTTTTTAAGATTGATGGACAGAAGAAATCAACTTTCCATGAACTCATTAAAAAACAACAACAACCATAAATTGTTTAGACTGGGTGCGGGTGGCTCACGCCTGTAATCACAGCACTTGGTGAGGCCAAGGCGGGCAAATTGCTTGAGCCCAGGGATTCAAGACCAGCCCAGCCAACATGGCGAAACCCATCTCTACAAAAAATTCAAAACTTAGCCAGGCTTAGTGGCTCATGCCTGAAGTCCCAGCTACTTGGGAGGCTGAGACAGGAAGATTGTTTGAGCCTGGGAGGCAGAGATTGCAGTAAACCAAGATAGCATCACTGCACTCCAGCCTGGGCAACAGAATGAAAAGCATTCAATTGTGCAGTGAAATCCTGCTTTGAAGATAGATGGAAAGAGCACTGGGAGATGTTCCAGCGGTGGTCCTGGCCACAACAGTGCTGCCCTCCAGCAAGCCTGGGTCGGGCACCTCTGTCTCCTCCCATACAGGAACAGAATTTACACTCAGCCCTGGTAACCAGTCTATCCGTCAGTACCAGGTGAGGTGAAACTCTCCTAAAGTCACAGCTGCTGCGTAAGCCCTTTTTTTTTTTTTTTTTTTTTTTTTTTTTGTTAAATGCCCAATGGCTGGCTATGAAAAAATCAAAGAATAATTTGTAGGGGTGTTGAGCCTTTTCTGGTTTCCTTCTCCTACTATCCAGAAATCTAAAATGCCTTCTTAAGGAATTCTCCTCTACTCCATTCTTACAAATGCCAGGGAGAAACAGTGTCAGGGAGAAATAAGATCGCTGCCTGGTGTCAATGACCTCGACAGCCCACAGCAAGGAAGGAAAGCCCTCTTCTACAAACTGTGGGCCAGAATTGGAAATGAGGAGAGTGAGTCATTACTTCAGTCTGGTAATTTAGAGACCTGAGGCCTGCTATGTTTGTAGTATTATTGATCTGTTAGGGAGCCCCATTAGTATGGGCAATCCATAACTCCAGTCATCTGAGATTCTCCCCCTACGGGCCTGAATCACTCCCTGGAAGGAAGGGAAGATCACATGCATCTAACTGTTCTGGTTTTGCTCTTTTGGGTGCAACAAACAGATCACAGTGACTCAAAAAGTGTGGAGGTTTATTATGAGGAGTGCACAGAAACCCAGGAAAAGAAACTAAAATTCAGAAAACATTCTCAGCTATTCTTTTTCTGCCCTTCTACCTTTTGCTGTGTTCTTTCCCTCTGCTCAGCCTTATTTGTGCCTCTTCGCTGATGCTTACTTAGGGTTTTACTTCCCTGTAACTTTCAATGCCAGGAACATGGACCTGGCATGGTCCCAGCTTTATCTGTTTCTGAATGTCCCCTCTTTTGAGCTGGTTCCTAGTAATTTGTCCTCTTGATATTTTTAGCTGCATTCCTAGACAAGTTTATCATTTTGAACTAGGTCATGTCATAAGTTGCTGGACGGCCTATCTATCACCCTAAGTCAACAGCACATCCCAGGTCATTTCTTGTGACTGGAGGAGGGCCCTGGGGAGAGAGGGAGGGCGGAAAAGAGGATCCCGTGTAGCAGATATGCTGAAAGGTGGACCCTTCAGCAGAAGTGCCTGAGGTATGGTGTTTACTGTAGGGTCACCCCTTGGCTCTGGCTGACCAAGACAGCCCCAGTGTTTGGCAATCTCTATTGGAGAGGCAGACATACTAAAAAACTACTTTATTAATATTTTGCATGAAACCTGTTTCACGTTCAAGGTGACAGACATAGATGAACTGAAATACTTTCAATACTCAGTGAATTTCAGGTCTTTGTGAAGGACCAGATCTAAGCAAGGTGCTGGGTATATGAAATCACACAGAAATTAATAGGCTTAGCAGGGTGTTTAGCTTTTGACCCAAAAGTCCCGGTCCTACAGGACGGAACTCTTTATCTCTGCTTTAAATACAAGGAAATTCAGAGTACTAAGAAGACTTCTGGGTCAGGATCCAGGGAGAGTGACTGTAGCCTTGTCAAAGCCAAGGGTCTCACTATAGGAGAGCTTTTCCCTGTCTCCATCACGCTGCTGGGCTGGAGAGCTGTGGGCCGGCTGAGCTCTGGGCTTGAGGCCCCTCCACCTCACTGCTCTTCCCACTCACACAGGCCATGCACCTTCCTCAGATTATTTCATCTGTTCCTGAAAAAAGGGAGGTTTGACTATGATAGTTTGTTCTAGCAGAAAAATCACATTTGGGGACTTTAAGTCTCAGCCTCCTTGTAACAGTTATGCCCTCAAGAACCTCAGCCCGACCCAGGAAAGAGGATCTTTGTGCTTCCTAGGAGAAGAGAAAGATCTTTGTAATAGACCATCACTGATGGGGGACTGAGAGTTCCAGAAACGGCAGTGACCATCCTGCATGGGATGAAAGCAGTGTTGTCAGGTTCAAGCTTGCCTGAGAGAGGAAGGTGATTCTTTGCTGGGGGAAAACTAATTAACTAGTTGCCTTGAAAAGTCAACTTGTTTGAAACTGAACGGCCTTCCATTTCGGGATAATTCCTACCTATTTTATTATTCTTTGTTCCTGTTTTGTTTTGTTTTGTTTTGTTTTTTGAGACAGAGTCTTGCTCTGTTGCCCAGGCTGGAGTGCAGTGGCATGATCTCGGCTCACTGCAACCTCCACCTCCTGTGTTCAAGCAATTATCCTACCTCAGCCTCCCGAGTAGCTGGGATTACAGGTGCCAGCCACCATGCCTAGCTAATTTTTGTATTTTTAGTAGAGACAGTTTCACCACGTTGGCCAGGGTGGTCGTGAATTCCTGACCCCTCAGGTGATCCGTCCATCTCAGCCTCCCAAAGTGCTGGGATTACAGGCATGAGCCACCACACCTGGCCTCTTTGTTACTTTTTATTATTTTAAATAATCAGTGAAAACTTTTAAACTTAGTGTTTAAAAAATAATAGTCAGGGCCTGGCACAGTGACTCAAGCCTGTTATCCCAGCAGTTTGGGAGGCTTATGTGGGAGGATTGCTTGAGGCCAGGAGTTCGAGACCAGCTTGGCAAGATAGTGAGACCCCCATCTCTACAAAATTAAATTAAATTAAAAAATAATTATCCCAGTGTAGTAGCACATGCCTGTAGTCTTAGTTGTTCCAGAGGCTGAGGCAGGAGGCTTGCTTGAGCCCAAGAGTTCAAGGCTGCAGTGAGCTATGATTGCACTACGTTTGACATTTCTTTTCAGGACCCAAGCATTTTAAAATTGTCTTAAGATATTCCCTCTGATGAGCTTAAGATACCTGCAGATTTCCACATCATTACTGGCATAAAACACCTTTTTAAAAACCAAATTTTGGTTCTTCTATTAAACAAATATAAAGGTGAATTAATTAATTTAACTGCTCTCCTTTCTTGCTTATTAATTATATTTGGGAAAACTCTACCAACAAATCATATAAAAATAAAGAACAAATGGAACACTTTGAAAACTGCTAGCATTTCTGAGCTTATCTTATTATCTATCCAAGCACTATCCCATAGTCAGTAAGTCATATTTTACAGCTTGGACAGACTTTCCAAAATAATTACTGGATATAGCCATTTTATGGGTACTTTTAGTGTCTTTGTGGTATGTGATGTGATAGTGTTTATATAATTAACAATATCTTATATTTTCAAGGGAAACTTGGAAGTCTGTCACTCTAAATGAGTCTATCACTCTAAATAAATATGTGCTCAAATATGACTGGCTCAGTTTAAGACACAAAACAGCAACTTGAAGGAGGAAAAATGAAGAGAGTTTGTAGTTAATGGGTTAAATTTTTGTTGTTGCAATATTAAGTGTGGTTTTCTTATAATATTTCTAAATGAAAAATCATATGTATTTGTTACCACATATGATGATTACTTTGTTAAAAGCAAAAGTAGTCATGTGGTATATTAAATGTTAATTGCTGTTTTCATATGTTTAAATCATGCCAAACAAATCATGTCTGTGCCATCCAGTGTTTATTGTTAATCTTTCACTGAGTACTTGGATTGGGATAAAAGGCTTATACTGTGCACTTTTTATTAATGAATAAATTGAAAACATTAGTAACACTCAGAAAAAAATGTCTTTTTGTAATCTGTGTTCCATCATCCTTGCATCTGAGCTATTCCAGTTTCCCTCTATCATCAGGTGACTGTAAGAAATCACTAAATAAAATACACAAAACCCATGCCAGCTGGTAATCACCACAGCAATCTTGCCATAAAAGAACATGTGTTTTCCTGAAATCTTTGCAAACAAAAGGAATAATTTAGCTGACAGCTCAAATGACCCCAACAAGAACACCCTGAGAAGTTTATAACATGTTAGACAACAGTGTACAAAATCCCTGATAGAGAAATCTGGAAATCGTTATGCCACCCAAAATCATAAATGCTTGATTATGTTTACTAGGGATGCCATCATGGAAAACTTTGAAAAGTCTTAAAGGATTTTCTTCCAAGGTAAATTAGAAAATACAGAAAGCGCCAAAGATAAGTGAGGGATAGCAGACTGAAATCAGAAAAGGTTTTGGCCAATGGCTTGAGGGTCAGCTGCTTTCGTAAATCATTTTTTAAAAAGTTTTTTTAATGAAATGAAACATACAGAAAGGATATGTATGATTAGTGTACAATCTAAGGAATTTTTGCAAAGAACACAACTGTGTAACCAGCACTTAGAACAAAAAACAATGTCACGAACACCCCAGAAGACACACTGATATCTCCTCCCACAAAGGACAATCCCTATCCCAGTTAGTTTTCCTGTTTCTATATTTCACATAAAATAAATCACATAGTGTGCAAACTTTTATGTCTCGCTTCTTCCACTCAACATTCTGCTTATGAGAGTCACTGGTATTGTTGCATTCGTAGCAGGCTGTTCATTCTAATTGTTATAATGTATTCCACTGTGGTGATTATTCCCCAAACTTACCCATTCTATTAGGCATTTGGTCCAAGTACAGAGAACCAAAATTTATTGTCTGGAGTTGGAAGTTTTTAAAAAATAATCACATATTTGAAAGAGACACACAGGGGATTTTTATGCTGACATACGGAAAGAAAATAGAAGGACCATTTCATTTGTTCAGGCCTCTAACTTTATTCTGTTTTGCTTTTATTCCCCAGCCTCAGGAAAACTTTAGAGTTATGCTTGCGAGAGCACTAACTGTTACAAGGAGGGTGAGATCTGGAGTTCCAGAAAAATAAGAGAGAATCTTGCATCTGGAGCATAAATGATCTTCAAGAAATACACACAGGAAGTTGAACAGGTGTATAAACTTCAGAGAAGCTCTCTGGTCTCTCAAAAATCCCTGTGAATATCTCAGAGCAGCTGAGATGCCTCATTATCCCCGGATGCCTAATTCATTCTCATTATTGTGACTTCAATCTTTACTATCTCAACAAATATGGATATCCAGCCACTTCTCAACCCCAAATTCTCAAGAAAAAGTGGGATCATGAGCTGCATATTTGATCCAATGAAGCTTTGTCAAGTCCTGGGAGTGTCATCTTCTTATTTTAGATATAACTGTGGCCAAAATATTTATCTACCACATAGCTCATATTTTCCTTCTCCAAGAACATAACAGTTGCCCTGATTAATATCTCTTTTGAAAAACTCTAAAATGCCAACTACTCACTGTTTCCAATTATTCGAAGGAAAGCTAACTTCCAGAGAGTCTATCTGCATGTAATTATTTCAAATATTTCTAAGTACTTGGGAGGAAGAGCTCTTGAAATTTTAGTCTCTGATCACCAGTATATGAATTCAAGTGCCTTTGGGACCTAAAGAAAACAAGAGTGTTCATTTGAAGGAGGGAGGGTGGGAAAAATAGAAGGAAGTGTAGTGTTTAGATTCACTGGTTTGGAAAGACTTTAAAAATATTTATATCAGTATTGAGGATTTGTGTATGTTTTATTTCTTGTCATGGCTTTGAAGAAGTTATGTGTATATCCTCAAAGATTTTAAGTATTATTTCATAGAGAATATGGTACTATTTATAAATACAAATGTATGAGATTACTTTTAATTTTGTTTTATTTTTGCTGCATCTCTTTGACTGCATTTTTTTAACTTGATTTCTTCTAAACCTTGTGAGCACTCTAATAATACAGGACAGTGGTTTATGGGACTTCTCTGAAATGACATCTGGAAAACCAATTAATGACATCTCAGGTTGAGCAAGTATCCATGCTATGGTTCAGATGTATCCTAGTCTCCTGATAAAGTTAATATACAGGTTTAAAGTACAATGATAATAATTAATAATAATAATATAGCTATGCTATGTGGATCCTGAAAAAATAAAAGAAATAGAAAGTTCTCCTTCCTACCCATAACTATCAGTTCTTCAAACTCTCAATTCTTCAAAAAGCTCACAATTTCTGTGCCTTTAAATTTTATCCCAGTCACTGTATAGTTTAATGCATTTTAAAAATTATTCTTCACAATGACTCTATAAGGTAGGTAATAGTATCATCCTCATTTCATAGACTTGGAAACTGGACTTAGAGAGATTAGCACCTTGCCAAAGTTACAAGGTTGTGAGTGGCAGAGTCGGAACTCAAATCTAGCCCTGGCCTGAAGCCCGAGCCTTATCCACTGTGATATACCACCTTGCCTGTATCATCCAAGCTGTCCATGAAGGCTGACACTGAGACCAAGTTAGCCTGAACATAGAGGTACCATTGGGACTTGGAGAGGCAAAGGCTTAAATTGCTAACTTCAAAGGTATGGACAACTTCTATTGAATTTGTTGAAGATAATGAAATCTAGTTCTTCAGCAATTTAGGGAACACTGTCAGTATTAAAATTTGGTTTTGGTTTTGTCTCTATTTTTAAGCAGGTGGCATGAAGAAAATTTCATTTGGAGAACAAGGACTATTATGTCCATTTAGTTTCTACTCTGTGTTGCTAGGTATGAGAAATAGAGAAGTTAACAAAACATGGTTCTTGCACCAAAACACATAAACATGTGACTAAAGTGTCTATTTCACTGGGCAAATGATAGTTTTGTCCCTTGAGTCTGCATTTACTATTAACACCTGGCCAATCTCCTTAGGGTTAATAACCCACAATGGACCCTTCTTGGTCTACACTGCTAAAATGAGTTCTTTCCTATCATCTGTGAGGTATTCCTTAATAGCACCCCCAAAGGACAGTATAAGAATGCAAATACTTGGTTCCCTTAAGGGTTCCTTTCCAAGTTTTCTGAATGAACTGTGGGGTTAATTCCACCCCCTCCAAACGTTTGCCACTTGTACACTTCTCTCCTTCCATCTTCTTTGCAGAGCAGCCTTATGCAGAAAACAAGCTCAAAAATACAGATTTTTCTTTGGACAGGATCTACACCCAACTCCCAGTGAAACAGAATTCTAGGAGGTGAGAGCCAAACTGGGAGAACTGACCATAAAAACACTTGATCCATCCCTTCTTTTTAAAATGGAATAACCAAGACTTTGAAGAGGTAAGTGGCTTGCCTGTTGTCACAGAGAAATAAACAACAAATTCAAAACTTGAACCCAGGTCATTTATCTTTTTCTACAACTATAATTCATGCCAAATACAAATCCTATGGTCAGAGAAGCCCTTGATGTGAGCTCTGGTTCATCACTTTGCACAATGCTTGGAACAAGTAGATTCCTAGCAAAAGTTGATTAAGCAAATATACGTGAATGAGTTCCCAGCTTCCACTCTACCCCTGCTTACCTCCCGTACCAGCCCTTTCTCTCACTGCATGTTTCCTTCCTGGGCTAAACTACCCAGTAATGCTAATGCAACTCTTACCTGAGCAGCAGCAACAGGGACAGTATTTCCAGAAATACATCTGGCAGAGACGAAGACTACTCTGGAGAGCTATTTAGTCAGTGCATTATCAGGATATATTTTGCTAGCTGACCCCTAGATATGGCTACACAGAGGATGAAGCAAGGATGTTTTAGTAGTAGAAGTTGGTGACAAATCAAGAGCTTAGGGAATAGAGAGCAGTGAGATAATTGGGCCAAACCACTCAAAAATGCAAAAGCTAGAGAAAATTGGTGGGTTAACTGACTTGCCCAAGGCAATACAGCTTTTTGACACCAGAGGAGGGATTTGAACTCTGTTGTCAGGATTCCTAGTCTGGCAACTCTGCATAGTGCTGCTGTCACAGTAGACCAGAAGCCATAGTGCCTAGTTTGGGAGGTGCTTGCAGAGGGATAAGGATGGTGCAGAAATGGGCTGGGTGTGGTGGCTCACGCCTGTAATCCCAGCACGTTTGGAGGCCGAGGTGGGTGGATCACCTGAGGTTGGGAGTTCAAGACCAGCATGACCAACATGGTGAAACCCCATCTCTACTAAAAAATACAAAAATTAGCCGGGCGTTGTGGTGCGTGCCTGTAATTCCAGCTACTCAGGAGGCTGAGGCAGAAGAATCGCTTGAACCCAGGAGGTGAAGGTTGCAGTGAGCGGAGATCACGCCATTGCATGCCAGCCTGGGTGACAGAGCAAGACTCCATCTCAAAAAAAAAAAAACAAAAAAAAAAAGAAAAAGAAGAAAAAAGGATGGTGCAGAAATGTAAAGGAAAGAGAACGCATATGATCAATGAGTGTTTATGGAGAACTTACTTACTGTGTATTAGACATTTCTTATGAATTAAATTGTGTCCCTCCCCACAAATTCATATTTTGAAGCTCTAACCTCCAAAGTGACTGTATTTGGAAATCAGGCCTTTAAGGAGGTAATTAAGGTTACGTGAGTTCAGGCTGGGTGCAGTAGCTCACGCCTGTAATCCCAGCACTTTCGGGGGCCAAGGTGGGTGGATCATGAGGTCAAGAGATCAAGGCCAGCATCCTGGCCAATGTGGTGAAACTCTGTCTCTACTAAAAATACAAAAATTAGCTGGGCGTGGTGGTGTGCGCCTGTAGTCCCAGCTACTAGGGAGGCTGAGGCAGGAGAATCACTTGAACCCAGGAGGCGAAGGTTGCAGTAAGCCGAGAACATGCTACTTCACTCCAGCCTGGCAACAGAGTGAGACTCCATCTCAAAAAAAAAAAAAAAAAAAAAGTTACATGAGTTCATAAGGGTGGGGCTGTAATCCAATAGGACTATTGTCCTTATAAGAAGAGGAAGAGACACCAGGAGCATGCACACACAGAAGAAAGGTTTTGTGAGGACACAGGAAGAAGGAAGCCACCAACAAACCAAAAAGAGGGGCCTCAGGAGAAACCAAGCCTGCCAGCAACTTGATCTCAGAATTCCAGAACTGTGAGAAAATAAATTTCTGTCATTTAAGCCACCCTATCTGTGGCAATCTGTGATGGCAGCTCAGGCTGATTATTACAACACTGATGGCCAACAGTGAAGGAGCTGCTGAAGACCAACTCTACCTCATTCTCTTTCTCTTCCAGAATTGCTCAGGCCCAGGGAGATGAGGAGCTGACCCACACAGTCAAAATCTAACCAGGAATTTTCAGGTTAACCAGGTCTGCACTAAGACAAACAAGAAAAAAGACATTAACAAATGATGAAAAAAGACATTAACAAATGATGAAAGTTGAAGACAGTCACAAACAATTTATCTTTTCTGTGGCTTGTCTGTTTGTACATTCATTAATTGCCTTGTTTTACTGGTGATTTTCATAAGAATAAACATTTACTTCAGAAAACTCACTTCTTGAAAACAGAGCACGTATAAACTATTTGGGGCTTTAGATTTTTCAGTGTTCGGAAAAATAAGAGTTGATGTCAAGGAAAAGATAAATGCCATTGAAAGAATCTGTGGAGGGGTATCAGTGAAAAGCATAAGTGAGGATCATGGAAAATCATCTCTATACAAGCAGTGAGAACACTGACAAAAATGGTCAGAGTCAAATTTTTCAGAACATTGGAAATTAAGCAAAGGCTTGCAGCAATACAAGGAAAGTTTATTCAAGGAAAAATGGCTCAATCTCAGTAAGGGTAGCAATATTTATGACATTTTAATTTGCTGTATCCCTATTTCCCCCTCCACAACTCAACAACAGCCTTGAAAACCAACAGCCCACAAGTACAGTGAAAATCAGCATCCAGGAAGACACTGGAGGGGGTTATGTGGGATTAGATTGCCTTCAAAGCCCCATTCCCACAGAATTGTCATTATTTGATCTGTCTGGTAGTTCCTGGGAGACTCCACTTGCAAGGATGTCTTTATTTGAACTGACTTGGAAAGTACCTGTCTACTGTGGAGAGTCTTTTCCTAGAAGCATTGGTTGAAAACAATATAGCTGCCCAAAGTGGTAGATAGCAGTTGGGTCAAACAATAAGCTAATAAAAAATCTTAAAAAGAAAGTCAGGGTAGTGAAATGTCCATAGGGAGCTTTGGAAAGCTTTGATATATTCCTGGTAATCTAGAAGGTTACGTGCATGCCCAGGCCTGTGCACATACTCAGGAAAGAACTAACAAGGCCTAAACTCTCACCTCTGATTGATATTGAGGTTCTGCCCAAGCAGGAAGTGAAGGCTAAGGTGGAGTTGGAAGCTGTCTGGCTGAATTTTGAAGATGTATCTCAAATATTCACATAGACCCCCTGCCCTGACCAAACACTATGACACTTCTTGGTCCTAAGCATTTGATAAATTTCTGTGTAATCATTACCTGACCACTAAGATAACTGAGCAGAGACATCAATAACCACATATGAAAAAGAATGCAAATTTTACAGAATTAGTTCAGAAACAAACCAGCAACAACAAATCCTGGAGATGGGAATCTGTTCCAGAGTTACCACATTATATTTTTAAAAGTCTAGTTTTTAGAAATGTCTGTAAAAATTATGAAACATGCAAAGAAACAAGAATATATGGCCTATGCTCAGAGAGAAAAAGCAGCCAATAAAAACTATCCCTGGAAAGCCAGATTCTGTAATACTAGACAAAGTCAGCTACTTTAAATATGTTCAAAGAACTAAAGAAAACTATGTCTAAACTAAAGGAAAGTATGAGAAGAATGTCTCACCAGATAAAGAGATTAAAATTACTTTTAAGAAAACAAATAGAAATTCTGGAGTTGAAAAGTACAATAAAGGGGACCAAGATGGCTGATTAGAAGCAGCTGCGATCTGTGGCATTCACAGAGAGGAACGAAAGAGGTGCGTGAATACAGCACCTTTAACTGAAATATCCAGATACTCGCATTGGGACTGATCAGGGAAACAACTCAAAGCACGGAGAATAAAGAAAACTAGGGTGGGGTGACAGCCCACCTAGGAGTGACACAGAGTCGAGGGAACCCCCACCCCCAGCCAAGGGAAGTGGTGAGTGAGTGTGCAACCCTGGGAAACCATGCTTTTCCCACAGATCTTTGCAACCCGCAGATCAGGGAATCCCTTTGTGAGCCCACACCATCAGGGCCTTAGGTTCAACACACGGAGCTGTATGGAGTCTTGGCAGAGTGCCTGCTCAGGCACACACAGAGACCCAGGAGCTTTACATACTCTGGCCTCAGGATCTCTAATAAAGGTGTATGCAACGAGGCAAATCAGGAGGTCCGTGCATACCCCAAAGAAGTGGGCTGAATCCAGGAGGCTGAGCAGCATCAGTCTGTGGGCCCCACTTTCACGGCACCTCACAAGATAAAACCCACTGGCTTGGAATTCCAGCAAGCCACCAGCAACAGGGTGGAGCCTGCCTGATACAAGACTGAACCCCTAGGGGGAGGGGCGGGTGCCATCTCTGCTGTTTGATCTACTTGGCCATTCCAGACTGTGGGCTTTGGAGAGTCAGACAGTCCAGATGAGGAGGTGTCTCCCTAGCACAGCACAGCTGCTTTGCCAGAGCCTGGCCAGAATGCTTCTTTAAGCAGGAATCTGATCTCTCCCGGGATGGAATGCCTGAGGAGGAAGGGTGGGCCACTACCTTGGTTGTTTGGATGACTCAGCCATTCTAGCCTGCAGGCTTTGGAGAGTCCAAGTCTACAGAAGCAGAGGCAGCTTCCCAGCACAACATGGCTGTTTTGTTGAGGCATGGTCAGACTGCTTCTTCAAGCAGAACCCTGATCCACTTCTCCTAAGGTGTTGGTCCCCCCAGCAGAGGACTTGGCCTTCCCTGCCCATGTTCTATGGCCGACAGAGTTCTAATTTCTCCCTGGGATGGGGAGCCTGGGGTGGTGGGGCAGGCCAACACCTTGGCTGTTTGGGCATCTCAGCTGGTCCAGCCTGAGGATATTGCAGAACCTAAACCAACTGGGGGCTGAAGGGATCCCCAACACAGCACAGCTGCTCTACAAAAAAGCAGCCAAACTGCTTCTTTAAGCAGATCTCTGATCCCATTCCTCCTGACTGAAAGACCGGGATCTCTAGCCACTTCCTACAGGCACATTCAGGCTGGCAACAGGTCAGTACCCTCTGGGATGGAGGACCTTCCAGAGGAAGGGGCAGGCTGCCATCTTTGCTTTTTCACAGCCTTCACCGGTGATACCTCCAGGTTAGGGAAAAACCAAGGTGACTAGAGTCCAGAATGGACCCACAGAAAACTGCAGCAGCCTATGAAAGAGTGGCCAGACTGTTAAAAGAAAAACAAACAAACAAACAACAAAAGCAAAAAGGCCCACAAAAACCCCATCCAAAGGTCAGCAACTCCAAAGATCGAAAGTAGATAAGCCCACAAAGATGAGAAAGAACCAACAAAAAAACGCTGAAAACTCAAAAAGCCAGAGTGTCCCTTTTCCTCCAAATGAGTGCAGCACTTCTCCAGCAAGCGGTCAGAATTGGGCTGAGGCTGGTATGGCTGAAATGACAGAAGTAGGCTTCAGAATGTGGATAAAAATGAACTTCACTGAGCTAAAGAAGCATGTTGTAACCCAATGCAAAGGAGCTAAGAATCATGATAAAACAATGCAGGAGCTGACCTGTTGCCAGCCTGAATGTGTCTGTAGGAAGCAGCAGGAGCCATAATATCCAGTATAGATAGAAACATAACTGACCTGATGGAGTTGAAAAACACACTATAAAAACTTAACAATGCAGTCACAAGTATTAATAGCAGAACAGACCAAGTGGAGGAAAGAATCTCAGAGCTTAAAGACTATCTTTCTGAAATAAGACAAGCAGACAAGAATAGATAAAAAAGAAAAATGAAAGGAATGAAGAAAACCTCCGAGAAGTATGGGATTATGTAAAGAGACCTAATCTACGACTGACTAGGGTATCTGAAAGAGATGGGGAGAATGGAATCAATTTGAAAAGCATACTTCAGGATATCATCCAGGAGACCTTTCCCAACCTAGCAAGACAGGCCAACATTCACATTCAGGAAATGCAGAGAACCCCAGTAAAATTCTCCACAAGAAGATCATCCCCAAGACTCATAACCATCAAATTCTCCAAGGTTGAAATGAAATAAAAAATGTTAAGGGCAGCCAGAGAGAAGGGCCAGGTCACCTACAAAGGGAAGACCATCAGACTAACAGTGGACCTCTCAGCAGAAACCCTCCAAGCCAGAAGAGATTAGGGGGCAATATTCAACACTCTTAAAGAAAATAATTTCCAACACAGAATTTCGTATCCAGCCAAATGAAGCTTCATAAGTGAAGGAGAAATAAGATATTTTTCAGACATGCAAATGCTGCAGGAATTTGTTACCATCAGACCTGCCTTACAAGAGCTCCCGAAGAAAGCACTGAATATGAAAAGGAAAAACTGTTATCATCCCCTACAAAACCACACTGAAGTATACAGACCAGTGACACTCTGAAGCAATCACATAAACAAGTCTGCAAAGCATTATGATGGCAGGATTAAAGCCACACATAACAATACTAAGCTTAAATGTAAATGGACTAAATATCCTAATTAAAAGACACAGATAAAGAACCAAGATTCATTGGTATGTTGTTTTCAAGAGACCCATCTCACATGCAAAGACACATACAGGCTCAAAATAAAGGAGTGGAGGAAAATTTACTAAGCAAATGGAAAACAGAAAAAAGTAGGGATTGCAATTCTGATTTCTGACAAAACAGACTTGAAAACAACAAAGATAAAAAAAGACAAAGAAGGGCATTACATACGGTAAAGGGTTCAATTCAACAAGAAGGGCTAATATATATACATATATGTGTGTGTATACATATATCTCCAATAGGTGCACCCAGATTCATAAAGCAAGTTCTTAGAGATCTTCAAAGAGACTTAGACTCTCACAAAATAATAGTGAGAGAATTTAACACCCCACTGACAATATTAGACGTATCATCAGGACAGAAAATTGACAAAGATATCCAGGAACTGAACTCAGCTCTGGATCAAGTGGACCTGATAGATATCTATAGAACTCTCCACCCAAAAACAACAGAACATATATCCTCCTTCTCGCCACATGGCACTTATTCTAAAATTGATCACGTAATCAGAAGTAAAATACTCCTCAGCAAATGCAAAAGCACTGAAATCATAACAGTCTCTCAGATGACAGCACAATCAAATTAGAACTCAAGATTAAGAAATTCACAGGCCAGGTGTGGTGGCTCACATCTGTAATCCCAGCACTTTGGGAGTCCAAGGCAGGCAGGTCACCTGAGGTCCAAGGCGGGCGGATCACCTGAGGTCAGGAGTTCAAGATCAGCCTGTCCAACATGGAGAAACCCGTCTCTACTAAAAATACAAAATTAGCTAGGTTTGGTGGCACATGCCTATAATTCCAGCTACTTGGAGAGGCTGAGGCAGGAGAATTGCTTGAACCCGGGAGGAGGAGGTTGCGGTGAGCCGAGATTGCGCCAATGCACTCCAGCCTGGGCAACAAGAGCAAAACTCCATCTCAAAAAAAAAAAAAAAGAAAAAAAAAAGAAATTCACTCAAAACCATACAACTACATGAAAATTGAACAACCTGCTCCTGAGGGACATTTGGGCAAATAATGAAATTAAGGCAGAAATCAAGTTCTTTGAAACAAATGAGAACAAAGATACAATGTACCAGAATCTTTGGGACACAGCTAAAGCAGCATTAAGAGGGAAATTTATAGCACTAAATGCCCACATAAAAAAGCTAGAAAGATCTCAAATTAACAACCTAACATCACAGTTAAAAAGCTAGAGAACAAAGAGCAAACACACCCCAAAGCTAGCAGAAGATAAGAAATAACCAAGATCAGAGCTGAACTGAAGGAGATAGAGACAAGAAAAACCCTTCAAAAAAATCAATGAATCCAGGAGCTGGTTTTTTGAAAAAATTAATAAAATAGACCACTAGCTAGACTAATAAAGAAGAAAAGAGAGGGCCGGGCGCAGTGGCTCACACCTGTAATCCCAGAACTTTGGGAGGCCGAGGCGGGCGGATCACGAGGTCAGGAGATCGAAACCATCCTGGCTAACATGGTGAAACCCTGTCTCTACTAAAAATACAAAAAATTAGCCGGGCGAGGTGGCAGGCGCCTGTAGTCCCAGCTACTCAGGAGGTTGAGGCAGGAGAGTGGAGTGAACCCCAGGGGGCGGAGCCTGCAGTGAGCGGAGAGCACGCCACTGCACTCCAGCCTGGGCGACAGCGAGACTCCGTCTCAAAAAAAAAAAAAAAACAAAAACAAAACAAAGAAGAAAAGAGAGAAGATTCAAATAAACACAATCAGAAATGATAAGGGGAATACTAGCACTGACCCCACAGAAATACAAACAACCATCAGAGAGTACTGTAAAAACCTCTATGCACAGAAACTAGAAAATCTAGAAGAAATGGATAAGTTCCTGGACACATACACCCTCCCAAGACTGAACCAGGAAGAAACTGAACCCCTGAACCGACCAATAATGAGTTCCAAAATTGAAGCAGTAATAAATAGCCTACCAATAAATGAAAGCCCAGGACCAGATGAATTCACAGCTGAATTCTACCAGAGGCACAGATAAGAGCTGGTACGATTCCTACTGAAACTATTCAAAAAAATTGAAAAGGAGAGACTCCTCCCTAACTCATGCTATGAGGCCAGCATCATCCTGATACCAAAATCTGGCAGAGATACAAGAAAAAAAAGAAAACTTCTGGCCAATATCCTTGATGAACATCAATGAAAAATCCTCAACAAAATACTGGCAAACCAAATCCAACAGCACATCAAAAAGCTTATCCACCACAACCAAGTAGGCTTCATCCTTGGGATGCAAGGCTAGTTCAACATACACAAATCAATAAATGTAACTCATCACATAAACAGAACTAAGACAAAAACCACATGATCATCTCAATAGATGAAGAAAAGGCCTTCAATAAAATTCAACACCGCTTCATGTTAAAAACATATTAGGTATTGAAGGAACATACGTCAAAATAATAACAGCCATATATGAAAAACCCACAGCCAATATCATGCTGAATGGAAAAAAGCCAGAAGCATTCCACTTGAAAACCAGCACAAGGTAAGTTTGCCCTCTCTCACCACTCCTATTCAACAAAGTACTGGAATTTCTGGCCAGGGCAATTAGGCGAGAGAAAGAAATAAACTGTTTTTATATAAGACAGGAAGTTAAGCTATCTTTGTTTGCAGATGGCATGATCCTATATCTAGAAAAACCCCTCGTCTCAGCCCAAAAGCTTCTTAAGCTGATAAGCAACTTCAGCAAAATCTCAGAATACAAAATCAATGTGCAAAAATTGCTAGCATTCTTATATGCCAAGAGCCAAATCACGAATGAACTGCCATTCACAATTGCCACAAAAAGAATAAAATAACTAGGAATACAGCCAACAAGGGAAATGAAGGACTTCTTCAAGGAGAACTACAAACCACTGCTCAAAGAAATCAGAGATGACACAAATAAATGGAAAAACATTCCATGCCCATGGATAGGAAGAATCAATATCGTGAAAATGACAATACTGCCCAAAGCAATTTATAAATTCAGTGCTATTCCCATTAAACTACCATTTCACATTCCTCACAGAATTAGAAAAAACTATTTAAAAATTTATATGGAGCCAAAAAAGGGCCCAAATAGCCAAGGCAATCCTAAGCAAAAGAACAAAGCCTGTTACCTGACTTCAAACTATACTACAAGGCTACAGTAACCAAAACAGCAGATACCAGTATTAAAAACAGACACATAGACCAATGGAACAGAACAGAGAACCCAGAAATAAGACTGCACACCTACAACCATCCGATCTTTGACAAACCTGAAAAAAACAAGCAATGGAGAAAGGACTCCCTATTTAATAAATGGTGCTGGGAGAACTACTTGACTATATGCAGAAAATTGAAACTGGATACCTCTCTTACACCATATACAAAAATCAACTCAGAATGGACTAAAGACTTAAATACAAAACCCAAAACTATAAAAACCCTAGAAGAAAACCTAGGCAATACCATTCAGGACATGGGCACTGACAAAGATTTCATGACAAAGACACCAAAAGCAATTGCAACAAAAGCAATAATTGACAAATGGAATCTGTTTAAACTAAAGAACTTCTGCACAGCAAAAGAAACTATCAACAGAATAAACAGATAACATACAGAGTGGGAGAAAAATTTTACAATCTGTCTACCTGGCAAAGGTCAAATATTCACCATCTATAAAGAATTTAAACAAATTTATAAGACAAAAACAACCCCATTAAAAAGTGGGCAAAGGACATGAACACTTTTCAAAAGAAGGCACACATGCAGCCAACAAACATATGAAAAAAAGCTCATCACTGATCATTAGAGAAATGCAAATCAAAACCACAATGAGATATCATCTCACACCAGTCAGAATGGATATTATTAAAAAGTCAAAAAGCAACAGATGCTGGCAATATGTGGAGAAAAAGGAACATTTTTACACTGTTAGTGGGAATGTAAATCAGTTCAACCATTGTGGAAGACAGTGTGACAATTCTGCAAAGACCTAGAGCCAGAAATACCATTTGACTCAGCAATCTCATTACTGGGTATATATCTAAAGGACTATAAATTGTCCTGTTATAAAGATACATGGACATGTATGTTCACTGCAGCACTATTCACCATAGCAAAGACATGGAATCAACCTAAATGGGCAGCAGTGATATGCTCGATGAAAAAAAAACGTGGTACATATACACCATGGAAACTATGCAGCCATAAAAAGGAATGAGATCATGTCCTTTGCAGGGACATGGTTGGAGTTGAAGCCCATTATCCTTAGCAAACTAATGCAGGAACAGAAACCCAAATACCACATGTTCTCACTTTTCAGTGGGAGCTGAATGATGAGAAAACATGGACTCATGGATGTGGAACAACACACACTGGGGCCTGTCAGAGGATGTGGGATGGGAGGAGGGAGAGCATCAGGAAGAATAGCAAGTGAATGTTGAGCTTAATGCCTGGGCAATGGGATGATCTGTGCAGCAAACCACCATGGCACATATGTACCTATGTAACAAACTTGCACATCCTGCACATGTACCCCTGAACTTAAAAGTCAGAAATTTTTTAAGAAGAAAAATACAATAATTGAAATTTAAAAATCACTAGAGTAGTTCAACAACATATATGGGCAGGCAGAAGACAGAATTGCTGTGCTTTAAGAGGTCAATTGAGACTATCCAGTCTGAGGAAAACAAAGAAAAAAAGAATAAAGAATATGAACAGAGCCTCAGAGACCTGTGAGACACCATCAAGCATCCCAAAATACAAATAATGAGAGTTTCAGAAGGAGAGGAGAAAAAAGAACAGAAAGAATATATGAAAAAATAATGGCTGAAAACTTCCCAAATTTGACAAAAACTTTAATGTACACATCCCAGATGCTAAAAACAAAACAAAAACAGGATAAATAGCTTGTCCTTCCAAGTAGGATAAGCTAAAAATGATTCACACCTAGACAGATCATAATTAAATTGCTAAAAGCTGAGACAAAGACAGGATCTTGAAAGCAGCAAGAGATAAATGACTGATCATGTATAAGGGATTCTCAATTAGATGAACAGCTGATTTCTTATAAGGAACCATGGGGGCCAAAAAGCAGTAGGATGCCATAGTCAAAGTTCTGAAAGAAAGACTGCCAACCAAGAATTCAACATCCTTCAAAAGTGGAGAAATTAAGATATTCCCAGATTTTAAAAACTGAAAGAATTCGTCACTAGTGTCAGGCCTCTGAGCCCAAGCTAAGCCATCATATCCCCTGTGACCTGCACATCCAGACGGCCTGAAGTAACTGAAGAATCACAAAAGAAGTGAAAATAGCCTGTTCCTGCCTTAGCTGATGACGTTCCACCACAAAAGAAGTGAAAATGGCCTGTTCCTGCCTTAACTGATTATATTATCTTGTGAAATTCCTTCTCCTGGCTCGTCCTGGCTCAAAAGCTCCCCCACTGAGCACCTTGTGACCCCCATCCCTGCCCACCAGAGAACAACCCCCCTTTGACTAATTTTCCTTTACCTGCCCAAATCCTATAAAACAGCCCCATCCCTATCTCCCTTCGCTGACTCTCTTTTCGGACTCAGCCCACCTGCACCCAGGTGAAATAAACAGCCTTGTTGCTCACACAAAGCCTGTTTGGTGGTCCCTTCACATGGACGTGAGTGAAATTTGGTGCCCTGACTCGGATCAGCGGACCTCCCTTGGGAGATCAATCCCCTGTCCTCCTGCTCTTTGCTCCGTGAGAAAGATCCACCTACGACCTCTGGTCCTCAGACTAACCAGCCCAAGGAACATCTCACCAATTTTAAATCAGGTAAGCGGCCTCTTTTTACTCTCTTCTCCAACCTCTCTCATTATCCCTCAACCTCTTTCTCCTTTCAATCTTGGTGCCACACTTCAATTTCTCCCTTCTCTTAATTTCAGTTCCTTTCCTTTTCTGGTAGAGACAAAGGAGACACGTTTTATCCATGGACCCAAAACTCCGGCACCAGTCACAGACTCGGGAAGGCAGTCTTCCCTTGGTGTTTAATCATTGCAGGGACACCTGCCTGATTATTCACCCACATTTAATTGGTGTCTGATCACTGCAGGGATGCCTGCCTTGGTCATTCACCCACATTCCCTTGGTGGCAAGTCAATTGCGGGGACGCCTGCTTTGGCTGCTCACTCACATTGCAGCCCAGGGCTGCTCACCCCACCCCTTCTCTCCGTGTCTCTACCCCTTCTCCACTTTCCTGGGGGGCAAGCACCCCCCACCCCTTCTCTCTGTGTCTCTCCCCACCCCTTCTCCACTTTCCTGGGAGGCAAGCACCCCCCACCCCTTCTCTCCATGTCTCTACCCTTCTCTTTAAACTTGCCTCCTTCGCTATGGGCAACCTTCCACCCTCCATTCCTCCTTCTTCTCCCTTAGCCTGTGTTCTCAAGAACTTAAAACCTCTTCAACTCTCACCTGACCTAAAATCTAAGCATCTTATTTTCTACTGTAATGTCACTTGGGCCTGATACAAACTCGAGAGTAGTTCCAATAGTCAGAGAATGGCACTTTCAATTTTTCCATCCTATAAGATCTAGATAATTCTTGTCATAAAATGGGCAAACGGTCTGAGATGCCTGACGTCCAGGCATTTTTTTACACATCAGTCCCTCCCTAGTCTCTGTTCCCAATGCAGCTTGTCCCAAATCCTTCTTTTCCTCCCGACTGTCCCCTCAGTCCCAACCCCAAGCGTCGCTGAGACTTTCTGATCTTCCTTTTCTACAGACCCATCTGACCTCTCCCCTCCTCCCCAGGCTGCTCCTCACCAGGCCAAGCCAGGTCCTAATTTTTCCTCGGCCTCCGCTCCCCCACCCTATAATCCTTTTAGCACCTCCCCTCCTCACGCCTGGTCCGGCTTAGTTTCCTTCCGCAACTAGCTCTCCCCCACCTGCCCAGCAATTTCCTCTTAAAAAGGTGGCTGGAGCTGGCCAGGTGCAGTGAGTCAGACCTGTAATCCCAGCACTTTGGGAGGCTGAGGCAGGCAGATAACAAGGTCAGGAGATTGAGACCATGCTGACTAACACGGTGAAACCCCATCTCTACTAAAAATACAAAAACTTAGCCAGGCATGGTGGCAGGTGCCTGTAGTCCCAGCTACTCGGGAGGCTGAGGCAGGAGAATGGCGTGAACCTGGAAGGCAGAGCTTGCAGTGAGCCGAGATCGTGTCACTGCACTCCAGCCTGGGCGGCAGAGCAAGACTCCATCTCAAAAAAAAAAAAAAAAAAAGGGGGCTGCCAGCTAAAGGCATAGTCAACGTTAATGCTCTCTTTTCTTTATCCGACCTCTCCCAAATCAGATAGCGTTTAGGCTCTTTTTCATCAAATATAAAAACCCAGCCCAGTCCATGGCCCATTTGGCAACAACCCTTAGATGTTTTACTGCCCTAGACCCAGAAGGGCCAGAAGGCCATCTTATTCTCAACACGCATTTTATTACCCAACCCACTCCCGACAGTAGAAAAAGCTCCAAAAATTAGATTCCAGTCCTCAAACCCCACAACAGGACTTAATTAACCTCGCCTTCAAGGTGTACAATAATAAAGTAGAGGCAGCCAAGTAGCAATGTATTTCTGAGTTGCAATTCCTTGCCTCCACTGTGAGACAAACCCCAGCCACATCTCCAGCACACAAGAACACCAAACACCTGAACCACAGCTGCCAGGGGTTCCTCCAAACCCTCTTACCCCAGGAGCTTGCTACAAGTGCCAGAAATCTGGCCACTGGGCCAAGGAATGCCTGCAGCCCAGGACCCCTCCTAAGCTGTGTCCCATCTGTGTGGAACCCCACTGAAAATAGGACTGTTCAGCTCGCCTGGCAGCCACTCCCAGAGCCCCTGGAACTCTGGCCCAAGGCTCTCTGACTGACTCCTTCCCAGATCTTCTCAGCTTAGTGGCTGAAGACTGATACTGCCCGATCACCTCAGAAGCCTACAGGACCATCACAGACGCTTTGGGTAACTTTTACAGTGGAGGGTAAGTCTGTCCCCTTCTTAATCAATACTGAGGCTACCAACTCCACATTACCTTCTTTTCAAGGACTGTTTCCCTTGCCCCCATAATTGTTGTGGGTATTGACGGCCAGGCTTCTAAACCTCTTAAAACTCCCCAACTCTGGTGCCAACTTGGACAATATTCTTTTATACATTCCTTTTTATTTAACCCCACCTGCCCAGTTCCCTTATTAGGCCGAGACATTTTAACCAAATTATCTGCTTCCCTTATTATTCCTGGACTACAGCCACATCTCATTGCCACCCTTCTTCCCAACCCAAAGCCTCCTTCGTGTCTTCCTCTCGTATCCCCCCACCTTAACCCACAAGTATAGGACACCTCTACTCCCTCCTTGGCAATGGATGATGCACCCCTTACCATCCCATTAAAACCTAATCACCCTTACCCCACTCAACGCCAGTATCCCATCCCACAGCATGCTTTAAAAGGATTAAAGCCTGTTATCACTCCCCTGTTACAGCATGGCCTTTTAAAGCCTATAAACTCTCCTTACAATTCCCCATTTTACCTGTCCAAAAACCGGACAAGCCTTACAGGTTTAGTTCAGGATCTGCACCTTATCAACCAAATTGTTTTACCTATCCACCTCATGGTGACAAACCCATATACTCTCCTATCCTCAATACCTCCCTCCACAGCCCATTCTTCTGTTCTGGATCTCAAACATGCTTTCTTTACTATTCCTTTGCACCCTTCATCCCAGCCTCTCTTCGCTTTCACTTGGACTGACCCTGACACCCATCAGGCTCAGCAAATTACCTGGGCTGTACTGCTACAAGGCTTCACAGACAGCCCCCATTACTTCAGTCAAGCCCAAATTTCTTCCTCATCTGTTACCTATCTCAGCATAATTCTCATAAAAACACATGTGCTCTCCCTGCTGATCGTGTCTGACTAATCTCCCAAACCCCAATCCCCTCTACAGAACAACAACTCCTTTCCTTTCCTAGGCATGGTTAGTGTGGTCAGAATTCTTACCCAAGAGTCGGGACCGCGCCCTGTAGCCTTTCTGTCCAACTTGACCTTACTGGTTTAGCCTAGCCTTCATGTCTGCATGCAGCAGCTGCCGCTGCTTTAATGCTTTTAGAGGCCCTCAAAATCACAAACTATGCTCAACTCACTCTCTACAGTTCCCATAACTTCCAAAATCTATTTTCTTCCTCCCACCTGGGGCATATACCTTCTGCTCCCTGGCTTCTTCAGCTATACTCACTCTTTGTTGAGTCTTCCACAATTACCATTGTTCCTGGCCTGGACTTCAATCCAGCCTCCCACATTATTCCTGATACCACACCTGACCCCCGTGACTGTATCTCTCTGATCCACCTGACATTCACTCCATTTCCCCATATTCTTTCCTCTTCCTCACCCTGATCACACTTGGTTTATTGACGGCAGTTCCACCAGGCCTAATTGCCACTCACCAGCAAAGGCAGGCTATGCTATAGTATCTTCCACATGTATGATTGAGGCTACCGCTCTGCCCCCTTCCACTACCTCTCAGCAAGCTGAACTCATTGCCTTAACTTGGGCCCTCACTCTTGCAAAGGGACTACATGTCAATATTTATACTAACTCTAAATATGCCTTCCATATCCTGCACCACCATGCTGTTATATGGGCTGAAAGGGGTTTCCTCACTACTCAAGGGTCCTCCATCATTAATCCCTCTTTAATAAAAATGCTTCTCAAAGCTGCTTTACTTCCAAAGGAAGCTGGAGTCATTCACTGCAAAGGCCATCAAAAGGCATCAGATCCATGGCTCAGGACAAAGCTTCTGCTGATAAAGTAGCTAAAAAAGCAGCTATCAAAAGGTGTCAGATCCCACCACTCAGGACAATGCTTATGCTGATAAGGTAGCTAAAAAAGCAGCTAGCATTCCAACTTCTATCCCTCACGGCAGTTTTTCTTCTTCTCACCTGGCCACTCCCACCTACTCCCCAACTAAAACTTCCACCTATCAATCTCTTCCCACACAAGGCAAATAGTTCTTAGACCAAGGAAAATATCTCCTTCCAGCCTCACAGGCCCATTCTATTCTGTCATCATTTCGTAACATCTTCCATGTAGGTTACAAGCCTCTAGCCCACCTCTTAGAACCTCTCATTTCCTTTCCATTGTGGGAATCTATCCTCAAGGAAATCACTTCTCAGTGTTCCATCTGCTATTCTACTACCCCTCAGGGATTGTTCAGGCCGCCTCCATTTCCTACACATCAAGCTCAGAGATTTGCCCCCTCTCAGGACTGGCAAATTGACTTTACTCACATGCCCTGAGTCAGGAAACTAAAATACCTCTTGGTCTAGGTAGACACTTTCACTGGATGAGTACAGGCGTTTCCCACAGGGTCTGAGAAGGCCACCGTGGTCATTTCTTCCCCTCTGTCAGACATAATTCTTAGGTTTGGCCTTCCCACCTCTATACAGTCCGATAACAGACCGGCTTTTATTAGTCAAATCACCGAAGCAGTTTCTCAGGCTCTTGGTATTCAGTGAACAAATGGTCTTTTAAAAAAAGCACCTCACCAAGCTCAGCCACCAACTTAAAAAGGACTGGACAATACTTTTACCACTTTCCCTTCTCAGAATTCGGGCCTGTCCTTGGAATGCTACAGGATACAGCCCATCTGAGCTCCTGTATAGACACACCTTTTTATTAGGCCCCAGTCTCATCCGAGACACCAGCCCAACTTGAACTGCACCCCAAAAACTTGGATAGAGCCTAAAAAGTCACCAACCAAGCAAGTAATTACACTGAACCCCTTGGGCATTCTCTAATTGGATGTCCTGGGTCCTCCCAATTCTTAGTCCTTTAATACCTGTTTTTCTCCTTCTCTTAATTCGGACTTTGTGTCTTCCGTTTAGTTTCTCAATTCATCCAAAACCATATCCAGGTCATCACCAATCATTCTATATGACAAATGCTCTTTCTAACAACTCCACAATATCACCCCTTACCACAAAATCCTCCTTCAACTTAACCTCTCCCACTCTAGTTTCCCACGCTGCCCCTAATCCTGCTTGAAGCAGCCCTGAGAAACATCGCCCATTATCTCTCCATGCCACCCAAAAAAATTTTCACCACCCCAACACTTTACCACTATTTCATTTTATTTTTCTTATTAATATAAGAAGACATGAATGTCAGGCCTCTGAGCCCAAGCTAAGCCATCATATCCCCTGTGCCCTGCACATACACATCCAGATGGCCTGAAGCAACTGAAGAATCACAAAAGAAGTGAAAATGGCCTGTTTCTGCCTTAACTGATGATATTATCTTGTGAAATTCCTTCTCCTGGCTCATCCTGCCTCAAAAGCTCCCCCACTGAACACCTTGTGACTCCTGGCCCTGCCCGACAAAGAACAACCCCCTTTGACTAATCTTCCTTTACCCGCCCAAATCCTATAAAACGGCCCCACCCCTATCTCCCTTCGCTGACTGTTTTCAGACTCAGCCCGCCTGCACCCAGGTGAAATAAACAGCCTTGTTGCTCACACAAAGCCTGTTTGGTGGTCTCTTCACACAGACCTGACTGAAAACTAGCAAATATGTCATACAGAAAATAAATACTAAATGAAGTCCTTCAGACTGAAATGGAAGGACACTGGACAGTAACTCAAATCTACATAAAGAAATAGAGTGTACTGGTAAAGATAAGTACATAGTAAATATGAAAGATGGTATTTTATGGTTGTAAGTCCTTTTCCTTCTATCTGATTTAAAAGACAACTGCATAAAACAATAATTAAAATCTATGTGATGGGCATATAATATATAAGATGTAATTTGCATGGCAATAACAGCACAAAAGAGAGTGAGGGAATTACACTCCAGAGAAGCAAAGCTTTTACGTACTATTGAAATCAGGGCATTATTAATCCAAACTAGATTGTTATAAGTTAAGATGTTAATTGTACTCCCCAAGGAAACCCTGAAGGCAGTAGTTTAAAAGAATCTGTGGTACGGATGGCTTAGTTAAATCTAGCAAAGCCTCACTAGTAAAACCAATATGCATTAGTAAAATATCTGAAGAAGGAAAATTATTCATTGAGGATGTAATTTTTATTAATTTCCTGACATACAGTAATTGGAAGGGCAAATAAGATATTCTTTTATTCACTTTAGATTAATTGAGGGCCTGCTATGTTTCAGACACTGATGCTGCAAAATAGAGGCTTAGCTGAATCTGTCCTAATGAAGAGCTTTTCTCATGGACCTGTAATTCCTACCAAGCTCCCTATTTCTGTTATTTTAATTTCCTAATGACCCAAGGTCTCCCTTGACCATTTCTCTTATTAACCATATTTATATCTAATCTAATTTGTGTATCAATTAGTTCAACAAATATGTGTTGAGCTCCTGTTATATGCCATTCATTGAAAATAGAGTAGCAAACAAGGTAGAATGAGTTTTTGCCCTCCTGGCTTCAGGGAGCTTACATGTAATGTGTAATATAATGCAGTGTAAACAATGTAATGGCAGGAGGTGAATGCGCCTGGAAGAAAAGCAAAATCAGGGCATGGGTGGGGAGGATGCTTTTAAGATAAGGTGGTCAGGAAAAAAAATTTTTTAATAAGGTGACACATGAGGAGAGATCTAAATAAAATGCAAAGATCTGGGGGGAAAGGGTCCAAGAAGCCCCATGAGCAGGATGGGGCTAGGCCTGCCTTAGGATTCATAAGAAGGCCAGTGTGAGTGCAGTTTCTTCTTTCAACTTATGTCTTGAATTCAACCTCCCTTTTCATGCTTCCTACCACAACTCATATCCTTACTTATATCACTCACATCTAAGTTACTATAGGTATCTTCTAAATGTTTCTCTTACCCCAATTCTGTGTCTCCCCATTCATTGGCTGTCTCCCCATCCAATCATTCTGACAAACCTCATTGCCAGGATGATTTTTCCAAAGCAATTCTGTCATATCATTTGCAATCGAGAAGTTCCAATGACTCCCTATTGCTGTGAGCCCCTCGGTGACTCCGTAGACATCTCCATTTCCTACCATGTCTCAGTCACATTTCTAGCATGTGAACAAAGACCAGGTCCCTGCTCTCACAGAGCTTATGTTCTTGAGGGGTAAGATAGACAATAAACAAGTAAAAAGGAAATATCTAGATAATTGCAGATAATGGTAAGTGCCAAGAAGAAACCAGATAGATAAATAGTGATGGAGGAGGTAACCTGAAGTGTTATGAGGTGATCTGGAAAATCTGGGGCCATAATCTATTCTAGGAGAGGGAACAGCAGGTGCCAAGGCCCTAAGGTGGAAATCATATCATTTGGCAAGTCTTCCCCAGCGTACCAGGGAAGCAAGCTGCTTCTCTTCTGAGTGACTAAATCACGGTGTCCGTGCTTCTATTTGAGTGATTGTCAAAATTGTCAAGTTTGTCTCTCTCTGATAGACTGAGTTTATTGACTATAGAACCCTATTTAATTCATGTCATCTGGAGTACTATAAGTCATTGATAAAAATTTGTGGAACTGAATTGAATGAAGCTTGATGTCCTAATCTGGCAGGTAGAGTCATCCATTAATTGACCTCTAATCTAACATTAGCTCACACTCCTGGATCTAGTTAAGCCAACATCCTCACTGCTCTTGTCCTCTCTGGATAAAGCTTGGCAAAGTTTACAAACTTTGATAAATCAGTATTACATGAATGTAACATTCTAGAACACAAAATATTATTTGCCCAGTTAGAATAAAGGACCTTTCAAGAATTAACCTGTTTTAACTCCTAGATTGCATTAGTCAACTGCCTCTTTCAAAATAATTTAGACTTTTGAAATTGATATTGACAGCAGTGATATCAATTTCACTGTTGATAATGATGATACTTTATCTTGATTTAGTCGCTTTTGTTTAGGGATATTTGTTGAAAGACTGTCACTAAATCATTCATTCAATTAATATTTTTAAGTACTTCATGGGCCAAGTATGGTACCTGTTCCTGAGTATATAAGGGTGAATAAAATAAACCTGTTCTGTTGCCTTTGTGGAGTTTCTAATCTTGTCAGGAACACAGGTAAGAAACAAGAAAACAAATGTATTGTTATAACTTACAATACATGCTATTAAAGACAAAAACGGTGTACAGGACAGAAAATAACAGGGAAGACCTTTGCCTAGGATGGTCAGGGAAAGCCTCTCTGAAGAAGTGACATTTGAGCCTGGACTCTGCCATGCAATAAAAACAAAACAACAACAACAACAACAACAAAAAGAAAATGGGTCACACAGCCTTTAATAAATTCTAAATAATTTGCATAATTCTGACATAGTTCGCAACGGCCATTATACTTTTCTATGTTCATATAAAAAAGATTTTTTAGCTTTATCTTACAACTAATCAGAATTCATGATACTTATATTATATATTTAGAATACTTACCAAGGAGATGCTCTGTTCTTTATCCTCCTGGAGCATGTTCTTTGTTATTCATTCAAGCTGGGTTGAATGACAGCATTTATAGTTGTGTCTCCTAATGACATTGATCCCACCAAGTGGTTCCAAGTATGCAGGCTTCTGTGGGCTCATATTGGTCCAGTCCCACAGCCACATATCATAAACCCTTTAGATGATGCAGATTATTCTGGTTAGAATGTGGTATCTGTGGAATATCTGGGAGATATTGGGATTAGAGTCTGGTGACAGCATCAGTTGCATTCCACCCCTGACCAGCACCTTCACAGCTTTGTGCTGCAGATCTTATAGGGAATTACAGGGAAGTGGAGGTTCATCAGGGCAAGTCCTTCAAACCTCACAGAGGTACTACAGGAGGGCACCTAGCGATTGTATTAATTGGTTCATTCTGAAGTGGCTGATCTTCTCAGAAGCAGGACAAACGTAACTCAGAAGCATGAGAGGCATGCAGCCACTGTTGATGGCTGTGCCTGATCTCAGAGGGCCCTGCCGAGAGCAGATGTTTACTTAGCCACTCCTCATGGCTGTGAGCACCCAACCTGGACAGGGAAATTAGTGTGAATTCCAATGCCCAAACACAAATGCCAGGGATCCTCCCTGAGTTTCTGAAGGGAATGTGTGCATACTATTAAAGAGAAGGACAACCGGATAGTCACAAGGAAGGCTGGACTTCCTTAACAGAGATTGTTTATCTAGTTTTAAGCAACTCGAGGTGCTGTAAGCAGGAGCCATGAGCAAAGCAACACGTGTAGGATTAGTTAGAACAGGGATCCCCCACCACTGGGCCATCAACTGATACCAGTCCATGGCCTGTTAGGAACTGGGCTACACAGTAGGAGGAGAGTGGTGGGCGAGCGAACAAAGCTTCTTCTGTGTTTACAGCCACTCCCCTTCAATTGCATTACTGCATGAGCTCCGACTCCTGTCAGATCAGCTGTCACATTAGAATCTCATGGAGTGCAAACTCTGTTGTGAACTGTGCACGTGCAGGATCTAGGTTGCCCGCTCCTTATGAGAGTCTAATGCCTGATGATCTGTCACTGTCTCCCGTCACCCCCAGGTGGGACTGGGGTCCCACTGATGCTACATTATGGTGAGTTGTATAATTATTTCATTATATATTATAATGTAATAATAATAGAAATAAAGTGCACAATAAACCCAATGCACTCGAATCATCCCGAAAAGATCGCCCCACCAACCCCAGTCTGTGGAAAAGTTGTCTCACATGAAACCAGTCCCTGGTGCCAAAAAGGTTGGGAACTGCTGTGTGAGATGACTATCGATTTACAATTCATCAAATAAAACAAAGCATGTCTGATCTGGCCTGCAAAAGGTGAGATAATGGCTGCACTAATAAGAAGTGCAATAAGGGGATCAGGAAGCGAGACACCAAGCAGAGCTGAATGACCTGGATGAATGCATGGCCATTGCGTTTCTGTTCAGGGGAGTATTTACCACTGGGAAAACAGTTGCTTGGTTTGAGAACTAAGCTCAAATAAGGACCTTAGATATAAATCTATTATTGTTGTGGGAACCCATAATACTCAGAAGCATCTCTCACCAAAATTGGATTCATTCCTTTATTCTTTCACTTACCAATATTTGTTGAGCACCTACTGTGTTCCAGATTCTATTGCTGGGTCCCCAGTGCCTCCGAATGAAACAGAGGAAGTCCCTCCTTTCATGGAGCTCACCTTGTGTGGTGTGGGGCTGAGGGAGGTAGAAAATAAACTAGCTAACAAACAAGTGCTATGAAAAGCAATAAAGTGGGTAAGAAGAGGATGAAACTATAGGGTCATGAGAAGGGGCCTTAAGAGAAGCCCTCTTTGAGGGCTATTTTATATAGAGTACTCCAGGAAGGCCTCTCTGAGGAATGACATTGTGCAGGAAGTTCAAGGTAAACCATGGGAAGATGTTGGGGAAAGAGCTCTAGCACAAGGGGAGAAGCGAATGGGGCACGAGTGTGCTTGGCACAGTCAAAGAGCAGCAACAATCCCATGTGGCTGAGATGAGTAAGTGGAGCAAGCGAGGGAGAGAATTGTAGGAAGTGAGACCAACGCTGTAGGCAGGGATCAGACTGTGTGGAGCCTTGTAAGCCATGGTAATGACTGGGATGTAAAGCCACGGAAAAGTTTTGAGCAGAGAAGTGATGGTATCTAACTTCAGCTTTATAGGGATCATCCTAATTGTGTATACAAAATATAGTGGAAGCAGGAATAGCCCAGGAAGGAGACTAGTGTGGCAGATGATTAGCACATTAACATGAGCTTTGCCATCCATACTGAGAACCTCAGGTCAAGTTGAGTTAATGATGAGTTCCTTGCGTTAGAATTCAAAAGTGCAGAAAGTCCGTGGTATACAAAAGGCTTAGGATTACACTCTTCTTTCTATATAGTAGCCACCCACTAGCTACCTGTGGCTACTGAGAACTTGAAGCACAGCTAGTTCTAATTGAGACGCTCTTTAAAAATGATACACTGGGCTGGGCGCGGTGGCTCACGCCTATAATCCCAGCACTTTGGGAGGCCGAGGCGGGTGGATCACGAGGTCAGGAGATCGAGACCATCCTGGCTAACACAGTGAAACCCCGTCTACTAAAAATACAAAACAAAATTAGTCAGGCGTGGTGACAGGCGTCTGTAGTCCCAGCTACTCGGGAGGCTGAGGCGGAAGAATGGCGTGAACTCGGGAGGTGGAGCTCGCAGTGAGCCGAGATCGCGCCACTGCACTCCAGCCTGAGTGACAGAGCAAGACTCCATCTCAAAAAAAAAAAAAAAAAAAAGATACATTGAATTTTGACTTAGTATCCCCTCCACAAAAAAGTAAAAACAAAAACCAGAATGTAAAATATCTCATTAATAATTTTTATACTGATTACATATTGAAATGATAATGCTTGGGATATATTGGGATCAGTAAAACAAGCTCAAAACTCATTTCACCTGTTTCTATTTTTTTAAATATGGCTACTAAAAAATTTAAGTCGCATATGTGGCTCACATATCTCTGTTGGACAGCACTGGTATTCCAAACTGAGTTATACAAAGAAATCCTTTGTTATTTCAAGACTTACTGAAAAAATTTCTAAAATGCATTGCTCATGTCCTGGTTTTAATAAACAAAGTGGTACAAAGCATAGCTAATATAATTGAGTTTCCTTTGATTAATGTAATGTGCTGAAAGTGTGAATGATTCTGCATCACCAAAGCTTTGTTCTAAACATTTCTCAGTGGCCCTGTTGTCTTGAAAATAGTAACAGCGGCTTTTCCATGCTGGCCCTGTCCTTGAAGGAGCCCCTGACCTGGGATCTTCTGCCCCACAGGTTAAGAGCATGGGCTTCATAAGTTTCCTGGCTGAAATCTTAGAGACACATTTCTCAAGAGTTGACATGAGAACAATGGCTTTCCAGAAAGACAGGCTTGTCTGTGTCATTCTGTCTGGCCTCTTGCTAATTCAGCTTTTCACCTCCCAAAGGTATCTATGTCATGGGTTGGGCCCCAAACCCAGGCAGGGCAATGAGAGCTACTGGGTGGAGAGCACAAGAGGCCAAGAGACTGTAAAGGTCAATGACCTCACACAAGACAGGCTGTGGTGTTTGGAATGGGCTGAGGAGCCCTCACAGAGATGCAGAGTAAATCTATCTTAGGTGGCATCTCTCTCAATCCCATAGTGACTTTCCCACTTCTCCTTACCCACAATAAGCAAGCTCTAGGGGGACAAGTTGAATGGTTCAAGTTCACTAAAGGTGGCCATACACACTCAAAAGGCAATTCACTAATTTCACTAATTTCTAGGAGGAAACAAATTGCCAGGGATCAGAGTGTTTGGATCGAAAAACAACTTCACTCATCTCTCTGCGGGAGAGGCTGCTTAGGAAAGCAAATCCATCCACATAAGGAGACTGCTTGTCAGGCAAAGGCGGTGGATGGGGAAGACAGAAAGGCATTCCAAACATTTCTTTTTTTTCTTTAAAATATTTTTATTGAAACATAATTGGCATATTTAAAGCGGACATTTAAGGGCACAATTATTTTTAATTTTTTTATTATACTTTAAGTTCTAGGGTACATGTGCACAACGTGCAGGTTTGTTACTTAGGTATACATGTGCCATGGTGGTTTGCTGCACCCATCAACTCATCATTTACATTAAGTATTTCTCCTAATGCTATCCCCCACCCAGCCCCCCTCCCCGCAACAGGCCCCAGTGTGTGATGTTCCCCACCCTGTGTCCAAGTGTTCTCATTGTTCACCCACCTATGAGTGAGAACATGCGGCGTTTGGTTTTCCGTCCTTGTGACAGTTTGCTCAGAATGATGGTTTCCAGCTTCATCCACGTCTCTACAAATGACATGAACTCATCCTTTTTTATGGCTGCATAGTATTCCGTGGTGTATATGTGCCACATTTTCTTTTATATATATATATATTTTTATAATTTCAACTTTTACTTTAGATTCAGGGGGCATATGTGCAGGTTTTTTTACATGAGTATATTGTGTGACACTGAGGTTTGACATCACAAAGGTAGTAAGCATAGTACCCAATAGGTAGTTTTTCAACCCTTATCCACTCCCTCTCTCCCCACTCTAATAGTCCCCAGAGTCTATGATTCCCATCTTTATGTTCATGTTTACCCAGTGTTTAGTTCCCGTTTATAAATGAGAACACGCAGTATTTGGTTTTCTGTTCCTGCATTTGTTCACTTGGGGTAATGGCCTCCGGCTGCATCCACGTTGTTGCAAAGGAAATAATTTTATTCTCCTTTATGGCTGTGTAGTATTCCATGGTGTATATGTACCTCATTTTCTTTATCCAATCCACCATTGATGAACACCTAGGTTGATTCCATGTATTTGCTATTGTGAATAGTGCTTCGATGAACATATGAGTGCATGTGTCTTTTTGATATAATGATTTATTTTCCTTTGAGTATATACTCATTCATGGGGTTACTGGACCTAATGATAGTTCTAAGTCCTTTGAGAAATCTCCAAACTGCTTTCCACAGTGGCTGAACTAATTTACATTCCCACCAGCAGTGTATAAGCATTCCCTTTTCTTCACAGCCTTGCTGCCCTTGTTATTTTTTTGACTTTTTAATAGCCATTTTGACTGGTGTGAGGTGATATCTATGACTTCTTTTTGAAAACACAGAAGTAGCCAACAAACATGAAAAAATGCTCAACATCATTTTGAATCTCTTCATTTTTTAATCCTGCTTACAAAGGCTAAGCAACATGTGTTTAATAAACAGGCAAGATTAATAAACCCAGAAAAGAACCAATTAAGGAAGCCAACTTTTTAGTAGAAACAAAGTTATTGTGTTCTTTAAAAGGCCTTAGATCTGGGTTACCTCTGAGCATATCTGGAAACAGATGGCAGCTGGCTTCGGGTATGGGTCATGAGCTGACCTTATATACTGTGTCGATGGTAAAGGAGCGAGCCAGCTCTCAGGAACCAAGTCTTAGAGTTACAGATGCTGGCTGTGGCCTTACTGCTCACTGGGTCTTCCTATAAGGCAGGTCTTTGTCTCTAAGGCAACCACCCTAATGTAAAGCCAGGTAGAAAGCCCTGGTGTCTACACCCTAATATAAAGCCCATTGACGGTAAAGCCTAAGGTGCCTCTGAACCTTGGGAGTTGCCTGGCACATCCGCCCCAAGTTCAATAGACAGGGAGTCTAACTGCCTGGGAGGAGCCACTCTGAACCTACAGCAGGGGGCCTCGAGGCTTTCTTTGAAAAATAAAAATAAAAATAAGAATACCAATCAACGTACAGAGCCCTCCAAAACATTGTAAAAAAGAACAAAAAGCCACTTGCAGAATACATTCTGTATAATCCCATTTATGGAATAAACAAAAATAGAATATCTGCAGAGGCCTCATATGTGTGTCTGTATGTACATAGAAAAAGATCTTGAAGGATAGATGTCAAATTCTTAACAGTCTTTTGGAGAGAAGAGTAGAACTTGGGGAGGAAGAAGGGGAGAGGTTCACTTTTTCTATATATTCTTTATTTACTGAAGATCATATAGTAACAATATATTTATTATTTTTAAAATTAAAATTAATTTAAATACACAGTATCATTGCCCATATAGCTATTGGGCCAATCTTGGGACTATTAAAACTTTGTATATTAGTATCCTATCTCACCTATCTCAGTTAACTAATTAAAGAGCTTTTATTTCCAGTAACAGATAGCATAAAAAACACTTTCGTATATGTTATTTAAATTTGACCAATACCCAAAAGAAAAGAGCAATATAGGACAGAATTCTTCTGCTAAAAAAATAAAATACAGATCCATATTTGCCAATTTATTTTAGTTACTGAACAGAGTAACATGATGTTATAAATAAATATTGAGGCCCGGCACGGTGGCTCACGCTTGTAATTCTCAGCACTTTGGGAGGCCAAGGGGGGCGGATCATGAGGTCAGGAGTTCAAGACCAGCCTGGCCAACATGGTGAAACCCTGTCTCTACTAAAAATAGAAAAATCAGCGGGGCTTGGTGGTACGTGCCTGTAATCCCAGCTACTCGGGAGACAGAGGCATGAGAATCACTTGAAGCCAGGAGGCAGAGGTTGCAGTGAGCTGAGATCATACCATTGTACTATAGCCTGGGCAACAAGAGGGAAACCCTGTCTTAAAAAATAAATTAAATAAATAAATAAATAAATATTGAGTACTTAATGAATAGGCCAGAAAATATTTGAAGATAGTAAACACATTTCATATGCAGTCTATTAGATGCTATTCTGATTTAGAATTGCTGAAATTTAATGGCTGTGCAAAGAGGAAAGAAGAAACAAGACTTTTTTGCAACAGTATTTTGAAAAAAAAGTTAGAATAAATTGTTTATAAATGCTACCAGTACATAGTTGAGCAGAATGTACTGGTAATACTTTGTTTTACAAAGCAAACATAACTCTGTTTTCTTGGGTTTCTTCATGAC
Source organism: Homo sapiens (assembly GCF_000001405.40). Taxonomy (NCBI): domain Eukaryota; kingdom Metazoa; phylum Chordata; class Mammalia; order Primates; family Hominidae; genus Homo; species Homo sapiens. The sequence continues at coordinate 94,556,619 of NC_000001.11, read as the reverse complement.
TTAGCAGAGAGCTAACAAGTGCCAGTCAAAGCCACACTTGCTACAACTAAGAAGCGACCACCAACTTCATACATACAGGATCATCTTAGACAGGCATCTATTACTAATAATTGCTGTTGTAATCTTCAGAGCTCCCTTTGAGGTGCCAGCACCCATCATCTGCAATCCTCACAATCCTTCAAAACAGGCTTTCTTCTCCTCATTTGAAAAATGATATTAAAAAAAAAGACTTAAATAATTTAAGAAACTTTCCCAACCTTACACAGCTTGGGAGATCCAAAGCTGGGACTCCAAAGTAGGCACGTCTGGCTCTGATGACAACTCCCTTCCCACTGAACCTCACCAACCCAGACCTGCAGCCCTGAGTCATCTGCCAGGTTCCTTGGGACAGCTACACTGGATCTAGCTTTGGGTTCTCACTGGTGTCCAAAGCACACTGGACAAATGGCTTTAGCAGAGGTGGAAGGCGGCCTGACGTTGAGTGAGTGACAAGTCAGGTACCCCAGCTGTCTCCAGGCTTGGAAGGCAAGCAAAACCATTGCCAAATTAGTGCTCTTTCTTTTCAACCAGCAATCTTTCAAATGGTTGCTCCAAAAGAAATAGAAATTAAAAATATTTTTCAGCATGCAGTGAATATTTGGATGAATGCCAATTAATGAAATATATACTTACTTTTAACTTAGCCATTCGAAGATTTCAGAGATTTTCCACAGATAACTGATTATCAGGGTATCTGGTGAGGGCACCCATTCCAGTCAGAAGGAAAGTGAGGGGCTCACATGAAGTCAGCAGTGGTATTTTTGGGCTGTGCCATTAGAGTCTTATCAGATATCAGAAGCCACTCCAGGTTTCTCACACAGAGTGGATTTGTTACAGGGAATTGGTTACAAACGTCATGGAAGAGCTGAGAAACCAGAAAGGGCACAGGAGGCAGTCTCAAGAAGAACAAGAGCTGACATCTGCTACCATCCCCAGGGACAGGGGGCAACAGGAAGAAGTGGTGCTACCAGATCCCAGGTGTAGGGCTGCCCAGCTGGGTCCAAGATGGAGGCACAGCCAGCAATGGACACGCTGACCAGCACAGAGTCTGAGGGTGGGGAGAAATGCCCTGGCTTTTCCCTTTCTCTTGCCCTCCAGGCTTCTGACTGTTCCTCCCAATGACTGAACTTACCTGAGGCTGGAGGGAAAAGGAGCCTGGGAGGTGGACTTCCCTGACATATAGGGCTGGACAGAGAAAGGCCATTTACGAATCTAAGGGCATACAGGTGAATAACTGGCACTATGCTGAAATCAACAATGTAGTGGAGAATCGGTTGCAAATATGGCAAGAGGTGGGGCAGGGCGGGGAAAGAAGGATTGGAGGTATTGCCAGAGGCCACTGATCAAGGACGAGTAGGTAATATGCAAGGACTTTCTCTGCTCATCCCTGGCGAAAATGATGTTCTCCCCAACACATTATCAAATATATGAAAGCATTTTTAGGAAAGTGAGAAAGAGGACCCTAAAGATGGGCTAAAAATCCAGGAAATGTAAATTCCAAGGAAGTGTCAAAGAATAATGAATGCATGTTCAATTTGCAAAATAGAAGATAACTATAGAACTAACTTCTTGTAGTTATAACTCATTTTAATAAAGCTGTTTGAGAAAAGACAGAGCTTGACAACTGTCTGAAGAGAAGCAGCCAAACCAGACAGAGTCAGCCCCAGGCTCCGGGATGGCCATGGGGTGGAAGGCTGAACATCTCGGCCTCTATGCATCTGGGTCCAGGACTGCAGAGGGCACTGCTCACGCTGCAGCTATGTGAGGCTCTTATGTCCCTGGGGTAAGTAACCATCTGTCTGTTCATTCATTCCACAGAAAGTCATTGAACCCCTGCAATGTATCAGGCAGCATTCTGACTAAGCACTACAGACAACAAAACAGACAAATAATGGGAATACCTCCACCCCTGGTGTGAGCCAGAGCACTGTAGTCCACCCCATCTGGACAGGGAGGGAGGAAGCGGGTGTCCTGGCAGGTTATCGTCAGAAAGAATCCTCAACCCTTCCGTCTGTCATTATTCCTAGTTCTGGTAGACACATTTATGGCAGTAAAACATGTAATAAGGATATATCTGCTTTATTAATAGACTTAGGACTATAAAGAACAACTATATTTTGCCCCAGATTCTAATTTATTCAGCTCAATTCAACAAACACCTGTTATGTGTCAATTCCATGCCTGTTACTGGAACTAGAGATGAACATTTTCTTCAAAAGCACTCCCTTCCCTTCAACATAGCAGCAATGGCAAATCCAAGCAACTTCAAACTCAGAAATTGCCCCAGTGACCTGCGTGCTTCATAGGTTCATACAGAGGGTAAAGAGTAGTTTCCCCACCAGGGCAAAGCGGTGATGATACTGTTCGGGGCAATATGAGGCTGATCTGAGCCAGCTTGGGAGCCCTCCAGTCAGTACTTCTGAGGTCTGATGTTCAGCAATGGAAAGCCTTCAGTTTGTCTTCCAACCTCCCTGGAACAGCCAGGCAGATACAAGGCAGGCCCCTGAGCAGCTCTGCAGGATTCGAGAAAGTTCTTCCAGCTTCTTGGCTGGGGGGCCTCACAGCCCATCCATCCCTCCCCATCTGGAAGGGGACAGGGAGTGGAAAAAATATTTTATTTACTTCTAAGTCTGATTTTTCTCCCCTTAGATTAATGCTTTGCAAAAAGTGACTAGGTAAGTAAACTAATTCAGTGGCATAACTTACTTTCTGGTTGATTAATAATTAGGAAAAAATACATCTGAA